>NC_000001.11:93303835-94553835 GCF_000001405.40 Homo sapiens | reverse complement strand
TAAATTTCTTGCATAGCAAACTTTTCTTTAAAAACGGGTTTATCTGGTTGATAAGAAAAAAGAAGACTCTATTTGTTTTTCAAGATATTCATTTCTTTCTGGCAATACACTCATAATTGCATTCCTGGGATGATATTGTTGTATCTTAAGAGTGCAGACATGTTTCTGTTTCATAAGAGGAAAAAAATCATGTCCAAACCTGGACATCCTTGGTGTAAAATCTCTGCTTCCTGGAATACTAAATTTTTAAACATAAGCAAGGACTTAGGTAGCCAAGTGTCTCCGTTTACTCAGCCACAGGATGTTGGGTATCATGTAGCAATTTGTGCAGACCTCTCAATCTGTTTGTGTTTTCAAGAAAGGACAAAGTCTGCTGGCGTCCTGCTGGGACATTCCCACCCTCCACCCCCACAGGGGCTTGCAGCCTGGGGCTCAGCGGGGCTGTTGGGAAGCCACCCTTCCACCCACTCAGGTCTTGTTCGTTCCAGCCTCCTCACCCACCGCATCCTAGGGTTTCCTGCTGCCTCACTCTGAGTGAATTTACACAGAAAAAAGCAAATTCTACCTGGATATGATCCTCAGTAGCATTTTGATCATTATACTAATCTGAAATTTTTATTCCTTTCAACACCTAAGGACATCAGCAAAGTTTTAGGCTCTGTCTACAAGATCAAACACTGTCATTATTGTCATTGGCTTGAGCAGCCAAGTCAAAACATTATCCATCAATCAAACAACTGTTCAGGGGGTGAACTAGAGGGCTGGGTGGATGTGGGGTTTGTCTGATTCTTTGGTTTCATTAAGCTAGAGCAGTTTAACAGGTGTGGGAGGGGCAGATCAACTTAAGGGACTGTTCTTCCTCCTCAGAGTTAATCAAAAGATTTTACATCAACATTAACACCTTGGGAAGGAATGAAGTAAACTGCTAAAGGAAGCTAAATTCACCCTTGAAGAAAATTGACAGTAAGAGAAAAAACAAAAGTGAACAGAGAGGCATCCAATTATTTGGGGAATGCAAATGAGAAATGGGCTCTAAAATTTTATTTGAAGCCATACATCCATTTTGTGTGGGTGTAAAAGGCACTGTTTCCCCAATTTTCAGTCCGAATCATTGTTTTAATGTATAATAATTCATGTTAGCCAGGTGAATTGAAAGATAAAATAATTCCGCACCCAAAATTGACGACTCTTTTCTCAGGCCCCTGCAGCACTCTTGTTCTGTCTGTATCATGGACCTGGCACTGTGTCCTCTTGTAGCGCATATTTCTGCCTTCCCCTCCCTAGGCCCCCTCTAGGGCAGGAGGAACAGCTTGTTCTTCTGATGCCGTTGCAGAATCTCACTCTGTGCTGATGCAGAGTGAGTGCTGGGTAGGGTGCTCACCGGCTGGGTCATGGTCAAGTGCATGCACTCTGGAGCGAAACAACGTGCTTTGGGCCCCAGCTCTACCACACCCCAGTGTGTGATCTTGAGCAAGTTACGTTAGCCACTTTTAGCCCCAGCTTTCTCAAGGGTAAAATGGGGAAGGTCATGGCGCCTGCTTCCCGGGGTTTTCATGAGCAGTAAATTAGAGAAGCCTAGTGCATGGCAAGCACTCAAAATATTCAGGATGTTATCAGTGACTAAACAATACTACCCTAGGCAGAATACTCATCAATGCTGGTAAGACAATGGTTTCTTTGTGAAGTGTTCAGGCAAAGGGAAATCTACTCATTGAGGCAGGTGCTTAGTGAAGGTGGGAGGATTAGAAAGTGGGTGCTGGGGGAAACCACCAATACTTGTCCATTATCATCAAGAAGGCTTTGAAGAATTGAGAGGCCAGAGGCTGTTAGTTGAAGGGAAAATTCAGTGAGTTTGTCTGGGAGGATATTATACTTGATAGAAGAATCCCAGAAAATTACTTTGTGTCTTACTCTCTCACCTGTCCCTATTTAGTTCTCTCTTCCCCAAAGCCCTTCCCAGAACAGCACATCCCTGCTGAGTACGGAAAGTGATGAACACTGATAGCAGGTGCAGAGCCTGTCCTGCAACCCATTTTCACCCAGCCGTCTCCTTTGGGCACCTACCCTGTCCTGGGTGTGTGATTGCCCTACCAATGTGCCTGGTGAGATTATCCAGCCCTGAGAGCTGAGCATTCACTGGGCACTGACTGCATGGCCGAGTCTTGGTAATGATGGACAGTGCTAAGACCGCAGTAACCATAATTACTGCATGTGACGTCAATGCCGAACTAAAGCAAACAGACCCGCAAGCAAATGACCTCTAATATCTGAGTTAATTCCTGTGAAAAGAAACAGTCAGTCTGGTTTTGGTGTTAAACTCTCATAACCAGTTTATATCTAGAAATATTGGATGCTTTGAACAACGTCAGTTTGGAAAGTAGGTTCCCAGAAACTATGAACTACAATTATTAGAAGCAGATAAATGTCAATTAAAACTTTAAAATAAAATTGGAAATAGTAATTATTCAATATAACTGGCACAGATCAGCTATGATAATAAGCTCTGGCCCAAATATCCAAGTCTTTAAGTAGCAAATCATAAAATATGAGATCCAGACCACAGGCCCATTGCCCCGTTTTTACAGATAGTACAGCTAAACCCCAGGGAAATCAAATGGCTAGACACATATGGGCAGCGTGCGTTCACATTTCCTTCCCTTCATGGAAGGAGTGTGTGCCACTTTTCCATGCTTACATTTCATTTTAAGACGTCAGCTATTTCACATGGCCTCAAACCTCAGTGTGCTTTACTCCTGGATTAACTGAACCATTTAAACTAAAGGCTTAACGTGTTCCTAATCTTCTCTTTGAAATGCTGACTGGAGAATATTTATTTAGTGCCTTGCCCAACAGGTCACAAGCACATAAGAAAGCCAAGAGCCAGCATGCACACTTCTCTAGCAACAGAAAAGGCCTGAATCAGATATCCAGGGATCAGATTTTCAGGAGGCCCACATTGGATACAGCGTACAAAAGGCAGAGACCAAAGCAGGGCCAGACATCAGATACAATCAAGAAAGAGTGCAGCAGCTGGAGCTGAAACTGCAACGAAGGAAGAAGTTCTCTTTGGTAATTTAGAGTGCGTGGAACTTCTCTGTGAAACAGAACCACAGAGATAGCAGCTCTGGCACACCTATTATTGTAACTCATCGCTGTATGAGACTGTGAGAAACCATCCCTACCCCACTCAGCTAAAAAGCAGCTGGGACTGAGAATCTATTGGTATTGCTTGGTATCATTGGGGTAATATCTCCAGTTACAGCATGACCTTTCTGCCCTGTAAAAACAGAGGCAAAATGACTTTCTCACGTAAGGGTCCAAAGCTCTCCTTTCCCATTCGTGGGATATTCGGAGACAGCTGGTGGGTGTTTGTGGTTCATGCCTTTACAATCAATTCCAAACCCTCTTCATTATAAAAATAAAATCTCCACCTTCCCCAACAGCTCCCTAACACACACACACACACACACACACACACACGCCCCGTCTCAATCAACTACCATCGCGCCTATGAGTTTTTTTCCTTAATGACTGCTTGTAATGATTATTGTAACCTGATTGCCAAACGACAAAAATGTTTCTGATGGGAGGGAGGAAAAGGGCACAAGGTGATTTTTCCTGGGATGAGCCTCAGTCGTGGGTTCTGCAGACGCCGACATTTTTCTAGGTGACACCCAGGCACTGGTATCACATAACCTGGTACTAGAGGCAGGCTCTGAAGCTGGTACCAGGCAACATAGATTACATTTGGGGAAGTGACTGACCACGGAGGGGTCAGGTCGTAGTGGAGACCACCCTACATCCCATAGGAGGGAGCTCATCTGCAGAGGCTCCCTACGGGGCTCTCAAGTAGGGAGCAATCACTGCACAAATATTCCAGGGAAATAGAAGTGACTGCACGACAAGTTCCAACTTGAGCCTGGATGTTTGTATCACGATGATAAATAGGACATTAATTCATAGGTGAGAAAAGGGCTGTGGAATGGCTGATAGATAAGTGAAAGTGATTATGGACTAATCTAACTCATCAGCTCAATGATGCCATAAGCAAGAAGTAGGTCAGAAAGGGCTTTCCTAATATTTATGAGTTGTAATCATGACCCATATTTCTTAATAAATAATAAGATGCTGAGGAGCATTTATCTCATGTTGTCAGGGTAAATAAGCCATTTTCAGAGATAGCTTCCTTTTTCCTGTTTTGGAGAGGAAAGCAATCTAGATGTGGATGAAATGAGTTGGAAACAAAGCAAAAGAAAGATCCCTTTGTTCTTGACTTGGGCCAGGTTTTGGCTTAGTTTTCTTTCAGAAAGTCCCCATGTTTTGAAGCCAGGCGCATCACAGAGGGTCAACTTCACCAGGTAGGGAAGACAGGGGAAAAAGGAAAAAGGGACTTGAATCAGTGCAGTGGTTTTCACTGAGCTTTCATAGGAAATGTGCATGTGTTAGTGTCATGATTGAGGAGAGGCCACATAGCAACATAGGTTGTGGATGTGCACCTTGCAGCTCCACTATTTGTGTTCAAATCCCAGCTTAGCCATTTCCCAGCTGTGCCACTTTGGGCAAATTATTTAACCTCTCTGGGCTTCAGTTAGCCTGTCTGTAAAATGTATAGTTCCACCTACCTCTCAGAAGGTTGTTGTGAGCATTCAGTTAATACCTATAGGATGCTAGAACAATATTTTTTGGCCATTTTCACTGGCAGCAAGTAATAGACTGGTATTGAGATCACTGGATATTCCCAAATGATCATTTGCTTTTCCACTGACATCATGACATCAGCTAAGAAATAAAAGACAGAACAAAGCCATTTTGCAGATTTCCTGAATCCTCGGAAAGGTTTTGTCATAACCATAACCAAGACATAAACTGTCAGAACCATGTCAGGGCTATGTCTTCGTTATCAGACTTTTTTGTTTTTTTTTTTTTGGCAAGTGCTTGATTATAGCATCTAAGTATTAGAAGTACTGGCCTTTGGTGGAGAACCAAGACAGACACATTCCTGCCTGCATGATGCTAGGGTAGAGCAGAAGACACAGACATCGTGTGTAACCTCAATATAGGGTGATGAAAACTTTTGTGAAAGGAAAAATCAATGTGGCAAACTTCATGTTATCTTATTTTAAGAAATTGCCACGGCCACCCCGATTTTCAGTAATCACCACCCTGATCAGTCAGCAGCCAGCGACATCAAGACAAGACCCTTCACCACCAAAAAAAGTACAACTCTCTGACGGCTCAGATGATTCTTAGTATTTTTTTTAGCAATAAAGTATTGTTAAATTAAGGTCTGTACTTTTTTAGACATAATGCTATTATATACTTTATAGACTATGATGTAGTATAAACGTAACTTTTATATGTGCTAGGAAACCAAAAAGTTTGTGTGACTTGCTTTCTTGTGATACTTGGTTTATTGCCATGGTCTGGAATTGAATCTTCATTATCTCCAGAGTCTGCCTGTAACTGGTTTTCTGCTCACTCTTAGAGGCCATGACCTCCTCTTTCTTACTAAAACTCTCCTCCTCCTCTCTGCTGTTCCTCTGTGGTCCAGCTTGTTATGGTCTGATGTTGGTTTCCTCCTAAAATTCATACATTGGAACCTAATGCCCAATGTGATCGTATTAAGAGGTGGGGCCTTTTAGGCAGTGATGCATGAGGCCCTGCTCTCATGCATGGGATTTGTGCCCTTATAAAGGAAGTTAAATGGAGCTGCCTTGTCCCTTCTGCCATGGAGATACAACAACAAGTTTCCGGCTACGAATCAAAGAGTGAGCCCTTGCCAGACACCGAATCTTCCAGTGCCTTCATCTTGGACTTCCCAGCTGCCAGAACTGTTATTTCTGTTACTTATAAATTACCCAGTCTAAGGTATTTTGTTAGAGCAGACTAAATGGACTAAGCCACAGCTTAAATAATACTTTCCTCTAGGGAACCTTCTCTCATCACCCCAGTGAGAACCAAACTCTCTCTGTAGAGGTCCTGAACATCTTCTGTATCTTTAAGCAAAGCTTTCTGAATACGGAGGACCTACTGTGTGCCAGGCACTGTTGCTAGCACTGTAGCTACCTGTAAAGATAGAGCAGTCTCTTCCAGCACAGGGCTTTCAATCTACTAGCAAGAGATGTGACACTATATCCCACATCATTCGTACCACTTTCCCCTGTGGAAGCTTAAGTATTTGTCTCGTCTTCCTGACTAGTTACGAGATATTTTACCAAAGGGACTCACAGTTCCTGGTATACTGTCCTGTGCATAGTAATCCCTTAATAAGTATTGATTAACCCATATAAGGCAGGATCTTGGTTAACAAATCCATTGTGATTGGAGATGAAAAGTAAACACTATTCTTAAAATAAGGTGCAGGTCTAAGATCAATCGCTCTAAATTGGTCATTTTAATAGCTGTCTCCATAGTATATGTCCTGTATCTTAGTCCATTCAGGCTGCCATAACAAAAAATACCATAGTCCAACTGGCTTAAACAAACATAAATTTATTTCTCACAGTTCTGGAGGCTGGGAAGTCCAAGATCAAGTTTCGAGCAGGTTTGGTTCAGCTTCCCGAACCGTCTTCTTGCTATGTCCTCACATGGCAGAAAGGAAGATGAAGCTCTTTTATAAGGGCACTAACCCCATTCACAAAGGCTCCATCCTCGACCAGATCATCTACTTATGGCTCCGCCTCCTAACACCATCACATTGGAGGTGAGGATTTCAACATACGGATTTGCTGGGTGGGTGTGAGGGGGCACAAACAATGACGCTAAAGCAACCTGTTATTCCCCTTATGGCAAGGAATAGAAGTATTTGATTTAGAACTGTGAGAATAGAAGTAGTTGATTTAGAACTGTGAGATGCTAAAATGTTGTAACATAAAGGGTAATGATGGTTTAGGATGACAATTACAACCAGTCAAACAAACATGTTTCCAGTGTGAAAAATAACTTTGCTTACTAAGGAATTACCTCTGTCTTGAGAGTTCTGCTTCAATGTGGAGTTGGTATAATAGGATGGAGCATCACCATCAAAGGCAGCAAGGGATTGGAAGGGTTACAGGCTCAAAATTTGGAGCATCTGTTAACTAGGCTATAAAATGTCAACAAACAAACATAAAAATAACAATGAAATATCTTGCACACATGCTTTTAAGCTGATTATTTTACTTGTTTTTTTCCTTACGTGAGGAATCTCCTCCTACTTGGTTATCTTTTCTGCTAGACTTGCCTTTTTATAAAGCTGTCTTTCTTGTTGAGCTTCATATATTTTTTCCATATTCAAAACTTTGAGAGTTCATCAATACGTTCAAACTGATAGAGAATGTATATTTTAAACCTGTAAGTCATTTTCTGAGTTAAAGATACCTATTTGATGAACTGATCATGACACACCTAAATCTTTTTGGGGGGAGGACAGAATGAAATTTGTAAATAAACAACACTGTTAAGATTGTTTTATATCCAATTCAAATGCTGACAGAAAATCATTCAAACCATAAAATCTGCCGGGCATGGTGGTTCACACCTGTAATCCCGGCACTTTGGGGGGCAGAGGCAGGCGGATCACCTGAGGTCGGGAGTTTGAGACCAGCCTGACCAACATAGATAAACCTGTATGTACTAAAAATACAAAATTAGCTGGGCATGGTGGCACATGCCTGTAATCCCAGTTACTCAGGAGGCTGAGGCAGGAGAATTGCTTTGAACCTGGGAGGTGGAGTTGCAGTGAGCCGAGATTGTGCCATTGCACTCCAGCCTGGGGCAACAAGAGCGAAACTCTGTCTCAAAAAACAAACAAACAAACATAAAATCTGGACATAAGTAGGAATGATGATATGTTTAACAGGAAAGGGACTTCTTTGTTTTACTCTGTACATCCAGAGTCTAGCAAAGAACCCAGTATCTGGTGGACATTCAAGCATTTGTTGAATGAATGAATTTCTGTTCATCAAATTTAGTACATATGTCAGGTATAAAGAGTTACAGAAATGAGGAATTAAGAGATGCTTAAGTAAATGATACCATATACAAAATTTTAAATCACATAAATATTATATTAATAAGAACATAGGTTAAGGGTTTTCATTTTAAATGACTTTTTGTTACTAAAATAATACCCACAATTCATATTTATTATTTATCTATTTTGTCACCATTGTATGTAGATAATAAAATAATATTTACTGTTCATCAAAATGAAAGTTGAAAGGTAGTTTGATAAGCTTTACGTTTATAAAAATAGATGTCTGCTGAAAATACCAATCCCAGTCTAAGACTTGAATTGGAAGGTTTTTCTCTAAAGTTACATTTTTCAGAATACTGGTGCTATGTGATAACTCATTTAGCAAAGCTTCTTGTAAGCTGTTCTAGACAGTTGATAGAAGTATTTTGAATGACCAGGATAATAGATTTTATCATACTGACTTTCAACTGTTTAATTTTGGTCTAAATGAACTGTTGGACTAGTATATTGCTATTTTCACAAAATGCATAATCATGACTGCCAATTTTTCCATGACTAACTATACCCAGCCAGATGTTTCTTAGGTTCTGCTGAGTCACTTTTTTCCTTTTCCTCCAGAACTCTGTGTTCCTACTAACTCCTAATTCCCTCTGGCCTTTTCTCATACTTTGCCTTTTACCTGAATTTTGGGTAATGGTTTCATTGCTCTTTTTACCATTTCATATGCATAAAATAAGTTTCTCTGAATTATTCTCAATTTTACTTGCTATCATGTATCTTAACCTATCTCTTTCCTGGGAAATAAACATTTTGAGGAATTTGTTTTAAAAAGTTATTCAGCCTCTGTATGCAAGGAAAACTATCAACAACCTCATCGCATGATGAAGTATATTCTGAATCATCGTAGAATCCAGTCTTTTAAAAAAATGCTAGCTAGTTTCCAAACTTCTGTATCTGGTTTCTGCTTCTCAGCTATCTCTCCTCCTGGTGAGATTTTCTGGTGGTGCAGAGATAGCTAATCACTGGTTAGACTGCTAGAACTTGCGGTCGAGTGGTGCCTTTCCAGTCATGATGGATTTGTATTTTCTTACCAATCTCAGCATCATGAAACACTCACTGCCTGGCCCCTAGAAAGAGTTTTCAGTGACAGATTTCATCTCTTGAACACCAGTGAAATATTTGGTTGCACTCATAGTTTTATAAAGTATTCATTGACTCAAAAGGTATTAAGTGCCTATTATGTGCTGATAATTGTGGAAAGGGTTGAGAGAGGAAAAAAACAGACAAAAAACCCAATCCAACAGGAAAGATTAACAGGTAAACACACAAGTGAGATTAAGTGAAGTTCTCAATGAAAATGAGTCGGTAAAATTGGCAGCAAGTACTATAAAAGTACAGTGGAAGGGCTGAAACATCTCCGCAGTTATTTTCAGACTTCTCATCAACCACATTTCATCACTGGTTATGCAAAGGGAATTCAAACTCTTCTACGTGTCTCCTTGTCTGTCTATTTCAAGGACTAACCATCAGGATATTTCTGCCTAAGAACAATGAGTTCCCCAAACTGCAAAGTATTTTCTATACTTTGTGTGCAGTTTTTGTGCAGTTTTGCACTTTTCTGCACTTTGTGTACATGCAGAACATTTTTGAGTGCTTATGGATGGATTAATTAATCATTCATTTGATGGATTTACCACCCAGTCTTACTTTCCTTCATTGGGAGTAGGAGAAAGCCTGGTGATGGAAGGAAAGCCCCCGGGGTCAGAAGACCAGATCTGCACTGTGTGGTTAGGCAAGCCAGTTTACTCAGATCAGCTGGCCACAGGGTTCTCATCCATAAAAGAATGTCTGTGAGGTTCTCCCATCCTCTGACATCCTAAAATCCAATGAGAAAGGGACTGGTCAAGCCAGAGAGATTATTGTTATAGTTTAGTAACTTTTTGAACTTCTCAGAGCCTCCAAGATAGATCATGGAGGAGGGAACTGTTAACTGCTAAGCTTGACTTTACTGACAGGAGTAAAAAAAATTGTGTTAAGGTTAGGGAATAATTTTAACAGTCAATTTGTTCTTGTGAACAAATTTCAACAGTGAAATTTTAGATATGTACTTTTTAATGGTGCCAAGCAGCAGTTATTATAGATCAACTGCTGTTTGGCACCATTAAAAAGTACACTTCGCACCGTCAAAAAGTAGATCTGGCCACAATTAGATCAGTCAGGGAAAAACACTTCGCAATGAAATATTATTTACCACGTTTTCTTCCTCCCTCTTCTTGAAAATAGTAATGATTTTAGCATTTTTAAATCTTGAAGAATGTCATTCCGTACTGACTAAAAAGCCTGTGCAAACACCCAACATCTTCTCTTTCCTGTCTATTTTAATGGATATACAAAATAAATATTCATCTAATTTATCAATATTTAAGGCACATTGTGTATCACAATCCAATGGTAAACATTTTTCTTATCAAATGGCTGATCTTGACATTGTTTAAAGCCCTATATGATTTCAGAAAAGTCAGTGACTCCAAGTGGAATTGCAACAATTTCTTGGGTCTTGTAACAAACCTGAAGTGTAACTATTTCTCTTCAGCTACCTTCAATCCCAGAGAGCAAAGAATCACATCCCAGGTGGAGCTGAAGATCTCTTAGGGAAAATGACTCAGGCTAGAGCCTGCATAAAAAGAGGATTGCATGGCTTAGTTTTGCAAACATAAATTTTGTGGGTTTCAGAGCTGGCAGAGAGCTCAAAGAGGAAATCATCAAGGGCAACTTTCTGCTTCGAGGAAGGAAAGTCTACAAGGGCTAAACCTGGATGTGCTATTTCAGTTCAGGCAAAGGAGGAAAATTAAAATTTTGCACAGTTTTATTCTGTTAAAACAAGTGGTTCAGTAAGCTAAACGAGATATGTATATAGTATGCATTAAAATGCAAGACTGACTTCCCTGGGAAAACGTGGGAAAGAAGGAGAGAGGAAACAAACAATTCTTACACTAAGAATTCTCCAGTCGTGTCTTGCAGGCAATATAGAGTAATAATAATAAAAATGACAGGAGATACTTTGACAGGATGGCTTAAAATGCCACTCAATAGATGAAGAGTTGTTCTCATGCTTGGCAAGTTTACAGCAAAGCCCAGAAGGAGAAGCCAGAAAATAATTTAGAAAAACCAAAGCTTAAAACTAGTGGCACACAACTCTGGTTACATTTTTCATTTTCATTTTTGGTTCCTCTGCATTTCGGTGGAACTCAGTCCCACAGATGTCTTCTTCAATGTGGGAACCATCCTTTCTGGAACCACAGAGCTGCAGATGTCACGCTGGAATTCTCCCAGAGGCAAACTGCCAGATGTGAGGCTGCTCTTCCTCAGTCACTATCTCTGGTCGTACCGGGCGATGCCTGAGCCAACTGACCCTCAGACCTGTGAGCCGAGCCGGTCACACCGTGGCTGACACCGGCATTCCCACCGCCTTTCTCCTGTGCGACCCGCTAAGGGCCCCGCGAGGTGGGCAGGCCAGGTATTCTTGACCTTCGTGGGGTAGAAGAAGCCACCGTGGCTGGGAGAGGGCCCTGCTCACAGCCACACGTTTACTTCGCTGCAGGTCCCGAGCTTCTGCCCCAGGTGGGCAAAGCATCCGGGAAATGCCCTCCGCTGCCCGAGGGGAGCCCAGAGCCCGTGCTTTCTATTAAATGTTGTAAATGCCGCCTCTCCCACTTTATCACCAAATGGAAGGGAAGAATTCTTCCAAGGCGCCCTCCCTTTCCTGCCATAGACCTGCAACCCACCTAAGCTGCACGTCGGAGTCGCGGGCCTGGGTGAATCCGGGGGCCTTGGGGGACCCGGGCAACTAGACCCGCCTGCGTCCTCCAGGGCAGCTCCGCGCTCGGTGGCGCGGTTGAATCACTGGGGTGAGTCATCCCTTGCAGGGTCCCGGAGTTTCCTACCGGGAGGAGGCGGGGCAGGGGTGTGGACTCGCCGGGGGCCGCCCACCGCGACGGCAAGTGACCCGGGCCGGGGGCGGGGAGTCGGGAGGAGCGGCGGGGGCGGGCGCCGGGGGCGGGCAGAGGCGCGGGAGAGCGCGCCGCCGGCCCTTTATAGCGCGCGGGGCACCGGCTCCCCAAGACTGCGAGCTCCCCGCACCCCCTCGCACTCCCTCTGGCCGGCCCAGGGCGCCTTCAGCCCAACCTCCCCAGCCCCACGGGCGCCACGGAACCCGCTCGATCTCGCCGCCAACTGGTAGACATGGAGACCCCTGCCTGGCCCCGGGTCCCGCGCCCCGAGACCGCCGTCGCTCGGACGCTCCTGCTCGGCTGGGTCTTCGCCCAGGTGGCCGGCGCTTCAGGTGAGTGGCACCAGCCCCTGGAAGCCCGGGGCGCGCCACACGCAGGAGGGAGGCGACAGTCCTGGCTGGCAGCGGGCTCGCCCTGGTTCCCCGGGGCGCCCATGTTGTCCCCCGCGCCTACGGGACTCGGCTGCGCTCACCCAGCCCGGCTTGAATGAACCGAGTCCGTCGGGCGCCGGCGGGAGTTGCAGGGAGGGAGTTGGCGCCCCAGACCCCGCTGCCCCTTCCGCTGGAGAGTTTTGCTCGGGGTGTCCGAGTAATTGGACTGTTGTTGCATAAGCGGACTTTTAGCTCCCGCTTTAACTCTGGGGAAAGGGCTTCCCAGTGAGTTGCGACCTTCAATATGATAGGACTTGTGCCTGCGTCTGCACGTGTTGGCGTGCAGAGGTTTGGATATTATCTTTCATTATATGTGCATCTTCCCTTAATAAAGAGCGTCCCTGGTCTTTTCCTGGCCATCTTTGTTCTAGGTTTGGGTAGAGGCAATCCAAAAGGGCTGGATTGCTGCTTAGATTGGAGCAGGTACAACGTTGTGCATGCCCCGTATTTCTACGAGGTGTTCGGGACGGCGTAGAGACTGGGACCTGCTGCGTACTGGCAAAGCAGACCTTCATAAGAAATAATCCTGATCCAATACAGCCGACGGTGTGACAGGCCACACGTCCCCGTGGGTCTCTGTGGAAGTTTCAGTGTAGCGACATTTCAGATAAAAGTGGAAAAAGTGAAGTTTGGCTTTTTTCATTTGTATGCAGTCCTAACTCTTGTCACACGTGTGGGATTTATCTTTTTCCATAACTTACTGAAAACCCTTCCTGGCGGGCTGAACCTGACTCTTCCTGAGCTGAGTCCTGGACTGGCACACTGATGGCTCTGGGCTCTTCCCGGTCAAGTTATAACAAGGCTTTGCCCATGAATAATTTCAAACGAAAATGTCAAGATCCTTGCCGGTGTCCTGGGATTACAAGGTGAATCTTGTCATGAAGAAATTCTAGGTCTAGAAAAAATTTGAAGATTCTTTTTCTCTTGATAATTCACTAATGAAGCTTTTGTGGTTGAAAAATAAAAAGTGAGGTTTATGGTGATGTCAGGTGGGAAGGTGTTTTATACATCAATACATTCGAGTGCTCTGAAGTGCATGTAATAATAGCTGTTTCTCTGTTGTTTAAAGGCACTACAAATACTGTGGCAGCATATAATTTAACTTGGAAATCAACTAATTTCAAGACAATTTTGGAGTGGGAACCCAAACCCGTCAATCAAGTCTACACTGTTCAAATAAGGTAAGCTGGGTACAGAAAAAGAAAATTAAGGTCTTTGATGTTTCTACTGTCCTATGCTGAACAAGAATGTCTTTAAAGCTGATTACTGGATGAAATTATTTAACAGATGACGAAGAAGAAGGGATTCTTGGCAATTCGCTGGCCGGTGTCATACTCTATTAGGCCTGCAACATTTCCAGACCTTAAACTGATAGAACATTTTAATTGTTTTAATTGTTTTTGGAAATGATGGGAGAGTTCCTAAGTGGAGTATAAACTGTGGAGAGATGAACCATCTTGAGTAGGCACTGAAGTGTGCTTTGGGTCATGATAGATTAATTAATCTCATCTAAACATTGATGTCTTTTTCTGTTGCTGTCTAGACTGTGAACAATGTCTAACACCTTAGGGAAGAGGTGGGGAGGAATCCCAATGTATACATTGCCCTTAAGCAGTGTTTGATTCATTCATCTTTGGACTCCATGAATCGAAATCTGGTAGAATACATGATCTTAGTGGAGGAGGCCAAATGCGTGACTCACTGAGCCTGGCAGAGCAGAAATACTCTGCTGTCTGCACCCTCTGGGTCTGGTGTGGCTCTGCTTCTTGGTGCCTCAACTCTGACTGGCAGCTGTCCCCAGGAGGCGATAATTCAGCATGTTCAATCTAAAGGTTATGACTTCCTTGATGGTTTTCACCATATTCTTGGCAAGTTTTTGGTTTTTGAAATGTTCTAGGAGGCTTGGTAGAGATCTTATGAAATAGAGAATAGCTGCTGTGGAAATTATTTTAATGCTAATTACATAAAAGTACAAAAGTAGCACTAGCTAAAACAAAAGGTATTTTGCTGTTCTGTTTTGTTTTAGCTTGTGCCAGGCCTTTTACAGCATTAGGAATGCAACTTCTAGATAACGATGCATCTTTTAAGTGAATGTTCTTGTTTTTCAAAATGAACTTCATGACAGTAGTTGCCAAACCAGCAAGGAGAACTTGCATGCATACGTGCATGCATGTGTGGATATGTATGGGGGTGGGGGGAGAGAAAGATGAAGGAATTTCATAACATGAAATAATGATTACAGTTCTGGTCAAACTTGTCAATTCAGATTTCACCAATTGAGAATTAGTAAGTAATTTCTCTGATACAGGCCTGAAGTTTACCTTAGTAAACACTTTACTTCCATATGGTAAAAATTAGATTTTGGGAGGAATGCTTACCTCCTAAATATATTCAATCTAATATTTGAGGGACACATGGGAATATATTTATGATTCATCTGCTTTTTAAACATAAGCCTTTGTTAACTGTAAGTTCTTGAACTTTATAAGGCTGCTGTTATTTAAATGAGCACAGCTCCTGATCTGCAAACAGCAGAGCGCAGGGCTACAGCTTGGGGGATGCCAGCCGACTCAGGGTGGTCCTATGGACTGAACAATCTCTTGCTGCTGTACTGGAGGGCCTGGGAGCTTTTCCATCAGCCTCGGCCTGAGGTGTGCACTCTTCTCCTGCCCACCCCAGGAATAAATGAGATTCCTGGTTAAAAAGGACCAGAGCAGTCATTTTACAGTTGAGGAAACTGTTGCTCTGAGAAGTGAGGGATTTATTCATGACTACACTGATGGTGAGTGCCCATGTCAGGTCTGGAACCAAAGTCTACCCAGTATCCACACACCACCATCCCTCAGGTGGCTCTGCCACAGTCTGATGGGAGGCTCCAAAGCGGGAGGAAGAAGGAAAGTCTTGCCCACTGCATCTCCTCAGTTGGCCTTCCTCTCTGCCTGTTTTCCCTCCCTACAGTTAGCATCTTAAGCAGCTGCCCCTCTTCCCTCCCGACTGCTCTCACTACTGCAGCCTGGCTCCAGCCGCAGGACACTACTGCTGTGCAGAAGCCCCTACTTGGAACTCCAACTGCATTTTTCACCTTTGCTAACAGTTTTCAGTGGTGGTTGGGAAATGTTATTGGCTTAAGCCTTAGCACAAACCGTCACCGGTGATATTCATTCCATGGAAATGTTCTGAATTCTAAAGCTGAATTTACAAAGCTTCTGGAAAACAACCTGCAACCAAATTAGTGACTGAATTTTTTAGTTAACTCAAAATTCCAAATCAGAGGGTTTTGCAATGCCTGGAGGAACCTTGGAGGCTTTTAAAGTGTTAATGCTATTAATGGCATTCAGAGGGATTTTCTACAGAATTGTCCCTTCATTACCTGTTTATACAGTTTTACTACTTACCAGGGTACTGTATAAATCCTTGTGCTAAATTTTGCTATAGAGTATGTGGTCCCTGCTGTGAGCTGGGAGGAACCAAATACTGTATCTCTATGTTACATAGAAAGCCCTAGGAGACTTTCTCCTGTTATCTGAACAACTATTTGCTGTACTGATAAAAAGGAAACAGCATAGTCTCATTCACTTTTTGAAATGGAAATGATAAAATAAAACACATTTTGGTCATTCGGGAACAAAATACCCTCTCTACTTTTATCACATAAAATTAAATAAATAGAAACCAAAATATTTCAGTATCAATCTTAGTTTGTGCACTTTAGGATAAAGAATGTGTTTACCCAAATCCTTTTGGCCTGGTTACTTAGTTCAGATTTTGAAAGAAAATATATTTGTGGCTTTTATGTGTGAATTTAGACAATGGAATCCATGTGGTGCCTCGTTTTCCCTGAGATTATGTATTAATTCAACCTGTAAATGCAAACCATCTAATAGTCAGCGAGACCCTATAGCCCTGCTGCTTAATGGGGGCACACAAGGGCATGCAGCCCTCGTACCAGGCAGACTGTGTTCATATTAACAGCATCGTGGAGAAACTCATGCTGGGGGACAGGGGAGGGAGATGTAAATGCTCAGCAGGGAGATCTGGAGATTCCTGGAGCAGGTGGAGTTGGGACCTGGCCTTGAACGATGGGTCTGGCTCTGGCAGTCAGTAATGCCAAAGGGAAGAGCAGCATAACTGTCACTTTCCATGGGACAGAAGTGTGTGAATCAAGTTGCAGTGACGCTTCACCTATTTATTATTTTGGTCATTTAGAAGAATTTCATTGTCAGTAGAAGTCCTTTAAATCATTTCCCCTTCAGTGACGTCTCACAAAAGAAAGATCTGTCTTTAGCTTTTTAGTCTCAGACTTTATTAGACAGATACTACCTGTACTCTTATTCTGTAATCTTTGTTGGGATGGATTCACATCTTGCAAAGGAAGGGAGGCATGTAGTATAATGGGGCAAACAGACCCAGCTCTGCCACTCGTTAGATATGTGACCTTCTGCAAGTTGCTTAGTGCCTGTGAGCTTCAGTGTCCTCATGGATAAGAAAGATCCAACACCTTCTTGGAAGGATTATATCAAATGAAGTAACATGAGTAAAGGGTCCAGCAGAATACCTGGCATATAGTGGAGTCAATGAATGATTAATAATATTATTAATAGTGGTCATGAGAGAATATATGTATAACATGTTATTATGTAGACTCACTATATAGACTCTATTCTACATAGAATATAGAACATTATATAACAAACAACTATAATAAGTAGACTATAGTAAACAACCTCACTTTGTCTCAGTTGCCTCATCTTGATGGAAAACTGCTCTTTCTCTCCTGTTACCCTGACAGAGAGCGTCTACATTCTAAAAGAAAGATATTTAACAAAATGGTTGAGTACAGATCCAAGAGTCAAATAGCTGTCTGGTTCAAAGTCCAGCTGTGTGATTTTGAGCTAGTCACCCAATCTCACTTTGTCTCAGTAGCCTTATTTGTAAAAACAAGGCAAATTACAGAGCCATCCCCTGGGTTGCTATGAGGACTCAAACATGCATCCCAAGTGCTCGGTGTTGCTAGGTATGATGGCTCACACCTGTACATTCAGCACTTTGGGAGGCCGAAGCAGAAGGATCAGCCTGGGCAACATAGCAGGACCCCATCTCTACAAAACAATGTTTAAAAAAAAGCAAAGTGCTCAGCACAGTGACTGCATCATTAGGATTGATTGTAGGGCTCCTGATGTTAGCACAGAACACCACAGCCAGGAAGCAGTCTATCTTGTTGGGTGCAAATTGTAACATTCCATTTATGTTTCTTCCTTCTTTTCTTTCTTTAGCACTAAGTCAGGAGATTGGAAAAGCAAATGCTTTTACACAACAGACACAGAGTGTGACCTCACCGACGAGATTGTGAAGGATGTGAAGCAGACGTACTTGGCACGGGTCTTCTCCTACCCGGCAGGGAATGTGGAGAGCACCGGTTCTGCTGGGGAGCCTCTGTATGAGAACTCCCCAGAGTTCACACCTTACCTGGAGAGTAAGTGGCTTGGGCTGTAATACCGTTCATTCTTGTTAGAAACGTCTGAACATTCTCGTGATCTTGTGCCTTTAGGGGCTACAAAATTAAAAATATTTATTCTTTTTTTCTCAGAAACTGGTATGTATCACAGCCCTCTTCACACATTCCAGATGTGGTAGGAGGTTCACAGAATGTGAACTTTGGAGCTGATGACAGTGTCATCAAGTAACTTTCTCCCCCAGTCTGTCCCCAGACCCTGTTACTGTCCTCAGTAACCGGCTGAATGTGTGTTGGGAGAGGGCGGGCCAGGGAAGCGGGTAGGGATAGGAAATCCACCAAGGCCGGGGTTTTAGCTTTTCCCTATATATATATCATGTATCCTGATTTTTCTGTCCCGTTATCACACTAAAAATCCCAGTTGAGGATTTTTCCCAAACGGTCATAAATCAATGAGGAAAGTCCATGGTTTCCCTCTGAGCCCATAATTAGCCTAATTATGCTGACCTTTTCTAATCAGTTGGCCATGATTTGAGTTCCGTGATGTGCCAGCACCTGCCCAGCCATCTGCCTGTCACCCTCGTTCTGGTTTTGGAAAGGTGGAATACTTTCCTCCTCAGCCTTTGCCCCTGTAAGCTGGCCCTAGGAGCCAGTAAAAGAATGAAGAGAATTCCTGTCAAGTAGGAGATTTATTCTTTTGCCGCAACTGTGGCTCTGAGCTAGGCAATTTAGATAAATGCATGTAGCACATTGAGTAGAGTGAAATTAGCTTCTCTTGTAAGGCCAGCTGGTTAGAATGAAGGTGTTGTGTGAGTGTTAGGCCCAGCGAGAGAGAACAGTTTCTCAAGGTAGGAATGGTGAAAAGAAGGGGTGGACGGACAACCAACCAACCATCCTCCTCTGGTATCTACTTTGAGGGTTGAAATAGGGGGCCTGACCCCAGGTGAATGTGGCTGCCTTCCCAGAGCCCCCATTTGCAAGACCCTCCAGACCCCCAGGTGCTTCTGCTTGTGTCTTTTGTGGCACCAGGCAAGAATGTAGCAGCGTCAGCAGCCCCTCTGGTGACTGTGGCATGGTTGACATTCATTTCCCCCCTAATTAATGGCATCCTCATGATTCTCTTTTATATTAATAGTTCTTGAGTTTTTTTGTAAGCTACTTCAAATCCTTTGTTGGTGCAAGATAGAAGATATTTTATGTGTTTGTTTTGCATGTGCACACACATATTTGGCCTGTGAATTGATGTTTGTTTTCCTGTCATTTAACCAAAGCACATGAGATAATTGAGCCATTGCAGAGACCCCGTGGTTAAATCCGGCTTCTCGAGGTACCAAGGACATTTCCTGGGCTTTCTCACAGCCCTACATATTTTTGAACCTAAAATATCGTAGTTTATGCTACCACCCTGTTCAGTATAGTAGCCACTAGCCACATGTGGCTGTTGACCACTTGAAATATGGCTAATGCTCTAAGTATAAAGTACACACTGGAATTTAAGAAGTGTAGAATATCTCAAAACTTTTTTATATTGATTACACATTAAAATGATTATATTCCAGATATATGCAGTTGACTCAAGCAATGCATGGCTGAGAGGCACCGACTCCCTGTGCAGTTGAAAATCCGAGTATAACTTGACTCCCCAAAAACTTAACTACTAATAGCCTACCTATCGGTTGACTGTTGACTGCAGCCTTACCAATAAGATAAACAGTCAATTAACACACATTTTTCATGTTGCGTGTATTATATACTGTATTCTTACAATAAAGTAAGCTAGAGGAAAGAAAATGTTATTAAGAAAATTATAAGGAAAAGAGGCTGGGCATGGTGGCTCGTGCCTGTAATCTCAGAACTTTGGGATGCTAAGGCGGGTGGATCACTTGAGGTCAGGAGTTCAAGACCAGCCTGGCCAACATGGTGAAACCCCATCTCTACTAAAAATACAAAAATTAGCCAGGCGTGGTTGTGGGTGCCTGTAATCCCAGCTACTTGGGAGGCTGAGGCAGGAGAATCACTTCAACCCAGGTGGAGGAGGTTGCAGTGAACTGAGATTGCGCCACTGCACTCCGGCCTGGGTGACAGAGCGAGACTCTGTCTAAAAAAGAAAGGGAAAGAAAGAAAAAAAAGAAAAGAAAAGAAAAGAAAGAAGGAAGGAAGAGAAAGAATTATAAGGAAGAGAAAATATATTTACTATTGATAAAGTGGAAGTGGATCATCATAAAGGTGTTCATCCTCGTCATCTTCATGTTGAGTAGGCTGAGGAGGAGGAGGAGGAGGAAGAGCAGGGGCCACGGCAGGAGAAAAGATGGAGGAAGTAGGAGGCGGCACACTTGGTGTAACTTTTATTTAAAAAAATTTGCATACAAGTGGATCCACAGAGTTCAAACCCATGTTGTTCAGGGGTCAACTGTCTTTGGTTAAATAAAATATATTATTAAAATTAATTTCACCTGTTCCTTTTTACTTTTTCTAATGTGACTACTAGAAAACTTAAAATGACATCTGAGGCTCCATTGTCTTCCCCTTGGGCCAGCACTACCACAGAATGTCTTAGGATTCAGCTCCAGGCCGCCACGCCTGCTTCTTTCAGGGAGCTGGTTCTATGCACATGTTTTATATGAGAGATAATTAAGTTGTCAATTGTGATAACAAAACAGGATTTGACTTTGTACAGAATTCTTTGGTTCCAACCAAGCTCATTTCCTTTGTTTCAGCAAACCTCGGACAGCCAACAATTCAGAGTTTTGAACAGGTGGGAACAAAAGTGAATGTGACCGTAGAAGATGAACGGACTTTAGTCAGAAGGAACAACACTTTCCTAAGCCTCCGGGATGTTTTTGGCAAGGACTTAATTTATACACTTTATTATTGGAAATCTTCAAGTTCAGGAAAGGTGAGCATTTTTTAATTTGTTTTTATGACCTGTTTTAAATTGTGAATACTTGGGTTTTACAACCCATTTCTTCCCCAATTCAAAAATAGCAGAACAGAGTTGTTGAGAAGGTGATGGAGTAGAAGGGGGAGCGCGCACTGTGGGGAGGGGTGGACAACAGGCCTGGTCCTACCTGTGACTCTGCACTACCCTGTGACTCTGGGCAGGGCCCCCTCGGAGACCCAGGTTCCTCAGCCAACCGGCTGGATCAGGTCATCTCTAAAGGTCCCGCCATGCTCACATTTCTCCCTCTATTGAGGATCCCAGGCACAAAATTTGTTTTTGGTTCAATGCATAATACTCCCTTCCTTTTTCTTTTACTGCAGATATCTTCTAAAGGGGCTCAATAGGGTTCAATATGCCTAAATTGGATCTTCTCAGTCTTGGAAAAGGCATTTTTAGCAGTGATCAAGGGAAACTGATTAGCGAAGTCACTTCTAATCCTTCACGTGTCAGCTGTGTTCTTGTAGGCTTTGCTTAGAACCTAGGTTTTTACTTCCACAGTGACTTAATAAAGGGGAAAGAATTGACTCAGAGCCCAGATGAATTAAGAACTCTATCTTTTTACAGAAAACAGCCAAAACAAACACTAATGAGTTTTTGATTGATGTGGATAAAGGAGAAAACTACTGTTTCAGTGTTCAAGCAGTGATTCCCTCCCGAACAGTTAACCGGAAGAGTACAGACAGCCCGGTAGAGTGTATGGGCCAGGAGAAAGGGGAATTCAGAGGTGAGTGGCTCTGCCAGCCATTTGCCTGGGGGTATGGGTGCTGTGGGTGACTTCTGGAGGAGTAGCTCCACCCTCAGGGCTGGGATATACTTCCTTGGTTAAATATTCAGGAAAACAAACTGCCTGGAGGTTTTTTGTTGTTATTTGTTTGTTTTGGTTTTGATTTTGCTTTGGTACAAAAAAGATTTTGGACATTTAGAAATGTTTCTGTGTTGATTGTGCCCTTGTATTAGCAGGTGTTTTCTTGAGCACCTGTCATGTGCTAAGCCCTCTGCTGAGCACTGGATACACAAACTGTGTTTAGGATTTAGCAACAAGTCACAGATTTCCCTGGGCATTTTTTCATGCTTAAATTCTAATTCTGGGGGTGGCTTCTGGACCAGCTGCAGCAGGACACAGTAGACATTCGTGAGTACCCACTGTGGGCTGTTGCCACAGAGGCTGTAGAGTCTAACCCATCAAGGGAAGGGATTGAGTATATCAAATATACCCACATGCATGCATGTGTGTATATGGCGGACACGTGTGTGTACATGCATGTGCATATGTTGGGAGCTCAGGCCCATTGTGCGAGGAACAGTCCCTAACCGGAAGTGCTGTGGGCCTTCAGACTCTTGCAGGAAGCTGCAAGCCTGTGTGTCTCGATCCATGCCTTACAGGGAAAGTATTCTGAGTACTTCCAGTGAAGAAAAGAGTCAGGGGATATAAACGATGGCTTACGCTGGGTGTGGTGGCTCACGCCTGTAGTCCCTGCACTTTGGGAGGCCCAGACAGGCAAATCACTTGAGGTCAGGAGTTTGGGACCAGCCTGGCCAACATGGTAAAAGCCCATCTCTACTCAAAATACAAAAAGTAGCTGGGTGTGGTTGCACGTGTCTGTAGTCCCAGCTACTCAGGAGGTTGAGGCAGGAGAATTGCTTGAACCTGGGAGGCGGAGGCTGAAGTGAGCTGAGATTGGACCACTGTACTCCAGCCTGGGTGACAGAGCGAGATTCCATCTCAAAAAAAAAAAAAAAAGAAACAACGAAAAAAGAAATGATGGCTTAGCTCCATGTGAAGATGATATTTGAACATTTTAAAACACTTTAAATAAACTGTTCTCTCCTGTTTATTGCCACTGACAGGAGAGGTTTCTCTTTACCTCTGGTCCTGCACCCCTCTGAGCCATCCTACCCACAGCCTTCAGTCATTGTCCTAAAGCCTAGCTCTAATTCCACTGCCTCTCCTTTTGTGCACACACACTTCTCTGCTTCCCTGGCCGTTCTCTATCTTGGAGAGGCATTTCAAACGCCACTTCCACCAGAAGGCCTTGCTACTGCACCAACTAGTTACTATCTCTTCTTCACCCAAATCCTGGTAGCACTTTGGATCTCCCACTTTGCACTTAGGGTTCACCTTCCGTTATAATCATTGCCATCAATCTCAGCATCGTTTTTAGGCACTTCTTTCCAGCCATTGTTCTTACCTCCAACTACATATCTTTTCTGGACTGTGCATTATTCAGTTTATTAAATGCCCATTAAATGTGTTTAGCCATTGTCAATTACTCTGAAACGTTCAGGTTTTGACAAATTCTTTCCTAATGTAAGTGTGGTGGAAAGAGTGAAAGAAAGTCAAATTGCACAAAAATAGGATGGTGTAATTTGGGGTTATGCCGTCAATTTTGTCCACTGATAAATGGGATTTGAGCTCTCCAAGTTGACTAGATGCCCTTTATTTTTCAGAAATATTCTACATCATTGGAGCTGTGGTATTTGTGGTCATCATCCTTGTCATCATCCTGGCTATATCTCTACACAAGTGTAGAAAGGCAGGAGTGGGGCAGAGCTGGAAGGAGAACTCCCCACTGAATGTTTCATAAAGGAAGCACTGTTGGAGCTACTGCAAATGCTATATTGCACTGTGACCGAGAACTTTTAAGAGGATAGAATACATGGAAACGCAAATGAGTATTTCGGAGCATGAAGACCCTGGAGTTCAAAAAACTCTTGATATGACCTGTTATTACCATTAGCATTCTGGTTTTGACATCAGCATTAGTCACTTTGAAATGTAACGAATGGTACTACAACCAATTCCAAGTTTTAATTTTTAACACCATGGCACCTTTTGCACATAACATGCTTTAGATTATATATTCCGCACTCAAGGAGTAACCAGGTCGTCCAAGCAAAAACAAATGGGAAAATGTCTTAAAAAATCCTGGGTGGACTTTTGAAAAGCTTTTTTTTTTTTTTTTTTTTTTTTGAGACGGAGTCTTGCTCTGTTGCCCAGGCTGGAGTGCAGTAGCACGATCTCGGCTCACTGCACCCTCCGTCTCTCGGGTTCAAGCAATTGTCTGCCTCAGCCTCCCGAGTAGCTGGGATTACAGGTGCGCACTACCACGCCAAGCTAATTTTTGTATTTTTTAGTAGAGATGGGGTTTCACCATCTTGGCCAGGCTGGTCTTGAATTCCTGACCTCAGGTGATCCACCCACCTTGGCCTCCCAAAGTGCTAGTATTATGGGCGTGAACCACCATGCCCAGCCGAAAAGCTTTTGAGGGGCTGACTTCAATCCATGTAGGAAAGTAAAATGGAAGGAAATTGGGTGCATTTCTAGGACTTTTCTAACATATGTCTATAATATAGTGTTTAGGTTCTTTTTTTTTTCAGGAATACATTTGGAAATTCAAAACAATTGGCAAACTTTGTATTAATGTGTTAAGTGCAGGAGACATTGGTATTCTGGGCACCTTCCTAATATGCTTTACAATCTGCACTTTAACTGACTTAAGTGGCATTAAACATTTGAGAGCTAACTATATTTTTATAAGACTACTATACAAACTACAGAGTTTATGATTTAAGGTACTTAAAGCTTCTATGGTTGACATTGTATATATAATTTTTTAAAAAGGTTTTCTATATGGGGATTTTCTATTTATGTAGGTAATATTGTTCTATTTGTATATATTGAGATAATTTATTTAATATACTTTAAATAAAGGTGACTGGGAATTGTTACTGTTGTACTTATTCTATCTTCCATTTATTATTTATGTACAATTTGGTGTTTGTATTAGCTCTACTACAGTAAATGACTGTAAAATTGTCAGTGGCTTACAACAACGTATCTTTTTCGCTTATAATACATTTTGGTGACTGTAGGCTGACTGCACTTCTTCTCAATGTTTTCTCATTCTAGGATGCAAACCAATGGAGAAGCCCCTAATTAGATCAGGGCAGAGGGAAAAACAAAAAACTGGTAGAAACCGGCAACCACAGCTTCAAGCTTTAAGCCCATCTCCTACACTTCTGCTCTGTAGGTGCCCATTGTCACTTCTGTTCACATGCTACTGTCCCAAGCAAGTGACCAAGCCTGACAATACTTTGTCTACTGGAGTCACTGCAAGGCACATGACGGGGCAGGGATGTCGTCTTACAGGGAAGAGAAAAGATAATGCTCTCTACTGCAGACTTGGAGAGATTTCTTCCCATTGGCAGTAGTTTGACTAATTGGAGATGAGAAAAAAAGAAACATTCTTGGGATGATTGTATTGAAACAAAATTAGGTAAAAGGACAATATAGGATAGGGAGAGATATAAGTGGAATGAGATCTCTAGAGTCCATTAAAAGCAAGCTAGATTGAGAGCTCTTGGAGGGCAGGGACTGGGCCTAGCTCATGGTTTACAGCTCTTGAGGGTGACTGCACAGTGGACTCAGTCAGTCATGGCTGAGTTGAGTTGGCTTTATTATCTCTAGAATGTAGTTCTCCATTCAAATGCAAAACAGCCTTATTCTCTCAACTGTAGTAAAAGAGGATTCTAACTAGAGATGAAAAAGGTTCTTGGCACCTACTGGGCCACAAGACTGCTTTTGCTTCCCACTGTGGAAGGGGGCACTGTTATCTAGGAAAAACATCCAGATGGCACACCTACTCAGAAGTGGTTCCACAAAGAAATTGAGCAAGCATTCAGATGAGCAGCCTCAGCTCACTATCTAGCTGTTAATAAATTTTAAGTCCGTTTTGTTCCTTTGCACCAAAGAAATTGAACAATGTCAATAAAATTCCAAACATGAACTGTTTTATGTAACACCACATCCTAAGGAAGAATGCCTGAAACAAACCTTTGATGTCCTCATAAAAATGATAGCCATTTTGGAGAAATTATGGAAAACAGACCAGTGGTTGGTTTATTTGGTTGGTTTTGTTTATTATTACTTTTTTTTGGCCATCAACACAGAGGCTAGAGAGGTTGAATCTTGCACTGTTGTAGTGTTTTGTTATACAGAGAAAAGGGATGTATTTGCAGCAGAGTCAACAAAAAAGAAACTGGCATGGGGGCACATCCTCAAGGTGCTTCAACCTTTATCTCAAATTCCTGCTCACATGGGGCTACCTGGGACAAAGAGCTTAGTGCATTACATGAGGAGGCAGAACAAGCTACAGCAGAAGGTGCCTAACCAGATATTTCCCTGCCAGGATTAATTATAGCATTATGTAATTTCTTGGCCTCATTATCTAAGGAATTTGAATTATTCCACTAAGGAAAATACTGGCAGATAGAAAACAGGTCTGGGTACTAATGAGGAATCTGGCTGATCACAAGGAAGGGATTCATTATGGACTGGAATGAGGCTGAACTGCAATAATCAGAAAGCTTCCACACAGCAAATGTTAACCACTCCCTACTTTGCCACATCCCTCTGAATTGCTGAGACCTAACAGCCGATACTAAAAATCAGCACTGTGATTGACACTGGGGCAGAAACCATACCAAAGACTGTTGGCTGCAATCCAGAAACTGTTGCCCTCCAGTGGACCAAATTATACTTCATTACTTGACCAGTAATGTACCCCATAGAGCTAATTGTTAGTTAACCAAACTATCATGCATTCTTTGTTTTGTTTTGTGAGACAGTCTGGCTTTGTCTCCAGGCTGGAGTGCAGTGGTGAGATCTCGGCTCACTGCAACCTCTGCCTCCCAGGTTCAAGCGATTCTCGTGCCTCAGCCTTCTGAGTAGCTGGGATTACAGGTGTGAGCCACCATCCCTGGCTAATTTTTGTATTTTTAGTAGAGATAGGGTTTTGCCATGTTGGCAAACTCCTGACTTCAAGTGATCCACCCACCTCGGCCTCCCAAAGTGCTGAGATTATAGGCGTGAGCCACCATGCCCAGCCCTTTCATGCGTTCTAAAGATATTTTTCCAATCTTAAATTATTAACTGAATTTGGCTTACATATAAGAAACTAATACTCATGAAATCCAAAGACATTTTAGCTTAATTTCAGCTGATGGCTTATAATCTAAGGAACTGCCCCTTAAACAATTATCTCTATTCATCAAATGGTGAATAAACTCGTTCCCAAATGCTCTTTTTACCTGTTCTAGGACATGTGTACTTAATTGTGTGATTTTCCTCCAATAGTTGCTTGGAAGGTTTATTACTGTTATGACATCCTCCGACTTTCGTTCAGATACTTAGAATGAATGCTTATGCTCTCCTTTCCCATAGCCCTTGCTTTTCGACTGTGATCTAGGTGATTCCAGCTTTGCCAGTCAGCACATTCCTTCTTCATGGCTGCAAAAATTGGTTTAGAGGTAGGCATGTGACCTAACCAAGACTAAGAGGAGTGTATATCAAGGCTTTTTTCTGGGAATGGCAGGATGCTCTTTCTTGATGAACATAGTGAAGAGACGTAGCCACAAGAGCTGCTGGCAGCAGTCTTGAGACCACAAAGGGAGCCAGCTTTACATGGAGCTGACATATTGGAGAGCAGTGCAGAGCAATTGTAAAAAGTGAAGTCTTTGCTTTTCATTCCTTTGGCAAGACCTTTGAATTTCACATTTGTTTCACATGTGTTTGTAACCACTCTTTGAGACATGTTATAGATGACTGCTTAAAAAAAAAGAAAAAAGAAGTGAAGTCTTTGGTGACAGCACCAAGCTGCTAGATCAAGCCTTGCTCAAAGTCCCAACCCATGGACTTTTCACTGGACATTATCTGACTAATTGTTTAAGCGAGCTGAGTCAGGTTTTCTGTTCCTTGCAGTCAAAAGCACCCTATCATGTTGTATAAGCGCTGACCATCAAATATAAACACAAAGAGAAGGTCCCTAGAATGTGAACTTATAGTGTAAAATAACATTTCATTTTCATGCCTTTTCAATTACTTAATGACACTGCCCCCTAAAATTATCCCCTCATTCCAGCCGTATAAATCTCTCCCGTATTATTTGATCATTCCTAGCAGAAGATAAACATCCTGTATTATTTTCTACCTTATAAAAAACAAGTTTCCTTTGATCCCTGGAATCCCTCATCTGGATTTTCTCCTTAACTTCCTATTCCCTCTTGGACACCATCTTCTTTCCAACTTCTAAATATTGGATTAACTTAGTGCTTGAACTAAGATAATTAGTTCTCATTAGTTCTCCCATTCTCTATCAATAATCACTCTCTAGGTAATATATTCAAGTCCATGGCTCTATCATGCCAGATGCCCATAATATCTAGATGCTGATGACTCCCAAATACGTGTCACAGCCTCCAACCTCTTTTCTGAACTCCAGAGCTGCACTGTTGATCCAAATACTTACACAAACTCTCTCCTTGGATAGCTAACAGGCATCTTAATCTCAACACATGCAAAGAGAATCTTTAATTTCTCCCAAACCCAAAACCTGTTTTTCCCCTAGTCTTTCCCATTTTAAGAAACAGCCACCATTGGCTCAGGCCAAAACTTCTTGGTGTTATCATTGACTTATCTTTCTTCTCCCATGCCACATTCAATCCATCAGCAAAGCCTGCTATCTCTACCTTTAAAATACACCCCAATTCCAAAGGTCACCTCCTCTGCTCTCCCTCTACTTCAAGCCATTCTCCTGTCTCACTGGAAGACTGCAATAGCCTCCTGGCTAGCCTCCTGTTCCCACAGTTACTCCCCTACAGTCTATTTTCCTCGCAACACCTAAGTAACCCTTTTACAAGTAATAAATTATGTTTTAATGGGTATTGTTGTCAACTCTATGCTCATAGGGTTCTATGAGCAATTTTATAATGTGTCAATTTGGCTAATCCGGAACTATGTTTCCCAGAGTTATGGTCCCTGTATGGTTCTAGATTATAGTTAACTGAAAGAGATATTTTCACAAGATTTGGACAGGAGAAGTGAAGTGGCAGCCATTTGGTCATCATGGTTAGAGGTGGCGAGAGACAAATGCAGGGATGCTCCCAGATTCTAGCTTGCCCTGGCTCTCCCTGACTCTGTGACTCTATTTCTAACTCAATTCTCATTCTGCTGACCATTAGGGACCCCAGGCCCCACACTGGATCTAGAGCAATCTTCCACCAGCTCTCCTTCACCAGCTCTCTCTCTCTCAAAGTCCAAGGAGGAAATGACCATATTCTTCTGTGGGGATCCACAAAGTCTTCAAAGATGAGGTGGATGTGAAGGAAGGAATGATCCTTCCTTCTACAGACCCACCGGCTTCCAGAGAAGAGCACCCAATGGATGAGGACCAAAAGGCTGCTCAGTGCAGGCCAGTGCATGCACCAGGAGCCTCCTGTCCAGCCTTTCACCGTTTAGTGCAACTTCCTACTCCAGAGCCACGAGACTTCATGACTTCCCATACACGAGGCCCCATAGTGGTACAAATAGAAGAACAGAGTCCACGGACACAATAGTAGTATTTTTCATTTCTCTAACACGTGGTTTTTTTATTTAGGCTTCCTTTCCACCAGATGATAGAAACCATCCAAAGCAATTTGGTGACTCCCTCTGGGTTACCTACCTTTCCACTGGAGTTGTGTTCAAGTGCACATCCCGCCACCACTGTAACTGCCCTCTAGATCCCTCCACTTCCCCTCTAACCTCTCCCTCCAGCTTGGAAAGTCCTTTTCAAGTCTGAGAGTGGCAGGCTGGGGTGGGGAAGCCTCTGTCCTACTTGTTGCCATGTTCTCTTTTAAATCTGTGGTCTATGCACTAGTCCTGCTGTTCACACTGTCCTGAACCACAGGAGAATCCACTTTTCTCTGCTTTCAGCTGCCATATCCCTTCCAGAGACAGTGATCACAGAACTACTGAGCTAACTAAATGGGGAAAAGGGCCAAGGATCAAAAGACAGACCTGGGTAAAAACATAGATGGATAATTCTTTTATTTATTTATTTTTTTGAGACGGAGTCCCACTCTGTTGCCGAGACTGGAGTGCAGTGGAGGGATCTTGGCTCACTGCAACCTCCACCTCCCAGGTTCAAGCGATTCTGCTGCCTCAGCCTCCCGAGTAGCTGGGACTACAGGCATGTGCCACCGCGCTCGGCCTTTTTGTAAAAAAAAAAAAAAAAAAAAAAAATGGGGTTTCACCATGTTGGCCAGGCCAGTCTTGAACTCCTGACCTCAAATGATCCGCCCACCTCGGCCTCCGAAAGTGTTGGGATTACGGGCGTGAGCCACTACGCCCAGCCACAGATGGATATTTCAAAGGATACCATTTCACCATTCCAACTAATGAAAGGATTTAAAAATCATTAAAGTGTCAATGATTCATAATATTTTATCAAGAGTCATACTCTTAAAATGAAAAAAAAATGAGAGTAAAGGTAGAATTTTACTCATCAGCTGTTGTGAAGGCATTTGGTGCGAAGGTGGAGGAGCCTTTTTTCTCCTAAATCCAGATACATGCTCGTCTGCCATTCTGTAGCAGACCCCTGTGCCTTTCTGACATCTCCCTCATCCTGCTACACTTTCCTCCATGCCTGGGGGCCCAATTGTCCATATTTATTTTTAATATTCTTTTTTTAAGCCAGACTATTTCCTTTTAAAGAAAAGCTATCTGCATGGTGGCAAAGATTAAATCTTGTGTGCATATCTGATTCTCTGAAGAAATTTTGTTCATTTTCTTGAATGCATCCAAACCATTGCTTTATTCCACTGTTAGTTTAATCTGACGGTTCCCAAAGTGTAGTCCCAAGACCAGCAGCATTTGTGTCACCTGAGAACGTGGTAGCAATGCAAATTCTTGACCTTGACTGCAGACTTACCAAATTAGCAATCTATGTTTTAACAAGAAGCCCTTCAAGTGATTCTAATGCCCACTAAAGTTTGAGAACCACTGGCTTGATCTATTAATGACCGCGATCAGCAATACGTGTTTACTATTTACTGCAGAGAGTCTGGAAGTAGTCACAGACCCAAATGGCGCTTCCCAGGCCTTGGAGAAATCAGAATGCAACCTGCTCTGAAGCCAAAACAAATTAAGAATACATAGAGCATAGACAAGTCTCCATCTGTAGACTGCACACTCCCTGTAAAGTTTGTTATATATGAGTCTGTTAGGATTTTTCTGGTTGCAAGGAACAGAAACTCAAGACAGCTTAAGCAAAAATGGGAAAATTTTTTTCAGGTGCGCTCATTGGTCTAAGATCTTTAGCCCCTTTTCACTTAAATCCTATGATTATACATTATTAAAGCATCAATAATTAATACTTTAAAATCACTGTATTTCTGGGTGAAATGAAAATTAAAAATTCAGGAATTTTGAAACCGAGAAGCTGAAATTCATCTTGAATATATACAATTTAATAAACCTTAAAAATAGGGATCTAAAGGAGTTGTAAGAAAAAATTTTTTGACATGACAATCTTTACCCAGCCTGATTCTCAAAAACCAACCAAACAACTATGCTCCATTTGCAAAGCAATTTGTCTTCTCCAAGCATATTTCAGGCCGGAGAATAAGAGATGTAACAGAAACTCAGAGGGGCAGGAAATGCTTTTTCCCTTGCATATATTAACATCATTTGGGACGGGAAGCGTCCTTTACAACTAAGATTGTGGCGCCATCTTGAGTTCCTGAGAAGGACAGATAACTTGACTGAAATGTTCACAGACTGGATTATAAAAGAACTAAAGGAATTGTAAATAAAATCCAGAATACCTGTAGGTGATTAAGCATGAAGGAACATGAAAGGGAAGCCTGAATAAATGAACCCAGAGAATATTCTGCAGATTTCTGCAACTGTACCTGTGATGGCCTCTCTAGTCTATAGCCAGAGCTCCCACCCCAGATCCTGCTACTTCAACTGTGGTCTGGGACAACAGCTTTAGCATCACTTGAAAGCTAGTTAAAAATCGAGATTCTTGGGCCCAATCCCAGACCTAATGAATGATAATCTGCATTTTCCAGGTAGTTTGTATGCACACTGAAGTCTGAGAAACTGCTCTCTATGCCTTCCTTCACAAACAGGGTAGGGGAGGTGGGATGGAAAAGGGAGACAGGCACCCCACCAATGGATAGAACTGCACAGTCTTGATAAGATGCCATGTATTAAAACTTAAATATCAGCAAGTTCTGAATCCAAGCCATAAGAAAAGGCAGAGTAGTGATCATACTAAAAATACTATACATTTTCCAGACAATAATTTGAGGACCTCTGTCTTAATCCACAGCTTCCTAAAGACCAAAAGCTTTCTTGCCTTGCTTACATTGATCATGCTCCTTGCTTCTACCAACTCAGCAAGACTGTAATGTTTCCTGGATCTCACCGAGGAGGTTTCCTCTCCTGGATTCCCACTGCATTCTTTCCACTTCCTTACTACACTCTAACTCTTACTACTGTACAAAACGGTTGTCCACCCATTGTAGCCCCTTTTCTGGATTGTCATTTCCTTGGCAAGAACCATACTTATGCATTTGAATTCACTCGTTTGTTCAGTAACTTAATCTAATACTAAGCACCTACTACATGCCTGACATTATAGATTTGATTAAAATATGAAACATATAATCCCAACTTTTGTGGAGCTTATGTATTTGCAGAGTGAAATGTCAATTACAATAGAACATAAATGTTATGATAAGGAAAGTAGGGTGTTTTGGGGAACTTACATGGAGCCACCTAACTTGGACCTGGAAGGGTTACCTACAATCTCAGCTGAAGGACATAGAGTTAACCAGGCAAGGTGGGGGGAAGTTACAAAGTGTTCCAGGAAGAGGGCATGCCACCATCATTAAAACATTATCTTGGTCATAGATAATGCCAAAAATAAATGTGTGTTTGACAAAATTTGGAGTTTTGTATTGCCTCAAGCATTCCAGTCACTTGGTAAATTGACTGGCTAATTAGAGTTGCACCAATTATCTTTTTTAAAAAGAGAGACAGCTTTCAAAGTATTGCCTATAACTATTTTTATTTAGAATAACTGCTACTTTTGAAAAGCATTTTCGAATCCAGATCCCAGAGCTTGCTATTCCACTCTAAGAACTAGCAAAAGGAGCTTTACCTGAGTTAACAGAAATTCCAAAGAAATTAAACATCATGGAATTAAACTTGTAAGCTGAACCCTCTGTTAAGTCAGGAATGGTCTATAAGTAACACTCTAAAAATTGGGGTTGTCTATTTTCCCTTATTATTGTCAGTTTCTATGTTTGAGCCTATGCTATTAGGTACATACAAATCAAGAAATGTTACACTGCTTGACTGACCTTTATCATTACGAAATGTCCCTCTTTATTTCCAGAAATGCTCACTGTCTTAAAGTCTAATTTGTCTGATATTAGAATAGTTATCTAATAAAAGATTCATATCCAGAATATAGAATATCTGGAATAGAACATTATTTAAAAGAGGGCCCAGAGACTAAATAGGCACCTCAAAAAAGAGGACATCTAGATAGCCAATAAACATTAAATGAGTTCAACCTCATTAGTCATCAGGGAAATGCAAAATGAAACCACAATGATGGCTGAAGATACATTAAGTAAAAATAAAAATTAAAAAAAGAACACTGGGAATACCAAATCTTTGCAAGGACTAAGAAGACCAGAATTCTTACACACTTATGGTGGCAGTGTAAAAACTGAACAACTTTGGCAGTGCCAAAGCTGAACACATTCCACTCCAGAAATGCACACACATGTGCACCCAAAGACATGCATAAGAGTGTTTCTATGAAGTGTTCCTAACAGCTCCAAACAGAAAACAACCCAATGCCCATCAATGGGAAGAGGAATACATAGCCTATTCAATATAGAGATGCTGCTGGTCTTACAATGGAGCTGCATCGCAATAAACTCACAGTAAGTCAAAAATACGTTAAGTCAAAAAATGCATTTAACATCCAGGTAAACCCATCATAAAGCTGAAAACTTGTAAGGTGAACCCTCTGTTAAGTCAGGGATGGTCTGCAATTAACCATTATACAGCAATGAAAGTGAAGGAATTATGGTCACACTTACCATGGATCAATCAGCCTCACAATACTGAGGGAAAGAAGCCATACACAGAAGGGTATCTAATATATATAAAGTCCAGAAACAGGCAAAACCAATTTATGTGATAGAAGTCAGGAGCTAATAATTGGAAGAGAACAAGAAGGAGCCTTTAGTGCTGTAACAATGTTCTATTTCATTTGGTGTTTGGGTGTGGTTACCAGTGTGTATGCTTTCTTATAAATTTATCAATGTTTTTGTACATATACTACAATAAAATGTTTACAAATTTAAAAAATGATTTAACTACATGAGGGGATGTGGCAGAAACAAAGGTGGTAGGGAATGTCTAAAATTGATAAATCAAGAAATGGCTATAAAGGCATATTGTTTAAAAAAATGAAATGCAATTACACCAACTAGAAGAGTTTAAAATCGTTGCTCCTAAGGTTTGGAGGGGATTGCTTTTCAGTTTTTTTGGCACTTTCTTAAAGTGACATGCATATGTTATGTATATGGAAATGGTCAGAACATTCCAATTCTTCACAAAGGAAAAATCACTAATGTAGGTTTAAAAAAAAAGAGACAGCTTCCTGCAGCTAACAATGTCAAAGTCCATCTGTTAGAAGAAAATTCATTCTGCTTCTCAGCACAAATTATGATTTTAAACACCAAATTTAAAAGTTAAAACTTTACATAAAGTAATGCCAGATGCTATCATATCACCGGTTTTAAGCCAAATGTTAATCATTCAGAAAGGGGAGAAAGAGACAAATGCTAGATATATTTTATTCTATTAATGCAAAACAAACTACCATTGCTGTTTCATACTTATTTTCTCATTATATAAAAAGTAAAAACTTATTATGAGAACACGGTGATATGTCTTGGCATGCAGCGTGGTGCTCATGGATGAAAGTTCTTATTCTTTGGTTTATTCTTCGGATTAAACTACCATTTCCCACTGCAGTTTCTGGAAGGTGTTAATAGGAATTATGTAGAAAAAGATGTTCCGTGGTCAATCATGTTTTTGAACCAATGGATTTCTTTACTGTGGGTCTTCGAAGAACCACTATTATGTTAATGTGATTCTCCAGAAGGATCTTCCTCTGTGCCTCAAATGGTGAGGCACTGTAATATTTGTTACATAAAAAAGAAAATAATTAAGAAAAAAAGCCCAAATTGTTGTTGTTGTTGTTTTGATGGCAAGAATCATAACAAAAGCAATTATAAGGCAGCTAGGAGAATACTTCTACGAGTAGGTTTAAGGTAACCCAGAAATCTGAAAATCTGAAACTTTCCCATGCCTTAAAATCTTTTCCAAGACGAATAGTATCTTTTAAGGTCTCCTGGCTGTTTGGTAGCATTTGTCAGGTACACAGATTTTACTGAACTTTTCTAAAAGAGAAATTCATTCAATTAAAAACCACACTTGGCAAAACTTTAAAAAAGAGACACTGTGCTAAAAGCATTTTCTGAATTTATTTTTGTGTTTTTCAAGTCAAGATTAAACTATCTATGTTTTCAAGTCAAGGCTGAATTATAAATGAACTTCTCAGTATTTAGATACCAGAATAAAAAGAACAAGCAAAGGTTGTATAGGATATCTGAGTTTTTTTTTTTTTTTTTTAATCTGAACAGAAAATAAGTATACAAGTTCGCTAAACAGAAGTGGTAAAAATTGAATGTTATGTATTATGGAATTCAGTACATCAGTTTACTTCGGTAGCCAGTGATTGTTATAGTTAATTCTGCAAAAAAACAAAACCAGTTATGCAAAAACAAGAGTACAAAATGCCCCTTTCTGAAGCTCAGTTTGAGAAACTGATTTCGTATCTAGCTTATTGATTATACTCAGTTTCAATTCTCCCTGTGCAAATAATACATAAAGTCATTAATGATGATTTGATGAACTGAAATCATCTTCGCTTAGGATCGTTTGACATCATAACCCAAATATAAAAAAGTTATTCAAGATTCACAGAGATAAAACAGTGCCTCGGAAACATAATTCACCCATGTATATATAATAATTTTAGAACATACTTTTTAAACATAAAATCACAGTCAAAGACAGTGATAGCATTGCATACTCAGTGCATTATTTCATGTAGTGCCTTCCTATGGCTCATTTGGAGTTTAATACCAAATAACCACCACACTTCTAATGAATGGGCTTCTAACACACACAAATTTGTCTAATTCTCTTAAAAATCTAGAACTCTTATAAGACCTTGAGCCTGGCATGTTAAGGACTTTGTGTTTTAATATCCCAAACATTGGGAAGATTAGGTGTGATACATGGTAACCCCTCCTTGTAAGCAAGACTGCACATATACTTTAAACAACTCAATACTGCAGACTGAGAGGGGTACATTTATCATTTAGTTAAGGAAAACCAAAATGGCTTTTCCTGGAGTCAAATGCACTCCAAGACACACACAAGGAATGAGTATTACTGTGGCAGCTAAAGAAATCTGCCACTGTATAATAAACGCTGTTATGCAATGATGTTAAACATTTAAATAATACATTATGATTTGTTTCCAACTACCACAGGGCACAGGAAAATGAAACTGAAGACTATCTTGCTAGAACAGGACAAATGATGACCCAGTTTTAAATAGGGTTCTTCACTGAAGGAAAAGATAGAGCCATAAAAGTCCAATTAGCTGACTTCGAATGGTTTACATCCCAGGATGAATCAGGTTACAGTGATTGAAGCCCAATTTAATTTAGGCAGGTTTTTAACCACAAGAATAAGGACATTCTTAGTACATATTATTAATTAAACCAACATATACACAATTAGCAATATCCTATATAATATTAAATGTTTTAACAACTTGTTCTCCATTATTCTGTATCTAGTTAATTTGTTGCTTTGTTTTTTTTTTTAAAAAAAACTAAGCTCAACTTTATTTTACAATGTACTTTGCCTTTCTAAGTATATTCTGTAATTATTTCACTGAAGCAGGTATAGTTCTCCAGATTTCTCTAAGAGCCAAACTCAACTGTATCTTCTGTTATCTGTTTGAATTCATAGTTGCCTCTGCCATCCATATGCAGGTAGTACTATGGGAAAGAAGGGGGAAAAAAAGTCAGTAACTAAGAGTGAATATAGTACTGTCTTTTATGAAAAGTAAAATACAGACTTCCTCATTATTTTAAGGGAGCTAAATCTATAAGCATCCCACAAATCAGAATGCTTCCGTAACTCCATGACCAAGGATCTCAGCTACCAGTAGGTTAAACTGTGCTAAATGCAAGACTGTTCCATAGGTCAGTCAGTATTGTTTCCTGTAGCCTGATTTCCTAATCAGCTTGAAATCTCCAGCTTAAGGCTTTTTATTTGTTTTTAATTTAGTAGAGGGGAAAAAGAGCTATAAAAACTGCCGATATATCCTAACCTCTGAAGACACAACAGCAGTTACAAAGCCTTCTGTTTTTATTTAGTGGCTTATTTTCAGAAAGCTTTCTGAGTTTCCATTTTCTGTATTACTATTTCTTAGCTATCCTGGCCCCTCACATTCTAGTTGTGTTCCCCTCCTTCACATGATCACTGGCGTGATGATTATTTTGCTACTTGTCTATACCTCCAAAAGAAGAGGAAGGGTGAAACCCAAATGCTCTCAATTCCTCTCAATGTCCTATGGCTATAATACTTATGAACTTCCGAGAAAACATAAAGGCTTGGCTATATTTTAAATGCCTTTGATTTCTAGTTATTCAATTTCCTGCTCAGTTCATGAAAAATTGACAAGTTATAATATGCCATAAAATAATAAAAGCTATCTTTAAAAGTCACACAGTTATATAGAATTTCACTGAATTTTATTAAGTACTTTCATATAGGCTACCTGTCTAATTTTCATGGTAATCTAAGAGATAGGAAGGTAAGGCTCAATAACTTCATTATACAAAGGAAGCAACTGAGGCTAGAAACTTTGGTGCCTGAACCCAGGCTCTCTGACTTCAAATCCTATGCTCTTCATTTTATCACTTGTAGACTATCATCTACATCCTAAAGTTCTTGAAGGTAAAAACTGTAATTAATTTGCATCCCTCATGACACTTAGCTCAGTATCTGGCAAAAAAAGGTCCTTAATCAGGTATGTATTTTGTGGAACAAGGCACCTTTACCATTATTCCAATTTTTCTCAAATCCTTGCTTTTACCTAAAATTTCTATATCATTTAGGAAGGAAAAGAAGGAAAGAAGAGAAGAAAGGAAAGAGGGAAGGGGGAAAGACAGAAAGGAAAGAAGAAAAGAAAGGAAGGAAGAAAGGAAGGGAGGGAGGGAGGGAGGAGGAAAGAAAATAAAGAGAATTAAACTGGGTTTACTTTCAGGTTTTGAGCATTTCACATTGAGTTGAAAAGAACTGACATAGTGAGAATGGCACTACTGAAGCACCAGAATAAGTAATACACGTGCACCAATGTAAGCCTCATTTGAATATCTTTGTAAATTATAGTGACTATCTAATGAATCCTACTTACTACAGTACATTGATAAACATAGCTTATGTTATTCAATCTTCCCCCTTGTAGTCCTGACCTCTATTAAAAATGTCCCTAAATTTTTTGCCATCTAATTCTTCTTAAGACTTTTTCTCCTCTGTCACTGCTGGATAAGAAAAGTTTACTTCACCATATTTGTGATAAGACTATGCAAAGTTTAGTCAGTTACTATTAACAGATAAGAGTCACTTATAAAACTGGAGAAAAACTGTTACACCATTGCTTTCAAAACTGACAACTATAATATTTAAGAAAATCCTATTTTATAAAACAAAACCACCTTTTCTCCTTAAGACATATGTTTAAGGGAATACAAACCATAAAATCTAAAACCATATTAACCTGAATTCATATTTTAAAGAAAATAAAATTTCACTGTACCATTCAATGAAAGAAATACAAACCTCATGATGTTTCCAAAGAGATTTCCTATGAGACACAGTGAAGAGAGTGATGCCAACCTAATACAAAGAAAATGATTTAGGTTTAATGAGTAACAGAGTCACAAATTAAACTAGTCCATGTACTTTAAGCTGTTAAGAGGACAGTCTTCAGTGACTAAAGTTAAAAAGCAATGTCAATGAGAAAAAATTTACAACTGGATGCAAAATGTTTATAGCAATGGAAAGTACTGGCCATCAACCACATAATAAAAACTACCAGGTACTGGCATTAAGTGTATTATTTTCTTTTGGGCAAAAAACATATCTCCTATCATGTCTCCTATTTTATTGTGAAAAATATATGAGAGGAATATGAGAAGGATAAAAATAGCCAAAGGTCAAAATCAGGAAAAATTAAATCAGTATAGCATTGTTGACAGTCAACTTGCTTTTCAAATACAGGGTCATAATCCCCTACCGTAAACTACTGTTTTGGAATGTGTCTTGGAATTCAGATTTTGAAAATGTATTATTTAACACCCCCAGAGAGTTCTGAGGCAGAATTTTATAATTAAACACATAAATGTTTCTGTAGCAACACACATGGACACTGATATTGAGACATATAGAGTTTAAATATCTTTTGTTAGCTTAGGCGAAGTTTTACCCAGTGAGCTTGCTACAAAATTATGAAAAATGTTTTAAATTTAAGCACTTTCTGGATTTCAGATTGTGAATACGTATTTATAGATCTGTACTTCAGATTTTCAAAAAAAAAAAAACATTAATAGATAATAGCTGTAGTTGCTCTAGATCAGTGGTTCTCAACCAAGGTGGGGAGGTCAGTGATATTTGTCCCTCAGGGGGACATTTGGCAATGACTGGAGGCATTTTTATTTTCACAACTGAAAGCACTACTGCCATCTAATGGGCAGAGGCCAGGGATGCTTTCTAAACATCCTCCAGTGCACAGCAACCCTCAACCCTGCCCAACTAGGAATTAACAGTGAAAAGGTCAATAGTGCCAGGACTGAGAAACCCCACTCTGGGTCACTGTTCCTCCAAGTGGATCACTCAAGGCTGGCAAATGCATGCTTAGGGCATCTGGGAAATTTCCACCATGGTTTCTTAATTTTATTTTCATTTTGATGATAATTTTTAAAAGATCATTATAAGTATATTCTAGATCATTTTTACCATGAGATTCAAGTTCCTCGGTTTGTATCTACACCTCTGATTGCCAAAGTGATATAAAATAAAACTTCTAATGTGTAATAAGTTTGGCTGCACTGTAAAAAGGTTCTTAAATTGGTTAGGAATTGCATAATAAAATAAGCATATTATCAGTATTAATAAAACATATATTTCAACCATACCACACTTTTCTGATTTTTCAGAGCTCATTTAAGATATTATTTCTCTGTTTATGATACTACAATAATTGGATTAGACATCTACTTAATGCACACATTCTTTACATGAGGATATAAAAAATATATGAAGTATATAAGTCAAAATAAAAAGCAAAATGCAAAATAATGAAATTTGAACCTCAGATTCTATCTTTCCTTAATTAAATCCCAAACCACTGGTTTAGTTTCATCTAAACGGTATCATAGGTCTCTTTAATGTTGTAAATTTGAAACTGTATTTAAGTTTTGTCTGTATTTAATGTATTTAATGTGTAAGTTTATATTAGTTTTGTAGCTGTAAAAGAGCTCTAAGCTTAAGGAATTCACACCTCATCATGTTTATACATGTTTAAGTGGTATCACAGTAATTTAAATTATCAATGAGGCCCCATATGAATTTTCTTTTAAATGGAACTGATGTTTTATAGAATTTATACAGTCTTATGTGGGGACTTCAAGCCTATAGCTAGAGCATAAGAGGAAATCACGTGGTCAAAATTACCAGCAAAGAGCTGCTATGTCATTGAATCAACTGCAGACTACATGGTTTTATGTACATGAGAATACCATAAACATCTCTAATACCTATATATTTGAAAACCAACATGAACAAATGTATAATTATATATTACCAAAGCAAATTCAAGAATAGAAAATAAATCATTAACAAGATAAAATCAGTAGTTAAAATCTTTCTACAAAGAATAGCAAATTCTTTCATCATCACGCCAGTGCTTCTCAAACTTTAATGCGCATTTGAATCATCTTAGAATTTTGGTAAAATGCAGATTCTGATTTAGCAGGGCTTGAAATTCTGCATTTCTAACAAACCCCTAGGTGACACTGCTGCTGCTGATCATGAACACACTTGGAATAGTAGGAATTCATAATATATATACTCAATATGACCTTTTTTATTTATTGAGAACTCCCAAAGAACACATACAAAATGTTAAAAATCCTCATCTACCTCATTTACTTATATAGAAACTATAAAACAGCTAGGATATACTACATTTGTTCCAAAATTTAACCATAGTATAGATGTTGGTAACAATTTCTCAAAGAAAGAAAACTGATACTATTGAATAATTACTTAAAGAATGGAACCAATAAAGATAGCCTCAGACTTAGCTACTAAAAGCAGCTTTGGTAAAATATTGCTCAGGCTAGAAAATAAAACGGATAAATTAAAAATTGCCAAATAATTATTGTTGAGTTTTATTCATAAAAAAACTCTAATGTTTAGATAAAGTTAATGGAAAAATTAAGAAAAGGTCAGTTTATTAACTCTAAGTAATGAGGTAAAGTGAAATAGATTTAAATACGTTGTTTTATATAAATGAGGTATCTTTTATATCTTTTATCTTTTATATCTCATTTATATAAAACAACATATTTAAATATATTTCCCATATATAAAGAGAATTATAAAGAGATTTAAATATGTTGTTTTACATAAATGAGGTATCTTTTATATCTCATTTATATATCAATGAGATATCTTTTACATGACTACCTAAAATTTCTATATCATTTAGGAAGGAAAAAAAGGAAAAAGGGAGGAAAGAAGAGAAGAAATCAGTAGTGAGGGTCCTGTCTGTCAGAAGGAAAACTAACAAACAGAAAGGACATCCACACCAAAAACCCATCTGTACATCACGGTCACCAAAGACCAAAAGTAGATAAAACCACAAAGATGGGGAAAAAACAGAGCAGAAAAACTGGAAACTCTAAAAAGCAGAGCGCCTCTCCTCCTCCAAAGGAACGCAGTTCCTCACCAGCAACGGAACAAAGCTGGACGGAGAATGACTTTGACGAGCTGAGAGAAGAAGGCTTCAGACGATCAAATTACTCCGAGCTACGGGAGGAAATTCAAACCAAAGGCAAAGAAGCTGAAAACTTTGAAAAAAGTTTAGAAGAATGTATAACTAGAATAACCAATACAGGGAAGTGCTTAAAGGAGCTGATGGAGCTGAAAACCAAGGCTCAAGAACTATGTGAAGAATGCAGAAGCCTCAGGAGCCGATGTGATCAACTGGAAGAAAGGGTATCAGTGATGGAAGATGAAGTGAATGAAATGAAGCGAGAAGGGAAGTTTAGAGAAAAAAGAACAAACAGAAACGAGCAAAGCCTCCAAGAAATATGGGACTATGTGAAAAGACCAAATCTACATCTGATTGGTGTACCTGAAAGTGACGGGGAGAATGGAACCAAGTTGGAAAACACTCTGCAGGATATTATCCAGGAGAACTTCCCCAGTCTAGCAAGGCAGGCCAACGTTCAGATTCAGGAAATACAGAGAACACCACAAAGATACTCCTCGAGAAGAGCAACTCCAAGACACATAATTGTCAGATTCACCAAAGTTGAAATGAAGGAAAAAATATTAAGGGCAGCCAGAGAGAAAGGTCGGGTTACCCACAAAGGGAAGCCGATTAGACTAACAGCGGATCTCTCGGCAGAAACCCTACAAGCCAGAAGAGAGTGGGGGACAATATTCAACATTCTTAAAGAAAAGAATTTTCAACCCAGAATTTCATATCCAGCCAAACTAAGCTTCATAAGTAAAGGAGAAATAAAATACTTTACAGACAAGCAAATGCTGAGAGATTTTGTCACCACCGGGCCTGCCCTAAAAGAGCTCCTGAAGGAAGCACTAAACATGGAAAGGAACAACTGGTACCAGCCGCTGCAAAATCATGCCAAAATGTAAAGACCATCGAGACTAGGAAGAAACTGCATGAACTAACGAGCAAAATAACCAGCTAACATCATAATGACAGGATCAAATTCACACATAACATTATTAACTTTAAATGTAAATGGACTAAATGCTCCAATTAAAAGACACAGACTGGCAAATTGGATAAGGAGTCAAGACCCATCAGTGTGCTGTATTCAGGAAACCCATCTCACGTGCAGAGACACACATAGGCTCAAAATAAAAGGATGGAGGAAGATCTACCAAGCAAATGGAAAACAAAAAAAAGGCAGGGGTTGTGATCCTAGCCTCTGATAAAACAGACTTTAAACCAACAAAGATCAAAAGAGACAAAGAAGGCCATTACATAATGGTAAAGGGATCAATTCAACAAGAAGAGCTAACTATCCTAAATATATATGCACCCAATACAGGAGCACCCAGATTCATAAAGCAAGTCCTGAGCGACCTACAAAGAGACTTAGACTCCCACACATTAATAATGGGAGACTTTAACACCCCACTGTCAACATTAGTCAGATCAACAAGACAGAAAGTCAACAAAGATACCCAGGAATTGAACTCAGCTCTGCACCAAGCAGACCTAATAGACATCTACAGAACTCTCCACCCCAAATCAACAGAATACACATTTTTTTCAGCACCACACCACACCTATTCCAAAATTGACCACATACTTGGAAGTAAAACTCTCCTCAGCAAATGTAAAAGAACAGAAATTATAACAAACTATCTCTCAGACCACAGTGCAATCAAACTAGAACTCAGGATTAAGAAACTCACTCAAAACCACTCAACTACATGGAAACTGAACAACCTGCTCCTGAATGACTAATGGGTACATAACGAAATGAAGGCAGAAATAAAGATGTTCTTTGAAACCAAGGAGAACAAAGACACAACATACCAGAATCTCTGGGACGCATTCAAAGCAGTGTGTAGAGGGAAATTTATAGCACTAAATGCCCACAGGAGAAAGCAGGAAAGATCCAAAATTGACACCCTAACATCACAATTAAAAGAACTAGAAAAGCAAGAGAAAACACATTCAAAAGCTAGCAGAAGGCAAGAAATAACTAAAATCAGAGCAGAACTGAAGGAAATAGAGACATAAAAAGCCCTTCAAAAAATTAATGAATCCAGGAGCTGGTTTTTTGAAAGGATCAACAAAATTGATAGACTGCTAGCAAGACTAATAAAGAAAAAAAGAGAGATGAATCAAATAGACACAATAAAAAATGATAAAGGGGATTATCACCACCGATCCCACAAAAATACAAACTACCATCGGAGAATACTACAAACACCTCTACGCAAATAAACTAGAAAATCTAGAAGAAATGGATAAATTCCTCGACACATACACACTCCCAAGACTAAACCAGGAAGAAGTTGAATCTCTGAATAGACCAATAACAGGAGCTGAAATTGTGGCAATAATCAATAGCTTACCAACCAAAAAGAGTCCAGGACCAGATGGAGTCACAGCCGAATTCTACCAGAGGTACAAGGAGGAACTGGTACCATTCCTTCGGAAACTATTCCAGTCAATAGAAAAAGAGGGGATCCTCCCTAACTCATTTCATGAGGCCAGCATCATCCTGATACCAAAGCCAGGCAGAGACACAACCAAAAAAAGAGAATTTTAGACCAATATCCTTGATGAACATTGATGCAAAAATCCTCAATAAAATACTCGCAAACCGAATCCAGCACCACATCAAAAAGCTTATCCACCATGATCAACTGGGCTTCATCCCTGGGATGCAAAGGCTGGTTCAATATACGCAAATCAATAAATGTAATCCAGCATATAAACAGAACCAAAGACAAAAACCACATGATTATCTCAATAGATGCAGAAAAGGCCTTTGACAAAATTCAACAACCATTCATGGTAAAAACTCTCAATAAATTAGGTATTGATGGGACCTATCTCAAAATAATAAGAGCTATCTATGACAAACCCACAGCCAATATCATACTGAATGGGCAAAAACTGGAAGCATTCCCTTTGAAAACTGGCACAAGACAGGGATGCCCTCTCTCACCACTCCTATTCAACATAGTGTTGGAAGTTCTGGCCAGGACAATTAGGCAGGACAAGGAAATAAAGGGTATTCAATTAGGAAAAGAGGAAGTCAAATTGTCCCTGTTTGCAGATGACATGATTGTATATCTAGAAAACCCCATTGTCTCAGCCCAAAATTTCCTTAAGCTGATAAGCAACTTCAGCAAAGTCTCAGGATACAAAAATCAATGTACAAAAATCACAAGCATTCTTATACACCAACAACAAACAGCCAAATCACGAGTGAACTCCCATTCACAATTGCTTCAAAGAGAATAAAATACCTAGGAATCCAACTTACAAGGGATGTGAAGGACCTCTTCAAGGAGAACTACAAACCACTGCTCAAGGAAATAAAAGAGGATACAAACAAATGGAAGAACATTCCATGCTCATGGGTAGGAAGAATCAATATCGTGAAAATGGCCATACTGCCCAAGGTAATTTACAGATTCAATGCCATCCCCATCAAGCTACCAATGACTTTCTTCACAGAATTGGAAAAAACTACTTTAAAGTTCATATGGAACCAAAAAAGAGCACGCATCGCCAAGTCAATCCTAAGCCAAAAGAACAAAGCTGGAGGCATCACACTACCTGACTTCAAACCATACTACAAGGCTACAGTAACCAAAACAGCATGGTACTGTTACCAAAACAGAGATATAGATCAATGGAACAGAACAGAGCCCTCAGAAATAACGCCGCATATCTACAACTATCTAATCTTTGACAAACCTGAGAAAAACAAGCAATGGGGAAAGCATTCCCTATTTAATAAATGGTGCTGGGAAAACTGGCTAGCCATATGTAGAAAGCTAAAACTGGATCCCTTCCTTACATCTTATACAAAAATCAATTCAAGATGGATTAAAGACTTAAACGTTAGACCTAAAACCATAAAAACCCTAGGAGAAAACCTAGGCATTACCATTCAGGACATAGGCATGGGCAAGGACTTCATGTCTAAAACACCAAAAGCAATGGCAACAAAAGCCAAAATTGACAAATGGGATCTAATTAAACTAAAGAGCTTCTGCACAGCAAAAGAAACTACCATCAGAGTGAACAGGCAGCCTACAAAATGGGAGAAAATTTTCGCAACCTACTCATCTGACAAAGGGCTAATATCCAGAATCTACAATGAACTCAAACAAATTTACAAGAAAAAAACAAACAACCCCATCAAAAAGTGGGCGAAGGACATGAACAGACACTTCTCAAAAGAAGACATTTATGCAGCCAAAAAACACATGAAACAATGCTCACCATCACTGGCCATCAGAGAAATGCAAATCAAAACCACAGTGAGATAACATCTCACACCAGTTAGAATGGCAATCATTAAAAAGTCAGGAAACAACAGGTGCTGGAGAAGATGTGGAGAAACAGGAACACTTTTACACTGTTGGTGGGACTGTAAACTAGTTCAACCATTGTGGAAGTCAGTGTGGCGATTCCTCAGGGATCTAGAACTAGAAATACCATTTGACCCAGCCATCCCATTACTGGGTGTATACCCAAAGGACTATAAATCATGCTGCTATAAAGACACATGCACACGTATGTTTACTGCGGCATTATTCACAATAGCAAAGACTTGGAACCAACCCAAATGTCCAACAAAGATAGACTGGATTAAGAAAATGTGGCACATATACACCATGGAATACTATGCAGCCATAAAAAATGATGAGTTCATGTCCTTTGTAGGGACATGGATGAAATTGGAAATCATCATTCTCAGTAAACTTTCGCAAGAACAAAAAACTAAACACCGCATATTCTCACTCATAGGTGGGAATTGAACAATGAGAACACATGGACACAGGAAGGGGAACATCACACTCTGGGGACTGTTGTGGGGTGGGGGAAGGGGGGAGGGATAGCATTGGGAGATATACCTAATGCTAGATGATGAGTTAGTGGGTGCAGCGCACCAGCATGGCACATGTATACATATGTAACTAACCTGCACATTTTGCACATGTACCCTAAAACTTAAAGTATAATAATAATAAATTAAAAAATAAATAAATAAATCTTTTAACATAAAAGTTAAAAACTTTTGTAACTCATTTATATATAAATGAGATATCTTTTGTATCTCATTTATATATATCTTTTATATCTCACTTATATAAAACAACATATTTAAATCTATTTCCCATATATAAAGAGAATTATATACAGAACTGTATTTATAATTCTTTTTCTTTTATTCATATGTTTTAAATCTTTATTAAAACAAGAAATCTTTTGGTAGAAATTTTGTTACTTAGTGACCTGGAATCTTCTCTTTGGACAGATTTGGACATAGTTTACACTAGGTAGGAGGCCATGGCTCCTCAAACTGAGCACCTGCGTACTTACCTTTCGACAATGACTATAAATGTAGCCTTCCACGTCGACACTAACTGCACTTGTGCATTCATCCAAAATGGCAAACTGGGGTTTATGATAAAATAATCTTGCCATCTGAAGCATAAAAAAAATTTTTTGTGTAAAACACAGGCAGACCTAAAATTAGTAAGCCGAAACAAACTTATGTTAAATATGCATTTGTAGTCTTGTAAATCAAAAGTATAAAAATTATTCTAATTCAAAAAATCTACTTCCCAGAAATAGAAACAATATAAACATAACTGTTTTTGCTGTCATCCTGAACAAAGGGAAAAACGTACTTCATGGGAAATACTAATTGCTCAGAGTAAAACACAAACCTTAAGACTGATGAGAGAGGAAGTTTCAAACTAGTATTAAAGAAAGCTCACTAAACAAATAAGATTACAGAGTACATATTTTAACCAAATCTCAGAATTCAGACTAGATGACTCCGACGCAAAAAGGTCTCTATTTTAAATATTTTGTTGCTTAAGTAATGGTACCAATTAATATTCTCACCAATAATTTTTATTGTACCTGTTTTATATCCCCATTGTCAGTTCTGGTTGTGCTCATTTTTTTAAGCCTTTGCTAATTTTATAAATGAAAATTAACATCAAAATTATAGCATACATTTCTTTGACTATCAGGAATGATGAACATTTTCCTACATTTATGTTCCCATGTATTTTCTGGGGATTGTTTATTCTGACCTTTTGTCTAACAGATATTCCAATTTTTGTCATCTGCCCCCTGACAAGATCTCCATGTTTAAGACCAATGGGGCACTCTTCTATCCTTAATTTACCTTCTCTGCAACATTCTCTTTAGAAGACCACTCCATCCTTCTTGAGAAAGTGATAGTGAAACCATGCACCTAAGTTTCCTCCTACTTCTGAGGATCCTTTCTCAGCTTCTTTTCTAGCACTTTCTCCTTCACTCGACCATTAAATACAGGAGCTCCTTAGGGCTAATTTCTAGGTCTCCTCCTCTTTTTCCTGTATTCTGTCAGTGATCTCATCCAATCTTCTGATTTCAAATACTATTTACATTTTATAAACTTGCAATATGCATCTCTCACTCATACTTCTCAAATTTCCAGATATATAAAAATATCAGCCAGGCACAGTGGGTCACGCCTATAATCCCAGCACTTTGTGAGGTTGTTGCAGGAGCCATTGCTAGAGATCAGGAGTTTGAAACCAGCCCAGGCAACACAGGGAAACCACATCTCTTAAAAAAAAAAAAAAAAAAAAAAATTAGCCAAGCATGGTGGTGTTCATCTGTGGTTCCAACTACTCAGGAGGCTAAGACAGGAGGGCTTGAGCCCAGTAGGTCAAGGCTCAAGGCTGTAGTGAGCTATGATCAGGCCACTGCACTCCAGCCTGGCTGAAACAGCAAGACGCTATCTCAAAAAACAAACATTTTAAATTTAAAACATTTAAAAAATTAAAAATAAAAATTCCTCTTTGAGTTTCTACTTGGGTATCTCACAGGACTCTCAAACGTTAAAAGTCTAAAACTCAAATGTAATTTCTAGATTTTCCCTCTAAAATCCATTCCCTTCCCTAATCTTGAACACTTCAGCAAATGAAACTATCAAACAGTTGCTCCAGCTAGAAAGCCAGGAGTCCTCCCTGGTCTGGTCCTTCCCTTTTCCTCTTCCCTTTCACTCTCCCACAGCTATTTTTAAAATGAACTAAAAAGTCCATTCAAGAAAGAAATGTGAAGTTTCAAGTTCACTCACTTTTCCTCATCTCCACAAACATGCCCTTAGCCCAGAGCACACTCATCTCCTGTCTGGATAGACTACAAGTAGCCTCCTACCACTTCTGCTGCTCCTCTCCAGTCCACTCTCCATGTAACCAGAGAACATCTTTCACAAATGTCAATCAGGGAACTTCACTCTCTGGCTTAAAACCCTTCAACAACTTCCCATTTCACTTAAAACTCAAACTCCTTACCACAGTCTACAAGACCTGCACAATCTTATTTCTACTCACGCTCTAACCCCAACATTCTAGCCAACACCGCCTCCTCTCAACTGCTAGGAACAAGGTGCTTTACACCTTAGAGCCTTAAACACACATCATTCTTTTCTGATGTCTCAAATGCCTTATTCTGTTCCTTAGAGCTTTCAGATTTCTGCTTATAATGTCATCTCAGGCAAACCTACCCTCATCCCTAGCCACAATCCAAGTGGGTCCTTTCTGTAACACCTCTGAAGCACTTCATATATAATCCCAGCACTTTGTGGGGCTGAGGAGGGCAGATCACTTGAGGCTAGGAGTTCGAGACTAGCCTGGCCAACATGGTGAAACCTCGTATCTACTAAAAATACAAAAATTAGCCAGTCATGGTGGTGCATACCTGTAGTCCCAGCTACCTGGGAGGCTGAGGAACAAGAATTGCTTGTACCTGGCCGGGCGCAGCAGCTCACGCCTGTAATCCCAGCACTTTGGGAGGCTGAGGCAGGCAGATCACAAGGTTAGGAGTTCAAGACAAGCCTGGCCAACATAGTGAAACCCTGTCTCTACTAAAAATACAAAAATTAGCTGGGCATGGTGATGCGTGCCTGTAGTCCCAGCTACTCAGGAGGCTGAGGCAGGAGAATCGCTTGAACCCAGGAGGTGGAGGTTATAGTAAGCTGAGATCGTGCCAGTGTACTCCAGCTTCGGCAACAGAGTGAGACTTTGTCTCAAAAAAAAAAAAAAAAAAAAAAAAGAATCACTTGTACCTGAGAGGTGAAGGTTGCAGTGAGCCAAGATTGTGCCACTGCACTCCAGCCTAGGTGAAACAGTGAGACTGCCTCAAAAAAAAAAAAAAAATTCAGAAAAGCAGAGACTGTTTTAATCACTACCATGTACTTGACACTTATATATGGGTAGCATTCAACTATCTAATAAATGAATGACTAAAACAGCTTTCCACCTGTTTGCATGAAGTGAGGAAGGGGAGGCAGCAAGTATAGACTATGAAGAAGTTCAACTGTGCAGAAAATGAAAGGTACAGATCACAGAGAAGCTTTGGCTAAGGCAGAGTTTGCTTTTTAGATCAAAGAGACCTGAAAAATGTCTTTCCACAAGAGAAGGACTAGAAGAGGTTAAATGTAGGTGGGGGCTGCGGGAGGGGATATAACTGAAGGAAAAGGATGTGATAAAGTCAGAAGACAGAGGCTCCATAAACATAGATGGAAGTATTTGCCTTTCTCAAGAAGGATGACATATCCTCCAAGACAGCGGAAGTAGGGAGGTCAGGACAGAGCAGCACACAGTTAATTAAGAGGAATGGTTATCTGAGGGCATTCCACCAATGCCTCTCCTCTCTGCTCCCAAAGGACTCTCTGCGTACATTCATCACCACACTTACTACATGACATGGACATTTTCTCAACATGTGTCTCTCTCGCTCCCACTATGCTGTCAGCTACTTAATGCCACAATACAAGAAAGTTGTAAAGCAGGAGTGTCCAATTTTTTGGTTTCCCTGGGCCACACTGGAAGAATAAGAATTGTCTTGGGCCACACATAAAATACACTACCACTAACGATATCTGATGAGCTTAAAAAAAATTACACACACAAAAAAATCTCATAAGATTTTAAGAAAGTTTATGAATTTGTGTTAGGTTGCATTCAAAGCTGTCCTGGGCTGCATGTGTCCGTGAGCCACAGGTTGGACAAGCTTGTTGTAAAGTGAATAAGCATATGCACACTGCAGCCATACTGCTTGCCTAAGCCTGACAAAGCCCCCACCACCAGCTTTAACATTTACTAGCTGTCTTTGCTTGGCCAGCTACTGAATTGCACAAAAGTTCAATTTCCTCTGTAAAATGGGGCGCGGCGGCTCACGCATGAAATCCCAGCACATTGGGAGGTCGAAGCAGGTGGATCACTTGAGGTCAGGAGCTCGAGACCAGCCTGGCCAACATGGTGAAACCCCATCTCTACAAAAAAAAATACAAAAATTAGCCAGGCGTGGTGGTGCATGCCTGTAATCCCAGCTACTTGGGAGGCTGAGGCAGGAGAATCTCTTGAACCTGGGAGGCAGAGATTACGGTAAGCTGAGATTGTGCCACTGCACTCCGGCCTGGGCGACAGAATGAGACTCTGTCTCAAAAAAAAAAAAAAAAACTAGGGGGGCATTCCCAGTTCTTACCTCACAGGACTGTTGTGAGGATGAAATGAGATCACCTGTGTAAGGTGCCTGACATACTGTCTGTCATCTTTTCAGCACTCAATAAAAATTAGCTGTCATTTAATTGAAATAATAGCCTATCTTTCTTTGAAAAGTAGAAGGCGAGTTATTCTGCCAAGTGCAGTGGGTTAAGTAACGGGGTAGAAAACCCAAAATTGGTAGTTTTAAAATGATTGTCATGAAAAATGAGAGAAGGATAAAAATAAGTAAAATGATTGCTAAGCCATGCTGTGAGCCCATCTGATGTTTTTTAGCTGTGCTCAGAAGAGCGGTTAGAGAAGTGCCAAGGCAAATAACTGGGCTGGGATTTAGGTAATACGATGACACAAAAAGTGGGAAAGGAAGTTAAGGGGAAGGGATGAACTGTTCATTCCTTAAGAAATATATCTTATCTCCTATGGGCCACACCCTGGATTATGAAGTCTGTACTGGACAGGAAAGGAGGCAGAGACAGAAAAGGACTGAACAATTGTAAGGAAAGGGAAGGATTAATATTCTAGAGATCTCAGGGAATTTGAGAAAGGGGGATAGTTGCTAATTTAAGGTAAAAAAAAAAAAGATTTACAAAAATGGATTAAAAAAACACTAAAAATTTTATAACAGTGGTATCTCTGGTAAAGGGGTTTGGCCCAATTTATACTTAAATAAATATTCCACTTTTCCATCATATATACTTTTTCATAATTCAAAATAAGAAAAGTTATTACTAAATAGGAAGAGCAAGAAAAATGGAGTGGAAAAGATAACTTTTGGTCAGAAACACAAGATATCCCAAATTGTGACATTAGCTGGAGCAACCCTGGCTGACTCACTGTTCTAAGTGGCTAGGCCTTTTAGGTCTGTTCTTCCTAAAAATTCTAATACCTACTTTCCCCTCAACTTTCTACTTTGGTAATTTTCAATCCTACCAAAAAACTGAAAGGACAGTAAAATGAATACACATATATAATCTTTACCTAATTTCACCAACGTTAGTATTTGTAGCGTTAGCCTTCTCCTTTCCACCCTCTGAAACAAAACAACAGGCTCTCTTTTACACATCACATTCAATTCTCTAGACAATGGCTTGGCCATGCTCCAGTTATATATGCAGTGGTGTCACAGGTGAGCTTTCCCCATTTCCCAAACGCCTCTATTATGGATCATGTGTTTTTTTTTTTTTTTTTTTCTTTTGAGACAGAGTCTTGCTCTGTTGCCCTGGCTAGAGTGTAGTGGCATGATCTTGGCTCACTGCAGCCTATGCCTCCCGGGTTGAAGTGATTCTCCCGCCTCAGCCCCCCACTGCTCTGGGCACGCCTTTGAATTCCTAATCTTCAAATCAAAATTATCCCTCCTGTACTTTTATACCACACACACACTGTTCCTTGGTTTAAGTACATTCATTATTCATTCTCTGAGTTTCCGTCGTGTCCATTTCTGAACCACATCCTTCCATTTTCTCTGAAGACATAGTACAGAAATTTAAAGTTATTTTGCAGCTCTTTTTTGCAGTTATTTCTATAGTCATCTTCTAAATTGACTCTAGAAATGCCTAATCATTTCAAATTTTCACTCCTTCAGCCTAATTTCCATTTTGAATATAGCTATTATCTCTCTCATTTATGATTTACTCTTCACACTAGATTCATCTCACGTTATAGCACTAGCCAGGCAAGTCACACTATTAGGTTAATATTAACCTCATGTAGAGTGGGTATGATTTTGGGAAAAACAACTTGCAAAATCAGGGACTCGGAGGTAACAAAAAGGTGGAATATAACCTGAATATAATGGGTCAGAAATTCTGCCATAAGCCAATTTCTTTTGCTTTCTTTCCTTAGCTACAGTTTTCTCTAATCTCCATACTCTGCAGGGGGAGAGGAGAATCTCTTGCTTGGATCTATTCAAACTATGAAATATATAGTTAAAAAATGACTCTTTATGAAGTTGCCCCTCTTGACAAGGTACCCAAACTACCGTTCTTTTTAAATTTTTATTTATTTATTTATTTTTAGAGAGACGATCTCCTTCTATCGCCCAGCCTGGAGTGCCACGGTGTGTGATCACAGCCCAATGCAGCCTCAAACTCCTGGGCTCAAGCAATCTTTCCGCCTCCCAGTAGCTAGGACTATAGGTGTGTGCCACTACGCCCAGATAATTTTTAAATTTTTTTTTGTAGAGAAAGGGTCTTGCTATGTTGCCCAGGCTGGTCTCATTCTTACTACGTAGTGTTTAGCGCATATTTTTGGTTTGAGACAAGTTTAGTCATCATAACAATTAAAGTAGTTTCTTTCAAATGCTTGTTTATATTAGGAAAACTTAAAAATTCTAAGTAACTTTAAGTAGTAGATACTGAACCTTGAAACAAAAACATACATATAATAGTGGAGGAAAAGGGCAAGAACAGAATAAAGATAAAATTTGAATGGATCGTTTCTAATACCTTCAGCTATTTCAGAAAGAATAGCCTGAGTGATACAAAAGAGATGTCTATAGGGAAGAGACATGAGAAGAAATTTCATAACCCAGCCAGGATTACCTTATATCCCAGGAATAATGAGCTACAGAGTTTCTCTGAACTTTTAGAAAAATGGATTATTGGTATATAGTCGGATCTGCAGCTTTTCCTTTCATAGATACTGGCAGGGTATTTATGAATTTTTCAGAATTCCAAATTTACATGCAAGTTAAAGATTTTCAAGCACTTTTATGATAATTTAAACTAATCCATACTGAAACAGCTGCTGAATAAAAAAATATAAGATGAAACTTTGTGTCCTGATTAATCAAAATGCTGGAACCAGTTGCATTCTTGTGCAACTTCTTCACAGTATACTTACCGCCATTCTTTGCTTTTCTCCACCACTGAGTACGTCCATCCAATCCTGAACACTGTCCCAGCCTCCTTCACGTTCAAGGATATGACCCAACTGGACATTGTCTAAGTATTCCTTCAGTACCTTTCAGCAAAATGATTAAAGATGAAATTAAACTTAATATAAGCCAACATTCTTAATAGTGGTTTATTTTTTAAACTGGAATCACTATAATTCTATTGTCTGTACCACTTAAAAGATACATTTCAGAAAAGAATGTGGCACAAGGTAGCCCTGAACCTTTCAGCTCCTAGTATCTACACCAAACTTGACAAAATATGTCTAGTAGCTTAAAGAGAATAACACTATTGTACACAGTAAAAGGATGATGGCAATGAGAAAACAAACAATGGTGTAAAGGTTAAGATTAAACTCTTTTTAAGCCAAGGGATTAACATCTTACCTCAGCTTAGAAAATCACAATTTACAGCTTTGGAAGGCTTTACAGCTTAAGATAAACTACCTGGCATTTAAAATACTTAATTGATTAAAATAAATAATCTGGAGTATTTTCAGTGGATCTAGGATATAAACATTCCCTTACTAGGTCAGAAATTCCCTTCCTTTTCTGATCTTCTCGTCCATCTGGATATATCACTTGATCTCGAAGTGTTCCAAGGGTCATGTAAGGTCTCTGACAGTAGTAGAGCAAAAGTCAATTAGAAGCAACATGAAAAAATAAATAAACAAAAAGATCTTTAGATCAAAGATAACTCAAGCTAGGTCTTACCTGAGGAACATAAAATAATTTTCCTCTTTCAGGTTTAGTTAGACGTCCTCCAAAAAGAGGCCATAACTATTAAAGAGAGAGAAGGGAGAAGAACAATTGTAAAATTTACAAAGTGGTAGACAGTATGGCAAAATAAGACTGCAAAATTTTGAGGCCAACTTGTACTTACTTCACCAAGAACACGGAAAAGTGAACTCTTTCCGCAGCCATTTGGACCACAAATTAGAACATTAGCCCCAGATCGAACCTGAAAAAAAAAAAAAAATCAGTCTGTGAAGTAATTAAATCAAATTAACATATACTTAATCAACATTTCCTTAGACTCAAATATTAATAGCTCCTGGCTAATTATAAGCCTTCTATTTGTCTGTAAATGTAGCATTAGGTAGAGCAGTGAAGAGGTATTGTGAAGGGACCTTTTACTTTGTTTACTTCCAATTTTTACCATTACTTTTTTTTCACTTAAAAAATTATTATTGCTGGGTACTGTGGCTCACACCCATAATCTCAGCATTTTGGGAGGCTAAGGCAGGAGGATCGCTTGAAACTGGGAGTTTGAGACTAACCTGGGAAATAAAACAAGACCCTCATCTCTACAAAAAATAAAAATAAAAAATTAAGCAGGTGTGGTGGTGCACACCTGTAGCCCCAGCTACTTGGGAGGCTGAGGTGGGAGGATTGCTTGAGTCCAGCAGTTTAAGGATGCAGTGAGCTATGATGTCACCTAGGCTGACAGAACAAGACCCCATCTATATACATGTATAAATAAATAAATTTACTGACTGATTGATATCATCAACTTAAGATAAAGAGAGATAAAGTTTAGAAAACTGAGAATTCTTGAAAACAATAAATACATGCGTATACACAGTCTCTTTTAAAAAAATGAAAACGTACTCTATAGACTGTTCTACAACTTGCTTTTATTATTTAACAATATATCACAGATATTCTTCCAGGTCAGTATATTCAGATTCCCCCATTCCTTTCCTTTAATGCCTCAAGCATCTTCCATAGTAAGGATATACTATAACTTATTTAAACACTCCCCTTTGGTTAAATATTTAGGTCATCTGCATTTTGTTTTGCTCTTCTAGATAATATTGCAATGAGTGTACAAGTCAGCAACTTATGTAACAGTAAGCAATGTTTCTGTAGATTCCATTCTTAGAAATTATAAGTGTTTTATCAAAATATATGTGCACTATAAATATATACAAGTGTCACTAAATTATTCTGCAACAACATAAAGATAAATGAGAAAATGTAAAGAGTGGTTAAGTTCTAGGCTTATGATCTTGTAAGTATCTGATCAACTCTGTAAAGAATCAGAAAATCTTAGCTATAATTCTAGCTTACAACACTAAACACCAATGCAACACAATAGGAAAGAAAATATCAGAAAGATATGAGTTACCCTAGCTGGTAACCTGCCTTTAACAAATTTGTTAAGCTGGTGAGCCTTCTGTTCCTATTATTTAATTCAATGAATATTTATTGAATGCTCTCTGTCAGGCTCTGTTCTAGGCAAGTAGGCCATATTAATGAATTAAAGAGACAAAAAATGAAAACAAAAAACCAAAAACCTCTACCCTTACTGGTTTACATTCTAGTGGTAAGAGACATACAATAAAGAATATACATAACATATAAGTTAAATAGTATATTAGAAAATAAGTACTTTGGAGGAAAAAACAGACAAAGGGAACTTGGGAGCGGGTGAGGAAAGCCGCATTTTTAAGGTGGTCAGAGCAGACTTTATTGAATATGACAACTAAGTAAAACTTTGAAAGAAGGGGTGAATTAGGATTTAACTAAAAGAAGACTGTTCTAGCCCCCACCTTTACCACCCATAAAAAGCTGGTACAGCCTGGCCAACATGGTAAAACCCTGTCTCTACTAAAGATACAAAAATTAGCTGGATGCAGTGGCGGGCACCTGTAATCCCAGCTACTCAGGAGGCTGAGGCATGAGAATTGCTTGAACCCGAGAGGCAGAGGTTGCAGTGAGCCAAGATCGTGCCACTGCACTCCAACCTGGGCGACAGAGCAAGGCTCCGTCTCAAAAAAAAAAAAAAAATTTGCTGGTACAAAGGCACTGAAGCAGGAATGTAGCTATCCTATTCAAAAAAAAAAAAAAAAAAAAAAAAAAAAACAGAAACAAGGCTGATTTTACTGAAGAATGAACAGGAAAGAAGAATAGTAGGAAATGAGATCAGAGATGTATCAGGTAGGGGTAGGGTAGTGGCAGGCATTGAAAGAACTTCGACTTTTACTGTGACAAAATGGAGAGCCATCAGCATTGTTCACAATAGCCAAAAGGTGGAAGCAAGGAAGCGACCCAAGAGGATGAATGGATAAACAAAATGTGACACACACACACACACACACACACACAATGAAATGGCATTCAACCTTTAAAATGAATGAAACTCTGACACATGCTACAATACAGATGAACCTTGAAAACATTATGCTAAATGAAATAAGCCAGCCACAAAAGGACAAATGCTGTATGACTTCACTTATATGTGATTCCTAGAGCAGTCAAATTCATAGACAGACAGCATGAGAGGTTACCAGGGGCAAGGGAGAGGAAGGAAGGAGAGTTACTGTTTAATGAGTACAGAGTTTCTATTTGGGATGATGGAAAAGTTCTGGAAATGGATAGTGGTGGTGGCTGCATAACACTGTAAATGTACTTAATGCCACTAAATTATACACTTAGAAATGGTTAAAAAGCCAAATTTCATTTTTACATTTTAAAAACTTCTTAAAGAAAAAAGAATGAAGCAGCCTAACACATAGTTGATCTAAAAGAAAATAACAATTTACACACATAATTGTTAAAGAGTCGTTCAGATGAATAAACTTTTTTCTGATAAAGAATCATTTTGATAGACTTCTTTTTAAATAACACAATTTCCTTATCACATAAAATTGAATATACTGAATGTTCCTCATAAAGCAAGGTTATCATATAAAATAATCATACTCTACTGTAACAGCGATGCCCTTAGAAGGTCCTAAAGTTCAGTGAGCTGGTAATTAAATGGTTCCCTGCTACGTTTTATTTGAGTAATGTTGGCCGTATATAAATTCTCCCCTCCTAACTGCTCTTTGTGGTTTACAATGGCATCAATATTCCTGCCTCCAATAATACCCTTCCACATTATTTGTTGCAGTATGCCAGGAAACCCCAAAAACAGATTTGTAATGATGTATATAAATAATAACCAGACTTACTGAAATCCTGAGTTATCCTTTTATGCTCTAAATCAAGCCTGGCTAACCTACTCAGCATTCACTTTTCTTTACTTCACGGCATTTGGTAGTGTTGAACAAAACTTCCAATTATGACGTCAGCCATGATAAGCCAGTGATAATTTTTCTGTATTAAAAATTTATTAAGTACATATTTTTGTGGGGTTAAATTAAGACTAAAAGCCAAGAGTAACATTTACTGAAAATTAAGTTCTTAACAGCATTGTATTATTGGGGCTCTCAGAATGCTTTACCGGATCAACCAATGCTTTGAACTACCATATTCTTACCAATAAAAATATACCCCCCAAATAATACTCCTTGATAAATCCTACTTTCTATAAATTTATCATAACAAATAAAAAATTCTACACATAAATTTAAGTAAAAGAAAAATTATATAAAAGTATGGTGTTTATGAAGATTAATTAGTTTCTTTAAACACTATAAGTATACCTTACTGAAAAGGTAAAAATCTTAGTAACTTACAAAGTACTTGTTTTTGGAGACAGGATCTCACTCTGTAGCCCAGACTGGAGTATAGTGGTGCGATCTCCGCTCACTGCAACCTCTGCCTCACTGGCACAAGCGATCCTCCCACCTCAGCCGCCTGCGTAACCAGGACCAAAGGTGTGCACCACCACACCTAGCTAATTTTTTTGTATTTTTCACAGAGACGGGGTTTTGCCATGTTGCCCAGGCTGGCCTCAAACTCCTGAGCTCAAGCAATCCGCCCACCTTGGACAAAGTACTATTTTAATCCCCACATGGTAACCTGCAAGCTGTTACCTCTTAGGATCTCTCCAGTCTACATACTTCCCAGAATAATATCTAGACAGATAAATATGTCTGTACTGGGGAGTTTATAATGGAAAATGGTATAAAATCTCTTATTCCAAAGAAGTTTTTATTATTTGGTTACAAATGTAACCCAAAAGGCAAATGAATCATAAAGTAGGAAAGATTTATTTGAGGGGCCAAGTCTGTTTTATTATGCCTCTTTCCAAGAGAAAGAAATCTTTATTTTCAAGTAAGCCAGATGAGTAGAAAATAATTAGAGGCTGCAAAGAACTGAAGAACATTTGTTGATTATAGAAAGGCTATGTTAAGAAAAACAATAAAAAGACATAATGAATGTGAGAAACCCAGGTCTACTTTAGAATACTTTAAGTCAGAAAGAGATTAGAATTCATAACAGTGAACCAAAAAGAAGTCAGAGAAACAGTTCCCAGGGGAGGAGAAAACAAGAATCACAGGATAAACACCAGGAAGTAAGGAACATGGTTATGAAGTAAAACACTCCAACAAGTAAGGACATAAGTGGGGACTCAAGACTTTCCAAATGAAACCCAAAAAAGAGAAAGAATTAAAGACATTTTTTTCCCTTTGTCACTTTTCAACATAATGAGTATCATAATAAACTCATTAATTTAAACATTTTGATGTATTTTAATACAGGGTAGTTATTGTTCTTTTTTTAATTTTATTATTATTATACTTTAAGTTTTAGGGTACATGTGCACAATGTGCAGGTTAGTTACATATGTATACATGTGACATGCTGGTGTGCTGCACCCATTAACTTGTCATTTAGCATTAGGTATATCTCCTAATGCTATCCCTCCCCCAGGACCCCACCCCACAACAGTCCCCAGAGTGTGATGTTCCCCTTCCTGTGTCCATGTGTTCTCATTGTTCAATTCCCACCTATGAGTGAGAATATGCGGTGTTTGGTTTTTTGTCCTTGCGATAGTTTACTGAGAATGATGATTTCCAATTTCATCCATGTCCCTACAAAGGACATGAACTCATCATTTTTTTATGGCTGCATAGTATTCCATGGTGTATATGTGCCACATTTTCTTTATCCAGTCTATCATTGTTGGACATTTGGGTTGGTTCCAAGTCTTTGCTATTGTGAATAGTGCCGCAATAAACATACGTGTGCATGTGTCTTTATAGCAGCATGATTTATAGTCCTTTGGGTATATACCCAGTAATGGGATGGCTGGGTCAAATGGTATTTCTAGTTCTAGATCCCTGAGGAATCCCCACACTGACTTCCACAATGGTTGAACTAGTTTACAGTCCCACCAACAGTGTAAAAGTGTTCCTATTTCTCCACATCCTCTCCAGCACCTGTTGTTTCCTGACTTTTTAATGATTGCCATTCTAACTGGTGTGAGATGTTATCTCACTGTGGTTTTGATTTGCATTTCTCTGATGGCCAGTGATGGTGAGCATTGTTTCATGTGTTTTTTGGCTGCATAAATGTCTTCTTTTGAGAAGTGTCTGTTCATGTCCTTCGCCCACTTTTTGATGGGGTTGTTTTTTTCTTGTAAATTTGTTTGAGTTCATTGTAGATTCTGGATATTAGCCCTTTGTCAGATGAGTAGGTTGCGAAAATTTTCTCCCATTTTGTAGGCTGCCTGTTCACTCTGATGGTAGTTTCTTTTGCTGTGCAGAAGCTCTTTAGTTTAATTAGATCCCATTTGTCAATTTTGGCTTTTGTTGCCATTGCTTTTGGTGTTTTAGACATGAAGTCCTTGCCCATGCCTATGTCCTGAATGGTAATGCCTAGGTTTTCTTCTAGGACATTTTTAAGACTATAAAAGTGAAATTATAGAAACGACAGAAGTCTATTCAATACAAACATAAGGGCTTTAAAAGAAAAGGCTTTGAACTAAAAAGAAAGTGACAGCTTTAGTGTGGTAACATCAAGACAAAATATTATTATGGACCATAATCATGATCCATCTATTCTAAGTATCCCAACCCCCTTTCTCATTGTGCTTCAGTCATGTGTGCCCCTATATTATTGGTATATTTTATTTCTGCATAAAGACAGAAGTGAGGGTAAGTAGGAGAAAGGGACAAGAGGCATTCTTCAACGAAGTCTCACGTCCTTTTTATCCTTGGACAGTGGCAATAAAGGGGCTACTGGAAATCAAGCCTGGCTACCTACTTTGCCAAAGGAACATTCAAGTGACTGAAGTACCTGGAGCTATGTGAGAAAACACTTCTGTGATATGTGGAGCCAGTCAATATTTACCAACTACATTTACATTTTCTGTACTTCTTGTATTTCCTGGCTTTGGAATAAATATGATAACGATAGAATACTCATTGTTGAATAAGTTCAAAGTACTTTGCATAACTAACAATTTTCATTTTTATAATTCATTGAGAAGAAAGTAGACATGTGCTTAATATAAATTACTAAGAGCAGAAAACTGAAGACTTACTTAAGACTGTAACAAATTAAAAACAAGTCCAATAATTATATTCTTTATTTTATAAACTATCAGACAATATTCCTTCAAAGAAAGCAGTAGGAAAAAAATCCCCACATGAAACACAAACTACAGATGGCCATGCACATTAGCATGTGGAGAGGAATTCTAGAGCTGTGCTGTCCAATACCATAGCCACTACTCACATGTGGCTATTTAATTTTAAATCATATTAATTAAATTAAATTTTAAATTCAGTTTTGCAGCTGTACTAGTCACATTTCACATGCTCAATATCTACACATGGTTATTTTACTGGACAGTGAAAGTATAGAGCATTTCCATCATTGCAGAAAGTTCTACGGGAAAGTGTTGTTCTAGAGGAATGGTGTCTAGAATGGGGAACATAGCCTATGTGATAGGAATTTGTTACTAATTATGAAGATTTCTGGATCTGAACCATTCATAAAGCCACAACATAGAGAAAACCTAAATAGTAACCCTTAAATCTGCGAGTCTTACAAATCGTACAAAAACATTCATCTTTTGTCTTTTCTTTTTAATTTGGTCTGCCATATCCCATTTCATTAGCAGAGTATATTGAATCAACATCAGTTTTCACTTGGCATGGGATTTTACTTGTTTTAGGTGAGTGTCTATTTGTAGCGCTACTGTGCGGCTCTTCCCGTTTTCATCAGTAATAAAACAGTCTGTATTTTGTTTTTATAGGTACAAATCATCCTGTACAGTCACAACAATACCAGCCACACCATAAGTTTCTTTTTAATGTAAAGAGACTAAAATTATATTTGTGTGTTTAAATACTCATTTTACACTGGAGACTCCAATTTACTATATTTTCTATGACTTTCTTGACATAAACTTCATTTGCAAAAAGTTTTTTGGTAGTAGTATTTGAAATTTTGAAGTCCTGTCAATTAAGAAAAATAGATTTCTAAGCGTTTCAAAGACTTACTTTTTAAAGCAATTCTGTGGATTCAGAGACTAAGTCGAGCCTTAAAGTTACTTTAAATATTCAGGTAATCTTTTTCAGTTCACATTTTAAAGATGATTTAAGCTTTTATATGATCATTTAAAAACTTACTTCAAAATTAAGGTCTCGGATCAAAACATCTCCATTTGGCGTTGCTAAAGGAACATGATCAAACCTATAGAGGAAATTTTTAAAAAGAGAATTACTTTAAAGTATATAAGGAACTAATACAACTCAATACCAAAAATACAAATAACCTGATTAAAAAATGGGCAAAGAGCTTAAACACTTCTTAAAAGAAGAAATTCAGATGGCCAACAGGCATACGAAAAGGTGCTCAACATCTCAGTCATCAGGAAAATGCAAATCAAAACCACAATGAGACATCACCTCTCACCTGTTAGGATGACTATTATCAAAGAGACAAACGGTAAGTGTTGGCAAAGATGTGGAGAAAGGAAACCTTGTACATTGTTGGTGGGACTACAAATAGTACAGCTATTATGGAAAACAATATGGATGTTCCTCAAAAAATTAAAATTAGGACTACCGTATGATCTAGCAATCCCACTTCTGGGAACATTTCCAAAGGAAATAAAATCAGTATCTCAAAGAGAATCTTCCTCCCATGTTCACTCCAGCATTATTTACAATAGTCCATATATGGAAACTGCCTAAATGTCTTTCAACTGATGAGAGGATAAAGAAAATATAGTGTGTACAGTGTGTATATATTCACATACACACAAAATACACACAATAGAATATTACCCCACTTTTAAAAAAGAAGGAAACTGGGCCATTTTCAACATAGATGGATCTGGAGGACATTATGCTAAGCAAAATAAGCAAGACACAAAAAGAGAAACACTATGTGATCTTACTTGTATGTGGAATCTAAAATAGTCAAACTCATAGAAGTAGAGAGTAGGACGGTGGTTGCCAGGGGGTTAGAGAGAGAGGAAATGGGGGTAATATTGGTCAAATGGCACAACATTTCAGTGATGCCAGAAGAATAAATTCTGTAGATCCACTGTACTGGGACAATAGTAGAAAATACTATATTGTATACCTGAAATTTGCTAAGACACATCTAAATTAAATTCTCACTAAACACACACAAAAATGGTTAACTATGTAGAGGCGATAGGTAAATTAATTAGCCAAAACGTAATCATTTCACAACATACACAGATATCAAAGCATCAAGTTGCATACTTTAAATATTAATATACACAATTTTTAGGTCAATGATACCTCTAAGCTGTTTTTTAAAAAAGCAGAAATAATTTTAAACACTAAGCAATTGTAAGCTGAAAAAGAAAGACTACTATGAAGTTTAACAAACATTTATGGTGCTAAAAGACCTTTTTCTGTACGTACTTTATAATGTTATCTGCAATAATGATTTCTCCAGCACCAGGTATCAAGGGAATGACTTGTACTCCTTCAATACCTTAAATGGAAAATAGGTATTAAAGCATCATATTATGTCAGCAAACACTTAAAATTGTGACCTTAAACTGTGACACTCATATTTACCCTTTTCCTGTTGTGAGACCATTGTGCGCTCATATTTGCCATGATTTAAATCCTTCAGTACTTGCATTAATTCTGTAATCCGAGCAGTAAAACTAAAATTTTAGAAAAGGAAACCATAATCAAAACTCCAGACTATTGTCACATCTTTTATTTTATACAAACTGAAGTTCCTAAAATTATAATTTAGTATAAATGAAGTAACCTAACAGTCTCATCAACATAAAGTATTAATGATAACATGTGTGCTTTATTATGTTTCAGTAGGAGAGCAGGAATATAGGGATGAAGGAAGAGGTTTCCATAGGATCCCCAACTCAACAGATACTTCATTAATAGCCAAGTCAAGGCAGTTATTTGCTGAGAATTTTCAGGAGGTTTCTCTTGGATACTACAAAAGGACCACTACTAGTATATTCCTTAGACCCAGGAAGTATGGACTCTGATCTCTTGCTGAAGTGACCTATAAAGCCATGTATAAAGCTGGTCTTTCTATCCAAGGAAGGCATTTATTAAATGTATGCCGAATGCATGCTGCCTTCCTGCAAACGGAAGAATCTGAAAGATTCCCTCTTTCTTACTCTGAAGAGGGGAAAGATGATGAGTTCTTATTATTAGATAGAAATCACTGTGGCAATAGAGAAAAATCAAAACTAACGACAAGAGGTTGGAGATAACAAAAATGACCATGATCGCCAAAGAGAAAGTATTCTGCATCGAAGAAGAAAACAGGATTTTTCTCTGAATAAAAAGCAGAAACCTCCTAAAGCAAACTTTGGGAGGTGATGAATGTTTATGGTCTTGATGGTTTCACACGTGTATAACTTATTCCCATATTCATCAAATTGTATACACTAAATATGAACAGTTTCTTATATGTCAATCATACCTCAACAAAGTGGAAAAAAGAGAAAGAAAGGGGGGCAGGGAGACGAAGGGAGGGAGTGAAAGAGAAAGACACACACACCCACACAGAAAGAGAGCGAGAGAGAGAGAGAGAGTGAAAGGAAACACCCTAAAGGAACAGAAGCACCTTATATACCATGAACTGTAAAGCCATAAGAAAAGTTAACAAGTAGGAAGAATGTTAGTATTCTCATGAAAGAGACTCTACTCATAGTAGTTAACAACTTCTATATTGCATGAAGACCATAACTGCCACAGGAGCTAAGAAGGAGGAAAAAGAGAAATATGAAGATGGATCACAGGCCTAGGAAAGATATTCAGTCATCAAACTTCTTCAGGTGACCTAAAATTTATGGTGTTTTTTACACCATACCATGCCCTTTATATTGGAGATTGAAATACTGAAATCTTAATATTTAATTTCATTCTACTGTCTAAAGATAATTTTACTACTAGATAATATGACTACATTCACAAGCACGCCTACAGATACAAGATAACATCTCATTTTTTTTCCCATTAAAGTCAACTTCATTTCTATTCATCTGTTTTGCTAGGTTGCCGGTATCTAAGATCCAAGAAAAAAAGGTATGGTAGAGGACAAGAAAATTTAAATGAGAAAATTCTATTCATAAACATAGTTTTCTGTGAATTAAGACTGCCATGATTCAACATTTCCCAACTTAGCAAATACGTGTCCATGGAGCAAACAACTTGACAGCCTCTAATCTACTGTACTGCGCAAACCAGCTGTCCTCAAGAAACATGAAAAGTTCACCATCAGAAAAATCTTCCTTAATTTTCTATCAAAACCACCTTCCTGGGCTAGGAAATGTTGACCCCTTATCTTAATCTCAACTGATACAATCATTAAGGATAATATATTTTTAAAAATTATTTTCTGCAACAGCTCATTATTACTAATCTTACCCGGCCAATCTAGTCATTTCACGCCCAGCCAAAACTATTCGACCCAGAGCTTGAGACATTCGCAAAAGCATTCTTCCACTTTGGTAGTAATCCTTAAATAGAAATAAATATTAGTTTTTACTTATAGTTCTATGACTAAAAATTTGGCTTTATTTTTACTGTTACATTTTCATTGTATTATCATCAGTTTACCTCTAGAAGTTCCGAATGTGTACTCTTGAGATGTCGAGGATGAGACAAATCTAAGAAAGGGCGACTGACAACTAGGTAACCAACAACAGTGGCAAGGTCTGAAACCAAACAGGTAAGATTTAAAACAGTAACAGTATTTCACCTTTTCCACAAATCTCATCTCTTTCAAAATATACTTACATTTGGCAATAATACTATCAATGAAGCCCATTGAAAACCGAAACAAAATGAAATTATGTAGGTGTTCCACCTGGCAGAAAACAAAAACAAAAAACCATCTTTTTCTCTGTATAAAAAACTGAATCTACTATAAGGATAAAACAAACTGTATAGTTCATTTATTCAACAAATATTTACTGAGTGCCCGTGATTTCTGTTTATATTCTGTTTATATTGTACATCACACCACCGAGGACAATGCTCTTCACAGAGCGGGTGCCAAACAAACACTTCATGAAACCATTTTTATGCAAACAGCATGGAAATTACATAAACAATTTTAACAATGCTGTTTCTCTTGCATGCAATAGCACAATGCTATTGTAGTCACCATGCTTTTGGATACACATATCCCAAAAGAGGACAACAACGAAAGCAAAAAGAACAGAGATTAACTAGTTTGAGTGAAACACTAGCTGTCCGGATTGGCACTGAATGCTTTGCTTTCAGTGGAGACACATGGTCTGTGCTTTATCTAAGAATTGTATTACACCCAATCTGAACTGAGTGCTAATGTAAATCAGTGCCACACAGCCTCAGTTTTAGCTTTAACATGAGCACGCATTGTCTTAAAACTACAAGTCTAAAACTGCTTTTTTATTCTGGAGTTGTAGTGTTCTCAAACTGTCCATCTACCAGATTATTCAAGGTCCTGCATGATCTGGCACTGAGCTCTATTTTTAAGGTCATATGCTTCTACTTTGCTCCTCCTCACCAAGCTCCAGAAATAACGGTTTCTCAAACATGTACCTTCTTAAGGATTTCCTCTTGCTCTTCTCACTGCCAGGAATACATTCTTCTAAGGTATCTATATTTTGTGACTCCTTCACTTTCATGTGGATTTCTGACTAAATGTCACCTCCTCAAGAAAGATCTTGGCCATTCCAGCTAAAGTAGCTGGGCAATAGCCCCCTTCATATCTATCCCTTTATCCTGCTTCATTTTTGGCCACCGAATTCATTACTACCTGAAATTATACAGAACATCTAGTTGTTTATTTATTGTCTGCTCCACTAAAATGTGGCTTCCTGAGTACAGGGTAGCTTGTTAACAACTTGGTATCTTCTGCAACTAGACAATCTCTGGAACATTTATTCAATGACTACCATGTGTCAGACACTGTGCTCAAGCTGGAGATACAATGAATAGAACAGAGAAGGTCCCTGAATTTATGGAGTTTACATTCTAATGAAAGAGCATAACTAGTAAACAAGATAATTAGAGACTGTAATACAGTCATCCCTCGGTATCCAAAGGGGATGGGATTGGTTCCAGGACCTTCTGGATACCAAAATCCATGGATGCTCAAGTCCCTGATGAAAAATGGCATAGTATTTGCATATACCTGAGTACGACATCCCATACACTTTATTTACTTTTTGAGACAGAGTCTCACTCTGTCGCCAAGGCTGGAGTGCAGTGGTGCCATCTTGGCTCAATGCAACCTCCGCCTCCTGGGTTCCAGTGATTCTCCTGCCTCAGCCTCCCGAGTAGCTGGGATTATAGGCCCCCGCCACAACAACCGGCTAATTTTTGTATTTTTAGTAGAGATGGGGTTTTGCCATGTTGGTCAGGCTGGTCTCGAACTCCTGACCTCAACTGATCTGCCCGCCTCAGCCTCCCAAAGTGCTGGGATTACAGGGGTGAGCCACCGCAACTGGCTCATCCCAAACACTTTAAGTCATCTCTAAATTACTTATAAAACTTAATACAATGTAAATAGCTATTACACTAATGTCTGTATTGTTCAGAGAATAATGACAAGAAAAAAATATGTGTACATAAGTACAGACACAATTTCTTTTTCTGAATATTTTCAATCTGTGTGGTTGAATCCATGGATTTGGAACCCACAGATGCAGAGGGTTGACTGCAAATATATATATACTTTTAAGGAAAGATGATGATTAAAACAAGAAGTAACTGTTGGAGGCCATTTCAAATAGGCTGATCAGAGAAGACAAAGCTTCAATAAGGTGTTAACATTTGGGCTGAAAATCTAAAGGATGAGAATAAGCAAGCCGTGTGGAGAGCAAACTGGTGAACTGCAGGCCCCTGAAAAATTACCTTAAATGCATTCTACCAGTGAGCACTCTAAAAGTTCTGCCATGTTAAATACCGACGAGGCAAAAATCCAATTTCTGAAATAATTTAAAATGACAATTTCTTTAACCTCTTTAACTCATCTAAAATATACATTTAATTTCACAAACTTCAGACTTCCACTAAAATGTAAGCTCCTTAAAGGCAAGATTTTATCCATCATGTCCACCACCATCATCCTTAGCACCTGGAGTGAGCACAGGCAACTAGACGGCATTCAATATCTTTTGAATAAATAATGGAATAAAAGTACTTGAATTCAAATTTTCCAAGTGGCAATTAAATAAAAACTGAAGTAAAGCTTTCACAAGAAACAATGCTTATATTCTTTAAAACAAAAAGCCAGTAAACTCTGACCCATAGTCCAAATCTAGCCTGCTACTTGTTTTTTTAAGTAAAGTTTTATTAGAACATAGCCACACCCACTCATTCATGTATTATATATAGCTACTCTTGAGTAGCGGAGCTGAATAGTTGCAAGACACTGTGTGGTATGAAAAGCCTAAAATATATACATACTATCTTGCCCTTTATGGAAAAAGTTTGCTGACTCTTGCTTTACATAATAATCTTTATTGTATTTTCATGAATGCTTCAGGAACAAATTCTTTCTGTGGGAATCACTAAATAAGGCTCCTAAGCAACCTCTGTAAAAATACACTTAATTTTTTTTTTATGTTTTTGATTATACTTTAAGTTCTAGGGTACATGTGCACAACGTGCAGGTTTGTTACATATGCATGCATTTGCCATGTTGGTGTGCTGCACTCATTAAGTCGTCATTTACATTAGGTATATCTCCTAATGCTATCCCTCCCCCAGGCCCCCACCCCACAACAGGCCCCGGTGTGTGGTGTTCCCCACCCTGGGTCCAGGTGTTCTCATTGTTCAATTCCCACCTATGAGTGAGAACATGCAGTGTTTGGTTTTCCGTCCTTGCAACAGTTTGCTCAGAATGATGGTTGCCAGCTGCATCCATGTCCCCACAAAGGACATGAACTCATAATTTTTATGGCTGCATAGTATTCCATGGTGTATATGTGCCACATTTTCTTTGTCCAGTCTATCACTGATGGACATTCGGGTTGGTTCCAAGTCTTTGCTATTGTGAATAGTGCCACAATAAACGTATGTGTGCATGTGTCTTTATAGCAGCATGATTATAATCCTTTGGGTATATACCCAGTAATGGGATGGTTGGGTCAAATGGTGTTTCTAGTTCTAGATCCCTGAGGAATTGCCACACTGTCTTCCACAATGGTTGAACTAGTTTACAGTCCCACCAACAGTGTAAAAGTGTTCCTATTTCTCCACATCCTCTCCAGCACGTTGTTTCCTGACTTTTCAATGATCGCCATTCTAACTGGTGTGAGATAGTGTCTCACTGTGGTTTTGATTTGCATTTCTCTGATGGCCAGCGATGATGAGCATTTTTTCACGTGTCTGTTGGCTGCATAAATGTCTTCTTTTCAGAAGTGTCTGTTCATATCCTTTGCCCACTTTTTGATGGGGTTGTTTTTTTCTTGTAAATTTGTTTAAGTTCTTTGTAGATTCTGGATATTAGCCCTTTGTCAGATGGGTAGATTGCAAAAAATTTCTCCCATTCTGTAGGTTGCCTGTTCACTCTGATGGTAGTTTCTTTTGCTGTGCAGAAGCTCTTTAGTTTAATTAGATCCCATTTGTCAATTTTGGCTTTTGTTGCCATTGCTTTTGGTGTTTTAGACATGAAGTCCTTGCCCATGCCTATGTCCTGAATGGTATTGCCTAGGTTTTCTTCTAGGGTTTTTATGGTTTTAGGTCTGACATTTAAGTCTTTAATCCATCTTGAATTAATTTTTATATAAGGTGTAAGGAAGGGATCCAGTTTCAGCTTTCTACATATGGCTAGCCAGTTTTCCCAGCACCATTTATTAAACAGGGAATCCTTTCCTCATTTCTTGTTTTTGTCAGGTTTGTCAAAGATCAGATGGTACACTTAATATTATTTTAATAAATCTATGCAATTTTATAAATGGGCACTTGAATATATTGATATGATAGTTTTTAATCTCATATTTTTTATTAAAAATGCAGTATAAAATCCTTTATAGCTATTTTTCAAAAAATCTTTAAGATATGTATACATACGTGTGTGTTTGTGTGTGTGTGTATGTGTGTCGGCCATAGGCAAAACAAACAAACAAAAAAAACCCTTTCCATAAACACATGAACCTCAAGTGTGTTATCTTACCAGTTTTCGGAAGACTGAGTGGACTGTCTGCTTTTCTCTTTTATTCCCATTGTAAAAGGCAATTTCTTCACTATTAAAGAAAATAATTTAGCAATTAATTTTAATGTTACCTATGCTTGGAAAATAATTGAAATACAGTATATGATGGCTGAATGTTTGTATTTAAATGGACATTTTGTGACTAAGAGCTTATCTGGTGCATCTCAAGCCACAGTCTATACCTGAGATTCTGTTCCTAGCTCAGCTGATCGGAGCACAGGAATACACTCCTGACTGAATCATATGCTGGACTGCAACCTATGGCATAGGTATCCTGGCTGCAAAAGACATACTGCACGAATTCTCAGAAATTCGAAATTAGAGAAAGAAGTTGCTGTGATGTACAGAAAGGCAGGGCTGGGACCAACATTGCAGACTTCAAGTTAAAGTACAGGCCCAAACAAGAAAGAGATGAAAAAGCAACAGCTAGAAAAAGATGGATAGTGATGACTTGACATACAGCCTTTTAAAGACAGAAAAGCAGGCTAAGTCCCACCGGCTTCAAAGTGCCAGCTCCCAGGAGGAAACCCTGGAACCCCATCATATCCTCACAACAATTCCACGTTTCCTGAGCAGATGTGCATGGGTCCACAAGGGCCACAGGGATCACGACTAGAAAAAAAAGGTATTTTATAGATGAAGAGAAGTTCAGTGTAGTTAAGTAAATTTGTAAAGGTTGCAGAGCCAGCAGGTCAGGGAGCTGAAATCATAACTCCTATCTGACCCTAACATTTATAGTCTTTCTATTACACAGGAATGATGTAAGCTTTCCCAGCAAAGTACCTCTTATGGCAGAGAAAAATATTTATAGAGAAGTCTAGAAGGCAAGGTTGAAATATTTCTTTAAAGTCTCTTTTTTCCCCTAAACAATTTATGTTTTATATTTCTATTTTGAAATGGACCTGCGTTTTTCATAAAAACAAGGTACCACCTACCTCAACCACTTCAAGTAAAATTAACTTCCCATAAGATATGACACATTTGTCACGCGTTTCATGGTTTCCTTGACACAATGACAGAGACTCAAGAGTATAAGAAGCCTACAATTCTATACCTCTAATTACTTTTTAAAAAAACTTCCTTCTATCTCCTCTCCACACCTAAGCCTATGGAAGAAGATGAGGTGAGGATTCTCCTCCTGAACTGAGTCATTTTAGCCTTAATGAAAAATCTGAAAGGATAAAACATCCTGGAATATTGATGGCTGCCCATCCAACATCTATTCTCTTCATTGTTCTTCTTCCTAAAATAATCCCAACTTTTGTAAAGTTATCTATTATTTTCCATGTACCCTAATGCTTTAGGAATGCCTCAACCCCATTTAGGGTCCCAACTGGTCTAAGCCAATCACTTTGCTGTGATTGCTTTAGGCATGGTCAAGTAACCATTCCAGCCAATAAGATATGAGGGAAAGTCAGTTGTGGGACTCTTGGGAAAGGTTTCTTTGCTCTCATAAAGACACACCAGGCGAGATGGCCCCTTTTTGTTTCTGGAGCTTTCTGCAGGGGAGAGGAGCTAGTGAAATCTGTAACTGCTATCGCCATCTTGTGGTCACAAGAAGAATTAGCCCGAGGAATGGGGCAGCATACAAAGCAGGGCAGAGCCAAGAGAACACCAGAGAGCCAGAGCCCTGATAATGCCATACCTGGAACTGCCCTGTCTTAAGGGTTCTCACGTGAAGCAGTGAGTGTTCTTATTACTGGAGCCATGAGTCATGCTTTCTGCTTCTTTCACTAAAAGGCATCTTTCATTTACTTGGCAAATCACCTCTTAACTCTATTCCGCTGCCTCCCTAGAGCAAAAAACCCTATTTAAAACTTGTACTATTTTAGCAATCCAAGGAAATAAAGGAAGAGGGAACTGTCATTTGCAAATGCCTATAGAGTAGAATATTAAATACATATTAGAACCCTCAAAATGACTTAACATTAACAGATCAATATATGAGAACATTTATTGAGCAGTTGCTCCATATAAAAAACTGAGCTGGAAGCTTTATATGTATTATCAAATTTAATCCTCATTGCAACCCTATATTATCTACCTATTATAAACAAAAGTGAAACTATGAATAATTCGCTAAAATCAAATACATGCAACTGATAAGTGGAAGAGGTAGATTTTGAAGCTAGTATGGCTGGCTCCAAAGTCCACACTTTTTCTTCCTATCTTACATTTAAAAAACTCTAGAAAATAGGTAGAGGCACATGCAGTGACAGTGAATCATTGAGCATTATGAACAGTCAAAATAAAAATATTTGTGGAAAAATTGAGACAAAATTGTCTTGGAACAGGTATTGTAAGTTGAAATTTGAATTGTAAACTGATTATGTCTGAAGTAAAATTAACAGAAAATTCATCAACAGAAGGTATGAACAGGTGAATCAGGAATACTACATGGTTAGTAAGAAAAAGAGTTCAAAATATTCATGATTACTACTTTATAAAACTAGTCTCTTTCATAATGTATATTTTCAACACAATATGCACATTATTACAGTAACAGTGTCACTAGACTTTTTGGAGTCAATTTAAATGACATCAATATCCATAGAAATTAATTTTTAGCAAGGCTTTAATGCATTTGTCTTTACCTGTTTGTGATGAGCCGAGAATTAACATATCTATATTCTCCTTCATACTTTTGCTCAGTTATTGTCATCTTACCAATGGGTCTTCGAAGTCGAGTTAGGAATAGCCCAGAAACAACCAAGTAGGCCATCATGCTCGCTGGGCCCTATTATTATTGGGAGAGAAAGATACACAAAGTTCTGGGATATAATAATAAATTCACTTAGATACAAACATGTACAATTTTTATAATTAACCTCAATGACTGAAAGAAATTGCCCTACTGGGTAATTTTTTCCCTTTGTTTTTTTTCTGAAAAAGTACACAGTAGCCTCTACACTTTTACTACTCATGGGCTTTTCCTCTTACCACTGTAGCTTATCCCTCAGCTCTCCTACATTTTGCTCACCTAAAAACTCCTAATTGCAGTTCACAGTTTTTCTATGTTATCTAACACTCTCCTGTTGGAACTCTTCTTGATAATCTCTTAAGATTCCACAATAATTCTTAGACCTCTTTTTCTTGCCTTCTTTTTTAATGTTAATATTCCCTCAAACTCCTTCCTTAGTTCTCTTCTCATCTCAAATCTATACCTCTAGTCCTATCACTCTTATGAACCCAAGAAATAAGTACTACACATCTTTACCTTAATACTGTGCAGATGCCTCAAGTTCAGCTCCCCCTGAACGAGCTCTGTCTTTCCCTGCGTGTACATCTTGCTTCCAGCTGCTGTACTATGTATTAATAACTTTGTACGTGACCTCATCACCCATTGACCATCCCAAGAGAAAAAGAAAGGTATGCTTGAAGCATACCTTTCCAAGTTCATCATAGGCACTTCCCTCATTCCCCTATATACCCTATACTCTGCCATACTAAAATATATAAATGTTTCCTGAACAGTTTCCATTCAGTGAGGTTGTTCTTATGTTTGGCAAGCCTGACATAATCTAATGGATGTTTACTTACCTCCCCAAAGTAGCTCAGATATCACCTCCAGTTCTTCTTGGCACTAAATACTTTCTTGAAACTTCTATTACTAAACTTTATCATGCTGCATCATAATTGTTTGACTATCTACCTGTTTTACCACATTGTAATTCCTCTTCAGCAGGAATTGTGTCTTACTTATCTTTTTATTCCTACTATCTAGCACAATATATGTGCTAGTAAGTATTCAAGATTAAAAAAAAAAAAGTAAATCTGATCAATTCAATGCATATCAACAACTACTACAAATGTGGACCAAAAAGATAACTAAAACAGTTTCTGCCTTTAAGAAATGCAGAATCAGATAACAAGTAGACATGGAGACATATTTAAGTATCACAAAAATGTAGTTAAGTACCATAAAAATATGACTGCAAGGAGACAAGAAGGATTTGGCCTATTCACTTGGTTATAGTAAAACAAAATACAAGAATGATAAAACCTGGATCACAAGACAGCAAAGAATTAGGAAAATAAACAGAAAAATTCGAAAAACAAAACAAAGCAAAACCAAAACCCTGCTTTTCCAGTGTTTTGGAAAGCAACAAAAACCAGTATGGAAATAATTTATTAATCAACTGAAATGCATATACACACATACACATATGTAAAACAACCATACTATTATATGGCTGTGTTATAAATATGTAACAATAACATTACATATTAAATGACTAAAGTTACATTTCAATAAGATAACTCAAAGAAAACTTAAAAGTGATTCTTGCCATCACAAATATCAGAGACTTGGATAATAAGGCTCATGGGATAGCCAACCATTTACATTATAAAATATTCTTGGAACTGTTACACCCACTCTAAATGTATCGTTATTTTAACATTAGAATTTCATATTAAAATGGATGTCTCCATATCTCTTTTTAGACATTACTTTGAAACAATAAGTACAAGTATATTCATGGTTTAAGAACTTCTGTTTTATTATTATTTTTTAAAGAAGCGGGTCTCGCTTTTTGTCCAGGCTTGTCTCGAACTCCTGGATTCAAGCGATCCTCCCATCTCAGCCTCCCAAAGTGCTGGGATTACAGGCATGAGCCACCACGCCTGGCCAATACATTTGTCTGGTTTTTAATGCCACAAAATTTTTCCAAGTACCTAATTTAAGGAAAATTAAAAAGAAAAATTAGTACTTCTAAAATCTCGAATGAAGTATTATTTTATAACCAGACTTTGTTAGGTAAATCATGTGAAAATACATTCTTTGAGATCTACAAAAATTCTTACAGGCCATCAAGCTATTCACAATATGTATTTCAAATATTATATTATATCAATTTAAAAGTTGAAATAAAAGCAGACTCACCTGAGCTCCAATTGCACTCGTTAACTTAAAGATATACAAAACTATGTCTAAAAATGGCTGTAAAATAAATATTAGAATACACAGAATTAAAACTAAAGCACTAGAATGATAGCTAATACAACATGTTAACTATAAAATGTCATTAAACATTTAATATATAATTATCAACATGTAGAGGTCCCACTATGTACAATGTACTGTGATAGTAAGTAGATCAAAGAATACATGAAAGATAACAGTTTTCCTCTCAAGAAACTTAAAATGGGAACAGCTTACACAATGTCTACTGACCATCAAGTAGGAAAAACATTTATCACTTTCCATCAACTAAGATACCTCTACTGTGATAATTAACCACTAGTAACTCAGTAATGTGTCAATATAATGTAAAGACACTGAATAAAATGACCTGAGATGTAACCCCAAATCTGCTACCAGTTTGTTTCTACATATCTTCACCTGTAAAGTGAGGAGCTTTTCCTGCTCCAATATTGTTTGACTCTATTACTTTATCACTTCCATGGCAAAATAATCAAGTAAGCCATTGAATCTAATTTTGTGATATAAAACTCAAGTCTCTAGAACCAAAATAACACATTAATGTACTGCTCTTTACACACAGAGACAACTCAACTAATGCACCATCAGCTGCATTAGTTTGAAATGTTTTTCAAGAAACACAAATTGTGTTCATTCACTTTAAGTCAACAGCCACTGCTTGCACCTCCACTTTTTTTTTTGAGACAGGGTCTGGCTCTGTCACCCAGGCTGGAGATCTTGGCTCACTGCAGCCTCTGGAGTAGCTGGGAGTACAGGCGCACATTACCATGCCTGGGTAATTTTTGTATTTTTTGTAGATGGGGTTTCACCATGTTGCCCAGGATAGTCTTGAACTCCTGGGCTCAAGCGATCTGCCCACCTTGGCCTCCCAAAGTATTGTGATTGCAGGGATGAGCCACTATGCCCGGCCAACAGCCAGCACTTTCTAATCCACATTATTACTAGGATAGATGGCTTGGTTTGTTAACTGGCTTGTTTCAACATCTACCTTTCCCTTTCCTTTTTTTTTTTTTTTTTTTTTTTTTTTTGCCTTATAAGTTATCAAGAAGCTAGAGATACTTATAAAATTCAAGAACTGTTAAAACTTATGACAAAAATAATGACTCATAATTTAAGTTGGAGGTCAATTAGATGTTTAAAACATCTAACTTACACACTGGTGTACAGCCCCACTACAAGTACTTAATTTAATATTCTTCTGTATTCCAGATTTGACAAAACCTGAGACTTGCTCAAGTGCCAAGATTTAAAGAATACATAATAATGTCTATAAAATTACATGGAAAGTTGTATAGATACACCCCCCATTCCCACCATGCATGCATGCATACACACACACATACACACACAGAGACAGAGAGAGAGAGAAAGAGAGAGAACAAACTTTCAAATGTGGTAATGGGAACAGAAAAGAAAGCTTAATTACTGAACTATTTGTAGTTGTCAGAGTTCCCGAGTTTGGGATCAGTTAGCAAAGGCTTCTGGAGAGCTAAATAAATAACAAAGTTGGGCTGGAAGTGAAAAGCATTGGGCCTGGGCATGAGGAGAGCAGCTCTTGTGGATATATATCTCTAAGAATTGCCTTCCCTCCATCCATCTGGTTGAAGCAAGAACATTCCTATTCTTACAATGTGACCCAGTCCTTTTTATAGTTTTGGTTTTCTTTTGTCTCAAAACTGTATATCTAGGTCAACTGTGACCAGAGGCAAAGATACTATCATTGGTCCAGTATGAGACAAGCTCCTAGCCAACACCAAGGGAAGTCACATGAGTTAGAGTGGGAACTGAAGCATCTCAGATGAAGAGGGGAGGGGATGCTGGGCAGACTATTTTATAGGTGCCTACTACATATCATAGTCAATGCAAGAGGTAATGGCAAAGAAGAGGGTTTAATAAGAAGACTACAGCAAAAGCTGTAAGGGTGGTGAGATAACATGACTAAGATAAGAACTGGAGAAATCAGTGAGAAGAAGGAAAACTGACTAAGGCCTATCACAGTCAGGAGCTTTGGCAATATTCTGAGGAGAATGGGAAAAACAGTAATTAGAAAACTGAAATATACTTGCATCTTGTGAAATTTTTTGACTACTACTTACTAATGATCTATTAGAATTAAAGATACTGAAGCAGAGAAATGGGCAGAAAGGAAGTCCTAGTCTAGTGTTATAAGTGTGGAGTTAGAAACATAAATTGACAGTCAATCTCTAACAATGGCCGGATGCACACAGGTCAAAAGATGAGAATTCAAATTTCTGTTGTTTTAATGGAATCAACCTGCAAAATTCTTAGAAAATCCTTATAAGACACTAAATTATCAGTTCTTTGCCAAAGTACCTCACAAAAATAATAGAAAAAATTAAAATAATTAAAACTATTACAACAACTCTAATTTTCTTATAAAAGCATTAAATATTTACATGCTGCTGTTATGTCCACAAAATCAATTCTATATAAATTTGCTTAGATTCAAAATTCAAAAAATTAAACAAATAATCTTTTAAAAAGGAGAGAAACTTACCTTACTAAGATTTGAATACAGATCGACTACACTGTTACAAAATTTTTCTACATCTTGTGTAAGCAGCTGGTCTGGATTAGCTATTCTGTTGTCCAGATTCCCCATTTTATAATATGTGAAAGCTCTAAAATAGCAAGAAGAAAAGTGATTTTAAAACAAGTGACTTTAAAGATAAAACAACAACAAAAAAATCATATTACACCACCTAGCTCAAATACATAGAAACAAAAAAGTTTGGAGCCAGAAGAGATCCTATTGATTGCCCTAACTGATTTTTAGAGAGGAGGACACAAGTCCAGAAAATGATGACTTGTCAATTAATGGAAGAGCCAGGACTAGATTCCAAATAACTGAAAGGTTGTTCCCAACATGCTTCTGTACCTAAGAGTGGTTTTCTTAGAAAACATACAATAAATAAGAAAAACTGCTATATTGATCAGCTTCATAAATACTCTTCTATTTAAATATTTTTAATATAAAAATAGGTTATCACTTACTGAAGATACTCCTCATAGAGGTATTTAGTGAGCCTTACTCGGAAGCACAGTTTAAGCTCATTTAACCCATACTTCAAGAAGTTATTAACCAGAGAGATCTAAAACAAACAAACAAATATTATTGGTTTTGCTTTTCATTTCTGCTTACTAAACTATAATTTATTTCTCTATTATTTCCTGTGTCCCAAATCCTACAATTTTTATAATTTAGTCCAAATTTATATAATTCAGTTCTGTTTTACTTTACTGCATTTAGCTAAACCAAATGTACCTCGTTTGAATTATTCTATGTTAAAGTTTACATGGAATATGTTAATATCACTAATTACGCGACATACCTTGCCCATTTTTTTTGGTAAACGGGCAAAAAGTCAAATATATCCCCTTTCTAGCCAATGTAAAGACTTGCTTTTAGGAGTTCAGACATTTATATTTTCTGTTTCCTACTATCAGCACTACAACCCTAGACAACGGAATTCTATATACACTATATTTGCATTTGTTAAAAAAAAAAAACACTACAGGTTTTACACCAACTAATGCTATTTTCCAGATTATTTCTAGAGCCATCTTTACTAACATTTTCCATCGTTACATTACAAATTTTCTCAAGTGGTCTTTGCTGAATCTTAATCTTTGATATCTATGTTGCTTATTCCAATTGTTTATTTTAAAAAGTCTAAAAGCTATGTAGCCCCAGCTTCCAGCTTTATTAAACAAGAATTTCTGGCAATTTCAACATAACTGGATTTTACAACCAAGCTTCTCATTTTTACCCACAAATTCAGAATATTACATTCTTACAGCGCCAAGAAAATTAAAATGAGAACCAACCTAAGAAAATCACTTATATTTTAGACTAAACAATTTATCTGTAAAAAATTCAGACCATAAATTCCAATTTAACTTAAAGTAAATTAGTAGTTCAAGTTACTGTAATAGTTTATGGCCTAAAGTAACCAGGATGATTTGCATTCCCCCCTCTAAATCCCCCCAACTCCCCAAGTTGCCCCCTGCCCATACCCATTTTGCAATGACTGGAATCATTTCTGGTTGTTAGAACTAGGAGAAGGGTGCTACTGCTATCTAATGGTCATTGATGATGCTAAACACTGAAGAAAACCTGGACTGAAGGTTAAAAAAAAAATGCCAAAAAACCCCTCACCCACATACATATGTATATGAATATATATACACATTATAAATGAAATTAAACCAAACATAATCCCTTTTTTATCTAGTATGAAGGTTTACATTGAAAATTATATTATAAATTACAAAACTAAACTGAAAATAGGAACTTAGTATCATAAGTCTTTAAAGAATTTAATAAGTAAAACCCTTAAAGATTTTAATAAGATGCAAATTTCCCGTGTTAAAAAGATTTTTAATGAATTAAACTTACAAGAGGCATGGCAGCGATGAAGTTGAGTAAGTATCTCTTGAAATCTTTCCTGCTACGACCAATGATACCACTGCAAACCACCACATGCAATGCATTAGTTGCAAAAGAAGCAAAATCTAACACTAGGAAAACTTCTGTAAAGCTCTAAAATTACTCTTGGAAACTTCTATTAAATCAAAACAATCAATAAAAAAGATGCTAAAAACCACTTTTTTGCAAAAACATGTTTGCAACTTTAAAATGTCATCATTTTGAACTTGCTGGAACCTCATCCTGCAAATGGCAAAATTAAACAGAATGATAACTAATTATTTCTTAGTAAAAATGGCTGCTTTAAAAAAAGGCTTAAGTGGCTACAAAAGAAACTAAGCTAGCATAACAATTAACAACTTTATAGTCCCAGGAATGGGTTATTATGAATAAACAAAGTACCATTTGTTTGTTTTAAAATATTTTAATAATCTGATTCTCATTTGTGTGAACTAATGGCAGGGAGACAGACTTAATGGGGATCAGCAAAGGGTCAAGAGTAAATATTTTAGGCTTTGTGCACCCTAAGGGCTCCGCTGCAACTACTCAATTCTGCCACTGTAAAACAAAAGCAGCCAAGAAGTGTGGCTGTATTCTAATAAAACTTTACCAAAACAGATGGCAGGTAGTGAGATTTGACCTGTGGGTCCTAGTTTGCCAATACTGGGACTAACGCATAGATCAGAGCCCAGAATGGATCTACAGAAGCTTCATGTTCCTCAACACACTTCAGCTAGACTAGCTTCTCTTTTGCCTGTTGTTAATCTGTTTTACATATTTTTCTGCTTTTAAAATATACATTAAAAATTTTTAAAAAGGGTTCTAAAACTTTATTAAAAATTTGAACAAAGCAGTATTATATAAGTAAAGGATCTTTGAGTAAGATATGTCTATGACCTAATACAAAGATAGTATGTATTTGATCACAGAACTCTTACTTCAAGTAATACTTAATAATGTTCCCAAATTTCATAAGACATATTTATATAAAACATTTAAACACTGGACTAAGTGGTTTAAACCTAGCTGCCCACGCACACACAAAAATTACTAGTATATGACTAGAGAAATAATTTCTTTTCTGTGAGGGACTAGATGGATAAATTTGGGAAATCCTAGGTTAAACAAATCTAACAAATGTCTTTACCAAAGACCTTCTCAAAGCTTTTAATGTATAGTATGTGCATTTTAACTCTCTGAGAGGGGTTTGTAGCATGAAACATTTCCTCTATCATAGCCAAGATTCCACAGAACATACTTTGGGAAATGTTCCTTTAGACTGATTAAGAGAAATTAATACTCCAATGTTTATATAGCCCCTAAAAAGTAAAACAGTTAAAAAAAAAAAAAACGCTAACTACAAGAAAGTTAAATAGAACCACACAAAAATGTTGTTTATAGCAATAAGAATATTACAGACATTAAGCAATCAAGACAGTACAAAAGGTTCAGAGAATTTATGTTAAAATTGTTTGAACCAAACCTTACTTAAAACCAAAGTGCTTTAGTGCTGCCCAAGCTGTGAAACACACAAGAACATGCCATCATTCAGCAATGGTTTACCATTGGAGTAGCAGCTATAAATTTAAAAAATGGTTTCTTGAATAAAGCCTTATTTCTGCTTATTATTCCACTGCAAAAAAAATAATTAACAAAAAACAATTTTACAATAGCCCTAATCACTACAACTTCCAAATGTTTAAGAATCTTTATAAAAGAGAGTTTGGTAATTTTTAAATTCTGCTTGTAGCCAAATGGGTGAAAATAAAATATATTTTTATGATTAGATAAAGCAGCAACAAGGTATGAAGAATTTTCCTCCATGTCATGGAATTAGTATAGTTTCTACCTTAAAGAGGGTGTCTTTCCTATTAAGATTTGCCCATACTCCAAAGTCATTAGTCACCATCAACAAATAAGCTTAAAATATGAAAAGGATATTAAAATGAAGTACATTAAGGACCATAATAAGTCTCTTTGAGGCTTTCTTTAGCAGAAATACATGAATCTGGACTTACTTTAGAAAAGGCAAAAAGAGAAAATAAATAAATCAATTTGCACTGTAGCTTAAATACTGAGATGGAGATATATGTTAACTTTTCAAATAAAATTATCCTGTACGAATGTACAATATTTTAAAACTTTTTTTGAGATAAGGTCCAAATATTAAAGAATTTCATACACAGCAGAGGCTCAAAACTATTTAGGAGAAAGTTAACAACTTTAAAATGAGTGTTTTACAATTGGTGAATGTGGGTTAAGAATATAAGGAAGTTCCTTATGCTAATCTTTTTTTTTTTTTTTTTGTGAGACAGGATATCCCTAAGCTTAAGTGATCCTTCTGCTCAGCCTCCCGTGTAATTGAGACTGTAGGTATGTGCCACCACAGCCAGCTAACTTTTTTATATTTTGTAAAGACGAAGTCTCACTGTGTTGCCCAGGCTGGTCTTGAACTCTTGGCCTCAAGTGATCCTCTTGACTCAACTTCCCAAAGTGTTGGGATTACAGGTATGAGCCACCACACCCAGCCCCTTATTCTATTTTTCAACTTTTCTGTAAGTGTAAAGTATACCAAAATAATGGTTTTAAAAAATGGTTCAGAAACTCATACAAAAAATGAAAAACAATTTTTTAAAATTTCATAATTAAATTTTAAAACTGAGTACTACACACACGTGCACATGATTAGGGTCCCCCTACAAACACCCTTCAAGGGAGACCAGTTAACAAGCTCTCAACTCCAGCTTCTAGTAAGTGTTTAAGGCACTTACTTTTAAATATGAATTCACAGCCAAGAGTCACAGAATGCTTGAGGAAGGCCTCTAATGTGAATGACAACAGAATAACAAAAAATGCAGGGAGCTAAAAACACATTAAAAACTTAAATAGCTTCAGAGGTGAAAAAATACTGCATACTTAAAAGAATGATTGCTATAAAAATGAACATCCATATAGAAGATAACTTGGAAATAAAATTATAACAAATAAAAATTCACTGGATAATAAAGAAATTTCCTAGAAAATAAAATAAAATGGCAGAGACAAAAATAGAAGAGAAATTATAAGATAATCAGATCATCAGTCCAGAGGCTCCAACACTCAGCTAATAAGAATTCCAGAAAAAATGGAGGAATAATTTCTTTTTAAACACAAGAAAATTTCTCAAATGAAGAATAAGTTTCTAGATGGAAAAAGAGTTCACCTAGTGCCCAGCACAATGAACAAAAAAAAAAAATTCATACCAATGTTCAGTGAAATTTTCAAACATCCAGTAATACAACATCAACAATTTTTTAAAAAAAGATTGAGGGGGAGATTGAGGGAGGAACAAATCTCCAGCTATAGCTGAGCAATCGGAATGGCAAGAGGCCTCAATACCCACCCTGGAGCTGCACAACAGAATCCACTAGATGCTTCAAAAAGGTTTGATTAATTGAATCAGAATCTCTAGTGGTGGGGCCCAGACATTCATAATTCTTAAAATTCTCCAGATGATTCCAATCATTCTGCAGCCAAGGTTGAGACCCAGAACAGAGTGATGTTCTCAAAATTCTGAAGAAAAGTGAATTCCAACTTGGAATGCACAAACATAGCTAAATTATCAATCAAGTATGAGACTAGAAGAAAGACATTTTCAGATCTGCAAGGTCTCAAAAATTTATCTCCCTTCATCCTTACTCAGAAAAAGAGTGCATCTGCCAAAACGAGAAAGTAAACTGAGGAAGAGAAAAACAAAAAATCCAGAAACAGGTTATTTAATTCAGGATACAAAGATGAAAGAAATTCCCAAAATAATGATAAAAGCAAATTCAAACGTGATTGCTACTCAGTGGGCCTAAAATGCAACCAATCCTGATTAAAGCAAGAAGACCCAGCACTTTGGGAGGCCGAGGCGGGAGGACCACAAGGTCAGGAGGTCAAGACCATCCAGGCTAACACTGTGAAACCCTGTCTCTACTAAAAATACAAAAAATTAGCCAGGTGTGGTGGTGGCCACCTGTAGTCCCAGCTATTCAGGAGGCTGAGGCAGGAGAATGGCGTGAACCCAGGAGGCAGAGGTTGCAGTGAGCTGAGATCGCGCCGCTGCACTCCAGCCTGGGCAACAGAGCAAGACTCCATCTCAAAAAAAAAAAAAAAAAAAAGGCAAGAACACTGGAAACTACAAAACGTATAGGGCGGGGGTGGAAATAGAAAGATGAAGTTGATAGATTAGTTGGTGTCTGACCATATTACAATACTGAGAAGATTTCTCAGTATTGTCAAAAAGCTCAAACTGAATTAGGGGGAAGTAGGTTTAAAAAAAAAAAAAAAAAACTAATGTGCACAAATAACTGCCAATTTGTAAACACCAGGAAAAACAAAAAGTTGTATGGAAACGCAACTACCAAAGTATGCCATGTGGCTCAGCTGTAAGCAATAGTCAAAATCATGTAAACAATAAATTGTGATTTAACCAAAAATTATATAATTTTTATTATACATATAAAACATTGAGAAGATGAGCACGGAGGGAGTGTAAAAGAGCTAATTCTCACCTTCCAAAGTAGGAAATGAACACTTACACTCTTGAAACTGAGAAATCTATGAACAGTAATACAAGTATGCAATATGGAAACACAGACACAAAATAAGAGATGAAGCAGTAAAAAGAATAGGAAAAAAGACCGGCTCCACGTAATGACAGTTGTGAGTGAGAGGAGCCAAGGAATTCATGTGTTTTGTCATTAAGTCCTGCAGAACATCTGACATTAAGCTATGTTCATGTATTACTTTTAAAGTTACATTCATATATTACTTTGATTAAAATTAAAAGGCACAGGACTGACCACAGGTTTCAGGGAGACTTGGGTGGAATGTGAGGGCCTACATAATTTACCCATATTCAGAAGTATGTAATTCAAGGCTTTAATCCTTATACATACAAGATTTTTTACTGTCCTAGAGAAATGAGTCAGAGAGCATGGTCATAAAGCATTCTTCCTCTTCCTACAAATCTTTAAGAAGCAGATCAATAATCTAAGAGAAAAAAACCTTTATTCCAAAATGTTGGGGCATTTAACAATTTTAAGTACTGTCATTCAAAAAGTTATTTTAGATTAAATACTTTAAGGAATTTTCTGACAAAATACTGCATACCAGGAAATAAAATTCCTAGCAAAAATGTTTACTCTGACATTCTAATTGGTATTATGAAAAATAAATTCTTTATTAACAGATAAATGGTAAATTGTTATAACCCAAGATATCCCAACTGACATTTTTTACGTTTTTACATTCAAAATTAGCAATTGCAGTGATTAATAATATGTAGAAAGACTATAATGAAAAAATATAAAAAGCACTATCACCAGATGCAGAAAGAAATGTCTAAGAATTGTCTTCCCTTCTAATAAACATGCTCAACGTGATTCTTTGAAATGCTTTGAAATTTTCCTCCAAATTATCTCATTAATTTCAAAAATCCAACTTGGTGGTTTTTTAGAATTCCCATTACAGCACTTATTATGCTGCATTTTAATTTTCTGTCTACCTGTCTCTAACTCTTGATAAACTGTCAGCTCAGCAAGGCTTGGTACAGTTTCTCCTAGTTGCTGGCATATAGACCCCATCACAGTATAGCACATTGCCTGGCACATGGGAAACACTAAGTATTTTTTAAGTAAATGAACAAACACATAATTTGACTTGGGTTATCTTTTACCTAACTTAGAATCTATTTGTTGCTTATAAAGATAATGCATAAATATGAGACAAATTAGCATTTCATACATATAGGAGGAAGGTGATTGAAAAAGTACCTTTCAATTAGTGTCCCATTTTGAATCATCCAAACATCACAATATGTTCGAGACACCAGCATAACAGCAATAAGTACCAAGTAACCTGTCTAAAATAAACCAGGTATAGTAAATTAAATACATGCATTTTAGAAAGTTCAAAGAAATATTACCTTGGTAACAATTTTTGGTTTCCAAATCTAAAGCTTTATGTAAGTTTCAATATAGTTGGCTGACATTTTTTCTATAAGTAATTTTAAATATAGTTTAAAGGGAACGCAAGAATATTATATAAATGAAAAAAGCCTCATAGATTCATTTAATCTTTCTCATTCAGAATTCAAAAGTGAATCCTAGGCAGGTCAAAGGACTTGCCTTCATATACCTAGTCAAGGACAGAAGCTGGGAATGTAACTTAGATTACCTAGATCATAGTGTATTGTTGATTTTCTTATATTTTGACATATAACTTTAACAAAGAAAAATGACAGTAACTGCACATATACAGTTATACAACTAACCAAAATTGAAGCCTAAAATTTTGCCTAGGTAGAATAAATTTGGTTTAATTTGTTAGAAAAATTTATAATAGTGTCCATGCCCTCATAGGGCTTTCAATTTAGTTATGAAGGGAAGAGTTACACATAAAAAGTAGCAGACAAATTTAGGCAAACATATTTGTATCATTTCATGTCCTAAGCTGTGGGATGGGAAGGTTTGGGGTAGCAAAAGACAGTTATGGCATTAGAAATATGATAAACAGTAAAACAAAAAAGAGAATGAGGATTAAAGGTAAAAAAGATGAAGGATTTAATGGGGGAAAAAAGGGATTAAAATCATATGAACTATGGTACTGTACTGAGTTTACACACATAAAATTCTCGCAAGCTTCTCAGTAGAACAAAAAGTGATGTTAAAAAGTGATGTTTAAAGAATATTACTTAAGCAATGCTGTGCAAGACAGATTACGAAGCAGGGAAAGTCAAGATGCTGGGTGACTGGCTGGGAATCAGTTATCTTTCTGTGAGATGAGAATCCTGCCACCCCAACCCCAAGTACACATATTTAAAGCTGATCTTAAATTTTCTAAATTGGAACAATAAGACAGTGACATAGAAGTTAAAGTAAGGGAAGAAGGCCTGCAGAGGGTGGGAAGCTGGCCAAATTAGCCCCTTCTACCTCCCTTACTAATTCCCAGGGACTCATCCAATGTTTCAAATTTGTTTTACATTCATTGAACCCCTGCAATAGTTAAAATGAACATTAAGCTGTTAACTGATTGGAAGGTAACATATGCATCTTTCCAGAGAAGCTTGTATTTTAAATAAGGATTCTTCAAAGGCAGGACAATTAGTTATGCCTGAAGAGTCACTGGAAATATTCACAAAAAAGATAAGCATTAAGCAATTTTTAAAAACATATTTGTTTTTGTTGTGGGGACGTACAGGATGTCACAGACATGATGTTGTAAACAAATGAAAGGCTGAGGACATAGGGCCAGATCGTAAAACAATGATCTCCTAAGCAGATGGTATTAAAAGGAAGGCCAAAGTCAGGTTGTGATTTACCCTATAAGGAAAATGAAGTTACATGTTTTGATTAGGATTTTAAGAAAGAATACAAATTGGAAAAGGAAAAGAAGCAAAAAGACCAATTAAGATATAATAATCCAGGTAAGATATAGTGAGAACAGTAGGAATGTAAAGGGAGAGAATAATTTATAAGAAACTTTAGGATACTTAGAAAGAACATTTATAATATAAGGGAAGGAGCAGATCTTAAAAGTGTGTGATCCCATTTTTAAATTAAAATATATGCTTGCACACAGGATGACTATATATCAAAACGAGTAAGAGGCTGATAGGTGCCAAAAAATAAATCTAGCTGCATTTTCTAATTTTCTTCAAGGAACATGTATTACCTCTGTCTAATTAGGAAAAAACAAGTGTCATTACTTTTTTTAAAAAAAGAATTTCTCAAGGGCAGAATCATCAGGAGATGATGCCAAAGTGAGGGAAAGAGCAAATCCAGCATGATGAAGGAATGTACGTTTTCTTTGGGAACTGCAATGCTTTTGTAACAGTTAAGTATAGGAAAAATTAGCAGATCCCAGTGACCAAAAAGGGTGACAAGGGGAAGAGGAAGAGCTGAAGGTAATGATACTTCTAGTTACAGAATGAGAGAATGCTGAGGAAGATGGAGAATACGGCATTATTTTAATAATCATTAAAAATGTTTATCAAATAATGAAGATAATCTTGATAAAAAAGCAAAGGAACGAATTATACAACTATTCGTATAAGCAGCTCACTTCCTGAATGAAATAACTGATGAATCCAGATATCATTTTGCATATCTTAAAAATATTTAATCAAATATACTCCACACTAATGTGACTTGTTAACATCTCAATGTAATAAAAGGGTTTGTCTTTTGAAATTTAATCTAGTGTTTATCAACAGTATTTAACTATAACAAAGCAACACCATTTAGGGTAGCTGTATGGCAGTACCCTAGCATTTCACATAAAATAAAATGAAATAATACTTCAGAAACAAGAGAAAACTATTTAAAAACTGGCACTGAACAAGGTTTTTTGTATGACAGGTGATGATTTAAAGACAAAAATTTAGTAATCTTCTTGACCTACAGAGAAAACATTTGACCTATAGTATAACCAAAGTGTTATGATTTTACTGTTCTAATCTTACATAACCTTGAAAGTTGAACACTTAATAATTTAATTTGGGTATCTGTCTCCACCCAAATCTCATGTTGAAATGTAATCCCCAGTGTTGGAGGTGGGGCCTGGTGGGAGGTGTTTGGGTCATGGAGGCAGATCCCTCATGGCATGGTGCTGTCCTCCAGACAGTGAGTGAGTTCTCATGTATCTGGTTGTTTAAAAGTATGTGGCACCTCCTTGGCCCTTTGCTCCCTCTCTCACCATGTGAGACACTGGCTTCCCCCTTCACCTTCAGCTGTGATTGCCAGCTTCCTGAGGCCTCCCCGGAAGTGGAGGAGATGCTGTGCCATGCTTGTACAGCCTGCAGATCCAGGAGCCAATTAAATCTCTTTTCTTTATAAATTACCCAGCCTCAGGTATTTTATTAAAGAACGGCCCAATATACTTAAGATTATAATTTCATAAGACTTACCTCTTTACAAAATGTTCTAGGGACCATGATTTTCAGAATCTGTATGAGCCTTGAGAAAAACACCTTGTCCACCACAGCTCGCTCCTTTTTCCCCTCTTTCTGCATTAAAAAAAAGAAGCCCTTTTAAGATAGCTATAACAAACATATCATAAAATTAAAGAACCATGTTTCATCTAAGTCAACATAAACAGCTATCAAGATAAAAACTGAATTTACAAAACACAGACTTGCATACTTACACTGCTCCTCATATTCAAACATGTTTTTGAGAAAACAATGTTATCTAAAAACTGAATAAGGAAGTGAGTTCTGGAACCACACAATTATCTGGGTGAAGAAAACTGCAAGCAGAAGAAATAGCAACTGCAAAATACCAAGGTGAACACCTGCAACGTGCTTGAGGAAGAACAAAATGGCCAACCTGGCTGGAGCTGTGAGGAAGGTACCATCACAGAGGACGAGGTCAGAGAGACAGCTGAAAAAAGGTCAAGGGTTTACTGAGTTTTGTATTAGCCACTTCCTGATTAACACCATATTTAAAAAAAAAAAATCCTGAACAGAATTTTGCCTGATATTAAATAGAGGAAACTTTTGGATTCCTAGATTTACCATTTAACATTTCCAATATACAGTCTGTCAATTCACTCTCTCTTCCTCATAAAATTCAAAGACAGACAAGGTTCTTTCACTTATGCAGCTCACATTCTAGCGGGAGAAACATAGACAAAAAATAAACCAATAAATAAATTATTACAGACAGACTAGACAGGGTCATGAGGGGAAAAAAAAGAACAGTTCACACAGGATGGTCTGAAAAGTCTCTTGACATTTAAGCTTAGACATAAATAAAAAAAAGCCATGTGATTATTTAAAGTGGGTAGCAGAGGGGAGGGAGTGAAGCACAAGGAACAACGAGCACAAAAATACAGTGTTGGAAATAAAATCGGTGTGCACATTTCACAGCAAGATGGCAGTATTGCTGTAGCAAAGGGAACAAGAATGAGAGAAGTTTAAAAGGTAGGCAGGGCTTATAAAGGACAGAGCCTTGAAGCCACAGTAAAGATTGAGAGCTTACTGTGAGTGTAGAGGGATTTAAAAGAAGATAATCTTACCTCTCTCAAGAGTTTTTTCATTTTCACTAGCTCCATGAAAATGGAAGTACTAAACCATTTGCAAAGATAAGGAAACACGTGACGAGACTTACTACTCTTGGACTGTTTGGAAGGACAGGGGAAACTTCTTGGAAAAGGCAAGACACTCCAGAAAAACCCCAATTCCCTGACTAACCCTTTCCCCAACTCCATTATCACAGCTCACTTATCTGGCTAACTACTGTGCTCCTGACAAACAAATACCTGTTTGTATTAGTAGAGTAACGCTATTAGTTAGCTATAATGTAAATGTGCTTTGATTAAATAAATATCTAACTTGATGAGCCTTAAGTGAACTGTTTGGGTACTGAATTAGAATAATAATAACTACCAACTATGTGTCAGACACTGTGCTAAGGCTTTATAGACATAATCCTAAGAAATAAGCACTGAGTGCAGTGCAGAACTGTAGGCCAAAAAAGGAAGTCTGAAGGCACTGTGTTTATAGGGTTAGACTAGAAAGACTACAATAGGAGGAACTGGAAAAGAATCCACCTACCCTGCAACTGCTGGAACAGAGACTCAGCATTTCAGGTCTTTCAGACAAAGTTGCAAACCTCATCCTACTGAGTTACAGGCTCAGTCTACTTAATTCATACATGCTTACATTCATTCATTCAACAAACAACTACTTGATCCAAACCCTATTCCAAATGATAAGCACACAACAGCAAACAAAACAGACAAAAAGCCCCACTCACAGTCCAGTTAGTTGAACTAGCCTATTCTCCTCAAGCTAAACCTTACACATTCAACCTAATCTGTTTGTATTTTCCCCAAACCCAGAAAACATAGGAAGAAAAGAGTAAAGAAAAGGTGATACATATTAACTACCTTTTTAAAAAAAGAAGTTAAACTACTTGTTCTTCCTCCTATCGCCATCACCACTCCCTCCTCACTTCACCTTGCCTTACCTGTAGGCAACACCCTTCTCTATTGCTAGCTGGAACTTTAAGTGGCACAATCCTGAGGTGAAATGGACATCTGAGTTAAACAGAGGACCACCTGTTTCTAGCTACTCTAAAGAAATGATCTAAGACAAACAATGAGGAAAGTTAGAAAAAAAGAATTACAAGAGAGTAACGTTGAAACACTTTAAAATATTAGTTGCTAACTTGTATAAAATTCCTCCTCATTTTCTTCTGTTCCTATTGTCACTTTCCCTATCCTTAAACTGACTGAAACCTGATGGATTTTCATTACGTTTCAATCCATGAAAGGAACTAACTATATTCTTCCAAATTATCATTGTTTTCTGCAAAGGATCACCTGGACTGGGAGGCTGGCTCAGAAGGGCTGAATTCAAAGAGATGTCAGGAATCTTGATCACAGCAAAACTCTACCTGAAACCAATCTAAATAAGAGTAACTATAGAGGCAGTACATAATATTACTAGCCTTTCCTAAGAATTCATTTTAAATTCACAATGAACTTTTCCCACTTCCAAACTTTCCCAGTAATTTTTTTAAATACAAAAAAAGACCACTTTTCCCACTTCTAAACTTCCCAATAATTTTTTTAAATATAAAAAAAAGACCACTGTGGTGATATAAGTTTAACATGAACATTATAGAAAAAGCAAACAAATCATTAAAAGCTATTTGAGAAGTCGAAGTAATAATGCAACAAAGGAAAAAAGAAAACCTAAAATTCAAAAGGTAACAAAGGTCAAAGTACAATGAGAAGTTCCTATTGATACGTCAATCACCGTAGGTGAGACTGACTGAAAAAGATGTTTGAAATAGCAGTAAAATAAGAGGCCATGTAGTGCTGACAGAGTATAAGTATTCCTATACATTGTAGGGAAAAGTGAAAACTGGTACAACTATTATGTATCATTTATCAAAATGTAAAATGTACACTGACTGTAAAATGTAAAATAACCCAGTAAATTTACTTTCAGGAACTTACCCTACAAATATACCTGCACATATGCTTAGCCACACAAATAAAAACATCGTACTCGTTTATAATACCATAAAATTAAAAACAACCTGATGTACACCAATATTACATAAATCATAGCAAAATTATTCAATGAAAACTCTATACAACTGTAAAAAAGAAAGCAGCTCACATACACAGAAACAGAATATGAAAGAGCAGGTCTACAGCTTTAAACATGAAGTGACCTAAAAATTAGTATGCTGGAAAAAATTAGAATGATACATGCAATTCATTTTACACATGAATTTATGAAACTTTTAAATATGTAAAGTAATTCTAACTATATTGTTTATGGATACACACACATACACACACATGCCAAAATACAAAAATATGCATGGGAATGCTAAATACTGAACCCAGCACAGTACTTATCTTTATACATTTTGAATTTCATTATATTGTTCTCCAACTTTCTAATTAAATTCTTTTTTCCTCCTTAAAATTCACGTCTTATGAAAATTGCCTCTCCCCACCCTATCTCCATCACAAAGGATATAAAAAATTTCTACCAAAAAAATACGTTAAGTTGCTTTCCTCAAAAGTAACATATTCACTGTAGAAAAATTAGAAAATTCTGACGAGCAAAAATAAGAAAATTAAACCTACTGCCTTTGTTACATATCCTACTAGATTTCATTTTAGCACACGTGTGTACTTCCTATACATTTAACAAATGTGCTATCAGTGTGCATATTGTGTCCTTTTTATTGCCAATCACTTAATATAACCTAAATTTATCTTTCTCACACTATGCAACCAGCAAATAAGTATATGCTAAAATATTGTACAGAAAAATAAGAAAAAAATGAGTAAAATGAATCTAGCTGTCCTAGAACTTGCAGATATCCAATATGCAAATAAGAGATATGACTAAGTTCAGATAACTAACATTTGATTACTCAGATAGAACTTAGACATGAGAGATCACGGAGCTGGAGATATGCCAGAGAAGTGGACATAAGCACATCTTATCACATTTTTCAAAGACTAGGAAGGAAATATTACAGAGACTAAAGAACAACAATCTTGATGTCAATCACCAGGATATTCAGAGAACAGACACTGACATGGAGGGTTGGGGAAGACTTGAGAGACACTAATCACTAGAAGCCAGCATCAGTTTACTGAAAGTACGTCATGTTAAATTGTTCTAATTTTCTTATTTGTTAAGGATACCATAACTAGCATACTAGCTGATATGCAGAATGTAAGCTCCATGAGGGTGGAAACTTATTACTTACTGAAAGACTGACTTACTAAGTGAATTAATAAATTAATAAAGGAATTAGATGTTTCTTATAAAATTATTGTGGTCTCAATGGAGAAATAAGAACCAGATTTTGCTATAGTTGGATGTAGTCACAGCTGAATAACCAGAAACAAAGATTAAGAGATGTCACAGAGCAATCTCCTTGGTCCTTACATAGTCAATACTATCAGCAGTTCTGTGAAAGAAAGGAAAGGCAAATTAAATTTGTAGATAATTCTTCTACTTAACATACCAGATGTGAGAATTGCACTAAAAATTAGACTAATGGTATAGATAGTAGGTTAAACCCAATAAGCTGACATTTACCGCAATAAATTAATGTTTATCTAAAACAAAGCAACTGCGTTAACATATGACCCAGCAATTCCACTCCTAGATACACACCCAAGAGAAATAAAAACATATCTCTACATAAAAACTTGTGCACAAATTTTCATAGCAGCATTGTTATTATTCATAATAGCCAAAAAGTAGAAGCAACCTAAATGTCCACCAACTGATGAACTGATAAACATAATGTGGTATATGCATACAAAGAACACTATTCAGCAATAAAAAGGAATGCAATACTGATACAACAACATGATGAACCTTGAAAACATTGTGCTAAGTGAAAGAAGCTAGGCATAAAAAGCCACATATTATATGATTTCATTTATTTGAAATGTCCAGAACAGGTAAGTCAACAGGGACAGAAACAGATTTGTGGTTGCCAGGGATTGGGGGAAGAGGGTAATAAGGAATGACTGCTAATGAGTACAGGATTTTTTTGGAGAGATGAAAATTTCCTAAAACTAGGTAGTGGTGATAGCCACACAACTCTGTGACTACACTAACTACTCATTTATACACTTAAATGGATAAATTTTATGGTATATATATCTCAATAAATCTATCATGAATATAACATGTAGAGATATAGAGTTGTCAAAAATACACCTGAAGTTTATAATTTACCATAAATTCCACTTAATGTAAAAAATAGTTACGGTTAAAGAATTAAAAGCAATTTTAGGATGAATTTTAGCAATATTGTATTCATATCAAGAAATGTAATCATGCTGATATATTCCATGCTAGTCAGGCCATAACTGGACAACTACATTCCATTCTAAGCACAATGCCTAAGGAAACTAGTATAGGTCCAAAGGAATGTATACAGAACTGAAAAAGGATCAGAACCCATGTCACATGAGACATATTAGAAGGAATCAAGATTGCTTAGCACAGGAAAAGAAAGACTCGTAAGATACAACTATCTTCAAATATATGTGGGTGTACTAGAGAAAACAGAGCCAGGCAAGGTGGCTCACATCTACAGTCCCAGCTACTTCAGGCTGAGGTAGGAGGATCCTTAGAGCTCAGGAGGTCAAGGTTACAGTGAGCTATGATCATGCCACTGCACTCCAGCCTGGATGACAGAATGAGACCTGGTTGGTAAAAAGAAAATTTTGAAGAAAAGAGAAGAAAAGAAAAAAGAGGGAAGGGGAGGGGAGGGGACAGGAAGGGAGAAAAGGAGAGGGGAGGTGGAGGAGGGGAGGGAAGCGGGGAGGGGAAGGGAGGGGGGACAAGATATATCTCGATACAAAAGATATAACAGAGTCACTGCTAAGAAGCTAGAAGAGGGGGGGAAACTAATATCATCATGGGCTAGAACTAATGCAGTTAATGCTGCCTCCTAGAGTAACACTTTCCTGTCAGGAGTCCTATTTCAGAGAGTATTCCTGTAATGTGTAGAAGACTGGAGTATTTTTAAGTTCCCTACTAATTATAAAATTTAATCCTAAATCAGAATCATATGACAAAATAAATGAAATAAATGCATGAAATCCCAAAAAGAAGATGATTTAAACTTTTACCTCATTGTTCTGTAATGGTGGTTTTCCACTTTTCTTACTGCAGAGGAAAAAAAGAGAGAGAGAGCTTTACTTTATGTGAAAAGTGTTATCATTAAGATGATTTTAAGATGTCAAATATACCAAATTATTTAAAAGCGTTTCTTCTTTTTCACATCATAGTGAGATAGAACATATTAAATAATAATAGTCCACCTGACTCTTACTAGGCATTATTTACAAAAAGTGCTTAATAAATTTTAACTACCACTATTATGTAACAGACATTCTGTTTGGTAATTTTTAGGTGTGTGTATGTGTGTGTATAAATACAAACATAAATGCAAGTCTACTTCTTCATCCTTGAATCATAGCTTGGCCATGTAAACCGCTTTGGCCAATGGGACATCAGCAAACTGACACAAACAGAGGCTTGGAAAATGTGCATTGCTCCCTCTTACTGCTGGGAATCTTTCCCCAACCATGTGAGCAATCCTAGGCTAGTCTTCTAAAGGATGACAGAACATGTGTCATTCCCATATTACAAATGAGGAAAGTGGCCTGGAGAGAGTAAGCAGTATGCCCAAGGTTCATATTCTGACTACTAGTCTAGGCTACCTCCCAAAACAATATAATTAGCTGGGCATCGGTCCTTTCCATAACGCACTACCATGGCACCCTATGCTTCTACATAACATTGATCACGTTTTAAATTTCTTGTTGGATGTATATTCCCTTCCATTAAACTAGTTCCATGCTATCAGGAGCTACTGCAGGCTGGTTTCTCTGAAGCTGAGGTAATATGGTGTCTGGGGTACAAATGTTCATCAGGGATCAACACCTGTGAATGGAAGGCAGAGAAATCAGGTTTGGACAGAACTCAAACTGATGCAAGCCCAAAATAACTTCAGCCAACCATATAGGAAATTCTAAAGCAAGCACTGTCCATCAGAGTGCTCTCTGATGGGCTGAAATGGTCAGGCCTTTTTTACCTCCGCCTTGCTCAGTCTGCAAATGCATGCTGCCCCAGGAAGTCTGTGACATGAGGAGAGGGGAGTGTCTCTAGAGCTGAGCCAGACTCTAAGGTGGGGGACAAAGGCGGGGAAAGAGGGGGCTGTCAGGATTTCACATTTCTCACAGCTGGGCAGGAAACCCTTCTTTAAAGGGGAATCTGAGTCTACTACAGGGGTCATACATTATTCAACCCTCTATGTTCAACATCTGTTTGAACTCCGATGATCTGCCGAATGCACATCTTCAGTAGTAAGATACCAGGACACCAAACAAGACTAAAAAGCCAAACTTAACTACAATAGATGCGCTTATTTTAAAAAGCACGTAGATTATTATTATTTCTAATTTCAGTTGTATTATACGATATTTTAAATATGATTATTTATATGTTTAAAATCTTTTATGAATTGTAAAACTGTTATACAAAATGCATTTTAGCACGACAAAACAATGCAGTGAAGAGATAAACTATGGGAGAAAATATTTGCAACCATACACCTGATTAGGGGTTAATATCCAAAATATATAAGGAACTCAAACAACTCAATAGCAAGACAACAATCCAATTTTAAAAAACGAGCAAAGGACCCAAATAGACATTTCTCAAAAGACATATAAATGGCTGGCTAGTATGTGAAAAAATGCTCAGCATCACTAATCATCAGAAAAATGCAAATCAAAACCACAATGGGATAATACTCATACTTCTTAGGATGACTATTATCAAAAAGATAAAAGATAACTGTTGGCAAGGACGTGGAGAAAAGAGAACACTTGAACATTGTTGGTTGAGAAGAATATAAATTAGTACAACCATTATGGAAAACAGTATGGAGGTTCCTCAAAAAATTAAAACATAACTACCATATGATCCAGCATTCCCACTTCTGGGTATAGATCCTAAGGAAATGAAATCAGTATCTCAAAGAGGTATCTGCACTCTCACGTTCCCTGCAGCATTATTCATAACAGTAAGAGATATGGAATCAACCTAAATGTCCATCGAGAGATCAATGGATAAAGAATATGTGGTATATAAATACAATGGAATAAATTCAGCTTAAAAAAAAAAAAGGAGCTAAGTGTGGCAGCTCAGGCCTGTAATCCTAGCACTTTGGAAGCCCGAGGCGGGAGGACTGACTGAGCTCAGGAGTTCAAGACCAGCCTGGGCAACACGGTGAAACTCTGTCTCTACTAAAATAAAAAAAAAAATAGTCCAGTGTGGAGGCATGCACCTGTAGTCCCAGCTACTTGGGAGGCTAAGGCAGGAGAACTGGCTTGAACCTGGGAGGCAGAGGTTGCAGCAAGCTGAGATTGTGCCACTGCACTCCAGCCTGGGCGACAGAGCAAGACTCCGTCTCCAAAAAAAAAAAAAAAAAAAAAAAAAAAAAAAAAAAATTCTGTCATTTGCAACAACATGGATGAACCGGGGGACATTATACTAAATGAAATAAGCCAGGCCCAAAAAGACAAATTCTGCATAATCTCACTTACATGTGGAATCTAAAAAAGTCAAACTCATAGAAGCAGAGAATAGAATGGTGGTTGTCAGGGGCTCAGGGGTTGGGGGAAATGGGGAAAAGTTGGTCAAAAGGTACAAAGTTCAGTCACGCAAGATGAATAAGTTCTGGAGATCTAATGTACAGGATGGTGACTATAGCTTGATAATAGTAATCATTTCACAATGTATATGTATATCAACATAAAAATAAAAAAATTAGTATTCAATAAAAATGCCACACTGCTTACCACTAATAAATGTTATAAATTGATACTTAGAGATAAATGGAGATTCATGCAGTACGATGCTCACAAAAATATATATATACACATGTACACACACACCTACCAATGAGTCACATGATCAGTCAGCTCTCCCATCACTTCATCACTTTTCTCTCTCCAAGTTTCCATGAAATACCTTGTTCAGAGGGAACCATGACATCTTATAAAGCTTCAATTGGCCTGAACACATAATCTACATATAAGTCCTATTTTCTTTAATCAGTCTGTGACAATTAAAATTTCTTGCCAGGTGCAGTGGCTTACATCTATAATCCCAGCACTTTGGGAGGTTAAGGTGGGAGGATCACCTGAAGTCGGGAGTTTGAGACCAGCCTGACTGACATGGAGAAACCCCGTCTCTACTAAAAATACAAAATTAGCCGGGCGTGATGGTGCATGCCTGTAATCCCAGCTACTCAGGAGGCTGAGGCAGAAGAATCACTTGAACCCAGGAGGCGGAGGTTGTGGTGAGCCAAGATCGTGCCATCGCACTCCAGCCTGGGCAATAAGAGCAAAACTCGGTCTCAAAAAAAAAAAAAAAAATTCATTTATAAGTTTCTTAAAAACTTCTTTATGAGATTTGTTTCTCAGGAAGTTCTATGAAAATAGCTTTCACCTGAAATTATCACTATAAAAGATATTTTTAATGGCAAAACAATTCAGTATGAGTACAGAAGTTGAAGATGATTTTCTTGACTTTACATTAATACACATTAACCTGATATAAGTTCCAATACAGCAGATTTATCATACATGTGGGCTCTAGATGATCACTTAGCAACCATTTAAACACAATACTGGCACTAAAATCTGTATAGCATGGTAGTCATTCAGATAACCCAGAATATGCTTATATTAATTTATTTTTAATTTATCATCAAAATGAAAACAAAATTAGTTCTATAAAGAAAGTTCTAGGCCAGGTGTGGTGGCTCACGCCTGTAATCCCAGCATCTTGGGAGGCCAAGGCTAGTGGATCGCTTGAGGTCAGGAGTTTGAGACCAGCCTGGCCAACATGGCAAAACCCTGTCTCTACTAAAAATATAAAAATTAGCTGGGCATGGTGGTGTACATCTGTAATCCCAGCTACTCGGGAGGCTGAGGCAGAAGAATGGCTTGAACCCTGGAGGCAGAGGTTGCAGTGGGCCAAGATTGCACCACTGCACTCCAGCTTGGGTGACAGACCAAGACTTCATCTTAAAAAGAAAAAGAAAGTAAGTTCTATAAGAATTTAGACCCTGAGTAATGCATCTTTAGACCTACTATCTCTAGGTCAAAGAGATACTATCCTAGACCACCTCAGTCAAACCACAAAATCAACTATCTACCCTTTCTCTGACCCCCTCCCTCAAAATCTCTAGCTTCCTCCTCTTTCCCGAGCCCCTGACTTGAATATCTGATTTTTAATAAGGTATCTGTACCAGGATTTAATGCAAACATGTCTATATCTGAACTCACCTTTCCACCCCAAATCTATTCTTCCATTATTCCATACTGAACATAAGCCCTAAATCAGTGATCACACCTTCATCTACCAGCTACTCAAACCACAAAGCTGCGAATTATTCTAAGATATTTATTTTCCTTTTCTCATACACTTCATTTCCAATCTCTCTCTATGCTCTTTCCATTTCTACTGCTATGATTTCAATTCAGGCCATCAAAATTTCTCATGTGAACTATTATAATATTCTCACTTGTTTTCTGAGTTCGTTATCATTAGTTTCTGTCCTCTTTCAATTTATTTCCATAACCACATCAAATACGTGTATATGTATATACATACTGAATATACCCAAGTACATACACATATGCATGCCCATACATATATATATAGACCACATACATCTATATAAAATATATATCCTGTGGAATTCACCTAAAGCAATGCTCAGAACCTTATTTCAATAAAAAATGAAAAAAAAAAAGATTAATAATACAAGCATCCAACCAAAAGTTTACAAAGAACAAAAAAAAGCAGAAGAAATTTAAAACCACCCAAGCAGAATCTAATGAGTTAGAAAACAAAATACTAATACATTAAAATTCAAGAGTTGATTCTTTGGAAAATAAATCACGAGACAATCTGATTTTAAAAGGAGTACAAAAACACAAAAAATAAAAAAAATGAGCACAAAAATAGATAAAATTTGAAAAAAAAAAAGGTAAAAGACTTCTTATCTCAACTCTATGTAAAGAAATTTGAAAGCCTGAATGAAATGGTTAATTTTCTAGAAAAATATAATTTTCCGGCTGGGCGCGGTGGCTCACGCCTGTAATCCCAGCACTTTGGGAGGCCGAGGTGGGCGGATCACGAGGTCAGGAGATCGAGACCATCCTGGCTAACAAGGTGAAACCCCATCTCTACTAAAAATACAAAAAATTAGCCAGGCGAGGTGGCGGGCACCTGTAGTCCCAGCTACTCAAAAGGCTGAGGCAGGAGAATGGCGTGAACCCGGGAGGCGGAGCCTGCAGTGAGCCGAGATCGCGCCACTGCACTCCAACCTGGGCGACAGCGAGACTCCATCTCAAAAAAAAAAAAAAAGAAAAATATAATTTTCCAAACCTAGCAGAGAGAAGAAAAAACAGACTGAAAAACTGAAATTATAAAGTTGTCTGAGAGCTGCCCACCTCCTACCCTTCTATTCCCCAAAAAAGAACCAAACCAAACGATTTACCGGGGAGTTCTAACAAAACCCCCAGTGAACAGATAATTCCAATGCTTTAACTGTTTTAGGACACAGGTAAAAGAAGCTTCCACATTATTTTTGCTGCAAGTAAAACACTGACACCCAAACTTGGGCGGGCTCACACCTGCACTTTGGAAGGCCGAGCACTTTGGAAGGCCAGACGGGTGGATCCCAGTGCTTTGGAAGGCAGAGGCGGGCGGATCACTTGAGGCCAGGAGTTCAAGAACAGCCTGGCCAACATGGTGAAACCCTGTCTCTATTAAAAATACAAAAATTAGCTGGGCGTGGTGGTGCATGCCTGTAGTCCCAGCTAACTTGGGAGGCTGAGGCATGAGAATCACTTGAACCTGGGAGGCGGAAGTTGCGGTGAGCTGAGATTGTGCCACTGCACTCCAGCCTGGGAAACAGAGCAAGGCTCTGTCTCCAAAAACAAACAAACAAACAAACAAAAAAAAACAAAAAAAACCATTGACACCAAAATCAAATTCCACAAAGAAAACTACAAACTATTCCCACTTACACCAACATTTTTTTAAAATTTCAGACCATGCGAATGTACTGCCTATTCAAAAATTAGATAAATACCTTATCATTAAAATTTAAAAATAAATATGTACATAATGACTTTCAGAATAAAATCCAAATTCCATAAAATGGTACTCAAAGAACTTCATGATCTGGCTCCTGCCTTCTTTTCAGGTTCATCTCCTGCCACGAGGCACACTCTGTGCTCAAGTTACCTTCATCTATCAGGTTAAACTATGTGAAACTGAATTATTTGACCATTTCTCACTTATAAAATGGCAACTGCACATGCTTCAACCTAATACTGCGCTCTCTCTCACCCCACTATTTGCTCATATACTATCTCTTTTGCTTTAAAGGACTCTTCATCAATCAACTTATTTGATTACTACTCGTCTTTAAAATTCAGCACTTATCTTCCTGGAATGGAGTGGCCATCTGAATTAAGTTTGCCCAGAATGGTCCTTGTTTACATCTGTTGTCCTGATATAATAATTAATTGCACTCTTTCAGTCTCAAAACTGTACCAGTTAGGATAATAAATTACATGGTGACCCTGTCTAAGAAACCTTGACCTCAGTGATTAGAATGTATTAGGCACCCAAGGATTATCCCAAGATCAGAGATGATGAATGCCTGAACAAAGACAGTGGGTATGAGAGTGGAAGAAAGAAGCATGAAAATTACTAGAAATGACAAGTAAGGGAATAAATAAGAGTTGGGAACTAACTGCATATGGAAATGAGAGGGAGAGAAGACCACAAACTTAAGACAGAGGAAGTATTAGCAGCTATCAACTCCAAACTGATATCTCAAATGGCAAAGTATTTTTCTCCAAGTCTCAAAGGCAGATTGCACCCTGGGTGACTGGAGGACAGTGATTTCACTGACTACAATAAAGAATAACAGTAAAACAAGCATTCAGAGAAACAGTAATTGGATTCACTATAAACATGTTGATTTCACATCCCGTAAGCTAAGTATACGGAAATGTTCAGAAGACAATTTTTTAAAATGCTTAGATTTGAAGTTCATGAGCAGAGATGTTGATTTGAAAGACATTAACATGACAATGACTTGGAAATACAGTGATATAAATCCTTTGGGAAACAAAAATATAAAATCTGAAACGTGAGTGTTGTTTTTGTTTATTAAGATGCTGTTCTAAAAAATTTAGAATGTGTTCTCAAGGAACTTGGTTTAAGTTGTTCCCTGACTGACAATGCTCCTGGGTAAAGAAGCAAACTTTGCTCTTAAAAGTAAAGTATGTTTATTATAAGCCTCAAAATTATTCTGACAAGTAATTTTAAATAAAATCTCCAGACCGTAATAAAAAATTATCAAGCACTAAGGAAATTAGACTCCATAACCAAGGACCAGCAGAAATTACAGAAAACAAAAACAAACCCAAGATTTCAGTTGGCATTTCCAGAGTCATCCTATAAAACAATGTAAACTGTATTTTTTTAAACACACACACAAAAATTTTTAAGATACCTAACAAGAAGTAGGTACCAAGAAGTAGATACCTACCAAGAAGATACCTACCAAAAAGTAACATTGATCTGAGAAAACCAAATGAAATTTCTAAAAATAAAATATACAACTGAAGTTAAACATATAATCAATAGGTTTAAGAGATTTCACATGGCTAAGAAAAAGTTACACCACAACAAATGCTCATAAATTAGGAGAAAAGTCAATGAAGGTAGTATTCTAAAGTATTTTTACTATCTGGGAGGATGATAAAGTATTACCGATTGATGTTTAGACTTGAAAAAAGTGAAACCCATGTTAAAAGTTCTAGGGTAACTTGTAAAAGAAAAAAGAGAATAACTTCTAAACTACTAGAAGGGGTAAAAATTGCCGAGATTAGCTCAGTCGTGGAGACCCTAACCCAGCGGCACTAGAGGAATTAAAGACACACACACACAGAAATATAGAGTGTGGAGTGGGAAATCAGGGGTCTCACAGCCTTCAGAGCTGAGAGCCCCAAACAGAGATTTACCCACATATTTATTGACAGCAAGCCAGTGATAAGCATTGTTTCTATAGATTAACTAAAAGCATTTCTTACGGGAAATAAAGGGATGGGTCTGGCTAGTTATCTGCAGCAGGAACATGTCCTTAAGGCACAGATCGCTCATGCTATTGTTTGTGGTTTAAGAAAGCCTTAAGCGGTTTTCCGCCCTGGGTGGGCCAGGTGTTCCTTGCCCTCATTCCGGTAAACCCACAACCTTCAGCATGGGCATCATGGCCATCAGGAACATGTCACAGTACTGCAGAGATTTTGTTTATGGCCAGTTTTGGGGCCAGTTTATGGCCAGATTTGGGGGGCCTGTTCCCAACATGTCCCCCTTATTTGTTTTGCAAAGTAATAAAAGCAAAGGCGGCTTTGTCACAGTGAGCTACTTCTCGCAGGAGTTGGAATCCACATCTGCAGACTATACAAAGACAAACAACACAGATTAAAAGCATAATCATCAGTGAAATCACAGATCGTCCAAGTGTTTTTAATCCATTTTAATGGGTTACTAGCTGCTAATCTGTCTGCAGCTCCTTCAAGCACTCCAGTTCCTGGCATTAAGGTCAGGTGTGCCTGGGTTGCTTTAAATATCTGTTCTTTTAATTTTGCAGTATCCAAAGACAAGTTTGTAGAGTGTCCTTCTAGATGCTTTTTATTCTTTCCCAAATTTTGATCTTGTTAACAGCCATTAATAGTTTCCACAAATCCTTATGTTTAGCTCCCACAGCGGGCCATATCATTTGAGGTTGAGGTGCCACCATACCGCCATGTTTCCAGATAATAGGAACTCTTGCCATACTTCTTACCATTTCTACCATCTGACCATTTTGTTCAGACCAGCTGAACATAAGTGTGGCTGTGGCACGCAGACTGAGAGATGCAATTCAAGCTAAACATCCCCTTAGGGGACCAATCAATAATGATTCCATAGAAATCACTGTGCAGCACCTCTGCCTGTTCTGCAATGCAATCTTCCTAAACAAGTACGTTCACTTTTTCTGGCCAGGTTCAATTTTGTTTACAAATAGCTTTTTGAGGGCGGTATGCCTCAATTATAGGAGCAGATTCATTACGGTAAATACTGAGATCAGAAAGCATGTGTAACTGTGTCATAGAGTGATTACATCCAGGCATTACTGCCAGCCAAGATTGATAAATATGCCCAATAAGTATAATTGTTCTCTGTGTCAGCCATTGTTGAAGGAATACTCACGGCAATGGTAATCACTGCTATCATAGGTACCATCAAATTACTCATTGTGACTGGTTGTCCTGCTTTCCTCAGGTTTTTATTCCGCCATCTGTGACAGCTTCTTGATCTGTCCCCAAGTAGGTGGCTATGTTCGATGGGTATTGCTCATGACAGTTGGGATCCTCCTCAGTGTCAATCTCGACATGGCTGCAACTACGGGGTCCTCGGGATCCTCCCAGAATCTCTTCCTTGGCATCTGGCTCATAATAAGGTTTCAGGTGTCTTAATGGTATCCAAATCAGCTGTTGATTCGGTCCTGGAGAAACACAAGCATAACCTCTACCCCAAGTTATTATTTTACCTATTTCCCAACTTTTTGTTATCAGATCTCTCCACCAAACCAGTTGTTCTGCTTCTGTCTTTGCAGCTGGTTTCTGTAGATGCTGTTCAGCCGCTGATAGCATCTAGCCTTTAGGCATGCTAAAAAAAATTTAAAGTTAATAATGCTAGATTCAATTGCATATGGGGTGTCCCGTAGTCCCTGTTTATCCCCCTCTGCTTTTGCAACTGCTGTTTCAGGGACAGATTCATTTTTTCCACTATGGCTTGTCCTTGAGAATTATATGGGATACCAGTACTGTGTTTAATATTCCACATAGAGAAAAATGCAGCTAGAGCTTGGCTAGTATAGCCTGGGGCATTATCTGTTTTAATAGAAGCTGGAATGCCCATCACCGCAAAACACTGCAAAAGGTGACGTTTAACACAGGCAGAAGAAAACATAACTGAGCATTTTCAATTATTTGTGTGGAATGAACCACATATGAAGAATCAGAAATCACATTAATAGGCATATTAAAAGCAGTCAATACCTCAATTACAGCTACAAAAGCTCCGCTTTTTGAGCTGAAGTATAAGGCGTCTGGAAAACTTTACCTTTTGATCCAAAATAAGAAGCTTTACCGTTACTAGACCCATCTGTAAAAACATTCTCAGCAACTTCAATTGGTTTAAATTTAGTTATTCTAGGGAGGATCCAATTAGTTCATTTCAAAAATTGAAACAGTTTCGTTTTAGGAAAATGATTATCGAGAATACCCACAAAGTGAGCTAAATGGGTTTGCCAAGTAAGACTATTTATAAAAGCTTGCTGTACTTGTGCCTTCATGAGAGAGACAACAATTTTTCCAGGATCATATCCATGTAATCTAACAATCCGAGTTCTCCCGTTTCCTATCATAGTAGCAATTTGATCCAAATAAGGAGTTAGAGTCCGTCAATTAGTATGTGGAAGAAAAAGCCACTCTACTAAGTCCTGCTTGTGGACAATAACACCAGTAGATGAATGCTGAGTTGGAAAAACTGGCAAATCTAGAGTCTTTTCTGGATCTATTCTATTTATTTGAGCTTTATGGACTTGCTTTTGATTAGCTGAAGCTCTGCCTCAGCTTCTTTTGTTAATTGCCAAGGGCTAGTGAGACTAGGATCTCCTCTAAGGATAGAAAATAGATTACTCATGGCATAGGTAGGAATGCCTAGAGCAGGTCGTATCCAATTAATGTCCCTTAGTAATTTTTGAAAGTCATTTAATGTTTTCAATTGATCCCTACGTATGGCTACTTTCTGTGGCACAATGGTAATGTCATTTACTAAGGTCCCTAAGTAGGAGTAAGAAGTAGTAGTCTGAATTTTGTCAGGAGCTATAATTAAACCAGCACTAGAAACTGAATTTTGCAAGTGATCATAACATTGGGGTAATGTTTCTCGATAGGGGGCAGCACAAATTATATTGTCCATATAATGAATAATGTAACACTGTGAAAATTTTTTATCAATAGGTTTAATTGCTTGCTCTACATAAGTCTGGCAAATTATTGGACTGTTTAACATGCCCTGTGGCAACACTTTCCAATGAAAACACTTAGCAGGCTGTAGGTTGTTTACTGCAGGAATTGTAAATGCAAACCATTCACAGTCCTGCTCAGCTAAGGGGATAGTAAAGAAACAGTCTTTTAAATCTATGACTATTAAAGGCCAATTTTTTTTAATCATAGCAGGAGAAGGCAATCCTGGCTGCAATGCTCCCATGCTCCCATAGGTTGTATAACTGAATTAATGGCTCTTAAATCAGTTAACATTCTCTATTTACCTGATTTTTTCTTAATTACAAAAACTGGTGAATTCCAAGGAGAAAATGTTGGAGCTATGTGTCCTTCTAATTGTTTATTAACGACGTTCTCTAAAGCCTCCAGTTTCTCTTTACTTAGTGGCCATTGTTCTATCCAAATTGGCTTATCTGTTAACCATTTTAAAGGTATAGGTTCTAGAGGCTGAACAATGGCTGCCATCAAAAATGATATCCTAAACCTTGGCAGGAACTTTGTCTTTCCGCTTAAAGCGGTTCCTTCAAATCTTGCAAATTTTTTCCTAGTCCCATACCAGGGACATACCTGATTTCAGGCATCATATGTTGACTCTAAGGGCTGTTTAATTGCTCTGGAATTAGAACTTTTGCTCCCCATTATTGTAATAAATCTCTTCCCCACAGATTTATAGGTACAGAAGTTACAATCGGTTGAATAGTCCCAGGTTGTCCATCAGGTCCTTCATAATGCAAAATATAACTACTTTGATATACTTCAGGGGCTTTACCAACTCCAACTATGTTAAATTGAACAGGTTGAATTGGCCACGCAGACAGCCAGTGCTGTAGAGAAATGATTGAAATGTCCGCTCCTGTATCTACCCAACCCTTAAATTTCTTTCCCTGAATAGTTATTTCACAGGTAGGACATTTATCAGTAATTTGATTCACCCAATAAGCTGCTTTGCCTTGTCTATTTGTGCTTCCAAATCCTCCTGTTTAATTTCACTTTTCCCCATTTCCACATACGGCACAATCAGGAGCTGTGCTATGCGCTCTCCTGGCTCTGCTTTCCAGGGAACAGAAGTAGATGTAACAATTTGAATTTCTCCATTGTAATCTGAATCAATGACTCCTGTATGTATTTGTACTCCTTTTAAATTTAAATTAGACCTTCCTAGAAGTAATCCTATTGTCCCCGCTGGCAAGGGTCCACAGACTCCTGTTGGGACCTTTTGCAGGGGTTCCCCAGGCAGAAGGCTCACAGCTTTTGTGCAGCATAAATCTACCACGGCACTACCAGCTGTGGCAGGGGACAGACATTGCCCAGGGGTGAGGGAATGGCCTGAGCCGGAAATGCTCCCATTTGGAATGGGGCCCGAAATTGGGTTCCCATCTTTATCAAAGTTAGAGTGACACCAATTAGCCCAATGTTTTCCTTTTTCACATTTTGGACATATTTCAGGCTCAGCAGTTTTCTTTTTTCCCCTATCTGGCAGCCTGATTCGCTGATTTTTTCTACATTCTTTTTTAGTATGACCATGCTTCCCACAGTTAGAACAAGCTCCAGGAAACTGAGTATTTCCTTTACCCACTCTCAGTCCTGCCATTGCTTGGGCTAGCAGAGTAGCCTTAGGCAGATTACCTACGATACCATCACAGGCCTTGATATAATCAACTAAATGTACTTTCCCTCTAATAGGTCGCAGAGCAGCCTGGCACTCGGGATTAGCATTGCCGAAAGCTAATAACCGCAACGCTATATCCTGAGCAGCTGAATCTGCAATCACCTTTTTAAGAGACTCCTGTAACCGAGCTATAAAATCCATGTACAGTTCTTTTGGTCCCTGTTTTACAGCACTGAAGAGGCACTGCTCGAACAGTCACTGGGGCAACTACTTTTCGCCCAGTGTCCTCTGGAAAAGAAAGATCTGGAGGGTCAGGCCACTCCTTTTCTTCAAAATAAGGAGGGGGTGCAGGAGGGTAGGGATGAACCTCTTCCTCCTTTGCTGTTTTTACTTTAGGTGGCAAACAAACCTGCTCTGTTACTTCGTTATACTCTCCTTCCACATCAGTGTGAAAAGGTTCCAAGGTGGAACGAACCAGAGCCCACACTTGTCCCAATGTTACCCTGATGCTTCCGAGCTCCCCTTCTTACCCACCATGGGGACTGCTTAGAGTACCCGGGTGTCCTCCTGCTTAGTTCCATGTTCTCCAACCATCACTCCAGCGACCCCTCAACCTGGGTTTGAGCCCCATGTATGGGCGCCACTTGCCAAGACCACCTTGGTCGTGGAGACCTTAACCCAGTGGCGCTAGAGGAATTAAAGACACACACACACAGAAATATAGAGTGTGGAGTGGGCAATCAGGGGTCTCACAGCCTTCAGAGCTGAGAGCCCCAAACAGAGATTTACCCACATATTTATTGATAGCAAGCCAGTATAAGCATTGTTTCTATAGATTAGAGATTAACTAAAAGCATTTCTTACGGGAAATAAAGGGATGGGCCAAAACAAGGGGATGGGTCTGGCTAGTTATCTGCAGCAGGAACATGTCCTTAAGGCACAGATTGCTCATGCTATTGTTTGTGGTTTAAGAAAGCCTTAAGCAGTTTTCCAACCTGGGTGGGCCAGGTGTCCCTTGCCCTCATTCCGGTAAACCTGCAACCTTCAGCATGGGCATCGTGGCCATTGCAAACATCTCACAGTGCTGCAGAGATTTTGTTTATGGCCAGTTTTAGGGGCCTGTTCCCAACAAAAAATGAAATAATGGAAAAAAGAAATCAACAGTCTTACAAGTGAACCTAGACAAAACCAGCAGAGGAACTGCCCAGCCACCCACAGAACTGAGGGTAAAAGATAATCGCTGAAACCACTGAACTTTGGGGTGGTGAAAAGTCATGGGTCAAAGAAATCAGAAAATATTTTGAAATGAGTAATATATGTAACAACAGACTTACAAAATGAAAAGGTTTATAACAAAAAATCTGTAGGCTCCAACTAAAGCAGTGTTCACAAAGAACTTTATAACCTTAAATGCGTATATTTAAGAAGAAGGTTCAACATGTTGTCCAGTGCCTAAAATAATTTAAAATAAATAAAAATGGCCAGGTGCAGTGGCTCACACCTGTAATCACAGCACTTTAGGAGGCCAAGGCAGAAGAACTGCTTGAGTCCAGGAGTTTGAGACCAGCCCGGACAACACAGTGGGACTCCATTTTTTTTTTTTTTTTTTTTTGAGATGGAGTCTCGCTCTGCCCCCCCGGCTAGAGTACAGTGGCACAATCCTGGCTCAATGCAACCTCCGCCTCCCAGGTTCAAGCAATTCTCCTGCCTCAGCCTCCTAAGTAGCTTGGACTACAGGCGCACACCACCATGCCCAGCTAATTTTTGTATTTTTAGGAGAGACGAGGTTTCACCATGTTGGCCAGGATGGTCTTGATCTCTTGACCTCATGGTCTGCCTGCCTCAACATCCCAAAGTGCTGGGATTACAGGCATGAGCCACTGTGCCCAGCCGAAAAATATAAAAACACAGATAGAAGCAAAAAATAATGAAATAAAAAAGACATGAGAGAAAACTACACTAAAAGTTTAATTTTGGGAAAAATTAACACATTTTATAAGCTCATGGCAAGACTGATCCAAAAAAATACGGCAATATAACCAATATTAGAAAGTGATCTATCTATCAGAAGCAATCTCCACCAAAATCCCAACATGTGAATTCTAAAATTTCTATACAAACACAATACAGAACCCTGAAATAACATCACACACCTACAACCTACTGATGTCTACAAAGTCAACAAAAATATGCACTGGGGAAAGGACACCCCATTCAATAAACAGTGCTGGGAAAATTACATAGCCATGTAGAATGAAACTGGACCCCTACCTCTCACCACATACAAAAATTAACTCAAGATGGATTAATGACCTTATCGTAAGACCTAAAACTACACAAATCCCAGAAGCTGATAAGCACATCTTATAACTTGTTTATAAAACAAGAGAAAAGCTCTTCTAGCCATTGGCCTAGGCAAAGAATTTATGACCAAGTCCCAAAACCAAGCACAACAAAAACAAAAATAGACAAATGAGACTTAAACTAAAAAGCTTCTACACAACAAAGGAACAGTCTATGGAGTAAACAGACAACCTACAGAATGGCAAAAAATATTTGCAAACTATGCATCCAATAAAGGGCTAATATCCAGAATACACAAGGAACTCAGCTCAACAAGAAAAAAACAAGTAACCCTATTAAAAAGTGGGCAAACAACATGAACAGACATTTTTCAAAAGAAGACATACAAAGGGGCCAAAAACATGAAAAAATGCTCAACATCACTAATCATCAGAGAAATGCAAACTAAAACCACAAGGAGATTACCATCCTATACCAGTCAAAATGGCTATTATTAAAAAGTCAAAAAACAACAGATGTTGGCAAGGATGTGGAGAAAAAGGAATGCTTACACACTGTGGTGAGAATATAAATTATTACCATCTTTATGGAAAACAGTATGGTGATTTCTCAAAGAACTAAAAACAGAACTACCATTCCATCCAGCAATCCCCCTATTGGGTATACATCCAAAGGGAAAGAAAATATATATATATAAAAGATACCTGCACTGGTATGTTTATCATAGCACTATTCACAACAGTAAAGATATGGAATCAACCTAAGTGCCTATCAATGGAGGACTGGATAAGAAAAATGTACATATATACCATGGAATACTACTCAGCCATAAAAAAGAATGAAATCATGTCTTTCACAGCAACATGGACAGAACTGGAGGCTATTATCCCAAGAAATAACTTTGAAACAAAGTCAAATATCAAATGTTCTCACTTATAAGTGGGAGCTTAACGATGTGTACACATAGACATACAGAGTGGAATAACAGACACTGCAGATTACAAAAGGTGGGAGGGTGGCGGGGTGAGGGTTGCAAAATTACCTATTGGGTAGAACATTCACTATTCAGGTGATGGGTACACTAAAAGCCCAGACTTCACTGCTGTCTAATATATGCATGTAAGAAATCTGCACTTATACCTCCTAAATATATTTAAACCATTTTTTTAATGTAAAGACTATTTTAAAAATTATATATAATACCAATGCAAAAGTTGATAACTAAAGCACATTGCATAACTTGTTTATAAGATTCACTACACTCATAAAATTGGGTTCCTCCACAGCAACTATAAAATAGTGTTCCATAAAAATATGGAAGTCCTTTAGAAAAAAGGCAGAAGAGCCACATAAGTCATCTTACAGACGGAATTCTGGGAAAACGGCTTATAGCAATTGCACAGTATTTTTAAAATAAACTTTTAATTCTGATATGATTGCAAACATACTGAAAATCTGCTAGAATAATACACTGAATTCTCTATGCCTTCCATCTAGATTTCCCAATTAATGTTCTAACAAATTTGCTTTATTCTTCTCTATATATACACACACATGCATTTTTTCCTAAGCCATCTGAGATTGTTACTTCTAAATATTTCAGTGTTTACATTCTAAAAACAAAGACTTTCTCTTATATAACTATAGTACAATTATCAAAATCATGAAATTAACATGGATAGAATACTAAAACTAATCAGACCTTATTCCAATTTCTCTGATTATCCCAATAATATCCTCTTACCTTGTTCAACCACCCCCTCCTTTTGACCCCGTTCTTACTCATACCCTCTAAGTAACCAGTTTCATCATTTCCTTATTTATCCATCTTCTTTTTGTACAAAATGAGCAAATAACATATTTGATTTTCCCTTCTTTCTTACATAAAAGATAGCATATCTAGTCTTTTGTACTTTTCACTTAATGTTTCCTAGAAATCACTTTCTATCAGTCCATAGAAAGCACCTTCATTTTTCTTCACAGCTCTGTAACACTCCATTGTGTGTAAGTACCATAGTTTATTCAACCACCTCTTATGCATGTATGGGCATTTAGGTTGTCTCCAATAGTTTGTAATAACAAGAAATGCCCAATGAATAACCCTACACATCTGTATTTGAACACTTTCAGAGCTGTATCCTCAGTGGGACTACTGAGTCAATACATAAATGCATACGCAGTTTTGTTAGCTATAATCAAATTCCCCTCCACAAAGGCTGCACCTCTGCATTACCACTAGGATTTTAAGAGAGTTCCAGTTTCTTCACAGCCTCACCAATAAAGTATATTGTTGCATTTTTAAGTTTTTGCCAAAGTAGTATGTGAAACAGTATCTTAGTATAGATTAAATTTGCATTTCTCATATTTTAAGTGAGGTTAATCACATGTTTAAGAATCATCTATATACTTATTAGCCCTATATCTGTGATATATATTACAGATATGTTCTATAAGTTTGTCATTTGTCTTTTGTTATGGTGGGTTTTTACCACACAGAAGCTTTTTAATTTTATATAGTCAAATGTATCAATATTTTCTTTTGTTGCATCTGGATTTTTGAATCACACTTACAAAAGCTTTCCCTACACCCAGGTTATAGAGGAATCCACCCATGTTTTTCTCTGGCACTTGTATACTTTAATGGATTTATCCTTACATATGGTATGAGATGTAGATCTCATTTTATCGCATTTCCAATGGCTAACCAATTATTCTACTGGCATTTATTAAAAATTCTATCTTTATTCTAGTGATTTGAGATAAATGGGATTATTTTGAAGCTCCTTGAACCCATCCTCCACCTCCCAAGAAAAAACCTGACTGAGCAACTAGGATAGCAAAACCCAAAACCCATGGACAACACATACAACGAAACTAGAAAACTAGATGACAAAGTATTTCTACAAATCCCAAAATATGAATAGGAGGTAACAACCTACCAACAGCTACAAAACCCGAAAGGTAGCAGAGTGAAGTAATAGGGTATCTTATCCACCTCGGGAAGATCCCTACATCACTAAAAGAACTCACTGGAAAACTTAAAGGACCAATTTGAGAGCAGCAGCTGAACTGGGAGGCATTCCACACAGTCCAGTAAACAGCACTGTAAGCAAGTGCAAGGAGTTCAAGGTAATGTCTATTGGGCTTGGAGCAGCCTGGACCCTTGAAGACTCAAAATTAACCAGTTAAAGCTCCCTTTCAGAACAGAGCCTCCTGCGAAGAGAAACTGCAAGGAACAGAATACTATGTGAGACCATAGGAACAAAGGGTAAGAAAGAAACAGCCTAGAGATCTCAGATAGTAAACAGTATTTTCAAACACTACTTGAAAACAACAGAAGAGGGTGCTGTAGAGCATAAATTAGAAAAGTTATCCTAAATCAAACTTCCTCTTCTAAAAGTTGAAAAAATTAATTTCAGACAAAAAAAGAAAAGCAAACAATGGGATAGTATCAAAGTTAAATCTTTTACAACATTATAAGAAAAAATACAAGAATAAAAATATCCCTACAGACAATGAAAGCATGTGAGAAACACATTCCTACAAGATATAAAAACTATAACCTATGATGTCAAAATAATCCAGAAAAAATTAAGAAGCAATGCTAGCCAGGCACAGTGGTGTGTGCCTGCAATCCCAGCTACTTGGGAGGCTGAGGCTAGAGAATCACTTGAGGCCAGGAGTTCAAGGCTGCAGGAAGCTGTGATTGCACCTGTGAATAGCCACTGCATTCCAACCTGGGGAACACAGTGAGAGTTTGTCTCTAAATGAAGTACAAGAAGCCAATGCTAGACATAAACTCACAGCATAAAATAATATTTTTTAAACTTACAAATGTGGTGATAAAATATTAGAAATTTAGAAAGAAAAATAATTTCAAAATTGAATATGAAACCATAAAAAGTACAAGGGCAAATAAACACAACAGATAAAACATGAAAGTAAATATACAAATTATATACAAATATACAATTTCATATATTCAAACAAAACAGAGTATTTTTTATTTTTGATAGAGTCTCGCTCTGTTGCCCAGGCTGGAGTGCAGCAGCACAATCAGTTCACTGCAACCTCTACCTCCCACGTTCTCCTGTATCAGCCTCCTGAGCAGGTGGGACCACATGCACATGCCACCACACCTGACTAATTTTTGTATTTTTAGTAGAGACAGGGTTTCATCATGTTGGCCAGGCTGGTCTCAAACTCCTGACCTCAAGTGATCTGCCCACCTCAGCCTCCCAAAGTGCTGGGATTATAGGTATGAGCCACTGCGCCCAGCCTAGAATTTTTTTTTAATGTGAAAAAAAAATCCTTTGGATACACAAAAGACCAAGTCATTTAAAAGGGAAAAGCAAAAGAGATTAGCCACAGACTTTGTTAACAACCCTCAGTGTCAGAAAACAATAGAGTAACATATTTAAGATATTCAAGAAGAGAAAATGTGAACCTAGGATTTTACATCCAGACAAATTTTCAAGTACAAAGGTCACAGACAAACTGTTTGCAACATGAAACAATTCAGAGATTATTGTTCCATGAGCTCTTCCTGAGGAATTTACTACAGAACAAGCTCTGGACAAGAAGAATGACTATAAAGCCAGTGACCTAAAAAGAGGTAGTGAGCACTCAATATGGATTTACTTGCAGAACTAGGAATAAATGAGAGTTAAAAGGGAAAGAATACATAGCAGTGTACCCTCAAAGACACTTCACATTCAGTTCCAGACCACAGCAATAAAGCTAACAGGCAATAAAGTGGGTCACGTGAACATTTTGGTTTCCCAGTGCACATAGAAGTTATGTTTACACTATACTGTGTAGTCTCTCAAGTATCCAATGACATTACGTCTAAAAAAAAAATCAATGGACATACCTTGGTTTTTAAAATACTTTATTGCTAAAAAATGTTCATCCTTTTGCTGGTTGAGGGTCTTGCCTCCATGTTAATGGCTGCTGAACAAACAGGGCAGTGGTTGCTGAAGGCTGGGGTGGCTGTGGCAATGTATTAAAATAAGACAGCACTGAAGTTTGCCATAGTGATTAACTCTTCCTTTCACAAAAAGAGTTCTCTGTGCCATACTATGCTGTTTGATGGCATTTTACACAATAGAACTTTCAAACTTGGAGTCAATCAATCCTCTCAAATCTTGTCACATCAACCAAGTTTATGTAATATTGTAAATCCTTTGTTGTCATTTAACAATGTTCACATCATCTTCACCAAGAGTAGATTCTATCTGAAGAAATCACTTTCTTTGCTCATGCATAAGAGGCAACTCTTCATCCTTTCAAGTTTGTGTGTGTGTGTGTGTGTGTGTGTGTGTGTGTGTGTGTGTGTATGTGTGTGTGTGTGTGTGATGGAGTCTTGCTCTGTTGCCAGGCTGGAGTGCAATGATGTGATCTCGGCTCACTGCAACCTCTGCCTCCCAGGTTCAAGCGATTCCCCTGTCTCAGCCTCCCAAGTAGCTGGGACTACAGGCGCATGCCACCACACCCGGCTAATTTTTTGTATTTTAGTAGAGATGGGGTTTCACCATGTTGGCCAGGATGGTCTCGATCTCCTGACCTCGTGATCTGCCCGCCTCAGCCTCCCAAAGTGCTGGGATTAGAGGTGTGAGCCACCACACCTGGCCATCCTTTCAAGTTTTATTATGAGATTGAAGCAATTCTGTTGTATCTTCAGATTCCACTTCTAGTTCTCTTGCTATTTCTATCACATCAGTTACTTCCTCCACTGAAATCCTGAACCCCTCAAAGTCATCCATGAGGGTTGGAATAACTTCTTCCAAAATCCCATTAATGTGGATATTCTGACCTTCTTCTATGAACCACAAATGTTCTTAATGGCACCTAGAGTACTGAATCCTTTCCAGGTTTTCTATTTATTTAACCCAGATCCATCACAGAGATAACTATCTATGGAAACTACAGCCTTCCAAAATGTATTTGTTAAATAATAGGCTTTGAAAGTCAAAATTACTCCTTAATCCATGGGCTGCAGAAAGGATGCTGTATAAGCAGTCATGAAAACAACATTAATCTCCTTGTACATCTCCACTAGAGCTCTTGGGTGACCAGGTACATTGACAATGAGCAGTAACATTTTGAAAGGAATCTTTTTTCAGAGCAGTAGGTCCCAACAGTGGTATTAAAATATTCAATAAATGATGCTGTAAACAGACGTGCTGCTATCCAGGTTTTATTGTTCCATTTACATGTAGGCAGAGTAAATTTAGCATAATTCTTAAGGGCCCTAGGATTTTCACTATGGTAAATGTGTATTGGCTTCAACTTAAAATTGCTTGCTGCATTATCCCCTAACAAAAGAGTCAGACTGTTCTTTGAAGCAAGGCATTTACTTATCTTCTCTAGCTATGAAAGTCCTAGGTGGCATCTTCTCCAATAGATAGCTGTTTTGTCTACATTGAAAACCTGTAGTTTAGTATAGTCCACCTTTATCGATTATCTTAGCTAGATCTTCTGGATAACTTGCTGTAGCTTCCACATCAGTACTTGCTGTTTCACCTCGCAATTTCATATTATAGAGATGGCTGCTTTCCTTAAACCTCATGAACCAACCTTTGCTAATCTCAAACTTTTCTTCTACAGCTTCCTCACCTCTCTCAGCCTTCACAGAACTGAAGAGTTAGGATCTTGCTCTGGATTAGGTTTTAGCTTAAGGGAATGTTGCAGCTGGTTTGATCTTCTATCCAGACCACTCAAACTTTCTCCCTATCAGCAATAAGGCTGTTTCTTATCATTCTTGTGTTTACTGAAGGAGCAGTTTTCCTTCAAGAACTTTTCCTTTGCATTCACAACTTGGCTAACTGGCACAAGAAACCTAGCTTTTGAATTTCATGGCACCCCAAAACAATTACAATAGTAACAACAAAGATGTCCAATCACAGATCATCATAACAGATATGATAAATGAAAAAGTTTGAAATATCACGAGAATTACCATAATATGATACAGAGACATGAAGTGAGCACATGCTGTTGGTAAAATGGCTTCAATAGACTTGCTCAATGCAGGGTTGCCACAAACTTTCAATTTGTAAAAAACACATTACCGCCAAAGCACAAAAAAGTAAAGTGCAATAAAATGAGGCATGCCTATATCAATATGCTCTGACAACACAGATACAGTACAACCAAAAAATAAGGAAGAATGGAAAGAGCCTATGTGAAAAAAATTTAACTATTTTCAGTAATCATATTAATAGTAGAGATATTTGTATTATTATTTGGAGAACACTGAGTGTGTAAAGTGGGATAACGCAACTGAATATTTCCGTGATACTCTAATTTGACCATCAACTGTGTCTTTGAGAATCAGGATTATCAGTTTGGGATACAAGGAGATACAGATGTAAATAGAAGATGATAATTTAAAAAATCTTGAAATCTTGTATGTGGATTGGAAGTGTCAGTATGCATATCGTGGCTCTGTCCATAAGAAAAGCCTAGAAACAACTGCCAACCTAGTAGCAATGAGCATCCCTAAATTCCAATTGTGATCTTGAAATACCATTTCCCAATAAAAGGAAGCAACCTCTTCTTAGGAAAAAAAGCTGATTCTAGATCTGGGTCAGGAAATGTCTAAGAGGAGCCTGGAACATATTACTACAGACAGCAAGGAAGCTATCAAAGATCACTAAAGCCATGTCAAAAGCACTAAGGAGCCAGCTTAAAGAGGCTCCCATTGGTCCAAGATGGGACAATTGAGCAAAAATAAGGACAAGAGCTGTAATAAACTGAAGCACAAATAATTAAATCAAAAGGTTCATAATGACAAGAAGAACTCACTGGTCACTTTTAGGTAATAACACGAAATTAACATATTATTTTGATAACTGGTAAATGAAGAAGCAAATATCCAACTTTTCCTAATTGAACTGCACCACTAGGTACAACTACTAACCAGATAGCAGAAAAGAAAAGGTTTCTTTCTGTGGAAGCATTCCACCTTATAAGTGAAGAAATAACAGAATTCAAATATCACCATATTGCAAGCTTTAATAAATTCACTGATCTAGGTGTCAAGCATCAGTGGCTGCTAAAATCACAAAAAGAGAGAAAACTAGACACTATAACTCTCTTTTTTGCAAGACAGAATCTTGCTCTGTTGCCCAGGCTGGAATGCATGGTGCCATCACAGTTCACTGCAGACTCAATCTCCTAGGCTGAAGTGATCCTCCCACCTCAGTAGCTGGAATTACAGGCATGTACCACCACACCTCCCTAATGTTTTTTACTTTTTATAGACACAGGGTCTCATTACGTTGCCCAGACTGGTCTCAAACTCCTGGGCTCAAGTTATCCTCCTGCCTGGGCCTCCCAAAGTGCTGGGATTACAGGTGAGAACCACCATGCCTGGCTTTATATATCTCCTGATGGTGAATATACCACACTAACTCCTAGGAAGTGGAAAAAAAACAAAACTCAAAGCAAAACCTAAATTTGATCAAGGTTTTAGATCCAACTACCAATTTATGGGAAATACAAAGGATGAAGAAAAAGTATGCAATCAGCATAATCTAGACTACAGAATCTGTACAGGTCAAAATAACTGGCTGCTTCAGGGAATAAACTGTAAGAAAGAAAGGGAAAGGGAGGTGGCAGGGGGATATGTAGGTTAAGAGACATAGATAAAAAAAAAACCACAAACACAACTAAATTATAGTTTTCAGGAATGCACATTTGGGTGATGAAATTATAGGAAACACAAAGATGCGATTATACAGAAGTCAGGATAGCAATTACTTTTAGGTGAGAGGAAAGGGGCTGTGACTGGGAAGGGCCATGTGGAAGGCTTCTGCAGTGGCTGGCAAAGATTTATTTCTTGATCTGGGTAGTGGTTAAAAGGGTGTTTTGTTTTGTAAAAGATGTCATTGCATTATTTATGTATTTATGCAGTTTTCTGTCTGTGGTATAATCTACAATAAAAGGTGCCTTAACTCTTAGAGTATTGCACCATGATTGTATTACACTCATGTACTGCATAACATTTCAGTGAAAAATGCATACACAACAGTGGTCCCATAAGATTATAATGGAGCTGAAAAATTCCTATCACCTAGTGACTCTGTAGCTGACATCATACCGCAGTACAACACATTACTCACATGTATGTGGTGATGAAACTACTGCTGCACTGCCAGTCATATAAAACAATTAGGTACAGTACTTAATGCTTGATAATAATAATAAATGACTATGTTACTTGTTTATGTATTTACTATACTATACTTTCATCATTATATTAGAGTGTACTCCTACTTAAAAAAAAAGTTAACTATAAAACAGCCTCAAGCAGATCCTTCAAAAAGTATTCCAGAAGAAGGTACTGCTATCATATGAATGACAGCTCCACACATTTTACTGTCCCTGAAGACCTTCCAGTGGGACAAGATATAGAAGTGGAAGACAGTGATTTTTTTTAAACTAAAAAATTTTTTTTAAATAAATTTCATGTAGCCTAAGTGTACAGTGTTTATAAAGTCTACAGTCATGTGCAATAATATGCTAGGCCTTCACATTCACTCATAACTCACTCAATGATTCACCCACAGCAACTTCCAGTCCTGCAAGCTCCATTCATGGTAACTACACCTTATACAGGTACACCGTTTTTGATCTTTTATGCCATATTTTAACTGAACCTTTTCTATGTTAAGACATGTTTAGAGGCTGGGAGCAGTGGCTCATACCCATAATCCCAGCACTTTGGGAGGCCAAAGTGGGCAGATCACTTGAGGCCAGGAGTTCGAGACTAGCCTGGCCAACATGGCAAAACCCCGTTTTAACTGGAAAAAAAAAAAAATTAGCAGGGCATGATGGCCCACACCTGTAGTCCCAGCTACAGGGGAGGCTGAGGCAGGAGAAGCACTTGCACCTGGGAGGCGGAGGTTGCAGTAAGCCAAGACTATGCTGCTGCACTAAAGCCTAGGCGACAGATCCAGACACTGTCTAAAAAAAAGACATGTTTAGACAAAAAAAAAAAAAAAACTGACCATTGTGTTACAACTGCCTATAGTATTCAGTACAGTAACATGAGGTACAGGTTTGTAGCCTAGGAGCAATAGACTATACCATATACCATACAGCTTGGGTGTGTATATAGCATCTATGTTTGTATAAGTGCACTCTATGATGTTCACACAACAATAAAATTGCCTAACCGGGCCGGGCGTGGTGGCTCACACCTGTAATCCCAGCACTTTGGGAGGCCAAGGCAGGCAGATCACCTGAGGTCAGGAGTTTCAGACCAGCCTAGCCAAAATGGAGAAATCCCGTCTGTACTAAAAATACCAAATTAGCTGCTCATGGTGGCACATGCCTGTAATCCCAGCTACTCAGGAGGCTGAGGCAGGAGAATCGCTTGAACTCGGGAGGTAGAGGTTGCAGTGAGCCGAGATCGGGCCACTGCATTCCACACTGGGCAACAAGAGCGAAACTATGTCTGGAAAAAAAAAAAAAAAGGCTGGGCGTTGTGGCTTACGCCTGTAATCCCAGCACTTTGGGAGGCCGAGGTGGGTGGATCACGAGGTCAGGAATTCGAGACCAGCCTGACCAACAGGGTGAAACCTTGTCTCTACTGAAAATACAAAAATTAGCCGGGCATGGTGGTGGTGCGTGCCTGTAATACCAGTTACTCAGGAGGCTGAGGCAGGAGAATTGCTTGAACCCAGGAGGCAGAGGTTGCAGTGAGCCGAGATAGTGCCACTGCACTCCAGTCTGAGCAACAGAGTGAGACTCCGTCTCAAAAAAAAAAAGAAAAAAAATTTGCCTAACAGTGCATTTCTCAGAAGACATCTCCATTGTTAAGCAATGCATGACTTAATATAGCAAATAGAATTTTAATAATGAATTTCACTTTGTAATTTAATATAAAACCTTTTTTAACCCCTGAATGATTCTTGAGTTCTTTGAATCTAAATTCATTTGAAAGACTTTGATTTAAATGTTTTATTCTGCCTTTTACCTTCCACATGGTTAATTCGAACTTAAGGACTCTCATAATTAGATACCATTTTTACTTATTCCTCACCTGTAAAATGAAGACAATAAAAAGAATTATTTCAAAAGACTGTTGTTAGGAATAAACGTAAAACATTTAGAACAATGTCTAAAATATGGTTAAGTGTTCAATAAATACTTTATTTATAGTAATATCTCCAGCTTCGTCTCCTTGCAGTTCCTTCTCAAATATAACTCCATTAACTCCATGCCTTTGTGCAAGCTGTTTTCCCTACCTGGAATGCCTTTTACCCCTTAGCAAAACACTATATATTTCTTAAGGTCAAGCTCCAGTATGAAACCCTCCCAGGTAACAACCAGAAGAATTAAACTGTGTTACTACCACAGGTCTACTCATACTCAGTTGTACAAATTTTCTATGCATTTGTAGTAATAGTGCCACAAGACTGGAGTTAAAAATAACGTTTATTTAATTTGGTATCTCAAAGCCTAGCCTATTGACATATAGCGCTCAACAGAACGTACTGGATAAATGTTGTTATTTCCTCTCACATTCCTGTTTCCTCCAGTGGGGGAAGAGAGAATAGATATTTTCTTGAACCAGTCATAAAATACATACAGAAATGTATTCAACCAGTAACAGTTAAATTAGAAATTATATGATACTTAAGAAATGGGATCACCTCATTTATTCTGTCCCATGCTTGCTTCCTCCACCCCACCTCTTTACTAAACAATATATCTTGGGCACTGTTGATGGGGTAAAAAGTCACGAGTCCTACAGTTGAAAATATCTTAAATCTAATTTCCTGATGCAACATAACTGTATTCACAGGTAAATAAAGAACTATATTTTAGTCCAGGCATGGTGGTTCACGCCTATATCGTCCTAACACTTTGGGACCCTATCTCTACAAAAAAATTAAAAATTAGCCAGGCATGGTGGTGCACACCTATAGTCCCAGCTACTCAGGAGGCTGAGGTGGGAGGATCAATTGAGCCCAGGAAGTCAAGGCTGCAGTGAGCCATGATGGCACCATGTACTCCAGCCCAGGCCACAGAGTGAGTCTGTCTCAAAAAGCAACAACAAACCATATTTTAAATAAAATATTATCAGGGAATGTTTGTTGGTTTTTTTTGAACTAGAAATTTCATATAAAATGTCAAGATACAACATTCTCTCTTTCAATAGTCTATGAGTTTCTTAACAGCAAAACTCTTGTCTAATTTACTTTTTAGCTTAACATCTGAAAACCCAGCATCTGGTACATAGCAAGCACTCGACTTTGACTTGGTGGCATGATCTTTGGGTTCTTTGTTTTTGAGTAGTTGATTGATTTCTACCTGCCTATCTCAGGCCAAGCTACTTCCTCCAGCCCTCATTCTGGAAAGAGGAAAAAATCTGATTTTATCTCAAATTCTTCTTTTTCGCATATTTTTACCTTTTTTAGCCACACCTCCAAGATAAACTAAAGAATGGCAACAACAATGAATTTATAGTCAGAAGTTTGACTTTCATGCAAGCTGATATGCAGTATTTTTATAGGCAAGATAAAAGTATGCATAGTAAAAAGGAAATGCACCAATATGCTAATATGATTTTAGCTAAATGCCATCATTGTAAGTTGCATCCAAATTTCAGAGAAGTTAAAATGTGAACAGAGATGCTAAAATGTAAAAAAAGTGCATCTTAGAATCAATAAAATATGACACTAATGATAAACGTTAGAAAAGGTGTTTTCTCCCTTCTTCTAGTTATTCAAATTTCCATGGTGTATATTTAACTTTGATAATGCAAAAATGTTTAATTTTTAAAATTAAAGTCATATTTAATTTTAAAACAGCTTTTTTACATGTAGGCCTACTCACTAAATTAACAAAAATTTACAGAATTGTTGTCCTTATCCTCTGAGACACCATGTTAGTCTGTTTTCACACTGCTGATAAAAACATACCTAAGACTGGACAATCTAAAAAAGAAAGAGGTTTAACTGGACTCACAGTTCCACATGGCTGGGGAGGCCTCACAATCATGGTGCAAGGCAAGGAGGAGTAAGTCACACCTTACGTGGAGGGTGGCAGACAAAAACAGCTTGTGCAGGGGAACTTCTCTTTATAAAAGTATCAGATCGCATGAGACTTATTCACTATCACTAGAACAGCACAGGAAAGACCTGCCCCCATGATTCAATTACCTCCCACCTGTCCCTCCTACAACACTGGGAATTCAAGATGAGATTTAGGGGGACACAGCCAAACCATATCATTCTGCCCCAGTCCCTCCCAAATCTCATGTCCTCACATTTCAAAACCAGTCATGCCTTCCCAACAGTCCCCCAAGGTCTTAATTCATTTCAGCATTAACTCAAAAGTCCACAGTCCAGTCTCATCTGAGACCTGCCCACGAGCCTGTAAAATCAAAAGCAAGTTAGTTACTTCCTAGATACAGTGAGGGTACAGGCATTGGGTAAATACAGCCATTCCAAATGGGAGAAATTGGTCAAAACAAAGGGGCTGCAGGCCCCACACAAGTTCAGAATCTGGCAGTGCCATCAAATCTTAAAGCTCTAAAATTATCTCCTCTGACTCCATGTCTCACATACAGGTCACACTGATGCAAGAGGTGGGTTCCCATGGTCTTGGGCAGCTCTGCCCCTGTGGCTTTGCAGGGTACAGCCTCCCTCCTGGCTGCTTTCACGGGCTGGCATTGAATGTTTGCAGTTTTTCCAGGCGCACAGTGCAAGCTGCTGGTGGATCTACCCTTCTGGGGTCTGGAGGACAGTGGCCCTCTTCTCATGGCTCCACTAGGTGGTGCCCCAGCAGGGATTCTGTGTGGGGGCTCCAACCTCACATTTCCTTTCCACACTGCCCTAGCAGAGGTTCTCCATGTGGGCCCCATCCCTGCAGCAAACTTCTGCATGGGCATCCAGGCATTTCCATACATCCTCTGAAATCTAGGCAGAGGTTCCCAAACCCCAATTCTTGACTTCTGTGCACTCGCAGGCTCAACACCACATAGAAGCTGCCAAGGCTTGGGGCTTACACCCTCTGAAGCCACAGCCTGAGATATACCTTGGCCCCTTTTAGTCACAGCTGAAGTGGCTGGGATGCAGGGCACCAAGTCCCTAGACTGCACACAGCAAAGGGACCCTGGGACGGACCCATGAAACCAATTTTTCCTCCTAAACCTCCAGGTCTGTGATGGGAGCGGCTGCCACAAAGGTCTCTGATATGCCCTGGAGACATTTTCCCCATTGTCTTGATGAGTAACTTTTGGCTCCTTGTTACTGATGCAAATTTCTGCAGCTGGCTTGCATTTCCCCTCAGAAAATGGGTTTTTCTTTTCTGTGGTATTGTCAGGCTGCAAATTTTCTGAACTTATATGCTCTGCTTCCCTTATAAAACTGAATGCCTTTAACAGCACCCAAGCCACCTCTTGAATTCTTTGCTGCTTAGAAATTTCTTCCGCCAAACACCCTAATCACCTCTCTCAAGTTCAAAGTTCCACAAATCTCTAAGGCAGGGTCAAAATGCTGACAGTCTGTTTGCTAAAACATAACAAGAGTCACCTTTGCTCCAGTTCCCAACAAGTTCCTCATCTCCATCTGAGACTACCTCAGCCTGGACCTTATTGCTCATATCACTATCAGCATTTTTGTCAAAGCCATTCAGCAAGTCTCTAGGGAGTTCCAAATTTCCCACATTTTCCTATCTTCTTCTGAGCCATCCAAATTGTTCCAACCTCTGCCTGTTACCCAGTTTCAAAGTCACTTCCACATTTTCAGGTATCTTTTGAGCAATGCCCCACTCTACTTGTACTAATTTGCTGTATTAGTCTGTTTTCATCCTGCTGATAAAGACATACCCGAGACTGGGCACTTTACAAAAAAAAAAGGTTCAATTGGACTCACAGTTCCACATGGCTGAGGAGGCCTCACAATGCTGGTGGAAGGCAAAGAGGAGCAAGTCACATCTTATGTGGATGGCGGCAGGCAAAAAGAGCTTGTACAGGAGAACTCCTCTTTAAAAAACCGTTCACTATCACGAGAACAGCATGGGAAAGACCTGCCCCCATGATTCAATTACCTCCCACCAGTCCCTCCTACAACACAGCCAAACCATATCGTACTATGTCTCACATTGCTTACTTCATACATTTAAGAAGCTGTATAAATATTTTTAAAATAGTGACATGCAATGATACATTATAAACATAACATGTTGACTAAATTATTATTTACCTAGAGCAGTTGCCTCATTCTACACAGTGCTTTTTAATGCCAATAAATGTATTAATAAAATATTAAAGTCCAAATAATTTAAGCATAGAGTAAATCATATAATCCACTTTTATGTCAATTATTATAGTACCATTATAGTGGTGAGACGGCTACATCTATTTACAGATATCAAACTAGCTGATTATGCTTTGATGAGCTTTATTTTCAATTTTATACTTTATTAACTTAACTGCATTCACTCGGGCCTGCTAATCTAGCAAACTGATAAGAAAGGTGTGTTTAAAAAAACACTTTTCCATTTCTCAATCTTGTGGCAAAAAAATAAAAAATAAAAAAAAAAACAAAACACCTTTTAGCATACTCCTATTTTACCTAAGAAGGCTTCAAACCATCTTAATATTTATAATAGTTCCACTGTATTACATAAATAGCAGTTATCCAAAGAATTTTATCCTTAACTTTATAGAAGGCTATATTCTTGACAGAGATGCCTAAAACAAAAGTGACTTACTCTTAAAAAGAATGTTATGATGAAAGCCATGTTTTTAAGCAAGGGCCTGATGCCTAATTTTATGTAGAAATAATATAAATGCCATTTTAAACAACAGTTACATAAAAATCTTTCCAAAAGAACTAATAGGGTCGAGCACAGTGGCTCATGCCTGTAATCCTGATACTTTTGGGAGAACAAGGCAGGCGATCGCTTGGAGACCAGAAATTCGAGACTAGCCTGGTCAACATAGTGAAATACCATTTCCCGTAAAATTTTACTTAATTTAGCAGATAAAATTCCAAAGAAAATGTAGGAAGATCCTATCTTTCTCCTTCATAATTCAAGTTCATATTACATTGAAACAGATTAGAAGGTGATATTCATCAGGTCATGGATGAGTGTGATGTTGATCCTAGGAAAAAAGTTACAACTTACTTATCTAAATGGGCAGTATGGCATGGGTACTTAGAAGGAAGTGGTAACTTTTAGGAGAAAATATGAATTCACCAAAAAACTATGTCAGACTAAGGTCATTCTTTTCTTTGAAAGGGACCACGAAATTTTTGTAAATTTTGTTCACTATGCTACAAAGCATTTGATGATAAACAAAATCAGGGTTTCTGCCCTTTCCATGTAAGAGACCAAGGCTAATACAGTTCTAGGGTCTACCTTCACACCTCTGTGACAGGAAAGAAAGACCCTTCCCCACACCAGCTCCAGCAGAAACATCCCAAAAGAGGACTCTGGCCCAGTATGCATCAGGTTATGGATACTGTCAGAATGCCAGGTCTACTACCAGAAGGAAATGTGTGAAAAGATGCTGGTAAGTTAAAAATGAGAGCCAATACAATAACCAAAGGGTGTCAATTAATAGAAAGATTATAGTGGTGTAAACATACTGTTCTATACTCAGTCCTGTCCAATCAGTTTTTTAAGTTTGTTAGGAAAACATACAGAAGGAATAGTAATTAATTGTGCAGATCAAAAAGTTTCAGAGGGAAGAAGTAATGTGCCCAACCAAAAATAAGTATAAAGACCTGCACCCAGGTTTAAAAAAAAAAAAAAAAAAAAAAATTCAGGCTGGGCGCGGTAGCTCTCACCTGTAATCCCAGCACTTTGGGAGGCCGAGGTAGGCAGATCACCTGAGGTCAGGAGTTCAAGACCAGCCTGGCCAACATGGCGAAACCCCATTTCTCCTAAAAATACAAAAAAATTAGCTGGGTGTGGTGGCGGGTGCCTGTAATCCCAGCTACTCGGGAGGGTGAGGCAAGATAATCACTTGAACCCGGGAGTCGGAGGTTGCGGTAAGCCAAAATTGCACCACTGCACTCCAGCCTGGGTGACAGAGCAGGACTCCATCTCAAAAAAAAAAAAATCAAACACATCAAGGTGAGGAGGGGGAAAGAAGGGAAAACCATTGTGAAAGCTAAATACAAGTGAAAAATATTTGAGAGTCATAAAAATGAATGTAACTTCATGCTATTTTAATGAAAGCTTAACATCTTAGGATCTTTAATGAAAGCTTAGGACAAGGTAGGTCACAGTTCTCTGCTAGTGTGCCAGTGAGAAGACACTTTGAATGCCGAATTCCATTTAGCAATGCCTCTTTAAAAGGTGGAGAAATAAAGACTGTCATATTCAGGAAGCAGCAACTGAAAAAATACAGAAACCTAAAACCATGTCACATAAAACTAACTTAAGATACTTTCCAACTCTGAAAGTAAATGATTCTATCAATTGAAAAAGGCTTCCTTTGGGAGATTTTCATGGGTGTATCTGAGGAAATTAGGAAGGCTCGGGAGTTTTTAAGAAGCTAACAAAGGTATGTTTTGTTGTCCTTTTAGTTTTCTTTTAGCAAGCATAGAAATGAGAGCTACCTTTTATTTACTGAGCACTGGGTTAAAACGTTTTCTCCATTAATCCTCACTTAACTGCTGAGTGAGTGAGTAAATACTACTATCCCTGTTCTACTGAGGTTCAAAGAGGTTAAGTAAATTGACCAAGGTCACAGATCTGACAAACGGCCAAAGGAAAAATTGAACCTACATCTGACTCTAAAGACTATTCTTTAACACTATGCCAAACTACCTCCATAATAAAGATCAAGTAGCTGCACAAAAAAATGTTCATTTTTGCAAATTATAAAATACGTGCAAATTAAAATAATCTTTCAAGACTATTTTGCATCCGTAAAGTAGAAAAAAATTTAAATATCCCCTAATGATGAGTAGGTAATTAAGTCAGCATTCATTCATAGTACTGCAAATTGGCACAACTCATGAAAAGTAATACATCAACCTGTGTAGTTTAAGAATGCCCACAGTTTCCACAAACACTAAGGAAATTCATAAGCCTCCATTCATTAATCCTACTTCTGGCAATTTATTCCAAGGAAGTTATTCAGCAGAGATGAAAATGTTCACTTGCAAAAATACACCAGTATAATCCATAAAAATTCCAGAGACAGTCTAGATCCTCAATAGCTAACAGGAAAATAAACTAAGATATTGTCACACAGAGGAATATTTACGTATTTCTTTAAAAGTATAGTTATGAAGGTCATGTACAGGGAAATATAGGAAAGAGGTATGCTTTAAATGAAAATAACAAAACATGTACGTTATAACTGTAAAAATGCACATAAATACAGAATAAAAGGAAACAAAAATAAAACAATATTTGTATTATGGTTATAACATTATGGATGATTTTTAATTTTCTTAAATTGTCTTTAATGTTTACACTCTATTAAACTGTCAAAAGCAGGTGATGATAGCATTTTTTTAAGTTTCTGAGACTTGCTTTACCTGTACATATAGGGGGTATAAGTGGTCCAGCTCCTAAAGAGCTCATAAATATACTAAAGACAACATTTACATTTGTAGCAAAAAGAATGTGTTATTTAAAACAATAGTAACCACAGCCCCCAAAAAATGAGAATCTCATTTGTTGTTGTAGAGTCAAACAAATATGAGTGTCTACTATATATTCCAGCCACAGTTCTAGCCACTGGGGCTATAACTGTGAATAAAATAGACAAAAATTCTTGCCTTTGTGGAACTTAAATGCTAGCAGTATGTATATACTGCAAACATATACAACAGACAAGATAAATATGTAAAATATATAGCATATTTTATAGTGATAAGTGCTAAGGAGAAAAGTAAAGTCTGGAAGGTAGACAGGATGCTATTTTGAGTGGCAGGGGCCAGGCACAGTGGCTCTTGCCTGTAATCCCAGCACTTTGGGAGTCTGAGGTGGGAGAATCGCTTGAGCCTAGGAGTTCGAGACCAGCCTGGGCAACATAACGTGACCTTGTCTCTACAAAAAATATTAGCCAGGTGTGGTGACGTGTGGCTGTAGTCCTAGCTACTTGGGAGGCTGAGGTAGGAGGACTGTTTGAGCCTGGGTGGCAAAGGTTGCAATGATCCAAGATGGTGCCATTACACTCCAGCATGGGTGAGAGAGTGAGACCCCGTCTCAAAATAAATAAATAAATAAAAATAAATCGAATGGCAATAGAAGGTCTCACTAAAAGGATGTCTGAAAAAAGACTGAAAGAGTGGGGAGAGTAAGCAATGTGAGTATCTGAGGAAAGAGCACTTCAGGCAGGGGAAACAGCAAGAGCAAAAGCCTTGAAATAGAATGCCTACCCAAGGATGTGAATGTGCCAGTAACTGGGACATATAATTAATTAAACAACCTGTACTCAGTTCCCCCTAGCAGACCACAGACAGCTACACAGTTCTCAGAACACTGCTCTGGGCCTGATCTGCCTCAGTTGGGTTCAGTACACAGCTACTTTGGCTGGCAAATTCTTCAATGCTTTTTTTTCCATCCAAGGTTGCTTAAGCATCTCTTTTTTATTTTGAGGATCCAAACGGGGCCATATAACATCTACTCATGGGTAACTGTAAGGGTCTCAAGCCGCTCTAGCCCCTCACATGATTCATGCTTGCACTTTGCAAAACACCCAGTGCGCCTGTGAAACTGAGAAAAGTGAAGCCAGCCCCTTCTAGAGCTTGATTTGAATGGGGCAGATTTAAGGAAGGAAAGCTGAATTTTGAAGTTTGCAGGAAAGTTGTAGAGGGGTTAGCAGTAACGTAGTGCAGGGAGTAAGAAGCTGGAGATATAAGGACACCCAATGGGTAAAGAAAGGCCCAGCAGCAGGCAACAGGGCTGAGACTCAGGACAAAAAAAAAAGTCAAGAAATTTCCAGCAGTGGGAATGTCCAAAAAACTTCTAAATAAAAGCATTTTAAGCTGTTCACTATGCTGGGATATAATCCCTACCACTCCTCCCAAATTTTCAATAAAGCCCTACTATAAATATCTGCTTTGTGATTGATTCTTTAGAGAAATCAAGGCAGACGCCAAAGAGACAGGCTCAAGAGACAAGATGTAAGTACCTTCTAAAATAGAGCAGAAAGTGCTCCAAAGGAAGCGAAGTAAGATGTCACTAAAAGAAACACAAGCTCCCTGAAATTCCTGAGAAATATTTAGGAGAGGAAACTGTGTTCCCACCATTTACAGAGGGGGGCTTTTAAAAGCAGGAAACTCACCCCATAAGCAGGTGGACTTTGGTAGACCTAGCTAGATTATAACCAGTCAAGCAATGAATAGATAAAACAATAAAGGTATTTAAATGCATGCTTCAGAAATTTTAAAAGAGGTGATCATCATTTAGATCATCTGGAGTAGTTAAATAACACTTCATGGATAGGGTGACCCTGACCTAACCCTTCAAGGATGACAAGAGTTGGAGAACAGGGATATCATAGAAAGATATTCTAGGTATGAGTAACAGCATGAATAAAGCTCCAAAGCCAAAAATGAGTGTGGCCTGTTCAAAGAACAGTGTAGAAACTGTCCTATTTGGAACAGAGAGTACCCATTGGCAGGCAATGGCATATAAGATTAGCCAGGTAAAGTAAGACCAGATTGAGGGAGGCTCTGAAATCCAAGATGAGAAATCCGAACTCTATTTGACAAGCATTGATAAGAAGCGAAAGAAACTGCTTTGTTCTGTTCTGTTTTTTAAAGATAATAAAATACTATGGCTATACAGACTGGTACCATTCCCTGCCTTCTAAAATTGGCCCACTGATTTCCCACTACCCAGGTCAGGTTATATATGCTCAGGTACACAACTATTACTTCTGCAAAAAGAATGTTTCTATTCATGTTTGTACTAGGCATCTCCAAATGCCTGTCAATTACGCTTAAAAGTTCTTCAACTATCCTATGTCATTTATCCTCTCTATAAACACTGTCTAACCCATGACAGAGCCGAACTAGGGAATTAAAGATGACTCAGTTCATGCCCTCAAGAAACTCAGGATCTGATGTAGGCAAAAGCCAAGAAAACAAACTAGTACAATACAGAATGGTAAGTGCTAGAGTAGGGGATACCTAGAGCAGTAGTCTCCAACCTTTTTGGCACCAGGGACCAGTTTTGCGGAACACGATTTTTCCACAAATTGGGGTTGAGTTGGGGGATGGTTTCAGGATGAAACTGTTTTGCCTCACATCATCAGGCATTAGATTCTCATAAGAAGTGTGCAACCTAGATCCCTCACATGTGCAGTTTACAACAGGTTCACGCTCCTATGAGAATCTAATGCCCCTGCTGATCTGACAGGAGGCGGAGCTCAAGTGGTAATGCTCGCTTGCACAGGCTGTGCAGCTGGGTCCTAACAGGCCACCAACCTGTACCAGTCCACAGCCCGGGGGTTGGGGACCCCTGGCCTACAGTATCATAAAAGCAGAGGACACTTACATCAGTTTGGAAATCAGAAAAAGACAGAAAACACCTAAGACAAAGTGTTGACTGAGTCTTGAAGAAAAAGAAGTATCAGCTGGGCAAGTTGGCTCATGCCTGTAATCCCAGCACTTATGGTTGGATGAGTGGGAAAAGTAGGGAAGGACCACACCATGAATACAGAAAGTTTGTATTTTAGAGTAGATTAATGATTTTAATGAAGGAATATTATGATCATATCTGAGCTTCTTAAAAAGAGCTCTGGTGGCAGTGGAAGATGGATTGAAAGGGCACCACAAAGTTTCTTTCTAACATAAATGCAACAAAAATCTGATAAAGGATGCTGTAACAGTCACTTTATTCCAGTTATCCACTCCTACCCCCTTTCTAGGCTTAACACACATCCTTCATGAAGCCTTCCCCAACCCTTCCCAAACACATTAATCTTGTCTTTCTCAAAACTTCTAAGACATGTCTATCTGTACATTTCATTCTGCTATCAGTGTTTAAGTTTCTTTTCCCTAACAAGAAGGTAAGCTCCCTGAGAAAACAAGTCATATATTTTTGTAATACACACACACACACACACACACACACACATCTTATAGCTCCCAGTACAGTAATATAACATTCTGAAATAGACACTTCCTTTAAATAGCCCTCTTTATCCATGAGTAAAAAGATTCTTCTTTTCCCCATAAATAATAAAATAAAAGGTAAGATTAGGCAAACTAAGGTGAAAAAGTTAGCTTAGCAGTGCTGGAATCAGGAGTGAATACAAGCTGATCAGGAATGAATACAAAGGAACTTTCTGGTGGGATAGAAATGTTCTAATTTGTCATAGGGATGTGTTACATAGTGTATCCATTTGTTTAAAAAATGTACAACTAATATTTGTACATTTCAATGTATATAAATTTTACCTAAAAAACCTATAAAAATAAGGGGTGACAGGCAGGTTGAAATAGATGAAACAAGAATATAGAATGTTGTTGGTACTCCTTGGGTAAAGTGCATTGGGCAATCCTTGTATTATTCTATTTATTTTTTATATGTGTGAAATTTTCCACAATAAAAGGTCAGAAACACACACACATATATATGAGATTTAACTGAGTGAAAAAAATTACATTAACAAAAATTAAAAGTAACCCAGAACATTTAATTACTCATTCTCCCAATGTTTGGAATAATGTTACACTGTAACTTTTAAAGTGATTTTACTAGCTCTATTACCTATCCAATTCTAAGGGAATATATATTCTAAAACCAACCTACTATTAACAACATAGACAAAAGAAGGCCAAGTAGCCACAGTTTCCTTAATTAAGCACCAGATATTAAAATTAATCAGTTCTGTTACCAAAGATATTCAAAAGCCCACTCAAATATAAAGTTAGAATCTTCTAATCTTCAAACTGTGATACCAAAGGTGGTGACTAAAAGATATTTGTAAGCTTCTGGAAGTACAATATCTACAAAAATACACTCAATACCATTTTTAATGGTTTCAAAATAGTTCAATCATTTCACCTCAACAATTTAAACTTCATGATTATCTGCTCAGAATCTGCAATCTCCTCCAACAAAATACTGTGTAAAATAGAGATTTTCCCCACTCATCCCAATGCAAAAGACTAATAATAATCTTTTGTTCAGTACATCTCCTGCTAAAGAATTTAATCCCCACAAAAGCTCACAAAGTTTCTCAAAAAAAAATTTTTTTAGGCATTTTACAATGGCAAATGAGGAGCTAAAATTATTTAATAAGACAAATTCTATTACATTATTTTACTTCTATCGCTACTATTTCCCAATAGATTCTGTTTAAAATTTCCCTTAGCAATAATCTATGGTCTTACAAACTGGTTTAGTAGTTAGGTGGACTGTGACTGGATGGGGGCATGAGGAGAATTTCTGGGGTGCTGATAATGTTCTGTTTCTTGATCTGGGTGCTGATTACACGAGTGTGTTCTACTTGTAAAAATTCTTCAAGCTCTATGTGTACTATATGTATGTGGCATGTATGTGATACTATATCACATATACATATAATCATAAAAGTAATCCAGAACTTGTAGGGCTGTCCTCGAGTCCCCTCCTCCATATTAAAACACCTGTTCTATGCCCTGAAACACTTCTTTGCAAAAACAGAATTCAAGTTAAAGGACCTAACATCTTCTTTCTACTGGCATGTTCCCAGGTAACAGGTAACTTCTATTTGCAACTGGGAGTTCATACAAACCAACAGAAAAACTTGCTTTTTATTTTCCCAAATTAATCCTTTTAAAAGCAAACTGAATAGAAGAAAAATGAGTAAGCGCTGTTATTGCCCAGACTATGCTGCAAATCATTTTCAACTCTGTTAAATGGATTTAGGAAGGAAAAGAAAGATCATCACTTCAGACTCTAGTAAGATAAAAACAGAAGGCGGCTAGAAAGAACTTAATGGAAAGGGTACTATAAACTAGAAGTCTATTTGTGTTTTAGCCCAAATTTTACTACTAATTAGATATTGTAGGCAAATCAAACACGGGAGGCAACAGTACCTGCTCAGAGGAATGAATGAAATAAAATTCATGAAAGTAGTATGTCAAGATTTAATACGAAATATTCAATGACTGGCAAGAACGCTTGGGAAGTAGCCTTTTCTCTTTCACTTGTCCAGCAAATAAAAATTGCATGTATGTGACATACATACCTGTATGTCGCAACCGTAATTCAGCTCTCTCTTTTTTACTTTTTCTGAACTGATAACCTCCCAAAGTTAAATCTAAGCACTGAAATTCTCCCGCGGTGGAAGCAGTGGCGTGTCATTAAAAAGGAGCTTGATCCTCACCTAAACCACACTCTCATCTTTCACCTACAGAGCCCAGGAAGGAAAACATTTCCCTCTAAGTCCGACAGAACCGATCCAGCCTTTCCGGATGAAATGCCACCGACCAAATGTTCACCGACCAAAGGGTTCACCGACTCCAAGGGCTCACCACTTTAGACGGCAATCCTGCCAAGTGGACCGGGAATAGTTTCATAGAAGCCACCCTCGCGACTTTCAATAGCAGTTAGTCGGGAATCGAGCCAAACCTCGTCCAAGTGACTTAGACACCAGCCTCCAGCCTGGCGAATCCAATCCCCATCCTCAATCACACATCCACGTCCCCAAAACAAATCCTTCACGGTCTGAAGATGAGATGGCAAAACCAGAACACACCCAGAAAGTTGACACAGAAGGGGGTGATGTAGGGAAGGGGGTGGGGGACACACCGCATCCCCCTCCCACCCCCAACTGGAGGCCGCTGCCTGAGTGCTGGCTGGGCGCCGGTTCGCCCGCGGGCACAGAAGAATTCGCACTCCCGGGGTGGAGCGAGGTCGCCGGACAGGCCAGCTGGGACCGACGCCGTCGTGGCGGGGACTCGCGGACACCCTGACATTGAAGTCCCACGGCAGTCGCGGTCGGCCCTCTCTCCGCCCGACCCCGTCGGGCAAAGAGACCTGTCGGCCGGGTGGGGAGAGAGAGCGCGCGGGGAGCGCCCGCTCCAGCCCGGGAAAGCTGCACGGCTACGGGCCTTCTTACCCGTGCAGGCCGAGGGCGCGGCGCCGCTTGTGGAGCAGGCAGAGCAGCAGGAACGCGGCACCAGCCAGCGAGGAGTTTCGCGCCGTCAAGTACTTGCTGAAGGCCGCCATGGCACTGCCGGTACCAGCGAGCCGGCGAGGGGACGCGGCGGCGGCGGCGGCGGCGGCTACCTTACTGCACGCAGCGCGGGGGAGACTGGGAGGAGAGCAGAGGGCGGGGCCGGCCGCGCAGGACCGCCCCCTGGCTCGCGCCGCCGCGCCGCCCGCGCTCTGGAGCCCACTTTGTACTTTGGCCCGGCGGGAGCGCGCTCGGCAGCCTCCGTGGGCGGAACAGTTCCCGGGACGCGCTCTGCGCACGCGCGGACTCCTTCAGGGTCTCCGGAAACGCGGCGCGGAGGAGCTGTTGCTACTCAGCCCTGCGAGGCGTCAGTGCTGCCCCTGCCTCACCCCTACCCTCCCACTCTTCGCGCGCACACCCCGGCTTTCACAATAACTGGATGAGCGGGCCTGGCCTGCAGCGACGACCTAGTGGGCCCTGCCTCTCCACTCCCGCGGTGATGTACCGTTACCACCCTCTTAAAGGAGCCCAGGAAGGAGGCGGACGGCCCCGTCACAGAGCGTGTAGGGAAAACACAGCACAGTGATTATCAGGACGAAACCAAACAATCGGAACTCCGCAGAGGTGTAGGGAGATGTGAGGAGAATGACACAGATCAAAGAGCTTTTTCCAAGCCAGTATTTTCCAAACCGCGGGTTATAATCTCTAGCGCATTGTGAAATTGGTTTGGTAGATCGGGATCATCACCCTCCGTTTTTAATAAAATTGAGAATAGAACAAAATAGAAAAGTTTCACAGTACATCACGTAGTAAAGGAGTTGTTTAGAGAAATTTCGATTTCAGTGTTTTGCACGTATGTATCGCCAGCGGCGATGTAAAATGTATGCAGATCTGGTCAGAAAAAAGTTTGAGAAACACTGTTCTTTGCAAAGGGACATTCAGAAGTAACAATCGTGCGTTGTATTAATGCTGGCCTCACTCCCAGAATCAGAAGGGCTTTGCAGATTACAACATTCTTCTCCTGTCTGACCCTATGTTGCAGGAATTGTTATCGCCAGCATTGAGCCTAGCATATATACAGTAACAGTGAATCGCTGTTTTCAGCTGAGGAAACTGGAGAAAAGCAAGTGTGTCAGAAAATAAGCTCATAAAACCTCGCATAATGCACATACATATTAAAGTAGCCTACAAAGTAGTGGTGCTGTGCCCTAGGTGTTTTCTCAATATAAATGAGCTGTTGCCTAATACAGGTTATGAGGATCACAAAGACGAGGTACAATAATGGCATGCGTATAGAGGTGCTCAACAGTGAATTCTAAATTATGCAGAACTGAAGCTCCTACTAATTCACTATTTGTCATGTGGACATTTTCATTACCTGGAGGGACAAAAGGTTTTGGCCCTCTGAAAGTTAACTGAAAACCGCTGACATAAGGCAGATTAATAGAAGAAAAAATTAATAGGAGAAAAGGCATACAAATTTAATGTGTATACATGGGAGCGTTCAGAATGGAGACCCAAAGATACTTGGAAAATTGTCCATTTTTGTGTTTAGGTTCAACAAAGTATGGACAGCTATGTAGAAATGTGATTGGACAAAAATGGTATAATCTAATGCTAACAGACTGAGTGGGGACACCCAGCAAGGCCTGTCTAGATTCTTCTTGGCCTTCTGAGCACCATTCCTTCCTTCTGGGTATAGGGCAGGAATGGAATGGAGCTCTTAACAGCCTACAGTCAAACAAGGCAGGTCAGATAATTTCTTTATGGCCAGATTTTACAGAAAAAGGGGGAGGGAAAACTAGCAAAATATGTTTAGGCTTTTATGGCTGGCTTTAGGGGATAGAGGTTCTGGTTTCTACATCTTGTCTTGAGGAATAGGGATCCTAATATCTATGGCTAGCCTAGGGAAATACGGGACTGAGAGACAGGAGGGCCAGAGTAGGGCAGAGAACTTTTGCTACTGAGACCTTCATTTTGGAGTATTGTGTTGTGAGCCCCAACGACCTCACATAATTTACGTAATTAAGTATGCCTGGCACAGATAACACAAGGATGAACAGATCATGGAGATCATATTCTCCAGAGGCTGTTAGAGAAGAAAAACGTGTAAAAAAAATCAAGTATAAATGTGGTAAGTACTATATTAGAGATATGAACAAGGTGCTATGAGAACACAAACATGAAAATATTTAGTTTTGTCTAATGCTTTCAATAAAGGCTTAAGGCTTGACAAAGGTGATTCTGTAGCTAAATTCTAAAGGACCGCAGGAGTCACTCAGGAGGACAAAACAGGAAATTACTAATTCAGTAATAAAGTGCTAGAAAAGAGTTGGGAACCTTGTGAGAAAGTAACGGTATCATCTTAGAGTTTGTAACAGTGAAGGAAGTACAAGCAAGATTAGTCAAAAACAGTCTAGAAAATAGATTTCAAAACAGTCAGAGGAAAGATAGAAATGATCTATTGACAAAACATTCTAAAAGTTACCCTTGTTCAAGAAGCATGGGAGATTCTAAAAAATTACACTAGTTATTCGAGCTCAAATAATTTTAGCTATTGATAAAGCCCATCTGACAAAAATCACCAGGACCAAATCTGGAACCCATTAAGTTTATTAATTTGCTACAGCAAAAGATACTATACAGCAGAGGAATTGTGGCCATGTCTCAAAAAAAAGGAAGAAATAAGGAGTCATTATAGTATTTAGAGAAAGAGAGGAGTTTAGGTAAAATCTAAATAAAGCAGTGCTTGATAGGCCTAAAGCAAATCAGATCTGTATGTAATATCAAACCTGGGCTGAGAAGCAGATTCAAGATTCTAGTTCTTAGAAACATACATTTAAGATTAATGTAGAATATTGTGTCTGAAAATCCCTTATCTGAACTTCTGCACTGGAAATGGAGACTGCTTCTGTAACTCTAAGTGACTCAAAGAGTTCAAATCTGCCAGGCAAGAAAGGGATGTTCTGTTCTCACTGATAGAATCTCAGAACAACAAACTTTCTAACAGTCTAGGATTTTAGAGAACAAAATTCCTCAGCACTATGTCCTTTGATAATTAACAATGCAATTTTGCAAGTTCACACTTCATAATATTAAATAATAAAGAAAAACAGAAAATGTGATTTTATGGGGGAGATCTCCAAGAGCTCTGATTTTTAAAGAATTTGAGCTACTGAGAACAGGTAGGCAGGGCATAGGAAGTTAGTGAATCTAGAAAGCCTCTGGAAGAAATGTTGTGTTAGCCAGACTCCAAGATTGTCCCTGGTGATCATGGTGTCCTAATATTTATGCCCTCATGGAATTTCCCTCACATCAGAGCTGAGTTTTGTGACCAAAAGAGTATAATGAAGGTGATGCTATGTGACTTCAAAGGCCAGATTATAAAAGGCACTGTGGCTTCTGCCTTGGTGTCTTGGATTGCTTGCTCTTGGGGAAGCCAGCTGCCACAGAGAGCACTCAAAGTGCCCTGGAGAGGAACTGAGGCCTCCCACCAGGAGCCAGACCAGCTTGCTAGCCATGGGAGTGGGCCATCTTGGAAGCAGATCCTCCATCCTCAGTCAAGCCTTCAGGTGACTGCAACCTCATGAGTAATCTCAAACCAGACAGCTCAGCCAAGATGCTGCTAAATTCCTGACTCGTAGAAACTGTGGAAGGTAATGTGTTTATTGTATTAAGTCACTAAATTTGGGGGTAATTTATTATGCAGACACTGTGACCTTGAAAAACAGATGGAAAAAAGAGGATTCCGAAGAAGATACAACAGGAGCAAAGATGCAGAGACCGAAGCAGATTGAGGAAGGTGATTAAGTCTGATGTGGATGGAGGCTGAGGGAGGCATGTGAAATGAGAGAAAAGTTTGCAATGTTTAACTGAAGTCAATTTGTGGAGGGTCTGAAACACCAATCCAACCGGGTAGGATTTTTATTCTGCATGTAGAAAGGTGTATTGCAGGTCTGGGGAAAGAGTAGTGACCTCAGGATTTATTTAAGAAAGATCATGCTAGTGGCAGTGTGTAGAGTGGGCTGAAGGAGGAACCATCAAGCAGAGGGACCAGTTTGAACACATGAAATAGTCTAGGTAAAAGGTAGTGACCATGTGAGTCAGGGCAGCACAGATCAAATAGGAAGAAAATGACTTTGTGGATTCACATAAAATGGAAATAGGTGAAATAATTAATTCATAGGAAGAAAATTTTTACATTGATTCTGATATTGCCTTGCTGAGTGTCTAAGAGGGTGATACTATTTACCCAAGGTCGGAGACACAGAAGTGGTACATGCTCATCAGGAAAGGTAATGAGATGCAAACAAATTCCTTACTAGTTTCTCATCACCAAGATAAACTGCAATAGCCTTAGCATCTCACACAAACCCAGTGATGATATAAGCTCTGCCTACCTCTCTAACTCCTATCTTGGCACTTCTCCCCTCCTACAGATATATTCTACCCCTACCCCAGGAGATAGATGCCTGCTATTCACTTCTGTAGTCTTCCCTTGAATATCCTATTCCTTCTACCTGAATCCCTTCCTACCCTAACATCCTCACGTTCAACTCAGTTTATCCTTTAAAACGAAGCGTTCATGGTCTCCTACTCTGAACAGTCATCTGTGACCAGTCCCCCCTAACCCCTTCACCCCATTGCCAAGTTAATTATTATCTTCTTTGTACTACTACTGTTTCATATATAATTCTATTAATATGTAGTAGGGTGTCTGGGGAGGCAGATCTTAAATTTTTTTTAGAGACCTGCCAATCATTTCTCTGGAAAGGTAAACACCTCAAGTCACTGAGAACAAATCATCTTTGCTCAGAAAAGAGTCACTTGAAAAGCCCCTCTTACCAATTAGAAATGGAAGGAGAATAGGTACCCAACTGCACCAAGGAAAGGACATCCTGACAAGGCTGTTTCTTCAAATAGCCCTAGTTAGCCCAAGCTGGCATTGGGGAAGTTTGCATAGGAGAGCCTCCTGGGAGGAAAGAGATTGAGATCTCAACCTCTTCCTTTTTGAGGTTCACCACTACTAGACTTTCTGATGGACTCAGATAGTCCTGTCTCACTAGATCAGGGTCCCAAAGAGGAATGTACTCCCTTTTCCTCCCAACTGTGTCCGCATTGCATCCTGTTCAGGCTTCTGCCAGAGCTCCCGTAGTGTTTATTTATTTAAATTGCAGTAACTATCATGAGGGAAAGAGCCAAATCTTATTTTTCTTTAATCCTACATAATCTGAAAAAAAAATTGAATACATACCTCATACTCCCAATAAAATAAAAAGGATAAATTCAAAATTGCTCAAAGAATGAATTTTTTAAAAGGAAAAAAAAGATACCATAAAAATATTAGAAGAAAAGATGGCAGAATTTTTTATGATACATTTATCTTATAATCTTGGCATGGGGAAGACCTTTCTAGGTATTAAAATCCAGAAGCCATAGAAAAAATAAATAAATAAATTTCACAACTTAAACATTTTTTTTGTGATTAAAAACAACCTGTAAACAGGGTAGAAAGAAAACTGTAAGGGAAAACTGCACTTATTTTTACAGATAAGTGGTTAATTTTTCTAAAAGTACCTTAAAATTAGTAGGAAAAAGGCCAAAAGCTAAATTTAAAAAATGAGCAAATAATGATATAGCTCACACAATAAAAAAATTAAAATGGCTCTTAAACATATGAAAGGATTACTCTTATCATAGAGATACAAAATAAAACTACACTAAAAATCAATTTTTATCTGCCAGATTGGCAAAGACCCCAAAGTGTGGTAACACTGTAATTTTTGATTACTAGTTCTGAGAGGCAGGTAAATAAATATGAACTCCAGAAGAACAACTGGGCAATAGCTTTAAAATAGTTACAAATGCATGTACCTTTTGACCCAGAATTCCACTCCAGGGAATTGACTCTGCAGATGTATTCTCACATAAGTAAAATATCATAGGTATAATGCATCTTTGTAAGAGCAAAGAATTGGGAACTTTTCTAAATGTCCATCAGTGGAGGTCTGGATAAACAAATATAATGGAATATTATACACTCATTAAAAGAATGAAGCAATTTTATATGAACTGATATGATTTTCAAATATAATATTAAGCAGAAAAAAGCCAGGTGCGGAAGAATATGCAAAGTTTATCACCATTTGTAAACGGAGCTAGTGGGGGAAAGTAATATATACTTATTTGCTTATAGATGAATAAAATATCTTTGGAAAAATACTCATGACATTGATAATACTACTTGACTGCAAGAAGGGTAACTTAGTAGGGGTAAGGGGTGGGAAGACTTCACTGAATAAATTTGTACCTTTTAAGTTTTTAACCATGTGAATATATTACCTATTACATCAAAAAAATTTTTTTAATGAGGTGACGTTCACATGACATAAAATGAGCTATTTTAAAATGAACAGTTTGGCAGTATTCAGTTCATTTACAATGTGGGGCAACTCCCACTTCTACCTAGTTTTAAAACACTTTCATCATGAACAAGAAAACCCTGTACCCATTAAGCAGTCATTCCCCTTCTTCCTCTCCCCGTAGTCCCTGGCAACCATCAATCAGCTTTCATCTCTATGAATTTACCTATTCTGGACATTTCATGTAAATAGAATCATACAATATGTGCCCTTTTATGTCTGGCTTCTTTCACTTAGCATAAAGTTTCCGAGGTTAATCTATGTTGTAGCATTTATTAGTACTATACTTCATTCCTTTGTATGGATGAATAATTTCATTCTATGGAAACATCACATTTTATATCTATTCATCAGCTGATGCACATTTGGGTTGTTTCTACCTTTTGGTTATTTGAATAGTTCTACAATGAACGTGAATGTACATGTATTGGGAGGGGTATATAACTAGGAGTAGAATTGCTAGGTCATATGGTAATTCTGTGTTTAACTTTTTAGTTTAAACTTTTAAAAATTTTATGTTTAACTTTTTGAGGAACTGCCAAACTTTTCCACAGCAGCTGAACCATTTTACCTTCCACCAGCAATGAAAAAGGGTTCTAATATCTCCACATCCTTGCCAACAGTTGTTATTTTTCATTTATTACTATTATTACAGGCATCCTAATGAGTGTAAAGTGAAGTGGTGTCTCATTGTGGTTTTGATTTTCACTTCCCTAATGACTAATGATTTTGAGCATCTTTTCACGTGCTTGTTGGCCATTTGTATATCTTTGGAGAAATGTCTATTCAATTCTTTTGCCCTTTTATAGAGTTGATTGTCTCTTTGTTGTTGAGTTGTAAAAATTCTTTGTATATTCTGGATACTAAACCCTTATCAGATATATAATTTGCAAGTATTTTCTCCCATTCCATAGTTTGTCTTTTTGCTGTCTTAATAGTGTCCTTTAATACAAAAAGGTTTTACATTTTGATAGAGTCCAATTTATCTATTTTTTCTTTTGTTTCTTATGCTTTTGGTGTCATACCTGGGAATCTATTGCCAAATCCAGGATCATGAAGATGTATCCCCTAGGTTTTCTTCTTAGTTTTGTAGTTTTACCTCTTTCATTTAAGTCTTTGATCCCTTTTGTATCAATTTTTGCATATTGTGTGAAGTGAGTGCCCAGTGTCACTCTTTGGCATGTGGATATCCAGCTGTCCCAGCATCATTTGTTGAACCAATTACATTTGAAAATGAAATTTAAATATGAAACAAAAAACCCAATCTTCTCAGGCTTTTCCACTTTAAGAATTATGTCAAAGTTCTGGGGTCTCATACATCTCTAGGGCATTATGGAGTCCGTTCCATTTATTAATCATCTGTGTGCACTAGCTGTGACTGAACTGTCATTGCCCCAGCCTTCATGGTTCCTTCTATGACATGAAAGGGGTATGAAGTTTTGGGGTGAGGCTGAGATCTTCAGACCTAGGCGTTCAGCTGACCTGTGCACTATTCAGCTAAAGAACCCCTCTCTCCTCCAGCCTCTGTCAGGATCTTTTTAGTTTCCTTGAACCTCAGTTTCAGTCTAAGCTTTGATGATCAAAAGTCAGGAAGCCATCTACCAACCCCAGTGAAGGCAAAAAGAAGCACAGGCCTTTCTCTCTGAATGGGAAAAGAGAAGGGGAGAATTTTAGACAGAAAATATAAAACTGCTATTTCAAGAAATTATCCTGCTACTTGTGAATTGAGAGCCCACCTAAAAGGAATTCAAAAGTAAATAAAACAGTCCTACCCTCTTGAAATGAATAATCTACATACCATAATAATAATAACCACAAGGACCACTGTAATAAAAGTTGTGCTGGATATACAATCAAAGTACTATGGGAATCTATAAGAGAGTGAAAATTCCAGGCTAGGGAGTTGCAAGGAGGCAAGTTTCTGATGACATGCATTAGTTTTATATTTATATTAATTTTGGTTCTCTTGTCCCCTGTGTGCCACACTTGCATGCTCAGTTCCATTCATTTATAAAATTATGCAGTTACAAAGCAAATTGTAGCCACTATACAGTCTTGCCCTATTCAGCAACTCAGTGCTCAGCCATCCGTCTGTATATGGAGTCCATCTGTATATCCAGTCAACCAGACACAGCTCCTAGGGCTTGATAAAGCTTAGTTTGACTGGTTATTAATTCCAGTAGCACCGTTCCCATCTTAGGACCAAAGTGTTGCCTTGAACCCAGCTATGATTGGATACTTTGCTGAGCCTTATCAAGTCTCCTTCTCAGAAATAGAACTTTGCATAATACCATGCCCAGGCTGAGATGCTGCTCCCCACTGTCCTCATGTGACAACTGGCCACTATCTGATTCTGGATTCTGTACCACTATGTGCTACCCACCAGAGTGGAAAATTGCTAAAATCTGATGTGTCAGAAACGCCACAATGATGCCAGAAAGTTCTAAAATAAAAAGCTATGAAAAGCCAATGGAGTCTTTATTATTGCTGTTTGTATAATTTTTTAAAGTTGTAATAAGTAAAGTTTCACCGATATAACGGTATATGGTAATTATAAATTTCAGGATCAGAAAAATGTAAATTGGGTTACAATACAATGTGGGTCTAAATTAATTCATACTATATTGTCTCAATTGCCTATGTTATAAAATGTATCAATGATCTATCAGTGATTTATTAGGGAGAAAAGACCGAAATACAAAACAGTTAAAAAAATAAGATGAATTTTTATTTTAATTTTTAACTTTTGTGGGTATATAGTAGGTGTATATGTTTATGGGTTACATGAGATATTTTGATACAAGCATGTAATGCATAATAATCACTTCAGGGTAAATGTGGTATTCATCGTTGCAAGCATTTATCCTTTGTGTTACAAACAATCCAATTGTACTCTTTTAGTTATTTTCAAATGTACAATTAAATTATTTTTTACTATAATCACGCTGTTGTGCTAGCAAATACTAGATCTTATTCATTCTTTCTATTTTTTTATACCCATTAACCTTCCCTACTTCCTCCCCTCCTGCCACCCCCCAGATGATATATGATTCAGTGTAAAAAGGACCCCAGGAAAAAAGGCCTTAAAAGTTATAAAAAGGAACAGATTGATAAGGGTAGAATTAGTATAAGGAAAAGAAAGCGCATAGGAGTGTATAACAACATGAATGTGGTAGCCGACTTTATCAGGGTCTTATTGCAGTTTAACATAGGAGGAAGCCTTGTGTTCTCTGCCTGATTCCAGACTTAAGTTCCTCCATCCTTGTGTTTCATTGCAATGAAAACTCTTTTTATAATACACAATTATGATCATGTCAGTCTCTCATCTAAAATTCTTCAGCTACTCTCCATCACATTAAGAATAAAATCCAAACTTCTTAGCATGGGAGTATGCTTTTCTTAGTGTGGTCCTAGCTTAGCTCTTCTGCTCATCCAGCCATATGGATGATTTATCGTCTCCATATGGCAGGCTCTGCCCATTCTTTGCATTCTGATTTTTTTGTTTGTTTGTTTTTTGAGATGGAGTCTTGCTCTGTCACCCAGGCTGGAGTGCAGTGGCGCAATCTCAGCTCACTGCAACCTCTTTCTCCTGAGTTGAAGCAATTCTCCTGCCTCAGCCTCTCTAGTAGCTGGGATTACAGGCACCCGCCACTACGCCCAGCTAATTTTTTTTTTTTTTGGATTTTTTTAGTAGAGATGGGGTTTCACCATGTTGGCCAAGCTGGTCTTAAACTCCTCACCTCAAGTGATCCCCCCACCTTGGCCTCCCAAAGTGCTGGAATGACAGGCATGAGCCATCGCAGCAGCCTTGCATTCTGATTCTAGTAACCTAATCTGCTACCCTGATCCCGGTGTATATTGTCTTTCAAGACTTGGCTCAGTCAACGCTTTCTGTTATGTTTTCTCTATCTTTCTCTACCCTCAAGTCAAAATAAAATCTTCTTTGCTCCTCTATAATAGAAATGACAGCTCTGTATCGTACTGGTTTATTTACTTAACTTCTGCATCTCTTAGAGAATGAGTTCCTTCAGGAAAAGTTCTGTACGTTTTTTCTGCAAAGGGCCAAGTAATAAATATTTCAGGCTTCATGGGCCAGAGAACCTCAGCCACCACTATTCGGCTCTGCCGTTGTATCAGGAAAACAGCCAAAGACAATAATATAAATGAATCGGCATTGCTGTGTTCCAATAACACTTTATTTATGGACTCTGAAATTCGAATTCCCTGTAGTTTTCAAATGTCAAGAAATATTATTTTTTGTTTGTTGTTGTTTCTTTATTGACCATTTAAAAATGTAAAAGCCATTCTTAGCTTGCAGGCCATACAAAAACAGAAGGTAGGCCAGATTTGGTCCACAGGCTATAGTTTGCTGACCATCGCTTTAGCAGCAGGAATGAATTGATTATAAAATAACTACCAAGAACAAACTCGAGATCCAGATTCCTCAGTTTTTAGTCTAGCCTGGTGCTCCTGATGAGCTGGATAATATTCACATACACAAATCACAACCAGTTGTAAGATACAATGGTTGAGAAAGCCCCATTTATAATAGAAACAAAAAAGATAAAATATTTAGGAATAAACTTACAAGAAATGTGCAAAACCTATATGAAGAAAATTACAAAACATTCCTGAAACACAGAAAAGAAGACTTGAGCAAATAGAAAGACACCCCTTGTGCTTGGTAATCCCAGCGCTTTGGGAGGTCGAGGCGGGCGGATCACCTGAGATCAGGAGTTTGAGACCAGCCTGACCAATATGGAGAAACCCCATCTCTACTAAAAATACAAAATTAGCCGGGCATGGTGGTGCATGCTTGTAATTCCAGCTACTCGGGAGGCTGAGGCAGGAGAATCCCTTGAACCCAGGAGGTGGAGGTTGCGGTGAGCTGAGATCGGGCCATTGCACTCTAGCCTGGGCAGTGAGAGCAAAACTCCGTCTCAAAAACAAAAACAAAAACAAAAGGATGTTTCAATATCATCAGTATGTCAGTTCTCCCTAAGCTAATTTATAAGCTTAATGCAATTTTAAGAAAAAAATCCTATGAGGTTTTTTGTTGTTGTTGTTGTTGTTGTTGTTTTTATGAAGGTAGACAAGTTCATCCTAAAGTTTATAGGGGAAAATAAACATCAAAGAGCAACTGAAAAGGCAGGTTATAGCCCCACTAGATAGTGAAACATACTATAGCCTTTTGGCTGTAACCACCATCTTTCAGTCATTCGCCAAGATGATGAACACAAAGAGAAAGAGGAGAGCCACCCAATACATGTTCTCCAGGCTTTTTAGGAAACATGGCATTGCTCCTTTGGCCACATACATGCAAATCTATCAGAAAAGTTAAGTCATAAACATCAAGGAGATGGGCACTTGTTGAAAAAGGAACACGGCACAAGTGTTACCATGCCATAACTGGAAGTCTACGATGTTCTCAGGATGTTGTTGACATTGCTATAAACCAATACTTTAAGGACAAGATTCTTATCAAGAGAATCAGTGTGTGTACTGAGCACATTACATCATTACATACTCTAAGAGCTGAGATAGCTTCCTGAAACGCAAGAAGGAAAATGATCAGAAAAAGAAGGGAGCCAAAGAGAAAGGTACCTGGATTCAACTGAAGCGCCAGCCTGTTCCACCCAGAGAAGCACACTTTGTGAGAAAAACTGGAAAGGAACCTGAGCTGCTGTAACCTATTCCCTATGAATTCATGGCATAGTAAGTGTAAAACAACAACAACAACCCACTGGACTGTAAAAAAAAAAAAAAAAACAAAACAAAATACTATAAAGACTCTATCATTAAAACAGTGTGGTACTAGTACATGAATAGACAGATCGACAGAATGGAAAGTCCAGAAATGGAGACAAGTGCATATAAAAATTTAGTGTATGATAAAGGTAATATCCCTTCTCACTCAGGCAAATATAGTTGTTTTTTTTTTTAATAAATGGTGTTGAGATCGCTGGATAACCATTTGAAAAAAAGTTAAATTCCTTCCTCAGACCATACACAGGAATAAACTCCACATGGATCACAGATATAAATGTGGAAAATAAAATTACACAAGTACAACAAGAAAACATGGGTAAATACCTCTGTAATCTAGATATCAGAAAAGGTTTTCTGTTACTAAAAATTCAAATGCACTAAAAGAAAAAATTGATAAATATAATTTTTAAAAATTTCTAAACTTTGGCATGCCAAAAACCATAAGCAAAGTCAAAAGGCAAACAACAAACTAGAAGAAAACATTTGCAGCCTACATTGCAAATAAAAAATCAGTATCCCTAACTGATAAAGAACTTATAAAACTTAAGGAAAAAGACCAAAAATCCTACAGAAAAATAGGCAAATGACAAGAACAGACAATTTACAAAAAGAGATACAAAAGCTGGTCTTTAAACACGTTGGAAGATGTTCAACATCGCTCCTAATAAAGAAATGCAAGATAAACTATACTAAAGTCAGTTTCTCACCCACAACTTTAGCAAAAAAATTCAAAAGCTTGATAATGGCGGTGTCTCATGCCTGTAATCCCAGTACTTTGGGAGGCCGAGGCAGGTGGATCACCTGAGGTGGGGAGTTCAAGACCAGCCTGACCAACATAGAGAAACCCTGTCTGTACTAAAAATACAAAATTAGCCAGGCGTGCATGCCTGTAACCCCAGCTACTCGGGAGGCTGAGGCAGGAGAATTGCTTGAACCCAGTAGGCGGAGGTTGTGATGAGCCAAGATGGGGCCATTGCACTCCAGCCTTGGCGACAAGAGTGAAACTCCGTCTCAAAAAAAAAAAAAAAAAGCTTGATAATGTTACTATGTGGCAAGGTATGGAGAAAATAAATACCCTCATGCATTGCTGGTAGGAATGAAAAGCAATTGAGGGGAATTTGGCTACACAGATTCAAATATAAAACTATACAGGCATTTACCCTAGAGTGTTACCTTTTGGAATTTACATATACTAGGAAGTAGATACACACCCAAAAATACAAAAATGCAATATGCACAAGATTATTTTGAAATAGCATAATATTGAACACAAACCAACTGTTCAAGTATAGGACACTAATTAATCTTTGGTATATACACATAATGAGTTCTATGCAGCTACACAAACTATAATAGGGAAGATTTCTTTTCTGTTTGTTTTTTTTTTTCTTTTTTTTTTTTTCGAGATGGGTCTCGCTCTGTCACCCAGGCTGCAGTGCAGCGGCGCAATATCAGCTCATTGCAACCTCCGCCTCAAAATAGGGAAGATTTCTAGGAACTGAAATGAAATAATTTCCAGGAGGTATAATTAAGTTTTTTATAAAAGCAAAAGAGCTTATGAAGGATGCTAACTTTAACATATGAAAGAAGGGAAAATAAAGATATATACATATATTTATTTAACTTTGCGAAAAGTAATACTAGATGAAAAATCAGATAACAATGAAATTTGTGACCTACAAGGGGATGCAGAAATAGAATGGAAGGGATGTAAAAGAGTAACACTTCTCTGAGACTATCTTTTTGCATAAGCTTGACTCTTGGAAGCATGATTACATTCTACATATTCAGAAATGAAATTCAATGAATAAGAATAAGAAGGAAAAAATGAAAAACTGAAAGCAAACCACAACAAATGAAACTGATTTTATTTCATATTAATACCATAACCACACTGGAGAGAAAAAACAAGAGAGCCAAAGATGGAAGAGAGGAAAGAAGGAAGGAATCCATGTAGCTTATGAACATAATATTTGACTATACATCCTCAGTCTTGTGCAGGGTTGTGGATAAGGAAGAATTACACATGAACCCTGAACTCATTATAGTAGACTTGTTTATTCTAGTATTATGGGCAAAGTAATTCTTAAACTGTTTAAGAATTTTATTTTGGATTGATCAAATGAGCAAAGGTATTGATGTTGTTGGGATCTAGAGTTATCACTGACGAAGAAGGGACAAAAAAATTATGGAGTAGGAGAAAACCAAAAAGAATTCTGAGGGGGATGGATTGCAACTGGAAACCTCAGATGTGATTGTATAATTTGTAAAATATGTATGTGGTATGTGTATGTGTGTATATGTGATAAGTATGCATGTATATGTACTTACAGGTATACATTTGTATACTAGTGTGTATACATTTACATATTTCTTTGTTCTGTCCACTGAAAAGACCAAGAAACAAAGTCTGGTAGCAATGATCATACCTCATACCTAGATCTTGGTCTTTTAACACCATTTACCACTAAAAGGAACAAGGGCTCCTCAAAGAAATGGCTAATTCCAGGGATGGAGCAGGGTAGGTATAAGATGAATATTTAGTCATATCAGAAAATTAAAAAGTTGATTAAAAAATCATGAGGGCATGTCACAGGAACACAGGAGTCATCTTGAAAAGGCTCCTCCAGACCAAACCTGAGATAATTTGTACACCAAAATAAGTCCAGTAATAAATTATAAGCCATTGAAGAAATAGAAATTAATGAGTTCATATCTACAATAAACAGACAAATAAATAATAGTGGAGAAAAGAGGTCTCTTGATTACAGGTAAATGCGAAGGCCAACTGGTAAGGGAGGAGTGCAAGCTGGAAAATTATTATTTTGTGACAATCATAGTGGAAATTGAATCAGGCAAGACTCATCAATGGGTGCCAAAGCTAGGAGTGAATTTTGATGAGGAACAGGATATTTTCATAATCTTAAATGATCTGCTGACAGATAACTGCTTATTAGTTACAATGGAGAAAACATAGTCATTTTACAATGAATAAACTGGACAAAATCTTGACTGGTCAGTCCAAATTAACATCACCAATGTAGGAAAGATGGATATCTCACGCCTCTCAACATCTCCTATGCAAGATTCCAGCCTAGAATGCATAATATGAATCTCATCATGAGGAAACATCAGAACAACCTAAGACGAGGATCATTTTGTTTAAAAAGGGAGGAAGTGCCACATTTTCAGCCATAAAAAATGATGAGTTCATGTCCTTTGTAGGGACATGGATGAAATTGGAAATCATCATTCTCAGTAAACTATCGCAAGAACAAAAAACCAAACACCGCATATTCTCACTCATAGGTGGGAATTGAACAATGAGATCACATGGACACAGGAAGGGGAACATCACACTCTGGGGACTGTTGTGGGGTGGGGGGAGGGGGGAGGGATAGCATTGGGAGATATACCTAATGCTAGATGATGAGTTAATGGGTGCAGCGCACCAGCATGGCACACGTATACATATGTAACTAACCTGCACAATGTGCACATGTACCCTAAAACTTAAAGTATAGTAATAAAAGAAAAAAAAAGAGAGGAAGTATTATATTCATAATAACAATCAATGTCATAAAAGGCAAAGAAAGAATATGGAAATGTTCCAGATTAAAGGAGGCTAAAGAAGTGACAATCAAAAGTAATAGCTGACCCTAAACGGGGTTTTAGATTAGAGCGTGAAGGGGGTAGAGGACGTTGTTGAGGACATTATTGGGTCAATAACCAACAAAACTGGAATACTATTGGTAGGTTAGAGTATTATATCAATGTTACATTTGCTGAAATTGCTAACTATACTGTGATTATATTACAGAACATTCATATTCTAAGGATATATACACTCAACTTCTTAGGAGTAAAGAGCCTTCAAATGGCCCTGAGGAAAAACACACACATACATAAAGAGCACACACATAAATGATAAAGCAAAGGTTAAATATTTATAATTGGCAAATCTGAATAAAGGGCACATGAGTGTTTGTGCCATTTTAAGCTTTGTAACTTTTGATAAATTAGAAATTATTTCAAAACAAAAAGATTTGTTTAGAAAATAGAAAATTTAAAGACATATTAAAGAACACTCATAACAGCCTTATTCATAACCTCCTAAAACTGGAAACACACTCAGTGTCCATCAGCAAAAGAATGGGTAAACAGGTTGTGGTATATCCAGACAATGAAACATTACTCTTCAATAAAAAGGAAGAACTGCTGAAAAGTACAGCAACATGAATGAATCTCACAAAAACTGAGTGAAAGGAGACAGATAAGCAGACACACACTACTTGATTCAATGAATACAAATGCGAGAACAGGCAGAACCAATGTATGATAAAAGAAAGTGGGTGCATGTGGGAGCGGGGTAAAATCCACTGGAAGATGGCATGAAGGAACTTCCTTGGGTGACAAAAATGTTCTATATTTTCTTTGGGGTGGTGGTTTTATGGGTATTTACAAATGTCAAAACTCATCAAACTGAATACTTAAGACCTGTGCCTTTTATAGCATGTAAATCATAATCCCAAAGAAATGAATCAATGAATGAATGAGCAAACAAGCTAACTAATCATTTTTTAAAAAGAAAGATCTTAAAGATAAATTCAGATTGATAGAGTTGCATCTACTTAAACATCCCTGGAATTTGTTCCAGTATTAAGACCATTTACTTGTAACCTTATGTCCTGAGAAGGACCTGAAATATCTAAAAATATGAAAGAAAAAATAACTTATCTTAAGAAGACCTAAGGTATCTGAAAAATGGAAGGAAAATAATTTATCTCAAATGTCTCTCAAGCAACCTTCAGAATAGTTAAGAATGCCCTGTGGGATTTACAGTTAATTTCAAAACACAACTAACCAGTATGTGATTCAGAAAGATGCCTATGTTGTTGTTATACTTGGAAAGATTTCTAGATTTTGCTGGTTGGAGATTTTGTTTCATACATATAAACAGTGGCACATTCCTGTAGAATTGGGGCATGTTTGGGCACCATTCCGTATTGGAAATGTTTCCCTGGTCTGCCCACGCTGGGCACCAGGCCTACGACTATACATGCTAGCAGGTTCGACCAGGCTTGGATATCTCTCTTAAACAGTATATGAAAGAATTCATTTTACTCAAGCAATAAAATGATTAGTTCATGTTCTTAATCCGTTTTTGGCTGCTTATAACAGAATACCTGAAATTGGGTAATTATAAGAAACATAATTTATTTCTTACATTCTGGAGGCTGGGAATTCTAAGGTTAAAGGAAGACATCTGGTGAGAGCTTTCTTGCTAGTGGGGAATCTGAAGAGTCCCAAGATAGCACAAGGTATCACATAGCAAGGTGACTGAGCATACTCACGTGCTAGCCACCAGTTCCCCTCCCCTGATTAACACATTAATCCATGAATCCATTAACAGATTGGTCATTCAAGAGAGCAGTGCCCTCATGATCAATCCAATCACCTTTAAAGGCTCTACTTCTCAATACTACCACACTAGGAATTAAGTTTCAACATGAGTTTTGGAAGGGACATTCAAACCATAGCAGCTCAGAAACGTGAAACTGCACAGTGGTAATAATGTAAGTTTAAATATCAGTGCTGTATTTCAAGGATTCTCGGCTATTATCATACTATAGTTTGACAGTGAGCTGCAGCTCCTCTTTCTCTAGGTGCTGGTGAATCCTTCAGCTGGAAGGCACAAGGGTGGTGTCATCCCCTGATCCTGTGGCAGCTCCACCTCTTATGTCAGGCTGGCACTGCTGTTCTCCTGCTCTCTTTTGCCTCAGAGTGCCACACTGGTCTAGAGGGGAGGGTGCTTCCTGTCATCACAGCTAATACACAAATTCCAGAGGTTCTCATTTTCTTCAGTTCCTCAAAGTTTAATTTCAAAGACACATATTTTATCAATGACTTTCCTTTTTCTTTCTTTTTTTTTTTTTCGAGACAGAGTCTCACTCTGTTGCCCAGGTTGGAGTGCAGTGGCGCGATCTCGGCTCATTGCAACCTCCGCTCCTGTGTTCAAGCAATTCTCCTGCCTCAACCTCCTGAGTAGCTGAGGTTGCAGCTGCCACCAAGCTGGACTCATTTTTGTATTTTTAGTAGAGATGGGGTTTCCACTATTTTGGCCAGGCTGGTCTCGAACTCCTACCCTCAGGTGATCTGCCCGCCTTGTCCTCTCAAAGTGCTGGGGTTACAGGCAGGAGCCACCCAGCTTCAATTACTTTTTTATTGTTCTAGGATGTTGTGCTTCTGTTTACAACTGATCAAATCTTTGCAAAACAAGAACTTCCATAAGAAAATCTTTGAGACAGGGTCTTGCTCTGTAGCCAAAGCTGGAGTGTAGTGGCACCCAGGAACCTCCCACTCCTGGGCTCAAGTGATCCAATCACCTCAGCCTCCAGATGCTATGACCTTCTGTTTGCAAGCTTCTCTACAAATCCCTACTAAATCGCTGGTGCAGCCAGAATGGGAAGGTTTTATTTCACAGCTCTCCATGTCATAACGTAGAAAGTAAATATTATCTGGATGGAGTCCTCCCCCAAATACACAAATGCCTTTCCCCTCTAACTGCAGCACTGCGGCATCTGAGGTCAGAAGTGATGTGTGTTTGTGTTTTGTTTTGTTTTTTTGATTGTTACAAGTTATCCATGCCACACCCAGCCATATTTGGGTTGCAGATTGATCTGAGCACATGCTCTTGAACAAAAACACCAGGAAGTAGAAAGAACAATGGACTTGGAGTCATGAGTCTGGGTTCCACCTCAAGCTTTCTCATAAATGACTGTGTAATTTTAATCTTTGGCTCTCAACTTTCTCATGTGTGAAATAAAAGGGTCAATACTGGTTACCTCTGGGAACGGGTATTGGAATCATTGGCTACTGAGAGATTTCCAGATTTAGAGGTTGAAGACTGGGCCGGGCAAGGACTTACCAATGGAGATAGTAGACAAAGCCCTTACATACTCACACATGTGAACACCACTGAGGGAGAGTCGTTTTTCAGATTACACAGTTATCTACTGTTAAACAAAAATGTGTGTGCATTACTTTTATACATTTAAAAAATTCTAAAAAGTTATAAAATATAACACTTTTGAACAAGTTGACTGCTAATCTCCTTTCTGTCTTGAAAATGTTATTGTAAGGTGTTGGGCAGGGTGAAGGAATTCACTCCAAGGGGCTGTAGAAGGGAGTTTTAGGGTGATGGACCTGTTCTGCATGATACCATGGTGGTGAGTACATGACTTTGTGCATTTTGTAAAACCCACTGAACTGCATGCTACTACATATGAGTACAACTACATACTACCGAAGAGTGAAATGTACTATATCCAAGTTTTGTTTTTTTTTTGAGAGTACAACTACATACTACTAAAGAGTGAAATTTACTATATCCAGGTTTTTTTTGTTTGTTTGTTTTTTTGAGACGGAGTCTCACTCTGTCAGTCTGTCGCCGGGCTGGAGTGCAATGGCATGATCTCGGCTCACTGCATCCTCTGCCTCCTGGGTTCAAGTGATTCTCCTGCCTCAGCCTCCAGAGTAGCTGGAATAACAGGTGCCCGCCACTATGTCCAGCTAATTTTTTTGCATTTTTAGTAGAGACAGGGTTTTACCATATTGGTCAGGCTGGTCTCTAACTCCCGACCTCATGATTTGCCCGCCTTGGCCTCCCAAAGTGATGGGATTACAGGCGTGAGCCACTGTGCCCAGCCTATATCTAAGTTTTAAAAAATATATCAGGCTACCAGGAATCCCAAGATGGAATGCAGACTATGACAAATAAATGTAACTGTATACCAAACCGCAGGGGGTGGGGGTGGAGCTGACCTAAGTAATTTTGGAAAACAGTGTTTTTACTGAAAACTGTTAGGTTACAGTCAAAAAGAACTGAATAAAATCAGTGTATTCTACTTATGTTTCAGACAAGAATACACGTTAGCAATTCTGACAGGTTAGTGATTCTGATATTATTTTATAGGTATATTAGGGTTGAACACAGAAGTAAATAAATTGTAGATAATGCAAGTCATGTTTCCCACTGTCAGAAAATGAAGTTACAAGTCAGCAGGAGAAGGATGGCTAGAATCAACCCTCTGGCGCTAGAATAGGGTCAAAGATAGCAGTAGGAACTCATGTTGATTGATTGATAGATGATATAGAAATAAAAAGAGCTTTCATTTGCCATACCTGGAACAATTCTGAAACAAAATTAATAATGATAGTATTGGATTATAACCCAAAGAATAAAATAAAAATTCATTAGTCTATACTGATAAAAATTATGATTGAATAAATAAATGGGGTGAAGAAAAAACTCTCACAGAAAAATTCCAGCATTCCAAAGAATAAATGTAGATGGAATGAGTGCAATAATAATAAAAAAATTTGAACATCTCAGTAATAATTATTGTGGTTAAGACTCAGGGATGAATGCTAAAATTACTGGGTGAAATTTTAAAGAGAAACAGAATGGTAGCATAGCCTCAAAATATTTTCCCTGAAACATATATTAAATGCTGTGGTGATTTTAATGTCTGTCCAAAAATTCTTTGATATTCCTCCCTCCAAGCAGTGTAATTTATTTACCTAGCCCTTGAGTGTTAATTGAAGTTAGTAACTTGTTTCTAATTAATAGAATATGGAAAGGAAAAAAAATAGTAATTTTATAGTAGAGAAACCTGGCACATACCACCTTAGCCAAGTGATCCAGGTTAAAAACACCAGGAAGAAATTGATGAGCACATGTTGATATCATGTGTCCTTGACATGATGCAATGAGAAGAGCACTTCATCTCCATGGCATTCTCCCAAAAAGTCCATAACCCCCAACTAATTATGAAGAAACATCACATAGACTCAAATCGAGGGATATTCTACAAAATACTTGACCAGTACTCTTCAAAAGTGTCAAGTTCATGAGCAACAAGGAAAGACTGAGAAACCATCACAGATTGGAGGAGGCTGAGGAGTCACAGCGGCTGAGTGCAATGTGGGATCCCACTTGATCCTGGAGCAGAAAAAGAGCATAAGTGGAAACGCTGGGGAAATTGAAATGAAGTCTGTGGTTAGTTAGCAGTGCTGTACCAGTGTTGATTTCTTGGGTTTGATAAATGTGCCATACTTAGATACAATGGTAACATTAGGGGAAGCTGGATGAAAGGTATACAAGGATTCTCTGTACTATCTGCAACTTGTCTATATATTAATAGTTAAAATTGTTTCAAAATAACAAGTTTATAAAAAGGTTATGATAAAATGTCTTCAGTGCCACAATAAAAAAAAGTGTCTAATCAAGAGCTTTATTTTTGCATCCTGAAATCAAGTAAGAAACTAGCATAAATAGACAAATCCTAAAAAAATTTAAATATAAAGAAATATAGGTGAATATACACTTTTTTTCTTGAAATACAACATCACAGGCCTATCAGCAAAGCCTGGGAAAATAGCCTGCAAATCACATGAGACTAGAACTAATTACTTTGCCATTTAGCTTGCTTTTCATATCTTTAAATAACCCTCCGGAGATCATGCGGTTCCAGGCCAGGGAACCATTTCATTCCCATCCAGGCCCATGGGCCCACAGGAAAGCCTTAATATTAGTACAAAGCAACTCAATACAATTTCAGGTATTTTTCAGAGATAGAAATACTTAATGTTATATTTATGTAACTATAAAATTAAGAAGAATTTACATAAAATTGTTCTATAAACACACACGCACGTGCGCGCGCGCACACACACACACACACACACTTCTATTCACATGAGGAACAGTTTGTGGAATGAGAGGCAGACGAGAGGAAAGATGAAGAGGAGCTTCCTATATCCCTGGGCGGGCACTGACTTGATGGTGACCCCTGCAGGGGGATTCTAGAAAACGAGGTTGGATGAAGTGTTTGCTGGAAGCTCCTGAGAGTAACTGCAGTCTGAGTCCTAGTAAATGATGAATGTTAAAGTTCAGTAAGTGAGATTTTGTTGTCAGGTCCAAGAGGTGAAAGGGGAAAAATGAATAATAATTACAGCTTCTGTTTATAGTGGTGTATCTCACTTTATTCTCACAATAGCACTATGAGATAGATACTATTATTATCCCCTTTACTAACTGGGGAAACTGAAGCTAAGAGACACTGAGGAACTTGCCCAAGCTCACACAGCTAGTAATTGAGGAAATAGGATTGGAATCTGGGGTTCTATTGGAATCTATTGTTTGAGTTCTTAACCACAGCACAGAGTCTAAAGCTGAGCACACACAATAACCAAGAAGGAAAGGATAGGCAGAAATAATGTGAGAGAGTTTAGCATTTGCTTCAGAAACCTGAGATCCATTTTCAGTGCTGCTAGGACTGGTTTCCAGGTTTAAAGATTGGAGGAAACAAGGAAGTAGCCATGGAGACAAAAACATGAAAGTGTTTCTGTCTGTCTGTCTCTGTGTGTGTGTATGTGTGTGTGTGTCTCTCTCTTTCTGTCTGTCTCTCTGTGTGTCTCTTTGTCTCTCTCTCTCTCTCACACGCGTGCACACACACACACACTCACTCACACTGTAGTCTCATAGAGGAAATGGAAATGGAACTACTACAGGTAACCACACACACCTGCAGAATTAATTTTAATGGCAAAAACAGCAATTACTTTTGCACCAACTATTTTTACTTGCTCTTTCAGATCCATTTGCCATCTCTTTGGCACTCTGCACTGTGCCACAGGATCATGACCTTTATCAATAGCATTAACCAAGTCTGCAGTTGGATTTGGCCAATGGGAAGCACTGGTAAGAGACTGGAAAATTGGAGGACAGAAAAAGGCTGACGGACTTATTCCCCTGATTGTCTCCTTGATTGGTGATAATTTATGCATTCCTATGCCAAAGGCCACGGTTCCTGCTGGGAAGTCCTCTTCTACTACTACAGCTCTCACCGGTTTCAGTAATCTCTCTCTCTCCTGACCTTTCCAGTTTAGAAATGGTAATGGCCTCCTGCTGTTGAGGAGTTCCCTGTGGAACTCCACCATCTCTTCTGGTTTTCCTATATCTTGTCACATGTCTGTGAACAGCACCTTCATTAATTGCCCCCTTTCATGGTTCTCTTTCCTGCCAGGCTCCTGACTGATAAAGCAATTAAAAAGGGAGTAGGATGGCTCTAGGAAACAGAACATATGGATAACCCTCTTGCTAGGGGGAGTATTGAGAGAAGCATTATTCAGACTATGGAATGGAATGCAGAAGAAAAGCAAGGTTCAGGAGGATACCCAAGGCATTTAGTGGCTAAGGTAACAGTAAGCACAAAGATTGCATGGCCTGGGATGTCTCATAACTCTGGAGAGCATATCTAGAGAAAAGGACAAATGTAAGGCACTGAATGCCAGACACAGGGCATTGGTGGGAAATCAGAAAGTATCTACTGCATTTTTAAAAGAGTCTCTTAGGTCCTATAGAAACAAGATAGACACGATTGAAAATTAAACACAGAGCCTGATTGGAAATGCTGCAGAGTTGAAGGGTCCTTTTGATGTTCAGTCTAACACTCTCCCAACTGAACTCTTTTGGCTGGGCTGCAGTGTCAATTAAATGCACAACACTTTAGGTCTCTTGTACTAAGTTACAACATCGATAGGAAAGGAGTAGGAACCTAAGACACGTGGTGGAGACATTCCAGCAAAAGAGGTGGGCTGAGAACTTTGAATCCTCATGTCCCCTGAACATTCCTTGTCAGCACAAGCATTTTCCTCTCCGCTCTCTGAGGCAAGCAGACTCCCCCTTAATAAAAATCTGCCAATGGCTACATTTTCCCATTTAACTTGTCCATTGGGCTGGTGGCAAAAGCCAAACTGGCCTTGGAATATGAATGTGGATTTTTGCAAGTTTAAATAGGTGATGATGTCATTTGCAGTCTGGCACCTGGTATGCAGATACTGACATGGAAAATGCTTTTTCTCCATTTCTATCAGCAAAGGTAATCAGAAACAGTTTACCTTTACATGGCAAGGAGCATGGCACACCACCATTGTTTTATTACAGGGCTATGTCAACTCTCCTATTCTGTCATAATAGAATCCAGAGGATGATAATATTACTGTCTCACAGATTATCATACTGGTCCATTACATTGGTTACATTATGCTAATTGTGCCTGGTGAGCAGTAAGAAGCAAGCACTCTAAGTTGCCTTTGTAAATCACATGTATGCTAAAGAATAGAAGAAAAATTCTGACAAAGTTTAAAGGTCTGAAACACCAGTGAAGTTTCTGTGGGTCCAATGGTTGAGGCATATTAAAATAACTGCTCCAAAAGTTAAAAATACCTGGCATCTTCTATCACAAAGAAAAGAACTCTTTGGATTTCAGAGGCAACCTATACCATCTTTGAGCATCCTTCTCTGATCCTGTAAGCAAGTGAGACACAAGGCATTCAGTTTTGAGTGGTGTCCAGAGCAAGAAAAGGCTCTACATCAGGTTCAGGCTGCAGGGCAAATTTCCCTGCCACATGGGCCTTATGACTTTATGGATCAATCGTATTGGAAAGATCTCTGTCAGATATAGATGCTATAATAGGTCTCTTGGTTGATTAAAATAATGCCAACCTGGATATACCCTTCTTTCTGAAACTTAAATTATTCTTACTGAATATATATATTCAACTGAATTTGACTTTGTGTGTGTGTGTGTCTTCAGTCGCAATCTTCTTTCTTTCTTTTCTTTTCTTTCTTTTTTTGAGACAGAGTCTCACTCTGTTGCCCAGGGTGGAGTGCAGTGGCATGATCTCAGCTCACTGCAACCTCCTCCTCCCAGGTTCAAGCGATTCTCCTGCCTCAGCCTCCCAGGTAGCTGAGATTACAGGCATGCACCACCAAGCCTGGCTAATTTTTGTATTTTTAGTCGAGACGGGGTTTTACCACCTTGACCAGGCTGGTCTTGAACTCCTGACTTCAGGTGATTCACCTACCTCAGCCTCCCAAAGTGCTGGGATTACAAGGGTGAGCTACCATGCCCAACCCACAGTCTTCTTTCAATCTCTTTCGGATCTTCCTCCTTCTCCCTCTCTCTTCCCCCTTTCTCCTCCTCTTTCTCTTCCACTTTACTCTTTCTCTTTCTGAATAAGTATGTTATGAATATCCATTATGTGCCAGAGATTGTGCTAAGCATTCTATTCTTTGAGTTCTTTAGTCAAGGACTCATTACAACCATCTACAATAAGACTTTTCTTTCTTTCTTTCTTCTTCTTTTTATTTATTTATTTATTTTTTTGAGATGGAGTCTCGATCTGTCACCAGGCTGGAGTGGTGTGATCTCGGCTCACTGCAATCTCTGCCTCCTGGGTTCAAGTGATTCTCCTGCCTCAGCCTCCCGAGTAGCTGGGATTACAGGTGCGCGCCACCACAACCAGCTAATTTTTGTATTTTTAGCAGAGACGGGGTTTTACCATGTTGGCCAGGATAGTCTCCATCTCTTGACCTCGTGATCTGCCTGCCTCAGCCTCCCAAAGTGCAGGGATTACAGGCATGAGCCACCACGCCCAGCCTACAATAAGACTTTTCTAGACAGACTCTTTTCTTTAAAAAAAGGTCACAAATCTCTCTATAAAGACCCATATTTGCTTTGTTTTCAGATTTTAGCAGAAGGCACAGTTGTTTTCTTCACTTTGATTAAAAAAAATGGTCCTCTTCTGAGAGAACTACCCTCTTCCATTGAACCCGCATCATTGGGAAAGATGTATTTACGGAAAAGGAAGAGAGGGAAGGTACAATCACATGCCCTCTGGTGATCAATGGGATGGCAGATGTCAACATCAGATCACCCGTATAACAAGCAATCATTTTAAGGTAAGATGGATAGAATGCTTCAAAAAGTAAAGCAAAATGTCTAACAGGATAGACTAGGGCTGTGCTGCAGTAATAAACAACTTCAAAATCTCACTGACCTAACACAACACACATAATTTCTTGCTCATGTCATGTGTTTTTTGTTGACCTACTGTAGGCACCATTCTGCATGATCCTCACACAAGGACTCAGGCTGATGGAGCTTCATCTGCAGCTTTTCAGGTCACTGTTGCAGGAGGGAAATCCATGGCAGACTGTGCATTGGCTTTTAAAGGCTTCCACTGGGAACGAACACATGTCATTTCCACATGCATCCTATTGGCTAAAGCCATGGTTGAGTTTAAGAAAGAGAAGAAGAATTCTATCATATGCTTCAGAGGAGAAACAGAAATGTTTTTAAATAGCATTAATTACCACAGAGGCAGGAGAATAGGGTCTGAAGGCAAAGAACCTAAGGCCAAGTCACACTGACTTCCTAGAACTAAATCTAAAGAAAAAACCCCAACTTTCCATGCTCAAGTAACGAAAGGACCAAAGGCCACTCCCTTTGCAACCACTCCCTCCCCCACCGTTTTCTGTGTGGCAGATGAAAAATTGAAAGAACCTCTGATTGGTCTCCTCCCACAACAAATCAGGCTGGTTGTGAGCCAAGTCTTCATTTGCATAGCAGTATAACTTTGTAACTTCACTTCAACCTCTGATTGGTCTCTTTCTGCAACCAATCAGATGTTTGCACAGGATGTAACTTTGTAACTTTTTTTTGAGGAAAGGGTCCAAAGATTCAAGGAGGTAAAAATATTAGAATGAATGTATTATGTGTGATCAGAGAAGCTGGCACTTGACAATGTTTCCTAGGAGGATCCAGAGGACACCTCTTTCATGAAAGCAATGAGGAGTGCAGTGCTAAGGAGCACTCATTATTTGAGCACTTTGTGATAACTGTCTTACATAGGCTGGGCTTGACAGAAGATATTGCCATGGAATTGAGATTCCTAGTATCAAGGGGATGACAGGACCTGGAATGGAAGAGGTCAAATGGCAGGCCTGTTAGAGTGATGTGGACATAGCTGCTATGACAGCTACTGCAAGGCTAGAGTAGGATTCAATATGCCTTGACCCTGAAGAATCTGCAGCAATGGCTGACAAGTCAGGGCATTCTGACGAGGGCGACAGAGAGTCAACCAAAATGTTACTTACTCTTACTAGGTTGGTGCAAAAGTGATTACATTAAAAATAATGGCCAAAACCAGCAATCACTTTTGCACCAACCTAATATAATAAAAAGAATACATCAAGAGCTGGTGAACAGAAACATTTACCAGTTTTCACTTCAGAAAAACAGATTTTCCTCACCCACTTTCCAGATAAGTCATTTCACAGACCTGGAGCCCACTCATTGAACAAGAGATGGGTAACCTGAGGAAGGATTTTGCAATACTACTGCAAGGATATATGATAAATATTCCCCAAAAGGATCTAAGACTATTTATCAGCGTAACTGTGAACCTGCAAAAAGAAAATCCTCAGACTTTTCAAGAAATGTTGTATATGAGGAACGTGGCTCTGTATTGATTCTGAATCAAGGGACCTGAAATACCTTTATTATGCTCCAGTTAGAATGGGGGCATAGAGAAGCCAAGTGATAGATGCAATTTTAGCTCAAGTATGTCTCATAATCGGTTTAGGGGATCTGTTAGATCTAACCTTTGGCTATTTCTCTGGTTTCTGAATGTGCTGTCGGGATATGGATAGTTACTAACTGGCAGAACCTTCATATTTTTCTCCAGCCTACAGAGTAAGAGCCATCATGGTAAGACACTTGCAACTGTCCTTCCCCTCAGCCAAGTTAATATGTCTAAGTAATAACACATATGGGAGGAATTGCAGAGATTAGCAGCACCATTAAACACTTTAAAAGTGCAGGAGTGGGCTGGGTGCCATGGCACACACCTGTAATCCCAGCACTTTGGGATGCCGGGGTGGGTGGATCACCCTAGGCCAGGAGTTCGAGACCAGCCTACCCAACGTGGTGAAACCCCATCTCTACTAAAAATACAAAAATTAGCTGGGCTTGGCAGCGTGCACCTATAATCCCAGCTACTCAAGAGGCTGAGGCAGGAGAATTGCTTGAACCCAGGGGGCAGAGGTTGCAGTGAGCCCAGGTCACACCACTATACTCCAGCCTGGGTGACAGAACGAGAGTCTGTCTCACAAAAATAAATAAATAAATAAAAATAAAAAAAATTAATAAGTGCAGGAGCATTGATATCCATTATATTCTCAACTAATTACCCACGTGACCCCTACAGGAACTCTATGGACCATGGTAATGAGGGTGAATTTAACCAAGTGATGGCTTAAATCAGGTCTGCCACATCAGATATGGTGTCTTCTAGAAGAGAACAAGACTGCCTTTGGCACTTGGAATGCTGCTATTGATCTGGTGAGTTTGCTCTTTCTTAATTTCCATCAGTAAGGACCAAAGGAGTTCATTTATACATAGAAAGAAAGGCAGTACATATTTGCCATTTTACCCCAGGTTTTTATTAACACTCTTGCTCTCTGTCACAATATAGTCTGCAGAGATCTTGGCTATCTTGACATTCTACAGACTATAACTGTGATCTATCATATTAATAATATCATGCTAATTGGACCCGATGCACAGGAAGTAGCAAATATTCTAGAGGCTTTAGAAAGACATATGCGCTGCAGCCATAAGGACTATAGCAGTGAAGGGAGTGGAATTTATTAGACCACTTTTTATGCATTGCCAAGACCAGCTCAGTCGGGGACACCCTAACCCAGGGGCACTAGAAGAATTAAAGACACACACACAGAAATATAGCATGTGGAGTGGGAAATCAGGGAACTCACAGCCTTCAGAGCTGAGAGGCCGGAACAGAGATTTACCCACATAGTTACTGACAGCAAGCCAGTGATAAACATTGTTTCTATAGATTATGGATTAACTAGAAGTATTCCTTATGGGAAACAAAGGGATGGGCCGAAACAAAGGGAGGGGTCTGGCTAGTTATCTGCAGCAGGAACATGTCCTCAAGGCACAGATCGCTCATGCTATTGTTTGTGGTTCAGGAACGCCTTCAAGCAGTTTTCTGCCCTGGGTGGGCCAGGTGTTCCTTGCCCTCATTCCAGTAAACCCACAACCTTCAGCATGGATGTCATGGCCTCATGAACATGTCACAGCACTGCAGAGATTTTGTTTATGGCCAGTTTTGGGGCCAGTTTATGGCCAGATGTGGGGGCCTGTTCCCAACAATGCATGAATTTATATCCTCTCCAGCCCTCTTAGGCATCACTGTAGTAACCAGTTTTGGACAGGCTTTGAATAGTTTTGCACAAAAATAATCTGATAATATTTTATCTGGGCCTACTACATTCTATAATTGTTGCTTCCTGCCCTGGAGATACTTTAATGATGAAGTGTGCGATACCAATAGGAAGCCACTTGCCACCCATGAGCCAAATGGAAATGTAAGATAGTTACAGTCATGGGGCAAAGCTTGCCCAATATGGTTGGAAGCCAGTGGAGAAATGCTTTTCTCTCTCTTCACTCAGATGGGCAATTTTAAGATGCATCTCATAAGTTAGATCCTCAGAAGGTCTTGGTGGGATTGAGCAACAGTTGTCCATAGTGGCTGCCAAATCAATAATGCATCATTAAATTGTTTTTTGTTTTTCCTTCCCTATTTTACTCCTCCAGACTCTCACTCCTCCTCCTTAGAATACTTCTTAAATAAACTACCTGAATGCAAGACTCTGGCGTTTGGAGGACTCAGGCTAAGATGATTCTCCATTGTCATTGTCTGTGTTACTCCACTTGTTTGGGGGAATTCTATCTTCTGTGGCCACGTGATCTGAATAGGAACTGCTATATTCTTAGATAACTTTATCACCTCGGCCACAGAAGTTGGTCAAGGGATGAACATGGGACACAAGATGGGGCAAGTAGGGTGCTTCTCCAGATTTTCTCTATTTGGAGCTATTAGGAAAAATAGCCTTCCTTTCTAGTTATAGAATTGTAAGCATATAGGTTTTTAGCCACTTGTAGCATGTTGTCCACAACTTGAAGAAATTGGTCTGAGAGAATAGAGCTGACATCAGAAAAAAATTGGAGGGAAGGTATAAAGTGATAATCTCAGAATGCTCTGCATCAATCATTCATAATCTAGCTACATATACCCTTTACAGTCATGCAACAATATATCTTTGTGCGGGTGGCAATAAGTTTCTGTTCATGTAGACGTTAGTTTAAACGGAATTTCTTTCACTTGTAATTCAAAGGCGTTCATAGATAAGAATTCCTTCATGGGAATTATGTTTTATTTTTAAATAAATTTCATGTCTATCCCTTGCTTCCTTGAAATAATTTTACTTGTACTTGGTAACTATAAGTAAATTTTACTTGAAAAGTATAGCCATGTCTGAAAAACATAATTAAGAAACATACAGAGTTGAAGAGCAGTGTGGGCTTTGATGTCAAATAGACCTACCATTTCTAAGTTATGTGACCTTTGAGCAAGTGACTTAAGCTACCTGAGCCTTCACTCCCTCATTTGTATCATAAGTGCTCAGTGCAGGAAAACAGAAAGCACCTTGGGTATTTCAAGCAGAAAGAGATTTAGTACAAGGAATCAGATTCTTTAAAAATTAATTGCCCAGGAGGAATAAAAGTTGGGAGGCCATCATTCACTGTCACATTATAATGCTGCTGCTGTTATTCAAATATTAGAAAACTTCAGAGACCCTTGTCGCACTCAGAGCTGAAGATCGCATAACACTGACAATGTTTACTTAACAACTTTCACCCATGCAGAATAAAAGTTGCTATTTTCCTCCCACAACTATGTTTTATGAATGCCTGATCCTACATTTGAATTTTTTTCTTCTGTTAAGTAGCACAATGGGTTTGGTTTTGCTAAGGTAAACCCAAAATTGAGTTTGTGAAAGGGTTCAAGAAATGGAATTGTTCTTCATAATAGAAGAGTTTGGAGTTCTTCAGACCATCAAGAAGGGAAGGGGTAAGGATGAGAAGGAAAATGGGAGAAATATGGAGAGAGGAGAGAGCAAGGTTGTCAGTAGCCTGGTGCCATGTGGGATGCAGCAGGGAGCTCCAAGAGCTTATAGAAATGGAAATGGTTACCTGTTAGTGTCTTTTAAAAAAATGCCCCAGTTAAGGCACCATCACTGCTTCCAGTTTCCACCAAACCAAAGTAAATAATGATGGTATGGACTATTTCAAACTACTCAAGTCCTGTTGTTAAATAGAGGCTCAGAAAAGTGAAGTGGTGTCAGAGTGGCAAATGGCAGAGTCAGAACACACACCCAGGCACTTGGCAATAACACTGGGGAAGGTGTCAGACCTTCCGTAAATTGTGAAATAAAGGTTTAAGCATATTTAGCAGGAAAAGCTTCGCATAGAAAAAATGTTCCAAAATACAGAACCAAAGCTAAATAATCTCTGTGAGCACATCTACTGAAAAGAAAATGTTAACAAATCAAGGAGATAGTTAAACTTCTTATAGCAGCTCCAAATAATCATCATAGTCTCTCAGAGACACAATTCTAAAAATTAAACAGAATAAAAGAAATGCTGCTCATTGAAAATCTTAATTGACCCAGTAAATTTTATTTTATTTTATTATTTTTTCTTTTGAGATGGAGTCTTACTCTGTCACCCAGGCTGGAGTGCAGTGGCTCAATCTCAGCTCACTGCAACCTCCGCCTCTTGGGTTCAAGCAATCCTCCTGGCCTCAGCCTTCTGACCAGGGAGTTTTTTAGTCATCAAATACTCAACTGACTGCTTAGAAAGTTCAAATTGTTATATTTATAATTCTCATATTGACTACAAAGGATTCAGAAAGTATAAAAAGTTATTATACTAATCCTACAGCATTTTTACTGCCTTTTGCCAAATTTATTGTATATATTGACTTGTGATATTGTTATGTATCTACCTGTATTTTCCCTTCCACTGGATTAAAGTTCAGCTTTGCATTTCTGCAAACTGCCTTGTAAATAATAAGTAGCAAATATATGCCAAATTAAATTGATAGTCTAGCGGTACTAATAATGTGTAATAGAAGAGATTAAAACCCAGGTTATCTTAGTAATTTGACACTTGCTTTGAAAAGTGTGAGAATGTGTTTTTGAAACTCTACGCGTATTGTTTCTATTATGAAATTAAAATATAATTTAGGAAGCCCTGAATTAATATCACACCTTTCTTCCAAGAAGCCTGTTGCTCATCATGGCCTTCAAGGCCACTGTTTAAGAAATAGATGGTCATTGCCAATCCCACCACCCTTCTACCCATCCATGGCCCAGAGAAAGGAGTTCTTGGCTGTTCATCTTGCTTTGAAGGGAAATGTGGCTTTGGCAGCTGTGGGAAATTTCTTTTTTTCTTTGAAACTTACATATAAAACATATTGAGAGAAAGAAAGAAAGAAAGAAAGAAAGAAAGAAAGAAAGAAAGAAAGAAAGAAACAGATTCTAAAAGTAATCTCTTCACTTCTAAAAATTTGGAAACTATAGTACGTATCAGGTATCGAGAAGGAAGTGAATATAACTCCTATAAGCTAACTTTCTAGTCTTTTTTTCTTGAGCATTTTTTTTTCATGGTTAAGATTACACACTGCACATTCTACTTGGTAACCTGCTATATATAGACATATATCTATATGCATCTCCGCACCATTTATGAGAATTGATGTCTTTAGTGACACAGATAAACATCTCTTAAAGTTGGGTTAGGGTGACAGTTCTCAAGCTATGGGTAATGATTAAGAGCAGATTCATAAGTTAGACATAGGAGCTTTGAAATGTAAAGTTCTTTGGAAGATTAGCTACGCATATTTTCCATGGACAGGAAAATGGAACTCATCTGTGTTTGAGGCCATGGCTGACACATACAGAGTACCTCTGTACCACCAGGTGCATGACAGCCAGAGAAATGGCAACAGATGGCAGGGGTTGGTGTCAGTGGCTCCTGGTCAGGTGGTAAGTGCTCTGTGCAACAGCATGGGTACAGTCCTCTGGCCTCTTTCTTCTTAACTGCTCCACATCAAGTGTGTTCTCTTGACACTTTTGCTCTCCCTCTTTTTTCTCAGCTTGCTCTCTCTCTCTTTGCTTTGTATTCTGGAGTCTCCTCACATGTTGTAAAATCAGAGGTCTCCTTCCAGTCCACAAGTGTATTTTATTTGCTCAGGACACTTTCTAGACTTCCTGGAATGCCAGTTCCAAGATAACCTCATTTGTTCCCCAACACTCACCTCTCGGGATGGCCATGTGCCCCTTCTGTCAGCTAAGAGAATGCCCCATTCTTCACTCTGGGAACAAGTCTCCCCAAGGTGTTTCAGAGAGAGCAAGATTTAATCTGCCCAGATCTGGTTCCTGCTACAGGAAAAACTCAGTTCTCGGGGATTCATCTGTGCAGCTGCCACTCTACTTCCTGTTCCTGGCTGCTATCAAAGTCATTCACACCAGACATCATTTTTTTAAAAAAACAGGTTCAGCCTTTGAACAATGTATCTGCTCCTCATGTGTGTACTTTAGGGCTGGGTAGGCCAGTAATTCCTCTTCTCTCCATCTCTTAGGGACTTTGGAGAAAGGCCCAGCCTTTTTGCTCTAACTATGCTTAGCATTGCCTCCCCTGCAGCCTCTGAGCCGCCACTCACACCTAAGAGTAGCTGTCGGCATTAAGTGGAAACTCCCTCTGAGTTAAGAAAGCTTCTTTTCTCCCTCTGCTAGGGCTTTTAGAATTTTCCTGGTACATCTGACTCTGCTGGGTCTAGGAAGCACATTAAGTCCCACAATCCACCTGAGTAGTTAGGGTCTCAAGACATTATCCTTTGCTGCAGAAACATCCACAGTAGTGCAGAGATTGGCACCCACTACAAGCAAAAGGCTGGTTTCAGAAATTGTCTCTCTGAGTGTTGAAGTCAAGGTGGTAGTGTTGCCTAGGATAAAAAATGTTTATATTAACTACCCTTTATTGAGCCCCTAGGATGGGCCATGTGTTATTTAATTTTATTATATAATTATTTCATTTTAATCATTACAGTAACTATGTGAAAGTAGGTATTATTGATCCTAGTCACAATTGAATAGAAGCTGAGACAGACTGAGTGACTTCTCCAAAGGTACACAGCTAGTAAACGGCAAAACTGGAATTTAAACTCAGATCTGCTTGACTTCAGATCCTAGCTCTTAGTCACCATGCTAACAGCCTCCCACAGAGAAAACACTGAGATAAACTCCACTGGAGTAACAGCATAGGTCACATCATTATGAAACAGGCCATTTGGAATTTGCACTACCAGTCAATGATTTACAGGGTCCAACTACATGCAAAGTACACTGTCAGGTCTGTGAAGGACAAGGCAAATTATGATGAGATCCTTGCCCCGAAATTGAAGAGATGACATCAAACTGAATGCCGAGTGAAAATGCAAGTGTTAAAGAGCAACATCAGTAAGCAAGAGATACCACAGATAACTCATACAGAGAACTTACTATGTATCAGACATTCTTCGGAGCACTTTTTTTTAACTCTATTTTTTGATGTAGTAAAAAATACTAGATAACTTATCATTGTTTAAGTGTACAGTTCAGCATAATTAAATACATTCACATCGTTTTGTAATCTTGACCACTGTTCATCTCCTGAACTTTTTTGATCATCCCAAACTGAAACTCTGTACCCATTAAACCATGATTCCCAATGTCCCCTTTCCCCGAGCCTCTCCTGGCCACTATTCTGCTTTCTGTCACTATGTATTTGACTATTCTAGATACTTCATATAAGTAGAATCACACAGTATTTGTCCTCTTGTGTCTGGCTTATTTCACATGGCATAATGTCTTCACGTTTCATACACGTTGTAGCATGAATCCAAATTTCATTCTTTTTTAGGAAGGAATTTCCTTTTAAAGAGGGAATTCATCAATGGATAAGTAGATAAACAAAATGTCAAAAATTATATAAACATATATAAACAAAATTCATATATGCACTCAGCTTTTTAATCATTTATCCATTGATGGACCTTTGAGTTGTTCTAAACATCTTTATAAGAATTAACTTAGGCCAGGCGCAGTGGCTCACATCTCTGAGGCCAGCACTTTGGGAGGCCAAGAGGGGGAGATCACGAGGTCAAGAGATCAAGACCATCCTGGCCAACATGGTGAAACTCCATCTCCCCTAAAAATACAAAAATTAGCTAGGTGTGGTGGCGTGTGCCTGTAGTCCCAGCTACTCAGGAGGCTGAGGCAGGAGAATTGCTTGAATCCAGGAGGTGGAGGTTGCAGTGAGCCGAGATGGCACCACTGTACTCCAGCCTGGGTGACAGAGTGAGACTCTGTCTCAAAAACAAGAAAAAAAAGAAAAAAAAAGAATTAACTTAACCTGTGAGATTACCATCATCATTTTCAGATGAAGGAACTGAGGCTGAGACATACCAAAAAACTGGTCCAGTAAGTGGTGAGTTTGAATCCAGAGGCCTCCATAAAGAGCCTGAAGTCTTAACTATTACGCTCTGCTGTCCATATATATATATATATATATATATATATATATATATATATTTTTTTTTTTTTTTTTTTTTTTTTGAGATGGAGTCTCACTTTGTCGCCCAGGCTGGAGAGTGCAATGGCGCGATCTCAGCTCACTGGAACTTCCGCCTCCTGGGTTCAAGCGATTCTCCTGCCTCAGCCTCCCAAGTAGTTGGGATTACAGGCACCTACCACCACACCTGGCTAATTTTTGTATTTTTAGTAGAGACGGGGGTTTCTTCATGTTGGTCAGGCTGGTCTCGAACTCCTGACCTCATGATCCGCCTGCCTTGGCCTCCAAAAGTGTTGGGATTACAAGGTGTGAGCCACCACGCCCGGCCGTCCCTATATTTTTTAAGTGACAGGTATAGGTTACTAAACCTGTATGTTGCAAGGATGAGGAAATCCCAGCAGGTTGAATTGAGATAGGAGCTCTTCATAGGGGCTGTGGCCCTGCATCTTAAGAGACATCAAAGATTTAAACAGACTGTGGGCTGCAAGAGCCATGGCATGAAGGGCGGGGCAGGACTTGTCTGAGAAGAAGGTTATGTAAGGGCCTGCAGGACCAGCCATTTCCCAAAGAGAGACCGCATGCCAAGCGAAACACCTGCTTAAAAAGTAAACCAAGCAGTTGCCCAAGTACCTCCCCACAGCCTGCTTGGCAGGAAACAACCTTGTCAAGACTCTGCTTCCTCAAAATTAGCCACTGGGTACAGTGGATTAAAAGGGTTTTGAAAACTCAATACATATTTTCCCTGAGACCTGTCTATACATTTAACTTTATAATCAAATGACATTTTAAGTGCCCTAGAAGGACTGGGAAACATGTCATTTCTTTTTAAGTAGCACAGTTTACAGACAGTCCCTGTTTCCTTACTTTATATTTCACTGAATCATGCATCAACATCATATAATCACAATCCATCTTTCCACTCTTTACCTCCTCAGTGATTCTTTCTGCTGAGGTCCGAGTGGGTGAAGACAACAAGAGCAGTTCAGAATTTGCCTAGAACCACTAGTATTCAAATGGTAGCACTTTGAGGCTTTAGGATTGTCAACTGCTTAAAAGCAAAACCTCTGCCTCCTTTACCTGTCTCCCTCTGAGCCTAACAGAAAGTAGCTGCCCAATACTTTGAAAAATATGGTCTCCTGAATGGCATGTGCAAACCAAAAAATATCTGAAACAGGTCTCAATCAAATTTTTTTTTTTTTGAGATGGAATCTGACTCTGTTGCCCAAGCTGGAGTGCAATGGCACGATCGCGGCTCACTGCAACCTCCACCTCCCTTGTTCAAGCAATTCTCCCTGCCTCAGCCTCCTGAGTAGCTGGGATTACAGGCGCCCACCACCACGCCTGGCTAATTTTTGTATTTTTAGTAGAGACAGGGTTTTGCCATGTTGGCCAGGCTGGTCTCAAACTTCTGAACTCAGGTGATCTGCCCGCCTTGGCCTTGCAAAGTACTTGGATTACAGGCATGAGCCACCATGCCTGGCCAGGTCTCAATCAGTTTAGAAGTTTATTTTGCCAAGGTTAAGGTCACACACCTGGGAGACAGGTCTGTGCCTTTCTCCAAAGATGATTTTGAGGGCTTCAATATTTAAAGGAGAAAGAGCAGATACTGCAGAAAGAGGAATAAATTTTTAAAAGGTGTGGGTAGATAAGAGACAAACGATTACATTCTTTTGAGTCTTTGATCAGGTCTTCACATGTGAGGGGGTAGAAGAATAGCCACTTATGCATTCATCAAGCTCAATGAATCTGCATTTTTACTAAGATAAAATAAGCATAGGGCAAGAGGGAGCAGTCAGACATGCATTGGTCTCAGGTGAGCAGAGGGATGATCTTGAGTTCTGTCCTTTGACCTGTACCTGTGAAGATAAACTATCAATTTACATCATCAGGGTGAAATTTGACAGAACTGTTTTAGAGTAAAGATCTTGGGGTCCACAAGGAATTTCCTAGTGGGGGCAAACTGTGAGGAAGGTATGTAGCTTTTTATCTTTGAATGGGAAGCAGATTTGTGTGAAGCAGTTCCCATCTTGACTTTTCCCTTTGGCTTAGTGATTTTGGGGTCCCAAGATTTGTTTTCCATTCACACAGGAAACCAAAAGACAAGGACTTCTTGAAATGAAGAAGCAGCAATTCCCTAGCTTGGACTTGGCCACCTTATGGTGTGGTAACAAGCAAAGGCCCTTAATTCCTACTATCCAGAACTTCCTTCTTCAATACAAATAATGTCCAGTTTAAACTCATTTCCTAAAGAATATTATAATAAATAAGAAAGCAAAAAAGTCATGAGGAGGCCAGGCATGGTGGCTCACACCTGTAATCCTAGCACTTTGGGAGGGTGAGGCAGGTGGATCACTTGAGGCCAGGAGTTAGAGACCAGCCTGGCCAACATGGTGAAACCTCACATCTACTAAAACTACAAAAATTAGCTGGGCTTGGTGGCACATGCCTGTAATCCCAGCTACCTGGGAGGCTGAGGCACAAGAATCGTTTGAACCTGGAAGACAGAGGTTGCAATGAGCCAATATTGTGCCACTGCACTCCAGCCTGGGTGACAGAGTGAGACTCTGTCTCAAAAAAAAAAAAAACAAAAAAAAGTCATGAGGATAGCACATGGTATTAATACATACACGTTTGTGTTAAAAACATTTATTGTGTTATTATCATAAAAAGGAAGGAAAGCTAACCCTTCAAAAAATGGTCACATCTTTAGGATTACACTTTTTCCTTGTAGGTGAAAATATTCTTATGAGGAAGTAGGGAAGTTAATATGGAAAATGTTATATATAACATTTAATAATGACAATACATGACAGATTTTTAAATTAGCTTTTGTTTTTTAAATTATGACTTAAGCAAATCAATTCACATTTAATAACTCATTTTTAAGAGCCCTTATAAAGAACATTGGAGTTGACTTCATTTCAAGGTAGTAATGATGATAAGTGACACGGAGAACTTGGAGACTTCCACCATAAGAGATACATTTCAGGGACTTCGGCCAGACTGAGAGGTGTCCAGTGAGTGACGATTTGCCCAGAGATGCAAGTGCTTGCCCTTTACACTTGCAGTGCCTCTCCTTCCCAGTACCTGGCACAGTTGTGTCAGCTGGTCAACCCACAGAACAAAGTTCATGCCTTTATTTTAACTAAACCTCTCTTTACATTTGGTGCACTAAAACAGACACATGCACAAACATAAAAGCTACAAAATTTGGGAAGCAAAAACTGATAGAACTGAAAGGAGAAATAGAAAAATCTATTAGAGTGAAGACATGAACACCATTCTCTCAACAATTGATAGAACAAATAGAAAGTCATCAAGGATATAGAACTCAACACCATCCGCCACCAAGAACTAATAGACATTTATACAACACTCCATTTAACAGAAGAACACATATTTTTTTTCCAAGTATCCACGGCACATTTACCGAGATAGTCTACATCCTGGCCCATAAAACAAACCTAAACAAATTAAAAACAATTGAAAACACACAAAGTTTGTTCTCCAAAAACAATGGAGTAAAGCTAGAAATGAAAAACATAAAATTAAGAAGAAAATCTCCAAACACTTAGAAACTAAACAACATATGTCTGTGTAATTCATGAGTCAAAGAAGAAGTCACATGCACAAACATAAAAGCTACAAAATATGGGAAACAAAAACTGATAGAACTGAAAGGAGAAAGAGACAAATCTATTACAGTGGAAACATTAACACCATAAATAAATAAACACATTCATTGAACTGAATAAAAATGAGAATACAACATATCAAAATTTGTAGTACAGAGATAAGTCAGTACTCAGAAGAAAATGTTTGTTTTTCCTAATACATGTATCAAATGCATATATTAGAAAAAGGGAAAAGTCTCAAATCAATAATCTAAACTTTTACCTCAAGAACTTAGAAAGAAAAGGGCAAAATAAATCCAAAGCAAACAAAAGAAAAGAAATAATAAAGATAAGAGCAGAAATCAATAAAATTGAAAACAGAAAAGCAATAGAGAAAAATCAATGAAACAAAAATACTGGTTCTTTAAGAAGATCAATAAAATAGGCAAATCTCTAGCAAGACTGACAAGAAAAGGCACAAATTGCTACCCATATTAAGAATGAAACAGGAGCTCCATTACATATTCTACAGACATCACAGGTAGTGAGAGTTGAAGCCAGTTGGACTTCCCAGGTCGAGTGGGGACTTGGAGAACTTTTCTGTCTAGCTAGAGGATTGTAAACACACCAGTCAGTGCTCTGTGTCTAGCTAAAGGACTGTAAATGCACCAATCAGCACTCTGTAAAATGGGCCAATTGGCACTCTGTAAAATGGACCAATCAGCAGGATGTGGGTGAAGACAAATAAGGGAATAAAAACGGGCCACCCCAGCCAGCAGCAGCAACCCACTTGGGTCCCCTTCCACACTGTGGAAGCTTTGTTCTTTCACTCTTCACAATAAATCTTGCTGCTGCTCACTCTTTGGGTCCATGCCACCTTTAAGAGCTGTGACACTCACTGCGAAAGTCCACAGCTTCATTCTTGAAGTCAGCGAGACCAAGAATTCACCGAAAGGAACCAACTCCGGACACATCTTGGTGACCCAGATGCGACTATTGCCAAGTGGTTCGTACCATCAGACCTCTTTCGCTTGTTATTCTGTCGTATTTTTCCTTAGAATTCAGGGGCTAAACATTGGCACCTGTCAGCCAGTTAAAAGCAACTAGTGCGGCCACTGGACTAAACACACGGGTGTCAGGCTTTCTGGGAAAGGGCTCTCTAACAACACCCAACTCTTCGGAGTTGGGAGCATTGGTTTTCCTGGAACCAGCTTCTGCTTTTCCTGTACTTCCAGGCTGAGCCGAGGGTCGACAGAGAGGAAAGCCATTCAGCTCCGGGGTCCTGACAAAAAGTTGGTTGACCCTGTAGCCATGAGCAGAACTCTCAAAGTCACGTCACCCAAGTGAGACTCCCCCATCTACCCTATCTATCCTGACCCTTGCCTCCTGGGTCCTAATGCCTGTCAGACAAACTTCCTCTCACCTCTCTTCTCCGAGGCTAGTCCTGCTTCTAAAAACCACTCCCTGTCTCTGGTGCTTTTCTAGTTTCTCCTATAAGAATGATTTCTAGTATAAACTTCAGGACTCTGCTCCCTTCTTTAGGCACCCGGGCTCACCAGTCAGAAAGACATAATTTTTGCTCAAAGTCCCATCAGGGAGGGGGGGTACTACCTGGAATTTTAGGATCCCTCCTCAGACTAGCAGGCCTAACAAAAGCTATTCCTGAAGGTAGGATATGGGGAGCCTCAGAAATGATATCCTTCCTATTCATATGATGAGAAGTGAGGACAAAAGGCGTCACTCTTCCAACCCTGGAGATTCCTTCCCTCCCTCAGGGTATGGCCCTCCACTTCATTTTTGGGGCATAACATCTTTATAGGACAGGGGTAAGGTCCCAATACTAACAGGAGAACACTTAGGACTCTAACAGGTTTTCGAGAATGTGTCGGTAAGGGCCACTAAATCTGACCTTCCTTGGTCCTCTTTGCGGTCTAAGAGGAAAACTAATGTTTCTGCTGCTGCGTTGGTGAGCGCAACTATTCTGATCAGCAGGGTCCAGGGACCTTTGTGGGTTCTTGGGCAAGAAAGGGATCTGCTGCTGCGTCGGTGAGTGCAGCTATCCCAATAGCAGGGTCCAGGGACTGTTGCGGGTTCTTGGGCAAGAGGAGTTTCTGCTGCTGCATCAGTGAGTGCAACTATTCTGATCAGCAGGGTCCAGGGACCGTTGCAGGTTCTTGGGTGGGGCAGGGGAAAATATACAAACCAAAACTGTGGGCGGTTTTTTCTTTCAGATGGGAAACACTCAGGCATCAACAGGCTCACCCTTGAAATGCATCCTAAGCCATTGGGACAAATTTGACCCCCAAACCCGGAAAAAGAAGTGACTTATTTTTTTCTGTACTATGGCCTGCCCCAATATTCTCTCTCTGCTGGGGAAAAATGGCCACCTGAGGGAAGTATAAATTACAATACTATCCTGCAGTTTGACCTTTTCTGTAAGAAGGAAGGCAAATGGAGTGAAATACCTTATGTCCAAGCTTTCTTTTCATTGAAGGACAATCCACAACTATGCAAACCTTGCAATTTACATCCCACAGGAGGACCTCTCAGCTTACCCCCATATCCTAGCCTCCATATAGCTCCCCTTGCTGTTAATGATAAGTCTCCTCTAATCTCCCCAACCCAGAAGGAAACAACCAAAGAAATCTCCAAAGGACCACAAAAACCCCCAGGCTATCAGTTATGTCCCCTTCAACCTGTAGGGGGAGGAGAATTTGGCCCAACCTGGATACATGTCCCCTTCTCCCTCTCTGATTTAAAGCAAATCAAGGCAGACCTGGGGAAGGTTTCAGATGATCCTGATAGGTATATAGATGTCCTACAGGGTCTAGGGCAAACCTTCAATCTCACTTGGAGAGATGTCATGCTATTGTTAGATCAAACCCTGGCCTTTGATGAAAAGAATGTGGCTTTAGCTGTAGCTGGAGAGTTTGGAGATACCTGGTATCTTAGTCAAGTAAATGACAGAATGGCAGTTGAAGAAAGGGACAAATTCCCTACAGGTCAGCAAGCTGTCCCCAGTATGGATCCCCATTGGGACCTCGACTCAGATCATGGGGACTGGAGTCACAAACATCTGTCGACTGTGTTCTAGAAGGACTAAGGAGAATTAGGAAAAAGCCCATGAATTATTCAGTGATGTCCACCATAACCCAGGGAAAGGAAGAAAATCCTTCTGCCTTCCTTGAGCAGCTACAGGAGGCCTTAAGAAAATATACTCCCCTGATACCCAACTCACTTGAGGGTCAATTGATCCTAAAAGATAAGTTTGTTACCCAATCAGCCGCAGATATCAGGAGAAAGCTCCAAAAGTGAGCTCTGGGCCCTGAACAAAATCTGGAGGCATTATTAAACCCGGCAACCTCAGTGTTCTATAATAGGGACCAAGAGGAACAGGCTGAAAACGAAAAACGAGATCAGAGAAAGGCAGCAGCCTTAGTCATGGCCCTCAGACAAACAAACCTTGGTGATTCAGAGAGGACAGAAAATAGAGCAGGCCAATCACCCGGTAGGGCTTTTTATCACTGTGGTTTGCAAGGACACTTTAAAAAAGATTGTCCAACGAGAAACAAGCTGCCCCCTTGCCCATGTCCACTATGCCGAGGCAATCACTGGAAGGTGCACTACCCCAGAAGGCAAAGGTTCTCTGGGCCAGAAGCCCCCAACCAGATGATCCAGCAAAAGGACTGAGGGTGCCCAGGGCAAGCGCCAGCTCATGTCATTACCCTCACTGAGTTCTGGGTACATTTAACCACTGAGGGCCAGGAAATTGACTTCCTCCTGAACACTGGCACAGCTTTCTCAATGTTAATCTCCTGTCCTGGACAGCTGTCCTCAAGATCTGTTACCATCTGAGGAATCCTGGGATGGCCTGTAACCAGGTATTTCTTCCACCTCCTCAGTTGTAATTGGGAGACTTTGCTCTTTTCCCATGCCTTTCTTGTTATGCCTGAAAGTCCCACACCCTTATTAGGAAGGGACATATTAGCCAAAGCTGGAGCTATTATCTACATGAATATGGGGAACAAATTACCCATTTGTTGTCTCCTGCTTGAGGAGGGAATCAACCTTGAAGTCTGGGCATTGGAAGGACAATTCAGAAGGGCAAAAAACGCCTGCCTGGTCAAAATCAGGCTAAAAGACCCCACCACTTTTCATTATCAAAGGCAATATCCCTTAAGGTCTGAAGCTCATAAAGGATTACAGGATATTGTTAGACATTTAAAAGCTCAAGGCTTAGTAAGAAAATGCAGCAGTCCCTGCAACACCCCAATTCTAGGAGTACAAAACCCAAATGGTCAGTGGAGACTAGTGCAAGATCTTAGACTCATCAATGAGGCAGTAATTCCTCTATACTCAGCTGTACCCAATCCCTATACTCTGCTCTCTCAAATACCAGAGGAAGCAGAATGGTTCACTGTTCTGGACCTCAAGGATGCTTTCTTCTGTATTCCCCTGCACTCTGACTCCCAGTTTCTCTTTGCCTTTGAGGATCACACAGACCACACGTCCCAACTTATGTAGATGGTCTTGCCCCGAGGGTTTAGGGATAGCCCTCATCTGTTTGGTCAGGCACTGGCCCAAGATGTAGGCTACTTCTCAAGTCCAGGCACTCTGGTCCTTCAGTATGTGGATGATTTACTTTTGGCTACCAGTTTGGAAGCCTCATGCCAGCAGGCTGCTCTAGATCTCTTGAACTTTCTAGCTAATCAAGGGTACAAGGTGTCTAAATTGAAGGCCCAGCTCTGCCTACAACAAGTCTAATATCTAGGCCTAATCTTAACCAGAGGAACCAGGGCCCTCAGAAAGGAAGGAACACAGCCTATACTGGCTTATCCTCACCCTAAGACATTAAAACAGTTGCAGGGTTTCCTTGGAATCGCCAGCTTTCGCTGACTATGAATCCCCAGATACAGCGAGATAGACAGGCCCCTCTATAATCTAATCAAGGAGACCCAGAGGGCAAATACTCATATAGTAGAATGGGAACCAGAGGCAGAAACAGCCTTCAAAACCTTAAAGCAGGCCCTAGTACAAGCTCCAGCCTTAAGCCTTCCCACAGGACAAAACTTTTCTTTATATGTCACAGAGAGAGCAGGAATAGCTCTTGGAGTCCTTACGCAGACTCGTGGGATAACCCCACAACCAGTGGCATACCTAAGTAAGGAAATTGATATAAAAGCAAAAGGCTGGCCTGTTTATGGGTAATTGCAGTGGTGGCCATCTTAGTGTCAGAGGCTATCAAAATAATACAAGAAAAGGATTTCACTGTCTGGACTTCTCATGATGTAAATGGCATACTAAATGCCAAAGGAAGTTTATGGTTATCAGACAACTGCCTGCTCAGATACCAGGCACTACTTCTTGAGGGACCAGTGCTTCAAATATGCACGTGTGTGGCCCTCAACCCTGCCACTTTTCTCCCAGAGGATGGAGAACCAGTCGAGCATGACTGCCAACAAATTATAGTCCAGACTTATGCCACCCAAGAGGCTCTCTTAGAATTCCCCTTAGCTAATCCTGACCTTAACCTATATATCGATGGAAGTTCATTTGTGGAGAATAGGATATGAAAGGCAGGTTATGCCATAGTTAGTGATGTAATAGTACTTGAAAGTAAGCCGCTTCCCCCAGGGACCAGTGCCCAGTTAGCAGAACTAATGGCACTTACCCGAGCCTTAGAACTGGGAAAAGGAGAAAGAATAAATGTGTATACAGATAGCAAGTATGCTTATCTACTCCTACATGCCCCATGCTGCAATATGGAAAGAAAGGGAGTTCCTAACCTCTGGGGGAACCCCCTTTAAATATCACAAGGAAACCATGGAGTTATTGCATGCAGTGCAAAAACCCAAGGAGGTGGCAGTCTTACACTGCTGAATGCATCAGAAGGGGAAGGAGAGGGGAGAACAGCAGCATAAGTGGCTGGCAGAGGCAGAGAAAGACAAAGAGAAGGAAAGAGAGAGAAAGAGGAAGAGACAAAGAGAAAAAGAAGGAGCCAGAGAGAAAGTCAGAGAGAGAGAAAAAGAGAGACAGAGAAGGAAAGAGAGAAAAAGAGAGTGATAGAAGTAGTAAGGAAAAAACAGTGTACCCTATTCCTTTAAAAGCCAGGGTAAATTTCTGTCTACCCAGCCAAGGCATATTCTTCTTATGTGGAACTTCAACCTATATCTGCCTCCCCACCAACAGGACAGGCACCTGCACCTTAGTCTTCCTAAGTCCCAACATTAACATTGCCCCAGGAAATCAGACCCTATCAGTGTCCCTCAAAGTTCAAGTGCATAAGTGCAGGGCCATACAACTAATACCCCTACTTATAGGGTTAGGAATGGCCACTGCTACAGGAACCAGACTAGCAAGTTTGTCCACTTCACTATCCTACTACCACACAATCTCAAAGGATTTCTCAGACAGTTTGCAAGAAATAATGAAATCTATCCTTACTCTACAATCTCAAATAGACCCTTTGGCAGCAGAGACTCTCCAAAACTGCCAAGGCCTAGACCTCCTCACTTCTGAGAAAGGAGGACTCTGCACCTTCTTAGGGGAAGAGTGTTGTTTTTACACTTCAGTCAGGGATAGTATGAGATGCCCCCCGGCATTTACAGGAAACGGCTTCTGAAATCAGATAATGCCTTTCAAACTCTTATACCAACTTCTGAAGTTGGGCGACATGGCTTCTCCCCTTTCTAGGTCCCGTGACAGACATCTTGCTATTACTCACCTTCAGGCCCTGTATTTTTAACCTCCTTGTCAAATTTGTTTCCTGTAGGATCGAGGCCATCAAACTACAGATGGTCTTACAAGTGGAACCCCAAATGAGCTCAACTAACCACTTCTACTGAGGACCCTTGGACTGACCTGCTGGCCCTTTGACTGGCCTAAAGAGTTCCCCTCTGGAGGACACTACAACTGCAGGGCCCTTTCTTTGCCCCTATCCAGCAGGAAGTAGCTAGAACAGTCATTGCCCAATTCCCAACAGCAGTTGGGGTGTCCTATTTAGAGGGGGGATTGAGAGGTGAAGCCAGCGGAACTTCCTAGGTTGAGTGGGGACTTGGAGAACTTTTCTGTCTAGCTAGAGGACTGTAAATGCACCAGTCAGTGCTCTGAGTCTAGCTAAAGGATTGTACATGCACCAATCAGCACTCTGTAAAAAACGCACCAATCGGCACTCTGTGCCTAGTTAAAGGATTGCAAATGCACCAATCAACACTTTGTAAAAAAACACCAATCAGTGCTCTGTGTCTAGCTAAAAGATTGTAAATGCACCAATCATCACTCTGTAAAATGGACCAATTGGTGCTCTGTAAAATGGACCAATCAGCAGGATGTGGGTGGGGACAAATAAGGGAATAAAAGCTGGCCACCCCAGTCAGCAGCAGCAACCCACTCAGGTCCCCTTCCACTCTGGGAAGCTTTGTTCTTTTGCTCTTCACAATAAATCTTGCTGCTGCTCACTCTTTGTGTCCGTGCCACCTTTAAGAGCTGTAACACTCACCATGAAGGTCTGCGGCTTCACTATTGGAGTCAGTAAGACCAAGAAACCACCAGAAGGAACCAACTCTGGACACAGTAGTATTCCCTGATTATTTAAAAGTCTACATGCATATTAACAAGTCTACATATGTAAATTTGACAAGTTAGATGAAATGGACCAATTCCTCAGAAAATACAAAGTGCCACAAATTACTTATATGAAATAGATAATTCAGATTTGTAACTATGAAGGAAATTGAATTTGTAATCTTAAAACTCCCAAAAATGAAATCTCCACATCCAGATGGTTTCACTGGAGAACTTTACCAAACATTTAAAAAAGAATTAACACTAATTCTATACAATCTTTTCCAGGAAATAGAATAGGCATGAATATTTCCCAATTCATTTTACGAGGTTAGTATTGTCTTAATACCAAAACCAGGTAAAGACAGTGCAAAAAGAAAACTAAAGATCAATATCCCTCATGATATAAACACAAAAATCCTTAACAAAGTATTAGCAAATTGAATTCAGCATAGAATTATATTCTCTGACCAAGTGAGATTTATACCAGGGTTGCACGCCTGATTCAGTATTTGAAAATCAATCAGTGTAATTCAACCCATTAACAGGCTAAAAATGAAGAGCCACATGCATATCAATCAATGCAGAAAAAACATTTGACAAAATCAGCACCCATTCATCATAAAAACTCAGAAAAATAAGACTAGAAGATAATTTCCCCAGCATGATAAAGACCATCTACAACAAAAACCCTACAGCTAACACTATACTTGGTAAAAAATGAGGCTTTTCCCCTAAGATCAGAAATAAGGCAAATATGTCCACCCTCACCAATCTTACTCAAAATAGTGGCAAAAGTTAATAAGCAATAAGGCAAGGAAAGAAAACTTAAAAGCATTCAAATAAGGAAGACATAAATGAAACTATTTCTATTTTAAAATTACATGATTGTGTACAGAGAAAGTGATAAGTAATCAACAAAAATACTCCAAGAAATAAATGAGTTCAGCAAGTTTGCAGGATACAAGATAAATATACAAAAATCAACTGTATTCTTATATACTAGCAATAAACACAGGGACACAGAAAGGAAAAATACTTGTACTATTTATAAATTGTTCAATAAAAGTGAATTACTTAAGGTATAAATTTAACAAAACATATACAAGATTTATGTTCCCAAAACTAAACAATGCTAATAAAAAATATCAAAGAAGATCTAAAGAAATGGCAAAATAGACCTGTTTCAGCCCCTCTGAGCCAGAGGCCTCTTGCACAGTTCCTGGACCTCACCGGGCCTGAATGCATGGCCTTGGCTTTGTTTATAAACATTTGGGGATATTTTTGAGGTAGTCTGATATAGTTCCATGGTTTTCAACTCACAAGTCCCTGAAGTCCCTGTTAAAAATGCACATTCTTCCAAGATGGCCAAATAGGAACAGCTCCAGTCTGCAGCTCCCAGGGTGATCAATGCAGAAGACAGGTGATTTCTGCATTTCCGACTGAGGTGCCAGGTTTATGTCACTGGGACTGGTTAGACAGTGGGCAAGCCAAAGCAGGGCAGGGCATCGCCTCACCCGGAAAGTGCAAGGGGTCAGGGAATTTCCTTTCCCTAGTCAAGGGAAGCCATGACAGTGGTACCTGGAAAAATGGAACACTTGCGCCCAAATACTGCGCTTTTCCAAAGGTCTTAGCAAACAGCACACCAGGAGATTATATCCCGTGTCTGGCTTGGTGGGTCCCATTCCCACCAAGCCTTGCTCACTGCTAGTGCAGCAGTCTGAGATCAGCCTGCAAGGCAGCAGTCTGGCAGGGGGAGGGGCATCCATCATTGCTGAGACTTGAGTAGGTAAACAAAGCAGCCCAGGAAGCTCAAACTGGGCAGAGCCCACCGCAGCTCAGCCAGGCCTGCTGCCTCTGTAGACTCCACCTCTGGGGTAGGGCATAGCTGAACAAAAGGCAGCAGAAACTTCTGCAGACTTAAGCGTCCCTGTCTGACAGCTCTGAAGAGAGCAGTGGTTCTCCCAGCAAAGAGTTTGAGCTCGGAGAATGGACAGACGGCCTCCTCAAGTAGGTCCCTGATCCCATGTAGCCTAACTGGGAGACAACTTCCAGTAGGGGCCAACTGACACCTCATACAGGTGGGTGCCCTTCTGGGACGAAGCTTCCAGAGGAAGGATCAGGCAGCAATATTTGCTCTTCTGCAATATTTGCTGTTCTGCAGCCTCTGCTGGTGATACCCAGGCAAACAGGGTCTGCAGTGGACCTCCAGCAAGCTGCAACAGACCTGCAGCTGAGGGACCTGACTGTTAGAAGAAAAACTAACAAACAGAAAGGAATAGCATCAACGTCAACAAAAAGGACATCCACACCAAAACCCGATCTGTAGGTCACTAACATCAAAGACCAAAAGTAGATAAAACCACAAAGATGGGGAGAAACCAGAGCAGAAAAGCTGAAAATTCTAAAAACCAGAGCGTCTCTTCTCCTCCAAAGGATTGCAGCTCCTCTCCAGCAACAGAACAAAGCTGGATGGAGAATGACTTTGACAAGCTGACAGAAGAAGGCTTCAGAAGGTCAGTAATAGCAAACTCCTCCGAGCTAAAGGAAGATGTTCGAACCCATCGGAAGGAAGATAAAAACCTTGAAAAAAGATTAGACAAATGGCTTACTAGAATAAGCAGTATAGAGAAGACCTTAAATGACCTGATGGAGCTGAAAACTATGGCACAAGAACTACATGACACATAAACAAGTTTCAATAGCCAATTCGATCAAGTGGAAAAAAGGGTATCAGTGATTGAAGATGAAATAAATGAAATAAAGAAAGAAGAGAAGTTTAGAGAAAAAAGAGTGAAAAGAAACGAACAAATCCTCAAAGAAATATGGGTCTATGTGAAAAGACCAAATCTACATCTGATTGGTATACCTGAAAGTGACGGGGAGAATGGAACCAAGCTGGAAAACACTCTTCAGGATATTATCCAGGAGAACTTCCCCAACCTAGCAAGGCAAGCCAACATTCAAATTCGGAAATACAGAGAACACCACAAAAATACTCCTCAAGAAGAGCAACCCCAAGACACATAATTGTCAGATTCACCAAGGTTGAAATGAAGGAAAAAATGTTAAGGGCAGCCAGAGAGAAAGGTCGGGTTACCCACAAAGGGAAGCCCATCAGACTAACAGTGGATCTCTCTGCAGAAACTCTAAAAGCCAGAAGAGAGTAGGGGCCAACATTCAACTTTCTTGAATAAATGAATTTTCAACCCAGAACTTCATATTCAGCCAAACTAAGCTTCATAAATGAAGGAGAAAGAAAATCCTTTACAGACAAGCAAATGCTGAGAGATTTTGTCACCACCAGGCCTGCCTTACAAGAGCTCCTGAAGGAAGCACTTAACATGAAAAGGAACGACCAGTACCAGCCACTGCAAAAACATGCCAACTTTTAAAGACCATCAATGCTAGGAAGAAACTGCACCAACTAACAGGCAAAATAACCAGCTAACATCATAATGACAGGATCAAATTCACACATAACAATATTAACCTTAAATGTAAATGGGCTAAATGCCCCAGTTAAAAGACACAGACTGGTAAATTGGATAAAGAGTCAAGACCCATCAGTGTGTTGTATTCAGGAAACCCATCTCACGTGCAGAGACACACATAGGCTCAAAATAAAGGGCTGGAGGAAGATCTACCAAGCAAATGGAAAGCAAAAAAAAGCAGGGGTTGCAATCCTAGTCTCTGATAAAACAGACCTGAAACCAACAAGATCAAAAGAGACAAAGAAGGCCATTACATAATGGTAAAAGGATCAATTCAACAAGAAGAGCTAACTATCCTAAATATATATGCACCCAATACAAGAGCAACCAGATTCATAAAGCAAGTCCTTATAGACCTACAAAGAGACTTAGACTCCCACACAATAATAATGGGAGACTTTAACAGCCCACTGTCAATATTATACAGATCAACAAGACAGAAGGTTAACAAGGATATCCAAGACTTGAACTCAGCTCTGCACCAAGCAGACCTAATAGACATCTACAGAACTCTCCACCCCAAATCAACAGAATATACATTCTTCTCAGCACCACCTCGCACTTATTCCAAAGTTGACCAGATAGTTGGAAGTAAAGCACTCCTCAGCAAATGTAGAAAAGAGAAATCACAACAAACTGACTCTCAGACCACACTGCAATCATATTAGAACTCAGGATTAAGAAACTCACACAAAACCGCACAACTACATGGAAACTGAACAACTTCCTCCTGACTGACTACTGGGTAAATAACAAAATAAAGGCAAAAATAAAGATGTTCTTTGAAACCAATGAGAACAAAGACACAACATACCAGAATCTCTGGGACACATTTAAAGCAGTGTGTAGAGGGAAATTTATAGCACTAAATGCCCCAAGAGAAAGCAGGGAAGATTTAAAATTGACACCCTAACATCACAATTAAAAGAACTAGAGAAGCAAGAGAAAACAAATTCAAAAGCTAGCAGAAGGCAAGAAATAATCAAGATCAGAGCAGAACTTAAGAAGACAGAGACACAAAAAACCCTTCAAAAAATCAATGAATCTAGGAACTGGTTTTTTGAAAAGATCAACAAAATTGATAGACCACTAGCAAGACTAATAAAGAAGAAAAGAGAGAAGAATCAAATAGATGCGATAAAAAAATGATAAAGGGGATATCACCACTGATCCCACAGAAATACAAACTACCATCAGAGAATACTATAAACATCTGTATGCAAATAAACTAGAAAATCTAGAAGAAATGGATAAATTCCTGGACACATACACCCTCCCAAGACTAAACCAGGAAGAAGCTGAATCCCTGAATCGACCAATAAGAGGCTCTGAAATTGAGGCAATAATTACTAGCCTACCAACCAAAAAAGTCCAGAACCAGACAGATTCACAGCCTAATTCTACCAGAGGTACAAAGAGGAGCTGGTACCATTCCTTCTGAAACTATTCCAATCAACAGAAAAAGAGGGAATCCTCCCTAACTCATTTTATGAGGCCACTATCATCCTGATACCAAAGCCTGGCAGAGACACAACAAAAAAAGAGAAATTTAGACCAATATCCCTGATGAACATCGACGTGAAAATCCTCAGTAAAATAGTGGCAAACCAAATCCAGCAGCACATCTAAAAGCTTATCCACCACTATCAAGTCGGCTTTATCCCTGAGATGCAAGGCTGGTTCAACATACCACAAATCAATAAACATAATCCATCACATAAACAGAATGAATGACAAAAACCACATGATTATCTCAATAGATGCAGAAAAGGCCTTTGACAAAATTCAACAGCCTTCATGCTAAAAACTCTCAATAAACTCGGTATTGATGGAACATATCTCAAAATAATAAGAGCTATTTATGACAAACCCACAGCCAATATCATACTGAATGGTCAAAAAGTTGAAGCATTCCCTTGAAAACTGGCACAAGGCAGGGATGCCCTCTCTCACCACTCCTATTTAACATTGTGTTGGAAGTTCTGGCCAAGGCAATCAGGCCAGAGAAAGAAATAAAGTGTATTCAATTAGGAAAAGAGGAAGTCAAACTGTCCCTGTTTGCAGATGACATGACTGTATATTTACAAAACCTGATCATCTCAGCCCAAAAATCTCTTTAAGCTGATAAGCAACTTCAGCAAAGTCTCAGGATACAAAATCAATGTGCAAAAATCACAAGCATTCTTACACACCAATAACAGACAAACAGAGCTAAATCATGAGTGAACTCCCATTCACAATTGCTACAAAGAAAATAAAATACCTAGGAACCCAACTTACAAGGGATGTGAAGGACCTCTTCAAGGAGAACTACAAACCACTGCTCAATGAAATAAAAGAGGACACAAACAAATGGAAGAACATTCCATGCTCATGGTTAGGAAGAATCAATATCATGAAAATGGCCACACAGCCCAAGGTAATTTATAGATTCAATGCCATCCCCATCAAGCGATCAATGACTTTCTTCACAGAATTGGAAATAACTACCTTAAAGTTCATATGGAACCAAAAAAGAACCCACATTGCCAAGACAATCCTAAGCAAAAAGAACAAAGCTGGAGGCATCACGCTACCTGACTTCAAACTATACTACAAGGCTACAGTAATCAAAACAGCATGGTACTGGTACCAAAACAGAGATATAGACCAATGGAACAGAACAGAGCCCTCAGAAATAATATCACACATCTACAACCATCTGATCTTTGACAAACTTGACAAAAACAAGAAATGGGGAAAGGATTCTCTATTTAATAAAAGGTGCTGGGAAAATTGGCTAGCCATATGTAGAAAGCTGAATGTGGATCCCCTCCTTACACTTTATACAAAAATTAATTCAAGGTGGGTTAAAGACTTAAATGTAATACCTAAACCCATAAAAACCTTAGAAGAAAACCTAGACAATACCATTCAGGACATAGGCATGGGCAAGGACTTCATGACTAAAACACCAAAAGCAATGGCAACAAAAGCCAAAATAGACAAATGGGATCTAATTAAACTAAAGAGCTTCTGCACAGCAAAAGACATGACCATCAGAGTGAACAGGCAACCTACAGAATGGGAGAAAATTTTTGCAATCTACCCATCTGACAAAGGGCTAATGTCCAGAATCTACAAAGAACTTAAACAAATTTACAAGAAAAAAACAAACAACCCCATCAAAAAGTGGGTAAAGGATATGAACAGACACTTCTCAAAAGAAGACATTTATGAAGCCAACAGACACATGAAAAAATGCTCATCATCACTGGTCATCAAAGAAATGCAAATCAAAACCACAATGAGATACCAACTCACACCAGTTAGAATGGCGATCATTAAAAAGTCAGGAAACAACAGACGCTGGAGAGGATGTGGAGAAATAGGAACGCTTTTACACTGTTGGTGGGAGTGTAAACTAGTTCAACCATTGTGGAAGACAGTGTGACAATTCCTCAAGGATCTAGAACTAGAAATACCATTTGACCCAGTGATCCCATTACTGGGTATATACCCAAAGGATTATAAATCATGCTACTATAAAGACACATGCATACGTATGTTTACTCCAGCGCTATTCACAATAGCAAAGCCTTGGAACCAGCCCAAATGTCCAACAATGATAGACTGGATAAAGAAAATGTGGCACATACACACCATGGAATACTATGCAGCCATAAAAAAGGATGGGTTCCTGTTTTTTGCAGGGACATGGATGCAGCTGGAAACCATCATTCTGAGCAAACTATCACAAGGACAGGAAACCAAACACCACATGTTCTCACTCACAGGTGGGAATTGAACAATGAGATCACTTGGACACAGGGCAGGGAACATCACACCCCAGGGCCTGTCATGGGACTGGCCCCAGGCCCCAGGACTGGGGGAGGGATAGCATTAGGAGAAATACCTAATGTAAATGACGAGTTAACGGGTCCAGCAAAACAACATGGTACATGTATAGCCATGTAACAAACTTGCACGCTGTTCATATGTACCCTAGAACTTAATGTATTAAGAAAAAAAAGAGCAATGGCAAAACATAGTGTGTTCATGGATTGGAAGACAACTTAATAAAGATATTGATTTTCCCTAAATTAATATACAAGTGTAATGTAATTCCTATCACGGTAAGATGTTTTTGTTGATAGAGACAAGATTATCCTAAGATATATATGGAAAGGTAAAGAAAGTAACATAGCTAAAATTACTTTGAAAAAGAAAAATAAATTGAAAGGGCTGGATGCAGTGGCTCACACCTGTAATCCCAACACTTTGGGAGGCCAAGGCAGATGGATCACGAGGTCAGGTGTTCGAGACTAGCCTGGCCAACATAGTGAAACCCTATCTCTACTAAAAATACAAAAAATTAGCCACATGTGGTGGTGAGTGCCTTTAATCCCAGCTACTCCAGAGGCTGAGACAGGAGAATTGCTTGAACCTGGGAGGCGAAGGTTGCAGTGAGCCGAGATCGCACTACTGCACTCCAGCCTAGGCAACAGTGAGAGACTCTGTCTCAAAAACTAACTAAATAAATAAATAAATAAAGTGAAAAGATTCAGTTTACCTGATTTCAAGACTTAATATACAGCTACAGTAATCAAAACTGTATTGTTTTGGTAGAGAGACAGACACATAGATTAAGGAAACAGGATAGAGAACTCAGAAATACACCCACAAAATAAGCCCAACTGGTTTTTGACAAATGTACAAAAGCAATTCAATGGAGGAAAGATAGCCTTTCAATAAATGGGGCTGGAGCAATTGGACAGACATACATAGGCAAGAAAAACACACACACACACACACACACACACACACACACACACACACCTTGTCCTATATACCACATTGTATACAAAAATTAACTCAAAATGGATCATTAACTTACCATGTATAAAATTATACAACTTATAGAAAAAAAGTAAGAGGAAAATTGTGGAGTTTAGAGCCAGGCAAAGAGTTCTTAGATTTGACACTAAAAACACAATCATAAAGGAAAAAACTGATACATTGGACTTTATCAAAATTATAAACTTTTGATCTGCAAAAAATCACATTAATAAGAGGAAAGACAAGCTACATAGTGAAAGTATATGCAAATCACATATCTGAAAAAGCACTAATATCTAGAATATGTAAAGAAAAAACAGTGAAAAAAAAACAATTCAATTAGAAAATGGGAAAAATACATGAAGAGACATTTCACCAAAGAAGATACACAGATGGAAATAAAACACATGAAAATATTTTCAATGTTATTAGCCATTAGGAAAATGTAAATTTAAACCACAATGAGATACTACTACATACCTATCAAAATGGCTAACAAAAAATAGTGACAAGACCAAGTGCTAGCAAGGATGCAGAGAAACTGAATTACTCATACGTTGCTGGTGGTGATGTAAAATGGTACAGCCACTTCGGAAAATAGTTTGACAATGTTTTAAAAGATGAATCATGCAATTATCATACAACCCGCCAATTGCACTACTGGGCATTTATCCCAGAAAAATAAAAACTTATGTTCACATAAAAGCCTATTCAAAAATATTAGTAGCAGCTATATTTGCAATAGCCTCAAACTGAAAACAATCCAGATATCTTTCAAAGGGTGAATGTTGAACAAATTGTGTTATATCACTGCCACGAAATACTACTCAGCCATGAAAAAGATTGAACTATTGATACACTCAACAACCTGGATAAATCTCTAGAGAATTATGCTGAGTGAAAAAATATAATCCTAAAAGGTTACATTCTTTATAATTCCATTTGTATAAATTATTGAAATAGCAAAATTATAAAAACAGAGATTGGTGTTTGCTAGAGACTGGAAAGAAGAGGGTGTGGTTATAATAGAACATGAGGGATCTTTGTGATGATGGAACTGTCCTGTATTTTGACTCTAGTGATGGATACAGGAAGCTACACGTGGGATAAAATTGTACAGAACAAAGCTTGTATACATGCACACACACAAATGAATAAAAGTCAAATTGGGGAACTCAATAATATTGGTGCACTGTATCACTATAAATATCCAGGTTGATATTGTATTATAGTTTTGAAAGATGTCAACGTTGGGGGAAACTGCATAAAGGATACATGGGATCTCTTTGTATTATTTCTTACAACTCTGTGAATCTAAAATTATCTCAAAGTAAAAAATTTAATCAAGAAAGTAATAACTTATGATGGGGATGTCAACCAAAGCAACATGCTGCATGCTTACTGAAACTGCTTATTGATAGAACATGTGCCTTAGGAAGGGAAACAGACTTAAGCAGTCCACTTACTATTATCATAATTTATTGTATTTTTTAATTAAATTTTTATTTTAGGATAAATAACAATCTTATGGGACCACTGTTGAATATGTGGTTCATCACTGACCAAAATGTCATTATACAGCTGAGATGGTTTGGCTGTATTCCCACCCAAGTCTCACTTGCATTGTAGTTCCCATAATCCCCATATTTGTTGGGAGGGACCTAGTGAGAGGTAACTGAATCATGGGGACGGTTACTTGCTGTTCTCCTGATAGTGAGTTCTCATGAGATCTGATGGTTTTATAAGGGGCTTTTCCCCCTCTTCGCTCTGCACTTCTTGCTGCCGCCATGTGAGAAGGCCGTGTTTGCTTCCCCTTCCGCCATGATTGTAAGTTTCCTGAGGCCTCCCCAGCCCTGCAGAATTGTGAGTCTATTAAACCTTTTTCATTTAGAAACTACCCAGTTTTGGCCAGGTGTGGTGGCTCACGCCTGTAATCCCAGCACTTTGGGAGGCTGAGGCAGGCGGATTACCTTAGGTCAGGAGTTGGAGACCAGCCTGGCCAACATGGTGAAACCCCATCTCTACTAAAAATACAAAAAATAGCCGGGCCTGGTGGCACACTCCTGTAATCCCAGCTACTCGGGAGGCTGAGGCAGAAGAATTGCTTGAGCCTGGGAGATGGAGGTTGCAGTGAGCCAAAATCATGCCACTGCACTCCAGCCTGGCCAACAGAGCAAGACTCTGTCTCAATAAAAAAAAAAATAAAAAAATAAAAACTACCCCGTTTTGAGTATGTCCTTATAGCAGCGTGAGAACGAACTCATACAGCAGTGAATTACTGTACTAAAAGTAGTACAGCACAAAACCCATATACTTTCTAATGAAAAGTATATTTATAAATTGGGGTTTTTCATAATATATTATCTTGACCTTAAATATATGTATCATGGTGCTCAATAACAATTTCTCCTACTTTTGCATTTCAGAATATAGTTGTTTCTAAGCTTTTAAACTATTGGAGATCATGAGAATAACCTCATAAAATCCTACTTAACATTTACCAAAGAATTTGGTCATAAACCACTTTTAAAATGGCCTCCATTGTCCACTGTAGCTTGTTTAAGTGACTTGGATACAATGCCAAGAGTTTCTGAAGCTTTCTTCTTATTCATCATTGATATGGTTTAGCTTTGTGTCCCCACCTTAATCTCATCTCAAACTGTAAATCCCAACATGTCGAGGCCAGGAGGTGATTGGATCATGGGGGCTATTTCCCCATGTTGTTCTTGTGATGATGAGTTCTCATGAGACCTGATGGTTTTATAAGGGACTCTTCCCACTTCGCTTTGCTCTTCTCTTTCCTGCCACCTTGTGAAGAAAGTGCCTGCTTCCCCTTCCACCTTGATTGTAAGTTTCCTGAAGCCTCCCCAACCATGCAGAACTGTGAGTCAATTACACCTCTTTCCTTTATAAATTACCCAGTCTTGGGTATTTCTTTACAGCATTATGAAAATGGACTAATACAATCATCTTTCCATGTATGACCTCATCAAAGGTTTCTTTCCAGGAAGTCAGATGAATTTACTCCATGTACACTCTGATTATACATTTAATTTCCCATTTCAAAGGAAAAAAGTTGAAAGAGATTATATATTACTCTATATCAGCTAGTTAAGTGATGAACCTAGGATTTGAACCTAGATATGGCCCAGAGTCCACAGACTTAACCACTACTCTATCACTTTGCACCTGGCTGTCATTTGCAGCCTAAAGCATTCCAACAGGTACTAACTACACTTTGCTTCTCAAGGCTGCCTCAACTGAGACCTGGGATTTGAACATATTTGTCTCCCAAGTATACATCTTAAGGCAAGCTTTATTCTCCCATGCCCACTTGCAGGGCCCACTGCTTTCCCAGAAGAGGAGATGAAACATTAATGTCTACTTTTATCTCCTATTTAAATACCTAGAAAGACAGCCAAAAGTTAACATGTGAGCTCTTATTTCATATTCTGTGGATTTTAAGCAGTTTGATATGATCAAAGGGCATCAATTATGTAAGCCAAATCCTACCTTTCAGGAAAGATACTTTGCTCATAAGATCTGGCTGACAGCAACTGGAAGCTTTTATATTTGTCCCGTTGCCATTGAGGAAATAGACAAGCAAGATGTTAATGGAAGAAACTGGTAGTGGTGGGGGCTAGGGTTATATCAGAACTCTGTAGTTTGTATTCCATTTATCTGTAAACGTGATACTACTCTGAAAAATTCTATTGATATTTAATATAAAAAAAGTTTGGACTCTACAATATATTTTTATGTATTTTAGATTAGTCTTATGTTGGCTTATGTATACAAATTACTTTTTTATGTTGTACAAAACACTGGTTATTTGTATGCAGCCTTTCTGTGTGATTGATTTCTGTCTTTATACATTAAACACCATGATTAGGATCTAAGTAAGGCATTTCCATTACAGACTGAGTGTAATAGACACAGGGAAGCCTGCCACAGCATTATCACAGGGTATGTGAAAAGCCTGGTAGGAAGCTCCTTCACAGAGTCAGGGCTGTAATTCCCAGGCTGGTATCACTCCCCAGGCTGGTTATGCTCCTGGGCCCCTGGAGGCAGACAGCCCGGATCCACTCATGGCCCTGCCACTTACAAGAACATGTGGCCTGACCAAGTCATCAGCCTTTCTGAACCTCAGAGTACCCACCTACAAATGGAAATAGTAACAATCATTTCCTTATAAAGCTGTTGCAATTGTTAATGTGTCCTGAATTTTCACAAACTTAACACACCCTTGTAACCAGTGCCTTGATCATGAAACAGAACATTTCCTGGCTCTCAGCAACTGCCTTGTGCTCTATTCCTGTCACTATGCCCCGGTATAATCACTATCACTGTTCTGATGTCTGAAAGCATAGATTAGCTTTGCCTACTTTGTAACTCACGTCAGTGAATCATGCGGGACGTGCTATTTTGTATCTGGCACCTTTTCCTTAACCTGCGACCCACACATTGCCTGTAATTGTAAATTGTTCACTCACATTACTGTATTACAAATTGTTCACTCACATTACTGTATATTATTCCATTGTGTGAATATTCCACAGTGTATTTATCTGTTCAGTCCTTGATGGGCATTTAGGTTCCCGGAGTTGTTTTGAAGAGTGGGTGGTACATACTGATCTTTCACCAACTGAACACTCCGAGGGGACCAGCACCTAGGTGGAAAAACAAAAGCCTTCCACATATGCCCTTCCAGCCAGTATACTCCAAGAGTAACTCAAATATTATTTAATTTTTAAAAGTAGTACTTGACTATTAGTTAGCGTTGTTGAGGTCAGAAGAGATCCTGACGCCATCCAAAAATGAATTGTTCTCTTCTCCAGCAAGAGTTGTGCCAGAAAATCATTTGCGATCAATGAAAGTCCATCCTCATTATCTGGAAGAGAGCGTGTTACCACCTTGAAATCACTTGTACAGGGGTACGGGTGAGGCCTCGCTGAAGAGTCAGTCTCTTTAAATCACTGAGAAAGGCTTCCTATGAGAATGGGTACAGGGCCCCTGGATCTCTGAAGGTAGCTTCCTTAAAAGGATTCATCTTTATCTCTATTGTCTAAGGAAACAGGGCGTAATCAGACCCTTTTGACTTTAAGGTTTAAATAGAAAAAGTAGCCAACGTTTATATCAGTGTTTTTCAAACTATGGGCCTTGAATCACTAATGGACCACCAGTATTTGAAAAAAAAAAAAATGACAGAATAGAATAGAGGAAGATTATAGGAATGTCGATCATATGTAGTAAAGGTAAGTTTTGTGATACTTTTGTTTCAAATCTATGTATATGAGTGCCTGTGCACAAGTGTGTATACTGGGTTGAGTAAATATATTTCTCACTGTGGGTTGAGAAAACTGTTCTAGATGGATCCATAGGAAGGCAAGAGCATCAGGGTTCAGGTCTGACTCGGCTCTTCTCGGGCTGGTGATGTCCTAGAACGTGGATTTGCCTGGAATTCGAAAATGTTGCATCCTTAATGCCACAACACTCAGAGCACTGCAGAGGTGAATACTGATGGCCCTTGGCTCTGAGGCCATGGGATCATGCTCTCTGAAAGAACTGAGAAAACTGTGTGGTGACCTGTGTCAGCAAGGCCTCAGGTCAATAGTGGATAAACATCTGCTGTGGGATCATGCAGGTCTTACTCCGTGTTGAAGGTATAGTGGGACAACTGTGTGAGCCTCAGGAGGAAGTCAGCCTGATCTACCCTTTACAACCTGGAAAGCACCTGGATTCTCAGACTTTTCAACAAGAGAGAGAATCCTTGGAGGAAAATACTGAGCTTCCTGCTTATTCAGCAGATGAGTGCTTAGGCAATTTCTTGGAAAAAATAAAATGATATGAGCGTATTTTCACTTTGAGATTATGAGGCTCATTATACTAACTCAACAATTCATTCACTCAGGAAATGTTCAAGATACAGTTCTATCTATCTATACCTATCTGTCTATTTACCTCTATCTATCTATCTGTCTATCTATCCATCTGTCTATCTATCTATCTATCCATCCATCTGTCCATCCATCTATCCATTCATCTATCTATCTATCTGTCTACCTATCTATCTATTTATCTATTTTCCTACCTACTGTTTGCCTACTTACTAAGAAAAATTTAACATGAACTCTAAGTACTGGCATTATAGGCAATTTTCACATGATTATAAGAACAGATGCTCAATAAATATCTGTTGAATGAATAAGTGAATGACATTTCTTCTGTGTGCTTTATGTTTGATTCTAAACTCCATGAAAACAGAGAATATGTCTATTTTTGTTTGAGATTGCATTCCTAGAGGCTACATATAATAGGATCTCAAAAATATTTATTGTTTGAATGAAGAATACTTTTAAATTTTTTTAACAGTAAATGTATTACTTTTAAAATCAGAAAAAAATACTATTATACAGCCATCCCTTGGTATCTGTGGTGGCTTGGTTCCAGGACCCCCGGCAGAAACCAAAAGTCCAAGGATGTTCCTTATATAAAACGATGTTGTATTTGCACATGACCTACACACTTCCTCCCATATACTTTAAATGATTTCTGGATTATTTGTAGGGCCTAATACAATGCCTACACATCACTTTAGTCTCATGGTTTCAACACAGTGCTCAGCATGCTACAGATTCAAGTTTAGCCTTTTGGAACTTTCTGGACTTTTTTTTTCAGAATATTTTTAATCCTCGGTTTGTTGAATCCGTGGATGTGGAAACCACCAATATGAAAGGCTGTACTGCACTATAGTATATCATATAGTATGCCATACAAAAAATTTATAAGAATAACTAAAAATGTTTATCTATAAATTGAGGATTGGTATTTCCAAAAGATAAATACATCACCCTGACCATCTCCTTAGTGTTGAACTATTCCATTAAGAAACCAGGAGGACTGTCAGGGAGCAGAACATTCTACCAGAACACATAAGCCATTCATAATTGGAGCTCCTCCAGCATTTTCCCCATCCCTATTATCACTTTTCTATATCTTTTTTTTTGGTCTGGAGAAAATAATATTTGAATTTTTAAAATATAAAATAAAAAATTTCTTCTAGAGTGCACACAAAGAAAAATCCCAGTCCTCTGTGAGCATCCTCTTCTTTAGCTATTCACATAAAGACAAGACCTCTCAAGCCTCTGACCTTTATCTTCAAAGCCCAGTGTGAGTTGAAAAAGAGACATTATACTTTTTTGCACTCTAAATTCAGATAAGTTTGAACTATCTGCTTCATTTTAGTTCTGTTTAAAAGGAAGCTTCAGATGTTTATAATACAAAACATTTTAGGAGAAAAAACCCAAGTCCTCCATGTTTAGACATAAGGAGATCCTATCACACTTTAGATCCTTTACCATTTTAGAGTTTCTCAAATGTGAAGTCTTCCTCTCTCCACATCATTCAAGATAACACACCTTCTTTTTCAGATAAATCTAGAAATGGGTTATTTAACATTATTTCTCTTCTTGATCCTTATGAAGTGACTTCAAACAGATTAGTGTTGAAAGAATGCTGCCTCAGGATTAAGCAAGAGTACATGCCTGACTTAATCAAATAGAACCATCCACTGATAACCTCTGCCTCAGATTTAGAATCCCTTTCACCTGTCCCCTAGATGCTTTGATTATTTTTCAAATAATTCTGAAAATTTGCCAAATAATTTACTGGTAATAGTGGTAGGCGTGGAGCATGGGAGGGCTGGCAGGGAAAGTAAGTTGCTAAAATGTTCCTATGCAAAGTCCAGATCCTCTTCCAATCACAGGCTAGGAAGAATGTGATCAACAGCCTAAAACTCTCAATGAGGAGGGGGGAAGGGACTGCTCAGGACGAAGGGCAGGGGGAGCAGAGGTAAATTGATTGATCTTGTCTGGTAATCATGTTCCTTCCCACTCCCATGTTACACAATGAAGGGGGAAACAGTGCTGATTATCAAAGGAAGAATATATACAGCTGTGCTAGGTTCGGGAGTTTCCTATCACAACATAAGCTTGGTAAATATATGTGTGGGGGGATGTGTCTATCTATTTGTCTATTATTGATCTTCCTATTTACTGTCTGCCTACTTACTTATCAAAATGTAGCAATGAACTCTAAGTTTTACGTATATAATATATGCATATATATCACATAGTCCCCGAGACAGGCTTGAGGAGAGCTTGTCTATTTCCTCAATGGCAACAGGACTAATATAAAAGCTCCCAGTTGCTGCCAGCCAGTTCTTAAGGTCCTTAAGAGGGTCTCTCCTGAAAGGCAGGATTTGGCTCACACAATAGATGTCATTTGAATAGGGTGACCATATCAAGGTGCTTAAAATACACAGAATATGAAATAAGAACTCACGTTTAACTTTTGGCTGCCTTTCTAGGTATTCAAATGGGAAATGACATTAGATGTTAATGTCTGGACTCCTGGTCCCTGCAGGTGGGCATGGGAGAGTGAAGCTTGCCTGAAGCAATAGATTTGGAGGCTAAGGAGGTCCAAAGCCTAAGTCTTGGTTGAGGCAGCCTTGAGAAGCAACGTGTAGTTAGTATCAGCTGCAATGCTTTAGGTTGCAAGTGACAGCCCGGTGCAAAGTGATAGACGAGTGGTTAAGTCTACGGATTTTGAGCCAGCTCTAGATTCAACCCTAGCTTTATCCCTTAACTAGCTGTGTGACCTGGGCAAAATATTCAAGCTCCTTGTATCTTAGTTTTCTTGTGTGCAAAATGAGGAAAATAGTGAACTTGATAGGTTTCTTATAAGTTGTAAATACATGGATTTATTTAAGGTACTTGAAGAGTGCCCAAAACTTAGCTCAATGTATGTTAACAAGTAATAGAATTCTCTACTCAAACTGAGTCGAACATTTAGAAAATGTATTATATATTTCTCTTAACAGGAAGCCCAGAGGCAGAGTGGGCACCACAGTTGATTGACTGAGCAGGATGACATTGCCGCCATCTCTCCATTCTGCCATCCTAAATGGGGGCTTCGTTTTCAGGCTGGTAGTAAGATGGCTACAGAAGATCCTAACATCACATTATGAGATAGGATATGTTTCCTTCTGTGGCTTTCTTTTAAAAGAAAAGCGTTAAGTCTGGCACAGTGTCTCATGCCTGTAATCCCAGCACTTTGGGAGGCTGAGGCAAGAGGATCACTTGAGCCCAGTAGTTTGAGACCAGCCTGGGCAACATAGGGAGACCTCATCTCTACAAAAAAATTTAAAAATTAGCCAGGCATGGTAATGCATACCTGTGGCCCCAGCTGCTTGGGAGGCTGAGGCTGGAGAGTCACTTGAGCCCCGGAGGTCGAGGCTGCAGTGAGCCATGATGGCACCACTGTACTCCAGCCTGGGTTTCCTCCTTAGACTTCTAAATCCTCATTGGCCAGAATTGGTCTTTTGGCAAAGGGAGTGAATAAGTTTCCCTTAGACTGATCAATTTCACCTCTGGAGCTGGGGGTGGGATCAGCTTCCTCTCACTGCTTGGAAATAAGCGAATGTCTGAATGGTGTTGCAGTTCCATCAGGAACCATCATGAAAGGGGTGGGAAAATGGTAGAGAATGAATACTGAGTAGCCAACCAATAATGACCACTACAACTATTGTGGACAAAGACCAAGAACAGGCTGAGAGAGGATGGCACAAGAGAGTACAAGAGGCAGAGCCTGGAGAGACCCATTGAGGTAATTTCCTGTTTAAAGAGCCTGTCTGTGGCCATCATGCCTGTAATTCCAGCACTTTGGGAAGACAAGATGGGAGAATCCTTTGAGCCTAGGAGTTTTGAGGCTGCACTGAGATGTGATTGCAGCACTGCATTCCAGCCTGGGCAACAGAGGGAGACCCTGTCTCAAAAACAAAAACGATAATGAGCCTGGCCAAGCCCGCTGATGGGGAGAGAGTTGTGGAGGACAGCAAATACCACCCTAGTCCCTCATTAATCCTTCTTTTGAGGTTGGAAAGGAATAGGATTATGCTAAATTCACTTGGTGGAAAACTTTAACCCACTAGGAGCATTATGAATAAGATGGAATGATGTCAAGAGCTGTGAAGTGTCTGAGATTTTACCCTACTTGCAATCTAACAAGTTAGCTTGTCATAGTTTCACGGATACTAGCAGAAGACTTGAGACTCCTGGGTCAGAGTTAAAGGCCTTATTATTCACAGCAATAACAGTAGCCAGAGTATGAGGATTTGTGCTGGTTCCCCAAGCCCCGATTCCCACAGGGTGATGCAAAAAGAGTCAGGTGTTATGTGATGGATTACATCACAGAGGAGAGACCCTAAGGTCCAAGAATCCAGATATTTTACAAAGGGGGCTGGGCTCAGTGGCTCATGCCTATAATGCCAGCACTTTGGGAGGTCGAGGTGGGTGGATCCCTTGAGGTCAGGAGTTCAAGACCAGTCTGGGCAACATGGCAAAACCCCATCTCTGCTAAAATACAAAAATTAGCTGGGCGTAGTGGCAGGCGCCTGTAATCCCAGCTACTCAGGAGGTTGAGGCATGAGAATCACTTGAACCCGGGAGTCAGAGGTTACAGTGAGCCAAGATCATGCCACTGCACTCCATCCTGGGCAACAGAGCGATACCCTGTCTCAAAAACAAACAGACAAACAAACCAACAAATATTTTACAATGGAATGTAAGCCTGTCTACTCTTTTTCCCAGAAGCAAACATTATCTTTATTACACTAGACTAGATAGTAAGTTTGTCTATCTATACTCCCTGGGTTCTGTCAAAATTTCCCATGAATACACCACTCCATTGGCCACTCTGATTAATCTGAACAATAGAGGCTAAGGGCAAATCTGTTCCATTTGTATCATATAGCATTTAATTAAGCTATTATTAAGAGGACTCAAATCAGCAGAATGAGGCCAACCTACAAGATTGACCTTCATGCTGCCCAGGGTGCCAGACCGAGGCAGCTGAACAAATCCTATGAATCATCAGGGTCCGCTTTAGAGAGTCACGTGGCTTTCTCCGTAAATTTTTGTACTGGTCTTTCCACTTGGCCTAAGACATTAATCCAGGAACATCAATATATATCAGTGATTGCATAGACTCTGTCTTGGCCCTCAAAATGGAAATCCAGGGCAATTATATTCATAACAACCCTGGCCACTTGAGGCCAACCGGAATGCCTTCCAGGAAGGAGGCAGTAGTGTTGATCACTTAAACTAAAGTCAGGCACTAATTTATACCATGTGTTTAAACTGACTCCTGACATAGTGGCATTATATACTGGGGACACATACATAACAAGGGATACAGTTATCTCTCTGGGAATCTCTCCCACGTAGCCAAAAGTTGCCCTTTTTTGGGAGAGATATCTGTAGTTCAGAGGGCTATGTCATCTACTGGTGGTGCTTCTTTAAACATCTGAAGATTTCTTATGACCATTGCTAAGTCGTAAGTCAATGTGTTTTCAGAAGGCAGAGAGGTTAATGCCTGAGTTCTATATAAAAAGTACAGTCCCAAGGGTATACATCATGTTCATGGAAAAAAAAGTGTTGTTTATAATTGTTGGGGGTCCCTAGTGGAACCTACGTCATCTAGGTGGAGAGGCTGATGTGCCTCCGACATGACTTTTTGGCCAGTTGGTAAACTTTAAAATTCCCAGTTTAGTTTAAATGAATGAGTTTAGTCTTTGTTTTTAGAAAGACTGCCTGAGGGCAGCCAGTCCAACCTGACCTGTTTTTTCATACCACCACCTGGGTGGCATTTTTCCACCAGAGAAAATGACTGAGTGACAGTTATGAGAAGGGGCTAGGAAAGACATCTGGAGGTGTTAGCAGGTGTTCTTGTGGGAGGTGTGGGAGCTGGGGCCATCCACTGTTGTTTCTGATAGACTTCTCAGTAAGTTTAAAGGAAGTGGCAGTCAAATCATGATCAGAACCATCTGGCAGAGGATTGCAGACCCGGCAGGCAGTTCCATTTAAGTCCCTTCTGACAGTTTGGAAAAGCCTCGTCAGAGTTTTCCTTCATGAGGAAGGCTCCGGAGGTGGTTCTGGAAAACAAACATCATCTGAATCCCCCTCTCTTTTGTGTCTCTCAGGGTCTGAGTGCTCCCATCTCAGGTGCTGTTGTTTGTTTTGTCCTGCTTCCAAACTGGTGCATCCAATTCTAGTAGGTGCAATTCACCTTTTCTCAATTGTCCCCTAATCACACCCCGACCTTTGTTCAGAAGGCTGGACATTTTTATAAAAGTTATAGAGACCCATTATAGCCCCCACATTGGCCTGTGTGAGCCACTCACTGTAGGGGGATTTGGTGAGCATGTGCTCAACCAAGTGGCAATTATCACTGTAATCCAAGTCAATCCAAATAGATAATACAGATGACTGAACCAGAATTAAGCTGAACTCTCCTGGCCACCAGGCTGGCGTGGGGTTGCTATCAGGGAAAAGAAAGATGCATCATGGCCAGGAATGGTCAGGGAGAAATCTCACATTTCAAAATAAGTCTACACAGCCTTGCACTCCTTTTTGTCCTGGTTATCATCCAAAAACCTGCCAAGAGGAGATGATCTCTCTCTGGGGACAGCTGCCTTCATTAACCAAACTGCCTTACTAAAGTGGACCAAGACAAGGTGAGGGAAGTAGAGTCAGAAATCTTTTGATTCCTCAATTTTTGAAGAGGCCATTCCATTGCTAAACAATACCAAATACCTGTGGATGGTAAGGGGCTTGGAAGGTCCATTGAATATCTGTACTGTCAGTAGCAGAGGCCAGGGTAGAGAGGGAGGGAGGGATCAGAGGGCAAAAGGGGAAAGAGCCTCTCCAGCAGTGAGGCTTTTCATTTATTTTCAGTTTTAGACAACGTGGTGGCTGCTCATGGCTCAACCAAATGAAGTCACAATGTTTTTGGCCAGTCCAGTGCCTTCTATTGGGCAGCAAGGTCCTCATGTCTAACACCTTCTATTTCAGCCTGGGGACCTTTTGACTCAGAGTCACAGCCACACTGTTATCTGCCTGGCATCACCAGGTTTATGTCACTTTGCACTCTTGGGCTGGACTCACACAATGAGCCTGCAACTCTTCAATTCCAACTCACAACTGGCAAAAAATAGAGAAGCATTTCATGCCTACCTGATCATAAAATTTGGTCAACATGTTCACTACTGATTACCAGAGGCTCCCCACAGAAACTTTTTATTGGCCTATAAGGCCTTCATCATTCCTCTTTTACTTATCAATCTACATCCCATCATAGTCACTAAGACTGTCAAGAACTGTGAACATTTTGCTGTACTTATAATCTAAGTTATGCTGCCACAGTTTCATAGATGCTGACAGAAGACACAAGACTCCTGGATCACAGACAAAAAACGTTATTGCCCACAGCAATAGCAGTAGTTAGATACTGGCATTTGTACCAGTTTCCTAAGCCCTAATTGGCACAGATCAATGCAAGCAGAGCCAGATGACACCTGCACATGTAGTGGATTGTGTTGCAAGAGAGAAACCCTGAGCTTAGGGAACTAAAAACCTTTTATAATGGACAGCAAGTAAACACGCACCTTTGTTCCAGGGGAAGATACTCTATCTTCCAAAGTAGTTTGCTATACAAATATCCTTAAAAAGATAGTTCATAACAAAAGTGTCAGTCATTGTGCTTGTAAGATGTGCAGAAACATGAGACCCAAGAAGATTTGTCTTTTAATAATGAATTTTAGCAACTACTTCTCTCAGTCACACCATTCCTCATAAGTCTCTTGTGAATCACAGTCTACTTTCCATTCTTGTTCTTCACGGATGGGAGATGCAATATTGGTAGAGGAAATAAAGCCAGCAATAGGGATAATTGATAGGGATTTTAACAGAGAGAGGCAATAGGTATTAGAAGACTTATTAGTTAGAAGGTTTTTTTGGTTGCAAATGGCAGAAATCTACTACGGTTAACATAAGTAACAATAAAATTTATTACAGAACTACGGAATAGCACAGAGAAATAAAGAAAAAGTTGGACAATTCGGTCTTTAAGAGAACAGGAACCACAGAAGATCCAGGAATCTAGATTTAGGAACTAAAAAACAGTCTCTGGGTGATGCTGTTAAGATGATCCTAATGTCATTTATTCTTGTGTCACACAGCTCAAGATTCAAATTCTCATAGGACAGCATCTGATTGGCCACACTTGGGCCACATGCCCATGTTTTGGGCAGGAGAGGATAGGGATGGTAACTGTCAGTTGGAACAAAAGTGCATTCAGGGAGAGTGACAGATTTTCAGAGAAAAATTGAGATATTTTCCTACATATGAGATTCATTTTTTCAGTTTTCTCCACATAATGGGGGATATTGTTGCTAGCAGTTCTGGGATCACATCTTACTTACATCTTCATTACCAGTGACAGATGAGAAAGAATCAAAGAGAATGCCTCTGAAAGGCCAGGCTAGGTCACACGCTCTGTGTATGGGGGTTAGGGGTTGGAGCAAGACACTGGAATTTGTTCCTATTTCACTACCATAAGGTAAAATAAGGATCATATAACAGCCATTAATGGCTCTAAAGAATGCCATTAATGGCTATTATTAAAAAGTCAAGCCAGACACGGTGGCTCACGCCTGTAATCCCAGCACTTTGGGAGGCTGAGGTGGGTGGATCACCTGAGGTCGGGAGTTCAAGACCAGTCTGACCAACATGGAGAAACCCCGTCTCCACTAAAAATACAAAATTAGCTGGGTGTGGTGGTGCATGCCTGTAATCCCAGTTACTCAGGAGGCTGAGGCAGGAGAATCACTTGAACCCGGGAGGCAGAGGTTGCAGTGAGCCACGATTGCACCATTGCACTGTAGCCTGGGCAACAGGAGCAAAACTCCATCTCAAAAAAAAAAAAAAAAGTTAAGAAGTAACAGATGCTGGCAAGGTTGCAGAGAAAAAGGAATGCCCACATACACTGCTGGTAGGAATATAAATTACTACAGCCATTGTCAAAAGCAGTTTGGTGATTTCTCAAAGAACTTAAAACAGAACTACCATTTGACCTAGCAATCCCATTATTAGATATATACCCAAATATGTTAAGACATTCTTGCTTTGCTATAAAGAAATAGCTGAGACTGGGTAATTTATTAAGAAAAGAGGCTTAATTGGCTCACTGTTCTGAAGGCTTTACAGGAAGCATGATGCTGGCATCTGCCCAGCCTCTGGTGAGGCCTTGGGAACTTTCAATCATGGTGGAAGGTGAAGCAGGAGCAGTCACTTCACATAGCAAAAGCAGGAGCAAGAGAAAAAGAGCAGGGGGTGGAAGGTACCACACACTTTTAAATGACCACATTTTGTGAGAACTCAACTATCATGAAGACAGCACCAAGCCATGAGGGACCTGCCCCTTGTGACCTCAACATCTCTCACCCGGCCCTACCTCCAGCATTGGGGATTACAATTCAACATGAGATTTGGGTGGGGGAAAATATCCAAACTTATATCATCAAAGAAATGTAGATCTTTCTGCCATAAAGACACATGCACGTGTATGTTCATCACAGCACTATTTACAGTAGCAAAGACATGAAATTAACCTAAATGCTCATCAACAGTAGACTGGATAAAAAAACCTGTGGTCCATATAAAGTACTCCATGGAGTACTATGCAGGCATGAAAAGAATGAGATGATGTCCTTTGCAGCAATATGGATGGACCTGGAGGCTATTATCCTAAGCGAACTAATGCAGGAACAGAAAACCAAATATCACATTTTCTTATAAGAGGAAGCTAAACACTGACTACACATGAACTGAAGGAAGTGAACAACAGAATCCAGGGCCTACTTGAAGGTGGAACATGGGAGGAGGGTGAGGATCAAAAACCTCCTATCAGGTATTATGCTTATTACTTGGATGATGAAATAATCTGTACACTAACCCCCATAACATGCAACTTACCTATATAACAAACTTGCACATGTGCCCCCTGAACCTAAAATAAAAGTTAAAAAGAAAAGAATGCCATTAACAGTAGAAGGGGGTGAGAGTGGTATTGGGCAGAGAAAAACAACAGATGTCCACTATGGTCACCAATCCTACACTATCCTTCCTCCCAGTCTGGGATTTCATATCTTGATTTGAGCACATCTGTAGGAGAAAGGAAACTAAAGGCATTGTTACTGAGCGTTCATGGGAGCAATAGCCCAGACCAGGGTGGGTAGTTTCCTCTGGCCACCAGAGGACGGGGGATACAGGGAAACAGAAAATGGCTGGGCAGAGACCTTGGACATTAATCACTGGGTGCTCAGGGCCACCTGGGGCCACTGGAAGGTACAACTGAAGCCTGAGGCTGAGAAGTCTCATTAAATACCACCAGCCTCTCACCAGAGACCATGGAGAAAATCTGCAAGGTGAGCAGGTTTGCCATTTGGGGCCTGTGGCTCATGCGTCAGAAATAGGCAAGAAGCTAACTGTCCTTCGTCTCGCCCAGGGCCACTCAAGGGGAAACAAGCATGATCTAAAATATCAAGCTCACAGCACAGGTTGGGAGACGGGATTAAGAGTGAGGTGTGTCAACAAAATTCTGAAACCAGATACCAGCCAAGGACTCCTAAAGGCAAGCTGCCCCTAGTAGAGTCTGAAGATATATTCTGAGGCACCAAAGCCAGGGAAGGGAGTCCTTTATGGAGGAAGGGAAAGAAAAAAGTTGATTTTGAATAAATGATAACTCCAAACATAAAATGATTTTTTTTTTTTTTCGATGGAGTCTCACTCTGTCACCAGGCTAGAGTGCAGTGGCGTGATCTTGGCTCACTGCAACCTCCATCTCCCGGGTTCAAGCGATTCTCCTGCCTTAGCCTCCCAAGTAGCTGGGATTACAGGCACCCACCACCATGCCCGGCTGATTTTTTTGTATTTTTAGTAGATACGGGGTTTCACCTTATTGGCCAGGCTGGTCTCGAACTCCTGACCTCGTGATCCACCTGCCTCAGTCTCCCAAAGTGCTGGGATTAGAGGCATAAGCCATCGTGCCCAGCCATGATTATTTTTTCTTATGCAAGAATAAAAGCATCAGGTATGCAGACAAGTGATATGACTATATATTTTATATTAAATTATATGACACTATATATAATAAATTATATTATGTTAAATATATTGTAATATGGTATGTTTTGTGAAACTCCTGTTGGCCTACCTTGGATCTCCATGCAACTGCCATGGAAGTTATGTAGAAAGCAAGGCACAAAAGGAGAACGTCTTTGCTGCTCCACGGTGTTCATGGAGCCTGTCAACATAGGTTCTCAGTCACAGCGCTCCCTACATGGGGCATGTCTCACAGAATAAAATCTGAGAACTGTGAACAGGAAAATCTGAGATCTGGAGGTCATCTGCAGATCGTGGTTCAAGATATTAAGCTGTCATAAGAAAACACATAGGGCTGCTCTGTGGGCCCTTATTCATAACTGTATATAGCCAGCGTTTGTACCTCATCCTTGGGTAAGAGTGAGATCTACCTTCTTGACAGCCTGGCATTTAGTCCAGGCTGGCTTTAAAAAAAACAACAACTTAGTAACCAATCAAATGTCCATTTTCTGGGAAATTGGTAAACAAACTATGGTACATCCGTACAATGAAATACTACTTAGCGATTAAAAAAAAACAAACTACGGATTCACACAACAGTGTGGTTGAATTATGTTCAGTGAAAGAGGTCAGAGAGAAAGAACTACATACTTTATGATTACATTTATAAGAAATCCTAGAAAAAGCAGAATTACAGTGACAAAAGGTAGACTGGTGTTTGCCAGGGTTGGGGAAAGTGATAACTGCTAAGCGGCACAGGGAAACTTTTGAGGGTAATGAATATTTTCTATGTTTTGATTATTTGGTGACTTTTTATTGTGGTAAAATATATATATATATAGCATAAAATATGCCATTTTAACCATGAAGTGTACAGTTCAGTTACATTAATGACATTCATAATATTGTGCAACCACTCTCTATTTCCGTAACTCTTTCATCACCCCAAACAGAAGCTCTGTGCCCGTTAAGTAATAACTCCCCAGTCCCTCTTCACCCCATGTGACTTTTATTGGATGTAAATTAAACCTTAATAAAGCTGATTCTACAAAATGTACTGTCTCTCTCCAGTCCCTGTGATAAATGTCCTCCTCCTAGGTGGGGTCATTTTATGGAGCAACCCCCTCTGGACTTTCCTCTGTTCTCTGGACCTGAGTGCCCAGGTCCCTGGCCGTCAGCCTCCCTTCCCAGACCATCCACAGATTCTACACACCCATGGTGTCCCCAGCTTGTTTGAGGACTTATTCTTTGGCCCTTGCTCTGACAGCAAGCATCCTTTCCCTCTCTCCAGCAAATCATCTCTCAGTTAGTCTTTTTACCCAGCCCCACCTACCAATGTCTGTCTTTGGCAACATATACACAACACACACACACACACACACACACACACACACACACACACACACACACCATATCTCTTCAGTCTTTTTACCCAGCCCCACCTACCAATGTCTGTCTTTGGCAACATATACACAACACACACAAACACACACACACACACACACACACACACCCACCCCATAACGACAGCTTCTCCCTTCAACAATGTGGCATGGCCTGTTTTGTGTCTTTTCTACTTCCAGGCCCCTAATCCTCTTACCTTTAGCATTTTTCCCTCCCTCACAAGTCAGCTAAGTCCAACTTGGACTTCATACTTGTATTCTTAAACAGTACAGACTGACTTAAAGTCCAGGTAAAGAGAAAGACATTGAGTTTTCTTTTAAAAGACAGGAATCCTTCTTATGTCATCCTTTCTATGACACTCTACTAATCATGCACTTTCAAGGACATGGAGCTGGCATCTTCCCAGTGTCCTGTCCCACTGATGTCCAGCAGTGGCCCCAGATCTGACTTGTTGGTCCTGTTGTCCTTTCAGGTGAGAAAGTAAAATGCATCTCTCCCTTTTGGCTTCCCTTCTCCTCCTCCAAAAGATATGTAACCAACCCTTTCTCTCTCATTTTTCTCCTCACTAAGGGCAAGGGTGGTGCTTAGTTAAAAACAGCATCTTGGCCTGGCATGGTGGCTAACACCTGTAATCCCAGCACTTTGGGAGGCCGAGGTGGGCAGATCACCTGAGGTCAGGTGTTTGAGACTAGCCTGTCCAACATGGCAAAACCCCGTCTCTACTAAAAATACAAAAATTAGCCAGGTGTGGTGGCACGCACCTGTAATCCCAGCTATCTGGAGGCTGAGGCAGGAGAATCATTTGAACCCAGGGGGCGGAGCTTGCAGTGAGCTGAGATAGTGCCATTGTGCTCCAGCCTGGGCAACAGAACGAGACTCCAACTCAAAAAAAAAAAAAAAGAAAAAAAACACGGCATCCCATCATTTCACAAGAGGTGCTAGAAAGCTGCTGCAGGGTGGCTCAGACAGTGGTCACATGGGTTGGGTCCATTTCTTATTTTGTGAGGCCTGAGGGGATACAGTCTGAAAGCATGAGATTAGGGAAAGATATTAACACACTCAGTAATAGGAACATGAAGATAGGGGTCTGCAGCTTATGTGGGTCAGGATACTTCCAAGGGGGCTGGACCAAGGCTGCCCACTCCGGACTCCTCCATATTGAAATATTGAACCCTCTCCCCACACAGTTCTGGGGAACTTGCAAAGGCAACTGTTCACTCCATAAGCGTGTACAGGAAGAGCTCCCCTTCCCCTTCAATATCTTAAGGAAAAGGTACTGCTGTGGTTAGAGAAGTAATCTTGGGATAAGACTGACCCTTGTGGACAAGTAGCAGAGTTTCCTTGAGAGGTGGGGTTAGAAGAAGGTTGGAAGAAAGATCTAAGGACAGGGAGTCATGTTAGCGACATGGCGAACCCATGAAGAACTTCTTATGAAGTAATTTAACTTCCTGAGTGCCTTCTGGAAAAATCACATTTAACCCTCAGTTTCAGTCCTCTTCCCCCACCATCCTATGTTATAATTCCCTTCAATTCAATGGCAATTCACCCTCTCCCTATCCCCTCAAAATGATTGATGGTATTATGGAAAATGAAGGGAGCATATAATAAACAAAGCGTGGTTTCCCCCAGACTCAGCTCAACTGGTTCCTGGTTGAAGGGCCCTCTCTGCAGGGAGGGGATTATGCCTAGGAACTCCAGGTAGGTAGCAGCCGTGAGGTAACCAGAGCTCCACAGCAGAGTGGATAGAGGGAAGACGCACATGAAGTTGAAGAGCAGCTCCCGGTAGGCATCTCTGGAACATAAGATGAATCTTTCCAAATGCTTACAGAGGAATGTAACCTTTTATGGAGGGGAAGCTGATATTTGGGCCATGAGTGGATCAGCTCTAGAATTTCACTCCACTCCAAAGAGAAGGGAGCGGGAAGTTGCCATGTATTTTTCAAACTCTAGGTCACATTTGAGTGACCTTGAGTCTTGAGGTCTGTTCACTCAAGACTCCATTCTTGAGTGGACTCCATTCCATTCTTGAGTCTTGAGTGAACAGACCTCGCTCAAGTAAACCTAAACAAAAGCCACATTAAAATAAAACTAGAAAGCAACAAGCTGAGGGAAATGTTCCCATGATGAACAAAGGGTGGTGCCCTAATGTGGAGAGGAGAGTATCTATAATTCAGTTAGAAAAGTCAACATAACAAAAAAGTAAAAATGATAGTATATACCCAAGGATAAACCAAAGAGAGTTTATTTACAAAGAAACTATTTATCTAGTTGTGATCTCATGAAACTACATAAGATAGTGCAGTTACCTGATAGCTCCAGGTAGCAGTCCCAGTTATCACTTCTTGATCTGAAAAGATAAGAGGAGGGAAAGGTTACAGGAGCTCAGAGGGAGAGCAGGTCCGGTCAGAAGATCACTGAGCTTTGTTCTAAAGATACACCCAGTCAGAGGCAACCTCACAGGGAAGGACCTAAGGAAATAAATACTTTGAACTTAACCCCTTCCTACCTCCAATCTCCTGCCAGGCTTTCTGCTGGCTGAGCCCAGCTGGGAGCCCAAGGGCACAGGCGCCATGCTGACGAATCCCAAAGAGGTCCCACTTGTAGGGCAAGAGCAAGATGGAAAATGGAGAGAGTGAATGTGAAGTGGCAAACAGGATATTCAGCACGGGAGGAAAGAATATCAGTATGCAGTTCACAGAGGAAGTGATAGTAATGGGCTTATTGGCCACTTGAGACTAGCTCAATCTCACCAGTCGTGAAAGCTCAGATTCTGAAGTCAGACTGCCTGAGTCTGTCTGTTCTACTGCTTAGTTATGATTTAATCTTATCAAGTCTTGTTTTCATCCTTTGTAAAATGGGAGTAATGATAGTATCTACATCATAGGGTTGTTGCAATGATCAAGTGGAGAAAGGCATCTAAAGCCCTGGGGCAGTGCTTGGCATGGAGCAAGCAATCAATACATGATATCTATTTTTTTTATTTCAAATTGGTAAATGATAAAGATCTGTAGTATTTGTTATGGGCAAGGTTATAGGGCAAGAGGCACTCTCAGAAACTTTTACTGGGAGTATAACGGGTATGTAATCTTTCGGGGAGGGGAGTAATTTGACAGTACTGATTATAATTCAAAATAGGAGTAAACAATTCCATGTCTAATAATTTATCTTACACAATTACCTTCAGGAATACACAAAAAATATACATACAAAGATGTTTAATGCTAGATTACAATTTGGAAATAACCTAAATTGACATAATGAAACTCTGTGTACCAATTTGTGTTGGTTATCTATTGCTGTGTACAAATTATCCCTGAAACTTGATAGCTTAAAAATGGCAAAAATTTATTATCTCACAGTTTATGTGGGTCAGGAATCCCTGCATGGCTTAGCTAGGTACCTCTGGCTCAAGGTCTCTCATGAGGTTGCAGTTCTACTGTTGATCAGGGCTATGATCTCATCTGAAAACTTGACGCGGGAGTGGAAGGGGAAGATATAGACACACGTGTATCTGTTATTCCTGCATTGTTCTCCCCATATGGTTTGAATGGGCATGGGCATCCTCTCTTCCCATTGGAGTGGTAAGGTCTATGTTAAGTGTTTGGACTTTGGAAGAGAAGAGACCAGAAGAGGACCTCTGTCTTGCCTTGATCCCAGCCCATTCAGACCAGTCTAACTTAGGTAAGGAGCTCTTCTTTTTTTGAAAGGAAACATATTGTTTGAAGCTGATCCCTGAGCCAATTGCATGATTTGCCTTGCCTTGCTTTGTTCTCTGTGAATATATTTCATATATTTCCCTCTGGTACCTTAGGAGAAGGGGTTGGCAGCCAAAACAGAGTGAAGACAATCATGTATTCCAGCAGTTTCCAGCTAAATCTATATCTCAACCCATCACACCCTTCAACATATGAAACTACATTCGTCACGAAGACATTATCATGGCCCTTTTGAGTCTTCTCTCCTTGAGGTCAAACACTCCCCATTTCTTATCATTTTCCCTCAAATAAGATAGGTTTGCTATCCCTAATAGTTTTGCTCACTCTCTAAAGTATGTGTATGGAACACCATAAATACTTGATGAGTGAATTCATTCATTCAATAAAGAATGAATATTCTAATTTGTGAATGTCCTTCTTCAAACATTACCAGGGCCTGGTGACATTTTAAGAGCAGTGTACCAGTTAGCATGCTTGAAACTACACAAAAAAGAAAAACTAACCTCAAGCTGATTTAAACAATATAAGAATCGATTAGTTCACAAAACACGGAGCCCAGAAGCTGTAGAGATCCAGCAGAATTCGGAAAGTTTGACACTGTGGTAAAGGTTCTGGCTCTCTATGTCTATGATGCTATTGGCTCAGCTTTTGACCTAATTTTCAAGCTGGGGTTTCTCCTCTTAGCAAAGTACCTGCAGCTATACTACTGTTACCAGGCTCACTTATGCCCATCTAGAGACCAGAGAGCTTCCCATTCCCATAACCATCAAGCTAAAGGAGCTTTATCTGGACTGGACTGACATAGGCCATCTTCCCAGTCCTGAACCAACCACCCCCTGTGCTGTTCAACTTGGACTTGGGGAGGTACACATCCTGGAGCCATGACTGCTGCTAAGAGGATAGGACTTCCAGGCCATCACATTCCCCCTTTCCCACTCTTACCCAGCACCCAGAGGTGGGAAAACCTCACCTGAACCTCCTGGCTGGGAATATCAATTCTGTTAGGGGGAGCAGAAAGGGGACTTGATTCTTCCACCATTTATTCAGCCAGTGTTCAGTGAGGACTGAGTGCATGCCAGACACTCTCCAGTGCCCTGGGAAGACAGCAGAGAACAAAATGGACAAAGGCCCTGCTCTCATGGAGGAGAGACAGAAAGTAAACAGACAGAAATAAGTCAGGTAGGGTAAGAATTACCGGGAACCATGAGGGTGCTATTCTATGAGGGCTGACGAGGAGACTTCTCAGGAAAGGTGACATTCAAGAAGTGATTTGGAGAAAATAGAGAACCATGCAGTTAAGAAGGGGAAGAATGGGGACTGGGGGACTAGGTAAGCACAGGGAGCCTGAGATGGGAGTGTCCTTGCAGTATCTGAGGAACAACAAGGCGTGGGGTGAAGGGAGGGTGAGAAAGGGGTGAGGGCTGGGCATTTGGGGCCGGGCGGGCCATGGCAAGAATGGGGAGAATGAGAGCAAGGGAGGAAATCAACCTGGACTTCCGCGGACAGGGGCCTGGCTTTTCAGTGGCAGTGACATAGCCACCAAGTGTAGCCACAGCCACCCCCACCCCACTGCTTCCTTGCCACAGAGCTTACATCCCATGCAAGGCTGAAAATACCACATAGTTGCCCTGCAGCTGGGCATAAGGAAGTGATTTGCAATCCATGTCACATAGCTTCTGTTCAGGCAGTTTGCAAAGAGGAGAGATGGTGTCCAAGAGCAGTCAGGAGGCCCTTGCCAGATTCTAGGACAGATGCCGGTTGTGTCTGACTAGTGATAATGGCCATAGGACAATAGATGAGGGTGGGCTGAGACACAGAGGACAGAGATGAAGCAGAAAGGGAGAATGAAGCAGATGAGAGAGGGGTGAATGGAGGAGGGGCAGAGCCTGGAGCAAAAGCCATGCTGTGGTTACAGAAAATGAGTTTCCTGATGTGGTGGCCCTGCCTGTCATAGCAAGAGGGAAAGAGCTCCGCCTTTGGGGAACACCAGAAGGCAAGAATGGAAAGGAACCAGACCCATTCACAGCTCTGGTCATTGCATATGTTATTCGTTCTGCCGAGGGTACCCTTTGCCTGGCAAATGCCTGTTTTTCTCTGTTCTCCTCTTCTGTACCAGACTGCAGGTGGGCTCCTTAGGGACCAGCTTAATGCTTTTTGTATCCCTGGCTCTTAATATAAATATATATAAATATTAATTTATATTAAGTTCTTATAATATAAATAGGTGATTATCAAATGAGTGCTGAATGAAATATTGATAATGAAAAACAGGAACAGGTAAAAAATGGTAATGAAAAGGGGTGAAATTGTGAAATATTTAAATTAGGGTATTGAGACATTCATAGATATTGGTGGAAGAGGTGAGGCTGTACTTGAAAACTCTTAGAAGATTCTGTATGTGGAAGGAGGATATTTAAATCTTTGAGCTAATACCAAATATGAGGAGGAATTGTAACTATTAACCAAGAAGAGCCCATGAAGAAGGGTTCAGAGAAAACTAAGTGAGATAATAAATTAAGTTCAAATTCTGAGCCCACAGATAACCTGAAGGTCAAGAAATCATGAGAGTAAGTCTTTCAAATTTTCTGAAAACATAGCACATTTTATGATGCGATCACACAATGCAATCATGAAAATCTTACACACTCAAGATCGTTTTTTCCAGAGGAATCAACATAAGGGCTGCATACTTAGCCTGCATGACATATAACATGGTAGTTTCATGGTACTTTTCTGGGAAATGACCTTTCAGCCAAGCCAATGGCAATGTTTCATGTTTCCAATTCCTTCTCTGCCTTAGGGCAACTTGGAGATATTAACATTATACCGGCTATAATGCTACTTTAATTTTTACCTTTTCTCAACTCTCTCATAGTATGTTCCATCTCAACCTAGGAGAATTTGGGGCCTCTCCTTTGCCCCATCCCCAGCCATCTGGCAATGTCTGGAGACATTTTTGTTTGTGATGACTGGAGGGGTGCTACCGGCACTGACTGGATAGACACCAGGGATGCTGCTGAACACCCTGCAATGCACAGGACCGCTCCCCACACCACAGAATTCTGAAGGCCAAAATGTCAATAGTGCCAAGGTTGAGAAAGCCTGCAAGTTTCTCCTAAATGTACAGCACAGATATGGCAACTGCCTGGCTGGCCAGCTTTAAGATTTTGTGGTTTTAACAAATGTAAAAAAATGGGAAGGATTTCCTTTTCTTTTCTTTCTTTCTTTTTTCTTTCTGAGATGGAGTCTCACTCTGTCACAAGGCTGGAGTGCAGTGGTGTGATCTTGGCTCACTGCAACCTCCACCTCCTGGGTTCAAGCAATTCTCTTGCCTCAGCCTCCCAAGTAGCTAGGACTACAGGTGCGTGCCACCATGCCCGGCTAATTTTTGTGTTTTTAGTAGAAACGGGGTTTCACCATGTTGGCCAGGATGGTCTCGATCTCTTGACCTTGTGATCCACCCACCTTGGCCTCCTAAAGTGCTAGGATTACAGGTGTGAGCCAACGCGCCCGGCCAAAAATGGGAAGGATATTCTTTGTTTCCATTTTAGAGGTTAAAATGAGATTTTATCAATATCTCTTATATTGCACTTCAAATTGTATCACACCTAAAGTCCACTTCCAATGCGAGGTTTTTCAGGTGCTTTTTTCAGGACTCACACCACCGTTTACCAAGTGCTTAGATGACATTGCTAAAGGGCTAGGAGAACAATGAAGGTTAAAAGCAGGTGGCAATAGACACTAAAATCCTGCCCAAAGTCACAGTCGTGGGTAGTGTGAAGTAGGGGTGTGTTGGGGCTCAGAAATCAATGCCTCAAAATGAAGGCCTTGGAAGCACCCTTAGAAGCAAAACCGTTTCTCTGCCCTTCCGCCCTATCAGTGCCATACTTGCCCTAGGCTAGTCATAGAAACTAGAATCCCTCTGCCCCCAAGGCAGGTCATAGAAACCAGAATCTTTTCTCCCCAAAGCTAGTCATAAAACTGAAAAATACTACTTTAATTTTCCCTCCACTTTTCTGCATAAAAACAGGCTATAAAGAAATTATCTGACCCACCTTGTTTGACTATGAGTCGTATAACCGCCCCCCCCATTCCAGACAGGGTCCTGCCCCATACCCAGAAGGAAGGAATGGTGCTCAGGAGGCCAAGAAGAATCCAGACAGACAGGCTTTGCTGGGCGTCCCCATTCAGTCTATTAGCATTGGATCATACTCTTTTCATCCAGTCATATTTCTACATGGCTGTCCATACTGTGGTGTACCTAAGCATAAAAATGGACAATTTCTCTTTTATCTTTGAGTCTTCATTCTGAAGGCGCCCATATATACATGTTAAATAGATGTGTATGCCTTTTTTCCAATTAACCTGCTTTTTGCTAGTTGATTTCTTCAGAGAACCTTCAGAGAAACAAGGGGAAAGCTCTCCCTCGGCCCCTGCAGTGGCTGGCCTTCAGTCCCAGCTTCACCCGCCAGCTCTGTCACTGACCAGTCACTGGCCCTTGGCAGTTCCCTCTCTGTGCTTCAGTTTTCTCTTTGGGAAATGAGGATTATGGTAAAGGGCTTACCTCTTTGTGGTGCGAATGCACATGTGACAAAATTAGAGCAGCACCTAGTGTGTAGAAAGCTTAGTTACCAAGATGGCGGGCACTTCCATTTACGAACCAAAGTGCTGCTGCTGTGAGGAAATAGCATAAGTATAGTTTATGTTTTCTTTGGCTGGCCAGCTTTAACTTTTTGTGGGTTTTTTTTTTTTTTTTTTCTGAGACAGAGTCTCACCCTGTTGCCCAGGCTGGAGTGTAGTGGCGCCACAATCTCAGCTCACAGCAACCTCCACCTCCCGGGTTCAGGCGATTTTCCTGCCTCAGCCTCCTAAGTAAGAGCGTGCCACCACGCCCGGCTAATTTTTGGTATCTTTAGTAGAGACGGTTTCACCGTGTTGGCCAGGCTGGTCTCGAACCCCTGACCTCGTGATCCACCCTCCTCAGCCTCCTACCTTGATTTCCATTTTTGAGGTTACAATGAGACTTTATTGTTATTTCTCATATTACTTTATATTTGTAAATTAATAAAGCAAATTACATATATTTGCTTTGTAATTTGCTTTATTAACTTACAAGCAAAATTAATAGAAGTGATTTTTATTAATAGCCGTGATTTTTCAAAGAATCACTAATAGCTATGATAGCAGGAAGAGCAATTCCTGGAACCACAGGCGTTATCCTGTATCTGTTGTTTCTCCCAGTTTTGTAACACATCACAAGAGGGCGCGAGAAGACGCCTTTTTGAACACAAGCAAGCCTCAGGCTGAAAATTTTGTTCTTTAAGCGGTACCAAAATAGTCACAAGATGGTGCTAACAGATTCCTTTTGAAAACCTAAATGGGCAGTCTCGATTTGGTTATTGGAATTATATAAAAGCTAATACTGCAGTTATCACTTTAATTAGAACAATACAATTCACGAGGTCAAGGGCAAACTTTTCAGTTCAAACGTAGACCAAATAGTCTCTGTTCTAGATCTAATCATAGCAAAGGTTTTGGAGTGAAAGTTTCTGTCTCTATTAATCAAAGTTTTAACAAAAAATATATTTTAAAAAATCATACTTAACAGGTGTTGAGTTAGCAGCCCTATTTCACAGAAAGGATGGAGTTCTTGAGGTCTGCTCTAAAGATCCCCTGCCTTGAGGAATGACTGTGAGGGGGAGCTACCTTGGGGAGTTCTGGTTTCTTTTCATTACAAGTTTACTCCTCGGCAAATTAGAGACTTGCTGAAAGAAAAGTAACAGGTCATCTCTGGAGTCCTGGATTTTATTCAAAGAAGAGCATGAAACATGATTTTAGACAACAAAAATAAAAGCAAGATTTTTTTGTCGTGTCTTTCCTTCTGAGCCTGAACTTACCTTCCCGTGGGGCGGGATGGCCCCCAGCAAGTGGAGAAGAATGAGGCTGAGGGACACATTCAAAGCAGAATGCATGCATAGCTTTTAAGAATATGATACAACAGCCTCAAGAACAGGAACTTGGGGTCATTCAGATGTCCTAACAGGAGGAATCAAATAGTGGCAGCTCCTTCAAATCGGTCGGTTCCTCTACTATTTCACTTTCTCCTTTTTGTATTTATGTAAAGAACAGGCTTGAGAATTATCATGCAATACTGAAGTAAGGAAAAGCTCTGAAGTCAGGAATGAAGGAATCCCACTTTTGTTACGTCAAAATTGCCAGAAGCCTAGACTAGAAGCAGGAGGGGGAGGAGAAAAGAAGCTAAGAGGGAGAAGGAGGTGATCAGGATTGAAAAACCACTCTAACCAGCAAGGTCTTAGCACCCTCTCACTCAGAACTCATATAATTCTCAAAATAACTCTACCAGTTTGGTGCTTTTACCTACACTTGACAGATATGGAAACTGAGAATGTGAGAAGGTAAGTCACTTTTTCAAGGTCACGCAACTAGTAAGGGGTGGAACCAGGAGTCAACCCAGATAGCTAAGAAATGCCAAGTATGTGGAATTTTAATAAAAGCTGACAAGGAATCATCCAGAACCTTTCATATTTACTCTGTGGCAGTTGTTGTCAGAGGAACATACAGAAAACAGGTAATTTGCTCTTCATTGCTGTGACTGAGGGGCAATGACCACGGAGGATACAGATAGGACTATAGTCTCTTCCCAGGGAAGGGAGTCTGGCTCTTCTCTGGAGGGCCCGGGATGCTGGGTGGTTTCCAGTGTAGGATGGAAGAAGCTACTTCCATGTTCCAGGCTGCGGCCTACCCAGCAGAAACTGCCTGGCTCCTTCCAAGGTGGTAGTTTCCCTCTGCTGTTTATTGATGTGCTATAAAAAGAAAAGTGCTTGTAAGCAACGCAAGTGCATGAACAACTTAATTAAAATAATTAAAGTAATAGCTTGTGAAAAAAAGTAGTAAAACTAATTATTATAAAGTAGCTGTGTGGGAGGATGAAAATTGCTGACATTCTTTAGGTCTAAGCTGCTCTGTTTGGCACAGAAAACACAGACAGTTTAACTATATCCTCAGAAGGGATCTGAGGTTCCCCTCTCCCAACTTAGATTTTAACTCTCCTGTTTCTCAGTTTTTAATTTCCTCCTTGGCAACAACCACACACGAATGACCCTCCAGTTCTCACTCCGAGTTGTCCCTTCTAGTCAAGCATCTGACTTTTTTTTTTTTTTTAGAGGGAGTCTTGCTCTGTCGCCCAGGCTGGAGTGCAGTGGGATGATCTCATCACTGCAACCTCCGCCTCCCGGGTTCAAGCAATTCTCCTGTCTCAGCCTCCCAAGTAGCTGGGATTAAAGGTGCACCCCACCATGCCCAGCTAATTTTTGTATTTTTAGTAGAGACGAGGTTTCACCATATTGGTCAGGCTGGTCTCGAACTCCTGACCTCAGGTGATCCGCCTGCCTTGGCCTCCCAAAGTCCTGGAATTACAGGCGTGAGGCACCGCGCCCAGCTGCATCTGACTTTTTTTTTTTTTTTAACTCAAAGAAGTATAAAAGTTTAGAATCTGAGAAGCTCAGTGCTGAAGGAACCTGCAAACCTGCTGGTAAAATTATCTGTAGGATGCGTGGCTCCCTTTGCAAACGTTCCCAGAGTGTTGCCACTTGATGGTTATCCAGCCTTTGCTGGAGCCCTTTCAGTGAGGACAAAATGACAGCTGTGGTAGCTCTGGCTGCTGTCGAGCGCCTTTTTGTTTTAAGTTACACTCAGTCCTTTTAGTGCCCCAGTATTCCTCATTCTCTGCTTCGAGGCCGTAGTGAATAAGGAAACTGCCCCTTCCAAATATTTGAAGGAAGAGCGATGTCAGCTCATGCCTTCCCAGTGTCTAATTCAATTGCCAAACCAGCCAGGTGTTCCACGCACAGGAGTGGAGCTCCAGCTGAGAGGTCCCACAGTTTACCTAGGCTCAGCCATGTTTACCTGAGATGGGCAGATGCAGCCCGGCTGAGAGCAGGGTCAGAGTCAGCTGAGAGGAGCCACAGTCGGAGCTGAGGGAAAATCGGTGAACATCAAGCCCAGACCTAGAATAGGGAACAGAAGAAGGACATCAAACTTGCTAGCTCAGAGCATCAAAAGTAGAGGAGAAACAGAAAGAAGGGTCCAGAAAGGCAGTTCAGAACTAAGACCATGAATGGTCAATTTGTACAGGAGCTCCCCTCTCCAGGGTGAGTCACGCACATCTCATGGCCATGCAGGGCAATCCCCTCTGTCAAACAGACGCCTGGTAGCTCTTCAAGTATTCATTGTGTGACAGGCTTTTGCTACTCCCTTTATTAGCCATTCTATAATCTTTCAGATCATCTCATAGAATAACTGGTCATTAGTAGGTGGAACCCAGCTGACACTTTTGGATGATGAGTGAGAGGTGCTTAAAAATGTATATCAGAACACAGAGCAGACTTTCTTTGCTCAGGAAAAATCACTTTAGTGGACTCTCTTAATTATGTAAACATAATTTGATATAGGATGGGAGTTACATCCAATTACAACACTGCACAGCCAATAACTTAAAACCAAATATGGGACATCCCTGTGTTTAAAACTCACCTGGTCACTCTTAACCCCTTATATGTAGAGTTCCCTGACAACATTTCCACTTCATTTCACTGCCCTGAGCTCCTCTTTCTCACTTCCCTTCTGGCTTTCAGCCTTCAATTCTTTTTTTTTTTTTTTTTACTTTTATTTTAGGTTAAGGGGTACAAGTGCAGGTTTGTTATATAGGGAAACTTATGACATGGGGGTTTGTTGTACAGATTATTTTGTCACCCAGGTACTAAGCCTAGTACCCAATAATAATTTTTTTTTTTTTTTTGAGACGGAGTCTCCCTCTGTCGCCAGGCTGAAGTGCAGTGACATGATCTTGGCTCACTGCAACTTCTGCCTCCCAGGTTTAAGCGATTCTCCTGCCTCAGCCTCCTGAGTAGCTGGGACTACAGGCATGCACCACCACGCCCAGCTAATTTTTGTATTTTTAGTAAAGACAGGGTTTCACCATGTTGGCCAGGATGGTCTCAATCTCTTGACCTTGTGATCTGCCCGCCTCGGCCTCCCAAAGTGCTGAGATTACAGGCGTTAGCCACTGCAGCCGGCCTTAATAATTTTTTTTATCTTCTCCCTCCTCCCACCATCCACCCTCAGGCAGGCCCAGTGTCTGCTGTTCCCTTCTTTGTGTCCGAGTTCTCATCATTTAGCTCCTACTTATAAGTGACAACATGTAGGATTGGTTTTCTGTTCCTGCATTAGTTTGCTGAGGATGATGGTTTCCAGCTCCATGTTTCTGCAGAGGACATAATCTCATTCTTTTTTATTCAGACTTCAATTCTTTTTTCTTTTTTTATTTTTAGAGACAAGGTCTCCCTCTGTCACCCAGGCTAGAGTACAGTAGCATGATCTTTGCTCACTGCAACCTCTTCCTCCTGGGTTCAAGCGATTCTCATGCCTCAGACTCCAGAGTAACTGGGATTATAGGCATGCGCCAACATATATGGCTAACTTTTGTATTTTTAGTGGAAATGGGGTTTCACCATGTTGGCCAGCTGGTCTCAAATTCCTCCTGGTCTCAAGTGATCTGCCCGACCTGGCCTCCCAAAGTGCTGGGATTACAGGCATGTAATAGCTTTCAATTCTTGATACATTTCTTATACAAATTAAGTTAGCTTTGGAGATTTCATCTTTCATATCCAAGGTCTTTTGCTAGACAAAGGATAGTCCTCTCTATGAACAATTCTATTTCCGTCTTTAAAATTAATGTTTTTAGGCCTATTACATAAATTTTCTGCACTACTTGTATAGAATTTTAGAATCTTAATGCTAAAAGTAAAATTAGTGCAAGAGAGGTATTAATTGATAACTGAGTCTATTTGTGTTTTTGCCAAAGAATGAATAGATGTGTGTCCTCTAAGGTCCTTCTCATAACTGTCTATCACTTCATGTATGATTTCAGCTCAATATAATTCAACAGTATTTATAGAGTCCCATTTAGTTCTAGAAACTATACTAGGTCACTTTGGGAGATTACAAAGAAATAAAATTAGCTTCTGCTCCTAAGAAAAGGATATCATTTACCCAGAGAAAAGGCAGGACAAAATGCAGATGAGAGTGGGGATGGAGAGAGATAATTAGATAGTTTTTTTTTTTATTTTTTTATTTTTTATTTTATTTAAGTAGATAGTTTTAAACATGTTTCGGTAGCACTCAATAAATATTTTTGAGTGGATGAATAAATGAATGAAAAGGCAATGGTGTGAGAATTTCAAAAAGCAATTGGAAATTCCAGCCTCAGAAGGATAGTCAAGGAATGACCTGCAGAGAGATGATAAATAATGGCCATGTGCACTGGCTTTTGCCTGTAATTCTAACACTTTGGAAGGCAAAGGCAGGAGGGTCAGTTGAGGCCAGGAGTTCAGGACCAGCCTGGGCAACATAGTGAGAGCCTGTCTCCACAGAAAAATAAATAAACTAGCCAGTCATGGTGGCGTGTGTTTGTAGTTCCAGCTACTTGGGATGCTGAGGGTAGAGAATCATTTGAACCCAGGAGGTCGAGGCTGTAGTGAACCTTCATCGGGCCACTGCACTCTAGCCTGGGCAACAGGGTGAGACTCTGTCTCAAAAACAACAACAATAACAACGAAATGATAAATCATGGGCTTGAAGGTTTACATGAGGTTGTTCAGTACAGTGTGAGAAACTGAACAAGCCAAGTCTAGAATCCCTGGAGATACTTACAGGAACAACCTGAGCAAAGCAAAAGAAGACTATAAAGAAACCATCAGAAAAGAGAAAACAATCTGTCAATAGAGGTAACACAGAATCACAAAAAACTAGAATAGAATAAGATGGAGAAAAACTTTCTCCTTTGGTGGCCATCAAACCAGCTGCTTCAGCAGAGGAAGGGGGAGTAAAAATCAGAGAGAGGGGAGTTTCATTTATGCAGGGAAGGAAAGAAGTGGGTGGTGTTGGCTCTGCACATTGGAGGAAGAAATGCACAGAGCCAGAGAAGACTTGAGCAGGGCTGGAGGCTGACAGGAAGGAGTTACTGCAGCTGGGAGAGAGGAATGGGCTTACTGATGGAGCACCAACCTGCTGGAGGTCAACCGTCAACTGCTGAATCCATAACAGTCGGGTTCTCTGTTGCCAGAGAGGTTTTAGCTTTGGAAAGAAATGGGGCACTGTGTTCTCAGAAACAGCAGAGGGGGCTAAGAAGAAAGAGTGTGTTTTGAGGGGAGAACAGGGAAATCGAGAGTGAAACTGTCCTTCCCACCATCTCTTAGAGTGAGAGAGCCAGGTAGGGCTGTTGTCCTTAGACAGTGTAAAAGTTTTGAAAAGGCAGCAGAAAGTCAAAAGAGATGACCCCAAGGAAATGAGGAAGGCGAGTGTTATCATCTGTGGACTGACTACAATTCACTCACAGCAATAGCTAATATTGGAGTTCTTATTTTTTCTAGGTGCTTGAACACAGAACATCTCACTTAACTCTTAGCACAATCCTTAAGGTAAGTATATTAAAATTCCAATTTTGAGATGAAGAGACCAAAGCACACAGAGGTCAGGGTGGGGGTGGGGGTGGGGGAGAGATTATACCACTATGGAGCTAGGCTTCAAACCAGGTTGTCTCACTCCAAAGCCCATGCTCAAATCTGTCTCCTACTATAGGCTACCTAATCTTTCCCATCACTTCTTACGAATATTATGCTCTGTCAGCCCTGTTCATGATTCCTCAGCCCTATTTCCCACTCCTGGCTGTGGGCCTTCTCAGAGGCTCTTCTTGTATCAGAAATATCCTGCCTGCCCAGCAAACCATTCATTCCAAAACCTCTTCAAGGATTTCTTCATAGGTACTATTTCTGTGATGACTTATTTGTTTAAATGAATCTGAGATTGAGATGCTCTTGCTCACGCATACAATGCATTGCAATTGTACAATGCATGTGTGACAGATGCCACTAGCTTTCCGGTCATTGGATGCCTACGCTTATGGATACTTTTGTATCTATGCTGATGTCAGCACCTCCAGGGGGAGAGGACTGTTTAATCTCTTCCAATTCCTCCTTATCAATCTGTATTCTATGATGTTAGTTAACAAATGCCATTTGCAGAATATCATGATGTTGCTAATAGATGTCCATTTATTCATCTTCTCTATAAACTGTAGTATAGTGGCCAAAATTCAAAAGCCTGAAAACTTCTATAAGGATTTTATTCCGGAGGTCACTTTCCCTAAAATTTGATTGTTTTGTCTGCTGAACTCATATATTTCTAGGTATTTGGTAATTCCACCTTGGTTGCTTTATCTATACTTTAAATATTTCAATTGCTCCCGAGTTGCAAGGCTAGCATTTTTCTGCTTCCTCCGTAGTCCATTTTTTTTTGAAAGGTACTAGATTTACTTGGCTCTGATTTCCCCAGGTATCTTTATGATTCCTAGGAGCCATCCAAATGCTGCATGAAGGCAGTATTAATCTCTGCAGCTTTTTCTTCCCACTCAGGAGTTGTCTTTTCTTGAGTTACTTAATTTATTGGAAGCGAATTCCTCATTGTTCTTAATTTATCACTCTCTGATACTGTTTCCATTTCTGGTACATTTATTGGCCTCATGAAGGCAAGACCAAAAAATTAAAGTAAAATAAATTAAAATAAACCCAAGTTTAATGTTTCAATTTCCTGGATGCTCCTCCTTACCCACAATCCCTTTAAGATATTTAAAGAATCTTGTATCATTGAGGTGTCTTCTAAGGCTGTCCTTCCATCACTGTCTACTTTACATTTTTTTTTCAGTTCACTTTTAAAGCCTCTTAGTATTGTTTCAAATGCCCCCACCCTTTTCTTCTTTTTAAGCGTGCTGGTTTTATAAACCGGGAACCTTCTGTTTTCCCATGGTGACATTTAATCATTATCTTCTGTGTGATGCTTCTTCATTTATTAGTCTGAGCAGTTAATTCATTTCCTGGACACAGGATTTATAAGAATGTTTAATTTGCCTTATTACCCACTTTGTTTGCTCAATCAACCCTTTGTTATAGTATCATGTTTTTCTACTCCTACTTAGCATCTTCATTCCACTTCATTCTACATAATCAACTCTCCCCCTTCTTTTGAATGACTTAGCTACTGTGGTCTATCTTTTTTGCCTTTCTCTCCATGATTTTAGCATCTTGGTTGATTAAAGAAGAGCTTCCTCTTAGCTTTCTGCCTGCTGATTTTTAGGATTGAAGTAAAAGACAATTTAATTTTGGGCTCATAGCATATCTTCTCTCGTGCCCATAATCATGTGTGACAAACTCATTGACTTAAAATAAGCAAATTATTATTTTCATAAAACAATCATACTTTTTTTCTATCATTTCCTACTAGTTATAGGACATTTCATCCCCTTAGGTCATCCTGATAGTCATCAAAATCAGTTTGAAACACTTTTACATGTTTTCCTTTAAAATATTTCATTTTCATGAACACTTTCTTCTTGGTCTGAAAACATCTGCATTTGCTGATACTTGTGTTTTACATGTTCCTTCTTATGTTTCTGATGGAAATATTTTGCTAATCTATATAAGCTTAAACTTCTGTCTTTTTTGGAGGGGCGGGGGTAACTTTTTCTAAACTAATGATGCAGTCATTCTTATCTGGAATTCATCATATTCGTGGCACAATCTCAAAGAACTTCATGGATAAAGATAGCTGCCTTGGAGCTAGACACTCCGAGGCATGAAGGGGTTAAATCATGATCGCAGCGACGGCGACCTAACAAGAAGGCGGTGATGGAACCCAGAGAAGCCAGCATTCTTAAGTCACTTCTCCCGTCCCTCTCGCCCCGCCCCCGCCAGTTCATCTCTTTTGTTGCTGGCTAGTTTCCTCTGATTGTAATTCATTCTGTATTCCTTCCTGCCCCTCTGTCTTGGCTAATTGTTCTTTCCCACACTACGGGGTTTTAATTTCCTCAAGTTATCGCCTTATCACTGGAGTTTACACTTCCTCAGCTCTTTGGGCCTGTCTCCCGCTCACCACTGAGTTTTGGTGACCCTTGCCCGACCGCTCAATTTCCACTGTACCTTAGTTTGCAGATCGCTGAAGTGGGACTGTTATTTCTCCCACTTCTCCCAAGGCAGCTGCATCAGAGTCCAGTCATTTTAGGACAGTTTTGCCAGTTAAGAACTATGTCTGAACTCTGTGGTGATTTTCATGGACATTCCAATGAGTTCCACTAGCAAAGCTGGAAGCTCCAACGATATGCCATCATTCTCTTCCCCAGATCACTACATTCCCCCAAACAGCCGTTTGGCTCTGTTTATCCTTATTTTTAACTTTGAAAGGAAATCTAGCAATAAAAATTCTATTTTGCTCTGAGTGGTACATTCACTGACAAGCAATTTTCTCCATGCTTTAAAAGTTGGAGTGACATTTTGAGCAAACTCACTATCTCAGAAAATGTCTTCACGACATGGTGCTGACCTAGGAATCCCATCAAATGCACAGACTCATCAATTTTCTTTACATTAGGTTCAGAGGAGAATCTTAATTTTCTAAAATTTCTTAATTTCCACGCCTTCTAAAAATCTCTTGTCATTATCGCATTGTGAGGGGAGGGAATTCGATATTAAATACAGACCACTTTGCATTAATTCCAGGGTGTCAAGAGTTAAAGGGAACGCACAAACCCAGTGTTGCTATTTTGTTTTATTTTGCTCTTACAGGATGGATCCTTCCTTTTCCTCTCAGTGCCTGGGGCTGGGGAATGAAGTGTCCTCTGCCTGAGGAGGTGGAGTGGAGGCCTTCGTTTTAAGACCAGGGTTCTGATTACACCTGACAGGGCCGAAACTTGATGCCCGCAGAGCTTACTGATATCTTATCTTCTTCCACTAGCCAGGATTACAGCAGGAATGTAACAGAAGTTGTCACTGATTCAGTTTGTATATGCTTAGTATGTAAACAAAAAAGCAAAAACAAAAACAAAATTCTTTTTTGTCCTCCTTGAAATTAGCTCCAGAGAGAGTTCTTTCCATCTTTTTAAAAATATTGGTCAACATAAAGAGTTTTGTTCTCAAGGCTAAATCTTAATGCTCCTGCAGAGAGTCTCATAGTTCAAGAATAATCATATTTAATAAAAAGTCTGCCTCAGAAAAAGATTCACAGAACCTGAGCCATGGCACTGATTTTGTGGTATTTGGATTCGTGTCTATAAAAATATTTGTACACCAGATGGTGGATTGTTCGACGCATTCATCCCAAACCAAAAGATTTTTTTTTTAAACTCACACACACCAAACACTGTGGGGGTGGGGGGGATCATTAATTTTTTTCCCAGTCATGCTGCATGAGTAATGGTAAAAGCAACAGCTAAAACAATAAGATTATTGTGTTGAATTCTTAATGCATTGTCAGGTATAAAGACTTCAAGTAGTGCTGAAAATATTTTCTCCCTCTGAACAACACATACCATATGTACAACTCACTTTGACAGTTTACCAAGTGTACATATTTTCTAAAACAAAATCATCCTGCTGATGGAGGAAGCTATATGGGGTGACCTACTCAAGATTGGATTGGGAAGCATCCAAATTAAACATGAAGCCAACAGCCTAGGGCCCCAGTGATTCATCCAACATGACTTTTTCTCGGCAGGTTGATTTCATTTTTAACAGTCAATTCTCAACTAACTACTCTAATGGGTGGGGAGGTATACATGATAAAACCAAAACAGGATAACAGAAAACTAACTGTGCAGTGTCTAATGTTGGTGGGAGGGTTGTTATCTATGTCCCACACCATGGCCACTCCATGGATCTTGGCTGTTCATTTATTGTCATGTTACAGCAACTGTGGACTATTTCCTGAAGGAAATCTGGCCCCTACCCATGGGTACACTGTGGTCTGCCTCTTTGAGGACGTAGGTCTATACAAGTACATGGCCTGGTTAGGAACCTTCACTTTCACAAGTGGATGCCAAGTTCTTAGGTGTACATCCGCATCTAATCAGAAGTATAGAGTTTCAGCTGTTGGGTACCTGCCAGACAATTTATCCTTGACTTCTCTGCTCCTTAATTCTTATGGAAGTTTGATTGGAGAAAACAACATTTAGGGAGAGATGCAGGCCATCCAACTTTCTTTCTTTCTTTCTTTCTTTCTTTCTTTCTTTCTTTCTTTCTTTCTTTTTCTTTCTTTCTTTCTTTTCTTTCTTTTTTTCTTTCTTCCTTCCTTCCCTTTCCTTTCCTTTTTCTTTTATTTCTTTTATTTTTTTTCAAGATGGAGGCTCACTCTGTCTCCCAGGCTCGAGTGCAGTGGTGGTGATCACAGCTCACTGCAGCCTTGACCTCTTGGGTTCAAGCAATCCTCCTGCCTCAGTCTCCTGGGTAGTTGGGACCACAGGCATGAGCCACCATGCCCAGCTAATTTTTACACTTTTTAAAGAGAAAGGGTCTCCCTATGTTGCCCAGGCTGGTTTTAAATTCCCGAGTTCAAGCAAGCCTCCCACCTCGGCCTCCTGAAGTGCTGGCATTACAAATGGAAGCCACAACACTTGGCCTTCTTTTAGATATTTTAGATATTTTAAACTTTATCTGTGCATCAAGTCAGATACTTAAAAAACTTCATTTGTGAACTGCATCATGTCATTCCCTCAGAGAACTGAATTTTAAAGGACCTCACTTTGTCATTAGGCCCTAGGTTAAAGGCTCCTGGAGTGATACCATAAGAAACAGCTATTGGAAACTCATCTGCTTTAAGTGTCATTCATGACATCAGTGTCCCTTTTGAGGACATATGGGAGAAACGTCTTTCAGGTCTTAAGGCTCCTGAGACCGTGGTATGTATGTTATAAAACACTGTGAATCCTATAACTTGTCTGTTTTCTTCATTGCTCAGAGCCAAATGTGTGATCCCCCTCCAGAAAAGACTTGAGTCTTTACAGTTGGAATTTCCGTGTCGTGAGTGGTGAGTGGTTTTATTTCTTGTTTCACTTTACTGCCTTGCTTGTATTTTTCTCTTTGCTCTAATTAATTTCTTTTGTTTCAATCATATTGCATGATTTTTATGTTACCTAAAATGCATGTCAAATGAGGTGGTGATTTGAAATCGTTAAATCATCCTTATGGCATTTCCTGAGCAAATAGCAATAAAAATATACCTTTGGAGTGTAAGGGAGGAAAAATTTCTCACTCATTGCTGGGTTCATGGCTGAGGCATCTATAACAAAAGACAGATTAAAAAAAGAAAAGCATATAAATGTATTTAATATGTAAGTTTTATATGGCATAGCTTCGGAAATGAAGATCCAAAGAGACAGAGAAACCTGTGGGTTTTTATGCTAAGTTTGATGAATAAGTGGATGATTGTGGAGATGATTAGACAAAACTGTATGATCTAATGCTAATAAACTAGGGGGAACTTAGCAAGGCTTGTTTGTTCAGATTCTTCTCTGTGTCTCTGTGTCTTCAAAGACAGGGACGTTCCTTCCCCCTGGCTACAGGGTGGGCACCTCTGGAAAGAAGGTTTTATGACCTGCTTCTAAGAGAAAGGCAAGGGGAAGGTGAGAGTAACCTTCCTGCCTCTGGGGTTTTCTGAAGTGCCAAGGTGCCATATTTTGGGGTAGTGTGTCCTGAACCCTACAAGGGGATACTCCCAAAAGTATAAATAATTCGGGGAAAAAGTTAGGATGTTTTAATTATCCCAGATAATTGGGAATTTGATATACAGTGACATCTTAACGAACAAACTCTCAGGACAAATCTAGTTTTAATTAATTTGACTGAGTTGCAGAATAAATTGAAGGACATGCTGATCTCAGACAGGAAGGCACCGTCACTGGTGGGAAATGTTCCTTGAAAAGGGCTCGTCTGGGCCAAGGACTGAAACCAAGGCCTGCTTCATTGGAAAAAGTGAAGGAAGGAGGGAATTCATTCCCCGTAACACAATTTAATGCTTCACTCCCCCTTTAACAAATCTTGTTTATAGTATTATTATGCTTAAATTTAAGTAAGCCATAACATAATCATTCTATCCATCCTTGATAATGGAGCTTATTTATGAAGATAAAGTCTACCAAATACCTTCAACAATGTGCCCAGCACTGGGGATAAATCAATGAGTCAGAATCCCTGTCCTCAACACCCGCTTTGAGCCCTTTTCTTTGTTCATTCATTCAAACAGTATTTATTAAGTATCTGAAGGGAGGGCTATGACTGTGGCAGGGCATCTAAGTTATAATGGATGAGGGGCAGCAAAAAAAAGCCCACCAGAGGAGGTGGCATTTAGATTGAGGTCGGAAGGATGAGGAGTTGGTCAAGAGACAGGGAAGGAAAATACAGTCCTGAGGATGAAACAATGTGTGTGAAGCCTGGAGGTGGGGAGGAGACTGCAGGGGCTGCTGGAGATCCGTGTGGGAGGGCCACAGGGTGAGAGGGTGCTGGGTGAGGTCATGATATGGAAGGCATTTCCTCTTCTCCCAAATGGTCTCATGGCCACACCTTTCACCTCCTCCAAGCCTTTGCTCCACCCACGTTCTCAACGAGGCCTCCTCTGTCCCTCCCGTCCCAATTGCAACACCCCCTTGCTCCAATTAGTTTCCATTGCATCTATCACCTTCTAACACAGAAATAATATGTTATTTATTCATTATCTTTCTTGTTTGTCTCCCCCACCTCACTCCTACCTCCCTCTAAGCTTCGGTGAGGCAGAAAGTTTTGTCTGCTTTGTTTACTGACATATCCCCAACATCTAGAACAGGGCCTGGCATTCCGGCTCTGTTCTTCAGGGCCAGGTCTTCAATCAATAGCCGTTGAATGGAATTGAATTGAAAGTTGATGAATGTTTTAAGCAAGGATGTGGCCTTATCTTATTTAAATTTTTTGAAGGTAACTCGAGATCCTGAGCAAAAACAATGCTTTAAATCCAAAAGACACTTTTCTGAATTGCTCTGTATCAACTCTGGAATCTAAAACCAAGGCTTGGCTAGCCAGATGTTAAGCTTCTTCCTAACCTTTCTTTCCAAGTTACCCGAGTAGAGAGAGGGAAAGGCACAACATGGTTATCGTGGAGGCTTTAGGCACAGGGGTGAGAGCCCCAGAAAGAATGCCAACCACCCTATGCAGTCAAGTCAAGCCAGAAGCATGGACTGTGTGCATGCCTACCAACAAAGCCCAAAATAACTAGGATCAATTAAATGGCGGGTACAGAAGTGTGTTTGTGTCTTGATTCTCCTCCCTGTTGGGGCTTGCTACTGCCCTGAGGAAAAAACTGTTTACTTTTCATATCAGGTTTAAACAATTTTTATTTTTAGGCTTCACTCAAAAGTAAAGCAATTTGTACTGGATAATTCATTTTAAAGAAGTCTGTTGAGAGAAATTGCCTCAGGATGGGGCGCTCAGATCTCATTAAGAGGAGATTTATTGGTTAGCACAGGCTTAGAAAAGGTTGATTCATTCATTCAACAAATATTTATTGAACATTTTCTGTGTGCAAAGCCTTGCTGGAAAGTTAAGCGTGCAGTCCTTTTACAGATTCCTTATAAAGCTTACCTTCCAGTTGGGGAAATAACATATGTGCACAAGAAGTTAAATAGAGAGGCAACAATGAAAATGTGCCCCAAGGCAGCCTGTGATTAAATGCGAAACAGGTGGTGGAGACCAGAAGCACTGTAGAATCACTCCCAAATGCCAGTCTGAACAGTTTTCAGTACCTCAGACAGTCATACAATTTTTTTTAAAAATGATTTTTTTCCTAAAGCTAAGTGAATTACATTTGAAGAACCAACAGTTATTCTGATATTATGCCTTTTATGCTTTTTGATTAGTAAATGTCTTTTTTAAAATAAGATACTGTGATGGTGGTAGTTGTTTTTTAAGTTCTTATTTGGCAGAATAAAAAATTGACAATCAGATGTTGTACTTTATTATTTTGTTTTTGTTTTTTGAGACAGAGTTTTGCTCTTGTTGCCCAGGCTGGAGTGCAATGGTGCAATCTCAGCTCACTGCAACCTCCGCCTCCCAGGTTCAAGTGATTCTCCTGCCTCAGCCTCCCGAGTAGCTGGGATTACAGGCATATGCCACCACGCCCAGCTAATTTTGTATTATTAGTAGAGACGAGGTTTCTCCATGTTGGCCAGGCTGGCCTCGAACTCCCAATCTCAGGTGATTTGCCTGCCTCGGCCTCCCTGTACTTTATTATTGTTTTTAAAAGTCTTACTAGTCCACTTCAACCCCTCTCAAGCTAGAAACTACTGCTATTGAGGCAAACAGGATTGCAGCCAGGAGGGGCTCGTGGACTGGCATAGTAAACTGGGTGGGTTTTTCATGGTCAGAATGGAGGCAGATAGACATCCTAGATTAAGTAAGTCACAGCACATTTTTGTGGAGTTGAATTCAATCAGATTTTACGTGTAGCAGAGCCACAGATGTGATGATGGGGACAGCGGGTAGGAGTCGGTGAAGAGCACCCCCTGCAAAGGGCATGCGCAGATGACTCTTGAGAAATCAGGTTGAAAGCTGGGGAAGATCGTGGAAAGCCTTGAATATCCAAGTAAGGACATAGACTTTGGAGATATGGACAGAATTTTATTTTATTTTTTCAATTTTTTCCTTGAATTCTGAAATATGTCCTGATGGTCAGCATTTTTATGAATAGTTTTAAAGCAGACCAGTGATATGAAAAAATAGTATTTTTTTATTTTTTATTTTTATTTTTTGAAACAGAGTCTAGCTGTGTTGCCCAGGCTGGAGTGCAATGGCACGATCTTGGCTCACTGCAACCTCCGCCTCCCAGGCTCAAGCCATTCTCCTTCCTCAGCCTCCCAAGTAGCTGGGATTACAGGCACCCGCCACCACACCTGGCTAATTTTTGTATTTTTAGTAGAGATGGGGTTTCACCGTGTTGATAAGGCTGGTCTCGAACTCCTGACCTCAGATAATCCACCCACCTTGGCCTCCCAAAGTTCTGGGATTAGAGACGTGAGCCACCACGCCCAGCTGAAAGAATAGTATTTTTAAAAGATTAAACTCAATGTCAACTATGGACTTCTGGAGATAATGATGTATCAATGTAGGTTCATTGACTGAAACAAATATACTGATGTGGGATGCTGATAATCAGAGAGGCTGTGTGTGTGTCTGGGGACACGAGACACACAGGAACTCTTTGTACTTTCTGCTCAATATTGCTGTGAATCTAAAACTGCTCAAAAAATAAAACCTATTGTAAAAAGGATTAATCTGGCAGCTGAGTGCCAAATGGATAGGGGGTGGGGCAGATCGAGAATATAAAGTCACAAGATACAAAATTAGGTACAAGCATCTGTCCTGGAGCTTGAGATTTGTTAGCTACATGACAAATCCACTTTTAGCAGGGAGCGACTCTAAAGGCAGGGAACCCCGCCAGGAAGCAATTGTAATGTCCCAGGCCCAAAATAAGCAGGGCATTGAACAAAGTATCAGCAAAGAAAATGGAAAACAGAGAATGAGTATGGGCATGAATAGGAAGGAAATCCCATGGTACTTGGTGATTAATGAAGTCTGAGGGAAGCGAAGGGTGGGCAGAGTGACCCTGGGGTTTGACCAGCTGGGTGATAACTGCACTGCAGTCAGAAATAGGGAAATCAAGACAGAAAACTCTGGGCAGTGGGGGAGGGGGACACAAAACTGGGGAGGGGTTGTCTTTGGGTTAATGGCAGCACCTCTCTGAGGAGGTGGGAGTCAGTGAGCAGCATTTCCTAAGTGCCAGGCACAGTGCGTATCCCCAGCATCTGTGTGGAAGCCAGGGGTGGGAATGACTTTTTAAAGCGGAGAACCTGAATCTAAAGAAAGCAGCATCCTCAATAGGAGGATATTTTCAGTCCTATGACGTTTTCAGTTCTGTTCTCCTATTGGCTCCAAGAAATCTTAGAGGAATAGAAAACTGTATTATTTGCTCCAAGAGTCAGAATAAAGACAGGAAGCGGTGGTTGCTGGTCACCTTTTCCAGGAGTGGCCCAGAGGATGTTTACAGGAAAGATTCCTTTCTGCCCTTTGACTTGTAGGACTGTCAGACTAGAAATAGGGACTCTAATGCAGAAGTTGAGCAGATTCAGAGAACAGTTGAAACGGGAGTGGAACTCCCCAAGAGACAAAGCACCCTTGCACATCCTTCAAAAAGAAAGAGAAAGAAACTGTGGAGGGGGCGAGGAGAATCTTCCTTAACATAGGATGACATCTCTGTTCCTTTCTCCTCTTTGGCCTTGCCCTTTTCATTTTCCCCTTTCCCAAACTTCCTTCTATCTTACCAAACAAAAATATGAAGTGAGTATTATAGGGACAGGAAAAAACCTGTAAAATAAATGTTTTCCCCAAATCACAGGTTATTTTTAAAGACCAGCCAATCATGCAATTGTTGCTATTACAGTTACATCAGGTGAAATTGTAGTATTTACCAAGACCACACCTAATTTTTTTTCTTTTTTCTAAGACAGGATCTTGGTCCATCACCCAGGCTGGAATACAGTGGTGCAATTATAGTTCACTGCGGCCTCAAATTCCTGCACTCAACAGATCCTCCCACCTCAGCCTCGCAACTGGCTGGGACTACAGGGATGCACCACCACACCTGGCTAATTTTTAACTCTTTCGTAGGAATGAGGTCTTGCTGTGTTGCCCAGGCTGGTCTCGAACTCTGGGGGTCAAGAGATCCTCCCATCTCGGCCTTCCAAAGTGTTGGGATTACAGGCACGCACCACCACACCTGGCTACATGCCTAATTTAACATGAGCTAGAGTTAGGTTTGGCCATCCCTAGTGTTCAGTGGAGTTGTAGAGTTAGTCTCAAATGCCAGAGTGAAAGTCCTTGCCTATCACTCCCTCATGGGGTAACCATGGTGGAGCTGCCCAATTTCCTCATCTCAGAAGTGAATATAATAGCTTCTACCTCATAGGGTTGTTGTGAGAATTGCATGAGGAAACCATGGAAAGGAATTCATAGAGTACTTAGAAAGGCAGTAAGTACAGGGACAGATTTGGGTTTCATGGGACTTGAAGACTACACAACTTCGGAAGCCCTCTTTAATGAAAAGAAGATAAATCTTACTTTTGCAAGTTTTATATGAATATGTGACTATGTGAACACATTGCTCAGGTCCTCCCCTCGCCCGCACACAAGGTCTAGAAAAAGGCTTATTAAAGTGAGACATCCTGAAGCTTAAGCGTCACCAGCTTCAAGTTCAACCCACCTCTGAATAAATGCTTCAAATAAATATTAGTCCTTGCTGTTATTTATTTATTTAAAAAATGTTTATGGAGCACTTACTATGTGCCAGGCTGTGAGCTTGCAGCTAGAAGTTGGGAGTGTTGCACATCTGGAAATTCTATGCCCTAGCTAAGGGAAGGTCACTAAATATCAAAGCAAACCAAACTCCTTATCTAAAGAATGTGGTTTGATTTGACAAAACATCCCAAAGCTAATAAATGGCTGCAAAGCACTTTGCAGACCTCTTTAACAGAAACATTGCACCAATGGAATAGATGAGCTATTTGTAGTTATTATTTTATTTTTCCATTAAAAAAATGTGATAAAATAGATCCAACATAAAATGTACTATCAACCATTTTTAAGTGTACAGTTCAGTGTTATTAAGTACATTTATATTGTTGTGCAACCATCATTACATTCATCTCCAGAACTCTTTCTTTTATTTTTTGAGACTCGCTCTGTCACCTGGGCTGGGAGTGCAGTGGCAACATCATAGCTCACTGCGTCCTCAAACACCAGGGCTCAAACAATCCTCCCACTTTAGCCTCCCTAATAGCAGGGACTACAGGCATGTATCAGCAAGCCTGGCTAATTTTTGTTTTTTTGTTTTTTTGTTTTTTTTGTAGAGATGAGGTCTTGCCATGTTGCCCAGGCTGGTCTTAAACTCCCGGGCTAAAACAACCCGCCCACCTCGGCTTCCCAAAGTGCTGGGATTACAGGCCTGAGTCACCGTGCCTAGCCAGAACTCTCTTTATCTGACAAAGCTGAAATTCTGTTCCTGTTAAACAATAACTTCCATTCCTCCCTCCCTCAAGCTGACAGCAAACCACCATTCTACTTTCTGGCTCTGTGATTTTGACTACTTAGAGTAGACAAATACTCTAAGTATAGTATTTATATCTTAGATCTGTAAGTATCCACTCATAGAGTACCTCATAAAAGTAGAATCATACAGAATTTGTCTTTTGGTGATTGGCTTATTTGACTTAGTATAATGTCCCAGAATTCATTTTTGTTGAAGCAAATGTCAGAATTTCCTTCCTTTTTAAGACTGAATCGCATAGTTCATTGTATGTATATACCACACTTGGCTTATCCATTCATCCATCCATGAACATTTGGGTTGCTTTCACATTCTAGCTATTGTGAGTAATGCTGTTATGAACATGGGTGTTCAGTAGATGTTACTTTTATGTTGCTTTAGAACATCTGTGTCTTTATGATCACTGATTAGAATGTACTTGGACTATCGCTTTCCTCTGCTCACATATAAATTAAATAAAGCAGTCAAATACCGACAAACCAGTCATCAAACTTAAGTTTGGAGAAGTCAAGTGGGTCAGTGGAGCTTTGAACTAAGACTTAGAAGATTTGGGTTCTGGTCCCAGCAATGCAGTCAGTGTTGGCTAACTATGTAATATGGTGGCAAATGATTTCATCTTGCTGGGCCTCAGTTTCTTCACCTGTCCTGTGAGTGATTTGGACTAGGGTTTCCTTTTTAGGATGATCAGCTCAACTTGGCCTCCCAAATCAAAGAAAATCCTGTGTCCTTGGAAACCCCTCAATCCCAAGAAAACCAGGATGATTGGTCACCCTACCTTTCAGCAAATACTCAAAATTTGACACCAGATTTCAAAGAAATGTACTACATTAAATGAAATCAGGCTATTTATCTCTTCCCCACCCCCCAGGAAACATCAAAAGGGAATTCAGCAGCCTAGTCAGACTAGGACAAAATTCCAGATGTGTAATTTTTAACAGGCTTTTTGGGAAACTGCTGATTTTAGATCCTGTTAAGAAGTCATCCCCCACAAATATTCTGGTTAGGGAGGTTTGTATGTTAACGATTAGACAAGAGCTGTTAAAATTTCAGCTGAGCAACTTAAAATATTTCTTACTTTTAATAACTAGTTTGGCTTCTCATGGAACTAACTGTAAAACAGGTAGGATTTTTTTTCCCCCTCAAAGTGCACGCTTCTATGTCACAGAGGGAAAACAACAACAATAAACCAACTAAATAAAACTAAGGTTGACTCTGTCTGATCTGCAACTGAAAGGAAAGGTCAGCCTGGAATATGCTGAAACTCCCCTAGTCTTATACAGGAATGTGCTGATATGCCTGCCTGAAACCCCAAATAAGCCCCCTTTCCTGGAAAGATGATCCAGCCAGATTCCAGCAACCTTCAGCAAACAGGCAGGGCTGGTGTGAATGAAGTCAAGGAAGATTCAGGGGGCTGGGTGCAGTGGCTCATGCCTGTAATCCCAGAGAGCCAGTGTGGGAGGATCAATTGAGCCCAGGATTTCAAGATCAACCTGACAACATAGTGAGGCCTTGTCTCTACAAAAAATTAAAAATTAACTGGATGTGGTGATGTGCACCTGTAGTCCCAGCTACTTGGGAGGCTGAGGTGAGAAGACGGCTTGAGCTCAGGAGGTCAATGCTGCAGTGAGCCATGATTGTACCACTAGACCCCAGCCTGGGCAACAGAGCAAGAACCTGTCAAAAAAAAAAAAAAAAGATTCAGGAACTGTTAATTTCTATATATGAAAAAGTGGCCTGATTTATTTGGACAAAAGAAGCACTTCAGCTTAATTATTTTGGTTGCATATTTGTAGATTATTTGAGGCTATAAGCCTGGGTCTATGGGCAGTTACAGTGCATTACTGATTTGATTGGATCTTGAGAGAGGGCCTAAAAACAATCACAGGCCTACAAGTACGACTTTCTCCTTACAGACACAGACATGAAAAGACAATTGCCTATACCAATTATTATTATGATTATTATTATTATTTGAGACAGGGTCTTGCTCTGTTGCCTAGGTTGGAGTGGAGTGGTGCTATCTCAGTTCACTGCAACCTCCACCTCCTGGGTTCAAGAGATTCTCGTACCTCAGCCTCCTGAGTAGCTGGGATTACAGGTACCTGCCACCACACCAGGCTAATTTTTATATTTTTAGTACAGGCAGAGTTTTGCCATGTTGGCCAGGGTGGTCTTGAACTCCTAACCTCAAGGGATCTGCCGACCTTGGCCTCCCAAAGTGCTGGGATTACAGGTGTAAGCCACCATGCCCAGCCCTATATCAATTATTATCTTCTATAGACAATGGTTTAGTGACCCCTTTTTATGGTCTATCATAATAAAATCTCTATTTATAGATCAGATGATATTTTATAAAACCTATCCACACATGTATCACCCAAACCTCATACATTAAGATAATGCATGTAAGGTGAGATATTATTCTCCTTGTTTTATAAATGCAGAAATAGAAGCCTAGAGAAGTTAAGAGTCTTGACCCCAGACACAAAATGGGTAAGTAGCTCAAGCCTAGGTCTTCTGAATAAAAATCAGGAGACTTCACCAACATGCAAAGCAAAATGTATTGTGCTTTTTAAATATTACTCCTAGCATTTTTGCAATCTTTCTCATGCTATCATCTTAGATAATGATTAACAGGCATTTAGAGAGAGTGTTAAAGTAAAAAAACTGTTTGGCAACACACAGGTTTAAAGGGCTAGCAAGAGAAAGAGGAGCCAGCAAAGGGGTCTGTCTGAGTGGTGGTCAGAGAATGGGTGGAGGACTTGGTCAACTCAGTGCTGCCTCTTAAGCCGAGGGAAAGGAGAGAGAAAACTTCATCTGTAAGTGTTATAAATGAGAAAGACCTGTGGGTTCTTTGTTCAGGGAGCTACTGATGACTTCAGGGAGCACAATCCCCCAGAATCATGGAGTCTTGGGTTCAGTTAACCCCAATACTTATTCATGTCCCTGATGCCCGCCCAGATGGTCACTGCTTGCCTAATGCAATGACTCTGAGAGGCAGCTTTCTGAAGCAGCCTTGTGCTTTTGAACAACTTTGACTCCCTGGAAGTTCATTCTTAAACCAAGTGGCTGCTATGTTTTAAATGATACTGTTGTAAGTGTTAGGGATCAGAGTAGTAAACAAAGTGTTCAAACTTGCTGCCTTCAAAAAGTTACCTTCCAGTGGGGAGATTTATTTTATTTTATTATACTTTAAGTTCTAGGGTACATGTGCACAACGTGCAGGTTTATTACATATGTATACATGTGCCACGTTGGTTTGCTGCACCCATTAACTCGTCATTTACATTAGGTATTTCTCATAATGCTATCCCTCCCCAAGCTCCCCACCCCCCGACAGGCCCTGGGGTGTGATGTTCCCCACCCTGTGTCCAAGTGTTCTCATTGTTCAAGTCCCACCTATGAGTGAGAACACGTAGTGTTTGGTTTTCTGTTCTTGTGGTAGTTTGTTGAGAATGATGGTTTCCAGCTTCATCCATGTCCCTGCAAAGACATGAACTCATCTTTTTTTAAGGCTGCATAATATTCCATGGTATATATGTGCCACAGTTTCTTAATCCAGTCTATCACTGATAGACATTTGGGTTGGTTCCAAGTCTTTGCTATTGTGAATAGTGCCGCAATAAACATATGTGTGCATATGTCTTTATAGCAGCATGATTTATAATTCTTTGGGTATATACCCAGTAATGGGATGGCTGGGTCAAATGGTATTTCTAGTTCTAGATCCTTGTACCACACTGTCTTCCACAATGGTTGAACTAATTTACACTCCCACCAACAGTGTAAAAGCGCTCCTATTTCTCCACATCCTCTCCAGCATCTGTTGTTTCCTGACTTCTTAATGATCGCCATTCTAACTGGCATGAGATGGGGGGAGATACACTTTAAACAATAATAGGGTTAATATCAAATAGGAACAAGTATTTTGAAGAAAAACAAAGCAGGGGTGATTGTGGGGAGAAAGAGGGTCTTGTTTCTTAGTCAGGGAAGTTTTCTCTGAGATGATGCCATTATGGAAGATGCCCTAATGAGAGGAAGAAGCAAGCCATGTGGATGGATAACTAGGGGGAAGAGCATCTCGGGCAGAGAGTACAAAGGCCTTGGGGCAAGGAGCAGCAGGAGGAAGAGAAAAGGAAGGAGATTTTCCAAAGCAACTAGAAGAGTGAAGTTGTCATTTACTGAGATGGGAAAGTCTATAGGTTTAGGGGCAAAGATCAGAAGTTCAAGTTTTGACACATGGGTTTCACACACTCATTAGACATCCAGGAAGATGTGTTGAGAAGGTGATTGAGATCTGTCTGGGGTACAGGGAAGGGGCCCATACTGGAATTTTAATGTTTATGACTTAGCACATAGCTGGTACATAAAGCCACAGACCAAATGAGATATGGCTGAAGAAAGGATGAGGTCTGAGGCTGGAGCCCTAGGCACTCTCCCATTCAGAATTCAGGAAGCTGCAGCACCCAGCAAAGGAGATTGAGAAGGGGTAGTCACTGAGATTGAAGTACCTATAGGGAAGGATGACTCAGAAACTGATGAAGCAGACTTTAAAGAAGAAGACGGGGCCAGGCAGGACCAGGGTGTGGTGGCTCACACCTGTAATCCCAGCACTTTGGGAGGCTGAGGTGGATGGATCACTTAAGGCCAGGAGTTCGAGAGCAGCCTGGCCAACATGGTGAAACCCTGTCTGTACTAAAAATACAAACATTAGCTGGGTGTGGTGGCACACACCTGTAATCCTAGGTACTTGAGAGGCTGAGGCAGGAGAATCACTTAAACCTGGGAGGCAGAGGTTGCAGTGAGCCAAGATCACACCATTGCACTCCAGCCTGAGCAACAGAGTGAGACTCTGTCTTCAAAAAAAAAAAAAAGAAGGAGGGGGGACATCTCTGTTCATTCTTCTTAAGTTTGTTCTGAACCTAAAACCACTCAAAAAAAAAAAAAAAAAAACAAATAAAAATGAAGAAGAAGGAGGAAGGCCGGATCAGATTTGTACAATGCTAATAGGTCAAGTAAAATGAGAACCAAGAGCTGGTCACTGGATTTGGCAATGTGGAGTTCATTGATTATCCTGACAATGGAGTTAGGGGGATGTGGAAGGATGGGGAGGAAAGCCTGACTGGAATATAGTCAAGAGAAAATGAAGGAAGAGTTGGTGAAGACAGCAAATATAACAACTTTTTCAAGGAATTTTGCCACAATGAGAATCAGAAAAATGAAGCAGCAACTGGAAGAGGATATGTAGGAGAAAGGTGTTGTTTGTTTGTTAAGGGTGGGAGATATCACAGTACATTTGTATGTTTATCTGAATAATCCAGTAGAAAGAGAGAAACTGATGCAGAAGAGGGGATGATGGTAAGAGCAAGGTCATTGCATGGCGGAAGAAGAGACACAGGGCCCAGGTGAGGGCTGGCCTTGGAGAAGAACATAGTTACAGAAGGAGCCTTGCATTGTTAATAGGAGGGCAGACAGCATATGAGGATACAGATGTGGACATTTAGTGGACTTAGTGGTACATATGCGGAAGCTGTCTTACTATGCTTTTATTTTTTCAGGAAAATAAGAAGCAAACCCAAGAGTTAAAAGCAAGAGGGCTTGAGAAGAGAGAAGAATCAGTGAAATAATCTCTTGACTGGAAGAGTGAGTTGACTGAGGAAATCAGCTGGAATTGCCAGGCAGCACGAAGGGTTTGAGATCACTTAAAATTTGATGTTATTGTTGGGTCTTTAAGATTAAGCACCAAACTCCAGACCCCATTTTTCTCTTACCCCTCAAACATGGTCTTCTTTAAGACATAATAACATCATTATTTTATTTGATCTGACAAGCATTTGTGTTGCACCTATCCAAGCCTCTGGTGCAGAGGTGCAGTCGAGGGCACGTTCTCTCCAGGGACAGACTGGTTGGTGGGTAGAGACAAGAGAGAAAGAGAGAGAGAGGGAGAGAAGAAAAGGTTGATTCCATTGGGAGTTTTGCCTTCATCCTCCATGAACAGAGGGAAATCAATGCTCATCGAAGGCAGCAAGCTCCCTTTAGAAGGAAAGACATTAATAGCTGGGAAATGTGGCTTAGATTTGACCTTTCACTTACTGAATACCAGAATTAGACAGGCTTACCCATCCAGACCCAAGCTTCAGTGAACCCTCCCAGACCTCTCCAAGAGAGGCTTCTCTGAAACTAACAGCATGGAGGAAATAGGTCAGGAAATGAGTGGCTCCTTGTAGGCGCTTGTTGCCAAGAGGAGAGAGGCAAGGAAGGTGTCCCCATCTGGTGCAGGCTCAGTTCTCCTTCCAAAGCCACTAATCAGGTATGTTATTCCATCTGGCAGGAGTGCAGTAGAGAAGGGCAAGTGGGAGAGTAGAAGGAAGCCAGGAGTGTGACACTAGTTCATGTCCCCACATGGAAGAAAACAGCAGGCATGGGGAAGAAAGATTCCCTTTCATGAATTGAAAGTGAGGTCTTGGACCCTAGATGGCTGCCCTGTCCCATGCCTGGGCCTTTGACTCCCCCTCTCCTGCCCCCCTTTATCACTGAAGCAAGCACCAAATAGGTGAGAGAGTGAGAAATTTGAGGGTATAAACACAACATTGATTACCATGTTGGCCTTTGAAATCTGAGCTAACCAACGAAGAAAGTGAGATAGCAAAAAGGAAGTAGGATTAATCAATTGGAGGCTCAACTGAGGTCAAAGAGCGGTTGACTCAGAGGTTTTAAAAGGATTGTGCTGGAAAGATCACAGCCTTTCACATATTTGAAAATTACTATGATGGTCCTCTTGAGTCTTTTTGCTTGGATTAAACATACTCAGTTCCTTTAGTGGTCCTCATAGGGAAATGTTTCCAGTATATTTGTAAAGAGCATGTTTGCTTTCTACTGAGCACGCTCCGGCATGTGCCTTTGAAAGGGTGGCACCTGGACACTACTACATGGCTTCATCCAGCTGGGGGTAGGCATGGAGTGCCCATCTTCCCGGGCCGTAGAAGCCCTTCTTCACCTGGGACAGGAAGCTGAGGATCTCCTTCCTCTTCACTGTTTCCCCACCCTACGAACTCAGCTTGAGCTCTTTGTCTACTACAACCCCTGTATCTGTTTTGCCCAGGTATTGCTGCCAGGTGAGGACTCCACCACCCCATACTCGGGCAGTTGTGGCAGTTTTCTGGGGACCTCATGTGTACCGATATTAAATAGCAAGGATTCGAGGACTGATTTATCTGTGGGTCATTTGAACTCTTACTAAAATTCTTAATGACATTTTTGTTCATTTCTTAATCATTTAGTGTTAGTCTCAGAAGTTTTTGGTGGTAAAGGGAATGTATGTTTACTCATATTTATTTATTCAGCAACCACAAATGTTTACTGAGAGCCTTCTAAAATATCAGTACTGGGCTACAGACATGGCCCCTGTGTTCATGAAGTGTGCAGCATAGGACCCAAAGAACATCCCTTTGTTTTGTATTTTTGAATAAGGGAGATCGCCATTTACCTAGAGACCTGAACTTATCTATAGGAGTTTCTTCTTCTGCCCTCTGGTTGTAACAGAGGAATTGACTCTCATGTCTTCGAAAGACAGGCTCTTTATTTCTACCTTGGGACCTATCGCCTCTCATTCACTCTTTCTCTCCTGCATCATCCATCCCTCCCTCTAGTCTGGGTGATTCTCTTTAGCATATACATCTGCTCATATTTCTCACCTTCAAAACCCCCTTTCCTTGTCCCACATTCTCCTCTCCAGCTACTGATCTATTCCTTTGTACTTGTTCACAATAAAAAAATCATCTGTGCATAATGTGTCTGTGGCTAGAAAAAGCGGGGACATGTTTGGAACGGCTGTGAGTGTTACAGCAGAGGGCTGATAAGCGAGGAAGAGCACTTTCCAGAGTGCAAGGCACTGACATCAAAGCACTCTGCAAATATTTTGATAGGAGGCAGCTGTGTTATAGCAAAGAGGGCCCTGACCTCCCCTCTCAGAGGACCTCTGCTGAGTCCTGGTTCCACCATCCTCTCGCTGTTGTGATCCTGATCAAGTTATTTAACTTCTTTTGAGCCTCAGTTTCCTCATCTATCAAATGGAAATAGTTGTGGCTCTCTCATAAGTTTGTTGTGACTATGAAATAGGGATGCTTGAAAGTATGAAACAAATGTTAGAAAGTATTGTACAGCAATAATCTCCTTTAAAAGAAAATGGCTAGCCCCAGTCTGCCTGGGCGCCCCCGCAACAAGAGCCTGAGCCAATGGCTCCCCTGTTGTACACTTGGGAATGTGATCCCAGGGAGCAGGACAGAGGAGGAGAAGGAGGGGAAGGAGGCAGTCCAGTGCAAATTCGGGTCACTAAGTTGCTCAGGGCTGCAGGCAGCCTTGACCCACACAACCTCCTGAGGAAACTTATGAAATGTGTCTCAGAACTGTCCACCCTGGGAACTGAAAGGGGCAGCATTTACCCAAAGGTTCCCATTCCCATCTATCAGGGGTGGTCCACGAGCACTGACTCCCCTCTCTTCAGGGTTACATACACATAAATGCCAAGTGGACACCACAGAGCCTCAGGGGAGGAAGTGAAAGGTAGAAGGTGTAGGAGGAGACAAGGCCATGTCAGGTTGTACCTTTGAAACTGGCTCAAAATGGGATCCTGGCGCAGTGGCTGGACTAAGAGGTGAGATCAGGAGGATTTGAAATGGTGCACAAGATGCAACCCCATCCAACAGAAACAAAAACCAAAAAAATGATGACGTGACTTGGCTTGGGTATTTTTAGCAGGGATTATGTGCCATCTCTGTAGAAAAAGAGGGTAGGCCTTACACATTAGTTTTTAACCTATTTTTCTAGACACTATGTGTTTCTGTAGAATTAAGGAATGGAATCTCAAATGCCCCACCTGGCTTTTTGCAACAAATTGTAATCAGAGACTGCATGACCTAACTGGAAGAGACCCAGACCAAGATCTTGGGGAAATTGCTCAATGTCTCTGAAGCAGCGGATGGGGAAGGGGGGTAAATTGAGAACCTTACTACTACCATCTTTCCTGCCTACTTTCTAGTGTTTTGGGGGCTTTTGTGTGGAAGGGGAGAGGAGGTTCATAAAATAAACTATGAAAAACTTTTTTATAAATGAGGAAGGATTATTATCATTTGGGTATTATTAAGTATTGATGATTAAAGTCTATTTCTCCCCAGGATTGTAGCACAATCAAAGTAATTTGAGTTCAGTCAAGTGAAATCAATAAGCCTAGAGCACATACTTTGTGCCAGGCCCCGTGCAATCCATTAAAGATAAAAAGATGCATTAAGAGGAGGGACAGAGAGTAATGTTAATCCTTGGGTACTAGGCAAGACTGCTATTACAGGAAGAAAAAGAAGGAGCATCAGTGCTTTGCTAGGCAGAACTGTACAGAAACAAAGTTTTGCTTTTTCTTGGGTTAAGTCTTGCTTTATAAGGCCTTTCCCATTAAGAAAATTATAACTACCCTCTTATATGTCCATTTAGTACTTTTGAAATTTTGTTTTCTATTTAATGTATAGCTTTTAAAATCTATTTAACTTTTTAAAATTGATGAGTAGTAGACATATAACTTTATTTTTTTCAAATGGATAGCCAACTTTTCAACACCATTTGTTAAATATCCTATCCTTTCTCATCATTTTGAAATGCTACCTTTATCTTATTTTACCCTTACATGTGGTCTCTGGTCTGTGCCATTGATGTATTGTCTATTCCAGCAGGAATTTAACATTATTTAATTATGGTAGCTCTATAATTTGTTTGATAACTGGTAGGTCAACATTACTCCCATTTTTCTTGTTTTTCTCATTTTATTGATTATTCCTATGTATTTACTTTTCTGGACAGTGTTTATAATTGCTTTATATTCCATTATAAAATCCCATTGGAGTTTTGGTCATGATTTGCCCACATTTTCTAGAGGAAATATTATTCAAAGTTACATATTTAGAATAGGAAGTGATAAGATGTTTGAAGAAAATGACAATATGAAACAGTTGTGGAGAGTGGAAGAGCTAGTCCATCAGATTGTCCTGTAGATGGGGAGGCAACCAAGTATTTATAGTGGCATCAATCTGCAGTTTAGGTGATTTTCATCAATGTTCAGCCACTCAGGAGCAGGCGTAAAGAATGATTTGGTTGGTCTTACACTGGGATCGGGTTTGGCAAGACAAGCATAGCAGAAGGAGAAAGGGGAAAAAAAATGAAGGTACTTTTATTTCTTTGTCTTCCTTTCAGTAAAGACAGAATAGAAATAATTGTGTTTTTCTTTCACCAAATAATAATATATACGAATAAATGAAGAGAGGTGTAACTTTTTTGTTTTGTTGTTGTTTTAAACATCTTTATATAATGGAAGTGTTAACTTGTGGACAAGAAAGCCACTGAATTACAACTGAACTTCATATTGTATAAATAATTTATCTTGTGTGTATATATATTTTTTACCATGTTACACTTGAGATACTTTCTTTTGACAGGAGAGCACTTTTGGTGTAAACCCCTATTTTTTGAGTGTGGATATTTTCCCCTAACGTTTTCTTTCTTTGGAACTAAGCATTCTCAAATGTGTTCCCAGGGGAATCTGGAAATGTTGGTGCATATCCATTTGGCAGTTTGGAGATTTGTTAGAGTGTGGGAAAATTCAGAGGTTATTTTCAGGTTATGACATCTGAATATTTCTTTGCAGGTCCAAAGCACAGTTTATTTTTAATACTGTAAAGATACCATAGTCTTGATCCTCATTTTGAGAAGAAAATGCTGCCATCTTTAAAGAAATATAGCTTCACATAAAATCCTGAGTTACAAAAGTGAAGACCTAAAATTCAGATGAAATATAACAGTCTGCTAATGTTTCAAATTGCCTGCTGGTTTATTATGTTTTCCCTTACTTAGGCAAGTAAAGTTAAGAACTATTGAAGTTCACGGCCATGAGGGCACATCCATGGATATCATAAAGCAGCCCTTTTACATTTTCTCTCTCTGCGAATCCAGCCTTCAGCAGGATGATTAACAGCTTCAACCTGGGGAAAGAACGCAGTCTTTCCTCTGGGGCTTCCCAGACCCAAGACCCTGCCCATCCCCATCACAGCTCTCTAAGCCTGACTGCCTGTGAGGTGGGGAAAGACTCAAAGAAACTGTGCCAATCCCAATGATACCCAGGGCCCGACTACTGCAGGGAAGCAGAAATGATGCCTTGTAAATTGGTTATAAAATGGCCTTGTCCAAAGGTATGTGACTGCTGTTTTCATAGTTCCCATCAGCCTCAGAACGTTCTCCATATTTCTTTCAGCTATGGGAAGCTGGTCTCATGCAATTCTAAATGAGTTGTTGTTCCAGTGTAGACTCTCACTGAACCAGAATGTGGTCAGGCAGGGTGATTGCCTTTTTCAAGAGCTGCCAGCAACCTCACATTCAACTGCTCTGCTCATGTATCATATGTATGATTAACCACAACTTATTCCTTGAACTTTGAGGTAAGACAGTGAAAATAAACTTGAACCATCAATGTATTCTTAGCACATACCACCAATTAGAATATTCACATTTCAGATTCTGATTCCTTTTGACACCTCTATTCCCACTCTCTCCATTCAATCATAAATCCAGTCAATTTTACCTCAAAATATATCTCTTATATTCATCCCCCCTGCCATCTATTGGCACTGCCGAGTTCTTGATTCAAGTCTTCCTCACCTCTCATCAGGTCCATTACAAAAGCCTAATAAATAGTCTTGTTCATCCTTCAAAAATGTACAGCTGCTTATAATACCTCTCTGCCTAATAGTTATCTATGGCTCATCTGCCCAAATGGTCTGAATTCCTTCAAGTTCTGGTCCTTACCTGTGTTTCCTGACCCATCTTCTGTCATTCTCTCATTGGTGCTTTGCGTTCCTACCACATAGAACTGCCTTTACTTCCAGTGCTGTTCTCTCTGCCCAGAGGTGATATTCAACATATTTAAAGAACAGAAACTGACCAGTCAGAACAAACCCCATGACCACTCAGGATTGGCACACAAGAGCATCCTGGTGAATATTGGCTGATGCTGCCATTTCCAGCACCGTGGCTTTGATTCTTTCCCTGGCATGACTGCAGATCCCTTACATGGTCCACAGAGGACCTTTGAGCAGGGGCTGGAGGTGAGGGACAGCATTATTTAGAAAGGTTTAGGGGCTTATACATGATTAACATTTTCAGTACCAATGTAGAGACTGATGTATTTGCATAGTGGGCACTATTTGCAGAACCTAAAATGACCTCTTTTGTTTTTTGAGATATTCTCAAAATAACCACTGCCTCATCTCTGGTTGCTCTGTAAACACTTTTGCCTGCTTCTGTTTCTCAGAATGTAATCAGCAAGAGACATCTACCTCTCACACAGGCTCACCAGCAGATTTGCTTTTTTAACCAGGCTCAATCTTTTCATTTCCATGCTGACTAGGAATCATTATGTCCTGAACTGACCTAAAAGTACAAGGAGAAATTCCAGTATCTTTTCTAATAAAAAGTGAATAATACATGCTTTTCTTAAATCCAAATCATGACTGTTTGAACTAGTCATCATTAATCATATTTCCTGCATCAGCATCCTTAAGAAATTGTTATCAAGTTGCTACTCAATGCAAAACACTAACCTGGCATTGAGGGAAATTTAAAGCAGCAATAGATACAATACCTGCTCTCCACTGCTGTGAAGCTAAGACATGAACAGCGAAGTAATAACTCTGATTTAAGCAGTACATTATGTGTTGCTATCAAATAATAAACACTGTAGTAGTGAAGAGGAGGAAATGACCTGTCTCTCTTCCAGTTAGGTGAGGCTTTCTGGAGGAGCTGAGTCTTGAGTTGAGCATCAAAAGATGGGTAGAGGCCAGGTGTGGTGGCTCGCGCCTGTTATCCCAGCATTTTGGGAGGCCAAGGCAGGAGGATTTCTTGAGCCCAGGAGTTCAAGACCAGCCTGGGCCACATAGTGCGATTCCATTTATACAAACCAATAAAAAATTAGCAGGACGTGGTAATACACACCTGTAGTCCCAGATACTCAGGAGGCTGAGGCCAGAGGATAGCTTTAGCCTGGGAAGTGGAGGCTGCAGTGAGCTGTGCTGGCGCCACTGCACTCCATCCAGCCTAGGAGACAGAGTGAGACCTTCTTCCCCCATCCCCCAAAAAAGGTGGGTAGAGTTTCAACAGTGTTCCAGCAGAATAACTAGCATATGCTACGAGCATAGAAAACACAAAACAAGGTAAAGCAGAGCCTTGACATCAAAATGAGGCTAGAAAAGTAACTGGGGTCAGACTGCAAAAAGAATTGTATCAGGAAAGGGCATTTGTGTTTTAGACCACAGGTAGATCCCTTAAGTTTTGTTAGGCAGAAGCTTAACATAATCAAAGCAATATTTAAAAATATTAGGCAGCGGTAGCTGGCAAGAAGAGTGCTGGGAAGTAACATGGCATAATAGAAAATAGCAGGGCCTTAGTACTTAAGCAGTGGGTTTGAGTCTGGTCTCACCACTTTCTAGCTGGGTGGGCTTGGACCACTTACTTAACCCCCAAATCTCCACTTACTCAACTATAAACATGAAGATAATAATATCTGTAGGGCTGTTATGAGAATAATATTTCATATTTATGAGCACTTACTATGTATTCACTCACACTGCACTAAATACTTTACATCTGTGGTCTCATTTAACCCTTATGTCACTTCCTTAAAAATTGTGGTAAAATATACATAACATAAAATTTACCATTTTAACCATTTTTAAGTGTATAGTTCAGGGGGTTTTAAGTATATTCACACTGTTGTGCAACCATCACCACCGTCCATCTCCAGAACACTTTCATCTTGCAAATCTGGAACTCGGTACCCATTAAACACTAACTGCCCATTCACCCCACTCCCCAGCCCCTAGCACCACCATTTCACTTTCTGTCTCTATGAAGTTCACTTCTCTGGGCATTTCACATAAGTTGCATTATGCAGTATTTGTCCTTTTGTGACTAGCATATTTCACTTAGCATAATGTCCTCAAGGCTCATCCATGTTATATCATATGTCAGAATTTCCTTCCTTTTTTTTTGGCTGGGTACACGGGAATTTATTAATGTTATCTGACAAGGTCAGGCTCCCTAGGTCCTTCCCTTTTCAGGGTGTCTGATGTAGAAACAATGAGGAAGGTTGATTCTCAGTGTGGTGGAGGACTGTGTGGCAGGGACTTCCCAGCAACTAAAGGCTTCTCTCTTCCTCTCATGCTGTTGTTGGGGCTGGTGGTCTGGGGGCTCTTACTTCTTGGAAGCCATGTGGATCATAAAGGTTATCACTTTGTTGCTGTAGCCAAATTCATTGTCATACCCGGAAACGAGCCTGACAAAGAGGCCGTTGAGGGCAATGCCAGCCCCAGTGTTGAAGGTGGAAGAGTGGGTGTCACTGTTAAAGTTGGAGGAGACAGCCTGGTGCTCAGTGTGGCCCACGATGCCCCCGATGGCCCCCTCCGATGCCGCTTCACCACCTCCTTGATGTCATCATATTTGGCTGGTTTCTCCAGAGAGCAGGTCAGGTCCATGACTGACACATTGGCAGTGGGTACATGGAAGGCCACACCACTGAGCTTCCTGTTCGGCTTGGGGATGACCTTGCCCACAGCCTTGGCAGCACCAGTAGACACATGCAGGGATGATGTAATGGAGAGCCCCATGGCCATCACACCACAGTTTCCCAGAGGGGCCATGAGAGTCTTCTGGGTAGCAGTGATGGCATGGACTGTGATGCTGAGTCGCTTCATGATGCCAGAGTTATTATGGATGACCTTGGCCAGGAGGTTAGGCAGCTGGTGGTGCAGGAGGCATTGCTGATGATCTTGAGGTTTTTATACTTCTTATGGCTCATGCCCATCACGAACGTGGGGGCATCAGCAGAGGGGGCAGAGGTAATGACCCTTTTGGCTCCACCCTCTAAGTGAGCCCCAGCCTTCTCCATGGTAGTGAAGATGCCAGTGGACTCCATAACATAATCAGCACCAGCGTCACCCTGTGTGATTTTGGTGGGATCTCCCTCCTGGAAGATGGTGATGGGATTTCCATTTTCAGCCTTGATGGTGCAGTGGAACTTGCTGTGGGTGGAATCATACTGGAACCATGTGATTCCATGGTAGACCATGTAGTTGAGGTCATTGATGGTGATGATATCCACTTTGCCAGAGTTAAAAGCAGCCGTGGTGACCAGGTGCCCAGTATGGCCAAATCCATTTACTCTGGCCTTCACTTTCATCATGGTGTTTCAGGGACATAGCTGGTGCCTCACTAAAGACTGGGCCATCTGTTGATGGGAGGAGCTGAGAGGCTGAATTTCCTTCCTCTTTAAGGCTGAGTAATATTCTACTGAATATTTTACATCACTGTTTTATCATGAGAAAACTGGACTTAGAGGGGTTAACTTATCCAAAATTAGAGAGAGAGAGTAAGAGAAAGAGCTAGGATTTGGGCCAAAGCAATCTGATTCCACAGTGCAGCCTCATTTCCCTTGTATATCCTGATGCATGTAGGTTAAGGGCCTAGCACTGCACCTGGATCAGGATGGCTGTTGCAGAAAGGCATTCTATTGTTTTTGATTATCCAGCACCTCTTCCACAGCTTATCTGGGTAACACAACTCCTCTTTTCCTTGAGGAGCTCTGTCTATGACTGTACCCTCATCCCCCCTGGCCACCATACAAGGGGCAGAAAGCTGAACATATTGCCCAGGTCAAGAAATCAGAGCCTTCCTTCCCTCCCCATTGCAGTGACAGATTCAGGAACGGTCACATGGGTGCAATCAGAGTCCTTCCTGGTGCTATGAGGAGATTGTGAGTCAGGAGTTGTAGGTGTTCATTTTAAAAACTTAGCAGGGAGATGGCAAGAAAGGTGGAGTCCTGAGCAATATCTGAGCCGCTGGATCTAGACACGTCTGAAGCCAGTTGTCCCTATCAACTTCCCTACAACGTGATTCCCCGTTTTTGCTTTTAAGCTAATTGGAATTGCATGTCTGGAACTTGCAAGAGAAAGAAACTGACTAATTCACTAGATCAAAAGGCCCTCATGGGAATGAAAAGGAAAAAACTAACAAGAGGTATTGTGAAGCTGTGTGATGTGAAAAAGAGGAAAACATCGAGAGTCTTTCTGTGGTTCAGATACCTGGTAACCAAGAATACTGCTATTACTGAGAAGGTGGAAGAAGTTGCTACTTTGGGTAGAGTTAAACGAGAAAGTTTCTGGTACTCCCAGGAGTCCAGACTACTAGTTAGCTTCCAAAGGTAAAATGCCCAATGTCACTTATGTCTGCTAAGCACTTCATCCTCTTCAGAATCTCAAACTCGTTAGTGTGTCCAAGGTCTGATTGGGATAGGGCTTTTGGACTCTGATCTTTATCCCCAACCCTGCTCAGTAACCTGGTATGAATTCTCCTTCCAAATATAATTTATTCATTAATCTGCTCATTCATTAATTGAACACAGGCTTGCTGAGTGCTTATGTGTATAGAGGACCTATATGCCAGGTATTAAGCCTATATGCCATAGTACCTATATGCCAGGTATTATGCCAGGTGCTAAGAACACAGTGATGAGAAAATAAATATGGTCCCCTATCTTCAAGAAGTTTGTAATCTAGTGGAGAAATCAGACATAGGATGGATTATCACCCACATGAATATAATTAAAAATTGTATTACATTCTATGAAGATAATAGAGATTAGTAAGAGGTATATGGGGGGATCTAATTCAGGCGGAGGAGAGTAGGATGATTAAGGGATAGCTTCTCTGGGAAAATAACATTCAAGCTAAGGTCAGGTCAGATGAGGTCAGCACTAAAATGAAAAAGAAAGGTGGAAACCAGAGGTGTTATTCTCACCCAACCATAAGAAACAAGTGATTCACCCACCAGGAATGTGAGACGGAGAGGCTTGAAACTGGTTTCTTTAAAGTGGAGCTACTTAGGGCTCTTAGAGCAGGGACTGGCAAATCAATTAAGTATTGTAGGAACCTCACTGCCTGTTGCCCAGTCACCTCTCTGTGACTCTGCTCATGTATTCATCCATTCACTCATGCATTCAAGAAATAGTTAAGGAATATCCACAAGTGAAGGGCATTGTACTAAATGATGAGGCTTCAGGAGAAGCAAGACAGCCTCCAGCCCAGCTCTCAGCAAGAAGGAAGAAGTACAGGTGGGCCCGCCTTCAGACAGCTCCAAGAGATGCCTAAGCCTTTCCCTTAGGGAATCTGCTGCACACTGGCATATGTGCATGTTTCATAAGACTTCTATCTCTGGGCCCCAATGCCTAACAGACTGGTACACTTTTTTTCTTTCATAATTCACAGAGTTAAATCTAGTTCTCCCAGTAGAGGCAAAGGTCCTCTCTACACATAAAGCTAAGAAAGAGATCACATGTGACAACATGGCAGGCTGACACCAAACACAGCGTGGCTGCCCAGTCCCTCCAGATAAACATAAGGAAAGGTCATCCAAACACAGGAAGACAGCCGCCCCCTTCCCTTTTCCTTTACCCCCTCCCCTTCCTCCCTCTGGCTCCCTTATCCCCAGAGGGTGGACCCAGCCTTTCCCAAAGTTTATTCTAAGAGCTCCAGGCTCCCACAGTGGAACGTGCTGTGGACATGGGAATACAACAGCCTAGCCAACAGGGAGAACCAAAAATATAAACTGAGATATTTAATAGATTTCTGTTCCCCCCCACCACCGAAAAAATTGTGGCAGAAATGTCTGGTACTACTGTTTTTACTGTCCTTGATATGTCAGCCCTTCCTAGAAGGTGGTCTTCTAAAGTTTATCGCATTTGTCAGCAAACACTTTGCAGAGAAAAGTTAAGCTCTTTCTTAGGATTTCTGTGCCACTCACATAATCCACTAAACAAATGCAATAAATTTTAGGGAACAAATTCCAAAAAGCCTTGTATTTCAAATGCCAGCGATGAGTTTAACAAGAGTACAAGTAACACTAAAACTGAAGGAAAAAAATTAGAAGGCTGAATTTCCTCTAAATTCAAGATTGGAATTTTGTAAATAATCAGGAATCCCAGAGTCCATAAATAGAAAGTCATTTTATCTTTTACTGACATACTGATCAAAACAGTGGTGAGAACATAAGCTTTGGATTTTACTTGCCACTTAGGAGAAAACAACATTAATACTGCAGGATTATGTACCTCGATGATTATAAACCAGCATTTGTGATGAAATGTGCAGTACTAATTTCAAAACAGACCCAGTGTTTGAAAGCAAAGCATAATGGTGACCTTTCTCATTAGCTGTTGCTCAAACAAAGATATGTTCCAGCAATATCCGATGCTTCCTTCCTGCCAGGGCCTCCACCCAATGCAATTTAAAACACTTGTGTTCTATCCAAACTAGAGCTGAGAATGTGGTGTTGTAGCTGAGCTTCAGTAGCATTGTGTTTATAGTTTATTATTACTTTCTAAGTTTTTTAATGTTTTGTTTTCATAAATTTATTGTCATGAGTTGGGTTTGCAAGATTAAGCATGTGAAACCATGTAAATGAACTCGTTATATATATATTTACTCTTCTACTTTTCCATCTTTCTATTTTTGTGACAAATAGCATTATAGGTCCTTAACCATAAGAACAGAAATGTATCTCATTTCTCTTTGGTGTTTTAATGAATATATTGCAGGCAAAAACAAAACCAAAAACAACTTTTAAGGATCACACCTATCTTGTTTTGTGTAAAATGCTATAAACCCAAACCTAAGGAAAGAATCTGAGAAACCAAAAGAGAGAAATTGAGAGACCACTTGAATACAGGTAATCCTCACGTCTCTAATGTCTAATGCTCTTGCAATCGTTAAAAGTTGAAAATAGTCAAAGCCAAGGCAATTTCCCATGGAACAATAAATAATGAAGAATTTAGATGCTGAACAAAGACCCAATGCTCAATCTCTATAGAAAGACCGTAAACACTTAGTACAGCTATAAATTATGTAGACCATTTATATTTTCTATAATGGGTACAATATTGTAATAGAAAAAAATTAAATGCACGTTACTTAAAATAATTTTGCCTCTTTATACTTCTGCAGTATAAAACTTTCTAAAGTATACGTACATAAGTTAGAAAGAGCTACATACTAATCAATCCCATGAAAGTGTATTCAGGATGGTACACTGTCACAATCTACAAGAACGACAAGTATTTAGAGTATCAATATTTGCCGCTGAATATTATTTCATTTAACTCTAAAAATAAGCAAGCAAAATTCTTTTTATCATTACCATTTTGAAAATGGCATCTCAGAGAAAATCGATAGCTTTCTCAGAAGGAGCTTTATTGGCTCATGGAACTGCAGTTTGGAGGTAGTGCTGCCCCAGCTGGCTGGTTTTAGAGGTTCACTATGTTATTTGGGCTCCAAGTTCAGCACCTCTAATGTTCTCTCAGCTCTGCCCTTTTCTGTGTGGTCATCACATCCTTAGGCCAGCTCCCCTCATTGCTGCAGCCGTTCCAGGCCTCCTATGCTCATACCACACACAACTCAGAGGAAGAGGGAGTCCCAGCATTCCCAACAAGAACCCCCAAGTTCCTGATGAAACACTCTATGTCATGTGCCCAGCTCTGACCAGTCAGTTATTGAGACAAAGGAGATGGGTGACTGACGAGCGTAACTCCCTCTGGAACTATCTGCCCTTCTTTAGCAATGTTGCTAAGAATGGAAGATCCCCTTTGTCCCCAAAGAAAATCTGGGCACTACTAAGAAAAAAGAAAGGGGAATGGGTAGTAGAACAGCAATAAGTGACTGCCTACTTCAGGACTTCATAGGAGTTATGAGAATCAGATAACATTATGGATAGAAAGCAGTTTGCATAGTGCCCAGCTCACATAAGTGCTCAAGAAGTGTTAGCTGTTGTCCTTGGAAGCATCACTAGAATGCTGCTTTTTAACGCTCATTAGCCATTACATAAAATATTAAGAATTGAATAATATGTGTGACAAAAAGTACTGAGACTTTTAAAGAACTAATTGGAACATGTACATACCACGAGTATTGTCATATAAAGCAGTCTTTCTGAGAAAACAAATGAGCTGTCACATGCTGCTGCCAGGCTCAACATGTTGTTTCAGCTCTGTGATGGGTATCTGCAGCTACTGTCTTCTCTACACCCCTATTTTGCTTGGGAAAACTTCCTCTCACTCACCCCTTTGACACTGGAAAGACTGTCAGTTACAAGACTTCCCTCTCCACTGCATCCTCTTCCTCCAGGGATGGTCACACAAATCAGACCTGGCCGAAACTTTCACCATTCTCATCCTCCCTGCACTATGTCTCAATAGATGTCTTCACAGACAAAATGAAATCCATAAAAAGCTGTCTGCAAATATAACCCATTTTCTACTACTTCTCTCTTCTCAGAATAACAAAGTTATGGTTCCTATTTAAGTTCCATTCAACTATTTGAGACTTGAATCTCAATCTCTTCCAATTTGTCAGAAATATGCATTATCAGTTTGCCCTGCTCTAGCTTGTGTCTCTAATCTCACTAGGCTGGATGGCTCTCTGTTTGCCTCTCCAGAGCAACTTTGCATCCTTCTCTACCCAGCTCTGTGTTGGGGGAGGCCAAAGTCTATATAAACTGTATCAATAGACTTCTTTGCCCTCTACTTTCTGGTGGGGTTTGGCTATGGGGAAGCCCCAGCAAGGTACTTGAGAGAAAGAAGAGCATGAGATAAGAGTACAGTAGTCCCCCCTGATTGAGGGGATATGTTCCAAGACCCCTAGTGGATGCCTGAAAGCAAAGATAGCATTAAACCCTATATATACTATGTTTTTCCTGTGCGTACTTACCTATAACTTTTAACTTATAAATTAGGCACAGTAAGAGTTTAACAACAATAACTAATAATAAAATAGAACAATTATAAAAATATGCCAGCATCACTACTCTTGTGCTTTGGTGCCATTATTAAGTGAAATAAGAGTGACTTGAACACAAGCACTGCCATACCACCTCAACAGTCGATCTGCTAACTGAGAGAGCTACTAAGTGACTAGCAGGCAGGGAGCATAAATAGCGTGGATATGCCGGACAATGGGATGATTCACGTCCCAGGCCGGATGGAGCAAGATTTCATTGTGCTACTTGGCATAGTGCACAATTTAAAACTTATGAATTGTTTATTTTTGGAATTTTTTCATTTAATATTCTCAGACTGTGGTTGACCATGGGTAACTGAAACCTTGGAAAGAGAAACCATGGATAAGGGGAACTACTATATTTATTCCTCTGCCTTCTTCCCAGAAAAGTCTTCCTGGATTGGCTGTTTCTTTTGACCAAAGTCATTGTCCTCTCAAGACAGCCTTCTTCCAGGTTCTGGTAATTGCTCCTTCCCCTCATCCTTTCAAATCTAAGGTAATTGTTCCACTGTTTCTTGCCTCAGGGTTCTCTACAATCCTGTTGGTTCTCTATATTGTAACTGCACTGTTGTAAGTAGTTCCTACCTCAAATACCCCAATGTGGAATTAGAAGATTCCACATTGTGTGGAATTAGAAGATTCCACATTGTGTGGAATTAGAAGATTCCACATTGTGTGGAGTTAGAATTCCACATTAGAATTAGAGTAAGTATTTCATGTTTCCTGCTGACTGATACATTCTCCTTCTCCAATGGATTCATCGCATCAACATATAAGCACACGGAAGTATCCAAGATTCACAGATCATTAATCTTTTCCCGATATCTAGTTTTTTCTAGCCTACACTCTAAATTACATCCTAGATCTTGTCATCAATTAGAATCGCTCCATTTCTGAAATCTTAAACTACAATTTAAATTGTACAATGTCTGAGTACAATCTTCTTATCAATGTGTGCTTTTAATTGCATCAAAGTCACTAAGCCCCTTGATTCTTCTACTTCACCCCAATTTCTCAGCTTCCTCTAGTTTTTATTTCCTTCTCTAGGCAGCCTAAAAACAAAGCCCTATCCTTTCAATCTTTCTCTTGCTTAACACTCTCAATTCCATTCTTCCTCATTCTTCTATATACCCACTTGGCAAAATCCCAATCCTGGTGAACCCGGCTACCCACCTTCTCTAACCTATAACTGATGCTGATGAAGGTAGACCAGACACAAATTGTTATCACTGTTCTTTTAAGATTTCCAGCCTTAACTCCAATCCTTCTAGTTGGCCCTAGTCAACATGTTCTCCCTTTCCCCTAGTAATACAATTTCAAACCTTCTTCTTGAACCGAAAGGAGGGGTCTACATTTGTCATTTTACCTTTCTTACCTCTTTTCTCACCTTAATTCACTCCAATATCTTTCAGTCTCACTCTGTCTATGGAAGCTGCTTTTGCCACAGTTAGCAATAAATTCTTAATTTCTCAAAATAATTGAATTTTCAGACTTTGCCTTATTTGCCCTCAAGGGCATTTGACACTGTTGTCTGTTTTCTTCTCAAAACTCTTCATTTCTTGCCTTCCAGGATAATATTATTTTCTCCCCTCCACTTATCTCTTGAACGTTAGTATTTTCCAGGGTTCCATGCTTTTCCCTCCTCTCATCTTCTCATTTAATGATCTTGCCATTTAGCCCTCTGCTCATCTCATCTAGGTGTTCTTATTCACTGCCAGTGGTCACTAGTGTGAACAACAAATACACCTATCATCTCTAAGTCTGGGGGCCAAATTTTGCTCCAAAGTTCTAAAGTAATATATCCAATTGCTGGCCAGGTGTGGTAGCTCACACCTGTAATCCCAGTACTTTGGGAGGCCTAGGTGGAGCTCACTTGAGCCCAGGAGTGCGAGATAAGCCTGCTCAACACAGCAAGACAGTGTCTCTACAAAAAATAAATTTAAAAAGTTAGCCAGGTGCTATGGCGTGTGCCTGTAGTCCCAGCTACTTCACTTGAGCCTGGGAGATGGAGGCTAGAGTGGGCCACAATGGCACTCCAGCCTGGGCAACAAAGCAAGATTCTGTCTAAAAAAATATATACATATATATATATTTATATTGTAAATATATGCGCGTGTGTGTGTGTGTGTGCACATGTATGTATATATAATTGCTGACTCTTTTGGCTGCATGTCTGACCAATACCCACAACTCAATATGTTCCAAATTAAATGATTAATATTATCCATTCCACACTCTGCCCAAATCCTTCTCCTTTATTGAACAGCACCTGTGATATGTGAAACATATATTTGGTCTTCAGCCTATTTCCTGTCATACAACTCCTAAAATCCTTAGAAACTCTACAATGACATCTTTTTGCACAGTAATGATTAGTCAATGGCTGGCAGTCCCTAGGTAGCTTCTGGTTGGAGGCTGGTCACCAGAAAGACCAAGCCATGATTAGAGGATTGGGACATTCAGCCTAACCTTCTAACTGGGAGAGGGGAGAGGGGCTGAAGATAAAGTCAATCACCAGTGGCCAGTGGTTTAATAAATCATGCCTATGTAATGAAGCCTTCATAAAATCCCTGGAGGACTAAGTTTGGAAGCTTCCAGATAGCTGAACACGGAAATTCCTGGAGGGTGGCACACCCATGGAGGGCATGGAAGTTGTGCACCCTTTCCTGCACACCTCCCCCGCTATGCACAGCTTCATCTGTATCTGTATTCATCTGTTCTCACATTGCTATAAACAACTGCTTGAGAGTGTGTAATTTATAAAGAAAAGAGGTGGGTCACTTCCAAGACGGTCAAATAGGAACAGCTCTGGTCTACAGCTCCCAGTGAGATTGACGCAGAAGACGAGTGATTTCTGCATTTCCTACTGAGATACCTGGTTCATCTCACTGGGACTGGTTGGACAGTGGGTGCAGCCCATGGAGGGTGAGCTGAAGCAGGACAGGGTGTCACCTCACCCAGGAAGTGCAAAGGGTCGGGGGATTTCCCTTTCATAGCCAAGGGAAGCAGTGAGTGGACTGTACCTGAAGGAACGGTACACTTCTGGCCAATTACTGTGCTTTTCCCATGGTCTTTGCAACCGGCAGACCAGGAGATTCCCTCCCGTGCCTGGCTCAGTGGGTCCCATGCCCATGGAGCCTTGCTCGCTGCCAGCGCAGCAGTCTGAGATCAACCTGGGACACTGGACCTTGATGGGGGGAGAGGAATCTGCCATTGCTGAGGCTTGAGTAGGCGGTTCTATGCTCACAGTGTAAACAAAGCGGCAGGGAAGCTCAAACTGGGCGGAGCCCACCACAGCTCAGCAAGGCCTACTGCCTCTCTAGATTCCACCTCTTGGGGCAGGGCATATCTGAACAAAATGCAGCAGACAGCTTCTGCAGACTTAAACATCTCTGCCTGACAGCTCTGAAGAGAGCAGTGGTTTTCCCAGCATGGCGTTCAAGGTCCAATAACAGACAGACTGCCTCCTCAAGTGGGTCCCAGACCCCCGTGTAGCCTGATTGGGAGACACCTCCCAGTAGGGACCAACAGACACCTCATACAGGCAGATGCCCCGCTGAGACAAAGCTTCTAGAGGAAAGATCAGGCAGCAATATTTGCTGCTCTGCAGCCTCTGCTGGTGATACCCAGGCAAACACGGTCTGGAGCGGACCTCCAGCAAACTCCAAGAGACCTGCAGCTGAGGGGCCTGTCTGTTAGAAGGAAAACTAACAAACAGAAAGGAACAGCATCAACATCAACAAAAAGGACATCCACACCAAAACCTCATCCGTAGGTCACCAACATCAAAGACCAAAGGTAGGTAAAACCAAAAGATGGAGAGAAATCAGAGCAGAAAGGCTGAAAATTCCAAAAACCAGAATGCCTCTTCTCCTCCAAAGGAACACAACTCCTTGCCAGCAAGGGAACAAAAATGGACAGAGAATGAGTTTGACAAGTTGACGGAAGTAGGCTTCAGAAGGTCAGTAATAACAAACTTCTCCGAGCTAAAGGACCACATTCTAACTCATCGCAAGGAAGCTAAAAACCTTGAAAAAAGGTTAGACGAATGGCTAACTAGAATAACCAGTGCAGAGAAGAGCTTAAATGACGTGATGGAGCTGAAAACCACAGTACGAGAACTTCGTGAAGCATACACAGGCTTCAGTAGCCAATTTGATTAAGTGGAAGAAAGGACATCAGTGATTGAAGATAAAATTAATGAAATAGAGAGAGAAGACAAGATTAGAGAAAAAAGAGTGAAAAGAAACAAACAAAGCCTCCAAGAAATATGGGACTATGTGAAAAGACCAAATCTACGTTTGAATGGTGTATCTGAAAGTGACAGGGAGAATGGAACCAAGTCAGAAAACACTCTTCAGGATATTATCCAGGAGAACTTCCCCAACCTAGCAAGGCAGGCCAAAATTCAAATTCGGGAAATACGGAGAACACCACAAAGATACTCCTCAAGAAGAGCAACCCCAAGACACAAAATTGTCAGATTCACCAAGGTTGAAATGAACGAAAAAATATTAAGGGAAGCCGGAGAGAAGGGTTGGGTTACCCACAAAGGGAAGCCCATCAGACTAACAGTGGATCTCTTGACAGAAACCCTACAAGTCAGAAGAGAGTGGGGGCCAATATTCAACATTCTTAAAGAAAAGAATTTTCATCCCAGAATTTCATATCCAGCCAAACTAAGCTTCATAAGTGAAGGAGAAAGAAAATCCTTTACAGACAAGCAAATGCTGACAGATTTTGTCATCACCAGGCCTGCCTTACAAGAGCCCCTGAAGGAAGCACTAAACATGGAAAGGAACAACTGGTACCAGCCACTGCAAAAACATGCCAAATTGTAAAGACCATCGACACTATAAAGAAACTATATCAATTAACAGGTGAAATAACCAGCTAGCATCATAATGACAGGATCAAATTCACACATAACAATATTAACCTTAAATGTAAATGGGCTAAATGCCCCAATTAAAAGACACAGATTAGCAAATTGGATAAAGAGTAAAGACCCATCAGTGTGCTGTATTCAGGATACCCATCTCATGTGCAAAGACACACATAGGTTCAAAATAAAGGGATGGAGGAAGATCTACCAAGCAAATGGAAAGCAAAAAACAAACAAACAAACAACCAAACAAACAAACAAGAAAGCAGGGGTTGCAATCCTGGTCTCTGATAAAACAGACTTTAAACCAACAAAGATCACAAGAGACAAAGAAGGCCATTACATAATGGTAAAGGGATCAATTCAACAAGAAGAGCTAACTATCCTAAATATATATGCACCCAATACAGGAGCACCCAGATTCATAAAGCAAGTCCTTAGAGACCTACAAAGAGAATTAGACTTCCACACAATAATAATGGGAGACTTTAACACCCAACTGTCAATATTAGATCAACGAGACAGAAAATTTACAAGGATATCCAGGAATTGAACTCAGTTCTGGACCAAGTGGACCTAATAGACATCTACCAAACTCTCCACCCCAAATCAGCAGAATATACATTCTTCTCACAGCACATCACACTTATTCTAAAATTGACCACATAATTAGAAGTAAAACACTCCTCAGCAAATGTAAAAGAACAGAAATCACAACAAACTCTCTCTCAGACCACAGTGCAATCAAATTAGAACTCAGGTTTAAGAAACTCACTCAAAACTGCACAACTACATGGAAACTGAACAACCTGCTCCTGAATGACTACTGGGTAAGTGACGAAATGAAGGCAGAAATAAAGTTGTTCTTTGAAACCAATGAGAACAAAGACACAATGTACCAGAATCTCTGGGACACATTTAAAGCAGTGTATAGAGGGAAATTTATAGCACTAAATGCCCACAAGAGAAAGCAGGAAAGATCTAAAATTGATGCCCTAACATCACAATTAAAAGAACTAGAAAAACAAGAGCAAACAAATTCAAAAGCTAACAGAAGACAAGAAATAACAAAGATCAGAGCAGGACTGAAGGAGATACAGACACAAAAAACTCTTCAAAAAATCATTGAATCCAGGAGTGGTTTTCTGAAAAGATCAACAAAATAGATAGACCACTAGCAAGACTAATAAAGAAGAAATAGAGAAGAATAAAATAGACGCAATAAAAAATGATAAAGGGGATATCACCACTGATCCCACAGAAATACAAACTACCATCAGAGAATAACTGATGAATAGACCCGAATAGACCTGAATAAACACCTGAATAGACCAATAACAGGTTCTGAAATTGAGGAAATAATTAATAGCCTACCAACCAAAAAAAGTCCAGGACCAGACGGATTCACAGCCAAATTCTACCAGAGGTACAAAGAGGAGCAGGTACCATTCCTTCTGAAACTATTCCAATCAATAGAAAAAGAGGGAATCCTCCCTAACTCATTTTCTGAGTCCAGCATCATCCTGATACCAAAGCCTGGCAGAGACACAATGAAAAAGAGAATTTTAGACCAATATCCCTGATGAACATCAATGCAAAAATCCTCAATAAAATACTGGCAAACTGAATCCAGCAGGACATCAAAAAGCTTATCCACCACAATCAAGTTGTCTTCATCCCTGGGATGTAAGGCTGGTTCAACATAGGCAAATCAATAAATGTAAGCCATCACATAAACAGAACCAACCACAAAAACCACATGATTATCTCAATAGATGCAGAAACGGCCTTCAACAAAATTCAACAGCCTTTCATGCTGAAAACTCTCAATAAACTAGTTATTGACGGAACGTATCTCAAAATAATAAGAGCTATTTATGACAGACCCACAGCCAATATCATACTGAATGGGCAAAAACTGGAAGCATTCCCTTTGAAAACCGACAGCAGACAAGGATGCCCTCTCTTACCATTCCTATTCAACATAGTGTTGGAAGTTCTGGCCAGGGCAATCAGGCAAGGGAAAGAAATAAAGTGTATTCAATTAGGAAAAGAGGAAGTCAAACTGTCCCTGCCTTTGCAGATGACATGACTGTATATTTAGAAAGCCCCATCCTCTCAGCCCAAAATCTCCTTAAGCTGATAAGCAACTTCAGCAAAGTCTCAGGATACAAAATCAATGTGCAAAAATCATAAGCATTCCTATACACCAAGAACAGACAAACAGAGAGCCAAATCATGAGTGAACTCCCATTCACAATTACTACAAAGAGAATAAAATAGCTAGGAATCCAACTTACAAGGGATGTGAAGGATCTGTTCAAGGAGAACTACAAACCACTGCTCAACAAAATGAAAGAGGACACAAACAAATGGAAGAACATTCCATACTCATGGATAGGAAGAATCAGTATTGTGAAAATGGCCATACTGCCAAGTTAATTTATAGATTCAATACTATCCCCATCAACCTGCCACTGTCTTTCTTCACATAATTGGAAAAACTACTTAAAATTTCATATGGAAACAAAAAAGAGCCCACATAGCCAAGTCAATCCTAAGCAAAAAGAAAAAAGCTGGAGGCATCACGCTACCTGACTTCACTACAAGGCTACAGTAACCAAAACAGCATGGTACTGGTACCAAAACAGAGATATAGACCAATGGAACAGAACAGAGCCCTCAGAAATAACACCACACATCTACAACTATCTGATCTTTGACAAACCTGACAAAAACAAGAAATGGGGAAAGGATTCCCTATTTAACAAATGGTGCTGGGAAAACTGGCTAGCCATATGTAGAAAGCTGAAACTGGATCCCTTCCTTACACCTTATACAAAAATTAACTCAAGATGGATTAAAGACTTAAATGTAGTACCTAAAACCATAAAAACCCTAGAAGGAAACCTGGGCAATATCATTCAGGACATAAGCATGGGCAAAGACTTCATGACTAAAACACCAAAAGCAATGGCAACAAAAGCCAAAATTGACAAATGGGATCTAATTAAACTAAAGAGCTTCTGCACTGCAAAAGAAACTATCATCAGAGTGGACAGGCAACCTACAGAATGGGAGAAAATTTTTGCAATCTACCCATCTGACAAAGGGCTAATATCCAGAATCTACAAAGAACTTAGACAAATTTACAAGAAAAAAACAAACAACCCCATCAAAAAGTGGGCAAAGGATACGAACAGACACTTCTCAAAAAAACACATTTATGCAGCCAACATACATATGAAAAAATGCTCATCATCACTGGTCATCAGAGAAATGCAAATCAAAACCACAATGAGATACTATCTCACACCAGTTAGAAATGCGATCATTAAAACGTCAGGAAACAACAGATGCGAGAGAGGATGTGGAGAAATAGAAATGCTTTTACACTGTTGGTGGGAGTGTAAATTAGTTCAACCATTGTGGAAGACCGTGTGGATCAAGGATCTAGAACCAGAAACACTATTTGACCCAGCAATCCCATTACTGGGTATATACCCAAAGGATTATAAATCTTGCTACTATAAAGGCACATGTACACGCATGTTTATTGCGGGACTATTCACAATAGCAGAGACTTGGACCCAACCCAAATGTCCATCAATAATAGACTGGATAAAGAAAATGTGGCAAATATACACCATGGAATACTATGCAGCCATAAAAAAAGGATGAGTTCATGTCCTTTGCAGGGACATGGATGAAGCTGAGAACCATCATTCTCAGCAAACTATCACAAGGACAGAAAACCAAACATCGCATGTTCTCACGCATAAGTGGGAGTTGAACAATGAGAACACATGGACACAGGGTGGGGAACATCACACACCAGGGCCTGTTGTGGGGTGGGGAGCTGGGGGGGATAGCATTAGGAGAAATACCTAATGTAAATGACGAGTTAATGGGTGCAGCAAACCAACATTGCACATGTATACCTATGTAACAAACCTGCAAGTTGTGCACATGTATCCTAGAACTTAAAGTATAATAATAATAATAATAATAATAGTAAAAGAGGTTTAATTGACTCACAGTTCCAGATGGCTGAGGAGGCCTCAGGAAACTTACAATCATGGTGGAAGGGAAAGGGGAAGCAAAGAACTTCTTCATAGCAGGAAAGACAGAGCTAGCAAGAGCAGGGAAAACTGCCTTATAAAACCATCAGATCTCTGAGAAGTTACTCACTATCATGAGAACACAATGGGGGAAACCGCCCCCATAATCCAATCATCTCCCTCCCTCAATATGTGGGGATTACAATTCCAGATGAGATTTGGGTGGGGCCACAGAGCCAAACCATATCAGTATTCTTTGTAATATCCTTTATAATAAACCAGTAAACGAAAGTGTTTACTTGAGTTCTGGGAGCCACTCCAGCAAATTAATCAAACTCAAAGAGGGTAGTGGAAACCTCAACTTGAGCCAGTCAATCAGAAGTTCCAGAGCCCTGGACTTGTGACTGTTGTCTGGTGGGTGTGGCAGGATGTACTGGGGACTGAGCCCTTAACCTGTGGGATCTAATGCTACCTCCAGGTTGATAGTGTCGTAATGCTATCTCCAGGTTGATAGTGTTGGAATTGAATTGGAGGACACCCAGTGATTGTGATTGTTGTGTGAGAGCAGAGGAAAATGCAGTTTGAGTTTTTCCACATTTACCATACCATATTCCACTTTCCCAGTCACTGGTACCCAACTTTCTGAGATCATCTTTGACTTCTAACATACCAAGTCATTTGATCACCAAAGACCTTGTTTATTCTATTTCCTTCTTAATTTTTCTGAAATCTATTCATCCTCTCTGTTTCTTCTGACCTCACTTTTAAAATTTATTTATTTTTGAGACAGGGTCTCACTCTGTCACCCAGGCTGGAGTGCAGTGCCATAATCTCAACTCACTGCAGCTTCAACCTTCCAGTCTCAGGTGATCCTCCCACTTCAGCCTCTCGAGTAGCTGGGACTACAGTTGTGCATCACCACGCCTGGCTAATTTTTGTATTTTTTGTAGAGATAGGGTTTTACCATGTTGCCCAGGCTGGTCTTGAACTCCTGGTCTCAAGTGATCCTCCTGCCTTGGCCTCCCAAAATGCTGGGATTATAGGCATGAGCCACCATGCTCAGACTAAATTTTTTCTTATTTTCAATCCATAGTATATGTTATGGGTTGAATATTTTTGCCTTTCCCAAATTCATATGTTGAAGCCCTAAACCCCTAATGTGACTGTATTTTTAGGCCATAATTATAGTTAAATGAGGTAATAAGAGTGGGGCTGATAGTGTTGGTGGCCTTATAAAAAGAGGAAGAAATCTTTCTCTGCCATGTGAGGACACAGCAAGAAGGCAGCCATCTGCAAGCCAGGAAGAGAACCCTCAACAGACCCTGACCATGCTGGCACTCTAATGTAAGACTTCCAGCCCTCATAACTGTGAAGAAGTAAATTTCTGTTCTAAGCTACTCAGTACATAATATTTTATTAGGGAAGCCCACGCTGACTAAGACAGTGTATTACTTGCTGTCTCCTAGAACAAGTCATGTTCTTTCAAAATATTTTGTCTCTGTGTGCTTGCCTTTCCACCAACTGCTCACTGGGGCTTGAATGTAGTTCTTTTTTTTTTTCTTTTTTTTTTTTTTTTTGAGACAGAGTCTTGCTCTGTCATCAGGCTGGAGTATAGTGGCGCAATCTTGGCTCACTGCAACCTCCGCCTCCCGGGTTCAAGTGATTCTCCTGCCTTAGCCTCCCAAGTAGCTGGGATTACAGGCACATGCCACCATGCCTAGCTAATTTTTGTATTTTTAGTAGAGACTGGGTTTCACCATGTTGGCCAGGATGGTCTCCATCTCCTGACCTCATGATCCACCCACTTTGGCCTCCCAAAATGCTGGGATTACAGGCGAATGTACTTCTTTTTCTCTACACCAGTACATTCCCTCTCCTTCTTCATGTGCAAACACTCATTCATCTTTTAGGAATCAATTTATGACTCACTTCCTCCAGAATGCCTTCATTGACCCTTCCAGGCTGATATTCTTCCTCCTTATATCCATAGCTTCCTGAGCTTAACTTTATTACAGCTCTTATCATGCTCTATTATAATTCCCTATTAACTAATCTGTCTCTCACACTAGCTTGTGAGACCTTTGAGACCGGGACTGTATTTTTTTTTTTTAACCTGTATCTGCAGGAGTGAACATAGCACTCAACTCATTGTTGATGCTCAATGTGTTTTTGTGGAATGAATGACTGAAACTCATGACTGCCTCGTTCCATACTCAATCTACAGTCAACAAAACACACTGTCCAACTCTATTCATTGCCTTGTGACACAGCTGGTTGTGAATGTGCGACTCTCACTCATGAAATTATGAACAGCTGGAAGACAATCATTTTTATGTTTTGTTTTTGTATCAGCCATGACACCTCACTCTGTGCCTTGTACATGTTAGGTAGACAATAATTTTTTTGTTAAAGAAATAAGTACAGTTGACAAAAAAGCTAATGCACTCTAAGCCTTCATTAACAGATGTTCAGTGTAAAAAGAGTGTTTGTACTCCTAATAACTCTTATGTGGATCGGATCACATCTGAAGTATTGTGTTCAATGCTGGGCAACCACCATACATTCCTTCCTTCAACATATGTTTATGGAGTGCCTACTCTATGCCACTATCTTTCTTCTGTGCCCAAGGCTTAGAAATCAAAGAAACTTAGGTTTTGTCACTTAAACTGTGTGTACTAGACAGGATTGGCTAGATTTTGTTATAGAAACAAACAATCTCGGAGTATCAGTGGCTTACCACATCCTAGTTTTGTTTCTCTTTCATGCTTTATGTCTGTCATGGGCTGAATGCGGCTTTACTCCACACAGTATTCACTCCAGGACCCAAGTTGCCTCCATCTGGAACATTGCTGATTTCACAGCAGACAGAAGGCATAGCCAACCATGCATTGGCTCTTAAAACTTCTGTCCAGAAGTAACACACATCATTTCTGCTCACATTTCATTGGCCAAAGTCAGTGCTATGACCATGCCTGGATTCACACAAAGAGGGGCAAATAGGGTGAACAGTAATATAATCTACTACACTATGTGATCTAACCTGTTCAAGTCCCCATTTTATCATTTGTAAAATTATAACAATAATCTCTGCAATGAAGACTGAGGTAAGGATGCAAAATAAGGTATGTAAAGTGTTTGGCACATTGTAATCTGTCAGGAAATTGTAGCTATTTCAATTTAAATTCTATTTAAAAGTTTAAAAACTCTGATACTCAGCATAAGAAATTACTATAAGTAAAGCTCTCTAAACACTTAACAGTAAAGTAAATTAGTTCTCCCTTCCTTTGAATTTTTTCTCTGAAAACCCACTTAAACTGTCTGAATTGTGTTTCCAGCCCTGGCTTGATGGTTTTTTTTTTTTTTTCCCATTTCTGCCTTTCAACTTTTTGCCAGAATCAACATAACCTAAGAAGAAATAGATTGGGTGAAAATTCTGTGATTTATTGTTCATTTTTTTCATGTTCAAGATCTGTTTTTCAAACAAGTAAGCAACTGAGTACAAGACCATTTTTCACACTTAATTGCATCACTAGAAACTAGCTCTATTCCCCATCCAGAAAATCTCTGGGTACCGATAAAGATGTTTGGAAATGGGATTGGGACTTTATGCTATCATTTGATAGTATCCACTGATTTTCTAAGTTTATAGCTACATTTTAGCAATATTTATTTTTAAATGCACCTTGTTTGTTTGTTAAACTTCATACCATTTTCTGCTAAATTATGCAACAGCAAAGAGCATGATGGTATGACTTAACATACAGAGTTACACTGATCCTGGTAATATTGCTTCCAGATTCATCCACTAAAAACTGAGTGCAATAATAATTTACTGCTTTTTCATCACTCTCCCTAGAATGACTAAAAGAAATTCTATATGCAGAGTTGAACATTCTTTCCATGAGGTAATCGATTCTAGTTCTTTTAAATATTTGGTAACCATTTGAGTTATCAAATATGATTTTTTAAAAAATAATTATTGAACTGGGGGCATTTTAAAATAAGTCTTTGAAATCTATTATATACCTCATTTGAAGTCAGGGACAGGAGTGGTGCTTGGGAGTCACAAGGGTAGCACCTTCCAAGACTTCTCTAAACCACTCAGCAGCCCTGTGAGCCATGTGTGCATGGTAACCAGGTTACCCCTCAGCAATGTCATCTTGTGCAGAATATCCTTAATGATGGCACAGTGTTTAGAAGATAGAAAGCAATGGTACCCAGGTGGCCGTTCAAACTAATGGCTGGTTACTTGCTACAAAAACAGAGAGCCTCCCTGTTTATAATCTCATTAAAATATACTCAATAAAAAATCTTACAGAGTTGGCGTTGGCAGTTTAGAATAATGGTTTTATGTATTTTTTTTCCTTAAGGTTAAAAAAATGTTGCTGACTGTTGGTCTGTGTCTTTGCTAAACTTTATAACTTGGTATTTATCTATAAAGCTCTAAATACTAGGGCCAAGACTCTCAAGAGAGAGTAGGAGGGATAGGAGGGAAAGACATCCTTCCTTACTCACAGAGGGAGAAACACTAATTTGAACTAGACTTGAGTTATTTAGATTCACTCAGATCTAAAGTCCTTATTTTTGCCTGGAGACAAACCACATAGAGAAGGGAATCATCTTAATCAGCTTAAGCATGGCCCATTCTTGGTTCTTCTTCTGCAGTATGAAGCAGTCCATAGCTCTCTAAGCTGCCAGGCTTCCCCTCTCATCATCCAGAAGAAAACCTCAGGGCCATGGACCTCTAGGCAGAAGAGAAGAGGGTTAGAGGCCCTGACAGATACTATGGGGCTCTCAAATCTCATTCCCTCCTTTTTTACTTCTCTTCCATTTTTACTACTCATTGGCAAAAATACACTTTGACCACGTGTGGTCATGCCTGTAATGTGGCTCATGCCTGTAATCCCAGCACTTTCGGAGGCCTAGATGGGAGGATCGCTTGAGGCCAGGAGGGTTGGGCAACATGGCAAAACCTTCTCTCTACAAAAAATACAAAAATTAACTGGGCTTGGTGACATGCGCCTTTAGTCCTAGCTGCCTGGGAGACTGAGGTGGGAGGATCACTTGAGTCCAGGAGGTCAAGGCTGCAGTAAGCCAGATTGCACCACTGCACTCTGGCCTGGGTGACAGAGGGAGACTTCGTCTCAAAAATAAATAAATAAATAAATAAATAAATAAATAAATAAATAAATAAAGCACTATCACTTGAAACCAGTGGTCCCCAAGCCTATTGGATTACAGAACCACCATGGAACTTTTTTTTTAAAAAAGACAAGGTTGTGGGCTCCAGTCCAGACTTACAAGATCAGATTCTGGGTGATAGGGCCCAGGAATCCATGTTTTTAAAAAACATAGATTTTTTAAACATAGATTTTTTATGGTGATTCTGATTGTCTGCCAACTTCAAGGAATATGGAGAGAATTTCCAGCTGTGGCTGCCTTGATCTCTGCCCTTGGTAAAAGGGCTCAACCTATACAGTTCCCCTCACACCTACAGCATGCCGTGGTAGATACTGAGGAGTGCAAACAAAGAATGTCCCATGCAGGAGTCTCAGTGATTGCATGTCCATCATAATGACAGTATTAAGCTCTCACATCCCCAAGGGAAAAAAATATTCCCCAGCAATGCTGCCAAAACTGCACTTATTACTCACAATTGAATTTCACCCACCCTGGCTGCACTCTGTCCTACTGTTTATACTCTATAGCATTTGCCCAACTTCATGTAACTGGTCTCTAATTGATTTTATCCAGAACCCCCTTTTCCTTAAGTGCTTGTGAGCAGTACCTACTGGGGGAGAAGTCTATGTGCACATAATTCAAATTCTAGTCACCAGTGATAACGCTATTATGTGTGATTGCAATTCTCTAAATTCTTTCATCTTATTTCCTGCCACCAGAGTGACGAATGCTTTGATATGTTCCTGAGTTTCTGTGATGCTCTGCCATGAAGTCCTGTAACTCATCTCACTGACGGTGTTGATCTCAAGGTTAACTTTACGTGCTGGGCTGTTCCCAGCAAGAGCAGCCTCTAGCACACCTCCTGCCTTGTGCTTGCCCAGCGAGATATGATAGCACAAGGGCCTTAATTCCCTCCCTATCATGCTGTCATGTTTGGCAAACACAGAGACTTAGTGTAATCTTAGAAAATTATGAATCTTTCTTTTAGAAAGGGAGTTTAAATGTGTGTATACATGTATCAATGTGAATGTTTTACAAATGCATATGTGTGAATACATGTATGTGTCTATAGGAGTGTGTGATACTAAGATGCATGTATACACCAATATACCTTAAGATGCAAATATTCCACTGTTTTTTGTGTCTCAAAGAGCAACATTATGACCATTTCTATATCTAATAATCATAACAGAACACAGTTGTCACTTATGGAGATATAATTAGCTCTTGAAAGGATTGAAATGTTTCTGTGTCACTGGAAGTGATATTCATCATTGGGAAGTGACCCCTAGAAATTCAGGATTGATGGCAGAGATGGCACAGGAGAATGGAAGGGAGGATGTCAGTCTTCTCTGCTTATCCCACCATTTTTCCATTTGTGAGGTCATTTGACAACTCCATCCTATCCTCTTAGTTATGTGGACCATGTAATAGTTTGAGAATTGAGTTGTAATTTGCAGAAAAGAACCAGGATAAGCTCTGGCCATTCCACCATAAATCCTGACCACAGCCAGCTATTACACATCAGACATCAAATTTCCCTTGTTCACTCACCGTTCCTGCCCTTTGCTACAGTTTGGCTCTCATCCATGTATTCATTTATACAGCCATGCATTTCATTTATTCATTCAATAAATTATTGCACACTTACTACATGTGGTACTGTTCTTTACTATGTTCTGCCAGGATCACTCTTCTCCTCCTTTAGAAATTCTATTCATCTGTCCATCTCTTCTAGTTAGACCTAATTTTTCCTCCTCCTTCCATCTCTTAGTACTTGTACATTTTGGTAGATTTTTAAAATTTTAATTTATTTTTGTTGCATTTTGTTTGATAATTAGTTTTTTGGTCTGGCTCTCTTCTCCAGCTGAAGAGGAGCTGTTGGAGGACAGGAAGATGGTCTGCAGCATTGTGTCTCCCACCCAACCTGGCACAGCCTTTGGCAGGTAACCTTCCATAGCAAAAGTCCCTTGAATTGAAAAGTGAGTGAACTGTTAAGGAACCTGGAGAGGAAGATGGAAAGGTTGGAGGCTTCCAGGGATCTCACTTGTGTCCTCTTGTTAATCTCTCCCACAGGCCATATAAGCTAGCCATCATGAGTGTGGTAGACTCATGGAATTCACCATTAAGAAGTAAAGAAATTTAATTTCCCTGAATTGTACACTTATAAGTGGTTAAATGATAAATATTATGTTATATATATTTATATATAACATAAAAGTACTGTATCACAGGAAAAGTACTGTATCACAGGAAAAAACAAGTACAGAAATATTTTGCTCTGGAGTTGGGGAAATAAAAACTAAAAGAACAAACAACTTGCGGGCACTAGCAGGAAGGGAGGCTGTTTCAGGAATATGCTGTAAAAAAAAGTTGGAACCAGATTAGGGAAACCTTTGGCCCAAAAGAGCAATGCTCATCAAAGTCCCAACAGAATGAATAGAAAGACTTTGAGGGAAAGACTCAAGGTATAGTGAAAGCCCAAGTCAAACCCCTAAAGGGGTTACTCAGGGCACTGGAGTGGGAATGGGTGTAGAGGTGCGGCCCAAGGATAAACACAGAAATTTAGGCCAGAAAAGAGATTCTATGAATATACTTATTCAGTGAGTCACAGAACAATGAAGCATAAGTATGCATTCAACCAACATGGGCTAAAGGCCTACTCAGGCCACTTTTAGCCATAGAAGAAAAGATGCAGTCACTTCTTCATGGAGCTCCATTCTACTTGGAAAGGTAGCAAGTTAAATTAGTGATTTTGATATGATCTGAAAAGTACTGTAACAGAAATTGTGTGTTAAATGCAATGGAACATACTGGAAGGAGAAATTAGTGCCACCTCTTGGGAGTCAGGAAGAAACCTCATAGAGGAGATGACATTTAAATATGCTCTTGGAAGTAGAAACTTGTCAGGGAAGTCAGAGAAGAGAGGCAGGGCATTCCAGGCAGAGGGTCTAGCACAGACAAAGGGGCATGGAATTGCACAGCAAGTAAAGTATTGCTTCATACTATAAGCAGCTGTCCACTAACTGCACAGAAATACTAATGCTGCTGGAGATTAACCATCTGGAGGATCTTCACAGCTGCTTGTTGGGAACCACCATGTTAATGGACAAAAGGAAACCATGAGAAGTATTATAGTGAACCTAGCCAAAAGGATCAAAGAAGCTAGAAAGTAGGACACTGTCGTCTGACACCTATAGATGAATGTTAGCCAGATTAATAACAAGTTGTTAGTCACTACTTTGATTCCTCACAAGGGTAAATTGATCAATACCAGGTTATTCTCCCATGCATCAGATGTTAGTACTTTTCCTAATGATCACTGAAATCACATTTGTGCATTTCTCTAAACCAAAGGAGGAACAGGAGTTATACCAGGGGAGAAGCCCTAATGCTTGGAGCTGTTAAGCATTTGCTTGTATTTATTGACAGTTGGGTTGATCCAAAACCCATCTTTCCAGGCTGGCATGCATACTTAGTAATTAAAGCAGGATTTTATATGGCTTGAAATATTTTAATGTGAATGTATCCTGAGGGACCTCAGCAGAGACTTTCGTTTAATAAATTTAATAACTAATTAAGACATCCTCAACTTCAACCTCCATTAGGTTAACTTTTTAATGAGTTTCAGAATGTCTCTCAAGACATTTCTTCCCTAGATGTGGTGAGAAACACACATGCATACACGTGCACCAGGTGTGGATTTTAGCCTTTGATTTGCCGGCTACTAATTGTGTAACCTTGGTAAAATCACTGAGTATCTCTGGGTTATTCTTTCCTTCTCCATAAAAGACATGTTTACATGAATCTCATTTTATGAATCTCAAACAGTCTGATGGCTTTGTGTAAGTAGTAGAATTAGAATTGGGTATGTTATCAGTATGCAGAAATATTCCTTGAAAGAGTTTCTTAAAGTTAAAATTAAAATTTAATAATAATTTTTTTTTTTTAGAGACAGGGTCTTGTTCTGTTGCCTACGCTGGAATGCGGCGCCATGATCATAGCCCACTATAAACTCCAACTCATGGGCTGAAATTATCTCTCTGCCTCAGCCTTCTGGGTAGCTAGGACTACAACTGTGTGCCACCACACTTAGCTTTTTAAAATTTTTATTTTTGTAGAGATAGGGTTTTGCTCTGTTGCCCAGGCTGGTCTCAAACTCCTGGCCTCAAGCACTTCTCCAACCTTGGCCTCCCAAAGCTCTGGAATTACAGGCATGAGCCGCTGCATCCGGCCTACTTGAAACATTTTATTAACTGACCAATATACCAACAAAATGTGTAGATAATCCAAAGCTACTGAGATGTGTCTATTTTTCAAAAACTACTTAGCCCCTTTGCTTCTGAGGGTTTGAATTGTTTTCCCTTCAGTAGCTATACCTTGGAGAACCCATCAGCAATTGATGGAGACTGTCACCAATCTGCCTCCCTCCAATAAAGATCTTAGACTTAGGGAAAAGCAAAACACTAGCCTATTCTTCTTCCTTTCTTCCTCCCATCACTGTGTCAGGCCAATCCCATCATGGAAAATTTACCTTGATGGAGAAGGAGGAGGGAATTGCAGAGAAAAGGAAAGAGGAAAATTAAAATATTAACTTCTTTATATGCTAAAATAGAATGGTCCTCCTCCTTCCCAGTCAGACTTGGGTAGTATAATCCTCTATTTTTTTTCTCTTCCATACTAATGGTGAACCTGATCCACCTACAAAATAATTGGTACTTTCAAAAAGTAACTTTCATAATATATTTAAAATACTCCTTACATATACTTTTTATAATAAATTTAAAATGGTAAAAGTAGGCATTTGCTTTTACCTTGAGCAGTAATGTGGAAGGGAGCATGATCTGAGGGAAAATAAGGTCTGAACTGTCTCATTCAGTACAGCCAAATGTTGATCGTCCAAATCCATGACAAATCTGCCTTTCAGTTTCTTTGTGACATTACTCCCTCCCTCTGCATATTTAACTCATCTTTAAGAATGAGAAGTTGGCCTGCTTTCCAATTTCCTAGGAACAAGATCTTCCGAGAATGGCAACACTATTTTATTTAAAGTCCATTTGAATTCCCAGCGTTTTAGAGAACCCATATTCAATGTTAGAATAAAAATACATTCCAAAGTAAAATGAAAAAGTGCACTCTGCTCCACAGCCAATGTACTATTTGGGAAAGTTCCTGCTGTGTCGAAACTGGTTAGAAGCAGGCCTGTTTTCCTTTGCAGTATTCATAAAGGCCACAGTAACAATTTTGGGGTCATAGCTATGGGGAGTTACACCCACAGGCTGGATAGCACGAAGACGCTTAAGTTGTATTTGTTAGGTAAAGTAAGCTGGCCCTTTGCAGTGCCCGGAAGCCAGGTGATACATTTTATAAAAAAGAAATTAAGGAACATACAGGATGAGAACTTTTTTCCAATATGCTAGTAATAGGAACTACAGTGAATAGAGAATTGGGACACAGTCCTTTTTTTTTTTTTTTTTTTTTTTTTTTTTGAGACAGGGTCTCACTCTGTCACCCAGGCTGGAGTGCAGTGGCACAATCATAGCTCACTGTAGCCTCAAACTCCTTGGCTCAGGTGATCTTCCCACCTCAGCCTCCTGAGTAGCTGGGACTACAGACACACGCCACCATGCCCAGCTAATTTTTGTATTTTTTGTAGAGATGGGATTTTGCCATGTTGCCCAGGCTGGTCTCAAACTCCTGGGCTAAAGTGATCCGCCTGCCTCAGCCTCCCAAAGTGCTTTGATTACAGACAGGTGATTACAGGTGTGAACCACTGTGCCCAGCTTGAGACTCAGGACTTCCTAATGCTTCTATCTTTAAAAAAAAAAAAATCTAAAAACCAGCTCTATATATGAACAATGATAGCTTAATATCCTTTGATATCTCTGAGAGTGCCCCATCAGACCATCTTATTAATATCTCTGCAGTCTAACAAGATGCTCCCCTATCCTATGCTCTGAAGTTAAGCAATAACTTAATATCCAGATGGCTTCCAAAACTTTTTTTTTTTTTGAGACAGAGTCTCGCTCGGTCACTCAGGTTGGAGTGGAGAGGTGTGATCTCAGCTCACTGCAACCTCTGCCTCCCAGGTTCAAATGATTCTCGTGCCTCATCTTCCCAAGTAGCTGAGATTACAGGCATGCCCCACCACGCCCAGTGAATTTTTGCATTTTTTAGTAGAGATGGGTTTTGCCATGTTGGCTAGGCTTGTCTCGAACTCCTGGCCTCAAGTAATCTGCCCGCATCAGCCTCCCAAAGTGTTAGGATCACAGGCATGAGCCACCAATCCCGGCCCCAAAACTTTTTTTTTTTAAGGTTGAAAACCCTTCTGCTAATCTTGTAGCTCTGTTTCTACCCAAATGCCCTGATTTGTGATAGAAGCTGAGAATTCTAGGTCTTTGGAGTAACAAAAAACCCAAAACCCAAAAACTGACCTAATTTTTAAAGCATAATCAAGAAATAGGAAACTTTCTACCACTCCAACATATCTTTTCTTCTTTGTTCTAACACACTCTCTTATATGTTCGTATGTTCCTTTTTTTTAAAAAAACCCTTTTCCTTCCTTTGCTTATAACATCTGCCAACTGGAACTCAGTAACCCTACTGGACACTAGTTTAAACCAACGCTGGGGCTAAGAAGACTGCCAACCAGCACCTGTCCTGAACCTGAAGGCATGAAGAATTCTCCTGTGTTTTGCTAGGCTCAATTTATACACAGCTACTGCTCTTTTACTGTGTAAAGCATGCCTGAATTGAGCATACAGGCATCATCCATCCAAGATTCACATTTTTGTTCTGTTACCTAACAAAGAGGAACTCCTGACCATTCTTCAACATATTAGAGCAACAAAGTTGACTCCCACACATCAGCCTATCAAACAAACCATTGTCTTTACATGGTAGTGATGGGAAGGTAAAAGTCATGGTAAACATCCCTAAAACCATTTCAATTTTCCCTTCCTTCTTAGTAAGATGTTTGTAAATGTAGCCATGGCAATAAATAGTTGGCTGGAAAGGCTAAATGCATCTTTAGAAATCCTCCCGGCCAGCAGTTTCCAAACATGGTTCATGCACACCAGACACACTTGTGGAGCTTGTTTTAAAGTTGGATTCTCATCCACTCAACAAGTACTTTCTAAATCGCTAGGCTCAGAGTTCTAGAATGCTATTCAAGTAAGTAGCTCATAGACAGCCAGATTTCAGAACCCCTGGTAGGTTAATCCAGGCTTACCCACTTGCTCTACATGCTGCTCTTTGGGTGAGTAGATGACAACTGAGTTTGAGCACTATGGCCTCTTAGAGAGGGTCAGGATTCAAGGCAAAGCTAGAGAAAACAAGACCCTTAAAAACGAACTGGTGATTTATTTGAACAGATCTCCAGGTGACATTGGCAGGCCCTGGTTCATGAGACTGTAAAGGGCCTGAGCTTGAAGCCCATGGAGACCGGACAGCAAGCTGAAGCCATGCTCCAGCTGTTGCTGTTTAACCTTTGCTCCTGGAGAGTGGAGCTGGGTGGTGGGAGCAGAGAGTTGGCAAAGGACCATTGGCCTGTACTGCCAGAGGCCTCCTAATTGCCCAGGCCAGGTTTGTTGCCCTTTTGCTATGTTTTCTTGGTATCCCAATCCCTGCCCCATAATATAGCACTTATCACAGTGTATGGAAACAATAACTCTCTATTTACTTGTCTTTTTTCCCACATTAGACTCCATTAAGGTTTCTGTGACCACCATATTGCCAACATCCCAGCAATAAGCACTTGACTGATATTTGCTGAAGGAATAAGTTTTGTAGCTTAGTTAGATTCAACTCGGTTAGAATTTCTCTGTAGGATTTAAAATACACTTACTTTGAAAGTAACTTATGTGCTTTGCAATTTAAAACATGGTGCCACCTAAGAACGAGAAACATTCACAGTGATTAGGCCCACTAACCAAATCTAGCTGGCCTGTTTTTGTAAATTAAGTCTTACTGGACCACAGTCATGCTCATTCATTTATGTTATCATTGATGGCTGCTTTCACGATACGACAACAGAGTTGGTAGTTGCAATGAAGACCCAGAGACTGTAAGGCCTGCACAGCTGAAAATATTACATCTGGTTCTTTATAGAAGGGTTTGCCAACTCCTGCCCTAGAATCATGTGGAACTGACTGTGTGACAGGTTGGGCACATTGCTTAGCGTCTCTAAATCTTGGTTTTCTTATTTGGATAGTGGGGATAATAATGACACCCTGTCTTACAGCGTTCTTTTTTGGAATAAATGGGATAATCTCTATAAACCTGCCCATACTAGGTGTTCAGTAACTATTAACTGTTATTTTTATAACTTTAAAACATTTGCCTACATTCTTTCTTGTCTTTTTTTTTTAATGCTACTGCTCATCTGCTCTTTAAATTTTTAATCAAAATAAAGCCAGAGCATTCCCTAGCCTTAATGGAGGCACTGACATTTGAAAGAACTTAGGGTTCAATCAGGTTTTGGTGACTAAACTAGTCAGTTTCTTAGAAAAAAAAGACTAAAAACTTCTCTAATTCTATAAAAAAAATCCAAGGCAAGATCTTTCAGATGTTTAATAAACATGCTGTGATATGAGATGTTTGTTTTGCACAAGCTTCAGTCATAATAGACGGAAGTAGGACTTGACTTCTTATACATTTATCCCCTAATTGTCTATCTATCTTACATATTATTTCAATTGCCTCTGAAACCAAAAAGCCACAGCAGTTCTATTAAATTTCTTTGAAAAATGCAGAGGGTGGAGTAGTGTGGGAGGAAACACTGAAAATATCAAATGGTTTTTTGTATCAAGAAAGTTCTGAGTGATAAATAAGAGACCAAGCCAAGAATTTCCAAGGGTATCTTTTACTTAACTTTCAACTTTGATTGCTGGAAAGCTTACTGACCACTTTTGTTAAAATAAATTGCTTAAGCCCTTTAATCAGAAAAACGTCCTGCAGAGTACTGCAGACTAGCTCGTGCAAAGGAGGAGAGCGTTCTGACTCATTTGATATTTACTTATTTCTCATTCTGATCATGGAGCTTAAATGGAGTTACAGTTTTGCCTTTAGTATTCAGGATTTCCAAAGTCTTGGCATTGATCAAGACTGTCTTACAGGAATTGACGCAGTAGGCAACCCCCACTTTCAATCCTTTAAGTACTCATCTATCCATCTGAGGAGTTACCTGCTTGGTCACAGTGTCCAATTGACCATAGCAACAAGAATTCACAGTGTTTGTTAATGTATAAATCTATTCTCCAAAAGTTACTCTACAGTCTGGATTTGTATAATTGGGACATTTACATGCTAAGTTAGAATCTGTCTACATTGAAGATACTTTTTTCTGGAATTTTATCTTCGACTCCAAGAAATAAGGTCCCTCTGCTCTGGGTCATTTTGTGTCCTCCAAGAAGCAGTCGCCAAAAAGGAATTAGACACGCATAAGATCTACTGGGGACAAAGCCCATGAAGGATACAGGGGCAAGGGAGCAGGTATAGGTGGGAAGAGCCTTCAGACTGTGATGCAGGTCTGACCTCCGTGGAAGGAGAGAAGGGGAAGGAGAATTGTGAAGAAGGAACCTCAGACTGCACTGCAACTTGCCACAAGTCTCAGCCAGGCCAGTAGAGAGCTCCAGAGCTGAGATTATTCATCAGAGGAGTGTCATGTTAGGCATAAATGACCCAGCTGTAGTACTTCCCATTTCAATCACTGGCTTGGACCAGCCTAGGTAGACTGTGACCTTGAAGTGAATGCTTGGATGTATTCAAAGATGCAGCAGCTGGAGGCTGTTGGCTGCCTACCTCCTTGCACCTGGTTATCCAGAAGGGAGATCTGAGCAACACACTTTCATGGTCACCACAGTCTAGCCTTCACCTCACAGATCCCCTTCTCCACACAAGTTCAAGGAGCAGCTCTACCATGGTTCCCATAGTCCTGTCTTCCTGAAGAGAATCTTAGAAAAAGGAGGTTAGTGGGACAAACTATAGTCCCATAGTCCCATCTCCGCAGTTAGTCTTAGAGCCAAAGTGACACTCACCCTCTCCTTCCTCTACTATCCAGGCTAAGTCTCTCTTACCCTCAACCTTTACTTCAACAGGCGTTGGTGGCTCTCCTGGTGGTTAACCCTAACCCTCTTCTCTGAGAGATCTGAGCTGTTGGTGTTCATAGCCTTCCTATACCAGGACTGCTGTCTGTGACCTTTCACACTTATAATTGAGTGAGGGATTATCAACAGGTCCCCAAGTGGATAACCTGGGCTCATCCCTGCCCCCATTGTCTAAAAGCAGCTCCATTTCTCTTGCTGATCAGGATTAATTACTCCTGCCAAGATGGGGGCACTTCTTACCTACTTGCCTCTGGACACAAAGGTTCCAAAGTGTGCAGGTAGAAGCTGCACCTTGTACTTCAGTGGAAGTCTTTGCTCTGTCCCCTTACTTCAAAGGAAGTAAGAGAGTGCTTCCTTTGGGGAACAGAACTTCGAATCCTGAAGAGTCCAAAATTACCAGAATGAGTCATTCAGAGTAATGGTGAGTGAGACTACTCCTGTTCCACCTTTTGTATTCTTCAGAGAGGGGATGCAGTCTCATAAAGACGTCCTGTGTCCTGAAGGATGGCACTCCATCTGTAGGATATTGCCACCAAATTGGCACTTGAGCTGCATGTTCAGTAGGCCATTCCAATGTTTTAATGGGCCACTGCTACTGGTCATTGCCCAGGAATCTGTTTTGTGGTAGACAGTTTCTAATCTGGCTCCTAATAATCTTCTCTTACGGGGAGAAACAAAAATGAAGCAATAGAAAATAAATATGTCTATCAAATAATGAAAAAGAAATAATCTTCTCTTACTAGTATTGGTGTCCTTATGTAATCCCCTACCCTTGAGTGTGGACTGGACCTAGTGACTTACTTCTAACAAATAGAACAAAGCAAAGGTAATGGGACATCACTTCTGAGATTAGTTACAAAATGGCTTTGGTTCCATCTTGCTTATCCTCTTTTATTCTCTTACTTGCTTACTGTCATAGAAACCAGCTGCCATATAGCAAGCTCTCCTATAGAGACCCATGTGGTAAGCAATTGAAGGAGGCCTCTGGCCAACAGACAGCAAGGAACCAAGTCGCTCAGTCTAACATCATGTGAGACACTGAATCCCATTAACAATCACATGAGAGAGCTTGGTTTCAGATCGTCTCCCTCAGTTGAGCCTGGAGATGGCTCCAGCTCAGCCAACATCTTGGTTGCAGCCTTGTGAAAGCCCCTGAGCTGGGGGGTCCAGCCAAGCCACACCTGGATTTCTAACCCACAGGAACAGTGAGTCATGTGTTATTTCAACCCCCTACATTTTAAAGTAATTTGTAATGCAGCAATAGATGACTAATATATATTCCCATTTGGGGCCATTCTCTGTCTTCACAAAGTGGGTATTCAAGTACACTGCTTGGCAGCTCTGCCCATTGGGAAAATTTACTTTCTTTGTTGTCTTTCAAGTTCGTCTCTGATGGTAGCAGTAAGGAAGCTGCTATCCATTTTTTACTTGCTCCCACATGCCAAGCTCATCTGTCTATAACCTAAGCTTAGGCATTTTCCTTCTGTTTAAGCTGATCATGTAGGGATCCCTGCATGGCATAGGTGCCAACTGAGGGAGAGGTGCTGGTGTAGCTGTGGTCATGAGGTCCTGGGTCACCTGCTCATGAAATTTACTTGGCCCTCTGGTGCTGTTTGGGCTGGATACTGAATGTACCAGTTTCATCTTTTAATGGACTATTGCTGGGAATGTCTGACTGTATGATATGGCAGCGCCAAAATAACTCAACTCATAATGGGTAGTTCCGGGTACCTGGCATCCCATGGTCACACATTCCATGTCTGCCAGGGCACAGTTACACACATCAAGAGCTATTTCTCAAAAAGTGCAGAACCCAAAAGGCTCATCAGACTCTGTGCTTCCTAATGAGTAGAGAAGGTAAGATGTAGTGCTATGTCTCTTGCTTTGGAGGTAATCCCAGGACATCTATGACCACTGGACCCCAAAAACTTTATTGAAGTGGCAGATCCCTGAATCTTGATAGAGTTTATTTTCCACATTCTAGAGTGTATGTATCTGACCAAGGTCTCCAGCATGCTAACCACCTCTTGTTTTTTTGCCTGATCAGCATGAATTTATCAATGTCATAGTGTTTTGAGGGAAGTCTGGATTGTGCAGCTCTCTTTTTCAGAATATTTTATGACAAATGATTAGGATAGTTAACGTAGCCTGGAGCAAAACTGTAATATTGTTGTCCATCCCATTGATTTTCTCCAATTTTCATGTATGTTGATCTCAATTTTATAACTGGGGACTACGAAAATGACCTCTATCTGGATTCATGGGCCCAGCAGACCCCCCAGTAAACGGAGCTTCAACCAGGACTCTACTTATAAGCTCATGCACTTACCTATTATTTATTCAATTGTTGACTTTATGTCTCCCCAACTAGAATACAAGCTCTTTAAGAACTATGATTTCGTCAGCTTTAGTCCCTACTATACCCCCAGCACCTTTAACAATGCCTGGCACACAGTAGGTGCTCAATAATTGAATGAATCTATTGCATTATTATTTTAATTTGCATTACTTCAATTATGAGTAAGATTGAATTTCTTATTCTGTAAACTGTCTTTTCCTTACCATCATTGTTATTAAAATATATTAATAGTAATAATAATAATGATATATTTTGCTCCCTCTGTTTCTGACCACAAGCAATTACCATCTCAGAGCAGACAAAATGGATGGTCCTATCCTGAAAACCTGACTGTCTCAGGGTGAACTTGGCAGTGGTCTAGATTACTTACAGACTATTAGTATCTCCTAACTGCTTGTGTTCCTTTAGCATCCTGTTGTCAGCTATAATGAGGCACTTACACTGCATTATAATCGCGGTTTAAACTTGTCTGTTACTTCCCCTAGATTAGATTCTTTAAAGGAAGGAACTTTGTCCTTTCGTCGTCTATAAGCAGAACCTAGCACAATGCCTGACAAATAATGGGACGTGAATAAGTTAATTACATGAATGCTCACGAATCAATCAATCAAATGAATCCAGTCAGGGCTAAGCAGCAACTAACAAGTTTAATTTAGGTAAAAGCAGAGAAATCCTAGAGAACTCATTACTCTGTGGGATATGTGATGAAATAGCTATTTCTTTAGAAATAAACATTCCCTCAAAATAGAAAAGAGGAAAAAAATACTATGCTGTTTGAGAGATTTAAAAGTTATTGCACCATTAAAAAATATAACCTTCTTACATATGTATATGGATGTGCCTTTATATGCATATTATATATGTATAATGTGTGTATATATATACATACATACAAAAATAGTCACTACTAAAGTTTAGTTAGGCTTAGCAGGAAGACAAATAGAGGTTAATGGCTCAGGGATTTGTCTCTCTCTACATATATCATATATCATATGCACATATATATATATATATCTTCTTGAGCCCAGAAGTTCAAGGTTACAGTGAGCTATGATCAGCCTGGATGACAGAGCAAGACCCAGTTTCTAAAAAGAAGAAGAAGATAATCATTTGATAATTTAAGAACATCTAGCTTAATAAATATGCCAGTATCTTCATTCAACAAACATTCAACCAATACTTATTGTACTTACTGAACTCTTACTGTGTCCCTGGCACTATTCTAGTCACTTGAAAGTATTAATGAAGAGAAACAGAGAGAGACAAAAACCCTTACCCATGTGGAAACATACAATAAACAATAAAAAGTATGCAGTATATTAGACAGTGATAAGTGCTGTAGAAAAAAAATTGAGCAGAATAAAGTGGGTTCAGGGATGCCAATGTGTGTGTGTGCTGGGGGGATGTGGCAGGAGTAGGGGAGGGTGAAAGTTCCTGGGACTGGGGAGTGGTAGGTGTAGGAGAAGGTAGAAGCTTGCAGAATAGGATGATCAGATTAAGCTTTGTTAAGAAGGTAAGATTTGAACAAAAACTTAAAGAAGAGAAGGGACTTAGTAAAGCGGATATCTTTGAAAACAATGTATTGAATATTGTCTATGGGTCTTGCCATGTAATACAAATATTTAAATTAAACTAAGAGTTTCAAGGGCTATATTCAAAATGAATATCTAAATTAAAACAGACACACTAATTTTAAAAATAAATGTATTAAACAGAACTATAATGAAATTTACTAGTTTTTTTGTTTATCAGAAGAAGTTTATGTTTGCCATGTGAAAATAATGAAGAGAGCTACAGAAAGGGGAAAAAAGTAACAGAACAAATATTAGCACCACCAATATGCCAAAAAAATGTAGTTATTTCATCTAGCAGCTTGAGCATCCAAGGTCTCTTATTATATAGTGAAGACTGGGATAGTTCAAAGGAATGCAATAATACAACTATTATTTGGGAGGCACTGGCTATTAGATATGCTCAGTGTTAAGCCTTTTTCCTGGATTATTTTATATAGTGATCTCAAGTAATGCTCATTTGATGAATGAGAAAACTGAGTCTTGGAAAAGTTATGTAATTTACCCATGATCACACAGTTAGCAAGTGGCCAGGTCAGGATACGATTCCAGATTTGTTTGGCACTGGAGCCCACTATTTCATTATTTATGTTATGCTATCTTTCCACAATGTTTTATTATATTCGTGTATAAAATGGAAGATTAAACATAGGTGAATTAAATTTTCACTCACAACTATTATTTGGGAGGCACTGACTATTAGATATGCTCAGTGTTAAGCCTTTTTCCTGGATTATTTCATACAGTGACCTCAAAGAATACTCATTTTATGAATGAGAAAACTGAGTGAGAGAAAGAAAAATGAAAATAGGATTTGACAGTCACATTACACTTTTACCTGATCCCAGTACTTAACATAGGTCACTCAAGGATATTCATGGCCACAATCCATATGCAAGACTTGTGACACTGTAGCCTTTGGAAACCAAAACTATAGACCACATCCTAATTGAGAACACACCAGCAATGACTTTCCAGAATTTGGGATTACTAACACACCTGTTGAGGAGCTAAGATGGCCCCATAAGGTCCCAGTTTTCTACTTTAACAGTCCATAGTACTTTGAGACTCCTTTGTAGAAAGGCAGAAAGAAAATGCTAACGAGGCAACTGTCCTATTTCTAAGCTATGGGAGTAATTTCAACTTGAGATATAGTGTTGCATAAGCCAAAGATGAGCAAAATCCTGAGGAAGGCATGATAGCATAATAGAAAGATCCCTGGATTGAGAGCAGATCTGACTTCTTGTCCTGGCTCTACCATTAACTCATGTGACCTTGGGCAAGTAAGTCACTTCACCTCATTGAGCCTTAGTTTCCTCACATGTAAGATGTCCAAAGTTGTAAAGCTTTAAGAATGTCAATAGGTGTGCCTCCTTTAGGAGATAATGATTGGTTTTCGCAAATAGTTGATTTGTGTATGTGTCTCTGGAACGTGAAGGCAATCAGAAAGTTTGATTCAAGTCACTTAGGATGGAAAACTTCAGTGCTAGAGAGGCTATGAATACTAAGAGATAAGTTACCATGAATTTAATAAGGATGGATTAACAGGTACTCCACCTGAATGGTATTCTTTAGAACCAGAGTTATGGGAATGAGTTGGTTCTCCCAGCCTCTCTCTGTGTTCTACACCCTGAGCCCCACCACAATGCAGGTGAAAAGAAGCAAAGGCCATAGTATGAAGGGGCTCAGTTCATGAAGGGGGAAGGAAAGAAGAGATGGAAGAGGTAAGGAGTTAGCTCTTCAGTTAGCACAGTGAGCACACTATTCAGAAAAAATTAGTCCCTATCAGGAAGAGAGACTCAGAACTCCATTCAAAGCTCCGATAACTCCCCAACATAATTTGGAGGTGAGAGAATATTGATTTGTTGAGAGGAGTTTCTGGACTAGCACGGGCCCCAGGAGTTTCTAGTCTTTTTGTAATCAGGAGGAAACCAAGGAATAAGCATGCCATAGAAGGAGCAGAATGACAGTGACCAGTGTTCATTCAATGCCTGGCTTTTGAGCCTGGCTGACTCACTGCTCTGGACATGCCAGTCCATTTGCCTGTCATTTTCTATTTTCCTGCTAGCATTGCTGTAGAAAGGCCAGCTCTTCCTCTTATTCTAATCGCCTGAACCCTAAGTAGATTTCGGTTTCCTTTAATCAAATGCAGCTTGACCAGAAAGAACACCACCATGTGCCTTGCCCTGCTGGCTCATAAAATAGCCCAGAAACAAAAGCAATGTTTCTTCCCAGTCTCCCTGCATCACATGCTTGTTCTATGCCAAGTCTATAGCAGCTGCTAGAGTGGAGGGGCACCAGACACTCATGGATTTTTGGACTTTGGCTCCCATGAACCAAGAAACATATCCTCACTCTTTTGATTTTGGTGCTCCCCCATTCCCTCTGGTGAAATAGCACCCACAGCCTCTCACCTTGTAGAACCTACTAAGGTGACCAGTCACCCCCACCCTTGAAGCAGGGTGATTCAGACATTCAGCAATAGGTCTAAGGAAAAAGTCACTGGAGTCTGGGGAGCAGAAGCAGTAGAAAGGTGGGAGACCCCCACAACTGTTAGATAAAAGCACCTTGGTAGCTTTTCAAAATTGGTAACATAGAACTGGGTAAGAACACGCTATAGAGGGATGATCAGGGCATTCCAGGCAATAATTGCTGGTGTATTTCTTAGAGTTTCTTCAGTTCTGAGTGGCTGCCCCTATTATCCACTTTCCTTCCCAAGGTATGTCCCTGGAAAGGATTTGCTGGAAAAAGGATGGTCTGAGACTGGACTGCCCATACTCACATATTAGGCCCCACATTCTCAGTAGAAAACTGAAATTGGAGGGGTTAAAATATCCTATCCACATAGCTTCTGGAGCAGGGCCAGAGCCAAGGAGGAAGCAGGCCCATCAGGAATGCGAGGTCATGCCTGCCAGGGCAGCTTATAGATTCAGCTCACAGGGAAGCCAGACCCGGTCAGCAATGCCAAGGCAGAAGGGGAGCCAAACTGGGCACTGAGATATCATATGGTGGGCCAGAGGTCAGAAGCAAGTCAGGATGCTGAAGCCAGAGATGGAGCTTCAACAAAATGAGTCAGGAAGGACCTAACAGAAGTAGGGAAGGGCTGGGATGTCTGGGGAGTGGAATAGAGTTCGTTAAGATGCAGCTGGCAAACTGCCATGGCCCTTCTATGCATAATTAATACACTCCTTTCATATTCTGAAGCAAAGTCTTGAAGTATCAGTTTCTCACTGGGCTTGTAACATACGGGCCAGGGCATGCTGGGAATAGTAAAGCCTTGAGCCAAAGTGAAAGGGAGTCACCAGAGTCAGGGGCAAAGCTAGGGCAGAAGTGGCAACCCAAAGGAGGGGGTGGCAATAAGAGACCAAGATTAAACAAATGCATAGAAAATATAGCCCCATTTCACAAGTGCCAAAGTCAAAGCAACGACTAATACAGGAGATCAGCATAAGGGATCAGTGGCCTTGGCAAAGACCGGGGATGGGGTGAGATGGAGGATTGTGACATGCAAAGCTAAATCATCTGGGGAAGTCTATCTAGTAGAAGGTGGAGAAGAGCAAGAGATGACCAGGTGACTGAGCCCCAGGTAATAAGGCAGGCCGAGATGATGCAGAGAAAGCAAATATCAGCTTGATGGCAGAACATAGGATGGGACTCCCCTGAGTGAACTCAAGAGCCCAAAAGAAGCAAGTGGAAGGCAGCCACAGATGGGCATCCAGGGGCATTAGGGAGAACCACTGCCCAAACACACCAAAGCATCTGTGTCTTAGGTTTCAGCCTGTGAGCCAAAGACCATTTCCAGACCCCTACTGATTAGTAGGGGAGGGCTGTTGATGTTCTTCCCAAATGGAGTCTTCTCAGTCTTGGGACAGAAGGTGCAGGATTTGGATGGTTGAGCACCAACCATGAACAATGGAGATGAGATGAGAATTAACACAGAATCTAATGCAGAAAGACTCAGAGAGGAACCAAAGAACTCCTGAGGCTCAGTGAGAATTGTGCTAAATCATGGAAGAAAGAAATCAAGGGTTGCCATAGTCAGATGGCCATTCTACCGCCATCTCACTACAGCTACTGCCAATATGCTACTGCCAAGATTGTGAATAAGTTTGTTCTTTCTGGAGATCAATTTGGCATTACGTACGAAGAGTTATAAAAATATACCCAGCCTTTGACCCAAAATTTACACTTCTAGGGATCTCAACTAGGGAAATAGGATTGATGCAAGCTCGGTTTTAACAAGGATGCTCACCACTGTGTTACTTATACCCAAAGAACATTGGGAACAATACAAGCACTCAATAGCAGAGAACTTTTAACTGGCTAAAGTAAGGAACTTCTAGAAGATGAACTATTATGTGGCCACGTTAAATCATGCTCTTGAATGGCATGGGAAAATGTTTATATTATAAAAAGCTAAGTGAAAAATGACAGAACAAACCAAAGTACATAGTGGTGTACATGGAATAATTTCAATTTTGTGAAAAATTTACATATATCCACACAGGAGAAAACATTGACTGAAAGGAAAAATACTGAGGTATTAATAGTCACTATCACGGATAGTGATATTATATATTATTTTAGAATTCTAACCAATTTTCTAAAATGAATCTTGTATTATTATAAGCAGAAAATATAAACATATTATGTAAAACCCAAGGGGAAATAGGGAAGGGAATGGAATTCATTACACTGAAGGGCTCTGCCTCCTCATGTGATATTTCATAATTATGCATGAGTACGTGGTCTGCATGATGTCTAACATTGTTAGAGCACTGCATTTTCTGATTGCAGATGAAAACCAGATGCACAAGACCCCAAACCTTTTTTTTTTTAACTTTTAAGTTCAGGAGTACATGTGCAGGTTTGTTATATAGGTAAATTTGTGTCACAGGGGTTTGTTTTACAGATTATTTCGTCACCCAGGTATTACGTCTACTACCTATTTATTTTTCCTGATCTTCTCCCTCCTCTCAACTTCCACCCTCCAATAGGCTCCTGTGTCTGTTGTTTTCCTCTATGTGTCCATGTGTTCTCATCATTTAGCTCCCACTTATAAGTGAGAACATGCAGGATTTGATTTTCTGTTCCTATGTTACTTTGCTAAGGATAATGGCCTTCAGCTCCATCCATGTTCCTGCAAAGGACATGATCTTGTTCTTTTTTATGGCTGCATAATATTCCTTGTATATATGTACCACATTTTCTTTATCCAGATTACCGTTGATGGGCATTTAGGTTGATTCCATGTCTTTGCTATTGTGACTAGTGCTGCACATGAACATATGTGTGCATGTGTCTTTATGGTAGAACGATTTATATTCCTTTGGGTGTATACCCAGTAATGGAATTGCTGGGTTGAATGGTAGTTCTGTTTTTAGATCTTACAGAAATTGTCTTCCACAATGGCTGAACTAATTTACACTCCCACCAACAATGTACAAGTGTTTCTTTTTCTCCGCAACCTTGCCAGCATCTGTCATTTTTTTGACTTTTTAGTAATAGCCATTCTGACTGGTGTGAGATGGTATCTCATTGTGGTTTTGATTTGCATTTCTCTAGTGATCAGTGATGTTAAGCTTTTTTTCATATACTTATCGGCTGCATGTATATCTTTTTCTGAAATGTCTGCTCATGTTCTTTGCCCACTTTTTAAGTGGGTTGTTGGTTTTTTTGCTATAAATTTTCTTAAGTTCCTTATAGATGCTGGATATCAGACCTTTGTCAGATGCATAGCTTGCAAACATTTTCTTCCATTCTGTAGGTTCTGTTTACTCTATTGATAGTTTATTTTGCTGTATAGAAGCTCTTTAGTTTAATTTCCATTTGTCAAGTTTTGCTTTCGTTGCAATAGCTTTTGTCATCTTCGTCATGAAATCTTTTCCCTCTCCTATATCTAGAATGGTATTGCCTACGTTGTCTTCCAGGGTTTTCATAGTTTTGAGTTTTACATTTAAGTCTTTAATCCATCCTTAGTTGATTTTTGTATATGGTATAAGGAAGGGGTCCAGTTTCAATCTTCTGCATATGGCTAGCCAGTTATCCCAGAACCATTTATTTACTAGGGAGTCCTTTCCTCATTGCTTGTTTTTGTCAGCTTGCTTTGTCAAAGATCAGATGGTTGTAGGTGTGTGGCCTTTTTTCTCAGCAATCTGTTTGTTCCATTGGTCTATGTGTCTGTTTTTGTAACAGTTCCATGCTGTTTTGGTTTCTGCAGCCCTGTAGTATAGTTTGAAGTTGGCTAGTGTGATGCCTCCAGCATTCTTCTTTTTGCTTAGGATTGCCTTGCTTATTCAGGCTCATTTTATGGTTCCATACGAAGTTTAAAATAGCTTTTTCTAGTTGTGAAGAACATTATCAGTAGTTTGATAAGAATAGCATTGAATCTATAAATCACTTTAGGCAATATGGCCTTTTTAATGATTTTGATTCTTCTTATCCATGAGCATGAGATGTTTTTCCATTTGTCTGTGTCATCTCTGATTTCTTTGAGCAGTGTTTTGTAGTTCTCCTTGTAGAGAACTTTCACCTCCCTTGTTAGCTGTATTCTTAGGTATTTTATTATTTTTGTGGCAATTGTGAATGGAATTGCGTTCCTGATTTGGTTCTCAGCTTGACTGTTGTTGGCGAATAGAAATGCTAGTAATTTTTGTATGTTGATTTTGTATCCTGAGACAGCTGAAATTATTTATCAGCTTAAGGAGCGTTCAGGTCAAGACTATGGAGTTTTCTAGGCATAGGATCATTTCAAGACTCCAAATCTTAACCTTACTTCTAAACTACAAAATCGTCTTAATTTTGTTGAGATGTAGCTACACTTGACCTGCACGCATAACACAGTAAAGCCAAATGAGACCCAAACTTGTGATAGTAAACACAAATAAGTGTTTATTACTTCATTATGTTCAATTATGGAGATGAAATTACATTAAATGAGATCAGTGTTATAATAACCTATGTGCCTTGATTTATAAAGCATGTCTGAGCTTCTGCAGCAGGTGAACTGGAAAAGGGGAAGCTACAGAGCTGAGGTAAGAAGGTCTGGCCAAGCAATAGTAAGGGACTTTCCAAGTGTTGATGTCTAAGAGGAGAGTGTACATTCAGAATCTCTGGATAGTTTCCAAAAAGTCCAATCTGATGGAATTCGGTAGTGGAGATGGTGGTTTCATGGCCTGGTTTTTTAATGTTTCAAGAACAGAGACACATTTACCTTAGTTAATGGGGGTGCAGAATTAGGAAGGTGGCATTGCAGGGATACACAGGAGGTTGTAAGGAAGTCAGGAAACACTCAACAGCTGCACAGCTATGCCTCACAGAGACCAGAACATAATTTATAAGATAGAAGCTGCTTTAGAACACAATGCAGTTTGAGTTATCCTGTGGGCCCTCAGACACCAGCATCAGCTGCCTTAATGCTCTGCCACTTTTATGATGATGCAGCTGTTCTTGTCTCTGTTTGACTATTCCTGCCACTACCAGCCAACTTCCTTCATTTTTCTTTGTCTCATGGCCTCAGCTCACTAATGGCGCCTGCTATCACATGGTTTCTTTTTCTGTGTGTCTTTCCAATCTCTCTACCTACTACCAACAGCAAGTCCCCCATACCCCTACAAAGCATTCTATTTAAACTCTCCAAGACAGAAGGTCCTATTAGTGCTATTGATTATTCTTTCCTTCATTAAGTAAAGCTTCCTTGCCAGATTACTCCATAGAACACTGACAGGCCTACAGACGAGCTGCTCTTGGACCAGATACCCAAATTTGATTGAATCAGCTGAGGATGGGATATAGGAGCTTGTGACCAGCTTTCTTCAGAGTTGCTATGGGCATTCCAAAATTGAAAGTGTAAGAAATCCCTCTGCAATGCAGAGAGTCCATCAGATTTGAGGCAGGGCCCCTCTGGGGGTAAGAGAAAGGAAGGGATCTGTCTTTAGAGAAACGAAAGCTGGTTTGGTTGTCAGAATCGTAGTCTCAAAAGGGAAACTGAGCCAGAAGCCCCTCAGATAGACAGGGCAAACATGGCAGAAAATGGGAAAAGGCTACCATATAATGCACACTCGAATGTCCATGGCTCATCCCAGGCATAACAGATTTTAGGCTTGTGATGACGTGGCAAATGGTGGTAGACATTGGTAGATGGACTTCCTAAACACAAGCAAGTCTTGCTCAAGATTAGATCAGAACTAAGCCATTTTGAATCAACACATGGAATGCCTCTGGTCCTCTACAGAAACTCCGTAGAGACTTTTGCATTATGCAGGGAGGACACTTTTCCTCTCTGAAAAGTTCATTCTTCGGCCAACAGTGAGTCAGAAAATGCTCTCTGAACTTTTGACTTGGGAGCTTTGAAATTTAAACTTCCAACACAGATTCCTGTTCCATCTTGAAAGGGCATTTTAGTATTTAAATTTTTTTCTTTATCATGTGTATTAGTTTCCTGTGGCTGCTTTAACAAACTACCACAAACTTGCATCACTTAAAACAACAGAAATGGATTCTCTCACAGTTCTGGAGGCAAGGCAGGCCCATGCTGCCTCTGTAGTCCCTAGAGATGAATCCCTCGTTGCTTCTCCCTAGTTTCTGATGGTTGCCGGCAATCCTTGGTGTTCCTCGGCTTACAGGTACATTGCTCCAATTTCTACCTCTTCCTTTATACAGGTATCTTCCCCTTGTGTCTCTGTTTTCTCTTCTTGTACGGACAACAGTCACTGGATTAAGTCCCACCCTAATCCACTATGACCTCATTAGAACTAATTATATCTGCAAAGACCCTATTTCCAAACAAGCTTACATCCTAAAGTTCTGGGAAGACATGCATTTTATGGGGACATTATTTGATCCACTACAACATGTCCAATCTTTGGTCAAATTAATACTAGAACAAAAATTCTATGCTTTTCCTAGTCTCTGTTGGATGAGGTATATTCATTACTTGTATTTCTAAAATGGATACAGGTCACAGAGATGACTGGAATTGTGAAATCTCAAATCTTTGACCAGCTGCCCATCACTGGCAGAGTTCCAAGGAATCTAGGCAAAAGGGACAGACACCTAGTAAAAGAACACTCCTTATGACTACTTGGGAATTTGGCCCTAAACCCCACTGCCTGTCCCCACCCACCCTTGTTCTAGAGATTTGGGCTGAACCACTTGGCCTGTGTTCTACATACCTGAATGAAAGCAAGAAAATATCTTCTTGCAGACTCAGAGTCAAGACTTTATGATTTTCCATGGTGACAAGAGCTCAAAAATGACTCACCCAAATGAAAAACACCACAAGGGAAAGAAAAACTTGATCTCTCTACAGTGGGAAGCAGCAGACACAGAGGATAAAGATGTGGGTTTTTTGAGTCAAGTCTGACATGAGTTCAGATCCCTGGTTTTGCCACTTACTAGCTGGGTGAACTTGTTCATATTAATTAGTCTCTTTAAGTCTCAATTTCCTCGTTAGAGCAATGGAGATCATAATATCTTCCTTATAGGTGATTGTGAAGAGTAAATAAGATAATCTATGTAAGACCTTACTACATAGGAAGCGCTAGTTATAATCATTACTAAGGCCTTGAACAACTGGCCTAAACTGCCCCTATCAGGCCTGTTGTCTCCTGGACCCTTCCCTGATTACCACTGGAACTGCCTAAAGCAGAAGGCTTTCCCCTGTGGGAGCCCCCTAAGACCCTCTCTCAACAGCCCATGAGAGCTAAGGTCTCCAAAGAGGGAAGGCAAAGAACACTGTGGTATCAGCTAGAGTTTCTAACTTACAGATGACAGACTGGCAGCTCTCAGGCCAGATTCCACCTCTCATGATTTTTATTTGGCCTGGACAATTTTAAAAATTTGGAATTTATTGTCCACATTAAAAAATTCAGAAATGTTCTATAAAAATCCAAATTCCTGGCTTAAAAAATTGAGAGACCAGGTAATACTGAGCATAAGTTCTCCTATGACTAGAGGGCACATTTACTGTAATGTACAAATTGGCACACTTCTGAGAGTGAGAGAAGGGTCTATCAATAATTTTACCTGAACAATTAGTGTTAACTGAAACTGTCCAGGGCAAATTAGGAATGGTCATGTTACCCATGACTCCAGTGGTCTGGAGGTAAGTAGGAATGGATACTTCCTGCAGGAGGTCTTGTCTCTCTGTTTGTCTAGGGTTTTGAGTTTTGAGCTTCTATTTTAATACTTTGTCATATCATACCTAATACTTGGTCCTCCAACACCAGAATCCAACATCCCTGATCGGGGCTTCTATCATCATCTTCCTTCTCTAAGAAGGAAAAGGTATGGAGTGAGTTATCAAATCAGTGCATATGCTGGACTTCATTCAGGTGCTCTCAGGGGTTCTGATAAGATTTCCAATAGGGCACAGACTACCTATACAATGTTGGCAACACTCTGTCATCATCCAGTGCCTATTAACTAGTCCTTGCTGCTGTTATAGAGCATATATCATTAGGATAATGTCACATGTGTCATAGATACATTGGAAGCTTTTCTTCTCCTTCTCCTTCTTCTTCTTGAGACAGGATCTCCCTCTGTCACTCAGGTTAGAGTGCAGTGGAACAATCACAGCTCACTGCAAGCTTGACCTCCCAAGCCAAACAATCCTCCTACTTTAGCTTCCCAAGTAGCTGGGACCACAGGCATGTGCCACTATGCTCAGTTAATTTTTTTTTTACTTTTGTAGAGACAGGGTCTCCCTGTGTTGCCCAGGCTGGTCTCAAAATCCTGGGTTCAAGCAGTCCTCCCATTTTAGCCTCCCAAAGTGCTGAGATTACAGGCATGAGCTACTGTGCCCAGCCAAGATTCTTTTTTTTGTTGTTTTTTGAGACAAAGTCTCACCCTGTTGCCAGGCTGGAGTGTAGTGGCCTGATCTCGGCTCACTGCAACCTCCACCTCCAGGGTTCAAGTGATTCTCCTGCCTCAGCCTCCCGGGTAGCTGAGACTACAGGCGTGCACCACCACACCCAGCTAATTTTTGCATTTTTAGTAGAGACGGGGTTTCACAATGTTGGCCAGGATAATCTCCATCTCCTGCCCTCATGATTTGCCTGCCTCAGCCTCCCAAAGTGCTGGGATTACAGGTGTCAGCCACCATGCCCGGCCCAGCCAAGATTCTTGAAGTGTCTTCTGAATCATAAAAGGATTGGTTTGAGAGGATCATAAATCAATTCTTTGAAAATTCTTAATTTTCAAACAGCCTCCATCCAATGAATGAATTATGTTTTAAAAAGTTTGCTTCTAAGTCTAGCATAAAAAACCTGAAAAGTATATACCTATAGGAGCAATGTTACTTCCCTATCCCACACACAAACATACACGAAGTAAAATAAAAAGTAAACCATAGAATATATAAAGATTAGTACTGTTGGGCAGGCGCGGTGGCTCACGCCTGTAATCCCAGCACTTTGAGAGGCTGAGGCGGGCGGATCACGAGGTCAGGAGATCGAGACCATCCTGGCTAACATGGTGAAACCCCGTCTCTACTAAAAATACAATAAATTAGCCGGGCGTGGTAGTGGGCGCCTGTAGTCCCAGCTACTCGGGAGGCTGAGGCAGGAGAATGGCGTGAACCTGGGAGGCGGAGCTTGCAGTGAGCCGAGAATCGCGCCACTGCACTCCAGCCTGGGAGACAGAGCGAGACTCTGTCTCAAAAAAAAAAAAAAAAAAAAAAAAAAAAAAAAAAAAAAAGATTAGTACTGTTAAATCTATTTCTGGTTTTGGTTAAATTGGAACTCTGTATTTATGTAAGAGAAAGTATCTTCTAAACAATTATTCTTAAGAAATTCTGACCCAAGTTCAGTAGAAGGGAGGTAACTTATGAAGGGGTTCTGGGGGCATTTTCTTTCTCTGCCCATTTGTATGTGCAAAGTGTTTATTCATGTAATATTTGTAGGGTAGATACAATCTGTGTAATAAATATCAAAGCTCTTCATTATCAAGAATATTTGATGAATACAGAAAGTCATTCCTTGATTAAAATGGATTATTTAAAACATACAGAGAGGAATAGAACTAACTACCTAGAGCTGGTGGGTATGTCGGAGAGAGTCCTGCTTGAGGAGACAGGTGACCTTGCTTTGAGTTCAATCTCTTCTATTAACTTGTAGTGTAATTTTGAGTAAATAGTTCACCTTCCTTGAGATACAGGTTTCTTAGTAGCTGAATAAGGATGATAACAATAATTCATATTTCACAGACTTGTTTTGAAGACTGAGTTAATGTGTGTAGCAGAGCTTTGTGTACTGTGAAATGTTATAGAACCAAAAAAGAATAGAAAAGTAAGCTAATGCTTATTGAGCTCATATTATAAACCAAGCACAGTGATGGAATTAGTATTATTAACTAACCACCAATACCAATTGCAATGGCAGCAACAGTATCCCTAAAACTGCCACACTAACTCTTCCTCTCTTAGATACAAATGAAGAGACCAGGGCATCCCTTCAACTCTGAGCAGAAACGAATCAATCTCCTCCCACTGAAAATTCTTTACTTACAGAACACCAGGCTTGTAAACATCCTGCCTTCTCATTTTAATGACAGTATTACAATGGATGTGATGCCTTATCCTGGGCCACACCCCAGAGTAGGAGTGATATTGACTCATTGTGTGACTTGTGAATATTAGGAAGAAATGCCGCACTTAACAAGTTGGATAATGGCAATTTGCAGCCACAGGTGGACTAACATTTCTACAGGGAAGGGAAGAGGATGGTCCTGGATCCAACTAGAACCCATCAGTGCTGTTATTATTTAAGTCCTGTCATTTAAATAGTGTTGCCTTATGTGTTACTCTGCTAGGACTGCCATAACACAGTACTGCAGACTGGGAGGCTTAAACAACAGAAATTCATTTTCTTACAGTTCTGGAGGCTAGAAGTTTGACATCAAGGTGTCAGCATGGTTGGTTTCTTTTGAGGACTCTCTCAACTTGTAGATAGATGGCCATCACTCCCTGTCTTCACATGGTCTTCCCTCTGTGTGTGTTGGCATCCTAATCACCTCTTCTTGTAAAGACACTTGTCATTGGCTAGGGGCTGCATACACTAATGACCTCATTTTAATTGAAGTACCCCATTTGAAGCCCCTATGTCCAATATAGTTACATTCTGAGGTACTGGGTGTTAGGACTTTAACATATGAATTTGGTGGCGTGGGGGTGGCAAACACAGTTCAACCTATAACACATTGTTAGATAAATCAGTAGTCTACTTTGTTCTCAAGAAATTTTCCCTAAGCTGTGATCTTTATGTCCTTTGTCTTTTCCTCTTCCCCAAAGTCCTGTCCCCACTACCAAAAACCACCTTCAGTTTTTATAGCACTTCAAATACTGATTCATGAATACAACATTGTTATTGGCATCTGGCAGCTCCATTTCACTGACTTGGTGTTCAAGAAAAGCTGTGTAAATTAAAATGCCAGCTCTCTGTGAAACATCTTCACAGGGTCCTTCTGGAATCCACTGTCCCTTGACCCACATCCTATGCTTCTATTTTCTGACTCACAAAGCAACTCCAAGGTCTGGATAAGACCACTTGCCTACCGGTCTACTCATTTCCTTAGGTTCTGGTTTTTTAGTAGGCTTGTTTTACCTTTTAGTCATTTTTCCCGAATGGAGCTCTTTTTCACCTCCTCTTGGTTCTTAGTCATTACCCAGGAGGAAGTTACTAGAAGTCAGATTGCCAAGCAGTATTGCCTTCATGGACTCACAGAAGAGATCTAAAGCATTTCTCACCTTGCAGCCAATTCAGGCTAACTCCTAAGCAAGGCAACTTACTGTCTTCAAGCCTTGTTTGCCATTCTATCTGTTCTCCACCCTGAATCTACTAAGCTGATGGTTTCAGTGATGTTATGTAACAGGTATTTCATCAGTTTTTTGGCTAGTAGGATATATGGTTATGTCTGTGACCTCATATATTCTAGTACCATGTAGCTCCCAGACAAAATTTAATTGCATTCATGAGTATCCTAAACTAAATACGTCATCAAGAAGAATAAGGTAAAGGGTGTCAATCCATCAGTGACAATCAATATTTTTGAAGGTCTTTGAAGTGAAAGCATCTATAGACATTTCTAGATACCAATATTATAGAATTATTAACTCATAGTACTACTTTAACTTGTATTTGCCTTCTTCTAATTTAAGCCACACATTGTCAGCTATTGAGATAATTTCAGAATAAAATCATTTAAATCCAGGTATCTAAATGGTTGGATGATAATAGTTCTTCTAATACTATAAAATGTAATCTTATCTTGAGTGAATTTAAAAACAGGTTTCTAAACCAAATATTTTCCAACTTTTACAAGCAGTCACTTCTCAATTCTCTGGCAAGCATGGCACAGGCAGCCACCCCTATATAAATATGTAGTTAGAAAGATAAACACTCACTGAAGTCACTAAGTCACTAGTAGTAGCATTGTTTCTCAGAGAGTTCAGCAGTACTTGCTCAGTGGGTAGATAAAGAAATATTAGTAATGTTTCCATTGGGCTCTACTCCTTCCTAAAGCCAGCCAGCCTTCTCCCTTAGAGAAAAGCCTTAATGTGTGCATGTGCGTGCGTGCGTGCGTGCGTGCGTGCGTGCGTGTGTGTTCCAGATGCCTGCGGACAACTTCCTACTTCAAGAGCAACCCAAGCTCCTCACTGGTTGTATGTTAAGCCATCCATTGTTTAGGGCCATAATTTTTAGTACAATAAGTCAGACCTCCAAAATAATAGGAGTAAATTTGTAGAACAAATTTCATATTTAAACATGTTAGTATAGCTCAAATATTTACTCATTAAACTAAGAATGATCAAGGCAAGTGCTTTCATTTAATTTCATAGATTTACAGAGATTTTAAAACATTAGTGTAGAAAGGGCCCTGGTCTTGGTTCCAGTCTAGTCAGGCCAGTGACTAACTGTAAGCCCGGGGAAAGCTGGGCTGGGATTTCCTTATAAAATAAAAGAGAATGGATCGGGCGCAGTGGCTCACACCTGTAATTCCAGCACTTAGGGGGACCGAGATGGGCGGATCACTAGCTCAGGAGATCAAGACCATCCTGGCCAACACAGTGAAACCTGTCTCTACTAAACATACAAAAAATTAGCCGGCTGTGGTGGCATGCACCTGTAGTCCCAGCTACTCAGGAGGCTGAGGCAGGAGAATTGTTTGAACCCAGGAGGCAGAGATTGCAGTGAGCCGAGATCACGCCACTGCACTCCAGCCTGGGCAACAGACTGAGACTCTGTCTCAAAAAAAAAAATAAAGGAGAATGAAGTGAATAAGCTCTAAGATCCCTTTGATTCTGAAACTTATGAAATTTTATCAGAAAAACAGATCTCATTTTGTTATCTTACAGGTATTTTGTGAGGATCATAGAATACACAGGTTAAGGGGAGCAGTATTTGCTTTCTTATCTAGTCACCATTTGGTGAATCGATGAAAGAAAAAAACAATCGTGGAAAATGTTTACCCCTCTACTTTAAAGAAGGAAGGAAATAATTTAAGATTCTTTTTTTTTTTCATTAGAGAACTTCTATTAGAATACTTACGAGGCCATGGGGATTTGTTCCCTTTCCCTTACTCTAAAACTTTGGCTGATTGGGTTGTTTAGGTTGTTTGGCATGATCCGAACTTTTATTACTGATGTAAGTATACCCTTGGTAGCATGGGCAGGGTCAGGCTGCTGTTATCTACTAACCTGCCCCTGAATGTCAGCAGGTTTGCCTGAGGACTCCCTGGACTGCTTCTCCTGCCTCTACGGCACAGGGTGATCTTGGACAAACACCCCAGCCGACACTGTAACTATCCTTTATTTGCCTGTTGAAAGCAGCAGAGGCAAATGACCAGAGGCTTCACTTTTACTTCTATGAAAAAATTGTGTTCCTTGGAAGAAGCGTTCTTCCTTAAGTTACTAAGGCCTCTAAACTAGCAGAGCCCAGAAACCCAAGAAAGGGAACCAAGCTATAAGCAGAACTTTATAATGTAAGATTCTTGAGTTACTTATGGCTCTTTCAGATAAAGATTTGGTGAAGTCATGAAACTTGTCATATGTTAGTATATTGGTTACAAGCAGCTAAAGTAAAATCTTTCTCAAACAATGTAATATAGTTCTCTTATCTGATTAAAACTCTCAAAATGTTAACAAATTAATCTTTTCAAAAGATAACTCTAATGTTTGGATATATTGTATTGTTATTTTCTTTAAATCTTTCATTCGTTGATGAATTCCAAGTACTTTTCCAGGGGCTGGAAACACAGTGGTGAACAAAGCAGGCAGAGTCCCTTCTTTCATAGAACTTAACATACCCATACTAGTAAGGGGACATTTAAAAAATCTGTAAATAAACCAATAAATCTATATCAAGTCAGTAGAGGGATAAGTGCAAAAATTAAAGCAGAGTAAGGAAGAAAGGGAGTATCAAAAAGGGGGATGCTGTTTTTATGGAGGAGTCAAGGAACATGTCAATAATCTGGACCATTTGAGGAGAGACCAGAAGGCAGCAAGGAAAAGGGAGCAAGGAACAAGTCACGTAGATGTATGGGAAAAGCCAATTCCAGGCAGAGGAAACAGCAAAGGCAAAAGTCCTGAGGCAAAAGGGACTTTGGGGTACCTGGGGAAGAGCAAGAAGGACAGAGACGCAGAGGTAGAATAAGAGGAGTCATTTCCTAATATCTTTTTCTAAGAGAAGTATGGTCAAACTTAACTTCATGTTAATGTCAATTTCCATGAAGTCCAGCAGAAATTCTTCATTGAACTTCTTCTGTGTCTCAGCTTTTCATTTATAAAATGGGTATGATAGGCCAGGCACGGTGGCTCACGCCTGTAATCCCAGCACTTTGGGGGGCCGAGACCATCCTAGCTAACACGGTGAAACCCCGCCTCTATTAAAAATACAATAAATTAGCCGGGCGTGGTGGTGGGCACCTATAGTCCCAGCTACTGGGAGGCTGAGGCAGGAGAATGGCGTGAACCCGGGAGGTGGAGCTTGCAGTAAGCCAAGATTGCGCCACTGCACTCCAGCCTGGGTGACAGAGCAAGACTTCCTCTCAAAAAAAAAAAAAAAAATGGGTATGATAATAGCACTTCATAGGTTATTGTGAGGACTGAATAATTTATGAAATGTAAAGTATAATTAAAAGTGTATCACTAGCACAATAACTAGACATTTATAGTTTACTAGCACGGAGTAAAGTATAAATGGCTAGTTATTATTACTACCACCATAATCTTTTTATTCACAGTAGTATCAATAATTGCATTTTTAAGGCTAATATTATTTTTGGCACTGATCATTAATTATTAGGGGAGTTACCTTATACATATTACTAAGACATCAGGTAGGGTTATGGTATGTGATGGCTCAAGCACAGAGGTTTATATCATCAAAATCTTATAAGAAAGTTTAAAACACATTAAAAATTGGAGTTCGAAATGTAGTAACTTAATTTGGACGTAACATGAGTATGATATCTTCATCTATATACTCAAATATTTCTTTATTTTTGTCAATCTTAGTTTCCTGTCCTTATGACAGCACAGAATTCTTGGATGTTGGTAATGTCTTTCACATTCATTTCCAGCATGAGGTCTGAATTGATTCCTTGTTTCTCAATTACACCCATCATGGAATCAAGATTAATAACCTGCTTGGTGAGTTTTGTCCACCTTGGAATCTGGAGGCTTTGTACTCACTGTGGCCTGTTAGACTCTGAGTCGTTCCTTTTACATGCCCCAGCAGTGAGGTCAAGGACAGCCGCAGTCCAGGGAGTCCAAGGACTGCCTGCCTTGGGGCCACCCGTGCAGGCTTCCATTACTTCTTCCCCTCTCCCAGGCATTATTCATCATGGTTGAGGAGAATCTAAGGGTGGATTTAAAATTCCCTGATATATCCCCTGTGCTCAGAACAATGTCTGGCACATTAGAGGTATTCAGTGAATATTTGTGGAATCAATAAAAATACAACAGACATGATGGACAATGTGGGTCCCTCCTAAACAGACTGCTGTTGAAGTGTGGCAGAGGGGAAGAGCACCTGTCCACTCTGCTCCCCTGTGGGGCTGGGCTCCCACCTCCACCACCCACATGGAACATGCACACTTGTGATCAGTCCCTTCACCTCAGGGAACAGGATATCTGGGATAGGCTTTGCTTTAGACATGAGGTTTTTGTGACCATCATATTTGGTTCTACTAGATACAACCAAGTTGAGTGCAGTTTGTGATTTAAAAAAAAAATCACACTGGAAGAATTTTTACTGCTGGGCCTACCATTCATGCCCTCAACATCCCTCCAGAAAATTCTTAGTGGGGGCCCATTCTGTATTAGATACAGACCTAACTAATGTAGTACTGTGGAACTTTCAATCTAATTAGCATAAACACTGCCAAAAACCATGGCACCAAAACCATAAGTGCCACAAGAATAGTATCCTATGTACAATATGATGTCAAATAGGATGACTAATTTTCTTTCTTTTTTTTTTTTTGAGATGGAGTTTCACTCTTGTTGACCAGGCTAGAGTGCAATGGCACAATCTCAGCTCACCACAACCTCTGCCTCCTGGGTTCAAGCGATTCTCTTGCCTCCGCCTCCCAAGAGCTGGGACTACAGGCATGCGCCACCACACCTGGCTAATTTTTTGTATTTTTACTAGAGATGGGGTTTCTCCATGCTGGTTAGGCTGGTCTTGAACTCCCGACCTCAAGTGATCCACCCACCTCGGCCTCCCAAAGTGCTGGGATTGCAGGCGTGAGCCACCGCGCCCGGTGGATGACTAATTTTCACTGGAGCGAACAGAAAGGCTTCAGAGCAGAGGCAGGATTCTCTATCATGGAAGGAATGAAAAATATTTCAATAAGCAGAGTGGATATGTGTTAATATATACTGTAATTATAAAATAACAATACCACATCATCTGTCATACATGCTTCATTATTAATGCACTATCCAGTTATGCCTTTGATTTCTTGTTTGTGTGTCTGTTAGTCCTCGTCCTCCAAAACCATGATCATGAGCCACTTTAGTGAAGAAACATTTATAGGTAAAAAACCTAGTTGGCTTATAAGATGATTCAGGGCACATGCTGAGTCAGTGTTAGAGGATTTGGTGGAGATATTGCCCCTTATTTTTTAGTTTCTTTGCCAAACACAGCCATTTATCCCACATAGCAGATGTTTGACATTCACCCTTTCTCAGTTAATAATCATATTTACTTATAAAAATGACCCAGGTGTGGTAGCTCATGCCTCTAATCCCAGCACTTTGGGAGGATGAGGCAGGAGGATCCCTTGAGGCCAGGAGTTTGAGACCAGCCTGGGCAACATGGCGAAGACTCCATCTCCACAAAACATAAAAATAAACAACAGAGCTAGCTGGGTGTGGTGACACAAGCCTGTAGTCCCAGCTACTCAGGAGGCTGAGATGGGAGTATTCCTTTAGTCCAGGAGTTCAAGGCTTCAGTGAGCTATGACTGTGCCACTGCACTCCAGCCTGAGCACAGAGCAAGGCCCTGTCTCTCTCTAAAACAAAACAAAACAAAACAAAAACATCTTCCTTTGACAATGTTTTCAAATATATTTCTCCTAACGAAGAAGGGTGAAGAATATGACAGATATTTAATCTTTTTGAAAAATATTTAAAGGGAAGATGCCATTAAGTGATTTTTCCAAATTCCCTTTCCATAATTTTACCCATTAATCAGCTAATATTCATGGAGTGCTTATGTGTCAGCACAGGTGACAGGAAAGGTATTCTTAGTAGAGTTGGTAAGTGTTACTAATATATATTATATATAAATGCAGTGTTTTGTTTTCCTCCATACATGATATGATGTGTGATCCAACATCTAGATAAATGTTTTATTTTGGTTGCGGCTTCCTCCACCGTGTTGATCAGTCCCATGACTGAAGGAGCACTTAATGGTAAGAAGCAGGTAGCGTGGTTAGGGGACATGCGATCAACTAGCATCTACTGAGCACCTGCCATGTGTCGGGGACTGTATAATAGCTGATGTTTTGAGTAATTTATTTGGTTTGCTGAAAGTGACAATCAGTTGAAGACAGAAAAGAGTGGGGGGAGTTTTAAAGTTAAGCACAAAACGTACTTTTGTTTTGAATGGGAGAAGAAGGGTGGAGGAAGACGGCCGACAAAACAAGTTGAACACCTGAGTCTTGACTGGAAGGAATTCAAAGTGCCCACCTGAGAAATGTCTAATTAAACAAGGACAGAGAACCTGCTCCCTGCAGGAGGGTACAAAAAGTCACTTTTCCTCTAAGTCGCTCTGCCCGCCCTGCTGCAAGTCAAAAGGGCGACCGACGCGGCCGCGGTTGGGACAACTTCAGGCCGGGCGCAGCTGACCGCCGCGTTCTGCGCGCGAGCGAGCAGCCGCCCCAACCTGCCGCGGTCGCCGACCCCGCCCCCCGGGAGCGCGGGCCAGGCCAATGGGCTGGGCTCCAAGGGGCGGGGCAGGCGGCCGGCGCAGCCGTGGCGGTAGCTGCAAAGGCGGCGGCCGCTGTGGTGGTGGTGGTGGTGGTGTCTGTGGCTGCGGCTGCCACTTGGCCGGGCGTCTGCGGGCCGTGGGGGATGGGGGCGGCGAGCTCCAGCCCTCGGCGGTGGCGGCGGCCGTAGGTGTGGGGCGGCCGTCCGCGTCCGGGACGCGGGATGGAGCGCCGTGGTGAGTGTGAGGAGGTGGCGCTCGCTTCGGCCGCGGCGGTGGTGGCTCCGGGCTGGGGTCGCCCGCGCGGGCGCCGGCTAGTTGCCGTCCAGGGTCCGGCAGGGGCTAGGGGCGCGCCCGGCGAGGCAGGCGCGGACGAGCGAGAGGACGCGGGCGGGCGCTGCCGGTACGCCGCGGACCCCGGGTGCGCGCTCTGAGTTGTGTGACGCCGGCGGGCAGCAGGGGAGAAGCTGGCCGGGTGGACTTTCCTCCCCTTACAGGACTCCCCGAGCGTGTCTCAGCCCCGCTCCCTTTGCTAGCCACCAGCCCTCATCGCCTCACTGCGGAATTCAGGGGCTCCTTTACCCTTACCCCATTGGTTTTCTTCACCGGGTCTCAAGTCCGTCTTTCTTACTGGGGATGCTTTTTGGAAGTTTGGTGACGTTTTCTGAAATTTCAGTCTGACACATGCAAAGGCTGAGTAAAACAGACATCTCATGTTCCATATTTACTTTTTCTTATTGCACTTCACCTCACCTAGACCCTGGCTATTTATTACTTTGGGGGAGGGAGATCTAAGGTTGTAAAACACCGTCTTGCGCATTCTCACCGTGTGCCCCTTCTGGAGCGTCTCTGTCGTTCCCTCCCACCCTACTCCTCCCCTTCTCTCTCCCCACTCATTACTGCCTGGTCTCGCCCTTCCACCTTTTCCCAGCCATGGCTCTAGGGCAAGTCGTGTGCTCTGCAAAATAGGAAGGGACAAGCTGGGAGATTGCACCTACCACCTAGAGAGCGGACCCCTGTGCGTTTGTTTCACTAGGTGTCCCAGGACCCGGTCTGTGATAGAAACCCGGTGTTCCCAGGGAGGATCTTGCCTTGGTTTAAACAGAGCAGCCAAGGACGTTCCTCCCTTGTCTTTCAGCCCCTCTGATTTGTCCTAGTTTATCTCACCTTTTCACCACCACCACCCCTCTTTAAAAACCAAGGGTGGCGTTCCACATTGTTTTTTTTGGATCTTTGACATCCTCTGTTTTCTAAAGATGGATCTTTTTTGGGCGGGGGATGGAGGGGTTGGCGGGGGGAAGGGGAATGTTAGGAGATGTTTTATGAAAGTTCTAAGTACCTTTTTGTTCTACATTTACCTTTTTCTTTATTAATCTTTGGGAATTAGCTTCGCTTCCTCCTCATTCAGTTTGGGAGAGGAGATTCCCCTTTCAAGAAAAATACTTCAAAATTAGATATGAAAGTGAATATTCAGAATGAGTGAATCACAACAAAATTATGGGAGTCTTGGAGATTAGGTCCCTTTCTGTAGTGATTTCTTTACGCAGTTTGCCAGAAATGCTTATTTCAAAATGCCTCCTTGTTACAGGAACTGTGTAAGTAAGCAACCCTGATGCTTAAGCTTCATGAGCTTTACAGTATGTATACAGTTCTTGTCTGATGATTCTGAGAAGAGTTTAAGAGTGAACTTGAAGAAAATAGAATAGACCTGAGTAGAAAATGTTTTAGTCCCCAATTTGGCAGGAAATAGAACTTTGGCTGAGATGTAGAAAAGCGCTGCCCAAGAATGTATAGTGGTTGGTCATTACTGCTCCCCTTACCTCCTTAAAATAGTGTATCTACCTCAGTTGTAAGCACCTTCACTTCCTCACATGTAAAGGCTCTTGACCTAGGAACATGGGCTTTTATAGCCACTGCTCTTGGTCCCGGGGGTTAGTATAACCACATTGAACAAAGTTCATGCCCAGAAGTCACCCTAAAGAATTTTCATTCTCGTGTCACTTATTCATTCAGCATTCACTAAGAAAATTTAGTCTGATCCCATTTTGTGGTAGACAGTCCTGTAGAACCTTTGCATCTTCGGTAGCAATAGACAATATTGATGGGGCCCAAGGTATAATATCGTGAGTTTCCCAAGTATGTTGAATATCCTATGGGAAAGTAAAGGGATGCTTTATTTTTAGTGGAGGAAATGAAAGGCTTCTCGCAATTTCCCCCACACCTACACCACCACTGCATTCCTAGGCAACGAAATTCTTTTGTCATTTAAGATTAGGTTCATATTCTCTAGAATTTTATGTAAATGGAATCATACCAAAGATATACAGTGTGTGTGTGCCTGGCTTCTTTCATTTAGCTTAATGCTTTTGAGATTCATCTATGATTTTTTCCTATGTCATGGATATGTAATGTTAAATAGTATTCCATCGTAAGGCTGTACCACAGTTTGTTTATCTGTTGATGGAGTTTGGGTTGTTTTGTTTTTGACTATCATGAAAAAAATTGCTATGCATTTGTATACAAGTTTAGGGGTGAATATATGTTTTCATTTCTTTTGGATGCATACAAAAGGAGAATTACTGGGTTGTATGTTAAATGTACATTTCCTGTGTAAGAAACTGCCAGGCTGTTTCACAAAGTGATTGTATACCTTGTATGTAGAAGCATGTATTACAGTTACAGTTGCCCTACATCCTCACCAACACTTAGTATTTCAGTCTAGCTGAAATTAAAATTTCTTCTGACTATTCAGTGGTATCTCATAGAAGTTGAAATTTGCATTTCCCTGATACTAATGGTATTGAGCAATATTTCATGTGCTTATTGCCCAGTTGTGTATCTTCTTTTGTGCAGCATATGTTCACTTCATTACTCATTATTTTATTGGATTGTTGTTTTATTTTTATTGAATTGTAAGAGTTCCTGATATATTTGGTTACAAATTCTTTGTCAGATATTTTCTCCCAATTTGTGGCTTGTGTTTTATTTCAACACTGTCTCTCAAAGAGCAGAAGTTTTAAATTTTTTTGTTCAATTGTTTGTTGTTAGTGTATAGAAATAAAATTGATTATAGTGTATTAACTTTGTATTCTGTGACCTTGCTATATTCATTTATTAGATGTAGTAGCTTATAGGCTTCTTAAGATTTTTTTTTAAGTCCCCAACCCACCATCTCTGAGTATTTTACTTCTTTCTTTTTAAATGTGAATGCATTTTATTTCTTTCTCTTGTCTTACTGTACTGGCTAAGACCCTCAGTAACAATATTAATCCTGATCTTAAGGAGAAAACCTGTCGGTTTTTTTTGTAGATGCCCTTTATCAGATAGAAGAAATTATCTTCTATTCCTACGTTGTTGACTGTTTTAATCATGAATGGCCATGGAATTTTGTCAGATGCTTTTTCTGCATCTTTTGAGATGATCACATGGTTTTTTTCTAGTGAATGTTAAACTAAGCTTGCATTCCTTGGACAGACCCTTCTTGGGCATTATGTATTATCCTTTTTATATATTGTTGGATTTGACTTGCTAATACTGTGTTAAGAAATTTGTTTTTTGTGTGTGTTTTTGTTTTTTTTGTGTGTGGTTTTTTTTTTTGGTAATGTCTTTGTCTGGTTTTGGTATCAGGGTAATGCTGGCCTCATAGAATGAGTTGGGAAGTGTTCTTGTCTCCTGTATTTTCCAAGAGTTTGTATAGGATTATTTTATCTGGTTCAGTGAATTTTATCAGTGAAGCTCATGTAGATGTAGTTTTCTTTGTGGGAAATTTTAAATAATGAATTCAGTTATTTAATACATGTAGTGCTATTAACATTTTCTGTTTCTTGTGTCAGGGTTAGTAATCTGTGTCTTTCAAAGAATTTTTCCATTTCATCTGAGTTGTTAAGTTTATTGGCAAAGTTTTTTGTAACATTCCCTTGTATCCTTTTATCCTTGTGTCTGTAGGGTCTGTACTGATGTCGTTTCTTCCATTCATATTAGTGATTTGTGTTTTCTCTATTTCTCGATCAGCCTAGCTAGATATTTATCAATTTAATCTTTTCAAAGAACCAGCTTTTGGTTATATTGATTTTTTTCTGTTTTCTGTTTTCTAAATCACTGATTTCTGTTCTTATCATTATTTACTTCCTTCTGCTTACTTTGGGTATAATTTGCTCTTTGTTTTCTAGCTTCTTAAAGTGGAAGCTTAGATATTGACTTTAGACCCTTCTCTTTTACAATAAAGCATCTAAAACTGTGTATTTTATCTAACCATGACTTTTACTTTGTAATCTCCACATTTTGAAATGGGTTTTCATTTTCATTCAGTTCAAAATATATTAAAATTTCCCTTGTGGAAATTTGACCCATTGGTTATTTTAAAGTTATATTTTATAATTTACAAATATTTGGGGATTTCCTGACTATCTTTCTGTTACTAGTTTCAAATTTAATTTTGTTTTGATCAGAGGACATACACTGTGTGATTTCAGTCCTCTTAAGTTCATTGGGACTTCTTTTTATCCCATATATGGCCTATCTTATGAATATTCCATATACATTTGAAATGAATGCATATTCTGCTGTTTTTTGGTGGAATTTTCTGTAAATGTCTATCAGGTCAAGTTGATTGATAGTGCTATTCAAGTATTCTATGTCCTTAATGATCCTTAATGATTTTCTGTTATTCTATCAATTACTGAGAGAAGAGTGCTGAAATCTTAACTGTCATTGGGGATTTGTCTATTTTTTCCATACATTTCTCTCAGTTTTTTTCTCATACTCTGGACCTCTATTTTTGGTACAGATACCTTCAGGATTGTTGTCATTATGATGAAATGACTCACTTATCATTATGAAATGTTGCTTTTTATCCTTGGTAAAATTCTTTGATACCTATATTATAGAGCTACTTTGGCTTTCTTATGATTAATATTTGCATGGTGTGTCTTTTTCTGTTGTTTTACTTTCCATGTATCTGTGTCATTATATTTCAAGTCTGTGTTTTAATAGGAAAAATATAGTTGGGTCTTACTTTTTTACTCACTCTGAGAATCTCTGCCTTTTTATTGGGCTGTTTATATTATTTATATTTAATGTAATTATTGGTATGATTGGGTTTAAGTCTGTTACTTTGCTGTTTGTTTTTTTATTTGTTCCATTTGTTGTTTCCTTTTTCTTCTTGTCCTGCCTTTTTTTTTTTTTTGATTTTTTGAAATTCTATTTATGCCCACTATTGGCTTAATTAACTTTATCTCTGGAGATTTTAGTATATATTTTTAACTTACAGTATACCTTCAAATAGTATTACACTACTTTACCTATAATGTAAGAACCTTACTGTATACTTTCATTTCCTCCTCCTTTACGCTATTGTCATAGATTTTGCTTCTGTATATGTTATAAATGCCACAACATATTGTTACTACTTTGTTTTAAACATCAGCTTTTAAAAAAATTATAAAATGTGCCTGTTTTGAAGCTTTGTTGGGGTGTGGCTAGAGTATAGTTTTCACTAAAGCTAGGTTAGATGTACTATGAGGCATGCCCTGGGGTCTCCCTGGGGTGTTCAGTAGGTCTCTCTACTCTGGCTGATGAAAATGTGGAGTTCTTCCAGCCCTGTGGGAAACCTGGGAATCGTCCATCTATAGCTTTCTGGAAATTATTTGCCAATCCTTGTTGTGTTTTGCTGTATACATGTGCATCTTGGTGTTCAGCAAGATAATTAAGAAATTCCCTATGCAAATTTCTGGAGCTCTTTCTTTTTCTACATCCTTAGTCTCTGGTACTCTGTCCTACAGATTCTGGCAACTCCAATCTCCTGGAACCATGATCTCTGTCTCTTCAAGTTGTCAAGGGTGCTATGGTCAAGAATGTGACTTTAGGCAGAAAGTTGGGGTAATTGTGGGGCTTACCTCATTTGTTTATGATCCCATCTCTCAGAGATGACAGCCCTGAGCCCAGTGCGGTGTGTAGTTCGGTGTCTGAAAACAATATATATTTTGTCCATTTTTCTAGTTGTTTACTACAGGGAAGAGTATGTCTGTTTTTATTTATTCCTCCATTTGATTTTATATATATATATATAAATATATATTATATATAAATTATATATCATATATAATTACATATATAAATTATATATATCATATATAATTATATATATAAGATATATATATAATTATATATAAAATTACTATTTTTTGAGACGGAGTTTTGCTCTTGTTGCCCAAGCTGGAGTGCAGTGGTGTGATCTTGGCTCACTGCAACCTCTACCTCCCAGGTTCAAGCGATTCTACTGCCTTAGCCTCCCGAGTAGCTGGGATTACATGTGCACGCCACCACGCCCGGCTAATTTTTTGTATTTTTAGTAGAAATGGGGTTTCACCATATTAGCCAAGCTGGTCTCAAACTCCTGACCTCAGGTGATCCGCCCGCCTCGGCCTCCCAACGTGCTGGGATTACAGGCGTGAGCCACCGCACCTGGCTGCATTTGATATATCTTTTAAGGATAATCTAGAGATTTTTCTTTCCATCTTTTTTCCTGCAGTTTATTTGTTGAAGAAATCACGTTTATGCTATAAAATGGCCCACAGTCCAGATTTTTCTGGGTATATACTGTGGCATAATTTAACAAGTTCTTAGGTCTTATAGTTTTTTATAAAGTGGTAATTGGATATAGAACAGGGTGTTTCACCTTGACACTATTGACCTTTTGGGCAGGATAATTCTTTCTTGGGGATGAGGGTAGTCCTATGCATGTAGGAAGTTTAGCAGTATCCCTGTCCTCTGCCCACTAGATGTCAGTAGAATCCCCCTCCCCAGTTATGACAACAAAAAATGTCTCCAGATATTGTCAAATGTTTTTAGACCCATGTTCTGCTATGAAAAGTAGGCTACCTAAACTACAGAATTGTCTTCAGGAAGATGAAGTAAAATTAACAGTACTGGTAATGTCACCACTGCAGATAGAAAGAATACTAATCTGTGCAGTCTGGTACCACAAACATTTTGAAGAGAACACATGAGGAAGATTTGGGGAATATAAAAGTTAAGGCTGCACCGAATGGCTGACTTGAACAGTGTCATAGAGGATGTGAATTTCTGTTTGAGAAGGAAAAAATACTAGAGGCAATAGTAATATAAATGGTAAAAACACAAGTATTTAAAAAAAATTATATGTTGCTTCCAGAAATGTTTTTCTGCAACTTGTTGAAAAACTTAAGCTATTGGACTGCTATGGTAGATATACTGATGGTTTTACTCTTTTTTTCTGAACACTACAATTTTATTATAGACCAAGAATTTCGGACTTGCAGAAAGGTATTATTGCATCTATTAATGTGCTTTTCATATTTAAAGTGTATTTGTGTGATAAATTACTTCAAACAAAATCAAGTCAGGGGAGATTAATAAAATAACCCTTTTAAATTAAAAGTAAACTACCATTTTTGCAAATATTTCCAAATGTCATCATCCTCTGGATGAAGGATGGCAGATAATGTATTTTTTTAAAGGTTTAAGAGGAGGATTGAGATTGAGAGACTTCTCAAAATTTCCCTTAGACAACCTTACTTATAGTTTATTTAACCTTCTAAGTAACATTCCTCGATTCCCAAATAGCCAACTATTGTGACTCTGTGTCAGATCCTATGCACAGTAGTTGGTTGTTTTGGGATGGTTTAGGGGTAGTTCTGGTTTAGGGGGTGTTGAGAATAACCCAGAGCAGCTATGAGGGACAGACTTTGCTTCCTTGAGCTCCCTGAGAGTTGTCCAACCCCACTCTCCTTGGCCTTCAGAATTCTTTCTTCATCCCCCACTGATGTCCTTCAGTTTTGAGTCATCACTGGGTGAGTGTCCATGGTGCATCATTCTCCAGTGGGGTTTGAAGGAGTCTTTGTTTTTTAGGTGTCTTCAGTACTGCTTGTCATATTAGTACTGTTAGGTTTGAGGTGTAATGGAAAAAATTTTAAAAATTAAGTCTGAAAAATAATTGTGGAAGCAGGTAATCAAGGAGCCTTGGATTCTTATGTTTGTATTTTTAAGGTAAAACCTCAGAGCCTAATTGGCTTCATTTCCCCCAGAACTGTTTGCATGTGAGAAATGACCCTCTTTCCTTTCTCTATCGGTGGGTAGTCTCTATCACCTCTGTTTGTCTCTTTTATCTTCCTTATCTCTCTCCATCTCATTTTCTTTCTCTGCTTCCCCTTATCTCTGCATATTTCTTTCTTCTTTCCCTCTTGTCTTTCTTTCTCCTTTATTGTTGTCTCTCTTTCCTTCTCACATATTTGTCTCTCCCTTTGTCTCTCTTTCCCTGCTTTTCTCTCCTCCTTGTGAGCTCCTTTCTCTTTGTCACACCCCCACCTCCATCCATACACCCTCTCTCTCCATCAGGAACTTGTTCATGATTTTGTCAGTGATGCTTCCAGTTCCATTTTAGTCAGCAACACAGTCCTCTTTATTAAGGGAAATGGTGTATAAGTGCAAAATAATATATTTTAAAATAGACTTAAGAGGGTGTTTGAGGTTGAGGGACTTCCTCAAAAATTTCCTTCCAAAAACCTTACTTATGATTGAATCGTAGTTGCACTGTTCAGCCTCCCCTTGGCCTGGGGACTCCTTTGTCTCCTCTTATTAGTTTGCTTCAGTTCAGGCATCATTGGCTTCCATGGTGAGAGTCCTTGGCGCATTTTTCTTTTTCAGCACGATTAGAAGGAATTTTGGTTTTTGAGGTTTCCTATTTGTGGCAGGACCTTGTTACTATTATTTTGGGGATTTGAGGGGAAAATCTGTGTAAGTTGAGTCCAAAAAATCCAGTATGGTGCCAAAGTAACCAAGGAGCTGAGTTTTCTTATTTATCTTTTCTAAGTAGCACCTGAGGAGCCAAATTTGTTGTATTTTCTTAGCATTGTTTTTCCTGTAAGGGTTCAAAGATATGTCTATGTAAGATGTCCCTCTTCTCTTTCTTTGTCAATGAGTTTTTCTCTTGCCCCGCTACCCTACTTTTGGTTCTGTCATGCTCACTTACTTTTCTGTTTGTTAAGTGGGTAGTCTCTCCTTTTATTTTTCTTCCTTATTTTCTCTTTTTGCCTTCACTTATTTCTGCCTTCCTTGGTTTTCTTCCCTTTTCCTGTGTCTGCACCTCATTTTCTTTCCAGTTTTCCTCAGCACATTCTCCTGTGTCTTTTTCTGTTTCTCCCGTGTGTGGTCATTTTTCTCGCAGACCCCAGCGCTACCCACAGTCTCCCTCCCTGTGTTTTTTCCTCTGTTTCTCTATGAGTTCTTTCTGAATGTTCCAGCACTGAGGTAAGTGCCATCGCTTGTTCCAGCGAGTGGTGTGATATAGGGACTATGTGCTTTCTAGCCCTGCTTGCTATAATTATTCCATCTTTCTCAGACTTTTTTTTTTCTTCTCATTATGAAGTGAGTTTGAAAGTGCAGCTAAGAAAGAAAGGACCGGGCACAGTGGCTCATGCTTGTAATCCCAGTACTTTGGGAGGCTGAGGCGGGTGGATCACCTGAGGTCGGGAGGTCGGGAATTCGAGACCAGCTTGGCCAACATAGCGAAACCCTGCCTCTACTAAAAATACTAAAATTAGCTTGGCGTGGTAATGGGTGCCTATAATCGCAGCTACTCAGGTGGCTGAGGTGGGAGAATCAATTGAGCCCGGGAGGCGGAGGTTGCAGTGAGCCGAGATCACGCCATTAGACTCGTCTGGGCGACAGAGCGAGACTCCGTCTCCAAAAAAAAAAAAAAAAAAAAAAAAAATACAGATAGGCCTAAGTGGAAACTATTACCCTCCATAGAGGGCAGAGGGGCAGAGTAGATGGCTGGTTTTGAGGTAGTTCATTCTTCATTCAGACGTGTGGCGCCCTTCCCCAGGCCCTAACCCCTGGAAGAGGGAGGAAAAAGGCGATCCACAGAAGTGTCTCATAAGAAATGTAGCTGCTCATCTGGCCATTAGCCGCATCTAGTCCTCAGGTGACTTTTCTCTGAGTCGCTCTGCCTGTCCCCTGCAAGCCAAAAGGGCAGCCGACGCAGCCCGTGATGCTGGGACAGCGTCCGGCCGCGCGCAACTGACGGTCGCGTTCTGCGCGCGAGCTAGTTGCCTCCCGTACCTGCCGCGGTCGCCGGCCCCGCCCCCGGGAGCGCGGGCCAATGGGCTGGGCTCCAGGGGGCGGGGCTGGCGGGCGGGCGGTGCGGCCGTGGCGGTAGCTGCAGGGGCGGTGGCGGCTGCAGTGGTGGTGGTGCCTGTGGCTGTGGCTGCGGCTGCGGCTGCGGCTGAGATTTGGCCGGGCGTCCGCAGGCCGTGGGGGATGGGGGCAGCGAGCTCCAGCCCTCGGCGGTGGCGGCGGCCGTAGGTGTGGGGCGGGCGTCCGCGTCCGGCACGCGAGATGGAGCGCCGTGGTGAGTGTGAGGAGGTGGCGCTTGCTCCGGCCGCGGCGGTCGTGGCTCCGGGCTGGGGTTGCCCGCGCGAGCGCCCGCGAATTGCCGTCCAGGGTCCGGGAGGCCCGCGGGGCGGCCCCGAGTGGAAGCGGTGGCAGGCTGCGCTAGGGACGGGTGTCCTCGAGCCAGGACTGGAGTCCACGGGAAGGGTCCGGCCGGGGCTAGGGGCGCGCCCGGCGAGGGAGGCGCGGACGAGCTGGGGAGGACGCCAGCGGTGGCCGGGAGCAGACGGTGACGATCGTAATTAAAGTTAGCACACAGCGCGTACAACGGGTCCGCCTGCTGTTCTGAAGCCTTTGCACATTTTAACTCTTTTAATGTTCAGAACACTCCATGATTGTTCGACTCGGTTCACACGGGGAAACCGAGGTTAAAAACCTGCCCAAGCACACAGACTAGTGGTTGGCAGCGTCAGGACCTAAACCCAGGCGCTTTTGCTCCGGAATCCGTGCTCCTGATCACTATGGGTCTGTGTTCTTGCCTGGATTCTATTCCCGCTCCCACCTGCCCTGACTGCAGCCCTCACTCCAGTTGGGCTCTCATTCCTGAGATATTTTAGGATTTCCGTGGTGCATTTTCTCCTGGTCTGTGTTTTTTGGGTTTCGTTGAGAGTTTTCCTCAGTCTCAGAGGTTTGTCCCAGTTCAATTGTGGACGTGTTTTGGGGTTTGACAGTTTTAATTAAAAAAAAAAATTTTTTGGGGGGCGGGTGAGCTGGAGTTGGACGTTTCAAGGTGGAACCCTCGTGACTGACGAGCCTCTTGTCTCTATGTTTATCTTTTTAAAACTTTCTCAGAGGGTATTGGCCCCAAATGTTTTCGGAGGGCAGGATATTACCTGCTAATGGCAGGAGCTGAGCTCTCCTTCCCTTCTCTCCATCTGTCTCTGTGACTGTATCTCTTGTCTATAGTTTATCTTTTGTCCGTCGTTACCACCGTCGGCTGTCCATTTTGGTTGCTCCATTCTTCCCTCTTTGTTTAAATTCTTGGATGAGGAACTTGCTCTTTGGCAAAGAGTAGTTTTGGCTGGTCAAAGGAGAGTACTGCCTGCCAGGAATGCTAGACATTCTGGAGGGGTGGGATGCTGGGCAGCTTCCTCTTTTTAAAGCGTGCTAGGTTCAAACTGTACAGAAATGAAGTGCATGTGTATTGCATGCCTTCCTTTAAAAATTGTTTGCATAGTATTGATAAAACTCTTTCTCACATGTCCCTATTCTGTTTTTGTGGAGAGTGCTTTTTAAAACCATAAAGATTTAATCATCGTTTTAGGATGAGCTCATCTAATCTTTTTAGCATCTCAAAGTAGATTCTTGCCAAATCTGAAATTGTGCTGAAATAGCAGATTTCTGAAATATCTGGCAATTTTTCCTCAAGAAGAAATGGTAGAATGGGAAATAGTAAGTATAGATGTTTGGGGGCAGTTTTACACTTCAATTAGAGAGCCTAAAATGAAACTACTGCCGTAATGTGCATTTGGCAGGGGGCATGCGTGGGGCAGCGGACATTTGATTGACACAGGCTCCTGCAGTCGTGGGGGATAGGAAGTTTGTGTCTACATTTCTAATGCACACAACACTTAGATTTACAACATACAATGGAAGTGGTTTTGCACGGTAATTTTCTACTTGCTAGAGAATTCTTTGAGAAGTGGATAATACATGTTTTTAATATTGTTGGTTTGAAGTTGAAAGAGATGCACCAGAATTAGTGTGTCAAAAATATTTTGCACAAGTCTATTTGCACAGTTCAAATTTCACTTGGAAGCTTTTTAGTAGGTTTCCACAGAGTCAGTTAAGTTTCTACAATTGTTTCCAGTCCTGTATTTCTTGCTCACAATCCACTTATGTATTGTAGTGAAGCCACATCTTGTTCAAAAACAATTTCCCACAATAAAGCACTGCTAGTAATAATGACTTTTCTTTATGGTTCATCTTTATGATGAACCAGGCACTCTGCTAAGTACTTTGCATGCGTCATTACCTAATTAAGTTGCCAGTTGCAGTCTGTTAGTAACTAAGTTTTATGTTACTTCCAACAAGAGAATATTCATTTTCGCGCATGAGAAAGTAGTGTATATGATCTTGGAAAGTGTGTATTGTTCCAGCTTCTCATTATCATAGTTCATTTATGAAAGCTTGGGTTAAGTTTGTTATTTTAAACGTTTTTTCAATTGTAATGTTTCCTTTTTTTACTCTGGAATATGAAAAGTAGTAATATATAACAAAATCAGCACATTAATCATTATAATGCTGGCTAGAGATAGGGTATAATCCTTTTTTATAAGAGGAAAAGAGTTCCTCTTCTCCTTGCCATGTGTTTGATGTTGTTGTTGCTGTGTTTGTTTTTTGCAGATTTTTTAAGTCTTGTCTAAAAATGTTCCAGCAGTTTTGAAACACTTTGAAAGTTTGGGTTACTATTTTACATGTAGTTACTTAAAGTAAATTATTTCTGCTAAAATAGGTAAATTGTTTTAATGTCTTTAATTTTTGTAACCATCTTTACCAGTGACAGTGACCAATTCTCTAATTTACCAAGTTTAAAAGCTGTCATAACTAAACAGAATGACGTTATTAAGTAAACTGCAAGAGTGATGTTTGGTTAGGCTAATAGGCATTTTGGTTAGTGATTTGTAAAAGAGCTGCCCAAAAAAGACACTTTGAATTTTTGTTTTGTTTTTGTTGATGGGAAGGAAGACTTAGATATAATAATAATGCTCAAAAATTGCCCTAGATTCATTTTAGAAATGATGTATGCATATAAGGATTAATGTTAGATAGGTTTGAAACTAGTTTAAATGTAGAAGTTAGATTCTCAGAAATAATTTGAGATTGACAAAAGGACAGTGAATAAACAAACTTTAAAAATTATAAAGTGTGGTCCCCAGTTTAATAATCAGGAGGAGCAATAATAGAAATCCAACTTTGATTTCAGTTTTATGTAATCTTCCCTCAGCTTCATATACTTTTCTTTTTGAAACATACCATTTTAGAGAGTTTTTTAAAAATTTATATTTTCACTTCAAAACATTGCAACAACCCAGAGTTATTTTTGTTTCTATAAAAATTAATTGAAACTTTATAAGTTTATAAGCCTATCTGCAGATAGTTCTAAGTAGTTCATTCCTCATACGCCAAGCATTGTGCTATGATCAGAGAACACATGGTTAGCAAATAGACATACATGGTCTTGATTTCCATGAGATTATACTCTAGCTAGGAAGACATGATCTATTTGAACTGTGGTATGAGCAGTGATGAAAAGTAGAGGATACTATGGAACATCTCACAGGAGATTCTACTCTGGTTTGATGGTAGTGGTTTTGCTGGGGGATGGGGATGGTCCAGGAACGTTTCTTTGAGGAGGTAAGCTTTGAGCTGAGATCAGAGTGAGTAAACAAAGGAGAAGGAATATTCCAGGCAAATAGAATTACATATAGACAGGACCCTGAGCTGAACAGTTGGTGTTTTTCAAACTGTAGGGTCATGACCTATTATGTGTATGAAACCAAGTTGGTGAGTTGCACCCAGCATTTTTAAAAATGAAATGGGATGGAATTTTTAAAAACTCACATACATCCCATGGAGCCTTACCCAGAAGCATGCCACACACAAACATAATACACTTAACATGTATTATTATGTAAAATTATTTCCTGGTGAGAGTCATCGTAAACAAATACTGTTGGAAGAATGAGAAGGAGGTGTGTGTGGCAGGAGTGTTGAGAGCCAGCAGGTGTGTCTCCATATGACATTGCACAGGTAGGTAGGAGCCAGATCTCATGTTGAGCCTTGTAGAGCATGATAGCTTCTCACTTATACTTTGGAAGGGTTTTCAGTAGAGAAATGACATTATGAGATTTATGTTTGAAATGTTCACTCACTACATTTGTGATGAGACAAGAATGGATGCAGATAGATCATTAGGAAAGTAGTATAGTAGCTCAGAAAAGAAATGATGGTAATTCACTAGTGTGGTAGCAGTAGAGAGAAGTGGGTTGATTAGAGAACCCTGTAGATCAGAAAGAAAAATGAACTATGGAGTTGGGTGAGATATAGGAAGGAGTAAATGATACAATAATGTATCTTACATATGACTAGAAACGGATATTACATAAAACTTCCTAGTGGGCCAGGCATGGTGGCTCATGCTTGTAATCCCAGCATTTAGCTAGGCTGAGGTAGGAGGATCACTTGAGCCCAGGAGTTTGAGACCAACCTGGGCAACATAGTGAAACTGTATCTCTACAAAAAAAAAATTTTTTTTTTAGCTAGCTAGGTGTGGTGTTGTGCCCCTGGAGTCCCAGCTACATGGGTGGCTTTGGCGGGCAGATGGCCCGAGCCCAGGAGTTTGAGGCTGCAGTGAGCTATAATCACACCACTGCACTCCAACCTGGGTGATAGCGTGAGACCCAGACTCAACCCTTCCCCCCTCCAAAAAAAAAAAAAACCAAAAAACTTTCTACTGTAAATTTTATAGAAGTCCTTAGTCATCTACCATTTTTAAAGTAGCCAAATATTCAAGACAAAATACTTGAAAAAAAGTGTTAATAATAAAGTGTGAGTTAATTTAATTCCTCCGGTTATTTCCTTTTTGATTTCCAGAGATACAAACAAGATTAGAACTTTTAACTCTGGAAAGGTAAAATGAGGGTGAAGAAGAAAATAACTATGATTTTCTTGAGTTCCAGCTATGTGCCAGTATTAGGTGTTTTAACATATGAAGTCTTCTAATTTTGTGATCCCTTTTCATCCTCACACAAGCCTGTAAATAAATTGTACTGGTCACATATCTAGAAAATACTAGAGCCAGGATTCAAATCTAAATTCTTCTCATACCAAAAGATTACCTTTTTACTACCATCCTGAGATTATCAAAAATATTGCTCTGATGATCACACGTGTTTATTTAACCAGTCAGAGTATGTCAGATTAGTGGGCACCCTTGTAACTTATTTTCAACAAAGAAATATCCTTGATGAGACTTGGTAATCCAGGATGTGTTGTGTGTGTGTGTCTGTGTATATGTATGTATATGCATTATTAGGAAAAACTAACTGTAATTGAACTTCTATGTTCTCGACACTTCTGTATCATCGCGTCATGTAATCCCTACAATCTCATGAGATAGGTGTTGTCAGGATGTTACTCCCATTTTATAAATGAGCATACTGAAGTAAAGAGATGAATAGATCATACAATAAGTGACAGAGGAGGATTTTAAGAACAGGTATTTCTTTTTTCAAAGCCCATATCTCATCTTTATTTTTGAAGGTGATGTCATGGAAGGAGAATATGACCTTCTACTAAGTGATGTTTCAGAACAACTTTTACAATTAAATAAAATTCTATACCCTAGGAATCAAGAGGAAGTTATTAAGAGCATGGATTTTGGCATCAAGGCAGATACAGGTTTAAGTCCTAGTTCATTATCAGTTGAGAGCTTAAGGCAAATTTTTAACCTCTAAACCTCAGGTTCCTCATTTGTGAAATGTAAAGAACAGTAGTTTGCATGTCAGAGTTGTCGGAATTACTGGTATTTAATAAATGGAAACTGCTATTATCAATAATACAGTGATTGATTATTGATTTTTGATTTTTAAAAATTTAAAAATAGGATACCAAGGTGAGCTGTGGGCTGTTTGTGAAAATCTAGTGTAATATTTCCCTGGCTGATTTAGTTTTTGTGTTTCTTTCTCTCTCCTCGCTTGTTTTTGTTTTGTTTCTTGCCCCCTTAAGGATTTCAGTTTTTCTGACTGTTACATGAAAGGATGATTGCTCACAAACAGAAAAAGACAAAGAAAAAACGTGCTTGGGCATCAGGTCAACTCTCTACTGATATTACAACTTCTGAAATGGGGCTCAAGTCCTTAAGTTCCAACTCTATTTTTGATCCGGATTACATCAAGGAGTTGGTGAATGATATCAGGAAGTTCTCCCACATGTTACTATATTTGAAAGAAGCCATATTTTCAGGTTTGTCACTTTTCTATTAGCATTCTTGCTGGATAGTTTGTAAAATTTTAAATGCTGGCCTAGCAGATAAGTTTGTACACAGTGGTAGGAACAGGGTATTCTGCTTTAGTTATTTTAGTGCTTTTTTCCCCAAATCTTTGATGGTTACAGTGTAAACTATTTTATAATCAGATAATAGTGTAATACCTAATAGAAACTTCAGTGTGAGGGAATAAGAATACAAAAAAGAAAAATATCTTTGATTCCTGTGGTTGGGTCCATTTGACGTAGGAAAATTTGACATCATTGGAATTTTAACCTTTCTGTTAATGGTAACACAGTGCATTGATTGGTCTTAAATAAGCTGACTAATGTTTATAATTTACATTGTTGACACTGTTACCTAAATTCACCTTTCCACATTTTAGATGAAGTTTTGGTATCTAAAATGACTGCATTTTTTTTTTTTAACAAAAATCAGACTTAATTCTGTTTTGCTGATCTGTAACATCTTGAATTAAGGGCTAATCACAGAATTCTGTCTAGTTAGAAATGAATAATGGAGCATGAGACTCTGTTCCTCTAAAGTAAAAGATTGTATATCTCTGACTTGTTCTTAGTACCTGTCTTTCAATGTTTAGTGCCTCTTAGGTCTAAATTTGATGGCAAGGATAATAAATAGTTACAAAAACAGCTCCTATTCTTCTATGATAAATGGCAGTTTCATTTCCATATTCATAATGGTATGTCTAGATATAAAAATGAAGATTCTCAGTGTTATTTATATGAGACCTCTTGGGGCTTTATAGAAATTTGTAAGATTTCAATAAATATTTCTATGTATATATATAAGTTAAATACTTATTTTCTGATGGACATTTTGAAAAACCAAAATTGTATCTTGTGCTTGTACTAAATTTAAGAGTTAATTTCTAATCTGTTATTTTCAGGTTGAAATGCCCAAAATGACTGGAATTGAAGCCTCAAAGTTTTAGTATTTGAGTTTTCCTTAAAACAACAATCACATAAGTGATTCTTTTGAGAATGTATACATATTAGAAAAGTTGTTCATATTCCCATTCATTTTAATAGCTTGATTTTGAAGTCTGATTGTGGATGATTAAATGGCAGTAAAGTTACCTAAAGTTATTGTGGAAAGATATCCTAACTACATTAAGTATTATAATGGTAGTAAATTTACCAAAATGATAAATTTGCCATTTATTTAAAGAAACATAGCTTTGTAATAACAATTTGTTCTTAACTAGGTTAATTTTTTAAATTTATAAACAATAAAATGTATACTTCTTGATATGCAGTTCATTAACTGGATTGATTTTTAAGGTGAAATTTAAAGTGATGTATTAGTTGACAAGTCATTTACCTTGATTTAAGGTGTAAAACCTGATTTTATTTAATGCCTCAATTTAAATGCATTTTTATTAGTATAAATAAGATTTTTAGTTAAGATTTCTATTTGTTTTTAGTTATTTTCCTTAAAAGATTTATATCTCTTAAAAATCTTCATTTTACATAATTATCCTTGTGTCACAGATTTAAAATGATAGTAATTTAAAACAAGCTGGACTACTTATCTCCAAAAAAAATTTTTATAAGAGTTTTAAATTGTGAGCAGACACTTCAGAGAATACTGAAGGTCAACTGAAAGTTGACCCTAAGTGAGAAAAGAAAAAAATAAGATACAGAAAGAGACTACCCCCTGAGGTAAAGGGATATGTATGGAAATACATACACTGAAATTTAATTTTAAAAATTCATAAGGACATTATCAAAAAGTTTGCAATTTATGGCCAGGAAATTAATTACAAAATAGATAAACTGTTTTTTTGATAACCAACTCAGTAGTATGCAGTGGCCAGAGGATGTTCATTATTTACCTTTGGGTTGATTTTTTGTCTTTGAAATATCGTTATCAAAATCTAGAAATAAACTAGTTAATTTGAGTTGATGGAACCTTTTTGTTTTATAAACATAAATGGACCTCATTATAAAAGATAAGGAAAATGCTACATAATATTGTGCTTGTTTTTAATTTTGATGATTTTCAGCTTAGAGTATCAGACTATTCCTTATTTACTTAATAAAAGTATTACAAAGATCTCATGAGATGTAATCTTTAGGAAAGGTAAAATGTTTAAAATGCTCTAACTATTTAAGATGGTATTATTACATGTATCCCTATAGTCATGAGCCCTGCTTTTTGTCTCTGGGTATTGAGAAATATCCCTGGACTTCTTTTCTGAGTTATCACCACAACGTTAAAGTGTGGCCAGACAGCAAAGAGCCATTTCATTCACTGTTTTTCTTTTAGAGTGGAAGAGCCTTGTCAGTAATTTCTCAGTAGCCCTCCCAATATTTTGTGTATTGTCTCCTTAAGAGGAAGATGCCATATTTTTGGCATTGTTTATTACCTTTTAATTCACGTTTGTTAAGCTAAAAAGGCAGCTCTTAAGAATAAAGAATGTAGATATACAATTAAATCATCTTTTGGTTTAGTCAGAATACATTTTTTCTGTAATAACTTTTATCTGTTAATACCTTTATTACTAACTGAAGCACTAATGTGCAGTCACTTGACTTTTGCCGCAGTTGTTTAATCATAGGTTGAGGCTAGTCTTAGATAAACAGCTTTGTGATTGGTTTATGGCCACATTTTACTTTCCCCAAGTAGTTAGAAATGATGTATAATTGTATATGGCGCTTTTCATTTTACAGAGTACTTTGTCATACAAACAAGTTTAATCACCCAGGCCCCTCAAAGGCAGGTACCTTTAGCTCCGTTTCACAGATGAGATGTATGTATAACTTTTGATTTCATCAATGTCTTATTGCTGATAAATAATGGCCAGGTTATATGGTTTGGTTAAATTGGTAGTAAAGGATGGCAGCAAAAGCTCTGAAAAGAGAATCAGAATCTAGGTTCTAGGCCTAGTTCTACTGACTAGCTTTGGAATATGGCTTAATTCATTTAATTTTTTGTTAAGAATGAGGCACTTGTACCAGATGCTATCAGTTTTACGAATCTGTGATTCAAAATTTGATTAGAGTTGGAGATTATACATTGTTCTGAATGTTGGCAGTTTATTCCTAAGAAGACAGCTAAGTATTTGTTTTCAAATTATATGAAAACAAATTAATGAAAATTTCCCAAGTGAGAATATGAAGCTCATATTGTAATCGTCATTGAGGAACTGATTAGAAAAAATATAAATGTCTGCCAAAGAGCTCTGTACTCCCAACAGGGTTAAGATACATATACGGTTTATCTCTAATTTTCTAATTTACAAATTAAAATAGAGAGCTTAATGTGGAAGATTAGAGGGCTGAAAATATTCTATTCTTGCTGGGGTAAGTTAAGTGACAGAGTTTGGTAATTCTCTTTCCACTACTTAACCTCCAGGAGGAGGTTACCTTGTAGTCTTATACAAGTAGCAGATGTGGAATTTGAAGTTTTAGTTTTTTTATCCAGTGTCATTAAGGTACATTAGGAGTAATTACAAGGTAAATGTTCTATCTTATATGAAAATGCTGAAGGCACTCAGTTATGCATATGCATGTTGTGTTTAATTATAACACTGTAGATTAATATATGTGCAGTGTAAGTACCAATTCAGGTTTATGGTTTCCTCCCTGTGGAATAACGTGTTCTAAATTCTAAATAACAGATTCATAAGTGCTTTTCAAGTTTATGTAATAATTTTTAAAGTCTGCCATTGTGACATACCTCCCCATTTTCATGTGGAATATCACTCAAGGAAGCTAAAATCTGGGAATGTGGAAAATGTAAAGGCCTTTTAATTGGGCTAGAAAGAATAGTATAAAATATCTAATTGTTCTGCTACTCAGTGCTTGGAAATATTAACTGCCATTTTAAAATATATTTGAGGGAAAATCAATAGTCTAATAATTTCTTATAGCTTTTTTATTATATAGTACTACTTTAAATGGATTTTTTGGTTTGTGACTATGGTGCCTTATTTTTCTTTTTCTTTTCTTTTTTTGGTTTGGTTTTTAAATAGGCTGGAAAGGAAGATAAAAATGTATGGCCAATTTCAGATGAACTAGTCAAGTTCTCTTATTTTTAAAAGATGCTTTCTAATTTAAGAGTGTATCACCTTTATACTATTTATAAAGAAAATAATGCTGACCTCATAAGTGATAGCTTCTGATGAATTGTTTTTACAGGACTATAGTCGGAAGTAGTATGTTAACTTTCTAAAACAAATTTTATTGAACAGTTAGGTTGAATAAAAAGTTTTTATTGAACTTTTCATTAAATGAAAAGTTTAATACCATTAAATAATATATTCTGTTATGAGAGGTTCTGCATAAATTTGCAAAGTCTTCATTGAAATCCTGTCTTGTGGATTAACTCAGTTCTTTTCCCAGGGAGAATGTACAGGAGGATGTGTAAATTTCTTTTTCAGACAAATTGCATTGTTACTTTTACCATTGATGCCTCCTACTTAACTTTACAGTGTGCCAGAAATTTTGTGAAATATTAGAAACATTAAGCTGCTAGCCTCAGATGTGTACTGCTCTGTCTTATCCTAGAAATAAATCTTTTTAGAAGTTATTCCTAATGAATATCACTTAGAAGTTAATGTGAATGTTAATAGATTATTGTTTAGTGACTAGAAGTTATGAAATGAATCTTTGAGAAACGAAGTATGAAATACAAGTAGCTCATTTATTACACCTGTACCAGTTCTCGGTGTATTAGATTCCTCTTCTGCGTTTGCCTAGAATGGTTTATATCATTTAACAATGTTTATAGTAGTAACTAGCATATTCATTGGAAATTAAAGCCTGTTAAATTGCAGATCGCAGAGTACTTGTCATTAAGCTTAATTTCTTCAACCATGTGGCAATATATCATAGTGATTAGGAGCACAAGTTCTAGACCCAGGATACCTGAGGTGGAATCCTCATTCTGCCACTTGCTAGTTGTTTGTAGCCCTGGGCAAGTTATTTATCTTCTTCCTTTATGCTTGTTTCTGTGTCTATTAAAAGGAGATAATGGGGTTTTTGTGATGATTAAATGAGTTTATATATGTAAAGCTCTTAGAATAAGCATTTTCAAATGTCAGTTGTTATTATTTTCATAATCCCTGGTAGCTGAATAAAGTAAATTGCTGTTTCTCAGGCTTCACTTTTATCCTGTAACTTCAAAAGCCATTACGACAAAAATTGGGACTTTCCTAGTGATAAGTTCTGAAACATTTTTTCTCCTTATTTTCATTGCTTTCCCTAAAGAGGTTAAGCTGAGTTAACAAGATTGATTTTCAAATTATTGTCAGTTTTTTTTTTAATGAAAGAAAACATCATGTTTTTTTCATTTATTTACTTAGACATTTCCATGAAGTGTTGGCAATATAAACACTGTGGTATTTTGTTAATGCATGAGAACAAAAAGTGGAGCTGGCTAATCTGTCTTCACTTGATAAGTGGAATGAAGCAGAAAATAAATGGCTTAGATCGGTGAAACAATAAATTAAAATTCAGATTACTGTATTACAGAGTGAGTAGAGAAACAAGCAAACATTGGGATACAGGAGTTTTACTATTCTAGGTGACTAGTATTAAGACTTTGGTTGAATTTTATTATATTCACATCTGTAATAACTTTTTAGTATAAATTAAATTTCATTACATTTACAATATGGCCACTATGGTATTTAAAAATTATCTTGTATTTAGTTATATGACTAAATTAAGTACTATAACTTGAGAGATATAGAAATTTTTAATAAAACATATCCTGAATGACTGCTTCATTTTCAGATAATTCACCAATTTAGATTCTACACAGCAAATGAAATTGAAACTTAAATGTAATGTCTTTTCTTCCTTAGTCAAAATATTGTGGGATCTAGCTATAAATGTATTTGTTATTGAACATGATTGTGAGGCAAATCTGTTTTCAAAGGTAGTTTGAATGGCTTACAGAATTACTAGTAATAATTGCCATTTATGTATATTAAGACTGTAAAGTAGCTTTATTTCTACTTATTTGATATTCACAACAACCTTAAAAGGTAGGTAAAACAGGTATTATCAATTGTGTTTTTACTGAGGATGAATCTGAGATCAGAGAAACTAAGAGTTTTGTATGTGTGTTCATTTCAAGGAAGTAGTTGATCAAGGGTTGGAACCCAGGTTTCTCTATCTAAATCTATTGTTTTTTACTGCATCAAGCAGCCACTTAACTTTCTTCAGTTTTGGTAAAAATGGAATTTTCTTTAAACCATTTATGATGCAGCTAGTTGAGGGCTTGCTAATTTATGAAGTTCCAACTGAAATATTATTAGGACATGCTCATGACCTAGAAGTTTACCCTTCTGCCCAAATATATAGAAAAGTTTATGAACCTTTGTGATTACCTTTTTCTTTATTTAGTCATCATGTTCATTTCTGTTGATTTGTGGGCTTCAGCAGTGTATTTAATTTCAGGAATTGGAATTCTTCATAGTGTAACTTAAGGAGCTTCTGAAACTTCTTACGAAAATAATTCTGATGCTATTTTTTTAGTATGTTAGTTGGGGACAACTTCAAGATCTGTTTATTAGGGCTACCTTGTAGGAAAAAAAGGAATTGCAAGTTCGTAGACCATTTGTGCTGCCACCAGTTATTGGAGTGTTTTGCAGTTGCAGTGATTTTTTTTCTTTTATTTTTCTTGAAATCCAGGGACAGATTGGATATAGTGATTCTTAAGAAAAACTATAGCAGGGACTCCCAGGACCTTTTTACACTGTTAAAAAAAATTACTGAGGACTCCAAAGAGTTTTTTATGTGAGTTCTATCTATTAGAAATTAAAACTGAGAAAATTGAAAAGCATTTAATAATTTTAGAAATATATGGATTTCTGCATGTTTAATTTCCTTGACTCTGAGAAGACCACAGTATTACTTTGGTTTGTGTAGGCATTTAGGCCATTAGTATTTTGTAGTTTTTGCCCAACACTAATTTTGAATGTTGATGGTTGTCGTTGGCATTCTGAAAATCAAGCTCTTTTGGCCTGAGATTTAATGTTTCCTAAGTATATTAATACCTGAAGATTTTATTGTAAAACATTAGAATAGGGGATAGAAATAACTTTCTTTTCTAAGACTAACATTTATTAGGTTTCAAAAAGAGGGCAGTGTAACTCTCTGTGATGATAATCACTCCACCTTGGTTTTGGTTAAGTCAGCAGAAGTACTAGCATATACCAACTTTATTTAGTTATGTATGTGCCAAATAAGAGATCTGGCTGTACAAAACTGGGGAAAAAATAGCACATCAGGAAGGTTTTATAAGCCAGGCATGGTGGCTAACGCCTGTAATCCCAGCACTTTGGGAGGCCAAGGCCGGTGGATCACCTGAGGTCAGGAGTTTGAGACCAGCCTGACCAACATAGTGAAACCTCGTCTCTACTAAATACAAAAAAAATCAGCCAGGTGTGGTGGTGAGCACCTGTAATCCTAGCTACTTGGGAGGCTGAGGCAGAAGAATTGCTTGAACCCGGGAGGCAGAGGTTGCACTGAGCTGAGATTGCACCGTGGCATTCTAGCCCAGGCGACAGAGCAAGACTCCAACTCAAAAAGAAAAAAAAAAAGGGAAGGTTTTATAATTTTTTTACACCTATTCAAATTATATTATTTTCCCAGAAGTTTCCTTTATTTCATATCTACTAGATTTAATTTCAGAGCTAACCTATATCATTAACCTATTCTACTAGTGCATAAAGTATTATGTTGGTGCAAAAGTAATTGAGGTTTTGGCTATATACATACATATATATGTAAATATATGTATGTATGTATATATAGTTTTTTTTAGTGGCCAAATCCGCAATTAATTACTTTTGCACCAACTAAAAATAGCTGCAAACATTTATGAAGGGCCTACTGTGTTCCAGCCACTGTTCTAAGTGCGTTATGTGTTTTAATTCATTTAACCGAACAACCCTGTGAACTAGCTACCTTATCTTTTTTTTTATAGATGAGGAAACTGAGGCACAGAGGGGCTAAGTAACTCACCCAAGGTTTCTCAGCCATGAAGTTAGAATTCAAAGTCAGGCAGTCTGGTTTCAGAGACTATGCTTTTCAACACTATACTGTATTGCCTCAACTAAGTAAACCTACCAAACTAACATTACCAGTTATAAAAAAGATAAAATAGGCCAGGGGCGGTGGCTCACGCCTGTAATCCCAGCACTTTGGGAGGCCGAGGCGGATGGATCACGAGGTCAGGAGATCAAGACCATCCTGGCTAACACAGTGAAACCCCGTCTCTACTAAAAATACAAAAAAATTAGCTGGGTGTGGTGGCGGGCGCCTGTAGTCCCAACTACTCGGGAGGCTGAGGCAGGAGAATGGCGTGAACCCAGGAGGCGGAGCTTGCAGTGAGGGGAGATCACGCCACTGCACTCCAGCCTGGGAGACAGAGCGAGACTCCGTCTCAAAAAAAAAAAAATTATGTTTATGGGGAAAATTTCAACAGCACATAAAATTCCTAAAATCTTTTACCTACTTGTATTTCATTTTAAAAATAGACTTTTATTTTTTAGAACAGGTTTAGATTTACAGAAAAATTGAGATAATAATACAAAGTTCCCATATAGTCCTATACACTGTATTAACATCTTATATCTCTTAGAGTTAGTGAGCCAGTGTTTGATAACCAGTAATAAAATGATGCATTATTATTAACTAGTGTCTATATTCAGATTTCCATAGATTTCCTCTAATATTCTTTATTATTTTCCAGGATCCTATCGTATTACATTTAGTTTTTTCTCCTTAGGTCTTCCTTGGCTGTAAGCTTCTCAAACTTTCCTCATTTTTATTTTAAGGAATACTGATTAGGTATTCTGCAGGATGGCGCTTGATTAGAATTTGCCTGACGTTTTTCTCCTCATTAGACCGGAGTTATGGGATATTGGGAGGAAGATTACAGATGTAAAGTGTTGTTTTCATCACTTTATAGCAAGGATATTTACCTTGAATGTGATTTGTCAATGTTGATGTTGACCTTGGTCACCTGTCTTCAGTAGTGTTTGTCAAGTTTCTCCACTGTCAAGTTATTCTTTTTGTCCTCCTTTCCATACTACACTCTTTGGAAGAAGTTAGCCTGCATAGGTCATATGTAAGAGAGTTATGTTTCACCTTCTTGAGAGCAAAGTATTTGCACACATTTTTTACAGTTCTTTTACACAAGAGATTTGTTTCTTTTCCCCTGTTTACTAATGTATTCAATCATTTATGTCAGTATGGACTCATGGACATTTGTTATATACTTTAGGTTATAATCCAATACTACTTTATTTGTTGCTCACATTGTTCCAGCTTTGGCCATTGGAAACTTTCAGTTGGTTCCTGTGCACCTTTGACATGCCCTCCTCACTGGGGGGTGTTTTTTGTTGTTTGTTTTAGTTTTTTTTTTTTTTTAAAGTTCTTCCTTCCTTTCTGGCATTACAAGATGCTTGTTACTTATCTTGAAGATTTCTGCCCCAGTCCAGGAATCAACTATTTCTCTAAGGAGACCTGATTACTTTCATTGGAGAATAGTATTAGAAACCAAGATCTAGATACTAGGTGTGCTTGTTGCTGCTGAGTGTCATTTCTTTTAGGCCCTCTCAGCTAACAAAGCAAAGAAATATATATATGTGTATGTATATTTTTACATATGGGTATTTATATAGACATGCATATGTGTACATTTTCATGAATATATTTATATATACATATATACATATGTGCACATACATTTGTATGTATATATGTACATATGTATGTATATATATTTAAGTATATACACAAATATTTCTATATGTAGTCATACAGAAATGTGTATAAATATATACATATGTATAAAAATATATACTTATATAAATAATATAGATGACTGCATACAGAAATATGTGTATATACATACATGGGTCATACTAAATGAGTATGACCCATCACAGTATTCAGTATCACATTGAATGAAATAATATCCTTTTGTTTTTAATAGTGCCTAGCACATAGTAAGTGCTTAATAGATATTAACTCTTATTAAACACCAATGCTGTGTAAGTTTACAGAAAGGAAGATTATATAAGAGTACTGTACTTAAAATGGTTGTCTTGTCAGACTTTTGAGGATTACTTCGGGGTTTTAAAGGTAGGGTGATTATACTTTCTGATTTACTTGGGATGAAGATCCTAGAATGTGATTGTTGTGCTAGCATGACTGTGAGTAGCATCCCCCTTTCCACTAGCAAAAGTATTTTGGTTTGAATGATAAATTGTATAGTCATCTTATTTAAGGTGTAATAAAACTGCATCGCTCTGACCTAGGATGATGTAAATGAGTGGAGTAGGCTGGGAGAAAATGAATGAGCACTGAGAAGAAACTCATCTATCTAAGAGAGCAGCACTGCTCTGTTCTAGCTACTGTGGCCAAGGAGGAATGTGGCCCTGAGTGTAAAAGATTTTGATTTTTCAGGAGTAGGCAAAATCTAGAATATGTGTAATGATCCTTCAATTTTTCATCATTGACAACTAATTCAGTTTTTCTAAAAAGCACAAAAACTCATTAAAGGTCTGTACATTTTATCATAGGTAAATTATATCATAATTTTAAAAATGTATAGGTTAAATGATGATCTTTATATGCCTAAGAGTTACTGGATATGTTAAAAAATATATGATAGTAAAACTATAAGGCAAGAAAAACTTACCTTATAAAGTTGGCTCAAGGGAAGTCTGGAGCACATATTAAGATTGAGAAAACTGAAAAATGAAGTACTTAAATTGACCATAACTGTGAGAGCCTTTGAAATCCTTAATGAATTAAAATGACTAAGGATTTTCTGAAGGCTTTTTAAATTGTATATAATTGCAGCAGTGAAGATATAAATGAATGTATAGTAGGCAAAAATTGTGTAACCAATGCTTCTACTTGAAATGTGCTTCAGATGACGTTTTGTAGTTTAGATTTGTGGAACTTTGCTCTGGAAATAAATTATTTTTTTTTCTTTTTAAAGACTGTTTTAAAGAAGTTATTCATATACGTCTAGAGGAACTGCTCCGTGTTTTAAAGTCTATAATGAATAAACATCAGAACCTCAATTCTGTTGATCTTCAAAATGCTGCAGAAATGCTCACTGCAAAAGTGAAAGGTAAGGAAGATATAGTAAAAGTGGGTTGCTGTGGGCAAAAAGGAGCCAAGTGATATATTTTGGTCTATAGTGAATATATAGCCAATTCCTCTCATTGCATTTGTGTGATGTATGTTAATAAGGAGTTATATATACTTTGATATTGAAATATTCCCACTAAGTCACACCTAAAGCTTTCTTCCTTTTAAAAACTAACTTTATTTGGCAGTGAATACTTTAAAAAGACTTAACTTTAACCAAACAACTGATGTTTAAAATTTGAGTTTTTTATGAATGAGTGCACGCTCTTTCGAGGTGATTGGTGTACAAGAAGTCTTTGTTAGGTGAGGACAAATTGAAATTGGAGAGTGGTAATGTGCAGTGACTACTTAAAAGAGGGAATCAAATGGAGAAAAAGAAGGCTTAATTGGGACCTTATCTAAAATGTGAAAATGAAATTAAAATTGTAAAATAAGTTTATCATATATGTATGGGTGTGTGTGTATCTATAGCATATATGTGCTAAAACTTAGCATGAAGAATTGGACCATTATCCTCTGATGAAATGACTTGCCATTCAAAGTTGTGAATTATTCTGGGTTGCAGTATATAAAAGAAGGATTGAGAGCGAAGTGAGTATTTGAGAAGAAATGAGACAGGAGGCAGGGAAATAGGAGATTGTTAGGAATAATGGGCTAGATGAGGGTTGAAGCTGAGGGCTTAAATGAGCGGAAGCTGGGGTGTGGTAGTGGTAGAATGTGATTTGTTAAATAAGAAGGAATGGATGTCAGTTTGACAGAACGACACAGGTTGAATGTTAGTGGTTATGGAGAAGTTCGGTGTTGAAGATGTGGACTTGGGAATTGTTGATGTATAGGTAATGGAAAAGGATGACATCAGCTGAGTGTGCAGAGTAAGTAGAGGACTGATGTGAGATCCCAGGGACAGAGAGAAGATACAGAGGAATTGGAGAAACACCTAACAGGTAGGGAGATGGACCTGCAAGGAGGTGACATGGATTTTAAGAAGTGATTATCAGTGTTAAATGCTACCGATAAGGTAAATGGATTCAAAGTAATAAAACTACAGAAAGTGACCTTTAGGGAGCAGTGATGTAGCAATCAGAGACAGACAAGGTAACAGCAATCCTGTGATCAATTCTGTGATAGAAGTACGCCTAGGCACCATGGGAGCACAGAGTGAGGAACTCACTCTAGGCTGAATGAGGAAAGGAAACTCTTCTTTGGGGAAAGGGATTGCCGGTCCTGAGTCGAAAAGGTCAAGTAGGCATTAACTGGGCTGGACTTGGTGGGGATGGGGCTGTAATACAAGAACTCTGGGTGAGAAGAACATGATGAGATTGGTGAACAGGATCATATTTGGAGAGGCTAAAGGGCATGTGTTAAGGGATGAAGCAGGAAAGGAAAATAAAAACCTTGTCTACAAAATATAGTTCATATACTTAAGGAAACCACCCCTACCAGCACTTTTTGACATAGATTTATCATGTTTGTGTGGTTTCCTTTTTTCTGTATTTCAAACACTGAAAAAAATGTAGATGATTTTTAAATGGGAAACATGGATAGCTTCTTCTGTCCTGACTTTTAAAAATGTGCTTAGTAACCAAATTTGTTTCTAAATAGATTGTTTACAAGTACCATTTAACTTTACTTAGATAGGGAAATTTGTGTCTATAGATAGTAAAATTTCCATGCTTGGAAATAGCGACCTAGTTCAATTGTTGTCAGTAGCTATTGTGTGCAGTCAGGATGTCCTGGGGAAGGAGTGCGCCTGTGTATAGTTGGTGTCCACATTCCAGAAACAAACTTGAAGAGAGTGCTCTCTCAGATACCTTGAAGATCTTTCTGTCTTTGAGGAAAAGCAATCTTCTGAATATTATTTTCCACTATTACTATCTTTATACTTGGGATTATTGTAACTGTTTTACTTTTGTGCTGGATGACATTTAAAAGGGGAAGATTATTTTGTTGTTGGGAAACTTCCTCTGTTTGGTAGAACTCTATGAGACTAGAACACTTTAAATATTGTGTTTTCTTTGTGTTAAGTTTATATGGTTTATAATAAAACCTCTTTCCCTGCCCCAACTCTCACTTTTGAGGCCATTTAAAAATATAATTGATACCCCAATTGAAAAATATTCAGCAACTTGAAAAATTGAGGTCAAATCAACTTAATTAATGGTTTCATTTAATGGTAATTTAGTTTTCAAAACCTGGAAAGGCAGAGGGTAAGTAGAAACCATTTTGAGTATCTGTTCAGTGCCAGCCAGTCTAAGTGCTTTAAAACCTATAAATGTACAGTAGTAGCTATTTCAGAAAGGAAAAGTTTCTGGGACAGAAAGCTGTCTGGAGTATGGAGATCCTTTATATTATTTGAGGTTTCAGTTTTTTTTTTTTTGTTTTTTTTTAAGAGATAGGGTCTCACTCTGTTGCCCAGGCTGCAGTGCAGTAGCATGTTCATAGCTCACTGTAATCTTAAACTCCGGAACGCAAGCAATCCTCCCACCTCAGTGTCTCAAGTAGCTGGGGCTACAGATGTGAGCTGTCACTCTCCCAGCTGATTTTTAAATTTCTAAAATTTTTCACAGGGACAGGGTCTTGCTTTGTTGCCTAGGCTGATCCTGAACTCCTGGCCTCAAGCAATCCTCCCACCTTGGCCTCTAAAATGCTGGGATTACAGGCATGAGCCACCACACCTAGTCCATCATTGAGTGTTTTTTTTTTTTTTTGAGACGGTGTCTCTGTCACACCGGCTGGAGTGCAGTGGCATGATCTCGGCTCACTGCAGCCTCAGCCTCCTGGGTTCAAGCAATTCTCCTGCCTCTGCCTCCCAAGTAGCTAGGATTACAGGTATGTGCCACCACACCCACCTAATTTTTGTATTTTTAGTAGAGATGAGATTTTACCATTTTGGCCAGACAAGTCTCAAACTCTTGACCTCAAGTGATCTGCCTGCCTCAGCCTTCCAAAGTGCTGGGATTACAGGCATGAGCCACCGCTCCCGGCCCCATCATTTAATTTTAACTCTGACTATGTTTAAAAAACAGCAGTGACCTAGGTATATGACTTACTTTGGAGACCTTAAGTATGAAATGCATTTTTTCAAATCTACCAAACAATAGAAAAAAAATACAGAATAACTTTAGAATCAGGGATGTGTAATCTTACTTGTATTACCACAGGTTTGAATGCATGAAGGGTGCCTGCTTCCTCTGTATAAGAAGTGAGAAATTGGAATCTTTACCCATATTTTTTATTTTAAATGTGGAGTTTACCTTTTAATAACTTTAAAAGAAAAATCTTTAATTTTTTTCCCATTCATTCTAATAGTGATTTGTATTTCCTGTGTGTTCTCATGTTTCCAAGCAGGAAATTCAGTCTGACAAAATATTTGCAATATGGTAAGAGAGATATAGCCTATTTTTAAAGGAGATAAAGGTATCTTCAGAACTCAGTAATTTATTATGTACTATTTGTTTTCATTATTTTCAGTTATTTTGGTCAATCTTATTTCTAATATAAATGAAAATAACCCTTAATTTAGGTTTTTTATGTTCTGCATTTTACCCTATATTTAAAAATTGGTAAACAAAAAAGAAAAATAAGTCTTAATTATGCCTCCAAGATTGTAGAAGCCTTGTATTTGTTTTGAAAACTTAATTTTATTAATAGGCAGTTCACACAGAATCCAAATGGTATAAAAGGGTATTGAACGATGATGAAGTTTCTTTGTTGCTTTTGACTATTAGTCACTCATTCCTTTACCTAGATAAGTAACAACCTTTATTGGTCTCTTGTGTGTTTTTTCAGAGATACACATATACAAGCAAATACACGGATGTGTTCTCTTTTTTAACCTCCTTTTTGCACAGATGGTAGCGTTCTGCTCCTTGCTCATTGTCATGAGTTACCTGCACATAAAGGGTTTCCTCATTCTTTTGTTATTGTTTCTTCAAAGCTGTATGGTAATCCCTTATATTGATGTACTATAATTTATTTAATCAGTTAACTACTAATAGATGTTTGGATCATTTCCAGTTTTTTTCCTATTACAAACAGTGCTTCAATAAATAGTCATGCAAATTCCTAGATGAATAATTGCTGAATCAGCAAGCATGTGTGTTTATATTTTTTGATATTACCAGATGCCTTCAGTATAGGTTCTGCCCTTCTGATAGCAGTGCTGAAGAGGCTGATTTCCTGCACCTTTGCCAACAGAACTGGTTACAAAGCTCTGTTATCCAGTATGATAGTGAAAAGTGGTATCAGCCTAGGTTTGATTTGCATTTCACTCATTTTGAGTACAGTTGAATATCTTTTGTTTCAATAACGTTTTTACATCCTTTTATGTTAATTGACCTTTTATCTGCTTTTCTTTTGCTGGTAGGTCTCCTTTTAGTATTGATTTGTAGAAACTCTGTATAAGTAAAATTAGCCTTTAGTCTTTGATTAATGTTGAAAAATTTTTTTTACTTCATTTTTTGTCTTTTATTTTTGCATTAACATTTTTCAGTCTTTTATGGTTTCTGGGTTTTGAGTATTAGGAAAGGCTTCTCTGCTCTGAGATTATAATAGAATTCTTGAATGTTTTTTCTTCTGATGTTTCATGGTTTCATTTGTTGAATTTAAGTCTTCAGAAACATTGTAAAGTATCTAAGTGTCTAGTAAATTTATCAGGTAATTCATATTTTCGCCACTAATTTGAGATGTCACCTTTATCATAAATACACTACATTCTCACATATATCTATTTATGGACCTTAATTCTGTTCCACTGATTTGTTTAGTTGTATGCCCAGGCCACACTGTTTTTATTATAGTTTTTATGACATTTTAGTATCTGGTAGGGATAGCTTGTTCAGAATTTTATTTTTTCCATGAAGATTTTTGAATTGGCTGTTTGGTTCTAAAAAATATCTACTGGTTTTTTTTTTGTTTTGTTTTGTTTTTTGATGATTTGAGTTAAATTTATAGATTAAATTAAGGAAAATATACATATTTAGTATTTCTATCCAAGAATATAATATGTACTTTGTTTCTTGAAGTTGTCTTTTATGTTCCTCAGAAGCAACTGAAAGTTTTCATTAGGTAGGTCTTGTAGCTTTTTTGGTTTTTTTCCCTATGTATTTTATTATTTTCTTTTTTTTTTTTTTTCCTTTTCATGCTTTTCTTCCATTGCATCTTTTAATTGAATGGTTTTTGAACTATGGGCTCTGACTCATGACATCAAGTTAGTGGATTGTGACCAGCATTTTTAAAAAATGAAAGAGAATAGAAAAGAAAAATCAGAAGCAACACTCATTACATAAAACTTAAGTATGTGTCAGAAATTTTATAGGTGTTATATAGCTGATTATGTGTGTATAGAATACTCAGTCATGATGCAATATGTATTTTTTCCCAAGGTTGTGGTCAAAAACATTTGAAAGTTGCTGCTCTAATAGGTTGTATGAATGAAAGCTATTCAGGTGATTTCTTGAAGAGATACTAAACGTGTCTTAGGACTTGGTATTGGGATTTAATAGGGAACCCAAGGGAGACAATTATTTAAACCTTAAGCAACATTTTAATGAGCTTTTGAAGGACTATTAATAGAGGGGATGGAGTGGAGACAGAGACACCAGTTAGGTTGTTAAATAGTTCAGACTAGAGGTAAAACGTGGGCTTTTGAATTAAATCAATGGCAATGGGGATGGAAAGGAAGAAAAAATATTTTAGAGGCATTTTTGAAAGTGAAGCTAATGAGCTAAGGATTGTATGGAAAATAGCAGGTGGAAAGTAGGAGAAGAAATATATCAGCCTATTAGAAATGCGAATCTGGAGCTTGGAGGTTAAAACTAGACAGGTAGTTTAGGAATTTGTTCCCTCAAAGGTATGGAAGTGGGTGAGATTCTGTAGGGATAGTGTATATAAAGAAAGCCAAGATGAGAGCTATAGAGGCTAAGTGGAGAAAGCTCTATGAACTACAGATTGTGTACAGATAGATATTGAACAGAGGAACAGAGCTTGTGTTTACTGAATTCAAGCACTGTACTCTGGGTGCTTCACATTTGTTTTCTCAGTCATTCCTCTCAATAATATGCTGTTTTGCTTATGAGGAAATTGAAGTTAGGTAATGTGTCCAGACTAACACACAAAGTAGTAGAGACCAGATTTGAACTCAGGGCTGAAACTCTAAAGCCTTTTATCAGTATATATTACTGTTATATCACCTCTCATTTTGCAGATATGGAAACTGAGGCATAGAGAGAAGCTTGTCCAACATACATATTAAGTGGTAGTGTTGTTGAAACTTGCAAAAAGGTTTAGTAGCTTGAAGACTTAGAAGAAAAAAGACATCTAATTTTGACTGATAGGTTATTGTTGACAGTGTTTTGTGTTATATGATAATAATAGCTAACATTTTTGAACATCTTCTATGTAACAGGCTCTGTTCTAAGTTCATTTAATCTTCACAACAGTTCTCAAAGTACGTAATTATCCCCAGTTTATAAATGAGGAAACTGAGTTACAGAGGGGTGAAGTTATGTAACATTGTAAGAGAGAGAGTTAGGATTTAACTTAGGCAGACTGACTTCGGAACCCATCCACTTTACCAGGCGTTGGCACACAGGCTGGTGGGCCAAATCTGGCCAGCTGCCTGTTTTTGTAAATAAAGGTTTATTGGAACACAGTCTTATCCATTTATGTATCATCTATGGCCCCTTTCAACAGAACTGACTGGCCTGAAAAGTGTAAAATATTTACTACCTGGTCCTTTATAGAAAAAGTTTTCCAGGCCGGGTGCGGTGGCTCACGCCTGTAATCCCAGCACTTTGGCAGGCCGAGGCGGGCAGATCACGAGGTCAGGAGATCAAGACCATCCTTGCTAACACGGTGAAACCCCGTCTCTACTAAAAAATACAAAAAAAATTGGCCGGGCCTGGTGGCGGGTGCCTGTAGTCCCAGCTACTCGGGAGGCTGAGGCAGGAGAATGGCGGGAACCCGGGAGGAGGAGCTTGCAGTGAGCCGAGATCACGCCACTGCACTCCAGCCTGGGCGACAGAGCGAGACTCTGTCTCAGAAAACAAGAAAAGAAAAAGTTTTCTAGCCTCTGATAACCGTTAAAGTGGGTGAAAAGCCAAATCTTGAATTTAAGGTTAACTTGGGAAGGAAGGCAATATAGGCCATGGCATGACCTATTTATAGAATTCTGTTCAGTAGTGAAGAAACCGTAAATGGTTTGAATGGTAGCTTTAAGGAGAAATATGGCAAAATGAACATTTTTTTCACATAGGAAAGATTTGAGTGTGTTAGTAACATAAGAAAAAATGTCAATTGAATAGGAGATAATGAAGCTGTGAAGGAGGAGTAAAGTTGGTATAGGGTTTTGGAGAATGTAGGAAAGAGTAGGTATATTTATTAGTGGAAAGGAGCCAAAGACTTTTCTTTGAAACACTGAGCAGGACAAAAAAGAGAATTATATTAGATATTAGAAATATAGGGCTGTTTTGAAGTCAGGCCAAGGCATTAGGAATAGGAATTTTCATTAGATGGCTATAACTTCGCTCAGGTAGGGATGAAGATAAGATGGTTCAAATGTTGAATTGGTTCAATAATTATTCTTTTCACTACTCAACAGTTGTTACAATTATTTTTTAATCTCCCAGTCATGTTTAGTTTGATAAAAAAATACAAGAAAGTAAGAATAATTATACAATTTTGGATAGGGTTATAAACTATTTTTTAACAGCTTAAAGTTAGGAAATACAAGTAGGATTTACATTTTTGATGGTATTATATTATAAATTACTATTTAAAGTCTACAATGTATTTTTATAAACAGCTTTATTGAGGTACGATTGTATAATAAACAATGGTGCAATTTGAAAATTCTGACATGCATCATACTCCTGTGAAATTGTCATCATTCTACCTGTATCTCTTGGTCCCCCCTTTCACAAATCTTGATATGTTGTTTTTTTCATTTTTATTCTGCAAAATCCCTTTTTTAAATTTTTTGAGATGGAGTCTCGCTCTGTCACCCAGGCTAGTGTGCAGTGGTGAGATCTCAGCCCACTGCAGTCTCCTGCCTCAGCCTCCTGAGTAGGTGGGATTGATTACAGGAGTGCGTCACCACCCCCAGCTAATTTTTGTACTTTTAGTAGAGACGGGGTTTTGCCATGTTGGCCAGGCTGGTCTCAAACTCCTGACCTCAGGTGATCCTCCCGCCTCGGTCTCCCAAAGTGCTGGGTCAGAATACTTTTTAATTTCCTTTTTTCTTCTTTGACACCTGGGTTATTTAAAAGTGTGTTATTCACATGGACACAGGAAGGGGAACATCACACACCAGGGACTGTTGTGGGGTTGGGGGAGGAGGGAGGGATAGCATTAGGAGATATACCTAATGCTAAATGACAGTTAATGGGTGCAGCACACCAACTTGTCACATTTATATGTATGTAACAAACATGCACGTTGTGCATATGCACCCTAAAACTTAAAGTATAATAATAATAAAATTTAAAAATAAAAAAATAAAAGTGTGTTATTTAGTTTCTAAATATTTGGAGATTTTCCAGAGATCCTTCTGTTGTTTCTGATTTAATTTCATGTTGTCACAAAAATATTTTGCCTCATTTGAATCCTTTTAAACTCATCAAGACTTGTTTTATGGCCCATAATATAGTCTATCTTGGTAACGATATTCAGTGTGCATTTGAAAAGAACATGTGTTTTGCTTTGTCAGGTAGGGTGTCATATAAATGTCTTGTCAAGGTGGTAGATAGTGTTGTTCTCATCTTCCCTATGCTTACTTATTTTCCATCTACGCGTTCTGTCAGTTATTGCGAAGGGTTATTGAAATCACCAGTTACAACTGTGAATTTATGTGTTTTTTGTTGCAGTTTTTCAGTATTTTAAAGCTCTGTTTATTAGGTACATAAATATATGGAATTGTTATGTCCTTTTTTTTTTTTTTTTTTTTTTTTTTGGAGCCAGAGCCTTGCTCTGTCGCCCAGGCTGGAGTGCAGTGGTATGATTTCAGCTTACTGCAACCTCTGCCTCCTGGGTTCAAGTGATTCTCATGCCTCAACCTTCCCAGTAGCTGGGATTACAGGCACGCGTCACCATTGCCTGGCTAATTTTTTGTATTTTTAGTAGAGATGGGGTTTCGCCATGTTGCCCAGGCTGGTCTTGAACTTCTGAGCTCAGACAATCTGTCCACCTCGGCCTCCCAAAGTGCTGGGATTACAGGCATGAGCCACTGCACCTGGCTGTTATGTCCTTTTGATGAATCAACTCTTTCATAATTATAAATGACTCTTTTTATCCCTGGTAATGTCCTTTGTATAGAAATCTTTTTTTTTTTTTTTTAAATAAGAAACAGAGTTTTGCTCTGTCAGGCTGGAGTGCAGTGGTGCAGTTATAACTAACTGCAGTCTTGAACTCTTGGCCACAAGTGATCCTCCTGCCTTGCCCTCCCAAAGCCCCGGGATTACAGGCATGAGCCACCACACCCAGCCTATTTCTTATATTTTATTTGAGTGTCTTTTAGTTGTTTCAGGTAGAAGTATAATCTGTTTCTCCATCTTGGTCAGAGCAGAAGTCTGAGAATATTTTTTAAATGCCCATTATTTAAGAACCATATTCGCAATGGTAACTTTTTCTTTTTGTTTGTATCAGTGATATTTAGAAGAATCTGATGAAGGTTATGGATCTTAGCCTCCCACCTGCCAATCTACAGAGGCTTATGCATATAAAATTTTGGTTGCAATTTCATGGGATTTATAGGCTTGAAGTTTAATTCACTCCTGCCTAGGAATTCTTGCTTTCCAACTCTCGTTGTGTATTAGAATCACATGAGAGAGCTTGCAACAAAATATATTCTTCACCACGTACCTATGAAATCTGAATCTTTGATTAGTGGGACCCAGACTTTGTTTTTATTAATAAAACTCCCCAGGTAATTCTAATGTGCAGCCAAGATTAAAGACAACTCTGTTTTAAAATAGAGAGTGACTTCTTCAAAAGGTTTATCTTCCTTCCCTTTATTGGTGAGAATATTAGGGAGGGGTCATATAGGGAACCAGTTACTCTTTATACCCAGCCCAAGTAGCAACAGTTACTTTAAAAAAATTACCAATTCCACTTTCAGACTTTGTCTTGGTAAACCGTGTTTGGGCTTTTAACAAGAGTGTATACAGAAGTTAAAATAAGAAATCTTTTTCAGTTTTGTTTCATAATTTGCTTTAACAAAATGCAAAATATTAGAATATCTCTATTGTAAACAAAATGCAGCTAGCTGTATGTCAATTAACATGGACCTCAGAGCCCAAGAGCCTGTTATAAGAAATAAGGCTGTAAGTAAATAGGAATTTTAATTTTCCAAATCACTGGGTGTTTTTTTTTAATGTGATGTGCTTTGTTACAGGTTTTATGCTTTGTCAAATATATGTATATGTATATATATATGACTTTAATTATTGGTAATTCATACTAAAAAATGTACCTCATATTGCCTTCAGTGAGCTACAGTGTGTTTAGCTGTTTTTTAAAATGCCAGAAAGCAGTAAGGAAGAGAAAATAGTACAGAACAGTGTTAATAATTGAGAGGTGTGGTGTAACATGGACTCTGTGACTCCAGCACTGATGGATTTCACATTGAGTCAGTTTTTAGATGTGTCAAATTATGTAATCCATGGAGTAGTCAGTTTGGAATGCTAACTGCTTTTATGCAAGCTGATTCTTTTATATGAATTTCATAATGAAGAATTTGAACATCATGTCAATTTTGTATGTTAGGCTTTTCAATTTCTGAATCTTCTAATGCTTCTTGAACTAATGATGAAGTTTTAAAGGATTAAATGATTCTGTATAAATCTAGTTTAAAGTATGTTTTTCCTTATTGTAACCAACTTTTCCTTACAGCTGTGAACTTCACAGAAGTTAATGAAGAAAACAAAAACGATCTCTTCCAGGAAGTGTTTTCTTCTATTGAAACTTTGGCATTTACCTTTGGAAATATGTAAGTAGAGAACTGTCATTTAAAGCAACTAGTCCTAGGTGTCTTAGTGAGAGTATGTTGCATTATCCAGTAACATACATGGGAAACGAAGTATTAAATGGTATTAAATATCACAACTTCGGAAAAACTACCTTCTGTATGGCCTTATTACTATATTCGAAGATATTTTTATAGCTATTTAGAAGCAACATCCATTTGCAAGTGACTGTGGTTTATGTGAACAGATTCCTAGGGGTTTATTTCTAAGGTTCTTATTTTTAAAAAATTATTTTAGATAACATGTTGAATGTAAACCCTGTCACAAAGAAGTATAATGACTTGTCTTTCTTTTTTTAACCTCCTTGGATAGCCTTACAAACTTCCTTATGGGAGATGTAGGCAATGATTCATTATTGCGACTGCCTGTTTCTCGAGAAACTAAGGTAAGCTAAGTTTGTGTGAAAGCAAAGTCTTTAATGTTTTTAACTTCATGTTTCAACTATTGCCTAATCTTAGGCCGGGGGTGGTGGCTCATACCTGTAATCCCAGCACTTTGGGAGGCCGAGGTGGGCGGATTGTCTGAAGTCAGGAGTTTGAGACCAGCCTGGCCAACATGGTGAAACCCCATCTCTACTAATAATACAAAAATTAGCTGGGCATGGTGGTGGGCACCTGTAATCCCAGCTACTCAGGAGGCTGAGGCAGGAGAATTGCTCGAACCCGGGAGGCGGAGGTTGCAGTGAGCCGAGATCACACCACTGCACTCCAGCCTAGGTGACAGAGTGAGACTCTGTCTCCAAAAAAAAAAAGAAAAATTGCTATGAAATAACAGAATATAAGGAATGTATGGATAATATTTCTTTAAAGTTTATGGTAGTAATGTTTTTAATTGACTAAACTTTTTTGCTGAATGCAAACAAAATACATTAAAAAACTGCATCAGGGACTTATGTTGATCATTTTCTGTTAAGGATGATCAAATCCAAGAAGGATTTCAACAGATATTTGGGACCAGGTATAGTGACTCATGCCTATAGTCCCAGCACATTAAGAGGCCAAGGTGGGAGGATCACTTGAAGCTAGGAGTTCAAGACCATCCTGGTTAACATGATTGAGACCCTGTTCCTACAAAAAATTAGCCAGGTGTGGTGGCACACACCTATAGTCCCGGCACTTTAAGAGGTCATGGTGGGAGGATCACTTGAGGACAGGAGTTCAGGACCAGCCTGGTTAACATGATTGAGGCCCTGTCCCTACAAAAAATTAGCCAGATGTGGTGGCACAAGTCTGTAGTCCCAGCTACTTGAAAGGGAAGCTGAGAGGGGGGATTCACTTGAGCCCAGGAGTTCAAGGCTGCAGTGAGCTGTGATTGTGTCATTCCTCTCTAGCCAGTGCGACTCTGTCTCTAAAAAAACACAAAGAAACAAAAACAAAAAAAAAAATCAAATATTTGGAAACGTGCCAGGGACTTATATTATTATAAAAACCTCAGGTCCTTCTTAAAATTATATAAAATAAAAATGACTATTTAAGGCATTTGTTATATGTATTACAATATTACCAAAAATTATGACCGTTACTGAAGCCATCTATTGACAAATGGAGGAGAATGATGAAAAGTTGTAAGATGTTTAAATATTTTGCTATTATTCATGATTATTCCTAAATTTTATCTTTTCAAACTGTTGCTACTACTTCAGAAGATTACACATTTTATCTGTGTGGCAAGACACTGAACAATTTAAATTTTAGGTGTGAATCATATTTCCTGTTTCTGTACCTCTATTGTGCATACATATTATACTAATTCTTAACAGGAAAAAATACTTTTTTCTTTTTTTTCTTTTGTACTTTTTTTTGAAGGTTTTAATTTGTTTTAGAGATTGGAATAAAAAAGCTGTGATGATATATAATCCTAATAATAAAATTACTTTGATCAACGGTTTTGAAAAATACCCTTTAAAAATAATAGGGCATGGTGGCTCATACCTGTAATCTCGTACTTTGGGAGGGCGAAGTGGGCGGATCACCTGAGGCCAGGAGTTCGAGACCAGCCTGGCCAACGTGGCGAAACCCAGTCTCTACTAAAAATACAAATATTAGCCAGGAAGGGTGATGTGCATCTGTAGTCCCAGCTATTTGGGAGGCTGAGGCACGAGAATCACTTGAACCCAGAAGGCAGAGGTTGCAGTGAGCCAAGATCGTGGCGCTGCACTCCAGCCTGGGTGACAGAGTGAGACTCTGTCTCAAAAATAAATAAATAAATAAATAAAAGTTGCTCCTTCTCTCTCTCTCTATATATATATATTTGCCTCATTTGAATATATATATTGCAACTATATATTATACATATATAATATTAAATATATATATATTTTTTGAGACAGAGTGAGAACTCCTTCACCTGGGCTGGTGCAGTGGTGTGATCTCGGCTCACTGCAACCTCCATCTTCTAATTTCAAACACTTCTTGTGCCGCAGCCTCCCAAGTAGCTGGGACCACAGACATGTGCTACCACACCTGGCTAATTTTTGTATTTTAGTAGAGATGGGGTTTCTCCATGTTGGTCAGGCTGGCCTCGAGCTCCTGACCTCAGGTGATCCGTCCGCCTCAGTCTCCCAAAGTTCTGTGATTACAGGTATCAGCCACCACACCTGGCCTGTTGCAATATGTTTAATAGTGGTTACTATGTACCATGCCTTGCGCTAGGCCTACATCATCTTAATTCTTAAAACAGTCTTTTGAAAGTAGTGTTCTTATCCCTCTTTTACAGAAGGACTTACAAAGTTAGTGAACTTAAAATATGTAGCCCAGTGTCATACAGGTAATAATGGAGCTGGACTTCAGACCCAGGTCTCCTCGATCAGTTTTGCATTGAATCCCTGTATACCCTGTATTGCCCAATTTAAATCGATTAAATTTGTTTAAGATCTCAAAATTTTGGTAAATGATGTTTTCCAGCACAATGCAATAAAGTAGCACGAGTCACATGTAGTTCTTTAAATTTAATTATAATAGTTAAATAAAATTAAAAATTCACTTCCACCTCCTAGTCACACTAGCCACTTATTAAATGTTCAAATAGCTACATGGAGCTATTAGCTACTTTATTGGACAGTACAGATATAAAACACTTCCATCATCATAGAAAGTTTTGTGCTAAGCTATGTAATAGACTTTCAGAGACATGCTTATCATATAGTAAAATGATAAAAGATGACTGGAAGAGGCAGATCTGTGTCTTCTGTTTAGATAGCAATATGTTTGCATTGCTTCTCTAACTTCTTGACTAATATTTTTGTTATCTGCAAAATTTAAAGTTTTGAATGGATTCATTAATGTTAACTAATGCTGTTAGTAACAACAGTGAGGTTGTTCATTCTTGGATCTTGGGAACTCCTGTTGTAAAAAGCTATGAAATTCTTATGAAGTGTTCTGGCACTTAAACAGACTTCTAAGGCCTTTAAGTTTTAAATACTTGAAATTCTTTAGCAGGAATTATGTCAGAGTAACAAATTGGGGCAAAAAAATTCTGAAGCAAAGATTTGTGTTCTTCTCTAATTTTAAATTTATCTTTTTCCATGTTGTAAGTCGTTTGAAAATGTTTCTGTGGAATCAGTGGACTCATCCAGTGAAAAAGGTAATGCTCAAGGTGTTTATAACTTTTCACAAACTTCTTGTAGTTACTTTCTATGAATGTCCTGGATTAATCTCTTCTTGCTTAGTAACCTAGTGTATTCATTTTTAATGCAAAATGATATATAAAGTTTTACATATAGAGCTTAAGGGAAATAACCTGCTAGAGTAGATAGATAATATGAGATATAGACTGATCAAGAATTGTGTAAAGCTTTTAACTTGATGGATAATAGAAATATATTTTAAGATAAAAATACATTATAGTTTGAAACCATTTTAAGTTTAAACTCTGGCCTTTTAATTGTAAATTTGTCACTTGTATTTTTTTTAAAAACCAGTTTTTATTGACTAGTATCTTAGGATCTCAGTGCTTCTTTGTTTGGAGTTATGATGTGATCACATTTAACATATACTTACCTTGATATTTTTGTTTTCAGGAAATTTTTCCCCTTTAGAACTAGACAACGTGCTGTTAAAGAACACTGACTCTATCGAGCTGGCTTTGTCATATGCTAAAACTTGGTCAAAATATACTAAGAACATAGTTTCATGGGTTGAAAAAAAGCTTAACTTGGGTGAGTTGCCTTTTAAAGCATCTGATTTAGAGTATAATAATTAAGTTGTTTCTAACTCATTTTTTACAGATTATGAGTAATAGAATTCCAAATTAGTACCTGTTTCATTATAATGAATAAAACCATTATCCAGAAAAGACTCTTCTTACACTAGATGGAATTAGTGAGTATTTACTGTGGACCAACTACTAGACCTAGGGACACAAAGACAAATAGAATACTGTCTCTGCCTTCAAAGAAGTCATACTCTAGTGGGTAAGAGGAAATGCAGTCAGATAATATGGTCAGGAGATAACAGCAACAATAGATGTATGAGTAGAAGGCAATGGAAACAGAGAAGAAACATTTTAATAGCTAATATTTCCTCAGTGTTTTACAGTTATCAAAATGTTTTCGTAGTCATTATCTTATTTACTTCTTACAAAAACTCTGAGAAGTAGGCAAGACAAGAATTGTTTTTCCTATATTACAGCTGAGAGAGACAAGACAGGAGATTTCTTAAGGTCATATAGCAGATTTGCTTAAAGTCATATAGCATAACTGGAAGAATATAGAATCTACCCAAAGCCTATGCTCTTTCTACTGTATTATTTGCTTATAATAGAGAATGCTAATCAGAATCACCTGAATAGTCTTGTAGAGGGTCAGTACACAAGCCTAGGTCCTATCCTTCAGAGAGGTGAAATGGAGGCAAATATATTCTGAAAGAGTTTCCCAGTTGATTCTGATGAGCACTCACAATTAAGAAGTGCTGCATTAAGAGCTGTACATGGTGGCTTATGCCTGTAATCCCAGCTATTCCTGAGGCTGAGGCTGGAAGATCACTTGAGCCTGGAAGATCACTTGAGCCTGGGAGTTCGAGACCAGCCTCGGCAACGTAGTGAGACCATGTCTCTTTTTAAAAAAAAAAAAAAAAGGAAGAAAGAAGTATTGCTGTATTATATCTTGATACACACTAGTATTTGTGATCACTTCTTAATTGTGGAATTACTACAAGTAATTTTAGAGTATACAGGGGGAAAAATAAATTGATTTTACCTTCTGATACCCTCTTTGAACTTTTCAGAATTGGAGTCCACTAGAAATATGGTCAAGTTGGCAGAGGCAACTAGAACTAACATTGGAATTCAGGTAAGTGTTCTGTGAACTTCGGGGGTTCTATAATAAGAAACTACTCATGAACTCCCAATAATTTGCAAAATCAGAATATTTCAGTTAATATAGGAAAGCACTTAAATGCTGATCTTTTTATTGACAAAATTATTTTAAGTTTAGATGGATGTCCATTATGAAAAAATCTAGGAAATACGCTTTTTTTTTCGTCTTAAGACAGGGTCTCACTCTGTAACCCAGGCTGGAGTGCAGTGGCGTGATCTCAGCTCACTGCAACCTCTGTCCCCCGAGGCTCAAGCGATCCTCCCACCGCAGCCTCCTGATGACCTGGGACTATAGGTGCCCACCATGCCCTGGCTAATTTTTGCATGTTTTTGTAGAGATGGGGTTTCACCATGTTGCCTAGGCTGGTCTCAAACTCCTGAGCTCAAGTAATCCACCCACCTTGGCCTCCCAGAGTATTGGGATTATAGGCATGAGTCACTATTCCCAGCCAGAAATTTACAATTTTATACAAATACTGATTGTCTTGATAGCTACTACTTTTGCTAACCAGTTTTATGATTAATTATAATTAATTTTCTTCTATATTTTTCTCATAGTCATGTTTTTGACTAGTTATTTTTCTGGGGGCAAAAGTCTAAACTTAGTTTCCCTTTTTGAAGAAGGGTAGTGATGTGTTTGGAATTCTAGTGCCATTTCTATTGTAAAATTTACTTTTCAATTTTAAATTTTAGGAGTTCATGCCACTGCAGTCTCTGTTTACTAATGCTCTTCTTAATGATATAGAAAGCAGTCACCTTTTACAACAAACAATTGCAGCTCTCCAGGCTAACAAATTTGTGCAGGTAAAGATTAATTTATATGTATAATGCACTTTTATTTTTAAGCAATGGCATGCCATTAGAAAATTGCTTTTCTCTTTTTCCATTTTAAATACCTTTCACAGCCTCTACTTGGAAGGAAAAATGAAATGGAAAAACAAAGGAAAGAAATAAAAGAGCTTTGGAAACAGGAGCAAAATAAAATGGTTAGTATTAAAATGGAGTTTCATGTACCTATTTGTGAACATTTAAAATAATCTGCAGTATATACTGACCTTCCTTGCTCTCATTTTTCTAAAATATTGTCTTAACTATCTTGCTGAATATGCTAAAGACACTTGTTCAGTAGGATTTCTTTCATATTCTGTGTTTAATACTCTTTTCGGTGTAGCTTGAAGCAGAGAATGCTCTCAAAAAGGCAAAATTATTATGCATGCAACGTCAAGATGAATATGAGAAAGCAAAGTCTTCCATGTTTCGTGCAGAAGAGGAGCATCTGTCTTCAAGTGGCGGATTAGCAAAAAATCTCAACAAGCAACTAGAAAAAAAGCGAAGGTTGGAAGAGGAGGCTCTCCAAAAAGTAACGATCTTTTTCTTTTTTATTTGCAAGTTGAATTAGCGGTAATCTGCCAGGAGTTTGGTGTCAAAGTTCTGCGTCTGCCAAGACTGCCTGGAAAGGCATGTTAAAACATGGCTAAGCCCATCCCCCAGAGTTTCTCATTCAGTAGGTCAACATTTTTTAATAGGCTCTCAGGTCGTGCTGATGCTGTTGGTGAAGATCCACATTTTGAGAACCACTATGCTGAGACCTGAATTTTGGAGTTTGTGAAAGAATGTCTTAGAGAAGGCAGTAGTTTATTTTACTTGACAAGAAAGTTCACCTTTTAGGCAAGTGTGTGTGTGTATGTGTACTAATTCAGGCACCTGATAGCAAGGATAGGCAAAAGCTTTGTATTATTGATGAAATGTAATTTTACGAACAAATTCTGTAAGATTATATGGAATATAGTAAATATAAATATAAAATGCTATTTCAAATAGAAGCAAATATTTTATAGACAGTGTACTAATTATAAATTGTACATGGCTGTCCATTAAAATCAACTGCCTTTGAATCACTGACCAGAACAGATTAACTTCAGAAGTATTATTTTGAAAACAGAAGATTTCAGAATTTTCAGTTATTTCAACTTAGCTTTACTATAGTAAATATTTGTTTAAAATATAAATTCTAGTGTTATTTTTTTTTCTGTGATATTTGTGAAGGTAGAAGAAGCAAATGAACTTTACAAAGTTTGTGTGACAAATGTTGAAGAAAGAAGAAATGATCTAGAAAATACCAAAAGAGAAATTTTAGCACAACTCCGGACACTTGTTTTCCAGTGTGATCTTACCCTTAAAGCTGTAAGTAATTTCTTCAGTATTTTGAAGGCAAGAAGAAAAGACCATCAGGCAAGGCATGGTGGCTCACACCTGTAATCCCAGCACTTTGGGAGGCTGAGGTGGGAGGATCACTTGAGCCCAAAAGTTTGAGGTTATAGTGAGCTTCGATTATGATTACCCACTCTAGAGTGGGTGATCAAGAAAGAGAGAGAGAGAGAGAGAGAGAGAGAGAGAAGGAAGGAAGGAAAGAAGGGAGGGAGGAAAGAAGGGAGGGAGGAAGGAAGGGAGGGAGGGAAAAGAAAGAGAAGTCTCTATCTGCAGAAGGGGAAGGTATGCCTGATAAGTTACAATTCTTACGGGATTTAGATTCTGAGATTAATGAAATGTGTTGAGTTTGCAGATTGATTTTCAGTTTTTCATAGTGATATACAGTTTGAATTTCTTTTGATCTGCCTTTCCCCATGTTCTCTGGATTGATGATTTGTTTGGTTAAAATTGAAGTCTGAGAGTTTAAAATTGCCTCTAAGCCACCAGTTTTCTTGGCTTTGCCGACATCATTGATTTGACCCTTGAAACTTCTGCCAGTGCTCTGAGATATATTCTTCAGAATTGGAGTAAATTAAATATTAAAATTGAACCAAATTATTTGGAGACAAAGCATTCTGTCCTGAAGTATTTTTATTTACTCTTTAAAATGTTTTTCGTAAAATTAATTACATGGAAAACCTTTTTTTCATGTATAGTCCACAAGTTTTAACAGTTACAAATTTGTGTAAGTACTGCCACAATCAGGATTCAGAACAATGCTATCACTTAAAAATGATTCCTTCATGCTACTTATTTTGTAGTCCAACTCTCTGCCCACTCCTAACCCCTGGCAAGTACTGATCTGTTCTCTGCCTTATGAGTTTGGTCTTTTCCAGATTGTCATACAAGTGAAATCATATAGTATATAACCTTTTGACTGGTTTATTTTACTCAGCATAATGCCTTTGAGATTCATCAATGTTATGCATGTATCAATAGTTTGTTTCTTTTTATTGCAGAATTCCATTGTATGACTGTACTACAGTGTTTATCCATTCACTAGTTGGACATTTGCGGTGTTTCCAGTTTGGGGTGATTATGAATAGAGCCGCAGAATATTTTCTTATACATTCTTGTTGAACATAAGTTTTCTTGTTTCTCAAGTCAATACCAGGAGTGGGATTACTGGCTGGTGTGCTAAATGTGTAGTTACCTTTATAAGAAACTGCCAAACTGTTTTCCAGAGTGGCTATAATATTTTTCATTCTAACCAGCAGTGTATGAGAGTTTTGGTTGTTCTGTGTCCTTGACATGTATCAGTCGTTGTTTTTAAATGTTAGCTGTTCCAATAGGTGTGTTATCTAATTGTGGTTTTAATTTGTGTTTCTAAAAATGATTAACGATATTGAGCATCTTTTCAAAGGCTTATTGACAATCTGTGTTTTAGCTATCTTAAAAATTGAGTTGTTTATTTTCTTATTGTTGAGCTTGCATATATTTTCTCTCATTCTGGAGCTTCTCTTTTTATTCTTTTAGCAGTGTCTTTTGGGGAGAAAGAGGTTTTAATTTTGTTGGAATCCAACTTATCAGTTTTTTCTTTTATGAGTCATGCTTTTGGTTATACCTAAGAGTGCTTTACCTAACCCAAGATCATAAAGATTCATCCTGTGATTTCTACTAAAATTTCAATAGTTTTACATATAGATATATGATCCGTTTGGGCTTAATTTTTGTGTAAGGTTTAAGGTACAGGTTGAGGTTCATTTTTAGCATATGGATGTTATAATAAAATTATACCCACAGGATGTTACTTTATCGGAGTGACACAGAAAGGTCAGTGCCATTGAAAGAAAAACTTAGGATTTAAATTTCCCAAGAGAAGGGGACATGTCAATCCACACAGGGCCACAAGGGAATTACCAGGTTTGGCAAGCGTAAGTAGGGATGAAAGAAAGCTAAGTAGAGCTTTTATTGGGGTTTCCTCAGGAAAGGCAAGGTAAACTGTTTAGGATTGGCTAGTGTGAATTTCCATGGACTTTGGAGCATAGGGATGGTCTCCCGTTGTTTGGTACCTGGCCCTGGGGTGATTTAGGACAGAGAAAATAATTGGCTTTGTGTGTAAGAGTTAGAGAAGGAGGTGGCTGGATCTATAGACTTGAGACTTGTTGCTTTGCACATGAAAGCTGTGATCCTAGCTGTGCCCTTGGCTATCTCTAGGAATTAGCTAGCCCAGAGAGAGTCAGTCTCTCATTGGCCAGCATGCTTTTTAAGATGTCAAAACTGCATAAAATAGAGAAAATAAAAAACATGGTAAATGCAGATATCCACTTGTTTTGATACCATTTGTTGAAAACACTATGCCATTTTCATTAAATTGCCTCTGCATCTTGGTAAAAATCAGTTGACCATATTTGTAGGTGTCTACTTGTTTATTTTCTATTTTGTTGCACTGAAGTACTTGCTGTCTTTTTTTTTAATGCTTTAAGTTCTAGGATACATGTGCACAACGTGCAGGTTTGTTACATAGGTATACATGTGCCATGTTGGTTTGCTGCACCCATCAACTCATCATTTACATTAGGTGTTTCTCCTAATGCTATCCCTCCCCCAGTGCCCAGCCCCCCGACAGGCCCCGGTGTGTGATGTTCCCCACCCTGTGTCCAAGTGATTCCATTGTTCAGTTCCCACATATGATTGAGAACATGTGGTGTTTGGTTCTCGCTGTCCTTTTTATAAAGCCCCAGTGTCTCGATTATTTTTGCTTTGCAGCAAGTCTTAAAATCAGGTACACAGTGTGGGTCTTCCAGCTTTATTCTTTTATAGAATTGTTTGAGTATTTAAGGTTCTTTGACCTTCCATAAAAATGTTAGAATCAGCTTGTCCATATCTCCAAAAAACTCTTGCCAACATTTTGGTTGGAATTGATATTAAATTTTAGATCAGACTGGGGAGCATTGACTGTATATGTAGCATCTTAGCAATATAAAGTTGCCAACACATGAACATATTATGTCTCTCCAACTACTTAGGTCTTTGATTAAGAAAAAAAAATCAGCATTTTGTAGTTTTCAACATACCTTTAATAAGTTGTGTTAGATTTAATCCTATATACGTATGTGTTTATTTGGGGGGGCTATTGTGAATGGTCTATATGTACACATAAGTGCATATGTATAGATTTCCTTTATTTAAAATTCCCATTGTTAATTGGTTTGGGGGGTTTTTTGTTTGTTTTTGTTTTTTGAGACAGGGTTTTACTCTGTCACTCAGGCTGGAGTGCAGTGGTGTGATCATAGCTCACTGCAGCCTCACCCTCCTGGGCTCAAGCAATCCTCAGCCTCCCAGGTAGCTAAGACTACACGTGCATGCCACCATGCCCAGCTAATTTTTGTATTTTTTTGTGGAGACTGGGTTTTGCCATGTTTGCCCAACCTGGTGTTGAATTCCTGGGCTCAAGGAATCCACCCACCTTGGCCCCCCAGAGTGCTGAGATTACAGGTGTGAGCCACCGTGGCTGGCTGTTTTAATTGTTAATATTTAGAAATATACTTGATATTTTGTGTGTTGGTTTTATATTTTGCAGCCTTGCTAAACTCACTCTTGGGAGCTTTTTGTAGATCCTTTGGGATTCTCTACATAGAAAACTATGTTACCTGCAAATAGGGACAGTTTTATATCTTCCTTTCCAATCTGTATTCCTTTTATTTCTTTTTCTTATTGTCCTAACTAAGGCTTCTAGTACACTGTTAAATAGATGTGGTGAGAGAAGACATCCTGGCCTAATTGTCCATCTTAGGGGAAAAGCACTCAGTCTTTCATCATAAAATATGGTGATAGCTGTAGGTTCTTTGAAGGTGCCTTTTATCTGGTTAAGAAATTTCTTTTTTCTAGTTTGCTGAGAGTTTTATCATAAATAAAGGTTAGATTTTATCAAATATTTTTCTGCATTATTTGATACATGTGGTTTTGTTTTTAGCCTGTAAATATGGTGCATTACGTTAATACATGAGTGTGGACCTAGCTTTGCATCCCTGGAATAAGCCCCTCTTGGTCATGAGGAATTGTTTTCTTTTTTATATTGCTGGATTCAATTTGCTACTTTGTTGAGTATTTTTTCTTTTTCTCTCAGTGAAAGATTGATATGTCTAAAAAAAATGTTTTTGTCTAGTTTTGAAAGTGTCAGGGTGATTCTGGCTGCATAAAATGAATTGGAAAGTGCTTCCTCCTATTTTGTTTTCTGGAAAAGATTGTTTCAAATTTGTGTTATTTCTTCTTTAAAAGTTTGATAACATTCCTCCAGTGAAAGTGTCTAGGCTTGGGATTTTCTCCTTTGGAAAATTTTTTTTTTACTACGTATTCAGTGTATTTTGATATAGGCCTATTCAAGTTAATTATTTCTTCTTAGGTGATTTTTGGTAGCTTGTGGCTTTCATGGAATTGGTCCTTTTTATCTAGGTTGTTGAATTATGTGCACAGTGTGTCTTGTAGTATTCTCTTACCTTTTAATGTCTCAGTGGGCTGTAGTAATAACCTCTCTTTCATTCCCGATACTGGTAATTTGCATCTTTTTTCTCTTTCTCTCTCATTGGTCAGTCTGGCAAGAGGTTTATAAGTCTTATTATCTTTTTAAAAAAGAAATAGCATTTAGTTTCATCAGTTTTTCTTTTTCTTAATTTTACTGATTTCTGCATTTTATTCTTATTTCTACTTTCTTTGGGTTTATTTTGCCTTTTTAAAAAAGTTTCTTAAAGCACAAGCTTATGTTGTTTATTGAGACCTTCCTGTGCTTTTCTGATACATTTAATTCTTTAAATTTTCCGCTCTAAGCATTGCTTATGTATATCCCACAAATTTTAAAATTTGTATTTTCATTTATATTCAGTTCCAAATATTTTCTAATTTCCCTTGAGACTTCATCTTTGATCTGTGGATAATGTAGAAGTCTGTTGTTTAATTTCCAAGTATTTGAGGATTTTCTGGATATCTTCCTGATACTGATTTTTAGTTTAATTCTATTATGGTGGGAGAAATACTGGTTATGATTACATTTCTCTTAAATTTGTTATGTAGTTTATTTTATGACCCAGGATGTGAGTCATAAACAAGCAGAAATCAGTAAAAAGAAATCAATAAAATTTAAAAAGAAAAACAGGGGCCGGGCGCGGTGGCTCACGCCTGTAATCCCAGCACTTTGGGAGGCCGAGGCGGGCGGATCACGAGGTCAGGAGATCGAGACCATCCTGGCTAACAAGGTGAAACCCCGTCTCTACTAAAAATACAAAAAATTAGCCGGGCGTGGTAGCGGGCGCCTGTAGTCCCAGCTACTCGGGAGGCTGAGGCAGGAGAATGGCGTGAACCCGGGAGGTGGAGCTTGCAGTGAGCCGAGATCGCGCCACTGCACTCCAGCCTGGGCGACAGAGCGAGACTCCGTCTCAAAAAAAAAAAAAAAAAAAAAAAGAAAAACACGGAAAAATCGAAACTAAAAGCTGTTTCTTTGAAAAGATCAGTGATGAATTTTCCACATGTACACTTGAAAAGCATGTGTGTTCTGTTGTTGACTGGAGTGTTTTATAAATATCAATTGGTTCCTGTTGTTTTAAGATGTAATTTATTTCTTCTGTATTCTTGATGATTTACCTTTGCTACTTTTATCGATTACTGAGAAAGGAGTTTTGAAGTCTCCAACATATTGTGTGTTTTTAGTTCTATCAGTTTTTGTTTTATGTATTTTGAAGCTCCGTTGCTTACACAGTAACAATTATTAATGATCTTGGTATATTGATCCTTTTATCCCTAGAAATGTGTCTCTTTTTATACTGATAAATTCCCTTGCTTTTTATTTTACTTTATTTAATACTGATATGTTATTCCAGTTTTCTTTTGGTTATTTTGAGTGTAGCATATCTTTTATCATTCTTTTAATTTTATCATATTTAAAGTGAGTTTCTTATATAGCATTATAGAGAGCATATACTTCTATTGTGATTTTTTTTAAAAATCTATTTTGGCACTATCTTATAAGTGGAGTGTTTAGACCATTTATATTTAAGGTAAATATATGTTCAGATTTAGTTTTATCATTTTATTTCTTTTTTGTTTATGCCTTATGATATTTTCCTTAATCTATTTCCCTTTTGCTGCCGTCTTTTGGATGAATTGATACTTTTCTAGACATATATTTTAATTTGTCTACTGGGTTTTTTATTATGTATCTTCATATACCTTTTTTAAAAAATTGGTTGCACACATCTGTGTTATTAAGAAGCTATAGTAGCTCAGGTTATATTCCTAACTTTTAAATGTTTTCTGAAGAAAACATTGTGAAGGAAAAAACAGTGTGGATGCTCATAACACCTCCCCTGGCACCACTGTCATAAACTGAATATTGCTTGCAATGTCTTGGATTCACTGTCAATTGAATATTGGGTTGCCTGGCCCATGGGTCCAATCACCAGAATGGTTTTTTTCCCCTTTGTTCTTATAAAATGAGAGAAAAGTTTAATAAATGAACCAAAACTGAGATTTTGTTTGGTAGAACTCTTTCCCTTCCCTTCTCGTTCTAATGACTACAGTGTCTTTTTCAAGAGAATATAGCAGTTACAAACCACTCCTGGCCAGCTTCCAGTTAGGAAATTCAATTTTTATCTTTTTATATAACCCGAGAAAATCTCCCTCTAATTATCATTTAGAAACTTGCATTGCCTTGATAACCACAATGGTTGCATGTAGACTTCTATTATTACTTTTTACTTTTGTCTACATTTACTCTCAGTGAAGCTAAATGTAAAACTACATCGCTTGACCAATGAAAAAATGTGTTTGATTGTTTATGTCATATAGAGTCAACCAGTTAAGCAGCATATATCAAAACATAATGGTTTTTGAGATCATTTAGCATTGTAAATTCTCATTAGAACCTCACAATCTTGGTTGAATCTTTGGTATTTATCTGTTTAAGACTTGGTTGAACTGAGTTGCTATGGACTGCTTATGACCCCCTGCAAAATTAGCATGTTGAGTTCCTAATCCCCAGTGTGATGATGTGATGATATTTGGAGGGTGGGGCTTTTGGGAGGTGACTAGGTGGAGCCCTCATGACCCTTCCCCTTCTATCATGTGAGGACACAGAGAGAAAAGAACAGTCTACGCATCAGGAATTGGGGCCCACACCAGACCCTGAATCTGATAGTGCCTTGGTCTTGATCTCTCAATCTCTACAACTGTGAGAAATAAATCTTTGTTAAGTCACTCTGTGGTATTTTTGTTGTAGCAGCCTGATGTGACTAAGAACATACAGATGTAGTAGTACATATATGGATTCTGTCATATATGAAAATGGATATTGTGTCATTAAGATACAAAATAAGCATTCTGGTAAAAAAAAAATTATCTCTTTCATGGAACAGAAATAGAAGTTCTGAGATTACTAGTTACCTGAAAGTGTAGTAATGAACTGTGAAAAACTGTTGAAGAAGCCGAGCATTTAATGTGGCTTCCAGAGTTTTATGAAAATGCTAGATGCATTAAAACATGTACTAGGACAATTCAGCCTAAAATAGATTATTCTATAAATAGCCAAGTTTAAAAAAAATGGTTGCACACTTATCTATATTTATACATACACTTAATTTTTTTACAGTCTACTTAGAACTAGTTTTTTACCACTTCAAGTGGAACACAGAAGCATCACCACCGTAGAAGTTCCTTTACCTAATCTGGGTTGTATTTGATATATGTAAATTACATCCATATACGTTGAAAACCTCACCAGACTCTCATAATTTTTGCTTTTAAAAGTCATACATATTATAAAGAGGTTAAGAGGAAAAAAGTAGTCTATTATTTACTATTTCTATTCATTCTTCTTGCATTCTAGTGGTTCCATCTTTCCTCTGGTAACACTTTGTCTACAGAACTTCCTTTACCACTATTTTATAGCAGGTCTGCTGGTAATGGATTCACTTGGTTGTGTTTCATATGAGAATGTCTTTATTTCGTCTTTATTTCTGAAGGACACCTTCACTGGATATAGAATTCTAAATACAGAAATCAGTTCTTTCACTGCTTTAAAAATATTGTTCCACTGCCTTATGGCATCCGTAGTTTCTCATGAGATACCAGTAATCATATGAATTATCATTCCCCAATTGTGGCATGTGTTTTTCTTTGGCTGTTTTTGTGGGATTTTTTTTGTCTTTGGATTTTATCTGTTTAAGACGTATCTAGACCTGGTTTTTGCTGTTTTTCCTGTTTTGGATTGGTTGAACTTCTTGAATCTACAAGTTTGACTCTTGAAAAATTTGAGAAGTTTTCAACTATTGTTTCTTCAATTTTTTTTTTTTTTTGTAGTATTCTTTTTCCTCTTTCTCTGACAGGCAGTGACTCAAACACTAGAGCTTTTGTTAATCTTCTGCAGTTCTGGAGGTCCTCTGTTTTTTCCCCAAAGCTTTTTCCTCTTGGTTGTTTATAGTGTTCTGTTGATCTGTCTTCAAGTTCACAGTCTCTTTTCCTTTGGTTATCCCCATTCTCCCATACAGTTCATCCAGTAAATTTTTTGTTCTGGATATTTTATTTTTCAGCAATAAATTTTCCTTTTGTTTCTTTATATCTTACATTTCTTTGCTGAGACTTCTTCTGTTTTTCCATGTTTCAAGATTGTTTGCTCTACTTTTTTGAAACCTTTGTAATAGTTGTTGTAGATTTTTCATCTAATCGTCCCAAATCTGAGCTGTATCAGGGTTGGTGTCTTTTTATTGTCTTTTGTCTTGCGAGTTGTTGAGATTTTCCTGGTTCTTTGTATGACAAGTAATTTTGAATGATATCCTAGATATTTTCATCATTACTTTATTGACTCTGGGTCCTGTTTATAACCTATATTGAGCATTAATTTTTTTTTTCAATTTTAGCAGCCATTTGATACAGTTAGGTTCATTTTCCAGCTTCTGCGTGACTCCCTTCCTAATCTTCTGGCTGGGGGCTTAGGTCTGCCTATTCTGCTCTTCTCCAGGGCCAAGTGTGGGGAGGATAAAGAGAAAAAAGTAACAGAAATTTCAGACCCTCTCACTCTAGACTACAGTTCATCTGGTCATAAACAAGGATTTCCATCAGAGTTTTGGCATCTCCTCAGCTGCTACTGCCATCATTGCTGCTCCCATAAGATTGTGTCTTAGGGATTTGGACTTGCTTGGGGTCTGGGGCAGGAGAGAAAATAAATATACAAAAGAAACCAGGGAGTTTTCTTCTACTGTTTTAGTTTCATCTCCCATCACCCCTCCCCGCTTTTGTTCCTTGGGCCAGAAAGGACCTCTCTTGGAGCTCCTTCTGTCTGCACTCAGTTTGTACTTTGGGAATTGGAGAATTGGGTAGGAGCTGAGCATGGGCTGGAAAAGAGGGCAGGAGTAGACCTATCACTGGATAGGTCATACCTTGAATTGTAGTTTATTTCCATTTACTTTTCAGAGTCTTGATTTGTGCATTCTGTTCAGATTTTTAGGTGAATTCAGTGGGAGACGGGAGAAGTTAGCTTACTGCATCTGAACCAGAAAACTTCCTTAAAATATTTTTGAGTGTTTAATATTGTATCTCATTTATTTTCCAAATTTTGATTAATTAATATATTATTTACTTAAAGAATCATGAAAGGATTTAAAAGAATTATAAAATCCAGGATTTGAAATTACCTTAGAAGTCATTTAGGCCATTTACTTTTGACAAATTCTCTTCACCTCAAACAATAGCTAATAATAGCTAAGATTGACTACGTACCTGCCAGTGTATTAAGCTCATGGTCTACATTAATTCATTTAATTCTCACAAAAATCCTATCAAGTTTTTAGCTCCATTTTACTGATGAGAAAACTAAAGTTTAGAAAGCCTTCTCAAGATGCGGTCCTTGGACCAGTCATATTGCCATTACTTTGAGAGCCTATGAGGAATGCAGAATCTTGGGTTTCAACACAGATCCTTAGAACCATAATCTACATTTGGACAAGATCCCCAAGGTGATTCATTTGCACATTAACTTTTTCAATGCACTGGTTTAAATAAATTATAAATAACTTGATGAAGGTCACCTAGCGTGCAAGTTACCTTTAGGATCAAGAGAGTAAGCAGTTTACCTTTAGCTGGAGAATGCTCTAACATAGCCAGTTGCTAGAATTAAACTGTACCTTATGCAGTTTGAATTTTCTTTGTTTCTTGAAGAAGTTAGGGCACAAATAAGCTATTTATTCTGTTATCTGTACTTTTCAAATACTATTTATGCAGAGTCAAGTATCCTTAGGGAATGCCTGTCTACATTGAAAAGGACTTAGAGGCTAATTATCCTATCATCTGGTATATCAAGAGAGATGAAGAGGAAACATGGCAGTCTTTGAAATAACATTAAGCTAATCGAAATTTAGCACTTATTCAGATTGCTACCCTTAAATACCTTCCCCACAAAGAAGCCAGAGTGTCATTTTAAAGAATAAATCAGATCATGTTACAGCTTTGTGTAAAATGCTCCACCAGCTTCCTGTTGCTCTTAAATTCAGACACCTTGCCATAGTTCAGATGACTACTTCTTTTTTTAGCTTTATCTTAAACCAGAGCTCCAGCTCTTTCCATATACTTCAACCATATTGACCTTTCATCTCTTTCTTGAGCATGACAAGCTCTTTCGCATTCACATTTGCACTACCTCCTCCTTTCATTTGGATTGATCTCCATGAAGCTTTTCTTACATCGGCTCGCAGTTCAAATGTTACCTCCTCAGAGAAGCCTTCCCTAATTTACCATGTTGGAAATACCCTTTCACAAACACGTACCTGGTCATACTGCATAATTTGACATTCTTATGTAGTATTTATAGCATTTTTCAGTACCAGAAAGTATTTTATTTACGTAATTTGTTACTTCTCTCGCGTACCACCCTCAGGAGAACGTAAAGGTCCAGGAGGGTCAGTATCTCATCGGTTTGCTGTAATATACCCAAAGCCTAGGTTTTTGTGAACATCAAATTAGTGTATTCATGTAAGACTCTGAGAATGGGTCTGGCATATTGTACACACTTGTCAGCTGCTGCTATTGTTGTTAGTACAAGTGATGATAGTGATAATATATTTAGGCATTTGTGAAACTCAATGGAATAATTTATTTTGAATAAATTCAAGGTAATATCTAATTATTAGAACTGAGTACTGTAGTTAAGCATTTCTATTTTTATAGGATTGAAAAAGTGAAAACAGTCTAAATAATAGTTCTTTGATTGGAAGTGTTTTCCCCATGTTTTTCTCTTAGGCAGTTGTGATCAGACCATCAGGATATAGAGATGAGGATCCTCAGAAACACATCCATCTCCTAAAATTATGAACCAGCTGGGGCATGGAGTTTTTGAAGTCACTTTTGAACTTTTCAGCTAAAAGCCAGTTTTGCTGGAAATGATTGCTCCTAGATATTAGATTCAAACTGCTTTTCTCCCTAATCTAGACTTATGCAAAATCAGGCATCATAGTATGTTCAGAGTGATATTCAGTGTTGTATGCTTCACTGTATGGCATTTTTATTGGTGCAGTCATTGAAATAAATGTATGTTTATATAGCATTCTGTATATCATGAGTTACTCTGCCTTTTGTCTCTGGGTCCATAGGTAACAGTTAACCTCTTCCACATGCAGCATCTGCAGGCTGCTTCCCTTGCAGACAGTTTACAGTCTCTCTGTGATAGTGCCAAACTCTATGACCCAGGCCAAGAGTACAGTGAATTTGTCAAGGCCACAAATTCAACTGAAGAAGAAAAAGTTGATGGGTGAGAATTAATGTACAGACAAAATTATTTCAAAATATAAAACACTTAATTGTTAAGTTTCTATCTAGTACAAGGAGGAGACTTTTCTAACTGACAAAATTAAAAATTTTCTGAGTTCTTTAAATATTATTTTATGGTATCGAAGTAGATATATTTAAAGAATAGATGTAATTCATTAACAGTGAGCCTTTCCATTTTGACACAGACTTCTTTTATTTAAGAATTAAAAATCCTTTGGGAATGGCATATGATGGCCATACATGTTTTGAAGGTCGACAAAAATTTAACCTATGTTTTTCACAGAGGTCATGCTAGAAAAGTTTAACCATGACATGAATTAACTATACTTTTGCTATTCACTTCCCATGTTTTCACTGTAATAAGGACAAATAATTAAAAAGTATTTACATCTCCTATAAGAAGCTGAACCATGAGTGTGGTTTGTTTTTAATATTTAGTTTAATTCTTCTATGATTGTTAAATTAATAGATTTTTCTAAACATAGAATGAAATCAACTGATTATTATTCTTTGGAGTGTTGAGTTTTGTTTTTTGTCATTGTTGTTGTTTCAGAAATGTAAATAAACATTTAAATAGTTCCCAACCTTCAGGATTTGGACCTGCCAACTCTTTAGAGGATGTTGTACGCCTTCCTGACAGTTCTAATAAAATTGAAGAGGACAGATGCTCTAACAGTGCAGATATAACAGGTAGTTTTCCACCCTAAAGAGAGTGCTAATTTATAAAAGGTCAGGTTGTTCGAATGTGATTGTTAAATTAATTGGTGCTCTGGAATTTAAAAATCAGGCCTTAGTTTGTAAGTTTATGAGATCTTATTCACAGTTGTTACCATGGTGCCTGTCTTAACGTTGATAACTGGTTATTGTTAAAGAAATTTGAATTGTCTCACTTGATAGAATGTCAGTATTTTACCTTATGAAATCTACCTGTAGCCAAGTTTTGACTTTATTCTTTTTATTAAAGGTCCTTCCTTTATAAGATCATGGACATTTGGGATGTTTAGTGATTCTGAGAGCACTGGAGGGAGCAGCGAATCTAGATCTCTGGATTCAGAATCTATAAGTCCAGGTACATCTATATTTAAGTCTGGCAATGAAAACTCATTGAAAGATCAGTCCTTTTTTAGGTATTTTTTAACTACCTTGTTTTTATAGTGAACTTTCACACATAATAGAGAGGAAAGTGTACAATTTAAAAAATAGTTTTTAAAAACCCCTCATATATTCGCCACCCAGGCTAAGAATAGACGATTATCAGTATATTAGAAGCGCCCTGTGTACACCTCCTTGGTAACATTGCCCTATCTCCCACCAGAATAAACCATTATCCTGAAATGTTTTAAAAACATTCTCTAGCTATTTTAAATGTTTCTAGTACCTATATCTGGTGAAGTTTTGCTCTCTTCTGAATGTTATACAAATTGAATTACGCTATTGTGATTTCATTTATGTGTGTTTTTTTTTAAGATCTATGTGAATGTAGGTAGCCACCTTTATTTTCACTGCTGTATATTCTGTGAATATAATTGTCATATTTTGGATTGTTTGGTACTTAATTGCTATAGTAAACAATGTTATTTTGGTATTTCTGTGCCTGCAATTACTTATTCTTGTTAATTTTTTACAAATGTGCTTTAAGATACTTTAATATAGATTATCTCATGATCCCCAGAGAGAAATAGAGTAAGCGATTTGAATTCTCCCTTAGTGGCTTCTAAGAGAGTAACTTGCCTGGGTTATACAGCTAGCGGGAGAAGAAGGTAGCAGTTGAACCCATGAGATTCTTACATCCAACATTCTGTCTTTACACCTCTACCAAAGACTGCTTCAGGCCCATTCTTTCTGGCAACGTTTCTTTCTTCTAGGATCTTAATAGATTACAGGATTTAAGCCATCTCAGATTCCAAGGCCTTTTTCTTCTTTTACATATTGCTGAAGTTGTACTCATTTAGATAAATCTCTTATATTTAAATTTAGGAAACTATTTTCACGCAGCACTGGGTTCTTAGGCTGATTATCACCTGCCACTTTGCTGCCTTCTTTAGAACTAGCACAGTTCAAGGAACATTCTGGAAATGTGAGCCTAATATTGAGCTCAATATTTGTAATTAGCTTTGTAACAACAAACTGGTTCTAGGTAGCTCCAGAAATTATGACCCAATCTAGAGCAAGCCCCAAATTATTTAGGATCCCATAAGACTTCATGTGGTAAAGGCAAAATTTTAGAAACCACATCACCTGATAAATGGGTGAAAACCTGGGAATGCCTTGCCTGGGAAAAAGGAAAATTGGAGACCTGTCAGCTGTCTTCAAATACTGGAAGTGACAAGGGATTAAAGTTAGAGTGCTTGTTTCCTCCATTTGGGAAAAATATGACCAAGGCTGGGATTTATAGGGAGGCAGATTTCTGTTCAGTAATATAAGAAATGCATTTTACAATTAGAATAGTTATAAAATGGAGTAATACAACCTTGTGATTTATCAGTCATTGGGGGCACATTCAAAGTGAAAACTAGATAGCTACCTTTAAGCATATTGTGAAGAAAAATCCTTTGGTGAAGAGGATGTTCTTTAAAATCATTTATAAAGGCTTTTCTAACTCTGAATTTGAAACGTTTAAGGCCTTACGTTAAGGTGAATTCTTCCACTTAGATATAGGCCTGTGCAGAGGGAGTAAATAAACCTCATTCCCAGTTGAGCTGCTTCCAAACATGCTTTGATACATATGGCAGTGTCCTTTGCTGACATAGCTTGTATCCTGTGGTCTCAGCTCCCTGCCAGTATCTCTGGGCTGTTGTTCCTGGTTCCCAGTCGGCAGTCTTGCCAGTAACATAAATGTGATGTTACTGTTGGGTTGTTATATTCAAAGATTTTTGTATGTTGTAGAAAGCTTTTGGTTTAATTGTATACATTTATAACTTAATTCAGCAAACATTAATGACAACTTTACTGTTGTGCCAGCTACTCTGTCACATATTAGGTATTAGATATGAATGGAAAATATCAGCTATACTTGTGGAGTTTACAATCTCTAATACTTACCATCAGAAGTTGGCAGTAAAGTGTTATTGGACTACATGAGCCTCAGTTTTAAATTTGTTTGGGAAAGTCAGATTTGGTTAAATTTCTTTTTGTTCCCAGGAATGAGTATCAAAATTCCCTGTTACCCAGAGTATGAGAATAGAAGCAAATTTTTACATTGAAGCTAATAAAATAGTATGACGTGTTATTTCAAAAGTGTTGTCATTTCCTATTTCAAAGATTCTACAATGAATGGTCAGGTAATTGTATCCACAATTTTCTTCTAGGAGACTTTCATCGAAAACTTCCACGAACACCATCCAGTGGAACTATGTCCTCTGCAGATGATCTAGATGAAAGAGAGCCACCTTCCCCTTCAGAAACTGGTATTGTATTTACCTGAATTAAGTCCCACTAAACCAGCTCAATCAGTAGCACTGCATGATATTAGATAAATAGTATAATTTTAAAGAATCAATACTTTTTTGTGTATTAAACAAAAAAAATTCACCATGACTTAAATATATCCCAACAATTATATATAAGTATGGGTTGATAATGTATTAATCAAATGTTACAAATACAAATATAAGAATAGGCAGCAAAACTACTGGATGTAAAATGTATTGGCATGGTGCTAAAATAACAGGCTAGATATTGTGCATTTTCATAAACCTAATACTGTGACTTAGTGTTAAAAGGGTTGTGGTGCATAAGAAATTCTAAAAAGCTCCTTCAAAAGAAACAATGCAAGAAAACTAAGTAAGTGTACTTCTTGAGGACAAGGAAGTTGTGGATGTTGAAGGATAAAGTTAAATCAGTTACCTTAACGACTTGAATTAGATTCATATAAATTCATTTTGTGTTTAATGCCTACAGATACCTGGTTTGGCATCATTTCCTAAATTAATGGAATATGTGACCTCCAGTATAATATTAATATGTAATTAGCTAATATTAACTATAATTTTATAGTGAATTAAGGATAGCTTTATCTGTAATGCAGATAATGCTCACACTCTAACCTCATACAGCTATTTTTCTTTGTTTAGAGGGGCTTTTTCTAATGCCACCTATGAACACACTTCCCAGCTCTATGAAAGAGCATATTAATAACAGTGTAAATATGCTGATTCTGAAAACGTTATGTCATGTTATTATTCATAGCAGTGACTTGGTGACGATTTTTACTCATAGCTAAAATGTTTCATAAATGTGCCTTTTAAGAGATCTATAAATTAGACCTATAAATTGGATGCTAACTAGCTATTTTGATATTAGAGATTCAAAGCTTTTTATAATATATGAATGATTACAGGGTTTAAAGATTATTCAAAATATGATATCACATGGTATAATTTTTCTATCATTTTACAATTTTTGTAAATTATTTCTCTTGCAAGGACCCAATTCCCTTGGAACATTTAAGAAAACATTGATGTCAAAGGCAGCTCTCACACACAAGTTTCGCAAATTGAGATCCCCCACGAAATGTAGGGATTGTGAAGGCATTGTAGTGTTCCAAGGTGTTGAATGTGAAGAGGTAAGATCTTTGTGGAATTGTGTTGACCCTTTTATGCTTTTTGTTTTATACTTTTTTGTTTTTAATTTTACTTTTTAGGATCTTTTGCAAATATATGTTTAATAAATTGTACTACAGTACACCTTCTATAATTTTATATTTTATTTTGTTGTTAAATCTGTTTCAAATAGCGCAAGTAATACCTCTTAAACTCATTTTTGTTGTGTTACCTTCCACCTGCAGTTTGCCCAGTTGTGAATAGTTTTAAGGTTAACCAGTTTCAAACTATCATTTTCTTGTAGTGTCTCCTTGTTTGTCATCGAAAGTGTTTGGAAAATTTAGTCATTATTTGTGGTCATCAGAAACTTCCAGGAAAAATACACTTATTTGGAGCAGAATTCACACAAGTTGCAAAAAAGGAACCAGATGGTATCCCTTTTATACTCAAAATATGTGCCTCAGAGATTGAAAATAGAGCTTTGTGTCTACAGGTACATTATAACTCTTAAAATTTTAAAAAGCATAAATGCCTGTGTAACCTATTCTAATGAAAAGGAGACTTTAAAGGAAAATAATGCTCAGGGGTTTTTTTTGTTTTGTTCTGTTTCTGAGACACGGTCTCACTCTGTTGCCCAGGCTGGAGTACAGTGGCATGATCACTGCTCACTGCAGCCTTGACCTCCCAGGCTCAAGCAACCCTCCCACTTCAGCCTCCTGAGTAGCTGGGACCACAGGCACGCGCTACCACGCCTGGCTAATTAAAAAAAAAAAAATTTTTTTCTGTAGAGATGTGGTCTCCTTATGTTGCCCAGGCTGGTCTTGAACTCTAGGCTCAGGTGATCTTCCCGCCTCCACCTCCCAGGCACCTGGCCAATGAACAGTCTTTAATAACTAAATTTTTTCAGATTTCTATAGGAAATGTTACTTCATTTGGCCTTGAATAGTTTTTTTCTAAAATAATAATAAAATTTGAAATAGAGTGAAAAGATTGAAAATCAAGTATATGTAGATATCTGCATTTAGCCATTTGTACTAAAGAAGAATTTTGCAAAATTTTTTTCTTTTCTATTGAAGGGAATTTATCGTGTGTGTGGAAACAAAATAAAAACTGAAAAATTGTGTCAAGCTTTGGAAAATGGAATGCACTTGGTAGATATTTCAGAATTTAGTTCACATGATATCTGTGACGTCTTGAAATTATACCTTCGGCAGGTAAAAATTTTTACCCTTGAAACCCACCATTAAATTAAAAACAGCAAAAATATGATTTGTATTTTGCTGATAACATTTGCTACACATGTTTTTTCATTGGCATAGACGGTATAGGTATCTTGCTAATGATTAGTGCATAGGTCAGAGTATATGAAATACATGTACAATTTAAAGAAAAATAAAAACAAACTCATCTCCCATCACCCACCTTAAGAAAATAGAATATTACCGTACCTTATAAAAAACCCCCATGTTCCTCTTCCAAGTTACATCCCCCTAACTCCACCAAGGAGGTCTTTAATAATCATAACTCTCTCTCTTCTCTTAATAGTTTTAATACTTGCTATTTATTCCTAAACAATGTATTGTTAAGCTTTGGAAAATTGACTTGAAAGCATAAATCTAGCTGTGTAAGGAAATCCCAGTATCCACACAGTTATATGAAGTAAGTAAAACAGTGTCTGGATCATAGGCTGGCTTTGCCTTCGTTGATATTTTAAAATAGCCATTGTGATAGGTTAGTGGCCAAGATGATGAATGAGTCCTGGGAACATGTAATGTACTACATTTGGAGCACCTGGAAGGACTGTCCTATAAGCTGGGTACTGCACATTCTAGCAGGAATATGGTCAGGGAGTAGACTGCTCTTTTTTTTTTCTCACTGTTAAACCTGTAGTTTGCAGGAGTAGGTCCAAAGACCTACTCAGTGGGATGAAATAAATGGCTCTAGTAGCATCAAGCAGCAGCTTATGGAGGGATTGCAAGAACTTAATCAGCACATTGTCATGAGACACGTACAAAAAAAGACCTGAGCCAAGCTTAGCTGCTATTCTGTCCTCGGGTGAAAATGAAGAGATAATGTCAGAGAGAATAGTGATGATAGTCCTCAACATATCAATCTCTGCAGTTCTGTTGCTTCCAGCAGGATCCTTTTTAAAAAAAAAAATTTTTTTTAATTGACATATAATAACTGTACATATTTATAGAGTACACAGTGATGTTTTGATACATATAATGCATAATGATCAGATCAGGGTAATTAGCCCATCCATCATCTCAAGCATCATTTCTTTGTGTTGGGAACATTCATTACCCTCCTTTTAGTTATTTGAAAGTATGTAATATATTATTGTTAACTACAGTCATCTTACAGTGGTATAAAACACCAGAACTTACTCCTCCTTATCTAGCTATAATTTTGTACTGGATTTTTAAAAATATGGTAACTAGCTGCCATCCTGGGGTATCTCTTTTCCACCTTCTCCTCTTTTATGAGGAAATGCCTGTCATGTCTTCCCTGTTTTGTTTTGTTTTGTTTTGTTTTGTTTTGTTTTGTTTTATTCTCCTGTTTTGGTCATGCCCATACTTGAGCAAGGTAGAATAGGAGTAAATATTTAAAACCTTATTTATCCACGAATGTCTTTATATTCTACTCTCTTGAATGGAAATGTCATAAGTGTTGATAGTGTGGACGGTTCTAATATTTTGGACTGAAAATTATTTTTCTTCAGAAATTCAAAGGTGTTTTTTTTGTTCTCTTTGAAGCCTGAAATCCTTCTCATTTCTAACTTCTTGTATGTGGCCTATGATTTTGTCTCTGAAAGCTTGTGGAATCTTCTTTTTTTCCCATTATCCTAAAATTTTATAAGTATGTGTTTTGATGTGGGTGTATTTTATCCACTATTCAGGGCACTCCATAAGCGCTGCCAATCCTGGTTAGTCCTTTAGTTTTTGGAACTTCCCATTTTGCTGCTCATTTCCTCCCCTTTATTTTCTCTGTGCTTTCCATCTGGAACTCTTATTTGGATACTTGACAACCTGGACAGGTTCTCTAGTTCCCTTATCTTTTCTCTATCATTCATTTCTTTTTTTTTGTTTTCTTACAACACTTTCTAAGAGATTTCCTCAGCTCTATCTTTCTTCCTTGCTATTAACTATTTCATTCCTGGTATCATGTTTCAATTCCCCAGAATTGTAGTTTTTGTTCTTTTTGCAGCTTTCTTCCTTTTTTAATGACTGCCATATCTGAGGATATTTATAATTTTTTTTTAAGGATTCTTGGCTTATTCTCTAGCCTTGTCCAATAGAAATATAATGTGAGCCACATATACAGTATTAAATTTTCTAGTAGCCACATAAAGAAATATAAACAGGTGAAATTAGTTTAATATTTTACTTAAACTGAAAATATCATTTGAACATTTAATCAGTATTTTTAAATTATTAATGAAATAATTTTACCTTTTTTTGTTACTGAGTCTTTGAAATCTGCTATGTTTTGTTCATTTAAAGTACATCTCAGTTTAGACCAGCCACATTTCCAGTGCTCAGTAGCCACATGTGGCTTGTGGCCACCATATTAATAGCACAGTCCTAAACCTTTATGTTGTTGTTGTTGTTGTTGTTTTCTACTCATTTTGATTTCCGTCTCCATGACTGTCTGCTTAAAATGAAAGAGTTGAAAACTGAATCTCTTTTGAAGCTCTTGAACACAAGAAGTCTTCGAAGACCTTGAGCTTTATAGTAGGGTGATCTAGGTGGGCTGTTCGGGAAACACTTGATGCCTCTATCTCTATAGGTTTCTGTTCTTGGGGTAGTTTGATACTCCAGAGAAGGGTCTTTCCTTGCCTAGAGTGTGGTACCAGTCCTGTAAGAGCCAAGTAGGCTAAGAAGGCCACAGGATCTCTACATTTAGAATGGCATGTGTAGTCCACTAAATCCCCATTTTCAGATAGTTGCCCGTCTGTCCTTTGTGTTTGACATTGCCCATCCAGAGACTCTCTGTTTTATACTGCCCGGAGAAGAAACCTTGAGACTTCTCGGGAAGAGGCTGCTCAGAAGCGTGAAGTGGCAACAGGGATCTACAGATCTAAGCCTTCTCAGATAGCTCCAGCAGAATCAGAAGACCTAGTGCTGACAGTCCCTGAGTCTCCTTAGGATTCTGTCAGTCATGTTGGTTCACAGTTTGAGATTTCAGCTTTATCAGAGCTGCTAAGTCAGTACTTGTTCATTTGCTCTTCAACTCTTCAGCTTATGAAGTAATGCTTTTGTCTCCTCTCCTATTCTCTCAGTCCTGTGGGCTTACTGTATTTTAGTGGGATTGCAGGAAAAGAAATTGGGTATAATTGTTGGATTTACCATGTTAGCCCAGGAAACTACTGGTATATCTTTAATCACATTTTACAGGACTCTCAGCTGAAAAATGGAGGCCAAATACCTTTGAATGACTATAAATCTCATAATGAATCATCCTTTATTTCTTCTAGCCAGGCAAGGAGAGGAAATGAATAGGGTCCAATACTATCAGCTCTCATTCTGTCTCAGGAATATTATGTGACCGAGACTTTCATGTGGGAAACCATGTTCCATTCTTAAAACAATGTTAGAGAGTAGACTTCATGCTACTCATTTATTGTGCAGGAAATCTGCAGCTCCAAGAGGTTAAGTGACTTCCTTCAGATCCCAGAGTGGTGTAGGTAGAAATTGATCTCAAGGCTACCCCTCTCTAGGACCAGCAGAGGAAACCAGAGAAAGGGGCACCTACCTTCTGACTCACCACAGATAAAATAGGACATCAGGTAGTAGTCAGAGGTACCCTGTGTTTCATCACAGAGCAAGCGGAAACATTGAAATTCATTATGACACTGGGCAGATCAAAATGGCATGCCCTTTGTTAGTTTGAGAAGGTACTTTTTCTTTTGACCTATTTATGGCAATTCAAGGTGTATTAAAAAATTAGATAAATAAAATGTTAACAGTGTCTTCTTGCTGTTTCTCTCATATCAAGAAAATTCAGTTTATTCACCTTTTTAACTAATTTGACTTATTTTGTGCATTATCCTGGGTTTTATTTCAATAAAAGAGTTGAAGATCATACTAACTTTGGGGGAGTCGTGAATGTGATTGCTATAGGATATATACCAGACTTGTAAAATTCCATCATGCAGCTTTAGGTTTAGTTTTACTGATTATCAGTTAAGTTGTTTTTAATACAGATAACAATTTATGATGATGATTCTAGGTTTACTTTATAGACCACATCTGTAGCAAACATTTACATTACTAAATGTGGATTGACTTTAAATATTCTTAATGTAAAGGGACATGCTAAATCACTCTGTAACTGTTAGTAATAGTTGATTATTAACAGAAAAAAATAGAATGCTTACCCCAATGTAATTTTATTTCTTTAGCTCCCAGAACCATTTATTTTATTTCGATTGTACAAGGAATTTATAGACCTTGCAAAAGAGATCCAACATGTAAATGAAGAACAAGAGACAAAAAAGAATAGTCTTGAAGACAAAAAATGGCCAAATATGTGTATAGAAATAAACCGAATTCTTCTAAAAAGCAAAGACCTTCTAAGACAATTGCCAGCATCAAATTTTAACAGTCTTCATTTCCTTATAGTACATCTAAAGCGGTAAGAATTTTATATAACTAGAACATTTATTAATGGGCAATTGATTTGTTTTTTGTTTTTAATTGTGGTAAAATCCACATAACAAAATTTACTTTCTTAGCCATTCTTTTTTTTTTTTTTTTTTTTTTTTTTGAGACAGAGTCTCGCTCTGTCACCCAGGCTGGGGTGCAGCAGCACAATCTCGGCTCTCTGCAGCCTCGCCTCCTGGGTTCAAGCAATTCTTCTGCCTCAGCCTCCCAAGTAGCTGGGAGTACAGGTGCATGCCACCATGCCCAGCTAATTTTTGTATTTTTAGTAGAGATGGGGTTTCAACATATTGGCCAGACTGGTCTCGAACTCCTGACCTCATGATCCGCCCACCTCAGCCTCCCAAAGTGCTGGGATTACAGGCGTGAGCCACCGCGCCTGGCACTTCTTAGCCATTCTTAAGTGTTAAGTGTGTTCATATTGTTGCAGTGTTACTTTTAAAATGAACATTTCATTTCCAATCTGTGTAAGGGAAAGGGAGACATTGAAGATATATGTACATGCAGCCAACATAGTTCCCTCAGATGCCTCCTGTGTGCCAGGCTCTGGCTGGCTAAACAAGGATGAAAACATAGGGTTTCAGCCATCTGTTGGTCTCATCAGCTGTGGGGACAGATCTGCAGACAAATAGAGTACAGCATCATTGTTCTAACAGCTATGCACAGCATGCAGAGGAAGATTGTGTGGTGCAGGCATAAATCAGAGGAGATAGCCCTTGAATCAGACTTACAGAACCAAGTTGTATCTTGGTGGGCAAAATTACACAGAAGAGCATTCCAGGCACAAAGTCACAGACATGGAGACATGAGCTCATTGTGCATCTGAGAAATATAAGTGAATTGGTTAGGCTGCAATACAGCAAGCAGTAGCAGAAACTGAGCCAGGTAGAGGCCTGATAAAGTCTTGCATGCCTGGCAGTCTTGCATGCGCTGACCATCTTCCTTCAGTACCCACTAAAGAATTTTGAGCTAGGAATTTGACAGGCTCAGATTTGCCTTTTAGATATTTCTGGCAGCAATATGGAAACTAAGTTGGAGAGGAGGCCTTTATTACAATTCAGATCTCCTTGAATAATCATAGAAATAAAAGGTGGTAAGAGCTTGAAGTGAGGCCAGAGGAGTGGGAATGGTGTTGGAACTGAGATCTTCAGAAGGGAGAATCATCTAGACTTGGAGATGGGTAGTGAGACACCTGACAATGATGTTTAAGTTCCCAGTATAAGGACTTGGGAGGATATACCATATACTGAGATGGGAGCAGTTTTTAGGGGTATTTTTTCTTTCTGCTGGTAAAACTATAGTAGTTCCTTCTACTTAACTTGAAATTTATTCCAATACTGTGAAACTGTGAAACTCTATTTGGCATGTGGTCAATATTTTAATCAAATAAATATAACCTTTTCCTAGACTTTTTCCCCCTAGTATTTTTGTGCAGCTCATTTTCCCTCCACCCTCTCTATTCCATAGTAAACTACAGTCAAGGAACTCTAATAGGAAAATCTCATACAACTTTATGTGTTCTACTTTGCAGGGTAGTAGATCATGCAGAAGAAAACAAGATGAACTCCAAAAACTTGGGGGTGATATTTGGACCAAGTCTCATTAGGCCAAGGCCCACAACTGCTCCTATCACCATCTCCTCCCTTGCAGAGTATTCAAATCAAGCACGCTTGGTAGAGTTTCTCATTACTTACTCACAGAAGATCTTCGATGGGTCCCTACAACCACAAGATGTTATGTGTAGCATAGGTGTTGTTGATCAAGGCTGTTTTCCAAAGCCTCTGTTATCACCAGAAGAAAGAGACATTGAACGTTCCATGAAGTCACTATTTTTTTCTTCAAAGGAAGTGAGTTTGACCTTTATAGAATTATATTAGAACTTTGTAATATTTATGTTAATAAGTTAAAGATCTTTGAACTGTTTATTTTGAGGTTATGTTTTACTTCTTCCATTTTAAAAATTATCTTGCATCAACAGGATATCCATACTTCAGAGAGTGAAAGCAAAATTTTTGAACGAGCTACATCATTTGAGGAATCAGAACGCAAGCAAAATGCGTTAGGAAAATGTGATGCATGTCTCAGTGGTGAGTAGCCATGTAAAAAAAAAATATGTTTGCTGGCTTAAAATTTTACCAGTAGAACCGTGATTAAAACCAAGGTGAGGGGCAATGAGGGAAGCCAGAGAATGAAGCTTTATTAGTTAACAAATCTTGGCTAGCCATTGAGAAAGTTGCCTTTTAGTGTATCTTGCATTTAAATGAATGTCATTCTTCATAAAAGTCTTTCTTATAATAAGACATCTTGGAGTTTATAATGTTTTTTGTGTTCCTTCTGAATTTTGTTTTTGTTTTTGAGTTTTGCCATCAGCTAAAATCAAGGTAGAAATGTGTTGAGCAATGTGATATTCGTTAGTATCTTCCAGTTCCGTAGTTCAGTGCATTGAGCTAACTGCTCATACAGAGTCAACTAGACTCCTGAAATTCAAAAACTTTAGAGTCCTACTTTTTTTTTGACATGCTTTTTACCTGTGGCCTACATTTAACCTATTAAACACAGAGATGTGTATGTCTTTTTTCTTTCCTTGACTGCGATCATTTTATTCACTTATTTTCTCTTTATAATATTAGTTGCTGTCATTGCTAGTTGTTAAGCTGGTGGAAAAGCTTCCATTTGTATTGTCATTTCTACATTGTTATAGCTAAATTCCAGTTTTTTACATTGCAGCCATATATGTTAAATTTAATGTGTAATCAAGTATCAGTGATCATAGGGTCTAAAAAGGAAAGGAGGGCCGGGCATGGTGGCTCACGCCTGTAATCCCAGCACTTTGAGAGGCCAAGGCGGGCAGATCACCTGAGGTCAGGAGTTTGAGACCAGCTTGGCCAACATGGTGAAACCCCGCCTACTAAAAGTACAAAAAATTAGCCAGGTGTGGTGGTGGGCGCCTGTAATCCCAGCTACTCGGGAGGCTAAGGCAGGAGAATCACTTGAACCCGAGAAGCAGAGGTTGCAGTGAGGCGAGAACGTGCCATTGCACTCCAGCCAGGGTGACAAGAGAAACTCCATCTCAAAGAAAAAAAAAAGGAATGGAACTAACATTCACCAGGTACCTGCCTGTTCTGTGCTAAGCACTGTGCTTATTTGTTTGATTCTATTTGATCTTCATAATAGTTCTGTGCTATAAAGTAAATAGCATTATCCTCATTCAACCCATAACTAACCGTCTGAAAGAGACTAAGTAATGCCAAAGGTTGTTCTCTTAATACATTTGAACCCAGTTCTGATTACTAAACCTAACCTTTGTGGCTATCCCATGAAGCTCTTAGGAACAGTAATAATAATAAATGTCACTTTCCAGTGTTTATTACATACAAGATAATTTTAAGCACTTTTCCTAGTAGATCATTTAGATCACACAGCAACATAGATACACATAGGAGTCTTATTTCGCAGATGAAGACACATAGGACAGTGATATTGCCTAGCCCAGTGCAGAAGTGGCAGGCAGGGCTGAGCCAGGACCCAGGCAACTGTGCTTCAGAGTCTGTGCTCTTCTCCATTATGCTCTAAGTTTTTCCCTCAGAAATTTAAGAATATATGTTGGTGCCTAGAGTCCAATTGCAAGGAACCAGGTCCCTTAGAATGCTCTATAAATGTGTGGAGGACCTGGGAAAGCAAATCAAAAGAGCCTTGGGCCAGGTGTGGTGGCTCACACCTGTAATCCTGGCACTTTGGGAGTCTGAGGTGTGCGGATCTTGAAGCCAGGAGTTCAGGACCAGCCTGGCCAACATGGTGAAACCCTGTCTCTATTAAAAATACAAAAATTATCTGGGCATGGTAGCAGGCACCTGTAATCTCAGCTACTCAGGAGGGTGAGGCAAGAGAATCACCTGAACCCAGGAGGCAGAGGTTGCAGTGAGCCAAGATAATGCCACTGCACTCCAGCCTGGGTGACAGAGTGAGACTCTGTCTCAAAAAACAAAAACAAAACAAAACAATAAAAGAGCCTTGGAACCCAGGGAAGAGAGGCCAGCAGTCCCAGGTGTGGAAGAAGTTCAGATGAGACGATGACCAAAAAGTGACTCTGGTGGGCACCTGTCTGCAAACCACTGCCTAAGAGATGTGGGTGAAGGACTGGGTGGCAGAGAAAGGATTGCATGCTGTGCTTGGGGCCGACTGTAGCTTAAAGTCAGGATGGCGTCAAGGCACAGAGTTGGTGGATGTGTTTCAGCAGTGAACAGAAAAGCAGGAGAATGGAGGGCTGGAACATTCCTGGAATTGGAATTTTTTAGGATAGATGCAGGAACTGAGGCTTCTAAGTGAGAAAACATGGACTGTGGGTTCGGACTATAGAAAGAAAATCCGGGAGCAGGTGGGGAAAATGGCACTTTTTAACTTAAAAGCATTCAGCCTTCATTTGACAGAATGGATTTTATGCTTTATTAGTTGATCAGATATGGAGAGCATCTAAGGCATCTAATATCATATGCTCTCACTGGGTTGAGTGTAACTGAAAAGCAGATTGAGTGAGTTGGCAAAATCCTTGGGATTCAGGGCACACTTACATCTGGTTGGTGTGTAAATTAGTGTCACTTTTCTGAGGTTAATTTTCCAATGTCTGCCTATTGAAATTGTGATAGTCTTTTGACCCAGAAAGTACTTGTTCATGCACAGCACTTAAAAAGAAGTTACTCAGCAAGTGTTTTTTTTGTGTTTTGTAGCTGTTCATGTTGATTTAAATGAGTAAAAAATTTGAACTTTTAAATTCAATATACACCTTTAATACTGTGCAAATGTTTAACTCCTCCACATAGGTAACTGAGAATATTATTTTGGAAAAAATATGTAAGACTCATATTGTCTTGATAGAGTGTTCATCTCTAACTCATTCAAACTCTCTTATTAACCATGTGCCACAAACTTAAATAGATTTCTTTCATTTTCAGACAAAGCACAGTTGCTTCTAGACCAAGAGGCTGAATCAGCATCCCAAAAGATAGAAGATGGTAAAACCCCTAAGCCACTTTCTCTGAAATCTGATAGGTCAACAAACAATGTGGAGAGGCATACTCCAAGGACCAAGATTAGACCTGTAAGTTTGCCTGTAGATAGACTACTTCTTGCAAGTCCTCCTAATGAGAGAAATGGCAGAAATATGGGAAATGTAAATTTAGACAAGTTTTGCAAGAATCCTGCCTTTGAAGGAGTTAATAGAAAAGACGCTGCTACTACTGTTTGTTCCAAATTTAATGGCTTTGACCAGCAAACTCTACAGAAAATTCAGGACAAACAGTATGAACAAAACAGCCTAACTGCCAAGACTACAATGATCATGCCCAGTGCACTCCAGGAAAAAGGAGTGACAACAAGCCTCCAGATTAGTGGGGACCATTCTATCAATGCCACTCAACCCAGTAAGCCATATGCAGAGCCAGTCAGGTCAGTGAGAGAGGCATCTGAGAGACGGTCTTCAGATTCCTACCCTCTCGCTCCTGTCAGAGCACCCAGAACACTGCAGCCTCAACATTGGACAACATTTTATAAACCACATGCTCCCATCATCAGTATCAGGGGGAATGAGGAGAAGCCAGCTTCACCCTCAGCAGCAGTGCCTCCTGGCACAGATCACGATCCCCACGGTCTCGTGGTGAAGTCAATGCCAGACCCAGACAAAGCATCAGCTTGTCCTGGGCAAGCAACTGGTCAACCTAAAGAAGACTCTGAGGAGCTTGGCTTGCCTGATGTGAATCCAATGTGTCAGAGACCAAGGCTAAAACGAATGCAACAGTTTGAAGACCTCGAAGGTGAAATTCCACAATTTGTGTAGGGATGTCAAATTTCAGGGTTTTTTTGTTGTTGTTGTGTTATTTTGTGGTATTGTGCTTGTTTTGTGAAAGAATGTTTTGACAGGGCCTCTTTTGTATAGGACTGCCAAATCATGGGTTTTGCCTTTTGTTGTTGTATTTATCCTCTGTTGGTAATACTGAATGGTAGAATGTTTTGATAGGGTCACATTTGTGCCTCACTGGAATTATCTTTAAATTCTGTATTTTTAAAGTTGTGAATAAGATAGGTGGATTCGTATTTTTTAAAGTTCAGTTGACTTTCCCCACCAAATGGTCCATTTGAATGCATCCCTAATATATGATATAGTCTCAACTAATAGGTGCAATTTGGGAAAATCAGGTTTATTTTTTGGAGTGGAACTGTTATAAGTGCTTATTTATAAAAGGAATGTTTCTGAATGCAAGTGCCTAAAAAGATCTTTGTTGGTATGCATATGTTTTGTCACACAATTTTATAGTGCATCTTTCACCATTTGTGCTTTTTTAAGATACGTATGTAAGCTCTTATTTTTCAATTGGCAATTCAGTTAATTTTTAAATGTTTACATAATGGCCAGAAGGCTTGCAAATCTGTATTTAATTGCATTTTAATTAATTGCCAGTTTTTACATGTGATAGTCAGTTGTACAAAGAAAATGCACTTAAACCTGTTTCTAAATTATATATTCAGTTATATTATATTTGGCTTTAGATGGTTTTAATACATTTGATAGTTTTTCACCCCTTGGCTTTATTTTATATAAACTTTTGTTTTTCAGCAGTTCTGAACTTTTTAGTATTTTATAAATGGTCCAAAAAATGCCTGTTTCAGAAGTTTTTGAATTCAGTGCATTTCCTCTTGATTTGTCTGGGTTAAAACCATTCCTTTTGTATGAAATGTTTTGACTTAGGAATCATTTTATGTACTTGTTCTACCTGGATTGTCAACAACTGAAAGTACATATTTCATCCAAATCAAGCTAAAATTTATTTAAGTTGATTCTGAGAGTACAGGTCAGTAAGCCTCATTATTTGGAATTTGAGAGAAGGTATAGGTGATCGGATCTGTTTCATTTATAAAAGGTCCAGTTTTTAGGACTAGTACATTCCTGTTATTTTCTGGGTTTTATCATTTTGCCTAAAATAGGATATAAAAGGGACAAAAAATAAGTAGACTGTTTTTATGTGTGAATTATATTTCTACTAAATGTTTTTGTATGACTGTGTTATACTTGATAATATATATATATATATATATCAACTTGTTAAATTATTTCATGTTCCCGTGGCTTCTTTTCAGTTGTTGCCTATTACAGTATGAGAGTTTAAGGTTATTAACCATTGGCTTAGAAGTCAACACCTAGGATCATACATCCGTTGACTACAATGTGGAATGAATTTTATGGAAACCTGTTTTATAGTTCTATGTGATGTAAAGGTCTAGGGAGCAATAACCAGCCCTTTTTTTTCTGAAGGCTTGTTTTTAGTCCTCATTGTACAAAATATAAAATAATCATATTGCTATGAATACCTAAAAAGAAAATTAGAGCCCATGTGTATTGAGCCTTCTCTGTGTGCCAGGAACTTTGCCAAGGTGCTACATAGATTATTTTATTTCAAGTTCACAGCAACCTATAATGGGTGGGTAAGCATGTTATTATTTCTGTGTTACAGATAAGGAAACTAAGGCTTAGTTAAATGACTTGCTTCAGTGTTCCACAGGTGTAACAGGTGGAGTCAAATCTCAAACATAGGGCTGTCAGATTTTGATGGTTAGTGCTCTTAATGACTGTGATTACTAAATAATATCTGGTAGTTTTTAACAATAGAAAATGCAACTTTAAAAAATTTTTATTGTGGTAAAATACACATAACATTTACCATTTTTAAGTATATTGTTTGAACCATTTTTAAGCATATAGTTCAGTGGCATTAAGTATATTCACATTGTTTTGCAACCATGAGCACCTATTCATCTCCAGAACATTATCATCATCCTATACTAAAACTTAGAAAATGTACTTTTAAACTTCTTCAGTTCTCTTTTAATATATGGAGCCCACCCAAAGGTTATATCATGTAATAAACTCATTTCTCTGTTTTCCCTCACAGCTTAAAAATGAGAATTTCACTTTTGGGTCCTTTCTGCCTTTAGGGCTCCCTGGCACTTTGTCCAGCGTAGAGCCTTAAGCCTCTAGATGCTTTCTAGTTTCCTGGGGCCCTGAGGCAAGTATCTCTTGAGAAGAGGTTGCTATTTCTAGAGGATCCACAGTGTGCACTGTGTTGTGCTATCTAATAGTGTGGTGGAAATCATTTATCCAGAAGTTGTTTTTTGCAACATGGAAAGATACGTGACCAAAAGGAAAGGGCAACAGCAGGAGCCCTGTTAGTGCTGCCAGAACACCAGGAAGCCTTGTGGGAGGCGTATTGTCCAAGATGATGCGTATTGTCCAAACGACTCAGAAGAAGTCATTTCTGAAGGGTTGATCATAACTTCCCTAGCCATGTTTTACCTACAGAGAACTTAGTTAGAATTTATGAGTACAGTATGTTAAATTACTTTTAGTGTACCTTAGGCAGTGTATTTGTTTTGATACAGAGACAAAGACTATATGATCCCTGAGACTTGTTGCCTAGTGAACTCACAAGCAGATAGAATTGTACCTCAGTTATTTGGGTGATTTAAAGATGGTACTATGGCTACACTATTCCCAGCTATCGTTGTGTTACAGTATTTATACAACTGGAAACATCTCTCTAAATGACAACCATTGTATATTGTTAAATAACTTATAGTCAGTGGAATTCTGTGGGTTTTTCTTTCCTACAGGCAGGAAATTATGGTGATGTGTTGATATGATTATATATGTAGACTATTCAGTTAACATCTAGGAGTTAGCAAATTTGCTACATTCACAATCAGTATGTAAGTCAGTTGTATTCCTAGATATCAGCAACTAACAGAAATGGAAGTTTTTAGAAAGATCTCTTCAATATCATTAAAAAATACAAAATACTCTACCTAAGAATAAGTCTAACAAAAGATGTACAAGATCTTGATGGAGAAAATGTTAGACCATGTCAGGAAGCATTTAAGGAGATCTTAAATAAATGTAGTACTCCATAATGTACACGAATTAGAAGACTCAGTCGTGTAAAGATGTTCATTTACATTTGTAGATTCAATGTAATCCCAACCAAAATATTTTTTGCATTATTACCTCTATCTACTGTGTGTTTCCTTAAGACAAGGGCATTCCTACGTAACCATAGTACAACCATCAAACTTAGGAGATTGACATTGACATCATGATATCTAATCCATAGACCACATTCAATCTGCTGATTTTGATTGCCTCAGTAATGTTCCTGTGTTTCAGCATCCCAATCCAGGACCACATAGTGCATTTAGTTGCCCTATCTCTTGTTTCATTCAGTCCAGAACATCTTTTCAGACTTGTCTTTGACCTTGACACTTGAGGAGGATTGGCCAGTTTGTAGAAAGTTCCTCAGTTTTGGTTTATCATTAGATAAGACCCATAAGGTTTAGGATAGACATTTTTGTCCAATACTACAGAAATGATGCTCTATACTCAAATGTGTCATGCCAGGATGCACACAATGTCAATTTGTCTTATACCTGATAGTATTAATTTTGGTCACTTGGTTCAGATAGTATATACCAGGTTTCTCCATTGTAAAATTAGAATTAGGAAGTAATTTGTGAGGAGATTCTTAAAGATTGTAAATGTATTGTTTCTCATCGAATTGTCACGGGCTAGTCTATTGACAATTCTTGACTGAACCAATTACTATTTTGGTTGTCAAATGGTGAGTCCGTGGCTTCTGCCTTGGTTGGCATCCTACTACTGTAAGGAAGAGCTCTTCCTTCTCTATTCCTTCATTCACTTAAATCAGTATAGATTCATGAATGCCTGCTTTATTCAGTGACAGTGTATTATTGTCACTTATTTTCATGCTGAAATTTTCCCCGATTTGGTTTTTGGGAGTCTCTTCAAGCTGGCTTCTGTGTTCCTTAGAGATGCCTCATTGCTTTTTCCCCTCTTATTTTTTTTACGAGCTCATCTTACACTTTTTCCTACTCCCTACCCCAAGTCTAGAATTAGCCCTTTTTTCCAAGGAGCCCTGGTTTCTTTAAATGGGAAATGGTATATGGAAATGAAGACCTGAGAAAGGCTCACTGTCTTATTGGTGAACAGCTCAAAGGAAAACGTGTGTCTACACACATTCAAGAATAGTCACCTACTTCTATATCTATTTATATACATACGTATTGAAAACTTTGAGTTCACATTGACACCTTCAATTCAATCCTTTGAGGTTAATCTAGTCTCCCTTTCCATCTTTGTAACTTCCTTCTCTCATAGAAACCTGACTCCCATAATCCTAAATAATTTGTTCATTCTTCCTCCCTCCCTCAACCTCTTGACATGCCAGCTGCTGTCTCATCACACCCAGTCCCAAATATGCCAAATAAATCCGCAGTCATAGCAGCGCTGGTCCTGACCACACCAATCCCTAACATCCTCCCCAGCCTGGAGCCTGGACCATGGCAGCTGAATCTTTGACCCCAGTGATGTCAGTCCTGAGCACACCATTGGAATCCTAGGCTCCTGTCATCTGGCTGGAAGAGAGACAAATTCACAACCTTTTGATAATGAGCAATTATTGAATACTCACTGAATTTATCAGAGAAAGTTTAAAAGTGTACGATTATACATATTTACCAGGAATGTTTAAACATAGACATTTATGAAATTTATAGAAAATATTGAATTGTGGTTCTCACTTTTTGGTCTTGGCTGTAACAATTTTTAAATATTAATACTTCCTACAATAACTGTATCATGCTATTTTTAAGTGTCCTCACACTCAACCAATCTACTCTGCATCCATAAAATAAGCATGCAGTTCAGAAAATAGATTAAACGACTAATTGGCTATGCTTCTGAGTTACAAGTTTTATTTGAGTTCATCTTCAGCTTTAAACAATTAACAAAAAGCTGTACATGACATGAAAACCTGTCTCAGATTTCTGGATGCAGTCATGCCCATTCGTTACAGGATATTGTAAGTCTTCCTTTTATAGTGTTGACAGTACTGGAAATGAGATGAATAGTGACCGTTACCAATGAGGCATTGCTCATTGATAAGTGAATACAGCACTGAAATTTAAAAATCAGGCCGGGCATAGTGGTTCATGCCTGTAATCCCAGCACTTTGGGAGGTCAAGGCGGGTGGATCACGAGGTCAGGAGTTCAAGACCAGCCTGACCAACATGGTGAAACCCCGTCTCTACTAAATATACAAAAATTAGCCAGGCGTAGTAGTGTGTGCCTGTAATCCCAGCTATTCAGGAGGCTGAGGCAGGAGAATTGCTTGAACTTGGGAGGCAGAGGTTGCAGTGAGCCGAGATCACACCACTGCACTCCAGCCTGGGTGACAGAGTGAGACTCTGTCTCAAAAAAAAAAAAAAAAAAAAAAGATCGGGATGACTATAACACAGCCTGACTATAAGAATGGCAAGATCTTATTTACAGTTGTAGACACAGACCTGACACACAGTAGTTGCCATCTGCCAAATTCTCTGTAGATCATTTTATACCAGAAATTTGCTTTTTGAGATCTACTGCCAGCAAAATAAATCTTCTGTATCAATTATTTTAATCAAAGTTGTAAGAGTTCATCTAGTAGTTGCCAAAAAATGAGTAGAATGTGTTGTGATTCAACACAGGAGACTAGGACGGTGAACCAAGGTCTACATATTCTCCATCTCCAAGTATAGATACATAAGTCTCATGATTAAGATTCAATGAGAGTTTTAAATGATTTTTTTGTTTTAAAACTGAGTCATAAATGCAGCAGTGTGTACATATATATGTATCATTTAAAGAATGATTATAAAACGAATTCCCATTTGCCCCAACACCCTCATCAGGATGTTAAGGAACCACCAGGATGCCCCTTCCTGATCACATGCCTGTCACTTCTCACAGCAGGTGTAACCACTATCTTGAATTTTATGTTAATCCTTCCTTGGCTTTAAAACAAAAAAAGCTACCTATACAATTGTAACTATAGTTTATTTTCATTTTTTAAAAAACTAAAGTATTTTACTGGGTTTATACTACAATGTATTAATCCCACTGTTGATGGGCATTTAGGTTGCTTTCAGGTTTTCTTCCTACTATGAACAATGTTACATTGAAAACTTAATCTATTTTTCCCTTCATTCACTTTTTTTGTTTGTTTTTTGTTTTTTGTTCTTGACACGAAGTCTTGCTGTGTCACCCAGGCTGGAGTGCAGTTGCGCTATCTCGGCTCACTGCAACCTCTGCCTTCCCGGTTCAAGCGATTCTCTTGCCTCAGCCTCCCGAGTACCTGGGATTACAGGTGAACGCAACCACACCCACTAATTTTTGTATTTTTAGTAGAGACAAGGTTTCACCATGTTGGCCAGGTTGGTCTCGAACTACTCACTTTGAGTGGGCTGCCTGCCTCGGCCTCCCAAAGTGCTGGGATTACAGGTGTGAGTCACGACACCTGGCCCTCCATTCACTTTTTTAAACAACAACAGCAACAAATATGCGTTGTGATGATCATCTCATTTAATCTTTACTTAGGCAGGTGTGATGGTTAATACTGTCAACTTTATTAGATTGAAGGTTACAAAGTATTGATCCTGGGTGTGTCTGTGAGGGTGTTGCCAAAGGAGGTTAACATTGGACTCAGTGGGCTGGGGAAAGGCAGACCCACCCTTAATCTGAGTGGACACCATCTAATCAGCTGCCAGCGAAAATAAAGCAGGCAGAAAAATGAAAAAGATAGACTGGCCTAGCCTCCCAGCCTACATCTTTGTCCCATGCTGGATGCTTCCTGCCCTTGAAAATTGGACTCCAGGTTCTTCAGTTTTGGGACTTGGACTGGCTCTCCTTCCTCCTCAGCCTGCAGACATCCTATTGTGGGACCTTGTGTTTGTGTAAGTTCATACTTAATAAACTCTCCATATATTTGTGTGTGTGTGTGTGTGTGTGTGCGTGTCCTATTCTGTCCCTCTAGAGAACCCTGACTAATACAGATTTTGGTATTGGGAGTGGTTCTAGAGGAACAGAATATTAAGGATGGAGTTCTTTCATTGGTTTGGGGTTTCTGGAGTTGGCTGCTTAATATGATTAGAACCCAAAATGCTAAGGACTCTACTTCTAATAGTATGGAGAACACTGATAGTCCTTGGTGTGAACTGTTTAGAGAGTTATGCAAAATAAATGCATTTGACCCTCCTGATTCATTACTCGTGAGAGTCAAGTTTAGTGACTCTATGCATAATACCTTTCACCATATGTGGAGAACCAAGGAACATAATGAAGCTGGTTGGTTGTTCCTATGTTCAGTGGACAAAGTGATGAAAGAAAATTATGAACTCAGGGATTCTGTCTCCCAGCTTCAGAAACAGATAGCCTCAAATCTGCTAAGACTGCCCTGAGTGAGAATCTTATCTCCTGAACAGAAAGAGCTGAAATTGTGGAAAAACAAACACAAGCTCTTATCATGTGAGTGGCTGACTTGTAACAAAAGATGCATGCACCAGGTGTTTACTGTTAAAGTGAGGGCATCTACTGGAAAAGAATGGGACCCTGAAACTTGGAATGGGGACATGTGGGACTGCCAGATCCCCCTGATGAAACTAGGGACACTGAGTTGTGGAATAGATTTGTAAGGGCAGCACCTGCATCTTTGAAGAGCCCTGTAATTGCTGTAATTGCTCTTCTCTGTGTGTCAGATCTAATGATGGGAACTGCAGTCACTCAACTACAAAATTTAAATACAATGGGAATAATTGGATCCCGAGGTAGCGGGGGCCAAGTGGTGACACTCAACCATCAAAGGCAAGGTGGGCGTAGTTACCATAACGGATAGCAGAGGCAAAGCGACAATCAGAATAGTCTGATGTGTCTAGAGCTCTGGCCTTGGCTAATTAATCATGGTGTTCCTAGAAATGAAATGGATAGGAGGCCTACTGCATTCCTACTTAATTTATACAAGCAGGAAATTTCTAGGTTGAATGGACAAAAGACTAATTTGAATTATAAAAACAGAGAATCATGGCCACTCAATCAATTTCCAGACTTGAGCCAGCTCACAGACCCAGAACCCCTTGAATGAAGGGGAAGCCAGAACCCCTTGAGGAAGGACACCACATTACTGACAATTTATGCAGTGAATCTTTCTCCCATCCTTCCCCAAAGAGATCTCTGGCCTTTTACCAGGGTAACAGTGCATTGGGGAAAAGGAAAGGATCAGACATTTCGGGGACTACTGGACACTGGCTCTGAGCTGACATTGATTCCAGGGGACCCAAAAACGTCATGTGGTCCTCCAGTTAAAGTAGGGGCTTATGGAGATCAGGTGGAATTTTAGCTCAGGTCCGACTTACAGTGGGTCCAGTGGGTCCCCAGACTCATCCTGTGGTCATTTCCCCAGTGCCAGAATGCACAATTGGCATAGACATTTAGCAGCTGGCAGAACCCCCGTGTTGGCTCCCTGACTGGTAGGATGAGGGATATTATGGTGGGAAAGGCCAAATGTAAGCCATTACAGCCGCCTCTACCTAGAAAAGTAGTAAATCAAAAACAATATTGCATCCCTGGAAGGATTGCAGAGATTAGTGCTGCCATCAAGAACTTGAAAGATGTAGGGGTGGTGATTCCCACCAAACCCCTGTTCAACTTTCTCATTTGGCCTGTGCAGAAGACAGATGGATCTTGGAGAATGACAGTGGATTATTGTAAGCTTAACGAAGTGGTGACTTCAATTGCAGTTGCTATAGCAGATGTGGTTTGATTGCTTGAGGAAATTAACACATCTCCTGGTACCTGGTATGCAGCCATTGACTTGGCAAATGCCTTTTTCTCCATTCCTGTCCATAAGGCCCACCAGAAGCAATTTGCCTTCAGCTGGCAAGGCTGGCAATATACCTTTACTGTCTTTCCTCAGAGGTATATCAACTCTCCGGCTATGTGTCATAATCTTATTCACAGAGACCTAGATTTCTTTTCACTTCCGCAAGATATCACACTGGCCCATTACATTGATGACATTATGCTGATTGGATCCAGTGGGCAAGAAGTAGCAAACACACTGGATTTATTGGTAGGACATTTATGTGCCAGAGAATGGGAAATAAATCTGACTAAAATTCGGGGAACTTCTACCTCAGTAAAATTTCTAGGGGTCCAGTGGTGTGGGGCCTGTTGAGATATTCCTTCTAAGGTGAAGGATAAGTTGCTGCATTTGGCCCCTCCTACAACCAAGAAAAAGGCACAATGCCTAGTGGGCCTATTTGGATTTTAGAGGCAACACATTCCTCATTTGGGTGTATTACTCTGGCCCATTTATCGAGTGACCTGAAAGGCTGCCAGTTTTTAGTGGGTTCCAGAACAGAAGAAGGATCTGCAACAGGTCCAGGCTGCTGTGGAAGCTGCTGTCCCACTTGGGCCATATGATCCAGCAGATCCACTGGTACTTGAGGTGTCAGTGGCAGATAGGGATGCTTCTTGGAGCCTTTGGCAGGCTGCCATAGGTGAATCACAGCAGAGGCCTCTAGGATTTTGGAGCAAGGCCCTGCCATCTTCTGAAGATAACTGCTCTCCATTTGAGAGACAACTCTTGGCCTGTTACTGGGCTTTGGTGGAAACTGAATATTTGACTATGGGTCATCAAGTCACTACATTAACATTTGAATCAGTGGAAGAAGCATGATTGGAAAATTGGTGACATATTTGAGGAAGAGGAATGTGGATGGACCTCTCTGAGTGGCCAAAAACCGTGAAGATATTTGTATCCCATGTGAGTGCTCACCAACGGGTGACCTCAGCAACGGCAGATTTTAATAATCAAGTGGATAGAATGACCCATTCTGTGGATACCACTCAGTCTCTTTCCCCAGCCACCCCTCTCATCGCCCAACAGACCCATGAACAAAGTGGCCATGGTGGCAGGGATGGAGGTTACGCATGGGCTCAGCAACATGGACTTCCACTCACCAAGGCTGACCTGGCTACGCCACTACTGAGTGCCCAATTTGCCAGCAGCAGAGACCAACACTGAGCCCTCGATGATCAGCCCCATTCCTTGGGGTGATCAGCAAGCTACCTGGTGGCAGGTTGATTATATTGGACCTCTTCCATCATGGAAAGGAAAGAGGTTTGTCCTCACTGGAATAGACATCTACTCCAGATATGGGTTTGCCTATCCTGCATGCAGTACTCTGCCAAGACAACTATCTGTGAACTCGTGGAATGCCTTACCCACCATCATGGTATTCCACACAGCATTGCCTCTGACCAAGGCACTCACTTTACAGCTAAAGAAGAGTGGCAGTGGGCTCATGCTCCTGGAATTCACTGGTCTTATCATGTTCCCCATCATCCTGAAGTAGCTGGATTGATAGAATGACGGAATGGCCTTTTGAAGTCACAATTAAAATGCCAACTAGGTGACAATACTTTGCAGGGCTGGGGCAAAGTTCTCCAGAAGGCCGTGTGTGCTCTGAATCAGCATCCAATATATGGTACTCTTTCTCCTATAGCCACGATTCACGGGTCCAGGAATCAAGGGGTGGAAGTGCAAGTGGCACCACTCACCATCACCCCTAGTGACCCACTAGCAAAATTCTTGCTTCCTCTTCCCGCGACATTACGTTCTGCTGGCCTAGAGGTCTTAGTTCCAGAGGGAGGAATGCTGCCACCAGGAGACACAACAATTTCATTAAACTGGAAGTTAAGATTGCCAACTGGACACTTTGGGCTCCTCCTACCTTTAAGTCAACAGGCTAAGAAAGGAGTTGCAGTGTTGGCTGGGGTGATTGACCTGGACTATCAAGATGAAATCAGTCTACTACTCCACAACAGAAGTAAGAAAGAGTATGCATGGAACACAGGAGATCCATTAGGGCGTCCATTAGTATTACCATGCTCTGTGATTAAGGTCAATAGGAAACTACAGCAGCCCAATCCAGGCAGGACTACAAATGGCTCAGACCCCTCAGGAATGACGGTTTGGGTCACTCCACCAGGAAAAAAACACAACCTGCTGAGGTGCTTGCTGAAAGCAAAGAGAATACAGAATGGGTAGTAGAAAAAGAGTCATCAGCTATGACCATGTGACCAGCTGTAGAAGGGAGGCTGTAATTGTCATGAGTATTTCCTCCTTCTTTTGCTAAAAACATGTTTGTGAATGTATGCACTTGTACTAAGAAAATATCTTTATTTTGGCTGGGTGTGGTGGCTCCCACCTATAATCCCAGCAGTTTGGGAGGCTGAGGCGGGCGGATCACCAGGTCAGGAGATCAAGACCATCCTGGCTAACACGGCGAAACGCCATCTCTACTGAAAATACAAAAAAATTAGCCAGGCATGGTGGCGGGCTCCTGTAGTCCCAGCTACTCAGGATTCTGAGGCAGGAGAATGGCATGAACCCGGGAGGCGGAGCTTGCAGTGAGCCGAGATCGCGCCACTGCACTCCAGCCTGGGCGACAGAGCGAGACTCCGTCTCAAAAACAAACAAACAAAAACCTTTCCCTTTATCATGTGACAGAAGATTTATTGACTTCATATCAGCATTTAAGCAGTGTTAACTTTATGTAATAGTGTTTGGGTTGGGGATTGGTGCATTTCCGGTTGTACGAAGGATAGTTGTATTATGTGAATTGTAATTATGACCTTGTTATTGTCTTTATTTGAATATTATGTATGATCTCAGGAGATGTGTATGGGTTCAAGTTGACAAGCAGTAGACTTGTGATGGTTAATACTGAGTGTCAACTTGATTGGATTGAAGGATACAAAATATTGATCCTGGCTGTGTCTGTGAGGGTGTTGCCAAAGGAGATTAATATTTGAGTCAGTGGGCTGGAAAAGGCAGACCCACCCTTAATCTGAGTGGACACCATCTAATCAGCTGCCAGCAAATAAAAGCAGGCAGAAAAATGTGAAAAGGAGAGATTGGCCTAGCCTCCCAGCCTACATCTTTGTCCCGTGCGGGATGCTTCCTGCTCTCGAACATCAGACTCCAAGTTCTTCAGTTTTGAGACTCAGATTGGCTCTCCTTGCTCCTCAGCTTGCAGACATCCTATTGTGGGACCCTGTGATTGTGTAAGTTAATACTTAATGAACTCCCTAATATCCTATTAGTTCTGTCCCTCTAGAGAACCCCGACTAATGCAGCAGGTATTCTTAACTGCCTTTTTCAGACAAGCAAATAGACTTCAAAGAAGTTAAATAACTTACTATAGGTCATATACTTAATAAGAAAGGGTGGTAAGACTTCAACTCAGGTGTCTTTATTATAAATTCTGTATCACTTCTAAATTCCTTCATCTTCATTTTTAGGTCAGAGCTGCTATAAATCATATACTTTCAGACTGTATTTTTTCATTCTAGTTGCAAGGAAATTGAAGTTAAGGGTTATCACATCCCAACTCCAATGTAACTTTTAGTGTGTATGTATAAAAGTTTATTCATTTAATTAAAACCTTTGTGTCTAAAATTGCTGAAGTTCTGGGTTGCAGTGAGTTTTGTAGGTTAAATTTTGTTAATGAGAGAACAACACAGCAGATGACAGAATTAACAAGTCCACCCCTCCACCCTCTGTCCCAGAAGAACAGTTTAGAAAACAGTGCTGTGATGGAGAGCTGTTGAAGACATAAGCATATGGAATAGAGCTTGAAGGAGATCACTTAGCTTCTGCTCATAATCAGGAAAAGGGTCAGCAATCCACGTGAGAAATAGGTCCTTCATTAAGCCACCCTCTGTGGGGATGATGACCTAAATTCCAGTTTATTTTTAGAAGCGCAATTGACAGGGATTAGTGACTCACTGTGAATGTGGAGTTGGGAAGCGTAGAGAAAGGGATGCTTACCATGGAAACCTGAGGACAAATAGTGTAAGTGAAAACAAGGATTCCCGGCTTCCTTGCTCCTTTGGACAGAAGGAGGTAAAGGTTGGCAGGTTTAACCTTAGTATTCTAGAAGGAAGCCATTTATGATTAGGACTGTTTTTAGATACATTATCTTCTGATTTGGTGAATTCCCTCAAAACTGGGAAGCGTTAAGTCAAAAACTAAGTAACCATCTACCAGGATTATTATTAGGTAGGAAATTGAGATAGATGGTCTGTACAATCTTTCAAGTTCTGAGCCTGAGTCTATGCCTTTGAATTTAAAATGAAAGAGATGTTTCTAGGTGCTGAAAATCTAAAATCACTGCATTAAGCAATTGCAGTATTTTTATTATGTCACTGTTATGAATGTCAGCAAGGAGGCATTTAAACCCCATTACCTAGGAGACCTCTCTAGAGTGCTGGGGGGGAAAAGAATTCTATCTAGAGTAAAAATATCCTTCAGAAATTTAGGTGAAATACAGATGTTTTCAGACAGAAAGGAGAATTAGTTACCAACAGCCTTACATTAATTGAAATTCTGATGGGAGGTCATTAGATAGAAGGAAAGTAATCCCAGATGGAAATACAGAAATGAAGAAAAGGATGAATGCAAAATTAGCTGGGCGTGATGGTGCATGCCTGTAATCCCAGCTACTTGGGAGGCTGAGGCAGGAGAATCGCTTGAACCCAGGAGGTGGAGGTTGCAGTGAGCCAAGATCATGCCATTGCATTTCAGCCTGGGCAACAAGAGCAAAACTCAAAAAAAAAAAAAAAAAAACAGAAAGAAAGAAAAGGATGACGACCTCTAGAAAAGGTAAATATAATGAACATCAACTGTTACAAAACAATACTAATATTGAGAAGTATAAAATTTATGCAGAATTAAAATGCATGACAGCCATAATGGAAAAGGCAAAAAGCTGGAGTTAAAGTATTATAAAGTTCTAGCACTATCAAGAAAGTGGTAAAAGCAATAATTTGTATTAAATTTATCAAGATGTGTTTTGTAACATCAAAAAGAAGTTAAAAGACGGGAAAATAGAATACTAGGGTAATTCAAAGAAAGGCAAGATTGAAGAAAAAAGGATAAATGAAACAGTGGGTTAAATAGAAAGTAAATAGTAGGATGGTAGATATAAACCTGCTTAAATTAGTAATCACATTAAATGAAAATTGACCAAACATTCTGAGTACTAACCTACTGTTGTTGGACTAGGAAAAAAACAAAATCTACCTACATCCTGTCTAGAACAGACACGCCTTAAATAAAGGTGCACAGGAAGTGCAAGGATTGAAAAGGATACACCTTGGAACCAATGAAAAAACTGGTATAGCCATACTAATGTCAGATAACACAGATTTTAAGTCAAGGAGGATTACTGGAGATAAAGAGAGATATTCCATAATGATAAAGAAGTCAATCCACGAAGAAGATTTCAAAATTCAAAATAAGATCATTTCAAAATATATAAGGCAAAAATAGACAGCTAAAAGGAAAAATGGACAAGTCCATAATCATAAGGGTTGCTTTAACACACCTCTGAAGAGACAAAAATAAAATCAAGACCACAGTTAACAAACTTAACCTAACTGACATACAGAGAACACTGTCAACCGTGACAAAATTCATATCTCATTTAAGCTCATATTTAAATTTTACCAAAATTGACAATAAGCAGGCCATACAGAAAGCCTCAAAACATTTCAGAGGGTTGAAATTATTCAAAATATGCTCTCTGACCTTAGGGAAATTATGCTGGAAATCAGTAACAAAAGATAACTAGAAAAATCCTCAACTGCCTGGAGATTAAACAGAACACACTTCTAAATGATCTGTGGATCAAAGAAGAAATAACAGACACTAGAAAATATTTCAAACTGAACAGTAGTGAAGACGTGCCATATCAAAAATTGGCTGCAGCTAAAGCAATGCCTGGAGAGAGATTCTTAGCCTTCACTACATGTCTTGGAAGGTTGAAAGGTTAAAATCAATTAAACTTTATCTTAAGAAGCAAGAAGAGGCTGGGCGTGGTGGCTCACGCCTGTAATACCAGCTCTTTGGGAGGCCGAGGTGGGTGGATCACCTGAGGTCAGGAGTTCGAGACCAACCTGGCCAACATGGTGAAACCCGGAAACCAGTAAAACAAAACAAAATTAAAGAAAAATAATAAAGCTAAGGACTGACTCTTTGAAAAGGTTAAGAAAATTGATAAACCCCCAGTAAAACTAATCAATCAAAGAAGAGGAAAAATAACATCAGGAATGAAAAAAATATTACTAGAGACTCTACAAACATTGAAAGATATGATGATATAATGAACAACTTAACACCAATTTGAAAATTTGAATAAGAACAAAATTAAGGACAAAATAAACTGACAAAAAATCTGGAGAGTCCCCATCTACTAGTGGAAATTGAATCAGTTATTTAAGACATTTCCACAAGGAAAATGTAAAGCCTCACCAGTGAATCCTTTCAAACATTTAAGGAACACATTACCCCAATCTTAAGCAAATTCTTCCAGTAAATAAAAAAAGAGAATACTTCCAGACTCTAAAAGTTCATCCTCACCTTGATGCCAAAACCTGACAAAGACATCACAATATACAGAAAAGCAACTCTCAGTATATTAAAAGAACCGTATATTACTACCAAGTGGGTGACTTTTTTGTGTGTGCAAAAGTGGTTTAACATTTGAAAAATCAGTCAACATAATTTACCACATTAATTTTCTTAAAAGGAGAAAAGTATAGCTATCTCAATAAATAAATGCAAATTTAAAAAAAGATTTTATAAAATTCAACAGCTATGTATGATTTTTAAAAATACACTTAGCAAACTGTAGATATGACTTCCCTAAACTGATAGAGAAACACTCTTCAGGAGACTATTTAGTGGTAAAATATTTAAAGGTTTGGCCCTGAGATTGGGAATCACACAAGAATACCTACAATTACAACTTCTAGTCAACATTGTACTAGAGATTCTAGCCATAAAATAAGGCAAGAAAAAGAAATGAAAGGCATAAAGATTGGAAAAGAAGAAGTGAAATAGTCATTGTTTGCAAATAATATAATTATTACATGGAAAATTTAAAAGCATTTATAACCTATTAGAATTTGAATTGGAGGTGAATTTAGAAAAAAAAATGCTTAAAATTCAGTATTCACAAGTCACTTATATATTAACACCAAACAGGAAATGGAATTTATGAAATGATATTATTTAAAATAACATCAAAACATCAAATACTTAGGAAATCTAAGGAGAGATAACGTAGAGATGTACATCTGAAATACACAAAATATTTTTGGCAAAAATTAAATAACCAAATAGAATAATATATCATTTGTGTAGATTGAAAGGTTCAGTATTATAAAGATGGCAGTTCTCTCCCAAGTTGATGTATACATTTAACCCAGTCTTATTTATTCTTGTTAAGTATTTTACAAATGTGCTTTGGGGCACTTTGATATAGTCTGTCTCATGATCCTCAGAAAGGCAGGGTAGGTGTTTTGAACTCTCTTTTAATGGCTTCAAAGACTTGCCATACAGCAAGTAGGAGAAGGTAGCACCTGAACTATATCTCTTTGTTGTAAGTTACTTTTTACTTTGACATTCTTTCTTCTTCACTTATTATTATTACTATTATTATTATTATTATTATTATTATTATTATTATTATTTTGAGACAAAGCCTCACTCTGTCACCCAGGCTGGAGTACAGTGGTGTGATCTCAGCTCACTGCAACCTCCGCCTCCTGGGTTCAAGCGATTCTCATGCCTCAGCCTCCCGAGTAGGGTTACAGGCATGCGCCACCATGTTCAGCTGATTTTTGTATTTTTAGTAGAGACAGGGTTTCACCATGTTGGCCAGGCTGGTCTGAAATTCCTGACCTCAGGTGATCCACCCGCCTCGGCCTCCCAAAGTGCTGGGATTACAGGCGTGAGCCACCGCGCCCAGCCTCTTTTTCACTTTATACCACAGACTATTCCAGTCCTATTCTACCTGGCTACATCCCTTCCTCATAGGATCCTTCCTCAAAGGGTCCCAAAGATCTCTTGGAGAATACACTGTCAGATTTAACTCACCTCAAAATTCAGGTGTTTAAAAAAAAATACTATGCATGCTACATATTATGGAAATTTATTCATTTAAATAAATGCCTTGAATTTAAAGTTAGAAAAATTTTCCACCCAGCACTGTGATTGTCGGACTTTGTTGCCTCCTTCAAAACTAGCACCATTCAAGGGACACCCTGGAGATGTGAGACTAAATATTTAACTGAATATTTGTAATTAGCTTTGTAACAACAAAATGGTTCTAGCTAGCTCCAGAAATTAATGCCTAATCTAGAGAAAGCCCTACATTATTTTGGGATCCTGTAAGACTTCATGTGATAAAGACAATTTTCTAGCATGAGGGAGTTGAGTGGGTTGTGTAAGTTACACATTCTTTTGGTTATCCTTTGAATAGGGCTTTTCTTTCCTCACCACTTGCCTCTTTTTTAAGTTACATTTGATGCTGAAGAGGGATTTTTTTTTTTTTTTAAAGCTCATAAACTTATTTGGGCTAAGCTTTTATCAGATAAGGCTCCTCATAAAATAATGTGTCCAGCACTGTTCAGAGCTTCCCTAATGTTACCAGGCTCCCTTGGAATTACATTGAAGTTGTCATTGGTCAGATTACATTTGAAGTAGAACGTGTAATAATTAAATGTGTAATTTAAGAAGAATGTAGACATATACCAGTTGGCAGTGATGATGGAGCACTGAGAACTTGTTCAAGAAATGTTGAGGAACTATAATTAACAAAATTTTAGTGACTTATTGTGAATATAGAATTGGGAAAGGTGAGGCTGGAGTTGGACAAGGTAGGGAAGGGCCAGAATCTGTAAACCAAATCACATGATGAATAGGTGAAGACTGGAGGTGCCTCTCCTGGAAAAGAGGAAAATTGGGGACATGACAGCTGTCCTCAAATACTGCAAGCAAATAGGGACTAAACTTAGACTATTTATTTGCTCCTTTAGGAAAAAATACGATCAAAAGCTAAGATTGAGATGCACATTTCTGCTTTATAAAAAGAACTCATTTTACAATTAGAACAGTTCAAAATGGAACACATGACCTTGTGATCTATCAGTCATTAGGGACACACTCAAAGCAAAAACTACGTGACCACTGTCTTAGTCTGCTCTTGCTGCTATAACAAAATACCACAGCCTGGATAACTTACAGACAACAGAAATTTGCATATCACAGTTCTGGAGGCTGAGAAGTCCAAGATCAAGGCACCAGCAGATTGGGTGTTTGGCAAGGGCTTGTTGTCTGCTTCCAAGACGGCACCTTGCTGTTGTGTCCTCACATGGCAGAAGGGTGAATGCTATGTCCTCACATGGTCAAAGGCAGAAGGACAAAAGGTGCTGATTGCTGTGTGAAGCCTCTTCTATAAGGGCATTAATCTCATTGGTGGGGATGATGATGCCCTCATGGCCTAATCAACTTCTAAAGGCCCCACCTCTTAATACTATCGTATTGGGGATTAACTTTCAATGTATGCATTTTGGAGAGACACATTCAGACCATAGAAACCACCTTTAAGCATATTGTGAAGAAAAATCTTTTTGGGGAAAGGAAGTAAATAAACCTAATTCCCAGCTGGGCTGCATCCAAAAATGCTTTGACACACAAGGGTCCTTTGCTGAAATAGCTTACATCCTGTGACCTCAACTCCCTGCCAGGATCATTGGGCTGTTGTTCTTGGCTTCCAGTCTCCTGTCTTACTAGAAACATAAATGTGATATTACTATTGGGTTGTTATATTCAAAGATTTTTGTGTCTTACATAAAGTTAGGGGTTGCACTGTATACATTTATTTATAACTTAATTCAACAAACATTTAATGACAACTTACTATGTGCCATCACTATACCAGCTAATAGACACAAAATAGCAATTAAAAAACACTCCCTGTCCTTGTAGAGCATAGAACATAATACTATCAGAAGCTGGCAGTTAGTGAGTCCTCTCAGAGAGTTAATTATCAGATTTATTTGGAAAAGTCAGATTTGGTTACATACCATTTTTTTCCGAGAATGAATAGCAGAATTTCCCTGTATAAAAAGTCCAAGAATAGAAGCCAATTTTAAATTAAAGCTAAAATAGTATGACTTTTATTATTCTGAAAATGTTGTCATTCCCCATTTCCAAAATAATACAATGAATAATCAGAAGAGCTGTATCCATGTTTTTCTTTTAGGAGACTTTAATACAAAATTACCGTGTACTTCATCTACAATATGTCTTCTGCTGCTGATCTAGATCTGAGCTGTCCGATACAGCTGCCAGAAGCCACAGGTGACTATTTATGTTAAATGAGTTAACATTATATACAATTTAAAGTTTAGTTCCTCAGTTGCACTAGTGATATTCCAAGTGCTCCATAGCCACATGTGGCTGGTGGCTTCCATATTTGACAGTGCAGCCATAGAACATTTCCATCATGGCAGGAAGTTCTGTTGGGCAGCGCTGATTGAAAGAAGGGGTCACATCCAGAAGCTGGTCCTATAGCTGGGGAGCAACAACAAAAAGTATTTGATAAAGTTTAATGCCCATTCGTCATTTAAAAAGAAAAAAATCTTAGCAGTTTGTGAACAGAAGGGGATGTCCTTAAACCAGAAGATGACTTTCTCACTGAACCACTTGAGTCAGAGCATCTCATGATATCTTAGGAAGATAGTGTAATTTAGAAAATGGCCACTTTGCTGTGTATATACCAAAGGCATCATAATGACTTAAAAATATCCCAACAGTTGTGTACAAATATGGGTTGACAATGTATGAATCAAATGTTACAAATATAAGTAAAAGAATAAGCAGCCAGGCACGGTGGCTCACACCTGTAATCCCAGTACTTTGGGAGGCTGAGGCGGGTGGATCACATGAGGTCAGGAGTTCGAGACCAGCCTGACCAACATGGTGAAACCCCATTTCTACTAAAACACAAAAAATTAGCTGGGCATGGTGATGCATGCCTATTGTCCCAGCTACTCGGGAGACTGAGGCAGGAGAATCGCTTGAACCTGGGAGGCAGAGGTTGCAGTGAGCTGACATCACGCCACTGCACTCCAGCCTGGCGACAGAGCAAGACTCTGTCTCAAAAAAAAAAAAAAAAAAAAAAAGAAGAAGAAGAACCAGCAAAACTAATTTATCTGATGTATATTAGCATAGTCCTAAAAGAAGAGACTATAAATTCTGCCATGAAGCAAAGCCAAGCAAAGGATGTGTTGCATAAAGTTAAAATTCTTTTGAACTTCTGGCTCAACAGTTAAGTATATTGGTCTAAGTGCTCAAAAGGGGCTGAACTAGACTTCTGAAATTCGGGAGGCTTGACAGTGGCCTGCCTTCAGCTCATGATGTGCACATATGTGTATGTGTGTTTTTTACTTTATTAACTGTAGCCATTTTATTCACTGTTTTTTTCTGTATGGTAATTTTTCTAGTTGTAGGAATTCTTAGGTGCTGGTGAAAAAGGCTGCACTGCCACTGCAGTTCTACATACCAGCAGAGCTAAATTCCAATGTACATTTCAAAACAGAGCCCTGTATGTTATCTTTGATCTACAATCTAGTACCAATAATCACAAGGTCTAAAAATAATGGCAACTAAAAATCAATCACTTCCTACTTGCTCTATGCTGGACATTGTGCAAGCTGCTTCATTCTGTTTTTCTTATTTACTTTGTATAATAACTCTGGTATCTAAAATAGTATTAGCCCCATTCAACACATAGTCCAACAAGCTGAGCTTAGTTGCCCAAATAATATGCCCAAATCATGCCCAATTGTTCAATCAGGATTGAACCCAGTCTGATTTCTATATCTTATTTCGCTGTCCCATGATCTAGGGCTCCTGATTAGGAATCATAATAATAAATGCCATTTTCTAGTGTTTATTATCTAAGCATTTTTCTCAGTAGGTCATTTAGATCACACAGATACACATAGGAGTCTCTTTTCACAGATGAAGACACATGGGGCAGTGGGATTGCCTAGCCCAGTGCAGAAGTGGCAGGCAGGGCTGAGCCAGGACCTGGGCAACTAGGCTTCAGAGTCTGTGCTCTTCTCCATTATGCTCTAAGTTTTTCCCTCAGAAATTTAAGAATATACGTTGGTGTTTAGAGTCCAACTGCAAGGAACTGGGCCACTTAGAATGGTCTACAAATGTATGGAGGACCTGGGAAAGCAAATCAAAATAGCCTTGGAACCCAGGGAAGAGAGGCCAGCAGTCCCAGGTGTGGAAGAAGGTCAGGCGAGACAACGACCGAAAAGTGACTCTGGTGGGCCCTGGTGCTCAGGGCCGGCTGCAGCTCAAAGTCAGGACAGTGGCAAGGCACGGAATTGTTGGGTGTTTTTCAGCAGGGAACAGGAAGGCAGGAGAGTGGAGGACTGGAACATTCCTGGAATGGAATTTTTTAGGATAGACACAGCAAAAAATCATAGAGTTTGAGGAACCAAGGGTTCTGAGTGAGAAAACATGGACCATGGGTTCAGACTAGAGAAGAAAGAAAATCTGGGAGCAGGCCCAGTGCGGTTGGCTCACACCTGTAATCCCAACACTTTTGGAGGCCGAGGTGGGAGGATCATCTGAGGTCGGAAGTTCGAGACCAGCCTGACCAACATGGAGAAACCCTGTCTCTACTAAAAATACAAAATTAGCCAGGCGTGGTGGCACACGCCTGTAATCCCAACTACTCGGGAGGCTGAGGCAGGAGAATCGCTTGAACCCGAGAGGTGGAGTTTGTGGTGAGCTGAGATCGCACCATTGCACTTCAGCCTAGGCAACAAGAGTAAAACTCTGTCTCAAAAAAAAAGAAAATCTGGGAGCAGATGGGGAAAAAATGGCATTTTAAACTTAAAAGCATTCAGCCTTCGTTTGACAGAATGGACATTATGCTTTATTAGTTGATCAGATACGGAGAGCATCTAAGGCATCTAATATGATATGCTCTCACTGGGTTGAGTGTAACTCAAAAGCAAATTGAGTTGGCAAAATCCTTGGGATTCAAGGCACACTTACATTTGGTTGGTGTGTAAATTAGTGTCACTTTTCTCAGGTTAATTTTCCAGTGTTTGCCTACTGAAATCTTGACAGTCCTTTGACTCAGCTACTTCACTTCTTTGAATTTATCTTATGGAAATGCTAAAGTTTTCATAAACAGATTTTGCAAGTTTTAAAACACTAACTGTGTTTGAAGTTATTATGCTAATTTAAATACACACAACCATATATATATATATATACACATATACACGCAAAGTGTACTCTTTTATACACACACACACACACACATATGTATATACACAAAGTGTACTCTTTTTTCCTCATGTCACATGGGCAATGTGCTGATGTTGTAACAAGGTTTGAGGGAGGCACATTTTACATATGAGCGTGAAACCCGAATCATCACACTTATGAACTACAAAAGGTCCTCAAAGTGTAGTTTTAATGTAACTTCAGAGATCTGTACCTCTGTCAAAAAGTCAACAGGTTTTTTCTGCTAAGCAGAAAGAAGTGTTCACTAATGCCCATGTATCTTTTAGACTGAGAATAATTTGTTTAAAAAATTATATAACCTGGCCAGGCGTGGTGGCTCACACCTGTAATCCCAGCACTTTGGGGGGCCAAGGCAGGCGGATCATGAGGTCAGGAGATCGAGACCATCCTGGCTAACACAGTGAAACCCCGTCTTTACTAAAAATACAAAAAAAAAAAAAAATTAGCCGGGCGTGATGGTGGGCGTCTGTAGTCCCAACTACTCAGGAGGCTGAGGCAGGAGAATGGCGTGAACCTGGGAGGCGGAGCTTGCAGTGAGCCAAGATCACGACACTGCACTCCAGCCTGGGCGACAGAGCGAGACTCCATCTCAAAAAAAAAAGAAAAAAAATTATATAACCTATCATTTGAAAATGATTTCATCTGTCCAATCAGTCAGGCTTTCTTTATATTTTTTTATTTTTTTTTTGAGACGGAGTCCCGCTCTTTAGCCCAGGCCGGATTGCAGTGGCACAATCTCGGCTCACTGCAAGCTCCGCCTCCCAGGTTCACGCCATTCTCCTGCCTCAGCCTCCCGAGTAGCTGGGACTACAGGCGCCCGCCACTGCGCCCGGCTAATTTTTCGTATTTTTATTAGAGACGGGGTTTCACCGTGTTAGCCAAGATGGTCTCGATCTCCTGACCTTGTGATCCGCCCGCCTCGGCCTCCCAAAGTGCTGGGATTACAGGCGTGAAGGCTTTCTTTTTAAGTGTCACACAAATTTGGTTTTGGTACATAAAGTGACAACCCTTTCTTTATTTCTTTTGTTTTTTTGTTTTTTGTTTTTTTTTTTTCAGGTGACGTTATATTCCTATTCGAAGACCAAGAGCTCAAAACATCATTCCTCCCCCAAATGAAAAAATGTCTGGGAAAAATTACTAATCTACTTCTCTGAAACCCATTTGGGAAGCTGGCCCAATTCGAGTTCTATACTCAAAAGGCAAACGTAAAGACTAAACCTGTAAGTGTGCCTGTATGTAGATGACTTCTTACAAGACCTCCTAATGAGAGTAATGGCAGAAATAGGGGAAATGAAAATTAAGACAAGTTTTGCAAGTGTTATTCCAAAGAATCCAGAATATTTCCATTTTGCCCATGGTGAAACTATCCAAGGAAGGTTAAGTAATTTGGATTGGTCAGGATGTGAACCTAGGCCAGTCTGACTTTTAAGCCTGTGATTTTTCTGTTATCCCATGACATGGTGTACACTACAAGAAATGCTAATCTTAATAACATAGCTACCTGTATTGAGAGCTCATTAGGTCCGGTACTGTTCTAAGCACTTTGCTTCTATCTCTCACTCAGCATATTTTAGTGAGCTCTTTATTGATTTACAAGATTATGCATCTATGAACTCAGTCACACTGGCTATTAATTAAATTCCCTTCAAGTTTGTAAAAAATTAATTGACATTTCATTCTTTTTTCAGAAGACACCAGGTTTTTAGCCTTGGATCAAGATGTCTCAAAAAAAATTCAGTAAAAATCTAGATCTTGCTCAGCTCCAAATTCTTGTACTGCTTTCAGAGTACTGAGATCATTGTAGCCCAAACATGCAATGGCATTTTATAAGCCTCTTGAACTCTGAGGACTAAGCTCTGATTTTTTTTAATCTTGTCCAAATTCCTATCTAAGGGGTCTGGGGAGTCATGCACTACAAACCATAAATTCTCATCAGATGGGTTTTATTTAACCCTATATATCATGACTTACTTGCCAACCTGACTCTGGCATAACATTATCAGACAAGGAAGAAAATCAAAATATTTTACCCCAAAACATGTTTATTTGCCATATCTTGAAATGGCCCTGCAAAGCTGTCTTTTGTGGGGGAAAATTTGCCTCTGTAAAGAATCTCTATTAACATAACTAGATCTTTTTCTTCCAGGCCCTCCCAAACCTAAGGAGATTAACTAAAAGTCTAGCACTTCTTAAAGATCTGAATAGGAAACATTTCAACTATTATCTCTAAGGGCAGCCACTATAAGACTTCAAAAGAACCTTGGTCTCCACAATCTTTTATCTTAACCTGAACCTTTCCCTTCTATCAATCCCAGGTCTTTAGACAAACTCAACCAATTGTCAATCAGAAAATATTTAAATTCACCTGTAGCCTGGAAGCCCCTGCTTTGAGTTGTCCCATCCTTCTAGACCAAACGAATGTATTTCTTAAATGTATTTGATTGATGTCTCATACCTCCCTAAAATGTATAAAACCAAGCTGCATCCCCAACTACCTTGGGCACATGTTCTAAGGACCTCCTGAGGGCTGTGTCATGGGCCATGGTCACTCATATTTGGCTCAAAATAAATCTCTTTGAATATTTTGCAGAGTTTGACTCTTTTTGTCGACAGCTCCTTCTGAGCCATATGCACATCATTACATTTTGTGTTTTGGAATTTATAAATACTAAATGCTAATTAAAAATTTTTTAAGTTCTATTGATTTTCTGCTCCCATAAAATGATCTATTTGAATCTATCTTCAGTAAAGTACAGTTGTCAAGCTGCTTGATGGAATCAGCAAGAAACAGCTTCACTTCCTATAGTGGAACCAAGTGCTTAAGTAGAAAAACAGTGTTTCTGACTATCATGGTTAAAAAAAAAAATCTCTCCAATATAAATTATAGAGTGGTAAAAGAGCTGACAGGTTTTGTGTGTTTTTTTTTAACAGTTGTCTTCTGTTAAACATAAGCTTTTATTTTCCAAATGACAATTAACAGCTTCATTTTCCAATATTTTCTGTAGTACCCAAAACCTACCATCTATATTTATATATTTTTATACCAGAATTTTCATTTTTACCAGTTTTTACTAGTGATCATCAACTGGATTGCACAAAGAATATGTATTTAAGGCTCTTTCTGAATCGTGTGGTTTAGTTAAAATCTCAGAATATGTTGGTAGTTTGTCTTTCAGGACTTGGGCTTTGACATATGTAAATTATAAATTTCCAGTCAAATTCAGTGCTAACAACTTGAGTATTTTATGTAACGGTGAAATAAATTCAGAACTGAATTGAAGATTAAAAAATTATAGTGTACATTCAACAAAACAGAAACATTGGAAGAGAGATGAACTATTGTTGTTTTAAAACTATTAAACCATATTACAAATAGTATGACTTCCTAGGACCTCACAATGTAAAGACCAGCTTAACTGTATTTATTTTTTTATAAAAAGAACACCATATAAAACTAACAACTGAAAATATGGACATAAAAATAAATACAATAGTTTTAAGCTTTTTCAGTTATATAAAACATTTAAAAATTATCAAATATTTATAACATATCAATTACATATAACACACATAAGTATATAAATATATAACTAAGTATCTTCATTTGTGGATAGTGCACAAATTGTTAACTAGTACAGAAGCCAGATTTACTTTAGCTTGTTTCTGAATAATTCAGTAAGTCATGTTATTTGGAGTATGATATATGGTTTAGAGCAGGGGTCAGCAAACTATGGCCCATGGGCCAAATCAGGCCTGCCACCTGTTTTTGTAAAGTTGTAAATAAAACTAAAAACTTGAAAAGAATCACTGATAGGATGATTTTTACCTAGGATGATTTTTGACTAAGAACACAACCATGCTCATTCATCTACACATTGTCTATGATTGATTGCTTTCCTGCTACAACATTACAGTTGAGGAGTTGGGACATCTTTACCCTCTGTCTCTTTAAAGAAAAAGTTTGCTGATCCTTGGATTTGATGAATGAGTCGTACTGTGAGATAAATATTTCACTTGCTATTTTATGTACAGGAATTCCCACTTCTTGGTTTTCACTAATACGTCTAAAACATAATGTAAGATGGACCAAAATAGCCTAACTGTCCACATTAGTACATGCATATGCATTTTATATTCATTTGTACTAAATGTTGCTTTGTATGACCATGTCATAGCTATTATTCTATTCATATATATAAGGTTTGCAACCTACTTCAGGGACTCATGGCTCCTATGAAATCGTGGCCTCTTAGACTTTATTCGAGTCTGTGAGCCATATGCTTGGTTCTCAACATTCTGAGCCATATTTCCCTTGGCTGTGAGATGAAATACATGTTATGGGAAGTTGTATTAGAGTTCTAAATGGCATTAAGAACTAGAGGGATATGAATAGCTGCCCTCTTTGCCCTGAGGTCTTGTTTTTAGTCCTCACAATGTGAAATATAAAAAGAATCCTATTAGCTTGTAGAACGCTAAAGAGAAAATCATGGTGACTAACATTTACTAAGCTTCTGTGGTGCTGTGCATTCTACCTACATTGTCTCATTTTGTCTGCACAACAAGCTTAAGAAACAGGTTGGTGTATTATCCCTGCTTTACAAAAGAGAAAACTAAGGCTTAATTAAGACCCTTGTCCAAGATCACACAACTGGTAATTGACAGAGCCAGAACTCACACACAGAATTGTCCAATTACAAAGTCAGGGCTCTTAATCACTATCTTACTATTAAATAATAGGTGCTAGTATTTATGTACTTTAAAATACCTTCACATGAGGTGATGGATATGTTAATTAGTTTTCTTTAATTATTCCACATGGTATTCATAAATTATAGCATCACGTTGCACTCATAAACATATTCAATTATACATTATAATTTATAGATATTGTTGATTTACAATTTAAAAAAAAAAACCTTCACATGTCTTTTAACATAAGACCATCGAGCCAGAGAATATTATGGAATTACCTGGTAAACTGATGTCTCTGCCTCCCCTTACTGGCAGAGCTCAGTGGGAGCCTCACTCCTTGCTGCCATTCCTTCCTTCTTGCCGAGTCGCCCTTTCCTATTCCCCAATACCCCCAACCTGCATACCCAGGTGAGTCACAAATCCTGCCTTTGAGGTTTCTCTGGCATCTTGTCCTCTGTATAAACCTCAGCCTATAGACACTTCTCAGTGTCTGAAGCCCAATAAACAAGAATAGATGCTGCTGTCCTACTGTGGAAATCACTAATTGGGAAGGTGATTCACTGCAAACGGGCAGAGAGAGATGGAGCTGATGGAAAAGGGCAATCGCATAGAGCTCTAGGGGCCCGCCGACTGCCAGAAGTCTTCCTGATGGGGGTGCTTAGGGCGTCTGTGAGAGACAGTGTCTGAGGGCTTGGAGATCTCTTCCAGGTAATCTGGCTTTATGACTTGAAGACCCAATTAAAAAGACCTAAGGGCATTGGAAAATATTTCAAACGGGGCACATTTGGGCAATGAATATTTATGGATACAGGGATGCATAAGGTATGTTTGCTGTGGTGAATTTTCAGTCGAGAAATCCCAAAAGCAAATGAAATAAGAGCCTCCGTTTTTTAGTTTATTTACTTGAGAAATTGGTACTTCGGCTTTCTTAGGCCCAGTTGGTCTCATGCCACTTACATTTGTAAACTCTGCAATTTTTTTCAGGAATGCATGGATGGTCCCAAAACATAAAATCTATAAATGTAATTTTATCTGAGGATGGAATGCATCACAGCCTAAAAAGTTTGCAGCATCCTTAATGGGCAAACAACACTGGCAGCATCCTGATAGAGAGAAACGTAACAAGAATGCCCGCTGCTCCTACAATTTACTATTTAACACTGTATTGGAAATATCAGCCAATACCATTAAACAAGTGAAAGAATGTAGAGGCAAAAAAACTTGGAAATGAATAAACATAAAAACCCAAAGAGAATCACTGACAAACTACAAACAATTAGAGAACTCAGGAAAATGCTGGTGTACACATAGGGTCCCAAGTTGACGAGTAGCACCAAGCAGCCATCTTGAAACAGTCTCCCCGGCCCTCCTCTTGATAATTGTCTCTGGTGAGGACTAACCACACAATTAACTGGTTTAGATTTTCTGATTTTCAAATGATATGTTTATCCTCCCAACTCTGAATATTCTCTTCAAGACCATGTCCTCAGATTATCCAACGGAATCTTCCTGAACCAATATAAAGAATATAGTAAGCTACTTAAGCATTTTTCCTAAGCAGCATATTAAAAAAAAAAAACTCGATGGAATTTTTGGCATGTTTATCATCTGAAAGCCACCAGCTGTACTCGGTTTGTCCCCTCTCCTGTGACAGTGCTGGTCCTACCTGAGACTTTTCAACTTGTGTGAATTGGGTCTTCCAAGCATTATCAAAGGAAAAGCAACTTTCCAGGGAAGGGTGGTTGTAGTAATCATCGTGCCTATGTCTCTTGCAATAATACTTAAAATCAGATGGTGCTGACCCACTTAGAAACAAGGATTAAAGAAATCTGCTTAGAATTGAATTGAGTCCACCATAGCAACTTGCCAAGAGAAATGCATTCCACAGAATGCCCTTCAGAGAACCTCTCATTAGCCAGACTGCAAACCTTTGATTTCTTTTCATTTAATATATGACTGCCTGGAATTCATTTAAACATGGATGTGATACATGTTCATATGTATGTTCACAGCATATTAGTCTAGTCTTTTATTTTTCCTGGACAACATACACAAGTCTTATGTAGGACTTAGTCATCTGTAGCTCTAACCTAAATTTTAAAAGTTGTATATTTTTAATAAAAAGTATATATATTCTAGATAATTTCTTTGTAAATTTGTATGTAGTTTCAAATATATCAGAATTTTGAAAAAGTAAAGCATTGCTTTTTATACTGGAAACTTTTGCTGAGCCTTTAATTTAGTATTACGAAAAATGAATAGCAGAATCTGTTATTTCTCCTGCCAACCAGATACAATAGAATCTGCCCAGAAATGTCTCCTTGCTTTCCCTAACCTCTGTCAATTTTATTTATTCTTCTGTCTATACATTTGTTTCTATGTCATATTTGATGTTATCTATCACTGATGTGTTTTCTTTAAAATGTGTTCTTACTACATGTCCTATTGTGGATGGATTTACATCAGTATATCTCCCATAGACTGAAACTTCTCAGAAGGGGAAGGCTCTTTGTAGGATTTAACACAGTGGTTTTTAATTTTGGTTCTGCATTAAGGTCACCTGGAGAGATTTTTATAAATTCAGTTGCCTGGATGCTGCTCCTGAAGGTTCTAGTTCAGTGGGTGTGTGGTAAGGCCTATACTTTAGTATTCTCAAAAAGCTTCACAGGTAGTTGTGACACACAGCTAAAAGCTGAGAGGCGCTCTTTTAATACCATGCTTAATTCTATCCATAAGTACCCAGCATAATTGCCTGGCACATAGACAACCCTCAAAAACTGTTTACATAATTGGTAAACTGGTTTGAGATGAAGCTTTATGAGATGTCTTCCTTCACTGGAGCAGCCTTGACAGAGTCATTGCATCAGGTAAGTCCAAAGAGACTGAGTAAATAAAATGCTGGCAAAGCCACAGCTGCACTTGCTTGAGTTGTGTCATTTGAGCCCACCAAATTATTGACTTAACCCAGACAGGCCCAGTCTATTTTGTAATTTAAAAATATATGTGTATATATTTTGTAAGGAGATTCTGGTTACTAACAATCTAAGATTGCAGAAAGAATATGCCTTTGTTGTCATAAAACATTCTTTATATTTATGAAGTCTTTTTCCTTGAGTTAAAAATGGATAAATAACTGTGCAGTCAAATGACAACATCACATAAAAGATTTCAGAGCTGTTACATAATTCAATAAGTGAAAATTCCCCAACATTTGCATGTTTGGTTTTGGTGTGTTATGCTTGGTGATGTAATAGAAGCCAGTGTTATATTTTCTTCGTGTAAACCAGTCCCACTTTCCCTCCAGCAGTGATTGGTTTGTAGTGATCCTGAAGCTGTGAGAATTAACTGGACTTGGACAAGAGAGCCTGAAGGCAAACCCTGGCACTTACTCCAGTGGAAAACTGGCCTGTCTTTCTGATCTCCTCTGGAGTGCTTCTCAAATGCTAGGTGCGTGCATCAGAGCCACCTGGAAACCTTGCTAAACATTCAGATTCCTGGGCCTCACTCCCAGATGTTCCCATTGAGTAGTTCAGCCATGGAGCCTGGGAGTCTGTATGTTTAATGGCCACTCCAGGTTGATGCAGGAGATGTGACACCAGCAGAAAGATTGCTCTGGGGTGCACTTTGTTTTTTCTTACTTCCAGTAGCTGAAGGAAACTGATGCAAGGGCTTAACAACCTAGGCCATAATGGGAGTTTACTTGCACTAGGCGTGTCTTAGACTATTTTATTTAAAAGAGTTTTTTTAACAAATGTACTTGAACCCTAAAGAATCTTATATGCCCCTTGGAGACATTTATTGCTGGCTGAAATTCAGTCTTGGAGCCAATGTTTTCAAATCCAATTAATTAAACTGTTTTACCAAAGCTGTTGGGAATGTTTTCACAAATCTTACCCTTTAATCTGAATGAAAATAGAATACAGACTTCACTAAAACAACTTCAAGTATAATTTGCAATCTAATCAAGAGAGATTAATATTAAGTAATCTGACAACATCCTCTACAGTGGGGAGCAGCTGGTAAGCAATGTTGTGAAAGTGCTCAACTACAGGCAATCCAGGCTGTGAGCCTCTGTGGGACAAGAGGAGGGAGGCGGAAGGCAGATAGCCACTTCCAGTGCCCCTGCACCTGTGAGTTTCCCTGCTCCAAGGAAAGGAACCAGTGAGGAGGACCCGAAGCTAGTGGCTTCCCCTTCTGTCTGCCTTTAACTTTTCTAGTCTTTCCCCTCTTCACTCCTTCCTCTCCATTTTTTCTTTTCCTTACTTCTTCTCAGAAGTGTGAGTGAAGTCTGAGCCCCAGGTCCCCGTGAAGCTGGTTCTTTCACCTTTTACAAAGATGGCTGGTGATGCATTTCACCTGCAGGCTCCAGTCCAAAAGGCCCATCTTCAGGGTTGAAAGAGCCTAGCAGTTTGCAAAACCAACCCGATCTTATCCTTTCTTTGGATGCTCACAGTGGTAATTAAAGTCTTTTGTGATAATTTCTGAAACAAGGAGAAAATAGGAAATTAGTGCTCTTGGAACTGAATTGGAATCCCAGACTAGCTGCCAATATGTGGATGAATCACCAAAAGGTCTGGGAGCTATTTGCCTTCTATCAGCACAGAGGGAGGTTAGAATGGAAATCAGCGAAAAACAAATGACTCAGTTTTCCTTTTTAACAAATGCTGAATTACAGCTGCCTGTTTCCCTGTTTTAAATAAAAGGGATAAAACCACAACTGCCCAGTGGCAGTCTAGAATGAAGAACTAACAACTGCTTCCTGCATTGGTATCCATGGAAAATGGGATGCCTCCCTACTCATACATGCACTGGTCAACTTTTTGCAGAAGCTGATGACATTGTGTACCAGGAAGGGGAGATATAAGTCAAAGGAAGATTCAACCATTTATTTCCTGCTTTGTCAAAGACTCATGTGATGGGAAAGAATGAAAAAGCCTGTGTTTCCACCCCAACTTTTCTATTGGCATGCTACATGATTTTGGCAGGTCATCCAGCCTTTTTGAGGGTGTTTCCTAATCTTTGAAATGAGAATAATACCTGCATGACAGGGCAATTGTGAAGGACAAGCGAACTAGTATACCTGAGTTAATGCCTTCACATTTTAAGTCCATAAAAATGTAAAGTTATCTTTGCTGCTGTGAAGGTATTTGGAGGGGTGGCAACAGTTAATTACAGAAATGAGGCAAGTGAGAGGAGAGGAAACTTTTCTTGCATTTATAGAGGAGATAATAAGTATTTGAGTGGACATACCGGTTATCACAGATTTTTTTTTTTCTTTTTTGAGATGGAGTCTTGCTCTGTTGCTCAGGCTGGAGTACAGTGGTGCAATCTCGGCTCACTGCAACCTCCGCCTCCCGGGTTCAAGTGATTCTCCTGCGTCTGTCTCCCGAGTAGCTGGGATTACAGGTGCCTGCCACCATGCCTGGCTAATTTTTGTATTTTTTAGTAGAGACAGGGTTTCACCATATTGGTCAGGCTAGTCTCGAACTCCTGACCTCGTGATCCGCCCACCTTGGCCTCCCAAAGTGCTGGGATTATAGGCGTGAGCCACCGTGCCCAGCATCACAGATATATTTTTATATGTAAGAAGATGGACCTCCATCTTAAAAGTTCAATCATGTCATCAATGATTTCAAGACATGAAGTAGTAAATTCATCAACAGTCAACATTTCTTATCAAAGTAATAATACCACCATTTAACACTTCCTTTAGACTGAGCACCGTGATAAGTGCTTCCTTTCATATAATCTCATTTAATCACAGCCCTCTGATGTAGGGGTTCTCAACAACCACTATTAACAATTCTATGCAACAGATATTATTATTCTCACTTTACGTATAATAAAACTGATAAAAATGGAATTTTTAAAAGCTTTCCCCATTTTGTATACCTCATAAGCAGTAGAATAGGGTTCAAAACATAGGTGTAGCGCCTGGTGGAGTGGTTCACATCTGTAATCCAAGCACTTTGGGGGGCCAAAGCAGGAGGATCGCTTAAGTTCAGAGGCCAGCCTGGGCAACATAGTGAGACTTAGGCGCAGTGGCATGTGCCTGTAGTCTTGGCTGAGATGGGAGGATCACATGAGCCCAGGAGGTCAGGGGTACTGTGAGCCATGATTGTACCACTGCACTCCAGCCTGGGTGACAGAGTAAGATCTTGTCTCTAAAATAAATAAATAAATACCAAGTGTGTCTGACTCTAAAGCTTATGTTCTTAACCACTGTATTAGTCTGTTCTTACGCTGCTGATAAAGACATACCCGAGACTGGGTAATTTATAAAGGAAAAGTTTTAATGGACTCACAGTTCCACATGGCTGGGGAGGCCTCACAATCATGGTGGAAGGCACAGGAGAAGCAAAAACACGTCTTACACGGTGGCAGGCAAGAGAAGTACCAAAGCAAAAGGGGAAAAAGCCCCTTATAAAACCATCAGATCTCGTGAAAACTCACTATCATGAGAACAGCACGAGGGTAACCACCCCTATGATTAAATTACCTCCCACTGGGTCCCTCCCACAACACATGGGGATTATGGGAACTACAGTTCAAGATGAGATTTGGGTGGAGACACAGCCAAACCATATTGACCACCAAAATCTTTTTTTTTTTAGTTAATTAATTTATTTATTTTAATTATACTTTAAGTTTTAGGGTACATGTGCACAACGTGCAGATTTGTTACATATGTATACCTGTGCCATGTTGCTTGCTGCACCCATTAACTCATCATCCAACATTAGGTATATCTCCTAATGCTATCCCTCCCCCCTTCCCCCACCCGACGACAGGCCCTGGTGTGTGATGTTCCCCTTCCTGTGTCCATGTGTTCCCACTGTTCAATTCCCACCTGTGAGTGAGAACATGCGGTGTTTGGTTTTTGTCCTTGCGATAGTTTGCTGAGAATGATGGTTTCCAGCTTCATCCATGTCCCTACAAAGTACATGAACTCATTTTTTATGGCTGCATAGTATTCCATGGTGTATATGTGCCACATTTTCTTAATCCAGTCTATCATTGTTGGACATTTGGGTTGGTTCCAAGTCTTTGCTGTTGTGAATAGTGCCACAATAAACATACATGTGCATGCGTCTTTAAAGCAGCATGTTTTATAATCCTTTGGGTATATACCCAGTAATGGGATGGCTGCGTCAAATGGTATTTCTAGTTCTAGATCCCTGAGGAATCACCATACTGACTTCCACAATGGTTGAACTAGTTCACAGTCCCACCAACAGTGTAAAAGCATTCCTGTTTCTCCACATCCTCTCCAGGACCTGTTGTTTCCTGACTTCAATGATCGCCATTCTAACTGGTGTGAGATGGTATCTCACTGTGGTTTTGACTTGCATTTCTCTGATGACCAGTGATGATGAGCATCTTTTCATGTGTCTTTTGGCTGCATAAATGTCTTCTTTTGAGAAGTGTCTGTTCACACCCTTCGCCTACTTTTTGATGGGGTTGTTTGTTTTTTTCTTGTAAATTTGTTTGAATTCATTGTAGATTCTGTATATTAGCCCTTTGTCAGAAGAGTAGATTGCAAAAATTTTCTCCCATTCTGTAGGTTGCATGTTCGCTCTGATGGTAGTTTCTTTGGCTGTGCAGAAACTCTTTAGTTTAATTAGATCCTCTTTGTCTATTTTGGCTTTTGTTGTCATTGCTTTTGGTGTTTTAGACATGAAGTCCTTGCCCATGCCTATGGCCTGAATGATATTGCCTAGGTTTCCTTCTAGGGTTTTTATGGTTTTAGGTACTACATTTAAGTCTTTAATCCATCCTGAGTTAATTTTTGTATAAGGTGTAAGGAAGGGATCCAGTTTCAGCTTTCTACATATGGCTAGCCAGTTTTCCCAGCACCATTTGTTAAATAGGGAATCCTTTCCCCATTTCTTGTTTTTGTCAGGTTTGTCAAAGATCAGATAGTTGTAGATGTGTGGTGTTATTTCTGAGGGCTCTGTTCTGTTCCATTGGTCTATATCTCTGCTTTGGTACCAAAACAGTATCATGCTGTTTTGGTTACTGTAGCCTTGTAGTATAGTTTGAAGTCAGCTGGCATGATGCCTCCAGCTTTGTTCTTTTGGCTTAGGATTGACTTGGCAATGCGGGCTCTTTTTTGGTTCCATATGAACTTTAAAGTAGTTTTTTCCAATTCTGTGAAGAAAGTCATTGGTAACTTGATGGGGATGGCATTGAATCTATAAATTACCTCGGGCAGTATGGCCGTTTTCATGATATTGATTCTTCCTGCCCATGAGCGTGGAATGTTCTTCCATTTGTTTGTATCCTCTTTTATTTCATTGAGCAGTGGTTTGTAGTTCTCCTTGAAGAGGTCCTTCACGTCCCTTGTAAGTTGGATTCCTAGGTATTTTATTCTTTTTGAAGCAATTGTGAATGGGAGTTCACTCATGATTTGGCTCTCTGTTTGTCTGTTATTTGTGTATAAGAATGCTTGTGATCTTTGCACACTGATTTTGTATCCTGAGACTTTGCTGAAGTTGCCTATCAGCTTAAGGAGATTTTGGGCTGAGACGATGGGGTTTTCTAGGTATACAATCATGTCATCTGCAAACAGGGACAATTTGACTTCCTCTTTTCCTAACTGAATACCCTTTATTTCCTTCTCCTGCCTGATTGCCCTGGCCAGAACTTCCAACACTATGTTGAATAGCAGTGGTGAGAGAGGGCATCCCTGTCTTGTGCCCTGGAATGCTTCCAGTTTTTGTCCATTCAGTATGATATTGGCTGTGGGTTTGTCATAGATAGCTCTTATTATTTTGAGATACGTCCCATCAATACCTAATTTATTGAGAGTTTTTAGCATGAAGGGCTGTTGAATTTTGTCAAAGGCCTTTTCTGCATCTATTGAGATAATCATGTGGTTTTTGTCTTTGGCTCTGTTTATATGCTGGATTACATTTATTGATTTGCGTATATTGAACCAGCCTTGCATCCCAGGGATGAAGCCCACTTGATCATGGTGGATAAGCTTTTTGATGTGCTGCTGGATTCAGTTTGTCAGTATTTTATTGAGGATTTTCACATTGATGTTCATCAGGGATATTGGTCTAAAATTCTCTTTTTTTGTTTTGTCTTTGCAAGGCTTTGGTATCAGGATGATGCTGGCCTCATAAAATGAGTTAGGGAGGATTCCCTCTTTTTCTATTGATTGGAATAGTTTCAGAAGGAATGGTAACAGCTCCTCCTTGTACCTCTGGTAGAATTCGGCTGTGAATCCATCTGGTCCTGGACTTTTTTTGGTTGGTAAGCTATTAATTATTGCCTCAATTTCAGATCCTGTTATTGGTCTATTCAGGGATTCAACTTCTTCCTGGTTTAGTCTTGGGAGGGTGTATGTGTCGAGGAATTTATCCATTTCTTCTAGATTTTCTAGTTTATTTGCGTAAAGGTGTTTATAGTATTCTCTGATGGTAGTTTGTATTTCTGTGGGATTGGTGGTGATATCACCTTTATCATTTTTTATTTTGTCTATTTGATTCTTCTCTCTTTTCTTCCTTATTAGTCTTGCTAGCGGTCTATCAATTTTGTTGATCTTTTCAAAAAACCAGCTCCTGGATTCAATGATTTTTTGAAGGGTTTTTTGTGTCTCCATTTCCTTCAGTTCTTTTCTGATCTTAGTTATTTCTTGCCTTCTGCTAGCTTTTGAATGCGTTTGCTCTTGCTTCCCTAGTTCTTTTAATTGTGATGTTAGGGTGTCAGTTTTAGATCTTTCCTGCTTTTTCTTGTGGGCATTTAGTGCTATAAATTTCCCTCTACACACTGCTTTGAATGTGTCCCAGAGATTCTGGTATGTTGTGTCTTTGTTCTTGTTGGTTTCAAAGAACATCTTTATTTCTGCCTTCATTTCGTTATGTACCCAGTAGTCATTCAGGAGCAGGTTATTCAGTTTCCATGTAGTTGAGTGGTTTTGATTGAGTTTCTTAATCCTGAGTTCTAGTTTGAGTGCACTGTGGTCTGAGAGACAGTTTGTTATAATTTCTGTTCTTTTACATTTGCTGAGGAGTGCTTTACTTCCAACTATGTGGTCAATTTTGGAGTAGGTGTGGTGTGGTGCTGAAAAGAATGTATATTCCATTGATTTGGGGTGGAAAGTTCTATAGATGTCTATTAAGTCCGCTTGGTGCAGAGGTGAGTTCAGTTCCTGGATATCCTTGTTAACTTTCTGTCTCAATCTGTCTAATGTTGACAGTGGGGTGTTAAAGTCTTCCATTATTATTGTGTGGGAGTCTAAGTCTCTTTGTAGGTCTCTAAGGACTTGCTTTATGAATCTGTGTGCTCCTGTATTGGATGCATATATATTTAGGATAGCTAGCTCTTCTTGTTGAATTGATCCCTTTGCCATTATGTAATGGCCTTCCTTGTCTCTTTTGATCTTTGTTGGTTTAAAGTCTGTTTTATCAGAGACTACGATTGCAATCTCTGCTTTTTTGTTTGTTTGTTTTCCATTTGCTTGTTAGATCTTCCTCCATCCCTTTATTTTGAGTCTATGTGTGTCTCTGCACATGAGATGGGTCTCCTGACTACAGCACACTGACGGGTCTTGACTCTTTATCCAATTTGCCAGTCTGTGTCTTTTAATTGGAGCATTTAGCCCATTTACATTTAAGGTTAATATTGTTATGTGTGAATTTGATCCTGTCATTATGATGTTAGCTGGTGATTTTGCCCATTAGTTGATGCAGTTTCTTCCTAGCATCGATGGTCTTTACAATTTGGCATGTTTTTGCAGTGGCTGGTACCGGTTGTTCCTTTCCATGTTTAGTGCTTCCTTCAGGAGCTCTTTTAGGGCAGGCCCAGTGGTGACAAAATCTCTCAGCATTTGCTTGTCTGTAAAGTATTTTATTTCTCCTTCACTTATGAAGCTTAGTTTGGCTGGATAGGAAATTCTGGGTTGAAAATTCTTTTCTTTAGGAATGTTGAATATTGGCCCCCACTCTCTTCAGGCTTATAGAGTTTCTGCTGAGAGATCAGCTGTTAGTCTGATGGGCTTCCCTTTGTGCGTAACCTGACCTTTCTTTCTGGCTGCCCTTAACATTTTTCCTTCATTTCAACTTTGGTGAATCTGACAATTATGTGTCTTGGAGTTGCTCTTCTCTAGGAGTATCTTTGTGGCGTTCTCTGTATTTCCTGAATTTGAATGTTGGCCTGCCTTGCTAGATTGGGGAAGTTCTCCTGGATAATATCCTGCAGTGTTTTCCAACTTGGTTCCATTCTCCCGTCACTTTCAGGTACACCAATCAGACGTAGATTTGGTCTTTTCACATAGTCCCATATTTCTTGGAGGCTTTGTTCATTTCTTTTTATTCTTTTTTCTCTAAACTTCTCTTCTCGCTTCATTTCATTCATTTGATCTTCCATCACTGATACCCTTTCTTCCAGTTGATCAAATCAGCTACTGAGGCTTGTGCATTCATCACGTAGTTCTCATGCAGTGGCTTTCAGCTCCATCAGGTCCTTTAAGGACTTCTCAGCATTGGTTATTCTAGTTAGCCATTCAACTAATTTTTTTTCAAGGTTTTTAACTTCTTTGTCATGGGTTCGAACTTCCTCCTTTAGCTCGGAGTAGTTTGATCGTCTGAAGCCTTCTTCTCTCAGTTCGTCAAAGTTATTCTCCGTCCAGCTTTGTGTCATTGCTGGTGAGGAGCTGCATTCCTTTGGAGGAGGAGAGGGGCTCTGATTTTTAGAGTTTCCAGTTTTTCTGCTCTGTTTTTTCCCCATCTTTGTGGTTGTGTCTACCTTTGGTCTTTGATGATGGTGACAAACAGATGGGGTTTTGGTGTGGATGTCCTTTCTGTTTGTTAGTTTTCCTTCTAACAGTCAGGACCCTCAGCTGCAGGTCTGTTGGAGTTTGCTGGAGGTCCACTCCAGACTCTGTTTGCCTGGGTATGAGCAGCAGAGGCTGCAGAACAGCGGATCTTGGTGAACCACAAATACTGCTGCCTGATTGTTCCTCTGGAAGTTTTGTCTCAGAGGAGTACTCAGTCATGTGAGGTGTCAGTCTGCCCCTACTGGGGGGTGCCTCCCAGTTAGGCTACTCGGGGGTCAGGGTCCCACTTGAGGAGGCAGTCTGTCCATTCTCAGATCTCCAGTTGAGTGCTGAGAGAACCACTACTCTCTTCAAAGCTGTCAGACAGGGACATTTAAGTCTGCAGAGGTTTCTGCTGCCTTTTGTTCGGCTATGCCCTGCCCCCAGAGGTAGAGTCTACAGAGACAGGCAGGCCTCCTTGAGCTGCAGTGGGCTCCACCCAGTTGGAGCTTCCTGGCCACTTTGTTTACCTACTTAAGCTTGGGCAATGGCGGGCGCCCCTCCTCCAGCCTCACTGCCACCTTGCAGTTTGATCTCAGACTGTTGTGCTAGCAATGAGCAAGGCTCCATGGACGTAGGACCCTCTGAGCCAGGCGCAGGATATAATCTCCTGGTGTGCCGTTTGCTAAGACCTTTGGGAGAGCGCAGTATTAGGGTGGGAGTGACCCGATTTTCCAGGTGCCATCTGTCACCCCTTTCTTTGACTAGGAAAGGGAATTCCCTGACCCCTTGTGCTTCCCGGGTGAGGCGATGCCTCACCCTGCTTCAGCTCATGCTTGGTGCGCTGCACCCACTGTCCTGCACCCACTGTCCGACATTCCCCAGTGAGATGAACCCAGTGCCTCAGTTGGAAATGCAGAAATCACCCGTCTTCTGCGTCGCTCACGCTGGGAGCTGTAGATGAGCTGTTCCTATTCGGCCATCTTGGCTCCACCCTAGTCCAGCCCAAAATCTTAAAGAGAATGGAAGCCATGCTATCTCTAATTGGAACAGAAGTCCAGTATCTGTGACAAGTTGACCTACCCTGTTACTGACTAGCTACATGTCTTTGGGTAAGTAAATTCTGAGCCTTAATCTCTCCAGAGCTGGGGGGGCATAATGTTTTCTAGGCCACCTTATAGGTAATTGTGAGAATCAAGTGAGATGGTACATATGAAAGTATTTTTGGATACCATAGAAAGGAAGGGCTTGATTAAGAGTTTCTTCAACCAGAAAGGGATTGGGGGAAATTTTGGTAAGTAGTATAGGAAAAGAAAAATAACCTTTAATGTCCTGTCTGTAATAGTCTTTTCATTATATAGTTGATCATCTAAAGAAGTGTCTTTTAAAGTATGGCCTGCCTATTGGTGCTGCACAAGATGATTTTAAAATGTACATGTGAAATGTATTTTAATAGCTCTGTACTCTTTCTAGAAGTTTAGTAAACCTGTGATTTCCCAGATTATTGTTTAGGGTTCAGCTAAGTATAAAAAGTGAGTCAAGCCTGGGCACAGTGGCTAATGCCTGTAATCCCAGCACTTTGGGAGACCAAGGTGGGCGGATCACCTGAGGTCGGTAGTTCGAGACCAGCCTGACCAACATGGAGAAACCCCATCTCTACTAAAAATGCAAAATTAGCCGGGTGTGGTGGTGCATGCCTGTAATCCCAGCTACTCGGGAGGCTGAGGCAGGAGAATTGTTTGAACCCAGGAGGCAGAGGTTGCGGTGAGCCGAGATTGTGCCATTGCACTCCAGTCTGGGCAACAAGAGTGAAATTCCATCTCAAAAAAAAAAAAAAAAAAGTGAGCTAAGCCACTTGCAGTGGCTCACATCTGTAATCCCAGCACTTCGGAAGGCCAAGGCAGAAGGATTGCCTGAGCCCAGGAGTTCAAGACCAGCCTGGGCAACATAGTAAGACTCTATTTTTTTTTAAGTGAGTCAATTGAAAATCAATTAAATATAATAAAGTACAGGTGTTCCATGGATATGGCGAACATAGTAAAAGTGGAAGACAAATGATTCTAGGAAGCACTGACAAAAGCCTGCTGTGTTTGAAAACAAAGGCTTATCTCAGAGGCGTTTGTCAAGGCTATCTCTGATTGATCTCTATTGATCTCATTATGTCTTCAACAACAGTAATAATAGTCATAAATAAAGAGGTCTGTTGACATTCTCCCCAAAGCTTACCCTGCGCCCCCACCCCTACTCTGGTTGAATGCACCAACCCCATAAGGAAGGCAATGGGAGCCAAAGAGTTGTTTTATTTTTATTTGTTTATTTGTTTATTTATTTATTTATTTATTTGAGACAGAGTCTCACTCTGTTGGCCAGGCTGGAGTGCAGTGGCACGATCTTGGCTCACTGCAATCTCCGTCTCCCAGGCTCAAGCAACTCTGCCGCCTCAGCCTCCCCAGTAGCTGGGATTACAGGCATATGCCACCATGCCTGGCTAATTTTTGTATTTTTAGTAGAGATGGCCCCGAAGGGTTGTTTTATTCCTACCCTAAGAAATACAGTTTTTCATCCCGTATCACTTACAGGATACAAACCATGGCTGCATCTTCTATACGGGGCACGAGTCTCTACTCTAAAAAGTGAGAATTTCCGAAAAGTCTTGATCCAACATCTTTCAGAGGGAAAGCCTAAGTGCTCTGGAAAAGATTTGTAACAGCCTTGCTGGGATTAGCTCCTCAGCTCAGGCCCAAGGGTCTGCCATTCCCTAGCTGCAACTTGGCTGCCAAAGGTTGAAAGCCAGTTATAACCATTTTACAGAAAGGTTTGTTTTGTCTTTGATGACAGCGCTTTTGCTTAAGACAGCCTCTCCAGGCATTGTTGGGAAACCAGTGTTGACCTGATGTGACCTCTAGAAAAGCAATATAGCCTTCTATGTTATGGGACTTCTATGGCCATGTCTAAACTTTCCCTGAATCTAATCTAGCAGCTTAAACAGCAGTCGAAAGAAAGATAAAGACGCATCACTGATGAAGAAAAAAGGCCCTTCATGTGTTTACTTGAGGTGCTCCTGGTTTAATGCAGACGTTTTCTGTCATCATTTTAATAGCAGCTTCCAGACTTTTAAACCTCTCTAAGGTCACATAGCTAAGTGGCAAATATGAGATCGCAACCCAGTTTTGTCTGGTTCCAAAGACCGTGGTATTCCACAATATCACAATACTCACACTCGAATCTTTATCAATGAAGTGATATCGAGGATCAGCACTTTAAAAATAATCTACTTTCATAAAAGAATAAAGAGGATCAAAGTTTTTGCGTCGCCTGCAGGGACAGAGCCACTTGCACACCATTCATGGGGGATCCTAGGATGATTGCTGGGTCCACTGGGGCCCTGTTGCTTCCATGGCTATCCTTGTGATTATTAAAATGACCCTGCGGCATCCCACTGGGGTGGAGCCGGAAACGAGATGGCAGGAATGAAGGCTGACACATGAGGCAGAGCTAAGGATATGGACCACTTCTCCGTTCTCCTTCCCAGCTCCAACATGTGTGAAGAGAGGAGGACACAGAGGACTGGGGATGGTGTGAGCCAGGGAGGAGGGAGGCGATGTGCATCTGTTTGAAGAGAGAGGTCTCTCACTCAAGAGAGGTTTCTCTCCCTTTGACACATTTAGTTGAAGGAATCTGACAACAAACCACAGCTTTCTTTGTCAGGCTGAGTAGGCAAGAGCCATGTGAAATATTTTCCCACGCTGCTTCCACCTCCTCACAAAATGCTGCCTAAGTAGTTTCCATTTTCCTTCTGTTTTCTCCACGCTCCAGGTCAAACAGTAACTGAAAAACCAACGTCATGTTCGGTCATTGTTTGGTTTTGCCGTTTAGTGGATAAATTGGAAAAGTGCTTCTCCTGATAATTTGTTTGTTGCAAGATTGTACCAGGAGGCAAGCTCTGTACCTGTTATTGAAAGTTATTCAGGCACATGCAAGTTCCAGGTCTGTGGAGATTTCACTTCCCAGCCTCCTGATCACAGATTCCTGCGGGCAGGGGCCAAGTCTTCCTTCAAAGGAAGGCAGTGTAAGGAAGCACACACTTCCATACAGTCACTCAAGTTACTATCATTCATCTTATTCATAGTAAATGCATCACTACAAAGGCATGTGCTGAGTTAATCTGGGTCCCTAATTCTAAAAAATTATTATTGGCATTAGAACGTCTCTTTCCCTATGTGTTGTTGTTGTTGTTGTTGTTGTTGTTGTTGTTTTGAGACAGAGTCTCGCTTGTCGCCCAGGCTGGAGTGCAGTGGCTCAATCTCAGCTCACTGCAAGCTCCGCCTCCCGGGTTCACCATTCTCCTGCCTCAGCCTCCTGAGTAGCTGGGACTACAGGTGCCCGCCACCATGCCCGGCTAATTTTTTGTATTTTTAGTAGAGACGGGGTTTCACTGTGTGTTAGCCAGGATGGTCTCGATCTCCTGACCTCATGATCCACCCACCTCGGCCTCCCAAAGTGCTGGGATTACAGGTGTGAGCCACCACACCAGGCCTCCCTTTGTTTTTTAAGTTTGTCATTGGGTTGGGTTGCTTGCTTCTGGCCATAGCCTTTTGGAATGTCCAACTCTCGATACACAACCACAGCTGAGCTCAGGATGCCCTGAGACTCAGAGTGACAGATCTGGCCCTGATAATGAAGCTTCTCAGGTGTTACCCTACTCTGTACTCAGCCGGCACTTCACTGCGGCTCATGTGATAACAGCCCAGTCTCACGGTCTGCTATGCAACACTCCTTGGCAACCCCCTAAAACTCTGTTATCTGGCAAGTACTTTGCACTTAATGCCCAGAAAATGTAAAATCTCTGGACTCCCGTGGGTTTTCTGGGTGTCAAATCGGCAAAACTCTAAACAGCTTTGGAAGTGAGTGTATTAAATGTGTTTGGAATAACAACCTGCCTCTCATTTTTGATAACAACTTGATTTAGCTTTTTTTTTTTTTTTTTTTTTTTGAGACAGTCTCGCTCTGACATCCAGGCTGGAGTGCAGTGGCTCAATCTCAGCTCACTGCAAGCTCCGCCTCTTGGGTTCCCGCCATTCTCCTGCCTCAGCCTCCCAAGTAGCTGGGACTACAGGAGCCTGCCACCACGCCCGGCTAATTTTTTTTGTATTTTTAGTAGAGACGGGGTTTCACCATGTTAGCCAGGATGGTCTCGATCTCCTGACCTCATGATCTGCCCGCCTCGGCCTCCCAAAGTGCTGGGATTACAGGCATGAGCCACCGCTCCCGGCCCGATTTAGCTTTATTCTGCTAAAGCAGAGCCCATCGCTCTGGGGTATATGGACTCCACCCTACCCCCGTGCCTCCCTGGACTCCACGAAGACTTCCCAAAGGTGCCTGGCCAGGTAGTTTATATGAATACATTCCCCGATCTTTAGTTTCCATATGTGTAGTCACCCCAAACTGATCTGCCTTCAGCAGAGCTTGGGGTGCCAGCAGAAGCCCCAAAGCAGCTGAAGATTGAGAAGAAAGTTGGTTCCACTGCAGGACACAAACTCGACCTTGCTTTTCCTGGGGCCAAGAGACCTCTGAACGGATTTAGCTGTCCTAGGCCAGAAGAAACCGTACCTGGGAAAACAATTTCCAGAAAGCATTGTTATTGGTGCTAATTATTGGGTTAAACTGTCAAGCTGAACTGAATAACAATACTCTTTATCTGTCGTTTGCCAATTAATAAAATGGATATAATGGTGAGTGTATGTGTCTGGGTGAGAAGGGAGGGGGAGTTGTCTGTGAATAATTTGTCCCCCTAAGATTTCTACACACTGTCTATAAGTTTTTTTTCCATTTTAGATGACTGACTAAACTGCACTTTGCTTTAGAAATGATCAAAGGAGAGCAAAGTTAAGATGAGGCAATGAATCTGCACATAAGATTTCTCATTATCTGACTTAATCTCCTTATTGACCTCCTATGCAAATTTAAGTTAGAAGTCATGAGGATGAGCTCCCTCAACTCTCAGCCTCCACTCCCTCAGTGAATCGTACTTACTTCCTGGCCTCCTTTCCTGCAGTGTCTGTGGAATGCAAGGAGCCCCTTCCCCTGCCCAGGGCTAATCCCACCTCCTCCACTTCCTCGGGAACCCCATCAACCATCCCCCAGTAACTTTAGCATCTCTCTCTCAACCAGCTGTCTCCCACACATTAACGTGGTTCAATCTCTCCTGTCTTCAGGGAAAAGACCTCCTGGACCCAGTGTTCTCGTTCCCTGCAGCTGCTGTGGCCACTGGAAAGAGTAGCTCCCATCTCCAGGGTCTTGCTCTTCAACCCTCTGCTGTCTTGTTTCTGCCTCCCATTAAAACTGTTCTTTCAGAGGTCAGTTGTCAAATCCAATGGGCAGCTTTCAGTCTTTATCCTTCTAGGCCTTTCTTGAGCCATTTAGTACTGCAGACTGATCCTTCCTCCTGAAACATCCTCTTTCTGTGGCTCCCAGGGCACCCCTCTTTCCAGACTTTTCTCCATCATCTCTAGCTCATCCTGCTCAGCCTCCCTCACTGGGTTCTCTTCCTTCACCTGTTTAAAAATAAATAAATAAATAACAGACTATGATTGAAGTATACATACAGAGAAGTGCACAAATCGTAAGTTCACAGGTTGATCATTTTCACAGACAGAACACTCCACGTAACTAGCACTGAGATCAAAAGATGATGTGTTTCCAGCACGCTTAGAAATGGTCTTGTGCCCCTTCCAGCCACCAGATCCCCCGAAGAGTAACTACCATCTTGACTTCAAGCATTAGAGATGAGTTTTTTCTGTGCTTGAACTTTGTAAATGTAGGCTATGAATGCTCTGCCAGGCTTCTTTTGCTCAGCATTATGTATGGGAAAATTGTATTTTTGTAGATGTGGTTTATTCATGCTCACTGCAGTGAGAGATTTGGCTGAGAGAATATACCATAATTCATTTATCCATTCTTCTGTGACAGATATTTCCAAGTTTTGCTGTTAGAAGGGATGTTGTGATGAACACTTGTGTACCTGCCTTTTAAATAATCAGTTCCCTAGATTTCCATCTTAGACCTTTCCCCCTACATAGTCCCCTGGAATATTTGGAATATTTGGAGGAACTCTGGAATATTTGGAGGAGGTGATGGACAAAGATTGTTTAGACATAAAAGCAGTAACTCTCTTCTCATTCCCAAGAAAAACTCATGAAAATGTTCAAGTGAGTATTGTTTTTGCAAATAGTACTATTTTCATAAGCTAAACTTCAATATCTACATGTCAATCCAATAGTAACAACAACCTGAGGTCCAAAATTATTACAGGCAAAGTGAAATTAGTACCAGCTGGAGTGCAAGATTTTTATAGGGGAAATTCAATTAGTAAAATAAAATTTATTTCTCAGCTGATGGGCCCAATGATTCCACAATACCACTGAGTCCTTTAGTTCTATTAGTTTGGTCATTAATTTCTGCTCCACAATAATTAGAGATGAGGGGACCTCTTTTGCTGTGTAAATTTTCCTAGCAATGAAAGGTAGAAAATTGGGCATGCCATTCTTGCTACAATGACCAGCCAAATCAAAGCAATATGCAATAGCTCCAAGCCACATGGCTTACTAATAAGACCATGTCAAGTATGAGAACAGTCAAGATTGATTAATAAGTAAAATTGAGCTATAGGCATTTTAGGTAAAAGTAAAGTTCTGGAATTACATTTGCATCAAGTTTGTAAAGTTTTTTTAAGTGTTTTGTTATTCAATAATTCAGAAATTATTTTCATTTTGGTATAATTATCAGAAAAAAAGTATGAATTTAAATTTACTGATATAGTTAGTAAGCTACAGTTAGATATTAATCTTATTCTGTCTTGAGGAGGTAGGGGGAAATGCCTTACCCCAAATCTTACAATTTTAAGTTTTTTCTCCTCCAAAGATATTTTAAAATATGGGAATTTTGGAGATATTTTTTCTGGAAAAATTCCTCTTCTCTGTGCCAAATGGTTTTGAAATATCCATCACTTCTCTCTGATGGTAAACTATGTGATATTGCTTCTATTTTTTAAAACAAAGGAAAAATATTTTTACAGTTCCACTTTGAGGCGCTTTAGAAAGAATTCTGGTAATGCTGAGTGAACAATAAATAAATTTTAAACAAAAGTCGATTCAGAATTGGAAACAAATATTTCACTTGATTCATTGGCCATGAAAGGATTTGGAGAATCAGATGATATCATTTTAATGTTTTTGTAACCTATGAAAGCACTTCCGTTCCAGCTAGTAATGTGCAATGGTTGATGTATTTTGAACTTGCCACACATCTTCCTACTTGGCTTGACACTGCTTAGCAAGTTTTGAAAACTTGTAAGCCTTTTCTTAAGAGATGCAGGAATTGCTGATATTGGGTATTTTGGATTTCTTTTACTTTCTTGAAGATACTCATGACAGTACCTCTCTTCTTTAAATTCTGCTGCAACTCCATTGGATTATGTTAGTATTTATAATACTTATATTATTATTGCAATCATGGACCTACCCAGGAATTTTATTCATATACTATGGAAGCCAAATTTGAACTAATTTAGGCAAAAGGAGGTTTTATTGAAAGGATTGGAGTGTCTTACTGCTAATCTGCCTGAAGAGGAGGGAACAGCTGTCTCCCAGGGACAGCTGGAACCAGGGACTCAGCTACAACTGGGACCTATGCTCTCTACCTCGGCCTCTCTGTGCATTCCCTTCATTCTCTGTTACTGCAGATCAGATTTCTCCTAGTGGTGGGGAACACAGCCTCAGGTCCTCTGCTAGCCTATATGGCATTTTTATGCAAATTAGAAAAGGTGCTCCTCTGGGTGGATGCAGCCTCGTGGTTGTATAGTTTGGTGAGCAGAAGACGCCTTTGTGAAAGGAAAAAGGTACCTCCTTTGATAGGATGCAGCCCTATACCAGGGTCCCGGGCTTGTTTAGCAAAAACAAGTGAAATCCAGTCCCCAGTCTTTGCTTAGGCCCCTACGTACACAAACTGAACCTAGTGACCCAGCATGGCCTCTAATTTCTCAACACTTCTGTACTTCTGTAATGATTAACCCATGCTTCTCACAGATCCATGCCCCAAATTTCTGTGAATAGGCCCTGACTGGCCCAGCTAAGATCATGTGACTGCACATGACCAGTCCACTTTGGCATTAACAAGCCTACTGCAGACTCTTCCCTTGGTGTTGGAGTCACTCCTAGAAAAGAGCAAATCTTTGTGAGCCAGGCAGTCAACCTGCTGGCAGCTTCCACTCAGCCTTGGAGTTTTTTCTATGTGTAACTTTCATAAACTGAGCCTTATTTATTTATTTTTTGCACTATCATCTCATGAAATATTATTGCGTAAGCTGAGGAAACATGTTATTCATGATGACTGGAGTTTCAAGTTTTAATTGTACAATGATTTAGTTTTGAGTTTGGTAGAAATAAAATCAAATTTAAAAATCAGATATTTTTCATCTTACATTATGATGTCCCAAAACTGCCTTTATGCTTGTGACATAGATTCATAATGTCTTCTCATTCCACCTGTAATCACTGTTTGAAATAAACATATGTCTAATGATATATTTGGGGACATTCTATTTTCTTCAGCTTGTTGCAAGTGAATTGATGGTGATCTTTTGGTATTGGTTTCATTATCAAATTTATCTCCACTCCAAAATTACAGTAATTTCAAAGTAATTTAGTCTATATATTTTTCCATAGCTTTTCTTCCAAATAGAAACTGTAAAAAGTTATAAATTACTTCTCTCCACTACTGAATTTTTGTTTGCAGAATAACTGATGTAAGTAGCAGAATGCCTCTTCCTAGTTCAACCCTCAGGAATAGAAGTGAGAAGATCTTTAAAACTTCACCATTTTCCTTGACTTGTTTATAATTCTGAATGTAAATGTGAATTGATATGGTCTATCGCTTAACACCACAACTCTTAATCTATGTGCAGGGTCGTAGCTCAAAACTACTGCCAGGACCACATCAATTTCATATTCACCCTGATCAATGTGTATTAATGGTGATAACTATGAGAATGAAATGTACAGTTATCAGTATCATTTTTGACTCACTAGGTATATCCTCAGAAATATATGAAAAAACTAAACACAGCTTTTAGTTTGACATAATTTTTAAACAACTGGAGTTACCTTGGGAGAAAAATCCTACCAAATATCTATAATATTGAAAGAGTAAAAAAGAGTTAAATGTCCTTAACATCATTAATCATTAGGGACATGCAAATCAAAACCACAGTGAAATACCATCTCACACCCTTTAGGATGGTGGTGATAAGAAGAAAAACAGAGCATAACAAGTGTTGGCCAGGATGTGGAAAAGCTGGAACCATTGTGCACTGCTGATTGGAAAGTACAATGGTGCAGCTGCTAAGGGAAATAGTATGGTAGTTCTTCAAAAAATAAACAGTTATACCATTTGATTCAGCAGTTTCACTCCTAGGTATATACCCCAAAGAATTGAAAGCAGAATCTCAAATATTTGTACACCTATGTTCATAGCAGCATTACTCACAATAGCCAAAAGGTGGAAACAACCCGAATGACCCTGGATGGACGAATGGATAAACAAAATGAGGTCTATACTGACAATAGGATATTAATTGACCTTAAAAAGGAAAGAAATTCTGGCCGGGCACGGTGGCTCACACCTGTAATACCAGCACTTTGGGAGGCCAAGGCAGGCAGATCACCTGAGGTTGGGAGTTTGAGACCAGCCTGACCAACATGGAGAAACCTCATATCTACTTAAAATACAAAAAAAAAAATTAGCCAAGCATGGTGGCGCCTGCCTGTAATCCCAGGTACTCAGTAGGCTGAGGCAGGAGAATCGCTTGAACAGGAAGCAGAGGTTGCAATGAGCTGAGATTGCACCATCACACTCCAGCCTGGGCAACAAGAGTGAAACTGCATCTCAAAAAAAAAAAAAACAAAAAAAACAAAAAAAGAAATTCTGACACATCTGCTATGGTCTAAATTATGTGTTCCTCTAAAATTCATAAATTGAAATCCTAACCCCCAAGGTGATGGTATTAGGAGGTGAGGCTTTGTGGAGGTGATTAGGTCATGAGGGTACAACCCTCGTGAATGGGACTAGTGCCCTCATAAAAAGAAGCCCAAGAGAGACCCCTTTTCCCTTCCACTGGATGAGGTCACACCAAGAAGTTACCATCTACATGTCAGGAAATAGGCCCTCACCAGACACCAAATCTATTGGCACCTTGATCTTGGACTTCCCAGCCTGCAAAGCTGTGAGAAATAAGTTCCTGTTGTTTATAAACCACCCAGTTTATGGTATTTTGTTATAGCAGCTCAAACAGATTAAGATGGCTTGCTACAACATAGATGAACTTTAAAGATTATGCTTTTCTATGATTCCACTTAGATGGGGTACCAAGAGTAGTCAAGTTCATTGAGACAGAAAATAGAGTGGTTGGCAGGGGCTAGGGGGAGGGAACTCTGGGGAGTTAGTGTTTAATGGATACAGAGTTTCAGTTTTGCAAAATGAAAAAGTTCTGAAGATGGATGGTGCTGATGGCTGCACAATATGAATGTATCAACACTACTCAACTGTACACTTAAAATAAGGTTCAAATGATACATTTTATTTCATGTGTGTGTCAATCTCAACAAACAGATTTGTTCAGGCAAGGAAACTGGTTAGATGCGAATAATACTATTAGAGCATCATCAATTGAATATTAACAAAGTGCTCATAGTTTAACTTTCTAGCTCAAGGAAGAATGGACCATTTTGAAACTATGACAGAACATTACTTATATAGCTGATGTCTTTGGGAATTGGAAGGAGGCATATTCCTTCACCAGCTGTGGCTCCCCTTCAGCAACCTCATATACTCTCCAAGCTTCTCTTTCCTGGGTCACCTGTTTAATCACTCCCGGGACTTAATCTTCCACCTATATGTTGACCACTCACAAATCTATGTCTCCATCTCACAAGCTTATTCTTGACTCCAGACCCAAGTATTCAACTGCCTGCTGAATACGTGTGGTCAGATGTCATAGAACTTCAGCTTCAGTATATCAAATGCAAACCCCTGTTCCCCCCAACTGCCTCCTACTCCCCACTGGCCTTCCTCTGGCATTCCCTCCTCAGTTATGAGCACCACCGTCTCACTAGCCAGCCAGTCAAGCCCCAAACTCCATCTAGCTGACTTCTGCCTCTTCCTCACCACCCTCTTCCAGTAACTCATCAGGCACTGCTGTGTCTCATTCCTTCCTATCCCTCCAGTCCCTCCCCTTCTCTCCATCATGGCTGTCACTGCATGGTTCAGGCTCTCTGGCTCCCCCCAAACCACCCCCACATTGCTGCCGAGGTGAACTGACTACTCTTGGCAGCCACTGGATTAAAATCTTTCATCATCTTCAGCATGATAAAACCCATATCCTTTAGCATGTAACAAGGTCTTAATGATTCTGCCAGAGCTTGCTTGGGGGTAGCCTGCACTTGTGGGCCACTCCAGTCACTTCACAGGTGCTCAGTAAATCTCAGTTGAATCAGTCATCATCATCATCATCATCATCATCATCATCATCATCATCAATTTTTCAGTCTGGTTCCTGTCTCCTTTTCCAGCATCCTCCATTCATAGCCTCATAGCCTTCACTCCAGCCATGTTTCACTTGTGGTTTTCCTGGGCAAGATAAGCTATTCCTCCCTGTCTTTGCAGAGTTTAAATGACTCACTTGTTCAAGTACCCACCGTTGCCATGTGGGACCGTGAGCAAAGTACTTAATCTCACTAAGCTTCACGTTCCTCATCTGTAAAACAGCAAATATGGACCTCACAAAATTGTAGTGAGGCTAAAATGAAATAACATATGCAAAAGCAGTTTATAAATAATAAACTTACTATAAAATATTATTTTGTAATTCTGCAAGCTTGTCTTAAATGCCATCACCTCCAAGGAGCCTTTTTGCCATCATAAGCAGAAACTATCTCTCTCTTCTTGGAAGCTCCACCATGCACAGCCTATGGGCCCTCATCACACTCCTTGAGTTATTCGAGTTCAAGTCCCGTGTTTACAACCAGACCGCAAACTCTATGAAGTCAGCATCCATTCCTCTCTGTGGTTCTCCCTCCGCCCCATCCAGGTCTCAAGGGTCTAGAGTCTTTCAAAGAGAACACATTCTGAGATTTGAGGAGGCAGAGACAAAAAGTTCCACTGCGAAGTGCCAGGGAGGCTTCTGTTTGGGGTGTCCCTTGGGATCACAGATCCCCCACCTGGTGATGAGTCAACCCAGCACCACCCCATTGCAGGGCTGGAATGACAGTAATGGGCCCACCTGCTGCCTCTCCTCATACCCGCACCCCAGTCAGACATTGCAAGTCAGTCACGGCTCTGTCCTGCTGGGCCTGGAGTGTTCCAGTGCCTTTTCCATCACAGCACCAAGCAGCCACTACTAGTCGATCAATTTCAGCACAAGAGATAAACATCATTACCCTCTGCTAAGCTCAGAGATAACCCAACTAGCTGACCATAATGACTTCAGTCATTACGGAGCAAGATAAAAGACTAAAAGAGGGAGGGATCACTTCAGATCTGCCGAGTGAGTCGATTGGACTTAAAGGGCCAGTCAAACCCTGACTGCCGGCTCATGGCAGGCTCTTGCCGAGGACAAATGCCCAGCCTATATTTATGCAAAGAGATTTTGTTCCAAACTTAAGGTCAAAGATACCTAAAGACATCCCCCTCAGGAACCCCTCTCATGGAGGAGAGTGCCTGAGGGTCTTGGTTTCCCATTGCATCCCCCACCTCAATTTCCCTGGTGCCCAGCCACTTGTGTCTTTAGGGTTCTCTTTCTCTCCATAAAAGGGAGCCAACACAGTGTCGGCCTCCTCTCCCCAACTAAGGGCTTATGTGTAATTAAAAGGGATTATGCTTTGAAGGGGAAAAGTAGCCTTTAATCACCAGGAGAAGGACACAGCGTCCGGAGCCAGAGGCGCTCTTAACGGCGTTTATGTCCTTTGCTGTCTGAGGGGCCTCAGCTCTGACCAATCTGGTCTTCGTGTGGTCATTAGCATGGGCTTCGTGAGACAGATACAGCTTTTGCTCTGGAAGAACTGGACCCTGCGGAAAAGGCAAAAGGTAACAGTTACTGTCTGTGGTTTAAAAATGAGGTGTGGAGCAAATAAACAGGTTGGAAGTGTGGGGTGGGGTGGTGGGGTAGGGTGGTGGGGCAGGGTGGGGGGTTGTGAGCAGTCAGTGGGCTTGTCGCCGATTAGCACTGAAGCAGTGTTTAGCTGGACGGCCTTTCTGTGGGCCCCTCTGACAGTGCCCTTCCCAGGAAGATGTGTTTCTCTGTCCTCAGCCACATGAAAATCTTTTGCCTACCGTGCCTGTCAATCCATTGCCTGCCCGCCCCTCCCCCACCCCCCGTTTTACACCTGCCTGTCCAGTCTACCGCTCTCTAGGGCATCCACGCTGAGCAGTGGGAAGAACTTTAAGCCCTGAAGAGCAGGCCAAAGGCAAGCAAGAACCCCCTCGAACAGCTTCCCAGCTTAGTGAGGCCTTATTTCATTGATTCTCTGAGGCACATTGTTTTTTCACATGTTAGCATTTCTGAAATTGGGATGCAGCTCACGATCAAGTCACAGTTTAACTGGACACATTATTTTTCTTTCTTAGTGGTGCAGAAAAGTAACAGTGTGTCTTACAATTGACTGCGTCCTAGATTCTGTGAGATGCAATACGTTATTAACCATCACGCACATTTCCTGAACTCTTTCAATGAGCAGACACCAGCCTGGGTTAGACTGGAGCCCTAAAAGCACGACACAGATTCCACCCTGGACTGGCTTCTGTTCTGCCTGGGAAAACCCAAAGTACGTTTGGAGACCAAGAGCAACATAAAGTAGCATAGGTGGAATAGTCCATGAGAAGTGCGAGCAAAAGGTGCCGGAGATCAGAGAACACCAAGACTGTACTTGTAAATGACAACTGGCTTTGTGCAATTTTTTCTGGGAAAGGATAAGGAGTGACTATAGAACTGTAAAGAAAGAATGCACTTTGCTACAGCCTTGCAGAGTTGTGCAAATGCCGATGACTAAAGGAGCTGAAAGAGGAAGGAGGGGATAAGGGATGGGGGCTGGGTAGGGGTGAGATTAGGACCCTGGGAGCTGCAAGCCACTGGAGAGATCAGGAGGAAAGGGAGGGAGACCTGCTTTAGGCGAGAAGAGAACAGTATTTGTTCCAAATCTCGGTTCAGAATAAGTTCATGTAGGTGATGGGGCCAACTGGAACAGGTGAAGGCCTATGAATGAGTGTCTCAGTTAGGGTCTCCTTAGAGTTTAATATGAAAAGGTGTTAGCTAAGTACAGAGCTGGTACCTGAGAGAGTAAAAGGAAACTCTAAGGTATCATGGAGGTAGCAATTGCAGGACACAGCTCCCACCCCTAGGGCTGAGAGAACCAAGGGAAGAGACAGGAATTATTAAGACTTGGAGCATAGATGAGAGGTCTGTGGAGCTGACATTAGGACTTGGGAGGAAGGCGTGCATGGAGGCTGCTGCTGGATCTCTGAACCTGACCTCGGGTCTGGACCCCTGAGGAGAAAGCCCTGGCAGGTTGGTGCATGTGGGGCCGAGGGACAATAGCTTAACAACCAGCATAAAAGAGAGCAGCATGGGACACGCTTCAACCATGCGCATGGATGGCTCCAAAACCTGTGTGTGGCTGGCCCAGGACGCAGGGAGGCTGCAGGGGGAAGAGACAAGTTAAACCTGACTTGTCTGGGAAGCACCATTGTCCTCAGGTCACTTTCCTCTGTCAAGCCTGGTGCTGAAGTTATCTGTTGTCTCCAGGGGCCAAGTATTAAGAGTAATCAGAAACTCAGTCCTTTCTTCTAGGAGCTTCCCTTCTTGCATGAAAATCCTGATAAAACTGGAAAAAAAAACCTCATGATTAAATTTTTTCATGTATTCATTCTTTCCTTCTATCAAAAAATAATCTCCAGGCACCGTGCTAGGTTCATTGGTATACAATGGCAACAAGACCTCCCAGCCCCTGCCTATGTGAGGCATCTGTGGACTGCGGAGGAAAATCCAATATGCCATTGTTCTCTCTTTCCCATAAGAAATTACAATTCTCAGTTCATTTTATTCTCACTGTGCTCTTTGTGACCCTCAAAGGGGGTCACATGATAACAGGACTGTAGCTGCTGGCCTAAAATGAGCCCATTCCTGTGGCGCTCATGTCGCTGTGACAGAGAATAACCCTGTTTTCAGAATGCTCTGGTGCCCTCCCTCTCAATCTGGCCTTTCGCTGGCATGGGTGGGCGACTCCTGCTCAGGGACTCTGCCTTCTCCACAGTGTGCTCCCAGGGAGATGGAGCCACTCGGGCTGAGGGCCTTGGCCAGGGCACCTCCCAGGGCTGGGCCTGGTCTGGGCTGGCGTTCACTGGATGCCATCCTGATGGCCTGGAAATTGAGATTTCTGTCTGGCACGCCTCCCGATGGCTCCCCACCTGCTACCACATTCCAGGAGCTTCCAGGATGTCTGGGTAAGACAGAGGCACCCCCAACAGATTCAGTAGCTCTGAGAGGGATCTGTGGCTCCTTCCTAAGCTTGCGGTTCTTCTGGAAACTTCTGCCTCTAGAAGATGGTCCCTCTAAGAAAAGTACAACCACCCAGCCCATAATTCAGCTCCCAGGTTTTCCCTCAAACCTCCATGTCTCCTGTAAGCAGAGCAAGAGTAAAATCAGATACCAAATTTCCTCATTCCTCAGCTCCCAATCCCTAAGGGCATAAGATGAAAATCTTCAGATCTCTGCTTTCCTCCCTCTTTTTTTCTTCCTCTGTTAACATTTGTCAAGTGTTACTAAGTGTCTGGCACTGTACTAAGTGCATCACCTCCCTGAACTCTCCGAACAGTTCCACGAGAGAGGCCTCTCTGTGATCCCCCCGGTACTGATGAGGTCACTGAGGCTCCAGAGAAGGATTAGTAACTGGTGGGGTTGGACCTGGGATTCACACCCATGCTGCGTGACCCAGGACAGGCAGGCATGGCCGTTACACCACACTGACCCCCGTGGATCGAGATCTATCCAATAGTCTGGTCACTGATATCACTAAGATAGAGTGGCCATATAATTTATCATCCAATCAGGGCAGTTTTGCAAGTGAAAGGGAGCACTATTAATAATTGCACTGGGACAATAAATGTAAACCAACACTGGACCTGGAAAACTGGGACGTGTGTTTGCCCTATACCAAGGTAAGCTAGACACAGCCACTGCCTTCATGGAGTTCAGAACCAGGCAGGGGCGGCTCCCACGTATAATTACTGTGCAGCACAACGTGGAGACCGTGGAGTAGAAGGAAACACGGATGGGAGGTGAGGAGGAGGTCTGTGAGCTCAGAGGAGGCACCGGGGCTGGAGAGGGTGAGAGAAGACTTCCCAAGGAGTTCATCCTGATAACGTGCATTCCCAATGACGAGCGCTCTCTCCACTGCACAAGACAAGTATACATCTGCCCGTGTTGGCTGTGGACCTGGCGCTGTGTCAGGGAGGGTTTATGAAGATCACTAGGTGGGTCTCTTGGTGTCATCCCTTCATCCCAGCTTCTGGGTTAGGATGGATATCTGTGGGGGGGCCTGAGGACTCATGAAAGTGGGGCGCTAATCATGTTTTGGACACCACACCCTGGAGCACCTGGGACAGCTGTGGCCTTTGTCCTGGGTTCAGCATCAAGCCGAGGATGTGGCAAGTAAAGAGAGGCTGGGCACCAACTCCAGTGTACCCAGGCTCCGGGTCATGTTTGTCCAGGCTAAGAATTCTGTCCTGGTTCTCAGTGCAGAAGGAAGAATCATGGGGCTCATTTTAGGCCTTGGCTGCCTTCTGTTAAATTGAAAACAGAGCAGGAAGGAAGAAAATTTAACAGGCTCAGTTCTAAAACAACAAGCACAACTGTGCCCTTGCCAGAAACCCCTCCTCCCCATGTTGATTGAATGGTAAAGAGAGGAGGGGAGGTGAGAGGGAGAGAGAGAGAGAGGAAGAGAGAGAGAAAGGAAAGAAAGGAAAGAAGAAGAAAGAAAGAAAAGGAAAGAAAGAAAGAAAGAAAGAAAGAAAGAAAGAAAGAAAGAAAGAAAGAAAGAAAGAGAAAGAAAGAAAGGAGGGAGGGAGGGAAGGGGAAAAGAAAAGAAAAGAAAAAGAAAAAAAGAAGGAAATACCAGTTTGGGAAAAAAGAATTTTCCACCAGCCCTTCTGAGCCTTGGCTGGGCTTAATTAAAGTTACAGACATGTGTAAAGGGCAGGGTAGGGGGAGTCTGAGCTGCTGAGAAAACATGTTTTTAATTATACTGTGGAATTTCTCCCTGGGGTATGCCTGTACGCAGTTAAGCGTCAAGGACAGGGATGCCGCTCTGGGGAGGGGAAGCTGAGCATGATTTTGGAAGCCGGCAGAAGAGGCTATTGTGAAAACCAGACCTGTCAGGCTAGGAAAAGAATGGCTGGTGGTCTTTGACCAGGGAGTGACGCGTGAAATGCAGCAACCGCCCCCGCCCCCCGCCAAAAACAAACACACTCTCACAGAGTTAGAACAACAGTGACCTCTCAACAAATATTTTTCAAAGATTACCAACCAACCATTACCTAGAGCAGCGGTTCTCAACCTTGGCTGCACGGTGGAACTACCTGAGACGTGTTAAAAAGAAGAACCCTGATGTCCCATGCCCCAAGATTCTGATGTAGTTGATCTGGGGTATGATCTGAGACCCCGGCATGTTTTCAGCCTGCAGCCACATGAGAAGTGCTGACCTAATCAACAGGGGTGATGATTTGAGGGGCGGGGACTATAGGCAAAAAAAAACAGCCTAATTCAAGGATGAGAAGAGGGCACAGGTGAGGTGGGAACAGTCCTAGGGCCAGACAAAGAAGGAAGGGAGAAAGGAGGTGCTGATCCCTCCCCTACTCCTGAGAGGAGGCCTTTAAGTCACCGTGCCTTGTGGAGACCAGATTCTTCAAAAATACAAGAATGAGTGAGTGAGGGAGTGGGTGGATGCCAGGAGAGTGCGTGACAAGCCTTGCAAGGGAGGATGACAATGCACTAGCTTGGTTTGGAAATTTTACCCCTGGAACAGGCAGGCCAAGCTGGCTGGTCCCCTCCCTGATACACAGCCCTCCCTCTTTATATATGGAGCAGGGGACGGTGTGTGGCTGGTTTCTTAGCAAGCACCATGGTTCCAAGTTGGCAACTGGGGAGTTCTGAATCCAAAAAGGAGGGAGATGAACGTAAGTGGAGGGCAGGCCTACAAGGTTGCAGATAAGCTTAATTCTGTCTCCTTACTCTTCTGCCTTTGCAACAACCCTGTGATCTTGCGACAACCCTGTAAGGCAATAACAAATGGCTCATGTTTATTGAGTGTTACCTCATGCCATATTGTGCTTTCGTGTTTAACACAATTGTCTCATTTCACCCTCACGACTGCTCTGGGAGGTAGGTCCTGGTATCACATCCATTTCACAGATGAGACCATTTGGCACGGAAGAGTTGAGTGGGCTGCCCAAGGTCACATAGCTAAGATGGAACAGGCTGGATAGGAACCCCAGTAACTTGACCTCAGAGTAACCTTCTCTTAACCCTGAGTGTACACTGTAGGAAAAATGAGCAGTCCCATTTCAGAGAGGACAAAACTGAGACTCAGAGGTTAAGCAAGCCCCAAAGTGGTTGTTAACCCAGATCTTCCCACTAACTCCCAAATCAGCATCAGTGTTTAACGTACCAGACCTCTCCCAGATAGATGTTGCCGCATGGAAGACAGCCGATCTACGTGATAGAAAGCCAATATTGCAAGCAGTCGTCTAAAGGAGTCAAATGTGTTGGATTTGAACTGGATGTCTCATTTCTTTGGTGAAGACACTGGAAACAACTTCCAGGTTTCATCAATTGCTCCTATCACTCAACGTTGCTATCTTACTGAACTTGTTCCCCAGCCTTACCCACTGATGGAATGATCCAGAATGGAAGACAAGACACCAATGTACATGACCCTGGGGGAGGCTGTTTCTTAAATCTACAGACTGTTGGTGACCTGAGCCCCATGTCACCAAAGGCTTTCCTGGAGAAGCCTCCTAGACCAGTCTTGACAAAGGCTCACTCATTCCGTGGATATTTATTGGGCACCTATTATGAGTTCTGCCCCATGTGGGGTGCTGGAATCACAGTAGTGACAACGACAGATGAGGTTCCTGTCCTCAGGAAGCTTACTGCCCTTGAGGGCTTCACTTACTTGGAGGAGTGATGAACCTGAAGTGCGGTGTGTGTTAAGAAGCGGAAGTCCAGGGCCAGGCGCGGTGGCTCACGCCTGTAATCCCAGCACTTTGGGAGGCTGAGGCAGGCGGATCACCAGGTCAGGAGATCGAGACCATCCTGGCTAACATGGTGAAACCCCGTCTCTACTAAAAATACAAAAAAATTAGCCGGGCATGGTGGTGGGCACCTGCAGTCCCAGCTACTCAGGAGGCTGAGGCAGGAGAGTGGCGTGAACCTGGGAGGCAGAGCTTGCAGTGAGCCAAGATCGTGCCACTGCACTCCAGCCTGGGCAACAGAGTGAGACTCCGTCTCAAAAAGAAAAAAAAAAGTGCCTCACGGAGAGTCTATTCTTTTCTTCCCATATTGTGTGTGTGTGTGCGCGCTTCCTCCAACACATCCTCCCTATATATATTTTGAGTAAAACATCTTGTAAAAAGTTACAGCTACATAATCACCACCTGTCCCTAAATAGTTTTTGCTTTTTCTTTCTTCAATGCACGATCATTTTCCCCCATCAATTTATTTTTTAGTTTCTTATAATCTTGTTGCCAGTAGGCTGTTTTTTAAAAAGCAGAACATGGTTTGTTCTTACTAGCAGGAAAGGAGCATTTATTGAGCCTCTGCTATGGTGTCTTTTATTTTGCTGAGAGCCTATTTACATTTCTTTGAGAGGAAAACAACAAAGGGTTACATGAAAGACCATGTGAATAGCCCCTAGCTGATCTATTAAACTTGCTATTCCCCGGCCAGCTGCTTCAGATCTCCTTCAGATCTTATGTGTTTCCTTCCTAAGGTCCCTGGAGTAAGGGTTGCATAGACCTATTCTACTCTCCAACTCACATGTCCCTCTCCCTCTTCCTCTCCATAATTCCACATCTCCAACCCCCACCCCTATGTGCAATGCCACAGGGTGTGGACTGCCACAGCCACTGGATCTGCTTTTGGAATCAAGAGTCCTTAAGCTCCAAATGGAACCGAAATTTAAATACCAACTTTCAACCATATGTTAACATCAGCAGCCTCTTCCAATGTAAAAACCCATGGCAGTGTGCCCTGCTTTGTTTCTTTAAGCAATAGAAACTTGAAGGAAGCATGTTGGTAGGCCAGATTTTTGTTGGCTTTGCAATGGATCACAGTCATTTATTCACTCATTCATTCACTGATTCATTAAATGACCACATTTGCAAGGGCAAGGTAATGGGGAGGGCCAGAAAGGACACTGGCCCCAGAAACAGGAGGCTGGATTTTGGTTCTGATGCTGCCACTGCTGATGTGACACTGCACAGGTCACCTGCCTCCTCTGAGCCTCTTTCCTTAACTGCAGAGTGAGTGGCTACAGAGAAATCTTTACTACCTGTTAGATCAGCATTACCTGGGAGCTTGTTAGAAATGCAAGCTCTGGTGGGGCCATACTGAACCCAAATCTGCATTCATGTGCATAGTGACAGCTAAAATGCACTGAAGCAGATGATCTTGATGATCCTTTATGAAAGTCTCATGCTAATGCAGTTTTCTAAAATAGAGGCAGAGTGGAACCCAGATGGACACAAAATCTGGTTGATATAATAAAACAAGGTAGAGGGTGTATGGTGGGGAGGGGGTAAAGGAAGGAAACTGTTTAGGTAAAGATACCACAACCAAAGTCCTACTGCACACATGGGATCTGAGGAGGGCTGTGTCTGCTCTGGTTACGTTTTCTATAATCTCTTAGCACCACTGAACTTTCTCTCTTTTTGTTTTGTTTTTCCAGATTCGCTTTGTGGTGGAACTCGTGTGGCCTTTATCTTTATTTCTGGTCTTGATCTGGTTAAGGAATGCCAACCCACTCTACAGCCATCATGAATGTAAGCATAGCAGGGTAGCTTGGGCAAGCCCTGAAGAGACTTTGGTCTGGGCCTTTTGTCTAGAAAGATCTTGGGGTGGGAGTGTGGGGATCAGATCTGCTTATCATCATTTCATGTCTATGATGCATGTAACAGATTTATCAATGTTACACAAATTATAATTTTTAAAAAGTCTTTAGAGACAGGGTCTCACTCTGTTGCCGAGGCTGGAGTACAGTGTTAGGACCATGGCACACTGCAGCTTCTATCTCTTGGGCTCAAGTGATCCTCCTGCCTGGGCTTCCAAAGTGCTGGAATTATAGGCATGAGCCACTGCTCCCAGCTAATTTTTTTGTTTTTTGTGGAGACAGAGTCACTACATTGCCCGGGCTGGTCTTGAACTCCTGGCCTCAAGTGATCCTCCCACCTCAGCGTTCTAAAGCACTGGGATTACAAGCATGAGCCACCTTGTCCAGCCCAAATTTTCATGTTTTAATCCTACACATTCTAAGCAAATACTTGTGTGTAGTTACTAAGGGACTGTGCACTTATTTTTGTTTGCTTTGTTGTTGCTAGTTTTTATTTTTTTATACCTAAACTCTCTCGTTTTAAAGAGAACAGATTTGTAGATGAGTTCTCGAAAATATTTCAGGAATCAATATAGAGAATATGTTATACATGGTGCCAGAGAAAAATGAGGACAAGAGATGCTATACAATCGTACTGAAGAAAAATTTTATTTCTTGGACCCCTGAGGTGTCTGCAGACCTGAAAGGAACCTAGTGAGAGCCTCTTTTACACTCTGCCCCTGTGGGAAAGCCTTCACCTGGTTTCCGGCCCTCTATGTGGTGAATGTGGAAGCCTCAAGCGTTATGCAAATCTGCCCAGTCCTCTATTCTTGATCTTCACCTTCTCGTTCATGAGTTTCAGGCCCCAGTTCTGAATCAGCCTCCTGTCCATCAGACTCTTCTTTACCTCTCCCCGAGGAGCCCATAACCTGCAGCCCTACTGCATGCTTGGGGTAGGTGCTCAGTTCACCGTGGTTGAAGGAATAGACGAGCGTCTGCTCAAGCAGCAGCAGCAACTGCGTGGAGTCTTCTTGAACTAACACTCCTATGCCCCTCTCGGCACAAAATGACGTGTCCCCCCTTGCTTCCCCTTCACATTTCCACCCATGCCTATTACAACATCCGTCTGTCTCCCCACTACACCGGGAGCTTGAGAGAAGAGGCCATGTCTCTAGCACCCAGCACAGGGACTGGCACACATGAGATGCTCCTGCTTCTTAAATGCTGAGAATGAAGGAGGACATCAGAGGGGCCCGGGCCCCTTCCCAAAAAGGCCAACTCCTAGGTCTGCATCCTGCTTGGTCTCCATGACTAATCCCGTCTTGTCCTCATTTTCTGTTTTAAAGGCCATTTCCCCAACAAGGCGATGCCCTCAGCAGGAATGCTGCCGTGGCTCCAGGGGATCTTCTGCAATGTGAACAATCCCTGTTTTCAAAGCCCCACCCCAGGAGAATCTCCTGGAATTGTGTCAAACTATAACAACTCCATGTAAGTGTTGAGATCCCTACCATGCAGGGGAGGAAGTTGCACACCCCTTCACGTGCTGAAATGCACACGTGCGTGCACGGAGCATGGAGCACTGAGTGTTCTTGTGGCTTTGCTGAGCCCCTAACCTCTTAGGAGCAGAGCAGGTTTCCTCTCTGGAACATTCTGTTAACTGTCAGGGCACTTGGGGAGAAATCTCCAAGCTAAGGCCACGTGCACAAAATTTCTTGGTCCTTATATCCCCAGAATGTGACCTGGAGTCTGATGGCAGCCCGCTGCAGAGATGTGTCCACTGCCTTCTGGTCATTGACCTGCTTGGGTGGAGTGAATCATTGTAGGAGAAAAACTCAGTTCCCTCACCCTGATCAACCTGGACAGATCTCTCTTCCTTTAAAAGCTTTCTTGGACATCTAAGGGCTAGGAAAAATGTCAGGGAGCATTGGGAAGGTAAATGAAGTCAGGTTTACAAAGTCAAGTTTACTTCTTGGGAGAAAAATACAATTTCCAAATCCTCTGTTATAATTGCCATCGGCCCCCTGGAGTGGTGAGATCTCGGAATATGGCTCGGGTGCAGTGGCTCTTCACTGTGGGCCTGCAGGCTATTCTGAAAAGCTGATGAAAACCAATGACCCCTCTTCCAAGAAAAATGGCCACATACCAAACATTACACTGTACATCTGATTTCAGGGAATTGTAGATGCCAGGTTAGTAGCCTCAGGTCTAGGGTCAAAATTCAAGTCGAATCCCACAGGAAGAGGGTCTGCCTTCGGAATTCCCTTTCAGAGCATTGGGAGAACATCATGGGAGCATATTCTAGAGACAGAGGCTTAGGGTGTGGACAGGGCCATCCCTCACCCACTGTGCTGACCTTAAGCAGCACCTTGTGCAGCCCATACCTGAAGGCCACCAGCAAAGGCCTGTTGGGGAGCAGGCTTTACCCGACCTGTATAAACACCAGGCTAGGTGAAAACTGAGATACCTGGTTACTTTAGTTTTTTCCTTGGGGGAGCTCAGTATGATTCTTCCAGGAGAAGCCTGCTTTTAGACTAAAAAGAAAAAAAGTTTGATAGGTCAACCTAATGATTGGAGGTGGCCTTCCCCACTGTGAACAAACTATGGCTGCATGTGCCCTACAATGGCAGAGTTGAGTAGTTGTGATAGAGACTGTATGATCTGTAAGCCTGTAATTTTTATGTTTGCTGACCCCTGGATTACCAGATGATAGAAGAGGAAACATCTGTCTTCCTAGCAAAGTCAAGGAAGTGGCATTTAGCAGGACTCATATTGCTGCAAGCACTGCCTTGCAGTTTTAGTTTACAACTGCACTTTCAGCTTAAGAAACACCTGCCCATCCAGAGAGATCGTGTGGGGTCACATGGTGGGATCAGGGAGGCCTGAAGACAGCTCAGTGGAGGCTGCATGGAGCTTTGGTGGGAACGGCCCTGGCAGTGTCTATAGATGTTATTGCGGAAAACTGAGGGGTGGGAGTTGGAGAAGGGGGCTCCAGACTCTAGCTGTACTTGGCATTTGAACCCGGAAAGTTGGGTTTCATGTTTTGCACTCACATTATGAGTGAAATATTGGCTTATTCAAGGTTCTTTTGCTTGCAAGGCACGGAAACCCATTCAAGCAATCTTAAACCCCAGAAGGAAATCTATGATTTGGATACTAGACATTCTCACAGAGCCAAGGGCAGCAAGGCGGGGCTCAGGAGAGGCAGGCCAAGACCTGGAGAGCTGTCAGGAGCTGCTTCCTCAACTCTCTTCCATCTGGGCCTGCCAGCCCTGGCCTCTGTATCTACTCCATTCACCTCTCTCCATGGACCAGTCTCCCCTGCTCCTCAATGCCTGGGCTGCCATTGTTCATGCAATTCACAATACCTCGGCCTGGGCAATCAGAAGCTCATCTCTGAACACCATCCAAATTCCTGGGAACAAATCGGGTTGACCCAGCTTTATTCTCCCTGTCCCATCAGCCTTGGCAGAGGCGTGCATGTGCATGCGTGCCAATGTGTGTGTGCAGGGAGGTCCTTGTGGATGAAGCATGGCTGTCAGAGCCTACCTGCGTGAATGGGTGGAAGGGCAGGTCTCAGAGAATTGGGTAAAAACTGGATAAACCCTCCAGTGATATCCACCAATGTCACCCTGTTTAAGGCTTCTCTGGGCAAGAGACACACAGAGCATGGGACCGAGAGGCGAGCAGACCCTGCCAAAACTGGGAGACTGAATAGATCGCTCACCATCCTTGTCAGTTAGCCTATATGTACAAGGAAGTAAAATTATCTCTTTCTCCTGCCTTGGCAGTATTGTAAGGATACTCAATGTAGTAGCTAGGCCAGACACATAGTATCTTTAAATATAGCATGAGATGGCCAAGCACGGTGGCTCATGCCTGTAATCCCAGCACTTTGGGAGGCTGAGGCGGGTGGATCACGAGGTCAGGAGATCGAGACCATCCTGGCTAACACGATGAAGCCCCGTCTCTACTAAAAATATAAAAAATTAGCTGGGTGTGGTGGCGGGCGCCTGTAGTCCCAGCTACTCGGGAGGCTGAGGCAGGAGAATAGCGTGAACCCGGGGGGCAGAGCTTGCAGTGAGCCGAGATCACGCCACTGCACTCCAGCCTGGGTGACAGAGCGAGATAAAAAAAAAAAATAGCATGAGATATTATTACTGTTATAAAAATAACAGCTATTTCCTTATTAATGAGGCTTTGTCCTTACAGCTTGGCAAGGGTATATCGAGATTTTCAAGAACTCCTCATGAATGCACCAGAGAGCCAGCACCTTGGCCGTATTTGGACAGAGCTACACATCTTGTCCCAATTCATGGACACCCTCCGGACTCACCCGGAGAGAATTGCAGGTAAGCATGACTGCAGTGCTCTCAAGCATCATTTCCCTCACCTATGGAGAGACTGAAGATATAGGAAAGAACAGGGAGAGTTGGTGAAAAATATACTAGCGGAGGCAGGAAGGGATGGGGTCTGGAGGCGGCTTGAACATCACCTTGGTGAAGATGCCTCTTCCTCCACAGAAGCCTGGAAGGTAGGAAGTTGGGAAGGAAGGCAGGAAAGGTCTCATCCACGTTAAGTCTAGAGACAGAAAGAATGCTAAGAGAGATGGCACTATGGGAAGTATGAGGCTAGGTCAAGGGCTAGAAGCAGGGGAGACGAGTTTACAGAGTTTCGTAAAGATATAGAGCAACTCTCACAGAGTTCTAGAGCGAGAGCTAACCAGGAACATGAAGCAGCAAGGCCAACTATCATTAAGGAGCCAGGGAGGTCAGAGATCATGTATTATCATGACATAAATATGCATAATTGTACTATTTCTCCCAGTAATATTTAGCACCCAGGCCCCGAGGCAGAGCAAGTGGAGAGTGGGTGATGCAGGGCTGGGGGTGTGTATGGAGGCACCACAGAAGGTCAACAGGCAGCGGGCTGAAGGCAGGGACTGGACTACATGCATCAAGTCCAGGCTGCACGAGGAAGGATGAGAAGGCAGATGAGCACGGAAATGGACTGGGGGAAATGAAGAGGCAAGGGAATAGAAGTCTCAGTGGGTGCCATGACCCTGTTTAAGTGATTGAGAAAATGAACAAGATGAAAAGGTTAATGGCTGTGGTCAGAAAGTGAAATATGTGAATTCAGGATTTCGAAGGTAGGGTGGGTGATGACTGGCCCCCAGATGCGGCCATGGTGAAGTGGGGCAAAGGTGCAGGTGCATGGTGAGGGGAAGGAGGAAATGGGAGGTGATGATGTTGGCCCCACACGGACACCACGGTTGTGCAGGAAGATGGCAGGAGCTGGGCACCAGGGTGGGAGCCACCTGGAGTCAGGAAGAGTGAAGAGAAAGGATGAAGAGGCTCCCTCTCCTGTGTCTCTCCTCCCCAGGAGAAGAACAAGAAACAATCCGAAAGTAATAACACCAATGTGCCTTTACAAAGTGTGAGTGGGTGTTGTGTGCTGTCACGTGTGTAGTAGGCTCCTCTGTGGATGGCTAGAGGGACTGGACATGGCCACTGGATCCCACTTGCAAGAGCAGAGGAAAAGAGTGGTCGTGAGGAAGTAAAGCCCCCCAAAATCCAGGGGTTGCTGCAGCTTTGGGTGTGGAGCGTGCCCTCTGAGGAAAGGCTGCTCTGGGGGAGATTGCCCAGGAAACGGGGCTCAGAGGCCACGAAAGCAGCTGTTAGGGGCTTCTGGGAGATGTGTGCTCCTAGGATTAGGGAGTTGACTCTAAGGATGACCTTAGAGGTTAACAGGGATGAGAAAGGGGTCACCAAGGGGTCTACCAGGGGAATGGGAGAGGCTGTATTGATAGAACAGCTTCTGCTGCAGGTTCCAAACAAGAAATGTGGGAGAATGGTTGAAATCAGCCCCGGGGGCACCTTCCCGTGCATGCGTGCAGCTCCTTCAACATTCAGTCGACCTTCAGTGCCTCCTGTGAGCCAGGCACTGGGCTAGTCTCTGGGGGTGGAGAGATGAGTCAGGCAAATGCCAGCCCTCAGAGGGCTCACAGGGCAGAAGGTGAGAGATGAGTGAGCAGAAAATGACCACAGCGCGTGTGGGGCCCAGTGGAGGGAAGGAGGGGATTCAGGAGCACAGGAGAGTCAACAGGGGAAACTTCTCCGAGGAGAATCTGATCCTCCTCCCATCTGGCCACCTTCTGAAGCCCTCTCTCCCCATCCAAGTGAGAAAGGACAGGCGTATGACCAGATTGGTGTATGAAGATGCTGAATTACGTTCTCATTGTTTCAAACTAGTAAACCATAGATTTTATGTAGTAACTTCTACAAACTGCATTACAAACACTCCATTCTTTGTTGCCCTGGGTAGAAGTTTATTTTAGTGAGCCCAAGTTTGAGGAACCTTATATGGTATGAGTACAATTACCATTTTAATAGTAAGAAATCCCCCTTCCCCTGTGTACCAACCAGAAGGTGTTTTTTTCCTAATTTAAACAAACAGATGCAGACGTGGGCTGTCCAGCTCCTGGCGGGATGACATACCTCATGCATCCAGTGGGTTTGATGATGAGGCAGACATTTCACTTAAGTGCCTGATCATCAGATTGAGTCCTGCTGGGAGGAAGTGTGAAGGAAGTAATTTCAAACCACAGTTTCTCTGTGGCTTTTACAATGTGGATATGAGAACCAAAATCACTACTTCTTAACCCCAGAGCAGGACTGATTTTGAATTGGTATGCAGGCGGTTCCTTCTGCAGGCTTCGGGCTGTGAGAAGTCCCTAACAGAGCAAATCTGGGGACAAGGGCTCAGGAAAGGTTGGCCACGGCCCCCTAGGAATGGGGGCTCTGCAAGATCCCTGGCCTTAGAGGCTGTGAGAGGGAACAGGGGTCCATCCCCAAGTAAGGGACACGGTCTTTGAGGAAATCCCAGGCCAGGGCCTGAAGGGCACTGTCAGGAACACAGGCTGTTTCAGTCTGTTGAGATTCACCGGGGCGCTGCTCACTGTGAGCACGGACTCCTCAGGCCAATGTGGCAGAAGAGCCCACCTTTGAAAGCGAGCGGGTGGGGGTGGCGGGGCTGGTGCTGGTGCGTGCTTCTGCACAGCCACCTGGGAAGGTATGCCGCTGGTTGACCCAGGCAGAGGTTTTCTTTCATGGCAAACCTGCAGTACTGCATTCTCAGCAGGGAGGATTAATGGTAAAAGACCAGGCATGGAGCCCCCTTCCCTCTCCCTCGAAGCAAGCTCTGTGGTCTCTCAATCATCTTTAAAACACCTTCTTCCCGGGAGCCTCCTACATTCTCCTGGCTTCCCTCCCACCCCCACCCTCAGCTCCTGGGGCCTCAGCAGCCCCACCCCCAAGCCTCTAATCTTCCCAGGGAAGGGAACAAGAAGAACCACATTTTAAACGAAATTTATTTTTCTTTCCTCAGGCTCCCAGTTCACATTTCTCCCTCAGGAGTCTAGGGAAGCTTCTGTCTGGTATCGGCCTCCTCTTCACCTGGGCCCCCGCCCTCCTCAGGTGTACCAGAAGCCAGCACACTCCCCCTTCCCCCCCAGAGCCACAGCAGCCCTGTCTCCTGGGTGGTCTTGTGTGCCAAGCCTGGGCAACATCACTCCCAGCTTTTCTTGTTTTGCCCCTTCTCCCCAGCAAGATATTTGTATGTAAGGTCAGGTGAGTGAGTTAAAGAATAACGAAGAGATAAACAGTCAAATGGAGTCCTGACTGTCAGGTCAAGACAACAGTTATTTACTGAATGCCTCATGTCATTCAACAGACATTTATTGAGACTCTGATTGGATGTCAGTCTTTAATGCTGGGTGTCAGAGAGAGGTGACTTCAAGGGCTTGCATCTGTGCACCCAGCATTGCTAGGTACAATGAGGAGTATAATAAAAGCAGGAGCCATAGCCCCCAACTCTCAAGAGATCTCCCATGTGTGTATGTCTGCATATGCGTGCGTGTGCATGTGTGCGCATGTGTGCATGTGTGTGTGCATGTGTGTGCATGCGTGTGTGTGTGCGTGTGTTGGGGATGGTGTTGGTGGAGTGAGAGTGTACAAGGCTGTGTATGAAGGGGTAATTGGGAAAAGAACAATGGAGCTGGCACCCAGGGACAGGAGGAAAAGCAGGAGGGCTGGGTTTGGAAGACAGCCGGATTTATGTTTTTGAAGAGGGAAGACTAGAATATAAGGGAGCAGCCCTTCTCAGAGCCCTCCTCCTCCCTTCGGGCCCTGTGTCCAGCTTTCCCCAAAGTCCTTGGATCTTTCCTATGCAAAGGGGAGTGACAGTGGGCACCACTCTCAGGGAACCCATTACTGTGAGAGAAGCCACTGTGCCACTGTGTGGTCGAACTTCAAGACCGGCTTCCCCTGCCCCAGCTGCATGGACAGGCCTGTGGGGTTGGCGCAAGACCCTTCCAGAGGAAACTAGCTGCAACATAAATCCGGATATGGTGCTGTTCAGGGAAAGGCACAACCTGGGGATGAGAAGGGTGGCTGTCCAGCACACAGGGGCAGGCCTCTTGGCCACTGGGGGAGGGGAGAATTTGGAGAGGAAGAGGATGGGATGCCGTGGAATTGGGACCAGGAAAGAATGGGGACATGTGATGGTTAAAGCTAGTTAGAGAAGAACTGGGAGATAAACAGTCACCCATGCCCCTGAAGCACTCGGGGTGAAGAGATTGGCATTTTCACGCACCCCAGTGCTTTCCCTTTGTGTTGAAGTCCCTTCGTAGACATCCAGGCCCATAAGGCTCTTCTCTGGCCAGAGCCTCATGAACTATAGCACTAGCAGGGTTGAGGCCAAGCATTGGCCCTGGAAGCCAGCCGAGGAGGAGGGTGCTTGTGTGAATCTCCCAGGAGGGGTAAGAATTATATTAATTCGATCATAATAAGCATTTATTGAGTGCTGTTTTGAGGCCTGGGAGCTAAGCACTTCACATTCCTTACCCCGCATCAACAATCCTATGAGGTAGATGTGGAAAATGCAGACACGGGGACAGGCTCAATCACTTGCCCCAAGGTCACCTTAACTGTTAGGTGTTCTTTATGCCTCCTTATAAAGAAACCCTGCTTCCCACAGGTGTTGAGAGGAGCTGGAGGGAGCTTGACTAGGGCTCATCAGGCAAGCCCCGGCATGTGCCTGGCTCTCCTCTTTCTACCTGGAGCTTTTCCTGCCCTTAATGGCCCCAACTCATTTCTCTTAGTCCATGTCAGTGCCCTGAGCATCTCAGCCCAAGCTGAGATGATAGAAACACCCAGAGGGGTCCTCTACCCTGTGACAGCTGCGGTGTGGGAAGAGCACGTGTCTCCTCCAATCCTAGACCAGAGTTTCTCAGCCTCAGCATCACTGACACTTGGGGCTAGATAATCCTTTGTGTGGGGGAGGGAGGAGTGTCTTGGGCCTTGCAGGATGTTTAGCAGCATCTCTGGCCTCTACCCACCAGCACCTCCCCAGTTGTGACACCCAGAAATGTCTTTAGATCTTGCCAAATATTTCCAGGAGGATGAAATTCCCCTGTTTCAGTTCCCCAGCCCCACCTCAATGAGAAGCACTGTCCTAGACCAACCCCACAAAGCATCTGACACCCCCATCCAGCCCTGGCTAACTTTTTCCACCTTCTTACTAAATTGGGCCCAGCTGCTTCAGCAGTCAATGTGTTGGGGGCAGCCCACTGGCAAGAGCCTCACCTCTAGGGGCTCCCAGAGACCCCAAGAACAGAACCTTCCTCTGAGAGTTGAGTTACAAGTGTTTCCAATCGACTCTGGCTGTTTTCCTTTTTTTGACCCATTTCCCCTTCAACACCCTGTTCTTTCTCTTATTCATATGTAGGAAGAGGAATACGAATAAGGGATATCTTGAAAGATGAAGAAACACTGACACTATTTCTCATTAAAAACATCGGCCTGTCTGACTCAGTGGTCTACCTTCTGATCAACTCTCAAGTCCGTCCAGAGCAGGTAGGGGGATGTCACTGGCCAGTGGTCCCTGGAGGGGAGGGAAGCACCCAGCCTGAGAAAGGCAAGAAATATATTGGCTTTTTTCTTCTTTCTTCCTTGTGTTCACATTCAGAATCCATCACTTAATGCCTTGTATTTAGAAAAAAACCGGGGGATCACTTGAGATCGTGATCATTTTCAACATAGGATTCGAAGCTGTACACATCCTGGTGACCTTAAAACATCTCAGGTTTTTATAACTGGAAGGAACCTTAGAGATCATGGGGCACAACCTTCTCTTTATAGATGAGGAAACAGAAATCTATTCATTTATTACTCAAATATTTAGGGACAGTTGTAGGTACTAGAACACAGTGTGAACCAGACAGGCAAAACCCCAGGCCAGGGAGCTTCCATTCCAGTGGGGCCACAGGCGATGCTCAGGTAAGCAGAGACTCCGCTGTGTGACTTCTGGCTGTGATGGGTGCTGCAAGGAAAATCCGGTAGAGTCGAGGGTTAGAGAGGGACGGAGGGGCAGGTTTAAGGGGGATGCTCAGGAAGGCCTTCCTGAGGAGGTGGTATTTGAGCAGAGTTGTCTGTCAGCCACACAGTAAGTGAGAGGGGAGTTCCGGGCTTGGAAGCTGCCAGCACAGTGCTGGCAAGTGCTGGGGTGGCGTCCCGAGGCTACAGAACCTGAGATGCTGCAGAAGAGCCCACTTCTGCTTTCCTGGACCACTTCCTTCTCAGCACCAGGCAAACTCCTTCTTCTATCCCCTGGCACATTTCTGACCTGTGTATACGCCCCCAATTTATCTAACCCCTTTAAATAATCTCCTCTATTTATGCAGAGCATTCTTACCACTAACTCACGACTTGCACATCCCTTAGCTCCCTTACTCCTCACAACAATCCTGAGATGGGTCAGAGAAGGAGGCTTGCGCGTCTGGTGATGGGGTGATTTGTGCACAGTTACAGGGCTAGAAATTGTCAGAGCCAGATGGAATCCAGGTCCTCTCAATCCTAATCCAGTGTTTCTTACTTCAGTCCTGTGGCTCTCAAAGCCCAGAGACCAGCAGCATCAGCGATGCCTGGGAGCTTGTTAGGAATGCAAATTATCAGGGCCCACTCCAGGTGAACTGGGTCCAAAGCCCTGGGATAAGGCCTAGCAATCTGTGCTTCACAAGCCCTCCAGGTGATTCCGCAGGCTCAGGTGTGAGAGCTGCAGCTGTCCTCTGGGCCTTCTGGGCTCCCCGCCCAGCTTCTTCAGTGTGATGAACACAGCGAGAATGCTAGATCTGCAGCAGCTGATATCCCAGACACCCTCCCGACTCCCTCCTGGCTGGGTCTGATCCTCCTCCAGACTCCAGGAGAGAACGAGACATAAACAGAACTTCAGAGCCTGTGTTAACCCTGAGATCAAGGTCTGCACAGGGTGCTGTCTGAGTCCAGAGGAGTGAGGGACCCCACCCCACCTGGTCAGCACCAGCTCCTGGAAGCAGGTTCTCACACTGGTTCCCTGCACAATGAAGGAGCTCATACCTGCTTTTCTGGCTTCTCAGACCCTGAGGTTTTCACCGAAACTAGACAAGGGGAACCTAGGGTCAGCCTGGAGGCAGGGTGAGCTTGGCGCCTGCAGTGCCCAGGCCCTGGGTGGTGCGGCTCCGGCCAGGCCCTGTTTAGCTTCCTCTCCCACCCCCACAGAGGGGGTGCTGTCGGCACCGATTGCTCATTTTCCCCTTTGCTTTCTCTTCAGCTCGTAAAACTCAAGTCCTGACAATGCCTTGATGACTTCCAGTTGGTAATAAAAGGGAGATGAAGATAAGGACAGGAATTTCGGGGAAATTTCTTTCCAGTTCCTTACTAATGTGACATTTAGATCTCTAGTACTGTGCTTCTGGCATCAGTGCCAAGGCCTTTCATGTTGGAGAATGGAGGCCGGGGTCACCAGGTTGTGCCTTTATTTCATGTTGCTGGCTCTGATGAGCTGATGCTCTGCTGATTAGCAAACGCTGAGCCATCTGCGCTTCGCAGAGGCACGTTCCAGCCAACCCGGCCCTCCCTGCCCACTTCCCAGGATGCTTTGCCTTGTGGGCTCACCTGTCTTCTAGCTCCTGATCTGTATCTCCACCTCCATCCAGTTCCGGGGCTCCTTATCAGCACTGTTCCCAGAACTGTCCATCACGATGGCAACGTTCTCTCTGGGCGCTGTCCAACATGGGAGCTCGCCTCTGTGTTGTCACTCATGCTCATTGAACATGGATTTGTGTCCTTTACCATCAGGACTGGATACCCCTCCTGGTCCTTTCTGCCTGGGGTCTTAGCACAGCTCAGAAGGAACCTCACCATTCCCTCTCTCCATCTAGGGAATTAGAAGATGACAGGGGCACAGTTCTCTGGCTCACCCCCAGCCCAGTAAACTCCTGGACATGCTTCAAGGCCCAGCTCAGATGTTGCCTCCTCAGTGAAATAATTTATAAACCCACCCTTCTTTGTCCTGCCTTCTCCCTCTTCCCTACTCACTGGAGAGTTAACAGGTGATGGTTAAGCTCTGGGTTCAAATCTCACAAGGCCACACACTTAGCTATGTGACTTCAGGCAAGTTAATTAACCACTCTGTGCCTCTCGTTTCCTCATTTGTAAAATGGAAATAGTAAAAGTGCCTACCAGCATGGCAGTTGAAGTTAAAAGAAATAATATATGTGAACACTTGGAAGGGCGCCTGACACATAGTAAACTCTCAGTAAATACTAGCTGCTTTTAGTGGCTATTCTTAACACACCCTCTTCAGTGCTCTGGTTTCACTATGTTTTATGGGTCCCTGAGATCGAAAGTGTCCACACCGACTCATGGTCAGCTGTAACCTGTGCCTCGTGTGGGGACCAGGCTGCCATGTGTAGTCTGGACAGTGTAGGAGGTGGCAGAGCTCAGGCCTGTTCTGCCCTCCAGCCCAGAGAGCCACGTCGTTAGATGTCATGGGAGACTGTGGTGCCCCGGGAATCTCACGAATTTGCCCACGGTACTCAGTGTCTGTCCAATGCTATGGGAGTCCAGGACTCTAGGAGCCAGTTAAGGTGCTGGGTGGCCACAGGTCCCTGGCCAAGGTCCAGGCCTCTCCCCTGCCACCTGATCCTCGAGAGGCCATCACGAGGGTTGTACTTCAAGAACCACTATCCTTGAGCTACCTAGGAGCTGCAGAATGTGCACTCTGCAGGGCTTAGGGCCTGCAGACAAGATAGATGCAGGGTGTCTAGTTAAATTCGAACTTCAGATAAACAACAAATAATTTTTTCAAATAATTGTGTTCTATTCGGTCCCTATTTGGGACATATTTGTACTAAAAAGTATTCATTTATCTGAAATTCAGATTCGACTGGGCATCTGGTGCTTTTGTTTGCTAAATCCAAGAGCAAATTTGTTCTAGCTACTTCTCAACCCCACCTTCAGAGAGGAAGCCTTGATGGTACTGTAACATCATGCTGTAAGAAGGGGATCCCTTGAATTGTAAATGGCACTCTGATAAGATGAGGTATGGGGATTGTATTGGTTTCCTGTTGCTGCTGTCATAAATTACCACAAACTTAGTGGCTTCAAACAACACAGATGCATTATCTTACAGTTCTGGAGGTCACAAGTCTGAAAGTTAGGGCATCAGCAGGACTGCATTCCTTACTGCGGAGTTCTAGAGAAAAATCCATTTTCCTGCCTCCTTCAGCCTCCAGAGACACGCCACATTCTTTGGCTAGTGGTCTGCTTCCATCTCCAAGGCCAGTGGGGGCTTATCAAGTCTTTCTCACATCACATGACTCTGTTTCTTCTGCCTCCCTCTTCTACATTTAAGGGACCCTTGTGATTACACAGGGGCCCACCTAGAAAAGCCAAAATAATCTCCTTATTTTAAAATCAGCTAATCAGTGGCTTTAATCCCATCTGCGATCTTAATTCCTGTCGCCATGTAACACAAGGTATTCCCAGGTTCTGTGGGTTAGGACGTGGGTGTCTTTCCTACCACAGGGCAGTTTCTAGTGTTGCCTCTTCTCCCTGCAGTTCGCTCATGGAGTCCCGGACCTGGCGCTGAAGGACATCGCCTGCAGCGAGGCCCTCCTGGAGCGCTTCATCATCTTCAGCCAGAGACGCGGGGCAAAGACGGTGCGCTATGCCCTGTGCTCCCTCTCCCAGGGCACCCTACAGTGGATAGAAGACACTCTGTATGCCAACGTGGACTTCTTCAAGCTCTTCCGTGTGGTAAGGGAGGGGTTTGGCTGCTCGCCAATTGCAAGGTGATTCCTGGGGTAGCAGAGCCTCACGAATTGACCTTGGGGAGGGCGTGAGCCTGGTGTTCTGGACAATCCTTGCAAAAGCTCCAGGCTCCCAGGGCTCAAAAAATCACAACTGATAGTATTTCTAGAACAGTGGCCCAGGGACCCAGAAGTCACTATGAGGTTCACCATTAGGTATGTGGCTGTGGCATGTTTGTGTCCACTCTAAATGTGGGGATAATCCCCTTTACCTCCTCTAACAGAGTGGTAAAGGAAGGAGGAGGCCTGGTTTGACTCCCTGACCTGCTATTTCCTAGCCAGGTGATCATGGTAAGATATTGAACCTTTTCTGGTCCCAGTACTCATCTATAAAACAAATATAATACTTTACAGAGTGGTAGGAATTATACAAGAAAAGTATACGCAAAACATTTCATAAATTTTAATAAATGATGGCCCCATGCTTCTTCCTCTGGAAATGGTCTCAACCTCAATGGTTGGTGTTTCTAGAGAGAAAAAACGACAGAGAAAGTTTCATAGTCTCAAAAATTTGGAAAGCCCTGATCTAGCTCAACCCTTTGTTCTAGAACTGCATCCCAGACAGACTGCTTGGGACCTGAAAATATCTCCTCCTTTGCTAGAAGGATAAGATGAGAAGGAATTAGATAAAGGAGGTGTAGAGCAGAGGTTTTCACACTGCAAAGTGCATAAAAACCATCAGAGGGCCGGGCGCAGTGGCTCACGCCTGTAATCCCAGCACTTTGGGAGGCCGAGGCGGGCGGATCATGAGGTCAGGAGATAGAGACCATCCTGGCTAACACGGTGAAACCCCGTCTCTACTAAAAAACACACACACACAAAAATTAGCCAGGTGTGGTGGCGGGCGCCTGTAATCCCAGCTACTGAGGAGGCTGAGGCCGGAGAATGGCGTGAACCCGGGAGGCGGAGCTTGCAGTGAGCCGAGATTGCGCCACTGCACTCCAGCCTGGGTGACAGAGCAAGACTCCGTCTCAATAAAAACAAACAAACAAACAAACCAAAAAAACCCATCAGAGAAGTTGGTAAAAGATGCAAGTGCTAAATCCCCACCCCCAATCACTGTGATTCAGAAGAACCAGGCCAGGCCCAGAATCTATCCTGTTACCTTAGGCGATTCTGATGAAGACCATTGTAGGCCACACTTTCAGAAACACTCAAAATTAGAATCCTTCAGAGAAGGTGGCATATATAATATTTCTAGCATGGAATTATGTTTTTTTTCTTTTGCCTACATTTTAATTTCTAGAACTGTGTTGTAGGGAATGTCAGTCACTAAGAACTTGATTGAGGAACTGTGTTTTGTCTGTTTCATGACTGCTCTCTCAAGTCCCAGGAAACTCACTTTCAGCTTGTCTTAAAAAGCAAGCTGAAGGCTTTTAAAAATGAAGCAACATGAAATAAGACACCGCAGTTTCTGGCACGGTCCACGCTTAATCCCCTTCAATGTGTGACTTTCCGTGGAAAGTTACTCTACGATTTTCCCAGCTCGTCAGGGTGGGGCCCCAGAGTGAGTATGAAGGGTCAGAGCCTAGGGATGCCACCATCAGTGAGAGCCCAGGACCCCAGAAAAGGTCTCTTGGCTCACCACACTGTAGGAAAAATAAAAAGCAATGTAGTCCAAATGTCTCTATCCAAAGTTTCAAAAAGAACTTGATTTTAGACACGCTCCTTGACTTGTTTTCAGAATCAGACAGAAGAGTGAGGCAACAAAGGTCCCTTATTCCAGGCAGCTGAATACCAGCACAGCCAGGAGTCCAGTGCTGGTGTTTGCAGAGCCACCAGAGGCTCCCTCTCAGGTGTCCAGGGCCCGCATGCTTTGTAGAATGGGCAGAATGAGCAATGTCTGTGCACCTGGGCTTTGCAGGCAGGGCCTGGGTACCCAGGTTCGTGCAATCCTCTCGTCACCATGAAGGGAGCAGCATCATTCTTCCCTTCTTGAAGCACCTTGGCCACCAGTATAGGTAAATTTACCTCCCAGGACATGACCATTGATTCTGGGATGTCAATGCCAGAGATAGTAGGGTAAATCGGCACCTGGGTAAAACTTTCCATTGGAGACTAGAACCAAAACTCAGGACACTGGCTTCCAAATGTTTCTTTATCAGACAAGAAAGACCAAGTCTTTCCTTACGTCTTCACATGCTGCCTTGGCAAATGCTAGCATTCACAAACCCTGGGCTACCTTGACCTGTCACCCTTGCAGACCTCAGACGGGTCCTGGGGGCTTGCTTTCTCGGTTTCTGTATGCAGGCACTCAAACCTGCATCAGGCACCTGTGAAGGGCCGGGCACTGTGCTGAGGCCAAGGCTCCAAATGTGAACCTTCCACCCTCACTGAACTCACAGCCAGACCAGAGACAAGCAAACAGGACATTTCACAGCAGTGCAGCCTAGAAAGGGCCAACACCAGCAGCATTTGTCCCCCCGAGCGGTAGCTTTTAGAAGCTTCCCCAGTGATTCAATGTGTCCTACAAATGCCTGGCCCCCACTCCCAGAGATTCTGAGTCAGCTGGCCTAGGGTGCAGCCTTGACTTCACTGTGTTAAAAAGCTTCCCAGATAAGTCCAATGTCCGGCCAAGATTGAGAATCACTGACCTAGAGTTTAATTTACCACCTCAGTCTCTATAGACCACGCATAATAATAGTACCCCACACACCTCTGAGGGTCCAAAGAACTTTCATTTGATCACCCATGAGACCACCGTGGTGTGGAGATGCTTTCTCTCTCCTGTTCTCTTAACAAAGCTGGTGAGCGACAGAGCCTGCAGTGGACCGGGAGATGGCCCAGAGGAGAAAGCTCTGCCGTAGTCGGCCTCAGTTAACCACGGAGCACCACCCCTACCTGCTCTCCTCTCACTCCTGCTTCCGTCTCGGTGGAGAAAGATCCAACCGAAGCAGGACACATCTAGTCTTCTGGTGCCTTTAAAATGTACTTTTCCATTTGACAAATGGATTACACTAAAAACAAAAATTTACAAAAAAAAAAAAAAAACCTGAAAGAAATTGCAGGCATTAAAATGGGACTTTGCCTTTATTGCTCCTGGGCCCATCCTATTTGGGTTTTTAGAAAAACAAGCCTGAGGCAGGCCCAGAAAGGCTCAGGGCAGACCCTCCGATCCTCTGAAAGGAGCATCAGGCAGGCAGGGGTTGCTCCGGGGCCAGGGAAGGGGCCCCGCTGGGACGCGGCTGTTATTGCAGCTGGTTGGCGCGCAGCCATGCTTAGCTGCAGTGCGGGAATGCTGGGCCTTCTGTTCTGGGCTGTTTCTCATACGCACGTAGGCCAGTGTATAAATAAGGTTTTATTAAATGCCAAATGAGTTCTCATTAACAAAGAAAGAGGGAAAATCTCAGTAAACCACCGTGACGGCATCTACCCACTTTGAGTCAGGAGCTGGGGGTGTGAGTGCAACCTCCGAGACAAGGGAACCTGTGGAGCCCAGAGAATCGGAGGGGGGCGCTGGGGTTAGCACCGACTGAGACCAGCTGTGTTTTCTCTCGGTTCCTTGGAGATCAGAAGTGAGTGTTGTCATCTTCAAACAATCCAAAGGCAGTACCCATGGCCTTACTACATCCCTCCCACACCATCCCACCCATCCCCGCGCGTACACTCACACGCTCATTTGCACACTATCGCACACGCTCACTTGCGTGCGCACACACAGATTGGTGACCTAGGTGGACTGGGAGAGAAATAAGAGCCAAATGACTGGATTTTCTCCAAGGAAATTTATTAATAGCCCCTCTTGGTTTCACCTGAAGGAGCTTGTCTTCACCTGCGGCCTTTGCAGGCTTAACGCCCCCAGCTTGAAACCCAGAAGCTCAGACTTGGGCCCAAGGTATTATTAGTGCCAACACTACCTGAAATGTTTCGCACCTCATAAAAATGGTGTGTCAGTTTCGGGTGAGAGGTTGGGACGCTTCCCATCTGATTTGGCCCAAGGCATGCATGCCCCTCCTTCTCCTTCCCCTCCTCCTCCCCCTCTTCCCCCTACCATCCTTCCTGTTTTCTCTCCAACTCTGGTGCACAGCTTTGAAATCTTGCTGAGAAGCAAATCTGTCCCTTCTGCTTTGAATGTTTATTTGTGGAAGTTCGGCAGGGGAACCGAGGCGGGTGCCAAGACCTGCCATGCTGCTGGGAAGTCTGAGTCTCCCTCCCTTCCCCCTCCTAAATGCTTGTTGATAGAGAAAAGTCAGCCTCCTCGGCATTTGGGCTCACGGTTTTCCTTTGAAAATGCTTCCAGTGTGGCATGATTCAGCTTTCTTTTCTGTCCCCCAACCACTGCTCTGTTGTCATTTTTACTTTTCTGATTGCATTTTATCCGTGTCTCTTTGACTACGGGGTGGCTGGACGTTGAGTTCCAGGAAGAAAAGGGCCCAATCTTGGGGTTCTGACTACATGCGCCCATCAATGTCCTGTTTCATTCTTGGCTCTGGCTCCCTGAATTCCTGAGTCACTGGGGAGAAGCGTGGGTGGACCGCCCCCTACCCAGTGAGAGTTGCCACAGTTGCTGCTCTCCTGGGTCATTGGTTGCAGATTGTTAAACTTCACCTATGCATTTCAACTTTCGGGTGGATATTGCTACGTCAAGTGTCTGGGAAAGCCCCCACAGCTACAGGATTTTACAGTGAGGTCCCACTAATGACTTGATGTCATGACTTCCTCATTCTTTCCAATTTCTCCCACTTCTCCATAAGGGTTTTGGGAAGGGGAGAAGAGAAAGGAGTGATTCCTGAGTGCCAGTACCAGGGAACAGCAGGGCTGTTGGGAGGAAACAAAACTAAATCAGGAAGGTTTTTGTTGTTGTTTTTGGGGGGTTTTATGAAAATATTCAAGCCACAGCAAATATATTTGATTTATAGCATTAGTATTTTTTCTGCCTGCATCTACAAAAATCTTTACCTATTACCATCAAAATATCCTCTGGGTGAATGGATTTCAACAAAGAAGAAATAAAAATGAAATAGAAGAGAGGCCCCTTCGTGCACATTGAGCCTACTGGCTGGATTGTCACTTGCCTGCCTTGATGTCTTTTCAGCTCCAGGCAGGCAGTAGGCCAGGGCTTATTTTCATGACAGATCAGATGTTCTTTTATGGATTTACAAAGAAAGAAATACTGAGAAGTCAAAACTGAAGTCACTTAAGACAAGAGCAGGCCCCTGGGAAGGCTGCCATTGAGGATAATGAGTCCTGGGGTCCTGGCCTTTGTTCAGTAAATACGCACTAGGCGCCTACAATGTGTGCACCAATGTGTGAGGCGTCAGGTTCTCTCCAGGGTCAGTTGGTTTTAAGAAAGGTTTTGGCTTCTGATATGTTTTATCTCTACAGAACAGTAGCTCTTAACCTTTCTTATGGGTTAGGATTACCTTCGAGAATCTGACTACAGCTCTAGACCTGTTCCCTAAAGAAAACTAAGTTCACAGGGACACACAGGATGGGGCTCATGGAGCAGCTGAAGCCAGACCCCAGGTTAATAGCCTTTACATTAAAATGTTTTTCTACCTACCACTAATATGCATTCTTTAGTAAGCGGTCTCAATATACACCGATTCTTCCTTAACTCTGTTTATGAAGTATTCAGCATCCTCCCTGCCCCCTTCAGCATCCTCCCTGCCCCTGAGCACAGGATCCAATGGCGTGAGGACCACAGGCCTGGGCAGCTGCTGGGGCATACAGGCATCTCTTAGTGGCTGAGAGACTGGGCCCTGGCTCTATGTTGGCTCCTAACTTGCTGCCATTTAAAGGAAATCTTAGCCTCCCATCCGTAAAATCGAGAAAATAAGACTTGTCCTACACAGCTCATGAAATAGTAATGAAATTCACATTAGAGAAGAGATGGAAAAACACTTTGAACAAAAAGCATTTTGCTCTTATAAAAGCACAGCCTCTTTTGAGAGGCCCTTTGCTCCCCATTTCTCCTTCTTCAGACCCCCCCAGACTAGGAGAAGGTCTGTCTCATGGAGTGACCTTTTGGCTGCCTCTAGATTCCAAGCTCAGTTTTGCTTTCATTAACCACAGATACTGGGACGGACAGAAAAAGACCTAGTTTCTGTTGAGCCAAAGAGTCTCATAACTTGTCTGTTCACATACCCAAGAGCCCACCCTCTAGTTGAGACACTCAGTTCCCTCTCATTCTGGGAGACTGCATGTCTCTGTGACCTCCTGGTAGAGACCGTTTGACATGTCCCCCAACCCCCCAGTGATTGAGTCTGAATTCTCCACTGATGACGCATTTCCTAGCACTCAGGGTGTCCCCTCCTGGTTGCCCCCTCACCACTGAAGCCCGCTTCCTCCCTTTTCATTTGATGCTTAACAACTGTCAGTTTGCAAGAAACATGCTTCAAATCCACATTCTCCCAGTTGCCTAGCAACAACTTCCCTCCCGGATAAATGTGGGTTTCCTGTAGCTCAGCCCAGGACTGAACACAGCAGCACACACTTCTGTCCACTGCTTCAACTGCTTTTCACCTCTGGTCTGCATGCCTTCAAGACTGCAGCTCATCCCTCCCTTCAGAACCTTCCATAGCCTGCAGAGGCCATGTCTGCCCCAAAAAGACACATTGAACCTGAGGCTACTTATTTACCCTTGTGTTAGGTATATCCTCAACTTAGAAATTAATACTGTTTCCAGATTGTCTTCTTTGAATCACAGAAAGTAAAACAACAAAACATTCAATGCTTAAGACATTTCATGTGCGGTTGGGTGACATCTGTTTGATGAACACATTTGATCCAAAGCATCAGAAATACTATGCCAACAAGACTTTTTAGGAGGTGATAAACATGTCTGTTCTACCTTAAGAAAAAAATATTACACAGTCCCAAGGGAGAGACATGGTTTTGATCCCAGACAACCCAAGCAGAGACCTCTTAGGGCCGGAATCATCTTGGCTGCTGCCTAGGACCTTATATCAATTTCTTAAGCACAGGATCAAGGCCTAAAGGCCCCTTAGACTGACCTCAGTTAGTAGAGGCAGATCCCTTCACAGCCTTATCTTCCTTAGAGGTCTAGTCTGACCTTGAACTTCGGCTGGCAGTGCTGTCAGTTGTGATGTGTGACATGGAAGAGTTATTTGTTACTTGGAAAATTAAGAGAACTTATTTGGCATAGGAAATTGTGTGTGTGTGTGTGTGTGTGTGTGTGTGTGTGTGTGTGTGTGTGTGAGATGATGTTTGCCATTTTGATCTGTGACTTTTTTTTCCAGAAATAGTTTCTCAGTTCCATTCCAACTAAACTTACAGTCTCTTCCGGTTCTTTGACAGAAACAATTCATGTGAATTTGAACAGATAATAGGGAAGGGGGAACCAAAAGAAGAGGAGAGCCCTGGGAAAGTTATTTTATAATTTATGGCAACCTCAGTCAGGCAACTGTGAACAGGTACATATGGAGGGCTCCCTCGGGACTAGGCAGTATTCAGAGATGTAAGGTGTGAGGACCGGACCCTCATCATTTACCATTCCCACTAAAAAGAGCTGGGAAGGAAATTGTAGCTGTAGCACCAGGCACGTAACTGGAGCTTAGTAACTATTTGGTGAAGGAATATTATTAAATTATTAACAAGATGGAAAAAAGGGTATTAACCACACAAAAATACATCTCAAGCTATTGTTTCTCTGTTCCCTTTCCCCCAAATTCCTAGTCTTGCTCTTATCTGGCTGTCTCTCTAGTCACTCTTTCTTGCTGACTCTCTTCACGTTCCTTTCTCCACCTGGAATTCCTGGGCCCTCCCCTTTTACTGACAGACACTGTCCTCACTCTCACAGTCATCAGTTTGTCTCTTTACAAACCTCAGCTCAAGTGTCACTTCCCCGTCCCCAGGTGAAACTGACTGCTCCCTCCCTGTAAGTCACCATGATGACTGCTATATATAGCCCTCATGGAACCTAAAACCTCAACAGACACAGTCTCTTTCCTACTCTGTTATAGTTTATTTACTCATTAATTACCACAACACGTATTATTGAGCACCTACTGTGTACCATGCCCAGAAGATAAAAGACAAACAAAATAAAACCTATTCCTATGCTTAATGAGTTTACAGTCTAGTGGAGAGATAGATACATTAAAAAATAACAGCAAACCAAAATAAAAGTGGTAAATAAATGCACTGAGAAAGACAGGAATAGCTAGGAGGGGCACCTAATCCCTAGGGAAGGAAAGCTGGAAGAGCATGGTGATGGGGGAAGAAGGCTTTCTGGAGAAGGTGAGGTAGTTTGAAATGAGTTGACTCTGGCCAGTAGGGGTAGAGTGAGAATGGGGTGAGACAGGGTGGGTTGGTCATTTTGATCCATTAGTCCTCAAAGTGATAGGACTAGTGGCTAAGGACTGCAGGCTTTACAGAAGCCTACAAAACTATTTGAGATTTGAAGTTTTTTTTTTTTTTTAATTGGCTCCAAAAGAAAATGAAAAAACTTTAGAATTATAATGAATGAATATTAAATGAATATTTAAGGAAGGTAATTTTATTCAACTTCATTGTTAAATTTAGTTAAAACAAGCCCTTGAGTTTCATTCAACACTGTTTTATCATACCGTTGATGAGAGAAAACAAAACTGATTCCTGGCCAGGGCCACTGTCAGCGTGGGGTTTGCACATCTTTCCCATGTCTGCTTGGGTTAGCTCCAGGTACTCCTGTTTCCCCCACATCCCCAAGATGTGCCCATTAGTGGAAACGGTGTGTCTGCATGATTCCAACGTGAGTGAGTGTGGGTGTGGGAGTGAGTGCCCCTGCCATGGGAGGGCATCCTGTCCAGGTTAGATTCCTACCTTGTGCCCTGAGCTGCTGGGATGGAATCCAGCCACCCATGACTCTGAACTGAAATAATTGGGTGAATAATTATCTTACTTTTTAATTAATCTTTGAAAATGTATGTATAGTTCACATGTATTTCAATATTTAATATTAGAAGTATTTTAGTCTTTATTTTGAAGTTTGGTGATTTATTGTAACCAGAAACAAGCTATAGAAACTTAATTTTGGGCCAAGTGCAGTGGCTCACACCTATAATCCCAGCATTTTGGGAGGCCGAGGCAGACGCATCACTTGAGGTCCGGAGTTCAAGATCAGCCTGGCCAACATGGTAAAACCCTGTCTCTACTAAAAAATACAAAAATTAGCCAGATGTGGTGGGCACCTGTAGTCCCAGCTACTTGGGTGGCTGAAGCAGGAGAATCACTTGAACCCGGGAGGCGGAGCAGTGAGCAGAGATCGTGCCACTGCACTCCCACCTAGGCGACAGTGTGACACTCCATCTCAAAAAAAAAAAAAAATAGAAAAGAAAGAAACTTAATTCTGGTTTATATCAATTAGCCTGTGGTAAAATTGGTTTCATTATAGCCATTTCACTTAGTTGAAGTTTCCAATAACCTGTGGATGAATTAAGTGAGGATTTACTATATTCATAAAATCTTAAATTCCAAAGCCTGTTTGCAGTTCAGGTTTTTCCACTTTACAAACACTTCTAAGTATTCACAATGATTGCTTAAAATTCATACCAGATAAATCATTAAATAAGTTGTTCAAAGTCAAATAATTTCATAAGTAAAAATTAGGAGCTTTTAGAAAACTATACCTACATAGACCTAGACCTATAGATAGACAGAGATCTGAATAGATATGGACACAGATGCTTTCCAAAGTGTTCATGTGATGTGTGGTGGAGTTTCAAGACCAGAGTGTGCCTGGGGCCTGCAGAAGTAAAGGAGAGGGGATGGAGAGAAGATTGTCCACATGGCCATGGGCAATCTCCCACCCACACTCAAGTGAGGAAGACAGGAAACAAATTCAGAAAGAAGAGAAAATAATCAAAACTGATGGGAGCTTGTGACTGATTTACTTATGCGCAGCCTCCCTGGAGACATGAGTGTGGCTGTTCCTTAGGTTGTGCCTCTGGGCTCCTACCCCCTCTTAGATGCCTTCCTATTATCTAGGACCTGGTTGCTTTTTGTCTGCATAGCTTCTTTGGATTCCAGTCTTTGATGCCAGCTTCCTCCTAAAGTAGCCTTTCAGATGTCCCTTGGTTACCCTCTGCTATCTAAGGGCTCATCCTACCCCACACTCATTCCCAGCACCAATTTCTGGATCTCCAGGCTGGAGATTTAGACAATGGGATGGGAAGAACCCATGATGGGTCCCAGACAGAAAGTGGTGCCAGCCACAGAAAGGGCACACAGGCACAGAAGTTGGTTTGGGGTAAGACGATGTGGTCAGTTCAGAACACGCTGGATCTAGGCAGATGCCCAGCAGACAGTTGGATATGTAAGTCTGAAGCTCTGGGGAGAGGTCTAGGTTGGAGGTACAGATTTAGAAGTCATCAACAAAAAGGTAGCAGATTAAATGATAAAGGAAATGAGACTATCCGGGGAGTGTGCAGAGTGAGAGGAGCAAGGGAGGCCCTTGGGAACCTCAGCACTTCAGGGGAAGGTAGAGGTACAGTTGCTGGTGGGAAAGGCAGAGAAGTAGCAAAGCAAACCAGGCAAAAGCAGTGTCACAGACGACCAGGGAGGAAAAGGACATGATCAAAATGTTGAGAAAAGCAGAGAGGTTTGAAAATACAAGAAGCAAAAATGTCCACTAGACTTAAAAACCAGGAGAAAACTGGGGGGTTCTTGATAAAGCATCTTAGTAGGATGGTGAGGGTAGAAGCCAGGGAAGTGTTGGTGAGGAAGTGAAGTCACTGATTACGGACTATGCTTAAAAGAATGTGGGAATGAAGGGTGGAAGAGAGAAATTAGACTGTAGCTAGGGAGACATAAGCGATCAGAGGTAGATTCTTTCTCTCCTGTGGGAGAATCTTGCACGTATACACAGCATGACGACAGTGATGGAAGGGCTGGCGAAGCCTCAGGGAGACTCTTGGAGGTAAACCCCATGAAGGGAGGACTTTGTTTCATTCACTGCCGTGTCCCCAGCACCTGGCACAATAGCAGACACTCAATACATATTTGTCAAATGTGGGATTTTATCATTTAGAAACTGCACCTGGCTGTGAGTAACAAAAGTCAGAGAAACCGTGGGTTTCATTTTTCTCCCCAGGCAGAGTCTGGAGCTGGGTCCTCCAAGAGGGGTTTGGAGCACCACAGGTTTCCTCAAGACCCCCAGGCTGCCCTGTGTTTCCCTCCTTCATCCCCAGCATATGCCTGTCATCTGGTGACCTCCAAACACCTGTGCTGCCTCCTCCAGCACATCCATGTTGCAGGCAGGGACCAGGCAAAGGGCAGAGGGGCCTACTTCAAAAGACCATTTCCAGAAACCCCATCCTATGACTTCTCCTGGTGTCTTGGTTACCATTGTGCCATAGGCTCACCCTGTATGCATGGGAGGCTGGGCCAGGCATTATGACTTTTAGCAATATTGCATAGATAAGCATCAATCTTTGTCACTGTGACGAAGCCTAGTCACTCAGTGCTAGGCAAGGTTAATGGAATGGGTTGGTGTGTGCATTATTCTTGAGGTCTTTCTTATGCTTCATGTTATACATTTATTAGGACGTTTAGGCAACAGGGGGATAAAAATGAAGAGGAGATGCATGCTATGATCTGAATGTTTGCATCCTCCCCAAAATTCATATGTTGAAATCTTCATCCCCAAGATGATGGCATTAGGAGGTGGGGCCTTTCGGAGGCAATTAGGTCATGACTGGGATTAGTGCCCTTGTAAAACCCCAGAAAGCCAGCTTGCCGCTTCCACCATATGAAGACACAGAGAGAAGATGCCATCTACGAATCAGGAAATGAGCCCGCACCATGCAATAAACCTGCTGGAGCCTTGATCTTAGACTTCCCAGCTGCCAGATCTGTGGGAAATAGATTTCTGTTGTTTACCCAGCTTATGGTATTTTGTTGTAGCAGCCAGAGTGAACTAAGACAGTGCTGATCTCGTATTCTTGGAGGGAACCCTTAGTCTTTAGGGAAAGCAAAGCCACCATTTGGGGCAGGGTGTTCTCCAAGTGCTGCCACATATGCTGATGTGGTTAAACTGCAAACTATGGTAAAAATGTGGAGGTCTGTGGAATTGTCAATCAGGAAAAAGATATAAAAAGAAGTTAAAGTCTTCGTGCTTCTGGAAGGATATGTGCCAAATTGTTAACATTGATTATCCTTGGGTAGAGATGTGGGGAAGTTTGCAGAGACAGTTTTGCCTTGTACTTTATATAAGTAAACAGCTACTACTTCGTTGTCTTAAAAAAAAAAAACAGCCTATGTGCTCTTCATGTGACTCAGAACTACCTAGGCAATACGATTAATTGAATTAGTAAAATTGAGTGATTATGAATTTTCAGGAAGTCATTAATTTACCACTTCTTTATTACATCCACTTCTAACAGGACTTCAATATAGGGGAATTTGACTTCAAGATAAAAAGACCAAATTTATTTACCCTTTTAAAAAAAGACAACTTAAAAGCAGACTTGTCTTACAGAACCTTCCTTAGTTGGACATCGATGAGTGTACAGAAAATGCAATGGATAAAAAGCTTGGTGATACAAAGATAAAAAGTGGGGTCCTGTCCTTAATGAACATACCATTTCATGGAGTATCAGGTGTATAAACAATTATAATCAATCTGCTTGTTATTCTGATAAGATCATTTACTCACACATCAAATACTGAGTGCCCACCACATGCCCAGCATACCTAGAAGTCATCCAGTATGATTTCTGTCTACATGGAGCATAGAGTCTTACAGGGGAGATAGATGACAAGTAAACACCAGAATAATTACCAATGGTGAAGAGCACAAGGAAGGAAACAGAACTCCTAAAGAGAGCGTGGCTGGGCAGGGGTGAGCAAGAGGCATAGAAAAAGGGGCATCTAAATCTACTTGGGAGGAAGCTGTTTCTCACATAGGTCATCATGTTAGGAATGAGACTTGAGGGATGAGTAGAAGTTTGCCAGGCAAAGAAGGAATGGGGGGGAATAGAGAGCAGAGCTAGGGGCAGGAGACAGCTGACGTGTGAGCAGACATAAAAAGAAGTCCACTGTGGCAGCAGAGAAGCAGGAGAGAAGGCAAGTGAGGGAGCCAGGCACCAGCTCACAGAGGTCATGTGTGTCAAAACGTAGTAATGGCCTTCTCTTCTGGAGACAGTAGGGAGCCATGGAAGATGTTTGAGCAGGGAAAGCGACATGACTGGATTGGCCTGTTGGGTAACTCAGACCACAATGCATTGGAAGGGAGGGGGCTAGAGGCAAGGGGACTGGCAAGAAGGCCAGTCCTTTTTCTATGCCTATTTTGATGAAATATTCTAGAAGGGAAGTGAACAAAGGTAGTCCTAGAGAGGAAGAACAAAACAGATAGGATACTTCCTTAGTATTTGCTCATTCGACAATTTATTTTTGCATATACACTAAAACCTTTTTTATTATTAAAACGTTTTATTGTAGGAAAAAAGTATGAAAGTAGAGTGAATAATAAAATGAGCTCCCATGGATCTATCACCCAGCTTCAACTATTATCAATATTTGGCTGTTCTTGTTTTAACTGTTCTCCACCTTTTTTTCCTGAAGTTTTTTTGAAGCAAATCACAGACAACATATCATTTCACCATATGTACTTCCCTCTGTATCTCTAACATGTAAGAACTTGTTTTAACAAAATCACCATGCTATGATCATACCCAACAAAATTTATCATAATGTCTTAATAATACCTAATACCCATTTCATGTCCACTTTCCCCCAATTGCTACAGCTGGTTTGTTCAGATCAGAATCAAAATCCACCTGTGGCCATTTTACTGCTATGTCTCTCAGGTCTCTTTTCATCTCTAATAATCTCAGGGGAGACAGGAGGGAGGACGGGCAGGACTTGGGGCTAACTTGCTTATCGACACACAGTTTTGCCTACTTGCTTCCTCCCTTCACACCCACTCTTCTTCTCAGCCCCACCCTTGTATGGAAAAAACAGAAATTAAAGTGCTTTGCCCAGCACCCACTGAAGCTATTTCGAAGGAGTTTGAAGAGTACTCCCGGCAAGACAAATGCCTCGGTCCAGTGCTCAGGTCAAAGAGGGGAGACGCTTCTCAGTGATGTGGTGTCAATAGCAGCTTAGTTGTTCTTTCCTCTGGAAAATTCTACCCATCTGCTTTGTAACTCCCATACCTAACAAGGCCTTTTATTTCACAATTAGAAAATAAGCCTGAAATATGAATGCTGCCTGAGTGTACCTACATTTATTCTAGAGTTTCAGGGTCAAAAAGAATACAAGGACCTCTGCATCTACAGCCAAGAGGAGAGGGGCAAAGACACACAGCTACAAATGAGAACCTGGCTGGTCAAAGCCTAACTCCACCTGTTTGTCAGCACTGATGCAAGTTAGGTCAGCCCAATGATCATTTAGGAGAACTGTGCTGGCAAATAAAAAGCAGAGGCTTTTGGTCCCCAGATACTTGGATGAGAATTACAAGTCCAGCTGGTTAAAAGGCACATGCCCAGTGCTCACTTCACACCTACTCAGGAAGCACACTTGAGTTGGAAAACCACTGTCTTTACACTTAGAACTCAGTCCTACATGACTCCTCTAGGATCAGTGATTCCATCAGTTTTGAAACATGAAGCATGAAGTCAAACAGGACATGACCTTGGTTTCCAGAAAACCAGATGTTCACATCAGTCTCTGGAGCTTGGAGGCAGCACACCTGGGGACTTCCACATCCCCTGCCGAGGTGGCAAAAGCAGGAGCAGTGGTGAGTTCACATGGGCTGGGGTTTCCTGAACACTGCTGGCAATTGGAGAATCTGCAAGGGAACTTCTCCGACTCCTACCAGCAGCTGCTTTAAAATAAAGGTGATGTAGCTGGTCAAATCCTCCATGAGAGAGCAGTGTTGAATGGAGGAAGAGACACAACCTGTCTGAAAATGGCACAAAGGAAGAAAGATGTAAACAATGACGAGAAGACTGCAGTGTCTACAAAGCTCCGAGGTGAACAGATGGGCACCCCAGGCCCGCAGCACTTCCTTCAGTCTCTGCCAGCTGCACTCTGTTTTCCTTCCTCCAGGAATCTTGTTTGGTGTCACTAAAACAGCAATTAGAATCACTTTGAAATAGTGATAGTATTTAATATAACTATGAAACTATCTGTGATTGACAAGTGCAGCAAGGAGTCTTGGAATGAGAGCCTTTATTTTTTCAATTAAATAAAAGAGTTTTTTGTTTCTAAAAGTAATCTTGCAGAAAAGATCCTGCGATCAGAAAGAAGGAGGGGGGGAGTTTTCAAACATATAGGAGATCAGACTGTGCCTATGTGTGTATATACCTACAAACATATATATATTTAAAAAATTGTTTTACTGTCAATTACAGCTTCCCACACTCCTAGACAGCCGTTCTCAAGGTATCAATCTGAGATCTTGGGGAGGAATATTATCTGATATGTCACCAAGAATTCAAGAGGTGAGTAGCCTGATGGTAGTAATTATAATTTCATTATGTCTTTCCACCATTTACCCCACTTATGTCAAATAATTTAATTGTATTTCAAACCTGTTCAAGGAAAAGTACATTTGATCTTTCCATCTAGCAATTTCAAAGCACCTGTTCACATCCCAAATTATCTGTGCTCTTAAGTAAGAGGCAGAAAGAAAGGAACCACCCTTCTGATTTCACATCAAAAAAGAAATGCCACTGGCAATAAGCAACTTGCCTGGTGTGGCATAAATCATCAGAAGACTTACAGTTGAATCTAAGTCTTTTCAGTACTGAGGTGGTTCATTATTCTGTTACAGTCTTAAAATTCACATAAATATATACTGCCAATAATAATAGCATACACCTTTATAGCTTACAGGCACTCTTCTTCTAAGTGTTTTACCTATGTTGGCTTATTTCATCATAAAGAAAACAATGGACTTTTGTGTTGTTTTGTAAAAAGATGCGCACATTTTAATTAACATCTGATTGCACAAGTCTCCTCCCATATAGAAATGGATTCTTCCACGCAATAGATAAGAGGTGCTGGGGATATGATGATGAACACACAGATTTGGTCATGACCCTGTGGGAAAGAGAGATGGGAAAAAAACAATTCTCTTCAAGTGTGATGAGTGTTACGAAAGGGAGGGAAAAGTTGAAACAGGTTTTTTTCCAAACTTTTCTCCCTCCATTATTCGCAGCTGACTTGGGCTCCACCAACCTGGAAAACTGCATGGTTGGAATCTGTCTTTATAAAACGCATCTCAACCTGGGCCGAGTATGCACACTGATGTGGGAAAGTTAGAGAAGAGCCCATTGTACTAATGCTCACCTGCTACAGTGGGAGTCTCTGTTAAACAGTCTTTTCTTCATAGCATTAAAAAAATTTATATCACTACAATAAGGTTGAAATTGATAGAGAATGTACAAACAATCCCCAAAGTATATCAACACTCTTAGTTCTGAGTAGAAGTTCCAGAAGGCTTCTTGACTGTCTAGATAGCAAGTCTAATCATTTGTGAACTAAGTTAAAGCAGAAGGCCCAGTTTATATGAATTGGTATTACACCATTTGACCTGAGAACAGCCCCTTCATCTCTGAGTGCTTTGACTAAATGAGCAACATAATAATAGTAATAACCCCTTACAAGATGTCATAAGACTCACTGTTGTTGAAGCAATTTGAGATTTTGACTTTATTGAAGCATAGATGGTGATTATAGGCATGACTCACTGTGTGGATTCTCCCTGGGCTCATCAGTTTCAGAGGGCAAGTGTTGGCATGTGGACAAAGAGAGGGATGACACGTAAACATGGCTTATTGCAATGGGGAAATATTTTCAGTCTCACTGATTGAATCCTAATGGTTTTATAAATTCCCCAGTACCACTGAAAGCAAAGCAAGTAATCAGGTGTGTTTTAGGAATAAAAGCAGCATTATTTTAATTTCGTATTTTCCCCTAAAGCAAAGCCAAATGGCATTATGGGAGCCAAGCTACTGGCAGCTCCACCAGCCTTCTCCTGAGTTCTCGGCATTACAGATCTACCCTCAAAGGATGAGGCCAGCAAGCACCACAGGGTGCCCACATGGAGAAGAGAAGGCCACCAACCTCCTCTTAGCTGGCACAGAATTGAAAAAGTGTTTTTCCAGGAATGGATACTTCATCTGTTCTGTATTTGCTAGAATTTTAAAACGCACACACAGACACACACAGGCGTGCACACACACACGCACACACACACGAGAAAACCACAAACCACACATTTCAAGGAAATGGAAGAATTCATTGGTAAAATTAAGCTAATAAGATTATTTTCCAAATATAAGAAACTAAATTTTAGACTATTTAGCCAAAGAAATTTGCTCTGATCTTGCTTTTCTACAACAGAATCATTCCCCAATCATTTTATTTCCCTCTTTTTCTCCCCAGTATCCCCATCTTGGTGGGACAACAGAACCCAAGAACTGGCTTAACAGTAAAATATTTTCTGCATTTGCCCAAGGACACATTCCCAACGAATTCAAATAAAGGAGACTAGAAGAAGAGAGGCTATACTACAGTGCTCTAGGGGTCACTCTGTGATTTGTTGTTGTTGTTGTTGTTGTTTTGAGACGGAGTATTGCTCAGTCGCCCAGGCTGGAGTGCAGTGGCACGATGTCTACTCACTGTAAGCTCTGCCCCCCAGGTTCACGCCATTCTCCTGCCTCAGCCTCCCGAATAGCTGGGAGTACAGGGGCCCGCCACCATGTCCGGCTAATTTTTTTGTATTTTTAATAGAGACGGGGTTTCACCATGTTCGCCAGGATGGTCTCGATCTCCTGACCTCGTGATCCGCCCGCCTCGGCCTCCCAAAGTGCTAGGATTACAGGCATGAGCCACTGCGCCCGGCCACTCTGTGATTTTCTTTAAGGCTCATCCTAGTATTCTCCTAGTCCCTAAGTAGATGGCAGTAGGTTTTGTTTTTTGTTTTTCGCAGCTGGATTAAGGATTGCTGAGAATATATGGATGTTTTCTTTTAAATGTGGAAGTCAAACCAAACGTTGGAGCATTGGCCTCACAGCAGATTATGACTCTAGCTGCCTTAAAATAACCTGAAGACTTTGCCTTGCCCTAGTTTATCCATCGGCCGAGTATGCAGGACTTGCTGTGGGTGACCAGGCCCCTCATGCAGAATGGTGGTCCAGAGACCTTTACAAAGCTGATGGGCATCCTGTCTGACCTCCTGTGTGGCTACCCCGAGGGAGGTGGCTCTCGGGTGCTCTCCTTCAACTGGTATGAAGACAATAACTATAAGGCCTTTCTGGGGATTGACTCCACAAGGAAGGATCCTATCTATTCTTATGACAGAAGAACAAGTAAGTTTTCTGAGTCCTGCTTATAAATTGGCCTCTCATGTTGGTTAAGTTGATGGTTTAACACTTCTAGGTGAAACCAAACCTGGGGTTGCATCTGTCTTGTCTTGCTGAGTGGCCTTAGGTAAAGAGACTTCTCCCAGAAAGTCCACTTCCCCTTGCAGAAAGGGGGCATTGCTTATAAGCAATTCTGGACATGAACCACAGAAAGAACTGAGGCCCACTTGGAAAGGGAACAGAGGGGCCATTTCCCACTGATGTAATTGAACTAGGGCTAAGTTCAAGAGGAAGAGAATGATCCGCAAGGAAGCAACCCAGAGTTCCAGGTGAAGCTCAGGTCAGAAGGGCCCTGGCAAGTAAACACGGCTGTGGGATGCTTTTACAAACACAATATCGTGAAAATCTATGTGTGTAGTACTGAATTACATTCCAAATGGCAAATTCCTGGCAAATCATCTTCCCCACCTTTCACTATTTTTTTTTTTTTGGTCTTCTATGGGGTAAAGGAGGATGGGGTGGGGAAGAAATGTAACTGGCTGCCCCTCTAGTTAAAAACTGAAAAGAGGCAGCAAGGGACATGCCAAAAGTAGTTGGACTCTAAGATAGCTACACACAACAAAGCAGCTAAGCAGCTAATTGAAGGGAAATTACTGAGGCTCAAGCTGAGATTCCAAGCGGGGGCCTTGTTTGGCCTCTCAGTCCCTTTCATCTGAGAAAGGCCTCAGTTCCTAGCAGTAATCAGAGGCAGGCTTCTCAGCCTCCTTCTCCTAAAGCAGAATAAACCACAGGGCAAGTCGCATCCTTTGTTTCTCTGATGAGGCCATTACTGAGAGTCACTGTGGCATTTTGCTACTAATGATGAGCTTGTTATTGGTGGGGTACAGCCTATTAATTTAGGTTATTCATCAAATCCTCCAGCATGGAGTTGAATGAGACATGTGATGTGGATACACTAATGACTATATTGAGTTACAAGCAATGGGGAGTTTCTGTAAAATCTGTCCCTTGTCTCCTGGCAGCATCCTTTTGTAATGCATTGATCCAGAGCCTGGAGTCAAATCCTTTAACCAAAATCGCTTGGAGGGCGGCAAAGCCTTTGCTGATGGGAAAAATCCTGTACACTCCTGATTCACCTGCAGCACGAAGGATACTGAAGAATGTAAGATCCCAGCTGGGCTTGCCTTGTGTACCCTGGACCTCCCAGAAGTGTGTGTGTGTGTGTGTGTGTGTGAGAGAGATGTGCCTTCCTGGTAGCACATCTCATGTTTGTTTTTTGCTAAGTGGACTCTTGCGTTTCCTCCCCCATCCACAGTCATCACTGGAATGCTTTGCTTCAGTGCCCCTGCCTGGGCCCTCCCCTCTCTACTGCAGCCTACAATGAGGTTTTCTTTCCCATTGCTTGAATTATATCCCTAATGGAAGGGTTCACAATTCTCTGAATCCTGGCTACTCAGATAAAGACAGGGAGGAAGGGAGGAAGGGTATTTTCTCCCAGGGGGTCCAAATCTAGCTTTAACGAGGGAGGTTCTGAGAAAATAATATCATCAATATTACATGGACTTCTGAGATACTAAGAAATTAGATTCTGTCAGCCCAGGAAGTTGGGAGATGGTGAATTGTTCTGGGAAATAGCAATAGACTGAGAAAATAAAAACACTTCCTTGAAAAGCCTTTCCCTAACACTAAGTGATAGGGGCAGAAAAGACACAACCAAAAGTTCTCTCTCACTTTTCTCTCTGTTCGTGTCTCTGTCTTGATCTCTGTCTGGTTTTAGGCCAACTCAACTTTTGAAGAACTGGAACACGTTAGGAAGTTGGTCAAAGCCTGGGAAGAAGTAGGGCCCCAGATCTGGTACTTCTTTGACAACAGCACACAGATGAACATGATCAGAGTAAGGGGGGTTGGAGGATGGGGAGGGGAGGGGAGGAGGAAGCGGTGGGGGCAAGAAAGTTCCACTTGTTTCCTTTTCCCAGGAAAGAGTTAATCGCTATTGGAGTTAGATCAAAATACAACAAGCAGGCCCCAAAGGCCTTCATTCCAAGCAGTCACCAAGTGGGGTCACTGACTTTGGATGAGAAATATGTTTCTTGAATTCTGGGAGAAGTCTAAAAGCTGCCACAAGACCAGTGGCTTCCTGGAGTTTCCTACTTTTATGAATTCACTCAAGGGCCTCAAATTCAAAGAGGCATCTCCCCAAGGGGCCAGCTCTGTAACTCCAAAGATGGTGGAATGTGTTTGTCTGGTCTCATTTTCAGCTTTGCAAAATGAAGACAAGAGTTCTATATATCAGGGACACTCAAAAGAAAACAAAAATATCCATAAGCAAAAGAAAGCTTTTTATACACCATATTCAATGACCCCCATCTGGCCCCTCCTTTGCCCCTACACATCTTCCCTCTATTCTAGAGACCCATGGACTTGGGGAAATGGGATATAGATAGGTATGTTTCATAGTGGAACAAGCTCACCAGCTCTTCAGGGAGCCTTAGCATCTCTATCCTCAATCACTAAAAATTAGAAATGGCTGAAGAACAAGACCAAAGATCCTATGGAATTTCTAAGCAGAGCAGTGACTGTATTTCTTCTTCCCAAGGATACCCTGGGGAACCCAACAGTAAAAGACTTTTTGAATAGGCAGCTTGGTGAAGAAGGTATTACTGCTGAAGCCATCCTAAACTTCCTCTACAAGGGCCCTCGGGAAAGCCAGGCTGACGACATGGCCAACTTCGACTGGAGGGACATATTTAACATCACTGATCGCACCCTCCGCCTGGTCAATCAATACCTGGAGGTAAGGGGCTGCAAGCCCCACAGTGGGCCCCTTGAAGATAGCCCCATGAGTGGGGCCAGAGCTCCCTTAGCAAGTCAAGTGGTCTTGAATTTAAGCTTTCATTTTCCCCACTGAAGAAACAAGAATCCCTACATCCCCTGTACAGTTCTCATTCTCTAACAGCTTATCCATACTTAAAACTTATCTATGCTGAAAACGGTTTCCTCTTCACATCTCCTACTTCTCATGCTGGGCACCTCCTCCTGTAGCCCCCTTTAAGCATCTGTGTCTGTCCTCAACCCTCTTCTGTCTGACATTGCTTGAGTGGCCATCTATGGCCAGTGTCCCCTCAACCCCACAGTCCATTGCTTGCTGGACACTCCTGCCCTCAAGTTCTACAAGCACATCAGCCTCAACATGTCCCCTCCAAAAACTGTATGTTCTCCTTGCCCATAGAACATATCCTTCTCCTATATTTCCTATCCTAATTAACGTCCTCAGCATTTGCCCGAATTCTCAAGTGAGGGATTTCAGGGTCATCCCTAATTTTCCTTCTTCACCCTCCACACAGTAGCTGTCACTTACTGAGTGTTACTTTATGCCAAGTACTGTGCCAACTGCTTTTACACACATATGCTTCATTTAATTCTCACAGCTCCATGAGGCTTGCACCATTATCATTGCCAATTTGCAGATGAGAAGCCAGGGCTTAAAGAGGTTAAATAAGATCCCACGCATGACCATTAAGAGGAGCGAACAGGATCCAGCTCTGGGGGTGCCTGAGTTCAGAGCCTGCCTTTCTGATTTCTCTTACCAAGCTTTGTCTCCTCTCCCTCCTAAATATCTCTCAACTCTGCCTCTTGCATTCCAGGCTCTCTGAGGACTAGAGGCCTTGTCATCTCTGCGCCAGCCCATTCCAAGGGCTTCCTTCCTGGAATCCAGGGTCCAGCCTCTGTTGGCCCAGGCATTTCTCTACACTGGCACCAGAGTTACATTCCGCACACCTGCTTACGTTGCTCTCTCACTTAAAATCTTAATGACTCGACCCCCAAATAACACAGGTCCCTTCCAAATCTGTCCTACCCCACCTTCCCAGCCCTTGCTCAACTCTGCTACCTGGCCCTTTCACGCCTACAGGCATTCCCATTCCATGACCTCTTGGGATTCTACCCTTTGCAAATGCTGTTTTCATTGCCCATTTATTAGAGCGCTTTTGGTCACAAGCTTTTTGCTTAACCAAAAAGAAAGCATTTATTGGTGGACATAAATAATGAAGTTCAGGAGGATCCAAGAGTTGGAAGCCACCATGAGACCCCTGTGTCCTTCCACCTCACTTTTCTACTCGCCTCTGCTCAGCTTCATCTCTGGCCAGGCCCTCTCCTCTGCTGATGCCCTAGCTGCTTACAGCCCTTAGCAGTCATCTATACACCAAAAATCCCTTTCCCATAGCAGAAGCAATGCTCCTAGAGAGTTTCCCTGTTGGTCTGGCTCCTGTACCCACCCCTGTGTACTCTGATTGGGAGGCCTGGGTCAGCTGCCCACCATGGGGCCATTTCTATGAGCAGGATTACTGTGAAGTGGAGGAAGATGTTTCCCCAAAAGAAGAAACACAAGGTAGAAAAGTGTATGTCCACCAATGCCTGAAATGACTGTCCCTTTCCTCATCTGCTGAGCTTCTACTCATTCATTCTTTGAGACTCAGCACTCAGCTCTTAAATGTCACTTCTGCTTTGATGGAGGTTTAGTCATTCACTCCTCTGTGCTTCCTGGCCCTCTCTTCACACCTCTCTCAGACCCCTCTCCCAGATAGATTAGAGTTGGCTGTTGACATGTCCATCTCTGGCTGGGCAGCTAAACTGGAGTTATTTAGAATCAGGGAGCACATGTCAGTCATTTTCAAATTCTCAACCTCATACTCCCAGTAAATGACTCCATCTAAGGGTGGACCACTCTTGCCCATGGGCCAGGTCTGGGTCTGTGTCATCTAGAACTGTTGGAAGGTAGGGGCTTCTGTGAGCAGTAGGAGAGGGAATAAACTCGAGGGCCCTCGGGAGCATGCCCTCTTGTCTCAGACTTGTGAGTCCTGAGGATAACAAACTAGTGAAGAAAAGCCTCGTTCTATCTGTCACCTGGTGCTCTTGAGGACTTTCTGTTGCCCTGGTGCCACCACAATTTTCCAGAGTGTGTGACCCTCGCTCTCCAAACTCTGGAAGTGGCAGCCGAGGCTCCCCAGTGGCCTTTCAGAAGGTGCCAGTCATGACAGCAGCACCAAACTGCAGGCAACTACTAAGCGATCACCAACTTGTCTGAAGATAAGAATGACCTTGAATGCATTTTATAAAACAGGATTTTTTTTTTAATTTTTAGATTTTCTTTCTTTATTTTACCTTAAGTTCTGGGATACAAGTGCAGAATGTGTAGGTTTGTTACATAGGTATATGTGTGCCATGGTGGTTTGCTGCACTTGTCAACCCATCATCTAGGTTTTAAGCCCCACATGCATTAGCTATTTGTCCTAATGCTCTCCCTCGCCTCGCCCCTACCCCACCCCAACAGGCTCCGGTGTGTGATGTTCCCCTCCCTGTGTCCATGTGTTCTCATTGTTCAGCTTCCACTTACAAGTGAGAACATGTGGTGTTTAGTTTTCTGTTCCTGTGTTAGTTTGCTGAGGATGATGGCTTCCAGCTTCTTCCATGTCCCTGCAAAGGACATGATCTCATTCCTTTTTATGGCTGCATAGTATTCTATGGTGTATATGTACCATATTTTCCTTATCCAGCCTATCACTGATGGGCATTTGGATTGGTTCCATGTCTTTGCAATTGTAAACATACATGTGCATGTATTTTTATAGTAGAATGATTTATATTCCTTTGGTTATATACCCAGTAATGGGATTGCCTGGTCAAATTGTATTTCTGGTTCTAGATCCTTGAGGAATCACACTATCTTCCACAATGGTTGAACTAATTTACATTCCCACCAACAGTGTAAAAGCCTTCCTATTTCTCAACAGCCTCACCAGCATCTATTGTTTCTTGACATTTTAATAATCACCATTCTGACTGGCATGAGATGATAGATACCCATTTGTCAGATGGGTAGATTACAAAAATTTTCTCTCATTCTGCAGGTTGCCTGTTCACGCTAATGATAGTTTCTTTTGCTGTGCAGAAGCTCTTTAGCCTAATTAGATCCATTTTTCAATTTTGGCTTTTGTTGCAATTGCTTTTGGTGTTTTAGTCATGAAGTCTTTGCCCATGCGTATGTCCTGAGTGGTATTGCCTAGGCTTTCTTCTAGTTTTCATGATTTTAGATTTTACATTTAAGTCTTTAATCCAGCTTGAGTTAATTTTTGTATAAGGTGTAAGGAAGGGATCCAGTTTAAGTTTTCTACATATGGCTAGCCAGTTTTCCCAACACCATTTATTAAATAGGGAATCCTTTCCCCATTGCTTGTGTGTGTCAGGTTTGGCAAAGATCAGGTGGTTGTAGATGTGTGGTGCTATTTCTGAAGCCTCTGTTCTGTTCCATTGGTCTATGTGTCTGTTTACAAAACAGATTCTTAAGCATCAACCCAGATCGACTGGCTCAGAATTTCCAGGGAAGAGGCCTGGTTATCTGCATGTTTACAGACCTATTAGATTTGTGGGACCTGCAGTTCCCTTGTACAGTTAGTTACTCAATTAACATCTCCCTCCTCTCATGGTGCCTCTACCTGCTAAGCCCTTATTCCCAGCCAGGCCCACCACCATCCACCCACTGCTGTTATAACATAAGCAGGACCTGTGCGAGGGGGTGTGGACGGAGGAGAGAGGCTCTGTTGCTTCATTTGTGCAGCATGGAGTTCAGTGGTTCTCACAATGTTTTTGCAAAGTATATAAAGAATACTCCTTGTCTACTTGACATTCGTATCGTGACATAAATGTCTTGTTTTCCAGAAGGATTATTTTTTCCAAGCAGCTTGTTCCTAATGCAGCCCCAGGCACCAAACAGATACTTAAAATATATTAATTGCTTAAATGGTTAAGAATTCAGTCTCTGGACCCACACTGCCTGGGTTCAAATTCCTATTATCTGTGCCCAGTTTCCAAGTCTATAAAATAGGGATATTAATAGCACTTACCTAATAGGCTCGTTATGAGAATTAAATGAGCTAATTCATGCAAAGCACTGACATATAGTAAGCACTTAATAAATATTAGCTTTTTAACAAAATACAAGCCAAAAAACACTGCTTAGGAGAGGAAATGATGTTAGTGCCTCCTGTAAATAGGCCCAGCCTCCAAGCTGGTGCTCCTCTAGGAATCACAACGCTGCAAATCACATCCTCCGGGGCCGCCAGGACTTCACGAGGGCCTCTGAGCAGAGGGGTATGATGGGAGCAGAAGCCCAGCAGCTGTGATGATGTGGTTTCTGATCTTCCTGCCCTTGGGGTGGGGGAGGAGGAAAGCAAGGGGCAATGAACAGAAAGGAGAAGATAGCGGGGAGGAAATGTGTGAGGAAGAAACACATCACTGTGGCTTGTCCTGGATTTTTCTGCTTCTGTTCTCGTGTTTTGGGAAGTCTGGAGGAGACTTGAAAATCATTCATGTCCCCACCCTGAGGATGGCTTAGTAGCAGAGAGGCCATGAAAACTCTTTGCTGATGGCTCTGAAAGCAAGGATGTTGCTTCACTGGGCTGCTGAAGGCCTGCCTGGGGGTTCTGAGCAGAGAGTACAGGCCCCTCCCAGGAGGGCGGCCTAACCACCATGCTGGCATTTCTGTGGACCATGGTCTGCTGTCTCAGACCCCCTCCACAATAGGGTCTGCAATCTCATTCACCCCATAAATACATTCTGTCTTTCCTCTGATCCCCTCCCATTAGCAGGGGGAAATAAATGGAAGTCAGACGGCCCAGTTAGAAGGCAGGCAGTGGAGTAGGAAAATAGATGATGGTGGTTTGGGGAGCCTCACATCACTCATGGGGAGACATTCATTCCCATGGGCCTTCCAATCACCCTTTTCTCCAAATCTAAGGACACAGGACAAATGGGTCCTCATACAGGCAAATATCTTAAACTGGTATGTGTATTCATTTATAGTTCTAATTTATATGTGTCTTTATTCACATATATTTTGCTTCTGGAGAAAAGCTCAATTAGAAAAATTAATACATTATTCTTCTTATTGCCCTTCAGCTAAAACAAGCATACACACCCCTCCCCTTTGGATTTTTTGTTTAGCAAAAGGTTAGGCCTGGCACAGATGAAATACTATTCAGAGTTCACAGTGTATTTTCATTTCATAATATATTTGATTTTCAGGTCTTGAATTTCACATCAGGAAGCTGATATAGGAAGCTGAATTCAGCCAGATTTTAATACGAAAATACCTCTGATCAAGGCATAAAATTGTACTTTAACCAGTAACCACTGTATTTCTCTAAGCTGTGAAAAAACATGCATTCATTAACTGCTTTTTCCTCTGCTGTCAACACAGTCAATACATGTGCATAACTCCTTATTGTCTACATGGTGATTATCTTGCTGATGAATTCTCAAAGGCCAGAGATTTGGACTATTTTTTCTCTGTAACCTTGCATGTTCCTGGCCACATGCCACCACCACCCAAACAGAATGTACGCAGGGAATGTATTTTTCAGGATAACCTAAGAAAAAATAGGATTAAGAAGATAAAGCTGCTGATCATGTAATGTACTTTAGACTCAGATATATAAATATTTGTGAATTATCTGTCCTATTTCTTTCTTCTATTAATTCATTGACTCTAGATGTGCATTGGAAGGCTAGGGAGAAATCAGGGGATCGTGAGAAAGAGCACAGAAGTCTGCATCACACAAACAATATTATTTCAAGAGCCATGAACTAGATCCTAAGCAACTCATAGGCAATGACCTCATTTCATACCTCTAGTCTCTAAGAAACATATAACTGGCCTGAGGAAGGAAAATGTGGGCAAGGGGTAGACCGGGGTCATGGGTGGAGGTCCAAATAGTAATCAATGGAGCTCATAGGGTGGACTGATATTGAAGCTGCTATGAGCCAGCCACATGCTGGGCACTGTTACATGTCATCTCATGCAATACTCCCAATTACCTGCCTAGTAAGCATAATTGTCATTTTATAGAATTAAAAACAGACTCAAAGAGGTTGACAGTCTAATGTAACACAACAGCTAAATGGGGGATCTGGAATTATAATCCAGAGCTGCCTGGCTCTGATGAGAAAGCTCTTTCTGCTGTCATATGCAGCCCACATTAATAGGGGGCTCAGAAAGTATTCTCTGGATAAATTATATAATGAATCCAATGAAGGAAGACATTATTTTATAATATGCAGCATAATAGGCACTATTATGATTGGATTTTCCTGCTTGAAAGTAGCTAGATTAGAGTAGGAAACCAAAAAGATGTGAATTCATTCAGTCATTCATGCATTTGCATGGATTGAGCTACCTACATTTGAATAAATGCTGTTAATCCCTGATTCCTTGGAAGCTCACATTGGAGAGATAAGCATGTCATTAAATAATGCCATAATAGTGGTATCTCAGAGGACTAGCAGAACATAATTCAATCTGACAGAGTAGAAACAGATTGTACAAATCCAATTCAAAACATCATAAATCCTCTAAGCACTGTCAATTCTTCCTCCAAATTATCTCTGAAATTCCTCCTTCTTTCCCATTTATGGCCTCCATTTACAGAAGCGTGTACTGTCTCTCTTAGCTGTTTGCCAGGCCGCCAGTCTCTTGCTGTTCAGCTCTCAACTGCTTCCAGCAAGATCTTTCTAAAATCCCAGGCTTGCCAAGACTTAGCGCCCACAGCTCCACAGTGACTCCTCATTGCTGTTAAGGTAAAGGCCTTCCCAGTCTAGCCCTTCATGCTTCTTCCATGTTCTATGGGACTGCCCCAGGCTTCCCACCTGGTACCACTGAGCCTTTCCATCCTTCCCCCACTCGACTGCCAGGTCAACACCCACACCCACGCTTCAGGACTCAGGTCCTATGTTTCGGGCCTTCTTCTGTGCACCATTCCCTTCCCTGTAGCCCTTGATCATGATTTGTTTATACGCCTCCGCACCTTCATGGCCCTGAACCCCTCAAGGGCCGAAACTGCCTTACTTTTCTTTTTGACTTCCCAACTTACCTTAGTGGAGCTGTAGTCACATAGAATAGACGCTCATAAATGCTTCTCTGGGCTGTAAAGGTTGAATTTTCCAGCTAAGCAAGGAAGAAAGACAATTTCAGGCAGGAGGAAGGGCATAAGCAAAGTGCAGAGATGTGAAGCTCAAGAGAAATGGATGGGCTGGGCAGAGGTGTGGCTGCAGCATCAGGGGAGAAGAAGTAGTGCCTGGAGTCAGCAGGCACGGCTTGCAAAAGCTTCACCTATAGGTGAAAGGACACCATCTCTTGCACCAATAGGCTCTGTGATTGGAGGCAACTTTGCTGTTTTACTGCCAGAAAACTGAGGATGATAACCCAAACTGCAGTTCAAGTGGCATTCACTGGTGTGGCTGAAATGGGTGTTTGTGGCCAGAATGTGGTCTGATTGGTCAGTGCCCAGCTCTGTTGATTAGCAGATGTTTTGAATATAGTAGCATCCATGTGCCCAAGTTGTTGGGATGATTCAACAAGAAACTTTAAGAGCTCAAGTGCCCTGCAGTTGTCAGCCAGGTGATTCTCTTCCTTTGGACCCAGTTAGACGCAGGCATTACCTCGTGGCTTTGCCCCAGTGTGAATCTTTGTCCTCCAACTTGATCTTTTTATTTGTTTCATTATTGTATTTAAGTTGTTTATTTTAGAGACAGACATTTTTTAACAGCTGTGCATTTCCTGTCCCTTTGTTTTCCAGTCGTCATGTGTTTCCTTACTCTCTGTGGGTGAACGTTTCAGATGTCTGTTTGCGGTGCCCAGCGTGCAAGATAAAATTTATTGCAGTGCCTTCGGCCTCTAACTCACCATTCCAACCAATTCAGATAGCCCAAGGCTGTTTTATCCAGTGGATTTTTCCATGTAGTGGGAAATAAATCTTGAATGTTACTGTTTAGATTAGCCAGGAAACTCATTCTGGGATGTTTGCCCACATCCATTGGCATTTCTCAAAAGGAACCCCAGGTGTCTACCTTGACACCAGCAGGGCCACTTGAGCCCTCCGCTGGCATTCATCGCCCGCTTTGTTCTCAGCCTGAGTTTAGGAGTTACAGATGTGAGAGGCGGGATTATACAGCCAACATCTCTAAGCGGGCAGTGGCTCCCTTACCCTCGAAGACCTCACTCCTAGCACGTCCTGGATGTATTCGTCAAAATATGTCCTCTTATGCCACGTCAGCACAGGGTTGCTCCCCACTTTGATCATCAAGTTTAAACAAAAGGAAAGATTTTCTTTCTTTCTCTGCCTCTACTGGACATCATTTCCCACCTAACAGATAATTTAATGTATCTGTTACTGAATGTGTTTGAATTACAGACAGAGAGGTCACAGTTAAAGAAGGAAGCCTGCTGCTACTGCAGCTTGTCCTCCCAAGGAGGTGTTTGATTTAGCTGTGTAAACAAATGACTGCATTCTCCAGAGGTCCTGAACACAGCTGCCTGCGCTGGAGAGGGCTCAAACCTCTTCCGCCAGGGTGAACTCTGCTTCCTGGTGAGTGCCAGCAAAACAACCAACAAAGAGCTGTAGGACTTGTGTGGACTTCAAATGGTGGTGGTCCTGCCACTTGGGCTCAGCCACAGCAGTTAGGAAACTAAAGGGGAGGAGGAAAGCCCTTTCCTTGCTTTATTGTCATTGGCTGTCATAGGGCATTACAATGGTTCTCTTTGAGATTCTGAGCTCCGGCTATAACATTTGCCCAGAATCTGCCTCTGAGGCCTTAAGACACTGTGTTTTTATTCAGCAAAGATGCCCTTTGACTCCTTTTCCCACTAGTGGTGCTAGGTTTGAGCACCTTACACTGGCCCCTTACAATAGCCAGTTCTTGTCTACCTACATTCTTCCCTAACATTCATGATTGCATAGTTACTCTTAGTGTAGAAGCAGACAGCTTTTACACATAGACTCCATGGCCGTAGCCTCATAGAACCTACTATATTCTAACTTGCAAGCTAATCAGACCAAATATATCAAAATCAAAAACCTCTGCTGAGAGTTTATTCATTCATCTCTGTCTCCCAAACGTACTTATGTACATACGTGCACTAATATACATGTCCATTAGCCAAGATTTTGATTTCAGGGATCAAAGCAAGTACCAATAGGGAATGAGGTCACTTGCTGCATGGCAGGTGGCTTCCCCATGAGAATGCAAGGCCACCTCATGACTCATACTTCAGAGGGTGACCCAGGAACTTCTGATTCATGTCCAAAGCAGCTTCTACAATTGCTCTACCTTGATCTAGGGAAGATGTGGGGAGGATGACATTCGGGATTAGCTTTATAAGGCCTTCCTGTGGGCAGAGTTGTCTGACTTTCACCTAGTGATCAACAAGCAGCTAGCAAGCATCAGTGTGTGAGGCCCCACGCCCTCTCAGCTCCCCTACTGCCCACCTGGGACATGGGCTTTGGCATCTGTCCATAGCATTGTTCTAACCAAATGAGGTGTTATGGATCAGCTCAGGATGGGATATGTTCCCAGACATATTATTTAAAGAAAATAGCTCCCTTCCTCCCCTGATAAACAGCTGCCATGGCTAAAAGGTAACCTGGCTGGGGCTTAAAAGTCTGTTGACTTTCAAGATATTTTGCAAAAACAGTCATAAAAATGGTATTTATCAGATCCTAACTATTTGTGAGACGGTTTGGTATACCATAGTGGTTAAAAACACAGGCTCTTTCCAGAGGAGGTTTACTTTGCTTAGTCGTGTCTCCTAAGTGAACTTGGACCTCATAAGGTTGTTGTGAGAATGAAATGGGTGAATATGAGTAAAGTCCTTGGACCAGTTTTGGCCGTATAGTAAGCCTTCAGCAAGCATCTGCTTTTATTCCTACAGGGAGGCAATTGTAAGCCCTTCACAAACAGCGTCTAATGTGATCCTTAGAACAAACCTATGAGATAGGGCATATCTCAATTTTGTAGGTAGGGAAACAGAAGCCACACAATTAGGAAATGGCAACAGATCTGTTAGACTCTTAAACACTATGCTACACCAATTTGCAAGGCAAGGAAGACAAAGCACCTTTGAAAATGGGTCAGATGTTTTAGGGTAAATGAACGTTTGAGAATCTTTTAAGTTTTTTTTCCCCCAGAGATTATCAAGGTATCATTGTAGGGGGATGCATCAGGAAACATGACTATGAATCAGCTGCCTGATAAACCAGCCAGGATGGAGCCCACGTCATCACAGCAGTCAGCAATGCCACTGAAAAACATCAGCTGCTTATTCCCGTATAGATTTCCCCTTAAGACATGAAAAGGGAGTTCAAAGAGAATGGGCCAGATATCTCTGAGAGTCATATTACTAAAATATATTTATTTTTACTAGCTTTTTTGTTTTAAGAGGTATACTGTCATTAGCACTGTAGCAAAAATTCACGTTTTATTAATTTCTCCTAGTTTATCATGTGATTCTAGGGTAGGATGCAGAGTTATATTCAAAATACACAAATCAACTCAACTCAGTAAACATATATCGAGGCCCTATCATGACAAAATGCTATTCTAGAGACCACGGCGAACAAGCCACGGCCCCAGCCTCAAAGAATGTACTATCTTTGGAACTGTGCTGGCCAATACAGTAACCAGCAGCCACGCAGGGCTATTTAAATTTAAATTAATTAAAAGTAAAAACACAATGCCTCAGATGCATTAGCCACATTTTAAGTGTTCAATAGATATTTGTGGCTCCTGCCTGCCATATTGGACAGGGCAGATATAGAACAATTCCATCACTGCAGAAAGTTCTACTGAACAATGCTGCTCTGGAGCAGAAGATCTTCTTGTTCAGGGATGTTACACCCCCGCTTGTGGCTAGAGTGTGGCTTATCCTCAGAGCAAGGATAGGGGAACCATGGCACTCTGCAGGCTCAGCACTGAAGACACGGATGCAGGCTCTGCTTCTGACCTAGATTGACCTTGGGCAAGGCCCTTTGCTCCTCTGATCCCAATTTCTTCACCAGCCAAGTAAGAACATCAGACCACAAGCCCTCTAGGGCTCTGTCCAAATGCCCCATGACTGAGTGAACTGGTAGAACATTCTATGTGTGTGTCACAACATGAAGAGCAAAGACTTTCATCTCCCCAAATAATTTTGTTTTTCGTTTTAGGAATTAAATTTCAGATTCACTCTAATTGCCAATACTAAAATTCTCTATATGCAGTTCTAAACTTGACAAACCAATAAAAAAAGATTATTTGACTACTTATCTTTGTACAACATTGAGGTCTCCCTAAAGCAAATTTAAATGCATATTTTAAAAATGTATTCTAGCAGTTCAGTTCAGAAGCCCCCTGGCCCAAGCATCACACTGTCAATCCTTTGTCCTCAAGCAGCATGGTTGGGTGGGTTAAGTACTGACAAACACTGGGTGTCAGGCCCATGGTCAGGGACTGTGCTAACAGTCTACATATTAGATGCCACCTACCCCCACCCTCAACAGACCCAAACTATTTATCCAATAGCAAACCTTGCATTATTTCTGTCCAGAAGAAACAAACATTTATTGACAACTTTTGGTGTGTGACCTGTTTAAGTCCTACATCTCATTTAAGGACTGGTCAATGTTAGGCTAGGCAATGCCTGTTTGTGAGAGAATCACTGCCTAAAGAAAATTCTCCATTTCCCTTAGCTCTATGGTGGGTGACTACACATACTGGTATTTCTTAAAGAAATACCAATTCCATTTCCTTTTAACATAATTATTAATATCTCATTAGCATGGTGTCACTGAAGCCTGGGCCCAAAGAAATACCAATTCCATATCATTTTAAGATCATTATTAATATCTCATCAGCGTGGTGTCACTTAAGCCTGGGCCCTTTAGAATTTTTCATGTACCTGTGTTCCTCTGCCCATATCAGCTGGAACACTAATAGTTTTCTTCCTTTTTATCTAGAAGACTGAGAACATTACATGGGACCTGCCCCCAGGGCATGGAGGCTGAGGTGGGACAGTTTAGTTCAGGAGGCCCAAGAAGTGTTGGGTGTGCAGCCCCTTGTTCAAACACAGCCTCTGAATCGCCAGAGGCTTCCGGTGCATACTCTGAGGCGCAGGTGGGACTCGGGAGTGAGAGGTTTCGGCGAATGAATTGGGATTGCCTACTTCTTCCCAGTGCAGTGGAGCTTGGTTCTGTGGTCAGGTCCTTACGCCCTGTCTGCCTTTCTCGTTTCTTTATTTCTCGGGTAGTAGTTGTGGAATCAAATGACCTGGGGTTTGATACCTACTCTACCACGCCTCTGGGGGAGTCACTCAGACTCGTTGAACCTAAGTTCCGGGGCTGCCAAGTGAGGATAAGTAGTAATTGCTGATCCACCTACTTGACAAGATAGTAGTGAGGGCCCTGAGCGCCAGGCTGTGGATCCAGCCTTTCCCACGGTTCCTGGTGTGGCAGGAAGAACTCTAGGCCTGAAGGTGAAATTGGGGAGGGAGTCCCAGCTCTGCCACTGTCTCTCTGGGTGACCTCAGGCAGGTCTCCTCAAAAAAATAAGATACTTTATAAAGCTCAGTTTCCTCTTCAGTAAAATGAGGATTCCAGGTAACTCACAGATAGTTTGTGGGGATGAATCTGTTCCTTAAAGCCTGCAGTACATCAATAACCCAGTCTTCCTGCTTGCTTTCCCCCCTCTCCACTACCAGTGATCATAGTCTGATCCCATAGGTGATATCCCAGCTCAAAACCCTACATTAGCTTCTGTGGCTGTTTAAGGCCTGCCCAGAACTCCCCTGGTCTTAGCACTGAAAGCACGTGTCCGGGGAAGCCCTGCATTGGTCGTTCATACTACTGAGTCCCGCAGGGCAAACCGTCCGGTCCCACCCTCCTTTCTAGTGCTGCTGTCACACTCACCTCCCTTCACCCTACACTCCCTTCTGTGCCTTGCAATTACCTAGGGAGTTTTTTACAAGATATGGATGCCCTGGCCCTGCCACTAGAGATTCTGATTTAATTGCTTGGGGTAGGGCCTGGCATAGGTATCTTTTAAAGCTCCGCAGTGGTTCTAAAGCACAGCCACAGATGGGAACCACTGATCTATTCTTGTAGGTCCCCAGATACCTCATGTGCTGTTCCCTGTGCCTGAGCTGACCTTTCCCCCACTTTCCTCTCCTCGGCTAATTCCTGCTTATCCTCCTACTCAGGAGGCTCTTCCTCCAGGCAGCCTTCCCTGATCCCTCCAGGAAGACTTAGCTGCGTCCCTCCGCTGGGCTTCCCCAATACACTGGGCTTGCTTTCATTAGAACCTGATCCTTCCACATTATGGTTGTTGGTTTGCTCCAATCCTCTCCCTCATTAGCTCTCAACTTTCTTTCAGGAAGAGATGTTTATCTTTCCTTCTTGTATTCCTAGAGTCGACCAGGCTCTGGCACATTGCAGATTCTCAGTATGCATTCAGGGAACAACTTAATCAAGACAAGACCATCTGACTTCTTGTGAGTTACATGCTAAGAAAGAAATGTCGACACCAATAGCCCTCACAATGATAGGAACAGGAGGTTAAAGAAAAGGAAATAGATGCAAATAGCAATATAAGTGCTTTAACAAATCTATACAGGAGGACAACCATCATATTCAAATTTTCAAACATTCTTAGTTCTGCTCTTTTGTGGGTAATGGTTTTTTTTTTTCCTCTTCCAGGAGAAGAAAAGAGGCATATTATAGAAATTCCTCCTCCCCCAGCATTACTTGTCACAGAATTGTAATTGGAAGTGATTTCCCTGACTAAGTTATTTTGGCTGTCTGTTATTTTCTCTCTTCCTCCTTGCTCTTCCCTCAGCTGGCCATCCTGTGTGTTTGGAGAGAGCCAGAAAGGTTCAAGGCTAGGAATGTTTCTCTCTCTCTTTAAAGCTCTTTAATCGTCAGGCTTTCTGATCTTCAAAGCAGGCTGTAGCCAGTGTGACCCCACTCCCTCGCCTCCCCATGCTGGAGAGTAAAAGCCTGGAGTATTTTTGTCATTTTGAAGACTTGCATATTTGGACAGCCTTGGACATCTGGAAAGTGTGGTCCTCACTAGCTCTGCAGGGATAAGAGCACGTCAGCACTTCCAAGCTCTCTGGCGCCCCTACATCTGGACACGTTGAAAAATTAACACCAGACTCTGGAGTTAAGCAAACATTAAGTTTATAGGCCTCCTTGCATTTGACCATTTCCTGGGACAGCAGCCCTTATCCTGTGACTTTCTGTGTGTAGAGTTGAGTCTTTGCAGTTGGTCCTCCTCACACTCTCTCAACTTTGTGACTCTCTGCAGTGCTTGGTCCTGGATAAGTTTGAAAGCTACAATGATGAAACTCAGCTCACCCAACGTGCCCTCTCTCTACTGGAGGAAAACATGTTCTGGGCCGGAGTGGTATTCCCTGACATGTATCCCTGGACCAGCTCTCTACCACCCCACGTGAAGTATAAGATCCGAATGGACATAGACGTGGTGGAGAAAACCAATAAGATTAAAGACAGGTGATGTTTCAGGAAGGGCTCGCTGCATTTCTCCAAAGTCAGTGGGAAATTACATTTGGTAGAGAGAAAGGGATTGAGACTGGACTCATAAATCAATAAAATTAAGTTAAATAAGAAAAAATAAGATATTTTATAAAGCTCAACAAAGAGTCCTTGAATGAAAGCAATTACAGAGTCACATTGTGGCTAATATTCAAAACTGAGATTTAAACTGAGGACTAGGAAATAGAATTGGATCCTTTTGAAGCGTTTAGGAGAAAGATTTTAAGAGAATGAGTTCCGAGTCACCCTGTGGTCGGGAGGTGTGAGTGAGCTATCCAAGCCCGTTCCCATCCTTTGTCCCTCTGTGTCTTCTCAGGTATTGGGATTCTGGTCCCAGAGCTGATCCCGTGGAAGATTTCCGGTACATCTGGGGCGGGTTTGCCTATCTGCAGGACATGGTTGAACAGGGGATCACAAGGAGCCAGGTGCAGGCGGAGGCTCCAGTTGGAATCTACCTCCAGCAGATGCCCTACCCCTGCTTCGTGGACGATTCGTGAGTCTGAAGTTCGCGATCCTCCTCCATGACACGCTAATGGGGGTGCTGGAGTGGGCTGGGGTGGGCTGGGGGTGCCCTCAAGGCTTCCATGTCTTTAGAGAGAGCCCCAGGGACCAGAGCCAAATTGGAGAGCATGGAGCTCTGACTGAGGAACCTGCTTCTCCCAAGCTCCAGGCAGGCACAGATGAGTCAGTGCAGTGGTGGGAAAGGGAAAAGAGTTGATGTTGTAGCTGGAAAAGGGAAGGGGAAAATTAAAGCAAGGAAAGTGAGGCTGGGGGAGGGGACAAATTCCCCACTATGTAGTATGTTTGGTATGTGGAAGGGTTCTGGTCAGAATGTTTGCCCAATGATTGCCACATCAGCATTCATTTTGGACTCTGTATGGCCAGTAGGTCTGGTTCCTGGGAGCCCTGGAATAATGCAGCCCCTTCCCTAACTAACATTTCCATGATGTATGCTCAATGACAAGGCAGAGGAATGTGTTGGATGAGCTCAGGACCTGCCTCCCTGGACACTCCCATCCCAGGCCTGTATATCTGTTGACCAGGAATAAGCCAAGCAAGCAGCCTACTGTTTGACTGAATATGGATTTGGGGGGTGGTAGAGAAAGGGCCGGGGTGGAGGGTTGGGAGGCTCATTTGTCATTATAGATGGGGTCAGACACACTACCAAAACAGCAGCAGAGATCTACAATTGAGTTCACCTAAAACTCAGTGTGGACACAGGAAACCCTCTTTTAATAACTGTCCAATGGGTTTTCCAGCCTCAGCTCTACAGAAAACTTGAGATAACAGTGGCCAGTCTGCAGTTAGTTTGGGTTCGGACAATAGGCAGAGCTGGGAAATGGAGCCAGGGGCGAAAGCCCAGGTCCACTTTAGGATCAGGACGGGAGTGGCTGGTGGGGAAGTGAGGTGGGTGTGGGGAGGCAATAGGGAGCTGGGTCATTTGGTATGGGAGAGTCCTCTGGTGGCTAGTCCCAGAAGTGCATGCTTTACGAACATATGCTTCTCTCCCTAGGGCCACCTTGAGTGAAACCCTCCCATGCTGGAATTGGGCCCTTTCAGTGACAACACACAACAGTTTTCAATAGATAATAATCCCAAGGGCTTTACTAGCACATGAAACACAGGGAAAACGTGTAAAGTTCACAAGAAAGTCGTTCCAGTGTATCAAATCTATCCTGTTTGCCAGGTGGATATACCAGGGTCTCCTCCACCTGTGCATGGCTGGTGGTGGGTCCAGTGGCTGTTGGATAACTGATGTATTGATGGATCATTCGCCTTCTGAAAGTGCCAAACTGATTAGTTATTTTGTGTGTCTTTTTGTGTAACTAGGGTTTGACCTTCCAGGGCAGACTGTGCTGGGGCGGCTGACCCCTTGGGGAGCCAAGTTATTGCTCTTACCACCACCACTTGCCCTTGTCAGTCCTCCACCCTCTTGGGTTTCAGTGTCAGCATGTAGCTGTCTACTCAGATCCCATCCACATCATCAAGTCTGCAGTTTTTTCCTTGCAAGGCCTTACAGGGAAGATCTTTGACATAGAGGATATAATTTTATTGACACATTTTACTTGCAGAGCATTCACCCGGGCTAACCAGAAAGCCAGCACTCTGCTATAAACAAAAAATAATGCTTCAGGGCTAACATGGAATGTGTTAAAAGATTCCAGCCCATTAAATGTCCAGGGGAGGTTTTCCTGTTTTCCTTTCCCTCCATCTGGGCTTTGTTCTCAACACATTCATTCAACAAACATTTATTCTGCCTCTACCAGGTACAGAGCACTCTACTATTCTGCTTCTCTCCTTTTGCTTTAGTTTCATGATCATCCTGAACCGCTGTTTCCCTATCTTCATGGTGCTGGCATGGATCTACTCTGTCTCCATGACTGTGAAGAGCATCGTCTTGGAGAAGGAGTTGCGACTGAAGGAGACCTTGAAAAATCAGGGTGTCTCCAATGCAGTGATTTGGTGTACCTGGTTCCTGGACAGCTTCTCCATCATGTCGATGAGCATCTTCCTCCTGACGATATTCATCATGGTAAGCCAAATGGAGAAGGCCCAGAAAATCTTGAATACTTTGGTTCCTTTCCCCTTTCCTCCTGTTCATGTGCCTGGATTAGTCATGTGGCCACCAAGGAGAGCGTGACATCTAGCTTCCCAGCCCTTCCTTTTAGCCAACGTGGGAGACACTCAAAGAGACGAAATCTCCTGAAGGAGCCACTGTATCACAGCATCCTCCCATCTCCCACTTCCTGCCCAGGGGTCCATGGTCCACACAGACTTCCCAGTCCCATTCCGTGACCATCTGGAGAAGCTGCTATTAGCAGAGCCCTGCACAGGGTGATAGTGTAATTAAAGTGGTCTTCTCTTTCCAAACACAGAAAAAATCAGTTCAGGGAGTGTTTTCCTGGGCTTACAATTTTAACTACTGGCTAGAGTTGAAATGGGGAAAGCCTTTTGCCTTTTCAGTAGCAGTAGGGGAGGAGATCTGGATTATTTACTTATCATCATCATGGTCACCTCCTACATGGCTTCACCAAAAAACATTCTGCTGCCTGAAAAAGCTCCAACACCTCTCTCTCTTTTAAAGGATGGAATTTGGAGTCCATCCTTCCTCAGTGATAAGGAGTTTTTATAGCCACAGGCAGCATCTATTGGTCTGTCCTCTGCAAACTTGCAACTCCTCTGAGAGCTAGACTTGGAAATGAAACATTATTTTGCAATGCGCTGCTATCCTTCATTTTTAGCTCCTCCACCGTAGATGATAGTTTGTACTTGTTAAATGATAAGGATATAAATTTAGGTCATTTTTTATATTTTATTGGGTGGAATTTGGTATAATTTTTAGACTTCAGGCTTTACAGGCTCCTGAGATGGACTGATTGAGCTTGTTCTACTTCTTCCCCATCATGATAGGAAGTGCTGTACCACACTAGGCAGTGTGTGTAGTGACCACAGACTGGCTGAGTGTCTCCCATCCCATGCTGGCCCATATCTGGTACCCACCTGATCCACAAATGTTCCATCAGATCCTGTTCAAACAACACATCTCCAGTTAAGCCAAATCTTGCCCTTTCTCCTTACGGTAAAATGTACTAAATCTGAAGGTTTTGTCTTTTTAATGTTGCTCCATGATCCAGTGATCTGTGGCCTTGGTTATGCTCTGTGCTAGAGTCCTAACAAGACAAATGCTAAGGTAGAGGTCATTCTGCTCAAACAACCTGACCCCACCTGGATGTGGGCTTACATTTGCAAAGGGCACCAAAGTTCTAAGAGATGAGGGGAGGAGCTGAGCCCCTTGTCCTTATCTAGGTTTCCCTTGTTCTTTCCCATCCCTCAGTCTGCTTCTTTTCCCAGTACCAACATGTTTGTGTCCTCAGAATTAAAGGAGTAAAAATGTGTAAACATCTGACTAGCAACAGCCATGAGATTTTGCCTGGCTTGTTGATAAGCAGCATTGAGATCTGCCCTCCTAAGAATGGGCCATTAGGTCTTCAAAGCTTTTACGATGTGAGGTAAAGAATGTTCACCAGGAGTTTCATGCACAAAAGGGTTTCTCTTTGTGGGAACTAGAACATTGTTCCAGTGATGACGGAAACAGGGCTTTCCATACCAAAACAGGGTTTTCCTTTGAATGACTCTCCCACCTTTCCCTTGTCTCTTCCTCCCCACCTCAACAACACAGGAAAGAAGCTGGAAGCAGGGACAATGGGAAGGTCCCTTTGTTACTCGAGCTATTAGAAACAAAAAGAAAAGTGGCCATCTGAGGAAGCCACAGCTGGTGAAACTGTAGGGTCACAGAGTGAATTACACCTCTGGCTTAAGTCAGTGAAAAGTCCTAGAAGTTTGTGGTCCTAGAAGTCCTAAAAGTTTATGGGACTTTGTTTTGAGCAAGGATAAGAAATTGATTTCAGGCTGGGCGTGGTGGCTCACGCCTGTAACCCTAATACTTTGGGAGACAGAGGCAGGTGGATCACTTCAGGTCAGGAGTTCCAGAGCAGTCTGGCCAACATGGCGAAACCCTGCCTCTCCTAAAAATACAAAAATTAGCCAGGTGCGGTGGCACATGCCTGTAGTCCCGGCTACTCAGGAGACTGAGCAAGGAGAATCCCTTGAACCCAGGAGGTGGAGGTCTCAGTGAGCTGATATCATATCACTGCACTCTAGCCTGGGCAACAGAGCAAGACTCTGTCTAAAAAAATAAATAAATAAAAAAGAAATTGATTTCATTCTTCTGAGAACTGCAACAACTACCTTAAAGTGATTCCATCCAAAACCCACATGTTCAGCCATGGACTTGCTTTTATGGAGCTGCGTGTGGGTGACACACAAAATCAGGAGCTCTGAGTCCTAATTTAGACTTTTATTTAGATTTCCTCAAATTTGGGTTCCAGTTAAGCGTGGGTCTCTTCTGTGCCCCGCTCCCCTTTGCCATTTGTTTTATCTGTTCTTCAGTCTGTTCTGTCAGTACCCACAGGCAGGAGAGCAGAAAGGAGAAATGGCAGCCACAGCAGACAAATGGCACATTCGTTCCACTCAGCTCTCGCATGCCCATCACAGATACAGCTCATTGGTCTCTTTTCTATGAGAGGAAGCCAGAGCTCCAGGGAACTACTGCCAACTGATCAGAACTCATTTAGGACATGGACCTATTTGTTCCTTTATGTTCCTGGGAAGAGCACAGGATGAATTCTATGTACTCATTTACGTGTTCAGAGAGTAAAGTGCCTCATAGGATGCCTCCAGCAAAAGATAACCAAGAAGGTCTAATACCTTTGACAATCTCAGTTTATCCTATAGTGTAATTGGATAGCAGTTCCCCTAGCAAAAGTTGCTAGTTTGGTCCTATTTTCTACATAGCCAAAGTGATTGATTCATTGGTTAATGTGAAAGTTACTGAGTACTGCCAGCAGGTTCTAGGAAATATATTTGTGTGATATTCATGGATGGGGAGGATCAATCCACTTCCAAGTGATTTGGATTAATTACTGGTATTTTCACCTGTGTGGGTAGCAAACCTCAGAAAATCAAGTATAGATGACGGCATAGGACAGGCCAGGCCCCAGGCAAAATGTTGAAGCTCCTCTGGAGTTCCCTCCCATCTCCCTCTTTTGTTTTCCATATACCTGGTTTATCCAGGGCCCTGGAGATGCTCCAAGACCCCCTACCCAGGTCTTCCTCCCTTGTCCCAGCTATATTTCTCCATATTACCACTCTTCTCACCGAGGATTTGCTTACTTAACACATAATAAATACTATTAAAAGAGAAACTTAGGCACATTAAAATGTTAGAGTTGATTCCAGCAAACAGTGATTCACAGGAGGCTCCAGATCACAAGTGGTTCAGGGCCCCACTGAGGGGTAGGGAAGCAAGACAAAGAAAAACAAAGCAAATATTTGATTGGTTCAAGTGGAAAGTCCCTGATTACAGGTTAGTGGGCAGTTTGTGATTAGTTAAGTTTCTCTAAGTTGGGTTTTGGTTTGCTGATGTAGGAACACAGAATGCTGGGGCCGTTTCAACCTAATGGTCTCCCAATTAATTTTTTTAACATTACTGATGACTGTTAGGAGTCTAATGTGCTACTCCTCCCAGGGAAAATGGCATTCCTAGGATTAAAGGAACTCAGCACATGGAGTGTGCGTAGAAATTTAGACACTAACTGCAGGCTGGTGGGAGAGAGCCCTTTAGGGCAGAATGAGAAGGCGTCCGGCCAAGGGCAGGAGTTACTGACGCATGGCCTCTTGGTTTCAGCATGGAAGAATCCTACATTACAGCGACCCATTCATCCTCTTCCTGTTCTTGTTGGCTTTCTCCACTGCCACCATCATGCTGTGCTTTCTGCTCAGCACCTTCTTCTCCAAGGCCAGTCTGGCAGCAGCCTGTAGTGGTGTCATCTATTTCACCCTCTACCTGCCACACATCCTGTGCTTCGCCTGGCAGGACCGCATGACCGCTGAGCTGAAGAAGGCTGTGGTGAGGCCCTTGGGCTGGCCCCTGTCCTACAACACGTTTCCTTGGAAGGGTCCGTAGCAGTCCTGGAGGCCCAGCCTGCCCTCTGAGGGGGTCCACTTTGCCTTTGACCTAAGGTTAAAAAGTTCACGTGAGGCTAAAATGTACAGGGGCAAAAGTGGGAGCAGTCCTCACCCCGAGCGATGCAACAGTGACTCCTCACCACGCCTGCTTGATTCATCTGCCCTGGAAAGTCATTAAAAAACCAGTTCAACTCATGGGTCCCTTTATTTACTCACAAGAGAGAGCCAGCAGCCCATTTCACTAGTTTTCCTTTCCTACTCTTTGAGAAGAATCAGAAGGGAGGGAGCTTGCCACTTTACTATCTGTCTAAAGAGATGTTTCCATTAATTAAAGGTTTTTGTTTTGCTTCAAAAAAACTTGAATTGGAGTATTTCCACAAGTATCTTTAACATGCTCTACCAATGTTTGCAGAAAGAAGTGCAGAAATGAGACTGTCCACAGAGTCAGGCTCGCTGGCCAGGAGAGGACTCCCGAAGCTGACTTCTGATGGCCTGAGAAACTTCCTAGTTCACAATTCCCAGACCCAGACAAAGAGCACTGTCTTTTCTCTAATTGTTTTCAAATGGGCCATTTCCACCCTCTAATCAGCCTCTGGCCCTGGAGGGTGCAGTTCCCCTTGTCCTCCGGAGTCTCCCTGTCTCTGTGCTGTAGAGTCAAGAAGGGACAACCACCTGCCCTCACTGGGAAAAGACAGAAAGTCTGACTTGTTCTCACGACTCACACTTATTAGGCTCCAGAGGTGTCAGGGCATCTGCCTTTCATTTCTTAGGTTAAATAAGAAATCAATTGCTGCCATTTGTAGTACCCAATTTTCTAAAATGATCACAATGGATAAGTGGCAAGAAATCCTTATGACTCATCTGTGGGCAGAGTTGGGCTATTTTGGTAATCCTTGAGTAGGCAGATGGAATTTGAGGCCATCTTCTTGGGTACATAGATCACTAGGAAGCTATAGGTCTAGCAACTGTGGATTAGGGCTGGGCTGAGAATTGTTTCATGTTTTTTGTGACTGTATAGCTAGAGACTCTCTTGTTTGCAGAGAGACACTCTGAACTCCCCCTGGCCGTCAAGGGAAAGACTGCCTTCACCCTCCTGAGCTGACCTTACACTGAGAGACAATGGGGACCCTCTTTTGGCCCTCCCCTCTACCTCGAGGGCATCTGGGTGCTGTTGCATTGGATAAAAGGCACTGCTCTTTTTCTGTGCCCTCTCCGCCTCACTGCAGAGCTTACTGTCTCCGGTGGCATTTGGATTTGGCACTGAGTACCTGGTTCGCTTTGAAGAGCAAGGCCTGGGGCTGCAGTGGAGCAACATCGGGAACAGTCCCACGGAAGGGGACGAATTCAGCTTCCTGCTGTCCATGCAGATGATGCTCCTTGATGCTGCTGTCTATGGCTTACTCGCTTGGTACCTTGATCAGGTGTTTCCAGGTAAGCATCCTCCTCTATAGGGTAAAGGTAATTGAGTTCTTCAGATCCCCAGCCCTCTCCATTCATCTAGTTTAAATTTCATTTCTTCCAAGCTCTTTGTCAGAACCAGCATTTGAAGTTTAAATCTAGAAGTTAAAAATCCACCAGCAAATCCTACTGGCTCTACTTGAGAAACAAATCCAGAATCTGATCTCTTGTCACCACCTCCACCACAACCTTCCCAATGCCAGTCTCTTCCTTCCACTACCACCTCCCATCAGTCCATTCTGCACACTGTATTCAGGGAGATCCTTTCAGAATCAAGGTCATGTGGTGTCAGCCCTCTCTGTCAAATGCTTGCACTGGCTTTTCCTCTCTTTCAGAGTAAAACCCAGTGTCTCAACCCTGGCCTCCAAGCTGCTTCATTATCCGGCCTCCAACTCTCTTCTTCATCTTACGATTTTCCCTACTCCTCCATGTTCCTCTGCTCCAGCCACGTCGGCCTCCTTACTGACTGTTTAATACACCGAGCGCATTTCCTCTTCAGGGCCTTTCCACCTGCTGTTCTCATGCCAGAAGCACATTTCTCTCCCCACAACCTGCAACCCGCCCCTCATATCTGCAGGCTTGCTTCCTTACTTTGTTAAGGTCTCTGTTCAAATGTCCCATTATCACAGGGATCTTTCCAGACTGAAGAGATCTACATAACTATGGCTCTGTAAACAACATTCCTCCAGGGTTCCTGTCCCCTTACCCTACTTTATTTTGGGGAACATTCTTCACCATCTGATACAATGATGTATCTTATGCATGTATTTACTGACTCTCTGCCCTTAGTAGAATATGAGCCCAGAGAGCATGCATGTGGTCTATTTTGTTAACTGTGACAGTCCCAGTGCCCAGAATAGTGCCTGACCTTTGGTGGGCACTGAATAAATATCTAAGTAATCTGTAGCATGGAAAATCAGCTTCTGAAAATTGGCTGTTTGCACGGTCGTGTATTTGCTTGGTAGAAAATCAAATTTTCCTTCAAATTAGCATTTTCTGGTAACTAGAGCTGCCCCATCTTCCTCTGAGTGGTCTCCAAGTCAGCCAATAGCCTTGTGCTGTGGCAGCCATGCCTGGCTCTTGATGCTGTAGCCAAAAGCAGGCAGGGGATGGTGAGGCTGGTCCAGTCCATGGGGAGGGACAAACTCACAGCTCTCAGATCATCTCAGGGCAGCCTTTGTTGGCAGAAATAGGTAGGCAGCCACCCTGAATAGGAGGAAGGCTTCTAGACTGGGTCAGGAGGCCTGGGTTTGCATCCTAGTGGCAAGCGTGCATTCATTTACTAGGGCTGCCATAACAAAATACCACTAACTGGGCAGCTTAGACAACAGCCATTTATATCTCACAGCTCTGAAGGCTGGAAGTCCAAAATCAAGGTGTTGGCAGGGCCATGCTCCCTCTGAAACCTGTAGGTGCTTGGGCACTCCTTGACTTGTAGATGCTTCCTGCTGATCCTTCGTCTGCACATGGCATTCTGCCTGTCTTACATGGCCATCTTATAAGGATACCAACTGGATTGGATTAGGTGCCTACCTTGCTCCCATGTGACCTCATCTCAACTAATCACATCTGCAATGACCCTGTTCCTAAACAAGGCCACATTATGAGGTACCTGGGGTTAGCACTCTGGTATCTTTTTTCTTGACAGCACTTCTGACACCAAATGTGTGTTTTGGTTTTTTGTTGTTGTTGTTTTGGCACCAACCAATTCTCCTATATTAATGGGTTGTCCAAGAATTCAATTGAATTCTGACACTATCCAGAATTCACACAGACTCCACGGGTTCAGTCCCACAAGGCTTCCCCGTCTTCAGATGCCAGCTGGAAATGTGGTGCCCAGGCTACCCACACTTTTGCCAAAATCCTGTACTTACAATCACAGCTTTAAAATGAAGGATGCAGCTCAGGAACTGCCACATGGAAGAGAAGCACAGTATGGGGTCGGGGGAAGAGTTTCTATGCTCTCTCTAGACGCACCACTCTCCCAGCACCTCAAAGTGTTCAGCAACCCAAAAGCTCTCCAAATCTTGTTGTTCGAGAGTTTTTATAACCCTATCTCCAGCTCCATACTCCCCCATTGGAGGTTGAGGGTTGGGACTGAAAGTTCCATTCTTCACATGTGTGGTGTTTCTGGTGACCAGTCCCCAGAAACTGCAGCTATCTTGGGGCTCTACCCTGAGTCACATCATTAGCATAAACTCAGATGTGGTAGAGGAAGGGGCTTATTATGAATAAAAAAAGACACTCCTTTCTGCCAGGAAATTCCAAGGGTTTTAGGAGATCTGTGCCCTGCACAGGAGCTGGGGACAAAGACCAAGTATATTTTGTGTTATGCCACAGACCCCAACATGTCTTTTTGGAGGGAGACCAAATTCAACCCATGACAGTGACTTTGAACAAGACATTTGAACTTAGTCTGTTTTTTCTATCCTACTAGATTGTTGGAAACAGATATAATAGATGAAAATTAGTTGATTAAAATTGAAATTTGTGCATAATTCAAAAGTTTTATTTTAGCCAAGCTAAAGCTTTCATTTATTCAACAGCTATTTACTGAGCAGCACCTGTGCATGAGGCTCAGCAGGGCCAGGTTCTGGGAACAGAGCGGTGGAGATAAAGATCCAGACCTGCCCCGAGGAATAGACAGTCCAGTGGCAGCAAAGGCCATGAAACATACGGCAACTCTTAAAAAAAGCCGAGACCATGATTTTACAAAATCAACATTTTGTAGGGAGCAGAACTTTCAAAGAGAACTGGACTAGAAATTTGGGAGTCTTTTTCTTGGAACCCTGGTAGATCCAGTAGAATGAGGGATGGGGGTGTAGGGTTAAAAACACTGACATTAGAACTGGATTACCTGTGTTGGAATTCCTACATTTCTGTTTCACTATCTGTGACGGGGGGCAGATGGCTGAATCTCAGTGTGCCTCTGTTTCCTTTCTCACAAGAATAATATTACTACCTATCTCCTGGGGTTGTTTTGAGGTTTAGATTATTTAACACATGGAAAGCACTCACAGCAATGCCTGCCACAGAAAGAATATCCAGTACATCTTAGTGATGATCACCATTATTATTATCTGACTCCTGGAAAAGGACTTGATTTAATTCTCTCATGAAACGTTTTCTTGGAAAACTGATGTCAACCAAGATTATTGGTCTTGCTGTTGCTTATAACACCCCAAAAACATGACTGTGTGGATAAAAATATGTTGGAAGGGGTAGTCTTTCTGGGAGCCTGAGAATAGCCATGTAATAATAACTGCAAATATCTATAGTTACAATTTGAGGTTCAGGTAAATAAACTCTAGATCTTATAGAACTGCGGTAAGGTAGGATAGGGAGACTCCTTCGACTTTCTCTGTTTATTTGTCTCTATTTTTAGGAGACTATGGAACCCCACTTCCTTGGTACTTTCTTCTACAAGAGTCGTATTGGCTTGGCGGTGAAGGTGAGTCCTTTAAAACACAAATCTTAATGTTTGAAATCAACTCCTTGGGCTCTGTGCAAGATGTATATGGATCACAGAGGTGGCCCTCTATGTAAACGGTGTGATTCCTGATGAGTCAGCTGCCTCCTGGGGCTCTGCCCCTTGATGGGCATTGCAGCGTCTGGGGGACCACCTTTCACAAGTTGCTGGGCCCTGTGTGATCATGAATGGCTGATCATGGATGAAGCCCTGGGTCCTGTACACCTTGTCCAGTAGACTAAATTGCCCTATTTAAAAAAGGCCAAGCCACTTCAGGGTTCAAAGAACTTTTGCAGCTTTTCAGTATAAAGCAGAAATCCAGGGAATCATGAAGGAACCTTTGCATTCATCTCCCATTGCCTTCCTTGTGCCTTTTTATTCTTCTCTGCCTTTTCAAAATATAAATTAGTTTATTCTCCCAAGATGAAGACTCCTCCTGGGGCTGAGGCAGAGCTGTTATCTTCAGGGCAATACCTCAGATTCTCCTGGTGTTGATCTTTCTTAGGGGTGGGGAAAAAGGCTGAAAGGGCATTTGCCCACAACACATCTTAGGTAAAAGGCACCTTTACTACTGAACCAAACAGGAGGCCTAGCTAGAGAAAGTTCTAGAAGCAGGGAAAAGCACAGACTCTTTTGTGAGGTCTGAGAAAGCAAAGAAATTCCAGGGTGAAAGCGGGGGACTCCCCTAGAGCTGAAGTACTCTCCCATCTGTTTGTTGCTCACCTACCTATTCTTTACTTTGTATTATTGGGCCTGGGCCAGGACTTATCCTGCAAGCACTGAGATGGATGTTTGTTTTCTCTGGGGGATTAGTCTTTTTTTTTCTTTTTTTCTTTTGTTTTTTGCTTTTGTTTTCACTGGGTCAAACAAACAACACTTTAACAGCTCAGGATTTTTTCATTGTATTGACTTGTCTACCTGTAAACTTGTTAATTTTTTACTATAATAAAATTATCATATAATAAATGAAAAATTTCAACACAGGGCTTGTGGGCATTTTATTTTTCTCTACAATCCCAACAGATACTCTGCCTCTTAAGAAAAAAAGAAATCATAAGGAAAATATGCTCCTTCAAAAGTGAATCACAAATATGTTTGCCAACGGAAGGCAAATATTTTTCACCTGTCTCATAGGCTGGACTGAAATGGATTTCTAAAACTCTCTAAAACCAGAAAAGAGCTGAGTGTCTCCACCCAACCTCCCTCCTTTCACAGATTAAAAAATAAAAAATGGAGCCCAGGAGACATCCAGTATCTTCCCCTATTGGTCACCTGGGACAAAATCTGGAACATGCACATGCATTGCCTGGCAGGAACTCATTCCAGTGATTAAACTCTTCAGGAGGATGTTTCCTCTTGCTATTTCATTACCTATTTGTGCAGTTTGATAGCTAGTAAAGTGATCAAAGGAACTGTGGGGCATAGATTCAAAAGTCCTTCAGGAAGCAGAAATAGAAGAACAGTACTAGAGGCAGCAGGTCCCTGACCAGCAGGCCCACTACCTGCTGCTCCAGCACACATCCTGCACATTTTCAGAGGGTGGGGGACAGAGGGGCCCTGGGTGGCTGTTGCATTGAGAAATCTCGCCCTGCTCCTGTATGTGCACTTGAGGCCGAGAGCCCTTGGATGCCTGGTGACAGTGGTTTCCTCCTGCCCCTGCCTTCCTCTCTGGCAGACTGACTGGCCCTTCTGCTCCTCTTCCCCTTCCAGGATGTCCTGATATCTTTTTAAACCAAATGCCAAGTTTGCCAAAAAGTGTCTGTTTGTGTGTGTGTGTGTGTGTGTGTTCAATGCGTGTGTTTATACCACACTTCACAATTTGTCCAGGCTTGTATTAATACCATCACCAGGCTCAACCCTGGTGTTAATTCCAAGATACTTAAATGCCCATCTAGGTGAATTTCTCAGGTAAACCATATATTCAAGCTGTAGTTTAAGCTGGCTGCCCGTCATAGCACTTTGAATAGACTTTGTTTTTGTTTTTGTTTTTTGAGACAGAGTCTCACTCTGTCGGCCAGGCTGGAGTGCAGTGGCACTATCTCGGCTCACTGCAACCTCCGCCTCCCGGGTTCAAGCGATTCTCCTGCCTCAGCCTCCTAAGTAGCTGGGATTACAGGTGAGCGCCACCCCACCCGGCTAATTTTTGTATTTTTAGTAGATACGGGGTTTCACCATGTTGGTCAGACTGGTCTCGAACTCCTGACCTCATGATACGCCTACATTGGCCTCCCAAAGTGCTGGGATTACAGGCGTGAGCCACCACATCCGGCCCCTGAATAGACTTTTACTCAAGGTTCACCATGACTTTCACATGTTTTGTATTGGAGTAAAATGTGCCAGTGGTGGGCTAAAGAAAATTAACTCATTTCAAATTCAAACCTGGTTTTCTTAATTTTTTTAAAATCACAGTTTCTGAAACTGTGGGCTCCTCATGGCACATTGAGAGGAGGAGGTGAAACTCTCCAAGTCTGAAGCTCCTGTTATAAATCTTCCTCTGGCAAAGATTGTGTGATCAGGCTTGAGTACCTCACAGTCCTAGAGCAGGTCAAAGGCTGGCTAGGAAACTCATTTGCTCCCTGTACCTCTCCCCTCCTTTCCTGCCTTTGCTCGTTCTCAGCTCCCGGTGGTAGAGTAACACTGGCTTCTGATTGGTGCAGGGTGTTCAACCAGAGAAGAAAGAGCCCTGGAAAAGACCGAGCCCCTAACAGAGGAAACGGAGGATCCAGAGCACCCAGAAGGAATACACGGTAAAACCCCGATAAAGAATACACAGCAGAGGCGAGGAAAAGGCTCTAAGCACTGCAGAGGGCCAGAGCAAAACATCTCATGGCAAGGGTGGAAAGAAGCCTAGGAAACTGACTCTCTCTGTGGACAAGTGTTAAACCAGATCCCTTCTCAGAGGTCCATCTGCATGTGTGTGGAATGAATGGTTCAGCCCAGACATTAGCGCATATTTCCTGGAGAAAGCAAATACCAACTATGTAGTGTGCCTGTGCCCTTGTTAGGCAAATCCCAAGTGAGTTGCACAAATGTGCTGACTTCCGAGGATTTAGCAAGAACAATAACTTTGGTCACTGGGACTTAAAGCGGATATGAGCTATAAGGAAAGACAAAAATAAATGCTTCTGTGTCCAGGGGGAAAGAGACTCCAGGGGAGCTGACTACACTTCACTTACGGCTTACAAATCTAGAAGGCCATTCATTGAAACCATCAGAAGCCTTTCCTGACAGTGGAAGTTACCTAATAATCCCTAAACTGACGACCCAGATTTACAAGTTTTGTTTTCCTGGCTTTTGCTGCCCTCATCTTCTCTCTTAAACTAGTTCTGTATTTCTCCCAAGGCTTTTCATTCCCTAAGCATACGCATTTCTCTGTGGCCAAAATGCTCTGGGTTTAGACAGGCAGCACAGCCCCTGGGCTCTGCCTGACAGGGCAGGAGAGGGTCTGGCCTTTATCCCTCCAGCCCACCCCAGGGGCCATTTCATAAAACTAAAGCCAGAGACCTGCAGCCCCTCCCAGAGTTAGACTGCAGTACACCATGCCTCTGGCAAGATCCTCCTCCCACAGTGGAAAGTCTAAGCCAAATCAGGAGGCTGGGGACTGGTTCCACCTCAGTTGCAGGCAAGGCCAGGAGGCACGGATAGAAGAAACAGTGGACTTTTTCCCCCTAGGGAAAGAAATGCTTAGAGCTACAGTATTAAGATGACAAATTAAGCTGTGCCATATAGGGTGAAATGAAGCAGGGATAGATGGGAGGTCAGGGAGAAGTGAGAGCACTCGGTGAGGGTCTGCACTGGAGGGGGCATGGGAGGAAGAAGGAGGGGAGTGGGGTTTGAGGGATGGTGATGAGGAAGCGTGGACTGCCCTACCCACCTATTGGAAAACCTGGGAGTTCTGAGGAGCAAGAAGCCTTAGTCAAAGTCAACTCAAAGATTCAAGCCAAGGTGACTAAGAGAATGGCGGTCCAGAAAAGGTCATGGGAGAATCTGAAGGCAGATGTTGTTTTGGGAAGATGAAGAACCTAAGCCGCTTCCAGAAATTCATGAGGAAATGCCCCGTGGACTGTTGGCAATGAGGGCCTAGGACCAAGGTTGAGCTTGGGGCCAACTCTCCCTATAGACAGTGAGTGCATTCTGACAAGCATGGGCTCTGGGTTCAAATCCCAACTCTGCCACTCATGCCTATGTGTCCTTAATAGGACGCTTGATGTCTCTGTGTCTAAGGTTTCCTGGACTATGGAAATGAGCCTAATAAATGTCTACCCCTTAGGACCATTGTAAGAGTACATTGAGGTAATTTGTGTAAAGCAGTCGAAGCAGTGCCTGGCATATAGGAGGTGCTGTATAAACGTTTGATGCTAGTATTACTATTATTATTCTGGAGTCTTCCTTGCAACGGTGATAGCCGAAGCCACAGGGGCAGGTGACGTTATAGGCAGAATACAAGGGCCTGGAGACAGAGCCCTGGGGCCATGTAATTAGGCATTATGTTTACATCATGTTCATTTTTTTTCCTCCAAGACTCCTTCTTTGAACGTGAGCATCCAGGGTGGGTTCCTGGGGTATGCGTGAAGAATCTGGTAAAGATTTTTGAGCCCTGTGGCCGGCCAGCTGTGGACCGTCTGAACATCACCTTCTACGAGAACCAGATCACCGCATTCCTGGGCCACAATGGAGCTGGGAAAACCACCACCTTGTGAGTCTTCCAGCAGAGAAGCTGGCTGCCATGCTAGCCTGTCATTTCCTGGCTTAGTCTTTCCCTATCAGCGGCTGTCTACTCTTTCCCACAAATTTTAGTGACAAATATTTGCGGCCCCAAAAATGTGTAAAAGCTTTCTGCAGTATTCAAAGATCACTAATATGTATTCTCTTGATGGGGAGGTAGAATACGTTTATTGCCCCTTTTGTGTGCCGGGGAAGTGGACATTCATTCAGAGAGTTGAAGTGACTTTCCTGAAGCCACCAAGTTGTCATGGCTCAGCGGGGGCAAAAGCCAGGCACCACAGTTGCCTCTTGTTTCTCACACCTTGAGTCTTTCCCCCCATCTCAACAGTCCATGGTGGTGATCAAGTCATGGCCACTGTCATCATGTGCATGGAAGCTATAGAGTCCTCCTATTTCCTTTCTCTTTTCTTTTCTTTTTTTTTTTTTTTTTTTTTGAGATAGTAACCATTACCCATGCTGGAGGGCAGTGGTGCGATCTTGGCTCACTGCAACCTCCGCCTCCCAGGATCAAGCGATTCTCCCACCTCAGCCTCCCAAGTAGGTGGGACTACAGGTGCATACCACCATGCCCAGCTAATTTTTGTATTTTTTTTTTTTTTTTTTTTTTTTAGTACAGACAGGGTTTCACCATGTTGGCCAGGCTGGTCTCGAACTCCTGACCTCAGGTGATCTGCCCGCCTCAGCTTCCCAAAGTGCTGGGATTACAGGCGTGAGCGACCGCACCAGGCCGAGTCCTGCTATTTTCAAGGAACATTCCTTTTCCTACCAATCATTAGGCAGGCTTCAACATCAGCTGATGAGGGTTAGTGGTCGTTCTGGAGAAAGTGAAAAAAGAATCAGTCTCTAGAGGGGCTTGTGGAGTAACCGCCTGGTAACAGAAGGTCAGGGCAGGGAAGGCAAAGGGGCTCTGCGCGGATCTCTCAGCTCCGCAGGCGCCCCACTCTCCTCCAAGGGACCCGAGCGCCATCTGCTGAGAGGAGAACACGGCCCGCCATGGTTTCCCAAGGAGCAGCAGACACGGACCTCGCAGGGGGCAGCGAACCCACGTGACACAGTCTTCAAGTCCTTTGGAGAGCCCCAGGAAGGAACAACAGCGTGTACACCCTGTGATGGAATGTTCTCTAGGGCGGTTCAGTGTGAATGGAATGTGGGGCCGGTGCCATTCTAATTGGTTCTGTTTCCCTCTAGTGGTTGATCGCGGAGATTTCGGCTTCTCCATCAGGACAAGTTCAGATAGCCTGAGATGGTATCAGAACTCAGGGACAGAGCTGGGTGTGGCGGCCCTGCATCCATCTGCTTTCTCTCCATGCTAACTGATATGGTCAGAGAGCTGGAAGCAAATTCCAGGACCCCAGGGCTCCGCAAAGGCAAACACATTACTTCATCGGCTGCTGACATGCAACTTCCCCCAGGGGTTAAAACAATGTTTAATACTAACAGTAATAATATTTTTGAGTTTTACTTTATGCTGGCGCTGTTCTAATGTTGTAAGTGTATTAACTCATTTAAGCCTTACAACAACCTAAGGACATGGGAGTCATAGTTCCCATTTAAAAAAAAAAAAAAAAAAAGCCCACCATTGCTCTGAGGCTTTTTATGTTTTGGATCCAAAGCTAATATTGGTGGTGGTAATTCCCATGCCTGGCTTCGATCAATTAATCAGCAAATGCCTAGGACTGCTTAGGGTTCTGGCCTTCATCAAGACCTTACCCGGGCTTTATGATGATGACACCTGGCTTTTCAATAGCCATGACTGCTCACCCAGGAGGCAACGCCTCGAGTCATGCACCGAACACCTTTTATTGATCCTCTCCAACACCAGGCTCCGTGATGGCTGAGCTGGGGACACCTGTGACTGCACGTGAACATTTTGAGGCTGGGAATCCCAAAGGCCCTCGGCGTTGGCCTGGGAGCACCATGAAACAAGTAGAAGCAGAGAAGGATGGCAGAGGTGGCCCTCTGCATTAGGGCCTGGATGTATACACTGGTGCTAAGGGGGCCCCACAGCTAATAGGGGTTTGAGTTTGACTGACAGCCCCAGGCAGGAATCTGTGAGAGTTCTCACTGAACCTGGTGTGGGGGTGGCCCTCCTAAGGCATGTTGCTAAAGGCCATCTCTTCTGCCACTGACGCCTGTGTTCTGCAGGTCCATCCTGACGGGTCTGTTGCCACCAACCTCTGGGACTGTGCTCGTTGGGGGAAGGGACATTGAAACCAGCCTGGATGCAGTCCGGCAGAGCCTTGGCATGTGTCCACAGCACAACATCCTGTTCCACCAGTAAGCGACACAGGAACTGAGACCGCCCCATCCCCTCTCCTCACCTCTGCCCCCAGCACACTTCTCTAGAGCCCAGCTCAGGGGTGCCAGGCCTGGGCACAGGCAGAGATACAGACTCTTATTTGGTTTCCCCTATGTTTAAAGTCCTTTGTCCTACTTGCAGTGAGAATTGTCCCTGAGAATATGGGACTCTGCCTCTGCTGCTCAGAGCTGAGGGCTCCTCCCTCAGAAGGGTGAGGCTGCCTTCGCTCTGACAGAGCAGCTGATCGATCCCCGAGCCCCTTGTGCAGCCCTGAAGTACTTCCTCTCTGGGACCAAAGACAGGAGAACCATTGTTCCTTTTTCCTGTTGAAGCCACGGCCTGAAAGGCAAACTTTTCAGGGGGCTTTTCAGTTACTTTTTTTCCCCAATAAGATATCTTTTATTTCTTATCTAAGAAGCTACGCATAGTCATTGTGAAAGAAAAAAAAGGAAGGGAGGAAGGAAGGGAGGAAGGAAGGAAGGAAGGAAGGAAGGAAAGAAGGGAGGGAGGGAGGGGAGAAGGAAGCGAGGGAGGGAGGGAGGGGAGAAGGAAGGGAACAGGAGGGAGGAAAAGGGAAGGGGAAGGAGGAAGGAAAGGGAAGGAGGGAGGAAGTAAATATAGGTAAACAAAAAATTGAAAATAAAAGTCACCTGTAATTTCACTACTCAGAGATAACCGCTGAGTTATAACATTGGTATATAATTTTTTAGAACTTTCTCCTATACATGTATAGATAGATAAACACATATACTTCAAAATGATAAAGAATAGTAAAACTATGCATACAATTTTATAACCTGACTTTTTTTTCAAAAAAAAGGATTGCTTTTTTAAACATAAGATATCAGGAACATCTTTCATGTCATTACATATTCTTCTATAAAATAATATTTAATGTTTACAGATTATTCCATTGTATGCATGAACTATGTAAGCCATCCTCTTATTAGATATTTAAGCAGGGTCTGCTATTTTTGTATTGTATCATAAACACCACCACAGTGAGCATCTTGATTGCCAAATCAAGAATACTTGTCCTCAATTATTTCTGTAAGATCAGCTGCTGGAAGTGGAAGTGCTAAGCCACTGCTTTTCTCGTTGTCCCATCCTCCTAGCCTCACGGTGGCTGAGCACATGCTGTTCTATGCCCAGCTGAAAGGAAAGTCCCAGGAGGAGGCCCAGCTGGAGATGGAAGCCATGTTGGAGGACACAGGCCTCCACCACAAGCGGAATGAAGAGGCTCAGGACCTATCAGGTGCTCAGAGCTGGATGGAGACAGGGCCACAGATGGCAAATCCATGGCTCCCCAGTGCACCCAGGAGGCAGGGGAGGCTTGGAGCAGGAGAGCTTCTAAGGGTGGGAACACCTCTGTGAAGTTACACCAAAAATCTAAGAGCAGCCCCCAGATCATTTTCCCTGCAGAGCACTGTCTCACAGCAGCCTGGGTTTTATTTGTCCTGAGATTGATGTGCTTGAACAGTCTTCAAAGGGTCTGATCCGAGGAGGTGAGGGTTGCCCTTTCTGCATTTACAAAGCCTGAACAGTATTAGGGCTTTGAACGCTATAAACATCTAAGAGGCAGCACCAAACCACTGCTGGGTTAAGGTACCCCCACAATGCCACTTGCCCTGGGCCTTTCTCTTCCTCACCCTCCACAGCCCCTTAACTCTCCCGTCCTTCTTGTGCCTCCAGGTGGCATGCAGAGAAAGCTGTCGGTTGCCATTGCCTTTGTGGGAGATGCCAAGGTGGTGATTCTGGACGAACCCACCTCTGGGGTGGACCCTTACTCGAGACGCTCAATCTGGGATCTGCTCCTGAAGTATCGCTCAGGTAACAGCTGCTGCTCAGTCTCCTGGGCTGGGCTCTCACTGCAGCCCTAGCTGTGGTCCCCACTCTCTCACCTGCCATTTTGTAGCTGAGTACAGGAACCACAATGACTACACTCAGAAGGGGGTTTATCAGTGACTTGGTGAATCTAAGTTCCAGCTAAAGCCTCCTGAGGTTTTTACAAATATAAACAGAGAATCACTGATGATGCAACCTACTTCCCAAAATATTTTAGAAAATTCTCTTGACCTGCAGCCCTTCTGTCTGGAATAATGGATGCTACTCTAGGTGAATGTCTTCTCTGACCATGGGGACCCAGGTCACCTGCAAACATACCTAGAAGCTCCATAGCTGTCAGATGACCACTCAGGACCAGTGTGAGGGTGACCTGCTGGGCATTCAGTGCTCCAGAGGGTGGCCACAGATGGAAGTGGCTCCTCTGTCATGGCACCTCTCAGACAAGGGGCTCAGATCAGAAGAGACAGCAAGCAGAGCTGAGTGCCCATAGAGGTAACAGCACGGTTCAACCCCGTGGTCAAGCCAGAGCTTTCCCCCTTGCTCTACTCACACAGCGTTGCCCCGTGCCTTTCTCTGAGGGTTTGTCATCCTGAAATCCTCATTGCTATTTTCTTTCTTTCTTTTCTTTTTTTTTTTTTTTTTTTTTTGAGACAGAATCTCGCTCTGTCGCGCAGGCTGGAGTGCAGTGGCGCAATCTCCACTCACTGCAAGCTCCGCCTCCTGGGTTCGAGCCATTCTCCTGCCTCAGCCTCCTGAGTAGCTGGGACTACAGGTGCCCGCCACCACGCCTAGCTAATTGTTTTTGTATTTTTAGTAGAGACGGGGTTTCACCGTGTTAGCCAGGATGGTCTCGATCTCCCGACCTCAGGTGATCCTCCCGCCTTGTCCTCCCAAAGTGCTGGGATTACAGGCATGAGCCACCGTGCCCGGCCTGCTGTTTTCTGTTAATGACATCTCCAGTTAGTGAGAGTATGCACGTGTGTGTTCTTTATGAAGAGTATAAATCCAGAGCTTAATGATCCAGAAAATGTACATATGAAACTCCCTAGATGCTGACCATAATACATGAGCCCCTAATATAGAGATTTATTTGAATCAGATCCTATGCTGGATACAGAGACACTGTGTGTGGCAATGCTTTACAGTATGTAGGAAGCTATGAAATGTTAGTTATTATTGTCCTAATATGCTGGAATTTGCTGCTGAATTAGTTCCCTTGGGTTTTTTTTTTTAGTTAACTCCTGATTTTTGCAACTATATAGCCAGGAAATTGCTGTACACCCTTTACCAACAATGCCCAACCCAGGGCAGGCCTGGTGATTGCCCTGGCCCCTACCTTGCAGGCAGAACCATCATCATGTCCACTCACCACATGGACGAGGCCGACCTCCTTGGGGACCGCATTGCCATCATTGCCCAGGGAAGGCTCTACTGCTCAGGCACCCCACTCTTCCTGAAGAACTGCTTTGGCACAGGCTTGTACTTAACCTTGGTGCGCAAGATGAAAAACATCCAGAGCCAAAGGAAAGGCAGTGAGGTAGGTGTCTGCCCAGGGAAGGACCCTGGCCTGGGTGAGAAGGAGCACACAGCACGGGGCTGCCACTCCAGACATGGCTACTCACACAGGCTCTCGCCACCAGAATCAGTGTCTTTGTTCTGGGACCATTTGCAGAAGATTTCGATGAACACATTCTGAAGCCTCCTCCTACAGAGATGCTTTAGCCAAAATGAAACAACTAGCTTTAAATGGTCTGCAAGTATTACATGCCAGATTACACACCAGTTTGGTGCGGTTTGGTGCAACATAGAAGTGAGTGTCTTATTCTGTAAGGTTAGGCTGTTTTAAGAGCAATTGGTTGAGCTTCATTTCAACATTAATATTCCCTAATTAAACCTGAATTTCAGTGGTAAGTGAAAACTAAGAAGAGGCCTCCTTGGGTGCTATAACATAAAAATGATGAAGGCAAAAAGTACCAACCAGCAGAGACCACTTCAGCACATCAGGAGACCCAGTTTTATGTCTGTGCTGCGAAGTGAACAAACTGTGTCATCCTAGGCAAATTATTTAATTCCTCCTTTTTTTTAGTATTTTTTTCTTCTTCACATGGAACATGAAGCTAATGACCTCTGCTTCTATTTCTTAGGGATGTGAAGATAAGTGAGATAAAGTATTATAAATGTGCTCTGGGCTTCTTAAGAACAGGCATTGCTCACATTCAAATGGTCATGATTATGATATGGCAGCATTATTTATGCCTCTGGTTTAAGTGTCTGGCTGCCGCTGGGGTTTCCTATGTCCATCCACGGGGAGGGAGGCACAGAATGTCTCCCACAGGCAGAACCTACAGCTGCCACATAATTGATGACAAGCCAAAGGGACCCTTGGAGGTTCTGCTCCTCTCTGTGTGTGACTCACACACTCTCTAGGATAAAATCAAGCGACTACACCCTCAAAATGCTCAGATGAATTAACAGATTAAACAGTGAAGAAAAAAATGTGTTGACTACACTTGGCAGTGAGAAATAAATAAAGCGGGCGGTGACAGCAGCTGGCATCAGGGAGAGGCTGTCATGGAAGGGATGTGCATCTTGTCAGTCATCCCATCCATCTGTTGCAGGGGACCTGCAGCTGCTCGTCTAAGGGTTTCTCCACCACGTGTCCAGCCCACGTCGATGACCTAACTCCAGAACAAGTCCTGGATGGTAAGGACTGGACGGGCCATACTTGGGTTCCGTCTGGCAGCCATCTCCCAGTATTGCTGGGTGTGTCCTGTTGTGATGCATTTTAATGGGAGCAAAGAGAACACTGGGTACTTCTGCAGGTCACACAGTTGTTCTTTTGCTTTGAGCTTCTTTCTCCTCTTCCTTCTTCCTTCATTCCCAAAGGGATTTTAAAAGTCATGCACCTAAAGGCCCTCTCCCTTTAATGAGGAATACACTCTGTGCTCTTACCCTTAGTAAGCCATCATTCCTGGGGTCCCCCTGCCCTGGCTCCAGGCCACATTCCTTAGTGTCTGGGGAGAGCTTCTTCTACATGTGTGCCGTGGCGCCCTCTAGTGGAAGCATGGTGATGCACGGCTCTTCCAGTGAATTCGTGGAGTCAGAGATTGCACATGTGGATGGCAAGTCTGGAAATAGCATACACCCCTGTTATACTCCTGATTCTCCCCTCAGCTTCCCAATTTCCCAGTGATTCTCCCTTTAATTAGGATGCACTGAAGCTCTCAGGGGTGCCCCCATCTCCAAGGAGCTGCAGTGGAGAGGCTATCCCCTCTCTATGTGAGAGAATGTGTGAGAAGCGTATTCCCACACAGGAGCAAAACTAAACTTACGTACTGATGCAGGTTAATGAATGGGGAAAGTATCTGCTTATCAAAGAAAAGGCATATTTTTCTATTTAGCACAAACTTTTTCAAATGTTAAGAATTTACTAACTGAAATCTGGTGAAGCAAGAGAACCGGGCAATATTTGCGTTGTCTGATCATTACAACTGGAGGGAACATGCTCAGAGAGGCATCATCACTGTTCATGCACCTGCCCTCTCTTTACACTGAGAGACCCTGTGATGAACAGAAAACATCTTTTTAGGATGACATCTCTGGGTCTTTCTCCTAGCCTGCCTTGCTGTGGGTACCTATCTCCCTGCTCTCTGAACCTTGGTCAAGAAGTTTATATTTGTTTTAAATTGATACTAATATGTTAAGTTACTGTGATTTGCCAAAATCAGATTGGAAACAGGGCCTGCATGGCTGAATGATTCTTTTTTTTAAATTACTTTATTTCTAAATAAAGGTTTTCTTTGTATAGAATCGGGATGCTGTGAATGGTGGGAAATGCACTAAATAGTTATGCCCCAAATAAGAAAGGGAAAATCATTTGAATCCCCAGTTAGCTCCTTGAAAGTCTTTTCACTTAAACACACCCACATACCACACACACACTCACAGACCTCCCTCCCAGATGCCCAAAGCCCTGCTGACCTACAGAGCTACTTCTGGAAAGGCTGACACATGCCTAAGACACAATTCCTGGGAATCCAGCAGCTTTGGGTTCAATTTCCTTCCTAAAAGAACAATGAATATGACCCCTGGAGAGCTATTAGGGCAGAGCTGCTTCCTTAACGTAAAGGACTCTCCAGCCTCCGTATGAAGTCATCTCAGAGCTAAAGACAATCAAGTCCAACTTGCAGATTTGACATAAAGCAAGACTTCCAATCCGGCTAGGCAGAAGGATTTTGGTTGAAAACCATGAAATCCCTTCATATGGATCATTTTTTAAACAACAAAAAAAGAAAAGAACCTACTGGGTGTCCACAACTCTGAGAGCTGCTTTCTGAAGAGTCATGTTTTGAGTCCTGGAATCCCTCTCCCTTTGACCTGCCTCTCAAGACAATGTGCGAGAGAACTCTCTCTTCAAGTGCATGCAAGTGAGGTTTTCACAGTTAGATTTTTAATTTTAAAGTAATACACATTTGTACATAAAATTCAATTCTGACTGTATACATGTGTCAGATAAACAGTTGATACCTGACACTTGTTCACAGTCTATGATACGCACCGCATATCCTACCCTCTCCCCCAGCCTCTCTCCATGGCTTCTCAACCCCCCCTCTGCATTTCCTGTGACCTGAGGATTCAGTTTTGTTTGTGGAGGCAGGTGCAATCCCAAGAGAAACTGTGCAATCTTCTGAGAAGTTAGAGTAGGCATGTGTGTGTGATTTAGGGAAGGTACTTCTCACTCAGCTTGGTCACCGGTTCCAGGTTTGTGTCTTGGGCAAGTCCCCCATAGCTGGTGACAGACCAGAAAAATGAAAACAACTTTGACTTAGCCCTCAAGTTTTCAGTGAATGAGAATGAAAAACAACCATGAGTAAGAGATTTCTTACCGAGATGATGTAAAGGATAATAATAGCAGCCAGCACTCACCTATGTGCCAGGTATTTCTCTAACTGCTTTGTGTAGTTTGACTCATCCAGTCCTCAAAAACAACAATGAAGTGGATACCAGTATTTTCCCCTTTTCACAGATGAGGAAAGTCTAATGTGACCCACCCAACATAACATAGTTTGAGGGGACAGAGCATTTCGTTGAACAGAGGAGGAACTGGCACAGGAAAGTTGCATGACCCCCCCACCAACCTCCGCCCCCAGGTTGCACAGCTAGCTAGTCGGGAGGACTTTGCTTCCGTTTCCCTCTGCCTCTCAATGATGATCTCAGGGCCAACTAAGCTAAAAGCAGACTTGATGGAGCATCAGTCCTCTGAAAGAGTCACTGCCGAGATACAAAATACCTCTTCTTCAAAGGGGAAGTGGAGAGAAGTAGGAAATCTGGGTAACCTCACAGTCTTCCAGTTTCTGGAAAACAGAGCTGGCATCAGTCTTTTTTCTTGTCCTAGGGGATGTAAATGAGCTGATGGATGTAGTTCTCCACCATGTTCCAGAGGCAAAGCTGGTGGAGTGCATTGGTCAAGAACTTATCTTCCTTCTTCCAAATAAGAACTTCAAGCACAGAGCATATGCCAGCCTTTTCAGAGAGCTGGAGGAGACGCTGGCTGACCTTGGTCTCAGCAGTTTTGGAATTTCTGACACTCCCCTGGAAGAGGTAAAGTAGAGATTCCAGCTGGTTTCTGTCAAGTGCCAGAAGTGGCGGTTCTTTGAAAAAGTCTAACATTAGAGCAAAGTTTTGTAAAAGCAAAAAGCCATCGTTCCCCACCCAAGCATAGCAACTATCTTTATTTTTGGCATAGTTCCCCCATCTCTGCATGCATACAAATTTTATGTACTTGTGGTTACTGTGTGCTTACGTTTTTGTATTTATAGAAGATGATGTTCTCAGATAGAGTCGTAATGGATTTTCTTCCCATTATGAAGCAATACCCAACAAAACAGAGCTTGGGTTAGATTTTTCTGAGAATAAGAATGACTAAACAAAATTCTCTCTTTTTTTCTTCTTGACAGATTTTTCTGAAGGTCACGGAGGATTCTGATTCAGGACCTCTGTTTGCGGGTATGGTGCTGGAGCCAGTGGCTTGTTCCCTTCCTTGCCTCCCTCCCAAGTTCCATCTCGAAAGTCTAAGGGGCTGGGCACAGTGGCTCATGCCTGTAATCCCAGCAATTTGGGAGGCCAAGGCAGATGGACCACCTGAGTTCGAGACCAGCCTGGCCAACATGGTGAAACCCCATCTGTACTAAAAATACAAAAATTAGCTAGGTGTGGTGGCGCGCACCTGTAATTCCAGCTACTCGGGAGGCTGAGGCAGGAGAATCACTTGAACCTGGGAGGCAGAGGTTGCAGTGAGCAGAGATTGTGCCACTGCACTGCAGCCTGAGCGACAAGAGCAAAATCCATCTCAAAAAAAAAAAAAAGTCTAAGGAAAAAGTCATGAAACAACAAAGCAGGCAAATACTCCTCCATAGTATCTGACTCCCCAGTAGTAGGCATTTTGCATCCTAGATGGCTTTGAGTGACAAAGGAATAACAGACTGAGTTAGGTCTAGATGGGGACACTTTGGATGAATGAGGATTCTTACGGAGGTCAGGTTGGTAGCTTCATCCCTCAGCTCCTCATGCTGTATCCCCAGTCTCTCGGCCTGCCATGTCATCATCCTCATCTCCTCCTGTCATCTCCACCAGGCCTCTGATCCATCTCTGTCTGCATGAGTGACAGCTGGCAGAGTCCTTAATGTTTATCAAATACAACTCAGACGTCAGTCTCCTGGCCCCTTTGAGATCAACATAAAATCATTTTGAACCCTTATTTAGTGGTCTATGGGCTTTGAAAACATGGGGACCAAAATTCCTGTGGATTCTAGAAGTCTCTCTTCTACATGTGTCAGCCTGGGCACCAACTAGCTCCTTCCATGAACTTTTATCAAACCCACAGCCACACAAAGCATGTGTGAGTGTAGCAGAGTTTACAGCAGAGGGTGGAGGGTGGGGAGATAGATGTGTGGAAGGGTTACCTGCCACACAAACAGAAACCACTTCTGATAGAACACGAGGTGTCCACCCACACTGTAAAATCCTCTCCTGGTACAGGCAAAGCTTTGCAGCGATTCTCCTTTGCTGCCCCTGGGCTCCTAACACCTCCTAAACCACCAGTTACCTCCTTCTTTCCAGTGTGGCATATTTCAGTGTTTTCCTGTTGGAGTGTTTCCTTTCTATGTGGATTCTGGAATCAGCTCTTAAGATAACTTGGTTTTCATCTTTCTTCATAATGATCCCAAACATCTATCTACTATGCCTAGAACTACCAATGGACACATATACCAGCCCAGATATGCTTCAGCCCATCCCAGTACATCGCATGGTGACCAAAAGATGTAGTCGTCCTGGCACAGTGGGTGTGGGGCAGGAAGCAGTCCTCTCCAGGGGACAGCAGCAATTCACCACAGAACCCAAGTTTCTTTCAAGCTCTGCTGACACAGAAATTGAATAATCTCAGCTCACCCAATGTCAAAGACTCATATTAACCAAGACCAGAATGAAAATATGCTAATTTATATCAGAAGCTTTGCTGGATTCAAGAGTTAGGGCCTTTTACCTGTGCAGAATATTCCTTCTTGATAAATAGGCCCTCTCAGGAGAATAAATTACACATCAGAGGACTGTTTAGTCAGCATAGGCATAGAACAGGATGTTCCAAAGATACAGTCAAGGGGAGTGGGTAAGAGTGTAGCCTCTGGAGTGAGGCCGACCAAATATCAAACCTGAGCTTCATAATTTGCAAACTAACTGGCTTTGGGTAAGTACATAGCCTCTTTGTACCTGTTTCCCCATCTGCAAAATGGAGATAATAATAGCATCTACCTGTAGCATTGTTGAGAGAATTAAGTGAGTTAATGCTTGCCGACTTATAACACAGTATACGATCACTGATTAAGACTTAGCAACTCTAAACTAAATGTTTACAAACCATCTCTTACCTCAAAGCACTTAACATCCATTGTCTTATTTGATTATCACTGTAATCTTATGAAGCAGGCAGGGCAGGGGTCTGCCCCATCTGGGGGGAACTGAGCTCACAGAGGTTGGAGGGTTTGCCTAAAGTCACCCAGGCCACTGGGTCTCACTCTCTGGTCTTAGCTCTGTAATCTAGGATGCTCAATGCCACACTCTCAGCCACTTTTCAGATGGCTAAGTACATTTGTTTTGAGTTAGCTCAGTCTCAGAGGATGACATTTTCTGATCTTGTCTCCAGTGTTTAAATGAACCTGTAGCTGTGCATTGGGGTCACACAATGCGTGGCATGGAGAGGGTCTGTGGCTGACTGCCACGGTTACTACGTGAAACCATCATTACAGCAGTTACTACTGTTACTGCCTGAGAACATCATTACAAGACTGAACGAAGGGATCAACATGGAAATGATAACAAAAAAACCAAAGTAACTGTTTTAAGGAAAGGCTAGCATCGGGAAGAAGAAGAGAGAAGAAGAGAAGAAGAAAAGGGCTCCCTGCTTCTAATGAGTAAAGGCAGCTCCCTAAGCTTCTGCAGCCCTTCATTATTTATTGGGTAACAGGAGGAAGGAGCAGGAGGTAATGATTGGGTCAGCTGCTTAAATGATCACGGGTTCATGTTGTTACTGACAGATTTCAATTATGCCTAATCATAAGAAACATTTGTGCAGCCTCCAACAAGGGTCAATGCCACTTCTGAAGGGGTGACTCATAGTCAGTAACTAGAAAGCAGCAGATAGCTAGGGACAAACTGGCGATTCTGAATAGGCCTGGAACCCTTAGCTCTGGCCAGGTCAGTGGGCTCCAGTCAGGATGGAGCCTTCAGGGAGAGATCAAAGCTCAGAGGTTTGAGATGATATCAGCCAGCAAAGAGGAGGGGCAGTAGGGATCCTCCCAGAGGGAGGGCCAGCCATAGAAGACATCAAATCTGAGCCCGGATCAGGAGAAGGAGCCTGCAGAACTGGGGCTCTGGCACCGAGAACCTGCAGAACTTCGCCCCTCTGAGTGCAGGTGCCAGGGCTGGGGCTGCCACCCAGCCTTCGCATCCCAGGCCTGGCACGTCATAGGTAAATGTAGTTGAAAGGATGACTGAGCTGATCCAATTCCCTTTACAACTGTCCTTGTCCTGGGGGACTTGAGGAGGGTTAAGAAAGCAGCTGGGGACCAACCAACAGTCCTCTAGGCTCTCCATGTCCAGCAATAGTTGTTCAGCAAATGAGCATTAATCAGTGACTATAAACTGTAGCTTCAACATAACCGACAACTTGCAATGGTTTCTAGAGCATGCTCCCATGTGTTATCTCATTTAAATTTCCAAACCAATCCTGTGAAATGTTCTTTTTTTTTTTCTTTTTTTTTTTTTTGAGATAGAGTTTTGCTCTGTCACCCAGGCTGGAATACAGCGGCTCGATCATAGCTCACTGCAGCCTTGACCTCCTGGGCCCAAGGGGTCCTCCCACCTCAGCCTCCCAAGTAGCTGGGACTACAGGCACACGCCACCGTGCCTGGCTAATTTCTTTTCTAGTTGTTTGTAGAGACAGGGTCTCCCTATGTTGTACAGGCTGATCTGAAACTCCTGGGGTCAATCAATCCTCCTGGCTTGGCCTCCCAAAGTGCTGGGATTACAGGCATGAGCCACCATGCCTTCATTTTACAGATAAGAAGTCTGAGAAAACTCAGATTTAGGCAGATTGAGTCACTTCCCCAAATTTATGTATCTTGTAAGAATCCATATTCAAACCTCAGTCCCCTAACTCTTAGTTCATTACTTTTTCTACCACTTCTCAGTATCCTCTAAGAATTCAGAAAGAACCACATCGACTCTGATTTTTCATTTGTTTAAGTACACAGGTAATAGGTGAATGTATTTTGTTGTTTAAAAATTCATATAATACACAAAAGGCTAAAGTCTCGCTTCCCACTTCCTCTCCCCTTTCTACCCAACTCTGCCTCCCCAGGGAGAGCTTCTGCTGACAGTCGGTGGACATTCTTTCAGAGTTTTACAATTATGTGTGTGTGTGTACATAAGATGTCAGTTTTTCTTTGTGTAGGATACATGAACATGAATTTTAAACATAAATGTGAGTGTATTACACATATTGACCAGCACCTTAGTTTTTTTGTTTGTTTGTTTGGTTTTCTTTGTGCTGTTTGAGAAGGAGTCTTGCTCTGTCACCCAGGCTGGAGTGCAGTCTTGCAATCTCGGCTTACGCAACCTCCACCTCCTGGGTTCAAGTGATTCTCCTGCCTCAGCCTCCCGAGTAGTTGGGATTACAGGTGCCTGCCACCATGCCTGGCTAATTTTTGTATTTTTGTAGAGAGGGGGTTTCACTATGTAGGTCAAGCTGGTCTCAAACTGCTGACCTCAAATGATCCATCCACCTCAGCCTCCCAAAGTGCTGAGATGACAGGCGTGAGCCTCCGTGCCCAGCCAGTTTTGTTTTTTTATTAACCAAGTTACGTATTTTAAACTTCTCCATGTCAATGCTTTTAGAGCTATTTTGTTCTCTTTAATGTTAATAGAGAATTTTAAGGCAATTTCAGGTGAATCTATACAATTTCTCTGTATAAGTAATTTACACTAGAAATAGATTTTTATAAAGATGATTAAGCTACCAGCCTGGTATTTCATTGCTGACTTAAATGAAGAGGAAAATCAATGCTGTAAGGGAAAAAAAAAATGGCATTAGAGATCCAGACCTTATAGGCATTTTCCAAATTATTAATTCAATCTCTCAAAACAGGTGGCGCTCAGCAGAAAAGAGAAAACGTCAACCCCCGACACCCCTGCTTGGGTCCCAGAGAGAAGGCTGGACAGACACCCCAGGACTCCAATGTCTGCTCCCCAGGGGCGCCGGCTGCTCACCCAGAGGGCCAGCCTCCCCCAGAGCCAGAGTGCCCAGGCCCGCAGCTCAACACGGGGACACAGCTGGTCCTCCAGCATGTGCAGGCGCTGCTGGTCAAGAGATTCCAACACACCATCCGCAGCCACAAGGACTTCCTGGCGCAGGTACTATTGTCGGTCGGTGTTTAGCTGAGCTCAGTGGCTCCTCTCCCAGCCTTCCCCTCCTCTCCTGAGTGTTCCTTCAGGCATGGGTTATAACTCAGCAAGGAGCACCCTCTTTAGATTCTGCTGGTTTTGTTTCCTGCTTTCCAAACCCTTATCTTGATTCTTGGTAACATGAATCTTCTTTGTAAGTTGGACCTCCCCTAGCAAAGAAAATAGAATAATAGTGAAAATGTTAATATTGTTTTTATTTTTACAGTGAGGGATAAAGTCATGTTTTCATTCATTTTTGCAGTGACCCTACATATCAAAATCATTGCCCTCTTTTTTCTTTTAATGTTGTTTAATTTAGAAAAAGAAGCTCTGGTTTAAAGAACAGTGAGTCACGTGACTTGCTCTTTGAAATGCCCTTTGAAGTCTGGCTGAACACTGGGCTGCATTCAGATTCTTCAGTGGCCACCAGAACATTCTGTTTTCTTCTGCACATCTTACCTTTGCACACCCTGCTTATTATGTTCCCCCAGAAGCCCAACCCTCTCCACCAGGGGCTGATTAGGAGGCTGCAGGATAAATGTTTAAAAGAATGAAGATGTGTGTGCACGCGCACGTGTGACATCTCCATGCCACAGTCATGTTTATTCCACGTCTATTCTCCCACAGATCGTGCTCCCGGCTACCTTTGTGTTTTTGGCTCTGATGCTTTCTATTGTTATCCCTCCTTTTGGCGAATACCCCGCTTTGACCCTTCACCCCTGGATATATGGGCAGCAGTACACCTTCTTCAGGTGCGCGGACTCGGGGTCACCATTCTCCTCTGTGGGTTTGGGGCACCTGGGTCACATGCTGCTTAGAAGGGCCCTGACCTTCCCACTTCACTGGGACCTTCACCAATGAGAGAGGGGAGGGGTCTTTGGGCTGCCTGCAGAAAGGAACTTAATGTATCTGCCACTGCTTGGAAAGGCGATCCTAGTGGACAGGCAGGACTGCTTGGGAAGGCCGAATGGGGAAAGGAATGCAAAGCTTAGGTGAATGGGTTGAAGCGCCATCTTTTTGAGGCATAGGTGACATGCCATCAGACCACTGCGAGTGTTCAGGCAGCCTACCGCACTCCCAGGAGAGCTAGCGCCATCCCAAGGCAGCATTCGGTGCCTCCAATACATACCTGGCACACAGCAGCTATCCAGTAAAGGCTCTGAGTTGCATGATGTTGGCACGCGCCTGCTCTGTCCCAGTCACATGTCTCACTCTGTCTAGCATGGATGAACCAGGCAGTGAGCAGTTCACGGTACTTGCAGACGTCCTCCTGAATAAGCCAGGCTTTGGCAACCGCTGCCTGAAGGAAGGGTGGCTTCCGTAAGTGCCTACGCGCCCCTGTCCTAAGAAGACTAGCTCCCCTGGGAGGACCCAACGGTGGGTTCAAGATGGCAGGCGTTGGGGAGGCCCCACTCAATCCTGCTCTGCTGGTCACTTCCATGTCTCTGACCAGCACTCCCCCAACCTCTCCTTCCACACTTGTGTGCAGGGACATTCACTACCTCCTAGGAAGCCCCCACACCACTGGACAGCTCTATATTTCTCAGCATAGAAGTTCTATGTTGAGTTGACAGATGATTCCCCATAACTTATTTGAAAGGCCTCTGAGCAGGGAGGGAGGGAAATAGGGTTATGCTATTGTGTGATTGGGCCTTGAATGGCGTGAGTGACACAGTGGCCAGTACTTTGTGATAGTTGTGAGTCTGGAGAAGGGAGTTAGCGAAGGCCATTGACATCCACCAGGAATCCTAAAAGTTCAATATAATTTTAACTTTTCTCCCTCAGTCTTTTTCAAAGCTGTCAATAAGGACCAAAACAGACTAATTTCAAATTCCTCTTCTGGTTGCTGTGTCTCTCAACAGCTAGAGCTGCTAGGAATAAAAAGGGAGACAAAACGATCCACAAGCTAGAGATGGTTATTCCCCAGCCCCACACCTAGTCAGTCACAAAACCCTAGTTTTGATATTGCTTGAGCAGAAACCAGCCTCCAAGAGAATAAGAAGAAAGGGCCTGGGTCTAAAGAGGAGGAGGAAAGGGTTGGGCACAATTTCTTATGCCTAGGGATTTGTCAGCAACTTTGAGGCTGATTATGGAATATTTTCTTGTCTTCCATGAGGGAGTACCCCTGTGGCAACTCAACACCCTGGAAGACTCCTTCTGTGTCCCCAAACATCACCCAGCTGTTCCAGAAGCAGAAATGGACACAGGTCAACCCTTCACCATCCTGCAGGTGCAGCACCAGGGAGAAGCTCACCATGCTGCCAGAGTGCCCCGAGGGTGCCGGGGGCCTCCCGCCCCCCCAGGTACCTGACCTCCAAACAACGGGGCCCCAGGTCTGCCTGCCACAGAGGGACTAGGGGAGTCCCTGGTATCTCCTGAGTCTCTCACAAACTAACATTTCAAACTGGCAGTTGAGTAGGGGACTAAACCAAACTCCCTGCACCCTCTGGGAGGGGCTCCCCACAGGGCGCTGTGGCTGCCAACTGGAGGAAGCCACTCACCAAAAGCTTCATTTTCCACCAGATACTTCCTATTTGATCTAGTAGAAAAAATGTGTTTAAGCACTAAAAAAAATTAAGTCATATGTGCTCATTATAGAAAAATTAGAAAACACAGGTAAGTCAGAAGGAAAAAAAATCATCGCTTGGATATAAACACAGATAATGTTTGGTTTGCAGCCACCCAAACAGATTATATTCCAAATATTGTCTTAAAATCTGATTTACTGCATAATTTACTAGGAACATGCATCCATGTCAATAAATAGACATCTGCATCACTTTTAATATCTGTATATTATCCCATTGTTTGAATTTCTTTTTTTTTTTTTTTTTTTTTTTTGAGACAGAGTCTCTCTCTGTCACCCAGGTTGGAGTGCAGCGGTGTGATCTCGGCTCACTGCAACCTCTGCCTCCCAGGTTCAATTCTTGTGCCTCAGCCCCCCCGAGTAGTGGGGATTACAGGCATGCACCATCATGCCCGCCTAATTTTTTTGGTAGTTTTAGTACAGATGGGGTTTTACCATGTTGGCCAGGCTGGTGTTGAACTCCTGGCCTCAAGTGATCTACCCACTTCTGCCTACCAGAGTGCTAGGATTACAAGCGTCAGCCACTGCTCCTGGCCTAAAGTTACTTTAAATTAACTGATCTCCCATTATTCGCCACTTAGGTTTTTTAGTTTTCACCATTATAAGCAATGCTATGATGTACATTCAAATGGAAATGTGTTTACACACTTATTAACAGTCTTAATTAAGAAGCTCTCCATGTGCTGTGTCTCTAACATCTGCAGGTATGTACACAAATACATGCACAGCCAGCATCCATCTTTTGCAGGGACATTAATGATCTTGGCTCTGAGCAGCACCCTGTCCTGGGAGTTCTAAAGTCCAGAACAGATTACAGTGAGCATCTCCTGGGGGATTTAGAGACATCAAAGAAGGCTGTGTCCGTGGTTGATAATGGGCCTCCCAGCTGACTTGCCAGGGCTGGGCCTTAGACAGCCCTGTCCAATGATTTGTCAATGAATAAACTGTTCCCAAACAGGCTATGCAGTTCAGTGGGAAAGCACAGGTATGGGACACGGAGAGCCCCAGGTGGACTACTTGACCTCTCTGAGCCTTAATTTTATCACCTGTGAATTGGGAATAACTGCTTATTTCATAATATTATTATGAGGATTTAATGAAATCATGTGGGCAAGGAATTATTTAGAATTAGATTCAACTCAAGTGATGACAACCCCAAACTAACAGCAGATAAAACAAGACACAACTTGTTTCTCACTCATCTAAAAGTCTACGTGGGTGGTGCACGATGTTCTATTCTCTTTCTCCTCCACACTAAACAGGCCTCAGCCTCATCAGCCAATAAGGCAGGAGCTGCCTTCCAGGCAGCGGAATGGAAGAAGGATGAAGCAAAACAGAGGGCAGAGTGTGCACATGTGCTATGTTTAGGGAAGGTTTTCTGAAGTTCCCACATAGTACTTCCACTTACAAACCCAACAAAAAAGGCTATGGCTAAGGCAGCAGGGAGGAGCAAATAATGGGAGCAACTAGATTTTGCCACAGCACCTATCACAGTCTGGTTTATAAATGGTTCTAGGCCAAGAACACCCGATCCCTGCTCTTTTTTATATTCTAAAGCATGTATCTTTATATTTCTCAAGCAATATTTTCTCTCTTTGAATCACAGCTCATCTGCTGCATCATAGGGATCCCAAAAGAAGGACCCAAGGAACTTGTCTCAGTCCTCTGTGCCCCAAGAGGAAGCTTTGCTTGTTTGCTTTGCTGTCAATGCTGAGGGCTCCTGTGGCTGCCTCCACTCAAAACCCTCCAGCATCAGGACGTCAAGGCTGTGATACTGTACCCTGAGCTCTTGGCCAGGGCGAGGGAGGGGAGGCCAAGCCTACCTACATGGTGTTTCATTTCCTAAACGAACCCTTACTTCCACGCGGTCTGTCCAGCTTAGAAACTTATTTTCAGTAGTGTTGGTCCTTGGTCCCTGGACAAAATGTAACAGCCAAAGTCCTAGAAAAAGGCAAGCCAGTTCCTGCCATTTTCTTTCACTTCTGCATTTCCTCACTATTATACGTGCCTTCCATTGGAGCAAAACTGAATGCCACGCATATGCACAGGAGCTGTGCGCGCTCTGTCTCTCTCACTCACTCTTTTTCTCTCTCTCTCTTTCTCTCTCAATCTCTCTGTCTCTATCTATCTCTTACTCTTTATCTCTCACTCTCTCACTCTTTCTCACTCTTTCTCTCAATCTCTTTCTCATTCTCTCTCTATCTTTCTCTCTCTCTCTCTTTCTCACACACACACACTCACAAACCCACACTCTTATTCACATCTGCTCACCCTAGCCACTCAAACACAATCCCTCATTCAGCCTGGAATAAGTCCAGAGGGCGTGGGCCTGATTCAGAGACAATCAGTTGTTCTCATCTGGGAAATGGGGCAATGTGGTCATCTCTAGGGACCCTCCCTGCTCTAACATTCTTTGAATGTGGTGGGTCCTGAGGTGGAAGCACTCTGTCCCTGACTTCTAGTATATGTGGAGATAGGGTTACACAAATATTTTATTGGGCAGAACTTTTATAAAACAATTTATCATAAGCTATCGCAGCCAGCAGCAATTTTTCCAACCTGGATTCCACCAGGGGAGCTTGGCCGGTGTCTGAGTGCCACTTTCAGCTTGAGAAGCAGGTGACTCAGTGAAAAGAGCAAGGAGGAGACAGAGGCAGATTCAGTTCCTAGGCCCTGGGCCACCCACCTGCAAGTTTGCAGCCCAGTCAGTGCAAGTCAGCTAACTGTTCTGAACCTCAGTTTCTCTGTCTGTAAATTAAGCTAAAAATTCTTCTTTCAAAGAGTGTCAGGATGAAGTGAGATCGTGTATGTAGGGCATTTAACATAGTGCCCGACACACAGGGAGCATTCGGTAGGTGCCAGCTCTCCTCCTGGCAGGAGAGAGAGAAACAAGGTGAAAAGAGTGAATTAAAGAAGAGGAAAGTCAAATGGGAAAACAGGGGGAGGAGATAGAAAGTGTATGAAAAGGAAAGAATGGTGCGCAATAACGGCGGTGTAATGCCACCAAAATCCCCTCAACTACTTCTGGGCAGCACCCTTGACAGAGTGAATGCTTTTATGAGAATGTAAGCGGAATGTGTTCCCAGATTTGCAGTAATATTGCCACCTGGTGGACAAACCCATGCACCTTTGAATTTTCCAAAATATTTCGATGAACTAGCTTCCAGTCCTAGATGTATTTTGAAAGTGATTTGTAAATTGTAAGGAACTATTCAAATTCTTTCATTAATGTCACAAATCAACTGTGTCATCTGTATGCCACCCACTATTCTGGGTGCTGGGGACACAACAGCTCACAAATCAGGCAAAGTCCCTGCTCTCACCAAAATGATATCCTACGGGGGATTACAGATACAAATACGTAAACAGATCCATCGGGAGGAAACTCTCAGATGGAAATGAGAGCTATGAAGATAACACAACAGTACATGACAATACAGAGTGACTGGAACCAGGAACATTTCTCCGAGGAATAAAATTTGAAGCGAGCCATGAGAGGGTCTACAGGTAGAGTTCCCAGGCAGAGTGAACAGCCAAGCACAAAGCTGCACCAGGAGAGAGAGGTGCTCGCCGAGAGACAGGGAGGGGAGTGTGGCAGGTGAGCTCAGAGAGGGGCAGGGCCACACACATCGGCCACATGGGCCTTGGTAGTGAGTCGAGATTTGATCCCAGGGTTTATTGGAGTGGATAAGTAAGCAAGGTGACTGAGGTGCTCGGGTTTACATTTTTATAGTTCAAGCTGGCTGCTGGGTGGAAAACGGAAGTTGGCAGACCAAGGACAGAATCAGGCAGACCCATGTGGAAGTTTCTCTAGTGGTCTAGGTGGTGGCTTGGGTAGCGTGGCAGTATTGGAGCTGGAGAAACGCAGATGGATTGGAGATTTGTTTTGGAGTGACGCCATTCTGTCTTGTCAATGGATTGGCGAAAAAAGAGGCATCAAAGATGAGTTACACATCATTGAAGTGAGAACTAGGGAGATGCCAGTACTTTATTTAGTATTTTCTCAGCAGCTCAATCCATAAATAATTTTTGGAAGACAACAAGCAGTTTCACAAACTACTTATAAGTCCTCAAGTTCCAAGGTAATTAACGTGGGTGTCTCATTGCCTCAGAGAACACAGCGCAGCACGGAAATTCTACAAGACCTGACGGACAGGAACATCTCCGACTTCTTGGTAAAAACGTATCCTGCTCTTATAAGAAGCAGGTAAGAAGAAATCCTTTTATGCTTTTTATCCTGGCTCCCTGTAGAAGATATTAACTAGGGACAGAAGATAATTTTCTCTCTCAATTTATGTATGATCAGGGCAGTAGATTTTTTTCTTTTTTATCTGATTTGAGGGCCCCATTCAACATAAAAAGCAATTGAGGCACATACAAGTAAAATGTAACTTAAGATTAATTCTTTTTTTGTTGTTTGTTTGTTTGTTTTTACATTTAGGGCAAGCAGTCTTAAATTTTAACCCACGTATTATTAAAAGTTATATCAGAAGACCATAGAAGTTATTCAAAAATGCAGCCACATATTTTAACTAGTTAAAAGAGAGAGTAAAAATTTGGAGGGAGGTGGAGGAGTATAGGGGAAAAGGTAGAAGAAAAAGAGAAAATAAGTAAGTGGCAAAAAAGAGAAAGGAAAAAGATAGGGTGGGAAAGAGGCAGCGGGACAGTGTCTGAGTCCAGCACACGCCAGGGCGAGCCAGGTCAACTGCAGCTGTCATATTCTAACTGTGAATTATCATCTTTGATCACTGCCCTTTGAGATGCCAATGAACTTTTCAAGAAATATCTAGTTCTCTTGGCTCTCCAGCTGTTCTTATCAGCCCCATCCAGGATGGAACAGCTTTGGCAGCCCGTATCAGAACAAGCAGCTTGACAGGGGCATGCCATGCCAGGAGAGAGGATCCTAAGGAAGCGTGGTCCAGTCCGCACAGGCTCTGGGGCTTTAAGATAAAACCTCCTGTCTAACTTTAGTAGGACTTTCTGTTGCTTCACCTGCCAGAGCCCTGAACGAGGGATAAATTGACTTAATTAACTAGAACACACTGCAAATGGTGAAAGCATTTAGCAAAACAAAGAATGCCATCCAAGCCCCAAAATAAAAGCAGAATAAATAGAATGCAATAAACAGCAACCATCCCAAACTGAGTTCTCAGCAGCAAATCTCCAGTATGAAATTTTGGATTTTGTGCGTGTGTGCTTAAAGGTGGATGACAATGACAGTTCATGGGATTGAGCTCTGGGGTCCAGAGTTGGCATCTGTTCATTTCCCATTTTGTCATTTTACCCTTGATTGACTGAATGTCAGTGCCTTAACTTTGGGCTGTGGAGTGAGTCGGAACTCCCCCGAGGTGTGCAGGTGGTTGTTAGAGTCTCATTTTTGCAGGGTGGAAGACAGGAGGGCTGCAGCCTTCATTCCACACTGACATGGTCATTGCCGTGTGTTCTGGGTCCAGATCAGGCATATTGACCTGACATATGACCTGACAACAGGACCACTCAGAAAGTCCAGCATGCGGGATATGATTTGGAGAGCCAGTGGGGGAAATCATAGGTCCTTTCTCTGCATGTGTATTCAGGCAATGTCCCAGGGCTGGGCGGCTTCCGCATTGCTTGGATATCGGAAAATGCAAAAATGCCCCTGAAGACTGAGACTTCAGTCTTCAAAATGAATGTTTGGGAAAGAAAGTTAACGGCACTGCTGTACTTGTGGTATTCATTGCATTATTTTATTTTGGCTTTCAGCTTAAAGAGCAAATTCTGGGTCAATGAACAGAGGTAAGAAACTATTTTTATCAGAATTAAAATCTCAGATTGATTCATTGTTGAAATAATTGCACACTTTTAAAAGGCACACCTCACAGCCATGAGGAGGGGCTGTTCTGTAGGTGCTCAGGAAGTCACAAGACACGTCCTGAAGAATATGTGGCTAGGGACATCCCAGACTCAGAAGACACTCAGTGGTGCCTCTTCTTGGAGGACATAAGTGGGGGTGGCATTCCCTGATGTGGCGTTTCAGAGCATTCTCACCCAAAAAAAGCTTCTAAAACCTCCAAGTATATAACAGTTTATAATACTCCAACAAGAGGGCCTTGTAGCCTAAACCCGGGACACTCCTTGGCCCATTCCTTTTAAGCTTCAGGGAGTGTGGGCCAGCCCCAGACTCACCCCATTCCTGAGGCATCCTGGAGGTTGAAATATTTCCAGAGGTTTAGAACCTCACCAAGTGGGACTCTAGGAGCCTGCTGCCTCCCAGCCTCCCTCAGGAACTGCACCTCCAGAACAGGTGCGGGGCTGACATGTATGTGCTTTCCTGGGCAGATTCTAGACCGTACACATGAAATCTGGCTTTCAGGATTGCTCTCCAGAGGGACCTGTGGGGCCTCGGCTGAGACAGAGAGTAGGAGTGAGGCAGTGATTCAAGGCCCTGAGAAAGAGCTCCTCCTCTGCTTGGTATAACCAGCTAATTCATTCTGTTCTGTTGACTTTGGCTTCTGCCCTGCCTTTGAAGGGTTTGAGGCCAGGGAGTGATGCACTCAGACTGGTGTTTCCACACAGTCACTTCAGACTTCCAGGGCAGTACAGGAGATAGATCCCAGGGCCAGTGAAGAAGCAGAGCACAAGTCCAGGCAGGAGAGGCTAAGGGCCTCCCTGAACAGGTGTGAGGCACAGAAGCCCCGAGAGGTAGGGATGACAGGATGAAGATGGGTCCTGTGCTGCTAGAAGTACCTGCAAAGCACAGAGGTGGCACAGAAAAGGAGTCCTTGGCTGGGATGGGAGGAGATGACATGTGACATGTGAAAGAGGACCTGGAGTTGGCTCGATGCTCCCAAAAGGGAAAGGTGCCGAGGGGAGCTAGCAGCCATGCAAAGGCAGAGACATGCAGGCAGTCTGGGCCATGAGGAGCTCTGGAAGTGACTCGATATGTCCAGAATAGGCCACTCCAGGGAAGGGCTGAGGAAGGATGAAGTTGGAGAGGGGCACAGACCAGATGCAGAAGGGCCTCAGAGGCCAGGATGAGGGTTTGGACTCCTTCCTGGAGGCAGCAGCAGTGGGAAAAGAGTTAAAAGCTGGTTTGTAAAGTGGAGCCATGTTGCTCGCTGGTCCAGGCAATTCCCCCGAAAGTTCATGTTTCCCTACAAAACCCGAGAGAGCTACTAGTAGGCGTGAAGTTCGTGGCCCTGGTCTGAGGATTTCCTGTTTCCTTGTCAGGTATGGAGGAATTTCCATTGGAGGAAAGCTCCCAGTCGTCCCCATCACGGGGGAAGCACTTGTTGGGTTTTTAAGCGACCTTGGCCGGATCATGAATGTGAGCGGGGTATGTAAACAGACTGGAGATTTGAGTAGGATTTTTGACTTGCTTAACTACCATGAATGAGAAACTCTCATGAGTGATAACAGGAAAAAAAAATTAAAACCGTCTTGTTTGTTTGTTTACATGGTTTTTAGGGCCCTATCACTAGAGAGGCCTCTAAAGAAATACCTGATTTCCTTAAACATCTAGAAACTGAAGACAACATTAAGGTACTTGACCTATGTATAATCTGCTCTGGAGCTAAAAATTTACCTGAGCTGGTTATTTTATTTTTACTTTCCTACCTTCATTAAATTCCATCCCTCCTCCTGCTGAAATCTAGCAAGGAATGTCTTCCAGCTACCAAACCCTTCCTGCTTCTCAAATTTCCTTTCCTTCACTGATTTCTGCTTTAACTAGCTGTTAGTGCAGCGTCTCAGATGTCCTCTCCACCCTCTAGGTGTGGTTTAATAACAAAGGCTGGCATGCCCTGGTCAGCTTTCTCAATGTGGCCCACAACGCCATCTTACGGGCCAGCCTGCCTAAGGACAGGAGCCCCGAGGAGTATGGAATCACCGTCATTAGCCAACCCCTGAACCTGACCAAGGAGCAGCTCTCAGAGATTACAGTGTAAGCCACCACAGCCCCAGCCTCACCACTTTCTTGTCACCTTCTCCACTCTTTGAACATCCTGAGAGGATTCTCACCACCGCGAAGTGCTGATTTGGATGGTAATGCTGTTTAGTCAGGCACATATGAACATCCGACTTTCAAATAAGTGCCTCACACTTCACATACCAGACCTCTTGGTCATTCTTTCTCCCCAACATTTATGTGGCAAGTAAGTTTACATTTGGTTCCATTCCCTTTTGGCTTTTGATAGCAAGTTGCTCCTGGAGCTTATACAATTATTATCTTTGCTATGTGCAAAGCAGCTGCCAGGAACTGGCAAAGTTCAGTAAACCTTTCAGCTCCCTCGGAGTAATTATCTTAGATTCCAGGAATTTCCTCAGAAGAGCATACTTTGGAGATGTCGACAGAGCTTTGCTACCCTCAAGCTGAGGCTCTTCTTGCACAGTTTCAGCCAGTGGAGACAGTGGCCTTGTGCGTTTTGTAGTATGTTCACTCTATTTGAGGCCTACATGGAGGAGGGGTTGGTAGGAGCACCTTTGTTAGTGCAAACTTCAGCAACGTTGTGGGGTCCTGATTTTACTATCCTAGCACACGCTGAGTGCCAGTGAACATGCCCAGGGTCATCCACTAAAACCTGGGCCTTGGCTCCTTGGTGTCTTCCTCTGGACACCCTAGGGCCCTAGACTGTCCTCTGTTAATTCTCACTCAGCCACACTTTCGTGTGTCTCCTTCCAGTCATTTGTTCTAAGCTTACTACGTGTATGGATGATATGATCTGTAGTTTTATCAAGGTAGTGACTACCACATAGGATACCTTTGTGGAAATTAGTAAAAATGCTCTTTTCTGCAGGTGGACACTGTCCCATGCCAGGGGTTATGGCTTGTACATAAAGTTCAGGCTGGCTTTAGCCCCAACTTACCCCTCAGCCAGATGCCTTCTATTTGTCCGAGGAAAGAATAAATAGAGCCAAGTCCCTGTACAACTTGCCTGCCCTCTTTTCACTTAAATTTACATCATGAACATTTCCTTGTGTTACGATGTACTTCTTGAAAATGTGATTTAACAAGATGATTATTAACAAAAGATAAATCTCACAGACCGTATGTCTGTCAACATAGAAAATTCAAGAGACTCTATAGACAGATTATTAGAGCTAATGAGAGCATTGCAGTACATAAGATTAATATAAACATCTATTTCTATACACCATAAAAATAATTAGAGAATATAATAAAAAGAAAGGTTGTCTAGAAATATTCACATGAAATAGAAAGGCAACCCGCAAATACCCATTTAACCTTGGTCCATATGGATTAAGACAGTTTAGTGGAGTGACAGCTTCAAGGTAGAGAAGAGGAACCTGGAGGCCACACCTGGGCGGGTGTAAGGCCTTCCCAAAGCCTGACTTTGTATCTTCTCCTCCTTCTGCTCTTCCCTCTTCATCGCCCTCTCCCTGTGTCTCTGGCCCTGCTGCAGGCTGACCACTTCAGTGGATGCTGTGGTTGCCATCTGCGTGATTTTCTCCATGTCCTTCGTCCCAGCCAGCTTTGTCCTTTATTTGATCCAGGAGCGGGTGAACAAATCCAAGCACCTCCAGTTTATCAGTGGAGTGAGCCCCACCACCTACTGGGTGACCAACTTCCTCTGGGACATCGTAAGTGTCAGTTTACAGCGCCTCCCTCCCCTCCGTGGGCCCAAGGTGGAGCTTGTGTGTGCTCTGAAGGACCAGACCAAGAGGGGAGGGGTTCTCACGGTGCCAGGGCTGCTGAAAGGCACTGGGCCAAGGGCCTTGTGTATCTGCTGTCCCTTGACATCTTCTCAGAAAGGCACAGAACTAGGAGCCCGAAGCTAGGAAAGGCTGTGGGGTGCAGCTTAACAACTGGTGAACGGGGGCTCTCTATGTCCTGCACTGAGGGGTCTTCTGACCCATCAAATAATCACTGCACCGCAGGCATGAGTCTGGCCTTCCTGGCATCAGTCTGGCGCTGAGAAGGTAATATGAAGGGGTCTTTCACCCCAAGTCCCCTTCTCAAATCCTGCCCCACCTTCAAAAGGGTAAAGGTAAAACTTTCCCTGTGGTAGGGTCACCAGATAAATACAGGACACCCAGTTAAATTTAATTTCAGATGATGAATAATTTTTAGTATAAGCATATGCTACTTCAAATATTGCACAGGACATATCTACACTAAAAAAAAAAAAAAAAAAAAAAAAAACCTGGTTGTTTATCTGAAACTCAAATTTCACTAGGCATCCTAGATTTTTATTTGCCAAATCTGGCAACCCCAGCCAGTGGCCAAAATAATAAGACCTTCACTTATTAGATTAACCACCGCTACAGGGAAAAATGAAGAAAAAATATTTATTAAATCAATAGCACACTACCACCTTCCTGACAACCAAGGTTGGTGGGGGTAGGGAGGGGTCAGGATAGCGTACCCTATTACAGGCTGCAGGGTCAAAGGAATTGGTAGTAAAGGCCTAGTTATAATGTAACAGGGATCATTATGACATCAACCCCAATTTATTCTAGGTGTCTTGAGTAGTAAAATCTCAACATTTTAAGACCAACATGAGCCTCCATTTCATGTGATGATAAGATATACCAACTGATGGAGACCAACACAAATGACCTTCTCATCCATGGTTTTTTAAAATGATGGTGAATATTGGAATTCCTGAAGATATGATTTCTATCTTACTCAGCTTAGTAAGCAGCTATCACTTAACAATACAAAACCAGAGATTATCAGTAGCAACTAAATTATTTCCTCTCTCTTCTGTCTACACGAGGAAACACTCATAAATGCACGGGGAGGAGGTCAGAACCTGAAAGCCTTTCTTTGGATAAGAGCATCAACTGCAGGTACCACATTGGCCCTGTGATGCTAATATAAAAGGAGCTAGGCCCACCGGTACCGAAAAGTTACTTAGAAAAGTGCGGAGGCTTTTAATTTTACTTTTTTTAAAAGATAAGAAATAGAATTTACACACTTGGGGCTGGCCCACGTGTTTCTGTGTGTGTGTATGTGTGCACGCACGCGCGTGTGCGCTTACAGGGATCTCTGAGCCTATGGAGAGAGATGTAGCTAGGATAGAGTGGACATCTGAGGTGGGAGGTGATACTAGCTGGCAGTCCAATGAAGGGGTAGAAGATGGTAGGCATCATGTTAGCAGGCTTTCTGATGCTCCAGAATTTTAAAGCTGGCCTGGAATCTCACCTCCGCGATCCATCATTTTGGAACTTAGGACCACCATTAGCCAGTGGCAAAAAAAAAGTTGAATGAAGGAACAAACAATTATTGCTTATGTAATTCACTTAGCACATATATGATGTTTTAAATTCTTATATGTGTCATCTATTTTTCTTTACTTTAAAATTTTGCAACAGTTACAGACTTATGGAAAAGTCACAAGTACAGTTGAAACCTTTTTTTCTTAGTCATTTGAAAGTAACTTCTCAGCAAGATGCCCCTTCTCATTTATTTCTCTCTTCCTGTCTCTCTCTCTCACACCCCTCAGCACGTCCGATGTATACTTCCTACAAACGAGGATACACCCCATACAACCACAACACAAACTGTCAACATGAGGAAACCAGCACTGATGTGTCATCACCACCTAATCCTCACACCCCACTCCTCTTTCGCCCATTGCCCCAGTGATGTCTTTCAGAAAAAAGGATCTAGCTCAGAATCATGCATGACATTTGATTGTGCTGTTTCTTTAGTCTCGTTCAGCCTGGAAGAGTTCCACAGTCTTTTGTTAACACTCATGGTCTTGACACTTTGAGGACTGCAGGCTGGTTATTTTGCAGAATGTCCCTTGGTCTGAGCTTGTCTGAGGTTTCCTCTTGCCCAGGTTGAGGGTGTGCATCTTGGCAGCAGTATCAGCAAACAGATGCTGTGTTCTCACTGCATCCTATCAGGTGGCTTCTGATTTCAATTTGCTCTGTTACTGATGATGTTCAATTCGGTCACTTAAGAAGGTGTCTGCTGAGCTTCTTCACTGTAAAATTACTCTTTTCCCCTTTATAATAAATACAAATTTCAGGTAGAGGCACTTCAAAGATATATAAATATCCTATTCATTATACAATTTTCCATTTATTCATCCATTTATTTATCTCTGTATGCAGTCATGGTTCATGTGTTAATCAATGGACTATGATCCAAGACTATCATTATTTATTTTGATATTCACATTATCCCCACTGTGGTCAGTGGGGGGCCGTTGAAGCTGGCTTCTGTATCGTCTTGACTTGGGTCCTCATGCCCCTGGACCTCCTCCATGCTCAATGGCACAGCAAGATATTCCAGGCTCATCCTTCCATTATCCCCATTCCTACCCTCTCCCCAAGAAGCCCTGGTTCCTGCCAGTGGGAAGTGGCCCTCAGAAGCCAAGGTCTGAGTGCTAGATATGTTCATTGCCTCTGGAGCACCATTGGTCCCAGGCCTTCTCAGTGATAGAACTAGGGAAGATATGGATGTACACACACAGGTATGCACACACCTCTATCTATAGTTCTCTATCTACCTATACAGTGAACACTATGAGCTCTCCAAAACCAACTCCACAGGGCTCATTCTAGTTTTTTTTCTTTCCACATCTGTAACTCCCTTCTCCAACAGTGAGACGCTGGCTTCTCTCACTCCCAACTCATTTATCTACCGGACCTATACACCTGAACAGTGCCCAACTCTGCCACCATCCCCTCCCCATGTGGATGCCGTCCTCTCCCTGCTCCAGCTGCCTCTGCTGCATGCAGGTCCTCCTCGTTCTGCTCTGGCTCTGATACCCTGCACCAGATCAGCCTCCTGTAAGGATATCTTTCTCATCCCGTTGAGGCCTCCACACCCCACGGCAGGTTGCCCCCTGAGGAAGCCCGTCTCTGGTTCTTGCCCTGCTCCTGATCACCATGGCTCCTCCCCTAACCCCACTGTTGCCGTCCCCTTTCTGTGCCCAGTATAGTGGCTGTAGGACTAAATTGTTTAAAAAGGGTATCATTATTTATTTGAGCTTTGTGAAGCCAAGAACTAGGCTTTAAGTTTTTCTGAATTCTGAAGACATGCTTAGAAAGAAGAATCAACAAAACTTTATGACCAAATAGAAAGAGTGAGAGACCAGGCAGAATTTTGTAATTGATCCTTTCAAAAGATACAAACTAAAGGTTCCCTTGGCAGGGAGGTAGGGCATGGGGTGGGGTAGGAGGACTAGTGACAGCTTAACATATGTTTGCCAACCAAGAACTGTTTAAAAAGCAAGTCGAATCAGAATCCCAGACCCTACGAGCTGGAGGAGCCTGGCCCCACCCCTCATTTTGCAGAGCTGGCAGCAGGTCTGAGAGGTTAAGTGACTTGCTCTCCTCTTCTCTTTCCGAGATGAATTATTCCGTGAGTGCTGGGCTGGTGGTGGGCATCTTCATCGGGTTTCAGAAGAAAGCCTACACTTCTCCAGAAAACCTTCCTGCCCTTGTGGCACTGCTCCTGCTGTATGGGTAAGCCGTTTGGGCCATTAGCTAATGCCTCTGAAGAGAAGCCTGGTGGTGGGGGTGGGGGATCATCTCCTGACAGAAAACCTGGGCTGTCCTGTGGTGGTAGCACCCACAAGTTTAGCTTCCGGCCCCAGGTAGGGTCTGAAGCTGATAACCAGGGATCTGTCTGGCTTCTGATTCTGACTCCACTGACAGAGGTATCTCTGAGGCCTGGTCCTGTCAGTGACAATGAGAGAAGTCCCACATGATCTGAATCTCCTACTCAAACTGAGGCCTTGACCAAAGCCTGGGGGCAGCCATTCCCCAACCCCTCACCCAGCTCTGACTCTCACTCATCTGTGGCCAATCTGTCCACCTCAGTGTCCCCATGTGAACTGGCCAAGAGTTACCGCCCACAGTAGAAGACTCCGGCCAAAAAGCTCCTCCTGAGTCAGGGACAGAGGATGACACAGGGGTTACATCAGCAGAGTTACAGGGCCCAGCATGCAACTTTCTTTCCCACGTGTGTAAATTTGAATGAGTAATTCATCCATCTCGGCCTCAGTTTCCTCATCTGTAAAAGAAAATAGTGATCCTGGTCCTTCCTCTGTGGGCCAGTAGAGCCTTGCCAAAGCATTGTTCTCCACATCTTTCTCTTGGAAATAGAGAATTTGGGAACCAACCTGACTATAAGCTGTGAAGATGAGCTCACTGGGCTCATCTGAGATGACCTCAGCTGGGCTTTGCTGACCCAGGCTAGAGTGGGAGGTGTTGCAGGCTGGAGAACCCTCCTATGAATTGTACAGGGCTTTGTAGTTTACAGAGTATATACACAGCTAGCAGCCCATTTGCTCCTCACAAAACCCCATGAAGTGGTCAAGGCAGGCATCATTATCTCCATTTAAAGTTGAGGCACAGAGACCAACAAATGGAGTATCTCTCTGGTCCCCTGGGACTCTGGCCAGTTCACACACATCACCTCAGGTGTAAGGGGAGTGCATTATATCCAGACGTATTGTAGGTGGAATGGAATGTGGAACTCCATCACTCTGAGTTGTCTCATTTCACACAGATGGGCGGTCATTCCCATGATGTACCCAGCATCCTTCCTGTTTGATGTCCCCAGCACAGCCTATGTGGCTTTATCTTGTGCTAATCTGTTCATCGGCATCAACAGCAGTGCTATTACCTTCATCTTGGAATTATTTGAGAATAACCGGGTGAGCATAACTTTCTTGGCTTTTTTGTTTGATTAGTAGGATAGTAGAGTATGTGTTGGTCGAGCAGAGCCAGGGGCAAGCATCGTACATGTAGCAGCTGTATGCGGATGAGTGCCACTTTCTTCCTCCCTACCCCCGACCCTGCCTCCTTTCCTTCCTTCCTTCCTCCCATCCTTCCTTCCTCTTTCCTTCTTCTCCTCCCTCCTCCCTCCTTCCCCCGTCCCTCCTTCCTTCCTTTTTCATTGCTTCCTTCCTTCCTTCGTCCCTCCTTCCCTTCCTCTTTCCTTCTGCCCTCTCTCCCTTTTTCCTTTCATCCTCCCTCCATCCCTCCCTCCATCCTTCCTTCTTTCTTCCTTCTTTCCTTCCTATAAGCACCTTTTTCATTTCTGTGCTCTGAATGAAATGGTTTTCTGTGTTTATTCTGCAAGCAAAACTTGATTCTTGCAATAAACTTTAAGCTTTGCTTACTCTTTCAGAAAGGTTTTCTCAGGGACTTTGGGTGTTGGGTTTTACACACACACACATCAATACATTTGGGTAATTTCAAAATCTAAAAGGAACAAAAAGGCATACAATGAAAAAATCTCCTTCCTACCCCTGTTTCCCACTCATGCAGTTCTCTTCTCCAGAGGCAAACTCTTACTTGAGTTTCCTGTGTGCTCTGGAGACACATCAGCAGATCCCTATACGGTCTTTCTCCCGCTTTCTTATGGAAATTGTAACACTCTGACATATACTATTCCTTGGGCAAGTTAATCTTGATGAAGAGACTGGGTGTTCTCCATGCTGAATGCCTCACTTTTATGAGCTGCCAAGCCCAGTTGTCCCTTCCACCTGACCTCCCCCTGTCCAGAGACAGATGGCCAAACTGAATCATAAAAAGAGGGGGAAAAAAAGAAGGCAGTCGCTGCAGGGCTGTCTTTACTCCACACTCCACACTCCCAGTCCCCACCGCTGTGTCTGAGTCCTGGCTGTGGCTGTCCTTGGAACATTTGCCTCACCACGTGCCTGTGTCCCCAGGCGCCTCAACCTTTCCTCTCCTCATTAGCTCTTCCCAGTTCAGAGGGTGGGACCGGCCAGCACATCTGCACTGCTGCCCTGCCACACCCACCTCCACCTGCCTCTGGGCCCCACTGGGGAACACAGGACAAATCTGTGCGGAGGCCCCACCATGAACCGCCCAGACCCGTGGACCCCTGAGACTGACTCTTTCCAGATCTTGTTAGGGTTTCGTGGCTGCTAGGCAAGTAACGAAGCCTCATCTGTCCCATGAATGATAAGAAATTCAGCATGTCAGAGTCAGACTCTGGAAAGGCGGGGGGATAAGAACACAGCCCCAGCAGATGGCCAGAGCACCCAGGTGACTGAAAGTGCTGCTTTGCAGAGCTGTGTTTGCCACAGGCTCACAGCCCACTAAGTCTTAAGACAGTTTTCCTTCAGAATAATTAAATAGCCAGCTTAAAGCAACTCAGAACATTTTCCCCTCTGAGGCTGCACCCATTTAGCCAACATTTGCTAAGCACCCGCCTTCAAAAACCTGGTATTTTCATGTAAATTATCCGATACACAGCTGCTATGGAAACCCCCAGTATCCCACAGGAAGCTCCCCAGCTCCCAGCAGCTGCCGGCCCGTGTGAGATCAGGAGGTCTTTACCAGCTGAACACCACGTGCCGGGTGTGTGCTGATATAAACAAGCGTGGCCCACTCGTCCTGCCCTCCAGAGGCTCCCGTTCCAGTCGGAAAAGGACCTGCCCACGAAGTTTGCAACGATATAAGCCACAGTGTATGATCCTCCATAATACAGCGTGTGACAGAGCAGCAGAGGAGCGAGGCAGATAACATGCTGCAGGCCAGAGGCAGCGGGAAGAGCCAGGCTGCAGGGGCTGGGGGAGCCGTGGTGGAGGAAGTTCAATTTCAGCCTGTAGATTTCTATTAGCCCATTTAATAAATAATGAAGTGCCTACTCTGAGCTAATCATTGTGCAGGTATTTAGGAAGGACAAAAAAATAATTAGGACTCAGTGCCCACCCTCCAGGGGCCCACTGACTAGTAGAGAAAGTAGGCAGATTTTTAAAAAATTAATCATGGGAATGTGATAAGTGCTGGGAGAGAGGAATGGATACTTTCTCATGGGAATCTTGGAAGGCTTGTAAGGGAAGGCACTCTCTGAGCCAGCTGTCTAAAGAAGAACAGGAATCTTTAAGAAAGCAGAAGGGAAAAGAGCATTCTTTCCTGCTTGGAGCAATAGGTAACAGCCTGCACATGCCCAGGCCTAGAGGCCAAAGAGCACAGTGATTCCAGAAAGAGTGGGGAGAAAGGGTAGGCAGGGAAGGATGAGGTAATGTGGGCGCAGGTGTGGAGGCTGGAGAGGGAGGAGGTTGTGGGACTGGGAGGAGCCAGATGGAATGGACAGCAGTGGCCCAGCCAGGAGCTATGCTGGCCTCGTACGCCTCGATGTCCCTTCTATTTTCTCAGGGGAGGCTCTGCCCAACATGCCAAGTCCGACCACTTGAAAACAAGTCCCTGGCTTAACACAGACCCCAGAGAGAGTCTCCAACCCTCCTCTCCCTAGACAATGGTAGTTGCCCTGTGAGGGGCTGAAAAGCAGAGCTGGAGATGGCTCAGGGCCTGGTGTTAACAAATGCCTTGAGGGCTCCTGTTGTTTCAAAGTGAGTCTGCAGGGAGAGCTCCCTAAGTGGACAGCAGGAGGGCTGCAGCTTCTCTGCACATTCCTGCTGTCACCCCCAGAGTCACCTAGGGGAGGGGTAAGGACAGTAATGCAGGTTCCTCACAGTTAGCCTCGGTGCCCACATGGTACTGAGCATAGTAAATGTTTAGAAGATGCTGCCTGGCTAGACAAAGGGGAAGCTCCCGCCCACTAGAAACTTGCAGGGAGCCCCAGTCCTTGATTGGTCATTTAATTGATTAGCTCCTTGGCCTGGCCTTGAGGCACTGCTTGTAAGTACTTCATGACCTCCATTGCAAACCCATGATGCTCTGCTGGACAAATCCCTCCAGTGGCCAGTCTGGCTGCAAGGACTCTCTGTCTGCAGGCCTTGCCCTGTGCTGTCCTGTGAGAGCATCTGGGCCCCACCTGCTGAAGAGAGGGGGGGTGGGGTTTGCCCCGTTTCCAACAGTCCTACTTCTCTGTTTCAGACGCTGCTCAGGTTCAACGCCGTGCTGAGGAAGCTGCTCATTGTCTTCCCCCACTTCTGCCTGGGCCGGGGCCTCATTGACCTTGCACTGAGCCAGGCTGTGACAGATGTCTATGCCCGGTTTGGTGGGTGGTAGCCGAGGCCCATGGAGCATGGGCCCTGGGTCCAAAGCTGGGAGGGTTACCGGGGGGGCTCCTGCATCAGACTGTGGCAGGGGCTGGTGCTAGGAGGGGACCTTGTTGGGCTGGAGGTGTCCTGCCAGCTGGAGAGGATTAGGGTGCCTCTGTTTCCATGGCTGGGGAGCCACAGGAGGGATGGAGGGCAGCCCTTATGAGGCGGGTGTTTGGCTCTTGCTCAGTTCCCACATAAGGCCTGGTCTAGTGGGCCCTGTGCTGTGGCCAGGTCTGTGGGGTGAGCTGGGGCGGCTGAAGTGGACTCAATTCCTGTTGATGCCCAGGTGAGGAGCACTCTGCAAATCCGTTCCACTGGGACCTGATTGGGAAGAACCTGTTTGCCATGGTGGTGGAAGGGGTGGTGTACTTCCTCCTGACCCTGCTGGTCCAGCGCCACTTCTTCCTCTCCCAATGGTACGTCCATGCCACACCCTGGGCCAGTGGGCAGCTCAGGGCATCCAGAACTGGACCTTATACCCACATGGTCATTTCTTTCCTCAGGAGCCCCACTCCACAATGTTTTTTCTACATTCTCAAAGCCTGGCTTTTCTCCAATAATACAAGTAGAGGATCGGGTTAAAATAGGCACATTCAAATATGTGAAGAGCATCCACTTTAAAATATTTAAAATGCAGTGCTATTAATTTCAATTGCTGATATTTAATCCTTCTCATTTAATTACCAAATGTGTATTTTGATTAGATGATAGTATTGCAAATAACAATGGTTACAGGGTATCCAAAGTACTAGGAAATAGACTAATGTATTTATGAGAGAAAGGACACAGCAGGCCCCTTTGCTAATTAGAGATTTGGGAGCATGGGAGTAATATGGGAGCCATGTGGAGGGGTGCGGGCAGTGATCACGACCCCCCACTCCTGGAGGAAGGTGGGTAGCTGCCAACCCTGACTTTTGACCAGGGCTTCTCAAATGCCAGGTTAGCTGGCAATTGCCATTCTTCCGCAGGCTCTTCCTGAAGCTGGGTGGGCCCCTGCCTCACTCCCCTCTGCAATCCAGTCCTACCTTTATTGTCCTCACCCAGGGGCCTGAATTGCCAAGCAGCAGCCCTTCCTAGCAAGCTTTCCCCAATAGTGTTTTGTTTCTTAACTTTTCCTCCTCTCAGGCTGAGTGTGGTCACCTGTAAATAGATTCCAAGGACTTGGTTTTATGTTTTGATCCACAGGGAATTGATTTATTGGAAATGAATCTGCCTTTCTACTCACAGGACTGTGAGAGGTGAATGAGATCACAGGTGTCAACACACGCCTGATGAAACAGGATACACAAGCAGTTCTAGTTATGGGAGACAGTGTCAGGAATTGTTGTCCTTGGCACCCTCAGCCCCTGCAGACCCTTTCTGCAGCCTTGGCCATACCTTTTAGAGGCTTTTGTGTGGGAGAGAGCAGGTCAGGAGGTTGACTACCCAAATTGACTCATTAGCTTCAAACTCTGATGTCAACACATTTGAATGAGTCCTGCCTGCTTTAGGGCCTAAAGAGGACCAGAGAAGTACACCATAGTCCCTGGCTTCCAGAAGGTCAGGGAGGGTTTCAAAGAAGAGGCTGTGTCTTTAAGAATGGGGAAGATTCCATTTGGTGGGGCAGGAGGAGGAGAACATTGAGGGACTGGAAACACATGCGGAGGCTGGGAGACGGGAATGACCAATAGGACTGGGAACCAGGGGGAGATGCCAATTGCTGACAGAGGAGTTAGTGCAAGAGGTAAGTGAGAAGGGTAGGTGGGGCTGGATTGCAGGGCTGTAACTACAGCTGCAGAGGGAGGGCTTCAACCTACAGCTGATGGGGAACAACAGAAGGTTTTGAGGCATGAGGTGGCCTGATGACAACTCTGTTTTGGAAAGGTGGAGTTGGCAGGGCAGACTGGAGGAAGTGGGAGGCTCGGAGGTTAGTAACTACCCCTTACTGAGTGCTTGCTGTAGAGGAAGCATTTTAGTCCTGACGGTGATCCCAGGCCCTGAGTCTTTACTCTGTGCCAGGCACTGTGCTGAGTTCATCTTCAGCACAATCCTATGAGACAGGTATTGTTACCCTCCTCCTCATCACATGGTTGAAGTAGGCAAGGTTCAGAGAGGTCCAATGCCCAAGATCACACATGAGGAGGCCAGGACTGGAACCCAAGGCTGACTCTGGACATGAGCACCTGACCTCTCTACCTAATGCCTAATGCCTCTCCTGCTGGGAGCCCTTTTTAGAATTTAAGTCTTAAAGGATGGAAGCCCAGAAGGAAGCAGAAGCAAGGAAGTGGAAGAGAGGTCCCATGGAAAGGACAGTGCCAAGGACACTGTACAGCCAGCCCAATCCTGACCCCTTTTCTTCATCTAGGATTGCCGAGCCCACTAAGGAGCCCATTGTTGATGAAGATGATGATGTGGCTGAAGAAAGACAAAGAATTATTACTGGTGGAAATAAAACTGACATCTTAAGGCTACATGAACTAACCAAGGTAAGGGAATGGGTATGAGTTTGGAGGTGCTGGTTAGATCCACAGTTGGCATGATGTTGCCATTTTCCTTCTATAGAACAATTGATATGCTTATGCAAGCAATTTGGTTCCCAGTTTTATGTAGGGTCATCATCCCTGTGTTATAACTCGTCTTCCAAGAGCATCTAATTCCAATGTGTGTTCCCTGCTATTCATCTCGGGCACTGACACAGGGCCTCAGTGAGAATCACTCCAGCTGAGCATCATTCCCTTTTCTGTGTTCTGTTTCTGCAGAGCATGGGTCAGCCTCGAGATGTCTCAGTACTCACCACACCTCTGTGCCTGCCCATGTCAATATGTAACCTCCTAGTGCTGGTAGTTTTCTCCTAAACCATCCTTTGCTCTTTGTTCCCTCTTCCCCTCCTTGCTCTCACCCTGTCTCAGTTCTCAGTCCGGTTTCTTCGTATCTTGCAGATTTATCCAGGCACCTCCAGCCCAGCAGTGGACAGGCTGTGTGTCGGAGTTCGCCCTGGAGAGGTGGGTACTCTGCAGACCACGTGTGAAAGGCTTCCGAACATCAGCTCTTGTGCCTGCCTCTCCTCCCCATAAGGCAGAGCTATTCAATAGGAACATAATGCCATAATGCAAGTCACATATGTAATTTTAAATCTTCCACTAGCCACATGAGAAAAGTAAAAAGAAAATAGGTAAAATTAATTTCATTAGTATTTTTTATTTTACTCAATATAACCAAAATATTATTTCAAAATGTAATTAATAGAAAACCTTATTAATGAAATATTTGACAATTTCTCGTTGTTTTTAAGTCTTTGAATCTTTACACTCAGGGCCCGTGTCAACTGGGACTTAGATGTGTTTCAAGTGCTTAGTAGCCACATATGGCTCGTGGCCTCTGATGGCAGCCCAGGTCTAAAATTCCTCCCCCAGCTCACACACACACTTACCCTGGGGCCTGACATTTTAGACCTTCTTGATCTCTAGGGCCAGGCTAGCTCTGTGTTTTCTCCTAGTGCTTTGGCCTCCTGGGAGTGAATGGTGCCGGCAAAACAACCACATTCAAGATGCTCACTGGGGACACCACAGTGACCTCAGGGGATGCCACCGTAGCAGGCAAGAGGTGAGTATCCTGCTCCTCCTGTCTCAGGGAGTCTCTCACAGGTCCTGTGAGAAGAATAGGAAGGGTGATCATCAGACCCTATAGTAGGGTGGCTCTGAGGCCCTGAAAGATCTGTACAGAGAAGGAGGCCTCCCAGAGAGCATGGCCCAAAAAGCCCAACACATAGACCCAATGGAAAAGTGAACTGAATTGTGATAGTTAAGAGATTCCTCTGTTGGGATGGATTCTTGGAAAGACCTGGGAAGCACTAAGTGTGTGGTTCTTAATCTCTTAGAGGTCACGGAACCTTTTAAGCATCTGATGAATATTTGTAGCCTATTCCTATAAAAATGCACCATTGCTTCCCATTACCTCCCTCCACACATTTTTACAAAACGTTTCAGGGAGTTTACTGAGCCCCAGGTCACATTTATGATCCTGCAGGAGCTCTTGAATCCCAGGTTAAGAACCCCTGTGATGAATGAAGAATCCTTCCTCTGGGTTGAGTTTCTAGATAGGGGCTCATGCATGGGCCTTTGGGGTAGCCTAACCTGCATTGGCTATTTGTAGGCTGATATTTGGCTTTGCCAGACCAAGGAGCATAGAGGGAAAACTGGCGTGTGCCCTTGGATTCTGGAGGGTGACTGCTGCTCTCTGTAATAAAATGTGTTTAAACAGACTGGTCCCCTATGGGCAGGACAGAGAGGATGAGCTCTCACTCATCTGCCTCTTTCCTGGCTGCAGGAAAAGCTTGAACAGTAAAACTTCAGCACACACAATAGAGGTGCCCAGAGGAAGCCTCTGCCCTGGTTTATAAGTGGAGTTAGGTGCTGCTGACATCTGTCCAGCATCTGCTTGACTGGGGCCTCTTCCTCTCTCCTGAAAGCCATCCTCAGCATGGCCCAATGCCCAGTGGGCAGGACGAGTCCTGAGCACGCTTCACTGGCTCAGACAGGATGAATTTGATTCTTTGGCCTCCATAGCCAGCCCTACTGGGTTTACAGAAAAGGGACAGGCAGGGGTGAAGCCAGGTCATGGCTGAGTCCATCTCAACAGATCCAGCTTCACCTGCAAGTGACCACGCAGGTGACTTCCTCATGGTGACAAAAGGAGTCATGGCAGGGTAGAGATATCATACCATGGCAGGGGAAAGATATCATAGAATTTTCCATGAGCACATTTATGAGACATCAAGTTACAACTGTGTCCAAGTGAGGCACAGTCTGACATCCAGAAGGTAAAACTGAGCTGGACGCTAGAAAGAAACTATAGGCTTAAGACACAGAATTGGGATTATATGGTAGGGTAGCTCCCACTAATTTGGAAACGTACCCTACTTGCTTCCCTGAGTAGTTTTAATTGGCCCAGCCATGCCTTTGGTGGCTTTTGTCATTGTGGGGAACTGTAATGGTCTCTCTGTACCATCCTATATCATCCATCCTTTATTCATAGACCCTAAGCTATAAGAAGAAAAGGATGAGATTAGACTAAATGTCTATGTATAGTTTATTTTCCATCTTGGCAATATATTTTTTAGTGGGGGTGAATATATTAGCCAAAGGGAGTTGGTGGAACCCAACTCACTCTACCCCTGCTCCCTGCAGGCCTCTCGCTGTGGGTAGTTATCTGACTGGCTCCTCTTTCATTGCTATCTTTGCCAATAAATACAGATAGAGAAGTTTACTTCCATCGGGACACATGCATCTTTTCTAGTTACTTCCCAAATGTCTGAAAATTATTGATAAATCATGAATCATTTTCTTAAACCTGATCTTCCCTCTGTTTTTAAACTCACATGTGAGGTGATCTGATCCAAAATGAAAGCTGACTTTTGGCGTAACAGGGATTCAATTAATCCTAGACATGGAAACATGGAAGAATCTGACAGGATTCAGTTTCTAACCGAAGGGCCCCTGTTTTGATTCCCAAATATCCCATGCATTTCTGAAGCCAAATAGGAGAAGAGAAGAAGCAGCTTCCTTTTCCCGTTGGCAGAAGCTTCTCCAGCCCTAGCTCTATGGTCATCCCTCCACTCCTTGAAGGATACTCAGTAATTGCTTTTTTTCTTGCAGTATTTTAACCAATATTTCTGAAGTCCATCAAAATATGGGCTACTGTCCTCAGTTTGATGCAATTGATGAGCTGCTCACAGGACGAGAACATCTTTACCTTTATGCCCGGCTTCGAGGTGTACCAGCAGAAGAAATCGAAAAGGTGAAAAATGTTTTGTTGTGGCCACATAGGAGTCTGGTTAATTACAAGCCTGTTTCATGAGAGTGCATTCTCTTGGAGATGAGAAACTGAAGCGTGCTATTCATTCATTCATTCCAACAAATGTTTACTATGTGTCTACTGTGTGCCAAGTACTGTTCTAGAAACCAGGAGTATAGCAGTGAACAAGACAGACAAAAAAAAATCCCCACTCTCATATCTAACAAAATGTTGTATGCATTTATCCTCTGACTCAGCAATCACACGTCTAAGAGTTTATCCTGAAGATGCATCTCCCACAGTGCAAAATGAATATGTATAAGGTGATCCATTGCATTTGTAATTGCAAAATGCTGGAAGTTACCTAAATGTTTAGTCATTGTAGATTGGCTGAATAATTTATGGTACAGACACACAATAAAGTCTTACGCAACTATAAAAAAGAAGAAGAAAAGTCTCAGTAAACTGATATGGAGATATTTCCAGTAAATACTGTTAAATGATAAAAAGCAAAGTGGAAAACAGAACATAGAGAACGCTACTTTGTATGTAAGAAAGAAGGAAAAACAAGAAAGTAAACGTATGTCTGCTTACCTTTGCAAATAGAACGTAGAAAGGATAAACCAGAAAACAATGAATTTGGTGATCAACAAGAAGAAAATGGGAAGAAAGAAAAATGGGAGGAAACAGTACTTCTGGGGATATATTTTTGTATAGTTTTAATTTTTGGAAGCATGTTAATGTTCCACATATTCAAAAAAAATCAGTAAGAATGGGAAGTAGGCAAAAATGAAAACAAAAAGAAAACCTAACACTGACAGCAAACTAAATAAAGTAACCCAATTTTATTTCAAATAAATATCATAATCTTGCAAAAGGGGGATAGAGCTAACACAAACAACTGCTGAACACAGTGTTTGACTCTATATCCTCATTCTTGGGCAGGGTGGAGCGGGGGAGAAGAACTACAAATAATTTCTGAGTTCTTTTTAGTTTGTTTTTTATAGTGGTATAGGCAAAGTGATTCTGAAAATTTTAGATGTGTTACAGGATTAAATAAATTAATAAATGTTTTGATGTTATTGGGACCCAGAATTCTCACCGTGGAAGAAGGGACTTACAAATATGGAAAAGGGAAAAGCAAGAAAGAACTGTGAGGTCATGGATAGGAACCGGAGGTAGCACTGGGAATTCAGGAATATTTATATGCTTGTGTTTGTGGGTGCATGCAGATGTGTTCATGTTTCATGCACATAGGCATGTATATATAGACATATATTTGCATGTGTGTATCTGTCTTCCGAAAGGCTCAAGAAGCAAAAACACCCCAGTAGCCATGAGCACACTTAGCACTCAGGCTTTTGTCTTAATAACATTCCCCACTAAAAGTAACCCTGATTCCTCCAATAAATGATAAGTTCCAGGGCTGGAATGGCATAGGTATAAAATGAACCTGGAATATCTTATGCCAGAAAGTAAGGAAGTGCTTTTAAAAAAAAAATAAGGGGCTGGGCATGGTGGCTCACACCTGTAATCGCAGCACTTTGGGAGGCCAAGGTAGGAAGATCGCTTGAGCCCAGGAGTTCCAGATTAGCCTGTGCAACATAGGGAGACCCTGTCTCTACAAAAAATTAGCAAACAAATTAGCTGGGCCTGGTGGTGCACGCCTATAGTCCCAGCTACTCAGGTGGCTGAGGTGGGAGGAATGCTTGAGCCCAGGAGGTTGAGGCTGCAGTGAGCTGTGATCAAGCCACTGCTCTCCAGCCTGGGAAACAGAGCAAGACTCTGTCTCTTAAAATAATAATAATATAATTTTAAAGAAATAAAAGTAACTCTGTACAGATTGCTTATTGGTTACATGGGAGAAACATAATAATTTTACAATGGAGAAATTAGACAGCACCTTAACTGGGTGATCAAAATTAACCATAAGGGGCAGATGGACATCTCATGCCCCGAGATGTGATACCCTGTGAAGGACACAATTTCACTTATGTAGAATCCAGATTGGAGATATGTAACCTGAATCTTATCATGAGGAAACATCTGACAAGCTCCAAAGAAGGAATATTCCTTAAAAAAAAAAAAAGGAGACTGTATTCTTCAAAAACATAAGAGTCATAAAAGACAAAGAAAGAGCTATGGAAATATCTCTGATCGCAGGAGGCTAAACAGGCATAATGACTGAATAGCAGACAATAGACTACATCTTGTGCAGAAGAGAAAAAAAATGATAGAAGGATATTATTGGACCAACTGACAAAACTGAACTATGAACAGTAGATTAGGTAAATGTATCATAACATTAAGTTTACTGACATTGATAATGTACTGTGGTTATGTAAGAGAAGATCTCTATTCTTAGGAAATATGCCCTGAAGTATTTAGGAGTGAAGGGCTGTGATGAGTAATTTACCCTCAAATGGGTCACAAAAAATTGTGTGTGAGAGAGAGAAGGGTTTTATTAGTTAATAATTCTATGAACTATTTTTATTCCTATATGTTTGTGTGAGTTTGAAACTATTTCCAAATAAAAAGTTAAAAATGGAGATTACATTCTAGTGGGAGGGATAGACGATCTGTAGATAAATAGGTAAAATATCCAGTACATTAGAGAGTGAAAAGTCCTCAGGGAAAAGTAACGCAGGGAGGAACTGCTGGGGCAGGGTTTGCATTTTGAGGTAGGGTGGCCCAGGGAGAGCCTGCAGAGGAGAGAACCTGAATGAAGAACTAGAGGTGAGAGAAGGAGCCACGTGCACACCTAGGGAGGAACATTCCAGGCACGGGGGACTAGTATAGAAGGCAGAAGCATGGTGAGCTTGTCTCCAGTGGCTTCCCTAGATCCCCTCCTGCGCATGTGCACACACACCTGGTGTCTCTGTCATCGTTCCCTCACAGCACTGTCACGATCTGCCAGTATTCTGTTTATTTTGACTGCCACCTCCCCGCAGTCTGAGGATAGCAGCAATGGCTGTGTTCACATTGTTCTCCAGTGCCTGGTTCAGTGCCTGGCGTATGGTCAGTGCTCCATAGGTATGTGTCGGATGCACAAGGCTTTGGGTGTAACCCTCTTGACGGGTGGGATCAACAGGTCTGGGACTCACCATCTTCTCAAACAGAGCCTTCCTCCTCCACTGCTAGCCATGGTCCAGGACGCTGGGCGAGACCCACTGTCTTGCTCTTTGTAAGGCTGAAGTCCATTTCCCAGGCGGCTACACCCAACAGATGCTGAGCAGGCTGGGCCACCCTGGGATCCAAGACACAGAGAGAAAGAGCCCCTGTCTGGCGCCTGAAGCACATGCCAGAGGACAGGAGCCAGCAGGAGCCTGTTTCAGCCTAGCTGGGGATTTCATTCTGGAGGCGTGAGATCTGGGAGCCCAAGGCTTTGAACTGGGGGAGGTTTGGGGTGTTTGCTTGTCTTCTCCAAATGGCATTTCTTTCTCTTCCCTAGGTTGCAAACTGGAGTATTAAGAGCCTGGGCCTGACTGTCTACGCCGACTGCCTGGCTGGCACGTACAGTGGGGGCAACAAGCGGAAACTCTCCACAGCCATCGCACTCATTGGCTGCCCACCGCTGGTGCTGCTGGTAACTGCGGGCTTGGGCCGCACCAAGGGCTTAAACCAAGTGCTGGGTCTCTTGGGTTGGGGAAATAGGTTCTGGGTCGGCAGATTTAGAAACTGCAGCAGTTTGGCTTTAGTCTGGACTGTTTCCTGTGTTGCTCATTTTGAGCGATCAGCCCAGTGTTTGGTTCACACAGCTCCGGAGAAAAACAAGTCACGGCACAGCCTTGACTTGGGACTGCGCACATCCTGCGTTCCCAGGATGTCTCCTGTGGGGCCATCGGCTCACAGCCGGGAAGTTCAGCCCACTCTGCGGCCTGTCGGTGTCTGGTCCCCATACAGGAGCACTGAGCTGGGTCAAAGGCTCCTGAGCTGAGCCAGGCCAGGCCTGAGGCCATGCCCACGCAGCCCAAGGATCATGAGGGCACAGGACATAGCGGGAACCAAGGAAGTGACCTGAGTGACCTCCCTGCCTTCTGACAAATGTATTTGCAGGATTTTCTTTTTTTGAGGAGAATTCTGTCATTGCCTTAATCCACTTTAATCCCCTCGTGGGCTGAAATGGGCCCAGGATGGACGCCACGCTTCTTTACTCTTGGATCCACCTCCTGCCTTCCCTACCCTACACCAGGGTACCCCTGTCTTGCTCAAGTGAGGGGAGTGACTGTGTGCGCCTTCTGTCAGCTCATCCTCCACAGGGGAGCCAGCCCAGGGGGAAGCAGTAATCAGAAGGGCCAGCTCCCAGCCTGTGCCCCCAACCTTCTCTCCACCCCCCAGGATGAGCCCACCACAGGGATGGACCCCCAGGCACGCCGCATGCTGTGGAACGTCATCGTGAGCATCATCAGAGAAGGGAGGGCTGTGGTCCTCACATCCCACAGGCAAGAGATTCCCAGGGCTGGGGAAGGTGGGTGGGAATCCTCTCCTGCTCACCTCCTCTCTCCTGCCCCACAGCATGGAAGAATGTGAGGCACTGTGTACCCGGCTGGCCATCATGGTAAAGGGCGCCTTTCGATGTATGGGCACCATTCAGCATCTCAAGTCCAAGTAAGCAGATGGTGGGGCGTGCCCCTTGTTGCCTTCTGTGGATCCACCTGGATCCTGTGTTCTCCATTGACACTTGGAAGAGTCCTGCTGCTCCGTCATCCCCTGGGGCAGAGGCAGGTGGTGGCTGGGCCTCATTCTCCAGCAGCAGATGGAGAAGGCCATCATGCTGATAAGAAACTCCTCTATATTGGCCTAATTTCCTGTGGTCGAAGACTCGCCCAAGTCTCTGGATGGGGCATCTGATCAGGATGCATGCAGAGCCTGGCTGGGATGAGGGAGGGCTGCTACCACTGCCTCAATATTTCACCACTTATCTCAACAGATCCGGGACCTGTGGCCTATTTACTAAGAGTCCACTCCAATGTAGGAATGGTTAGGAGACCAACTGACTTGAGGACCCATCTTTGTTTTTAGAATATTGTATGCTTTTGAGTTTGAAAAAAGACCATATGTTATATGACAAACCAACAATGGCAGTAATCTTGAATAGGATTATCCTTATCCTGTACCCACACATTGTAAACTATTGTAGATAATTCCTTATTATTAAGAGTTTGCATGCCAAAGCTAACAGTTTAAGATTATCAGCATATTGCCGTGCTCATTCACGTTCTGATATGCTTTATAACCTAGAAAAGAGCAGAGTTACAATTACTCATTTATTTAACAAACACTTATTAAGAGCTCAGAATATAAGTCACTAAGCTGGTTGGTGGGAGGAACAGCACATAACCCACCTTATCTATGCTGAGGTGCATAATCCTGATGCACCCACAGGAGGGTGTTACACAGAAGATGTCATCCTTTCATATGTGTCAGAGCAGATAAATAATTGAGAGAAAGGTCTAATAGATTAGCTGCTTGTGGCAAGTGGACGTTTGACCCATGATTTATTGAGCAACTACAACTTGGACACTGCATAGATATCTATAGAAATAGCAGCATGTCAGGTCACCAGACCTGTGTCAGCAACTTCCTGTGTCCAACTGCTGGAGAAAGGGAAGTCTCCTATTCCTTTCCCTCCAGCTCCTTAATATCTCCATGATAGAGGGGGTGAGAGGGGAGTGTTCCCTGTGTGGAGGGATGGTGAGTTTTCTGGAGCTGAAAGGTAAACAGCCTTTCTCCTCTGCATCTTACTGCAGAGGAGAACAGCCCTAGACTGTGGAGGAAGCTTTGGAGTCAGTTATGACTGACACAGGATACCAGGGCATAGGGTACTGACACCCGCTAGCCGTGCACACACTCTCTGGTGGACCATCACTCATCCAAGAGAGGGTAACCAGCCATCCTGCTGAAGGAGAAAGAAAGCACCAATGGCCCAAGCCCTAGCAGCTCCATTGTTTCAGGAAGCTTCCTCAGGGAAGTGCTGCCTTCCCGAGCCTTTGCTCCCACCTGGCCCATCAGCCCTTACCACCACTCAGTATGCACTGGTCCACGTGTCTTTATGGGCAGTCTTGGGATCCCCACACTGGGCTAAAACTACCTTTGACGGCCAGGTGCAGTGGCTTACACCTGTAATCCTATCACTTTGGGAAGCTGAGGCAGGTGGATCACTTGAGGTCAGGAGTTCGAGACCAGCCTGGCCAACACGGTGAAACCCTGTCTCTACTAAAAATACAAAAATTAGATGGGCATGGTGGTATGCACCTGTAATCCCACCTACTCGGGAAACTGAGGCACAAGAATTGCTTGAACTCAGAAGGCAGAGGTTGCAGTGAATCGAGATCACACCACTGCACTCCAGCCTGGGTGAAACAGCAAGACTCTGTCTCAAAAAATAAAATAGGCTGGGCGTGGTGGCTCATGCCTGTAATCCCAGCACTTTGGGAGGCCAAGGCGGGCGGATCACTTGAGGTCAGGAGTTTAAGACCAGCCTGGCCAACATAGTGAAACCCTGTCTCTACTAAAAATACAAAAAAAAAAAAAAAAATTAGCCGAGTGTGGTGGCAGGTGCCTGTAGTTCCAGCCTCTCAGGAGACTGAGGCAGGAGAATTGCTTGAACCCAGGAGGCGGAGGTTGCAGTGAGCCAAGATCATGCCACTGTACTCCAGCCTGGGCAACGGTGAGACTGTCTCAAATAAAATAAAATAAAATAAAATAAAATAAAATAAAATAAAATAAATAAAATAAAATAAATAAAACTACCTTTGACTTCAGCAAGTACGATTATCCCACATTACCATGCAGACATTTGATCTCTAAAAACTGGTATCAAATGATTTCTCCAGGGACTACCATGGTTTTTCTCTCCTAGTTTTCAGTATGTACACAGGTCTATGGTATGGGCCTTTAATCCCCAGTATTTCTTTTTTTGTTGTTCTTGTTTGGGTTTGTTTCTTGTTTTTCGGTTTTTTTGAGACAGGGTCTCACTCTGTCACCCAGGCTGGAGTGCAGTGGCATGATCATGGCTCACTGTAGCCTTGACCTCCTATGCTCAAGTGATCCTCCCGCCTCAGCCTCCCAAGTAGCTGGGACCACAGGCATGTGCCACCATGCCCTGCTAATTTTCGTAGAGACAGGGTCTTTCTTGTTGCCCAGGCTTATCTTACATTCCTGAGCTCAAGTGATCCTCCCACCTCTACCTCCCAAATTGCTGGGATTTCAGGTGTGAGCCACCAAGCTGAGCTTAATCCCCAAAATTTCTGATGAGTCTACTCCTTATTTTGGGATTACCTTAGGCCCAACCACTAACAGAGGCCTGTCCTGCACTGTGTGCATCCCCTAGATTTGGAGATGGCTATATCGTCACAATGAAGATCAAATCCCCGAAGGACGACCTGCTTCCTGACCTGAACCCTGTGGAGCAGTTCTTCCAGGGGAACTTCCCAGGCAGTGTGCAGAGGGAGAGGCACTACAACATGCTCCAGTTCCAGGTCTCCTCCTCCTCCCTGGCGAGGATCTTCCAGCTCCTCCTCTCCCACAAGGACAGCCTGCTCATCGAGGAGTACTCAGTCACACAGACCACACTGGACCAGGCAAGTTGGCCCTGGGGCACCGAGAGCTGAGCAAAGACTGGTCCAGAACACCCAGTGTGGGTTGGAATTGCCATAAGAGGGAGGCATAACATTCCCGATTTTTAACAAACTCTTGCCCTCTGTTTATTGGGGTAAAAGCTGATATATCAGAAATTGTTTTCTAACAATATTTTTTAGTCATCAGGAAACTTCATTGATTCTTTTTTTTACATTTTCCTTCCCTGTGATGCTATGGTGTGTTATTTCATTCTTGCTCGTTTGTGGTGGTGGTTTTTCCTTCAAATCAGCTTTATTGATGTGTAATTAACATACGATGAAACACAGGTTCTTTGGGAGGCCAAGGCAGGAGGATCACTTGAGCCCAGGAGTTTAAGACAGGCCCATGTAACAAAGTGAGACTTTGTCTCTACAGAAAAAAAAAAAAAAAATCAGAAAATTAGCCAGGCGTGGTGGTGCATGCCTGTGGTCCCATCTACATGGGAGGTTGAGGAAGGAAGATTGCTGGAGCCCAGGAGGTCAAGGCTGCAATGAGCTGTGTTCATACCACTGCACTCTAGTCTGGGTGACAGAGCAAGCCCCTGTCTCAAAAAAGCAAAACAAAACAAAAACACCTATTTTAAATGTACAGTTTAGTGAGTTTTGATAAACGTGCATTCCATGTGTGGTTTTTAAAAATGTAATCACATTTTTTATTGCGGTAAAATATAATAACATAAAATTGACCATGCCAACCATGTTTAAGTGCACAGTGCAGTGGCACTAAGTACATTTACATTGTTGTGCAACCGTTACCACCATCCCCGATAGAACTCTTTCATCTTGCTTCAGTGAAAATCTGTGCCCATTAAACACTAACTCACCACTTACTGCCCCCCTCGCCCTTGGCAACTACTGTTCTACTTTCTGTCTCTAAGGCTCTGACTACTATAGATACCTCATATAAGTGGAATCATACAGTGTTTGTCCTTTTGTGTCTGGCTTATTATGCGAGGACTTAGCATAATGTCCTCAAGGTTCATCCGTGTTGTATCATGTGCCAGAATTTCCTTCCTTTTTCAGGCCGAATAATATTCCTTTGTACGTATATGTGCTACATTTTGTTCATCCATCTATTCATTCATTGATAGACATTTGGGTTGTTTCTGGGTTTTGTGTTTTTATATATGTTTTTTTAAAAATAAACATCTTTAGAGACAGTTCAGTAAAGCAGTGGAAACAGGGAAGTCTCCATTTAACCCCTGAGGATCTGGCTCACCTGCACCTTCTCATCAGCATTAAGCAGAGGGAGGCACGAGCAGGAGCCACCTGCACACTCAATGAGGAGCTGAACAGGGATCAATTACCTTTTTTTTTAGTTATTAGGATGCTGCTAGCTGAGAATCTGCCTTGCCTTGATTACCCCAATGTCTGGTGCCCAAGTCCCTTGAGTCCTCCAGCAGGAACTCCTGTGGCATCACTCAGGAGTCTAGTCTAAGAAGCTAGCTCTGACCAGGGCAGTGGTGGCCAGGCTTCTGTGAGTGGGCCAGCCTCCCCCGGGTAGGACACAAGCCATACCAGCAGGGCTGTATGTGAACTGTGGAAAATAGAGAGCAAAGTGGGTAGGTGGGTGTAGGGTGCTGTTTTCCTGGAAATATCTACCTAATCTCGCTCTTCTCTTACCTCTAGGTGTTTGTAAATTTTGCTAAACAGCAGACTGAAAGTCATGACCTCCCTCTGCACCCTCGAGCTGCTGGAGCCAGTCGACAAGCCCAGGTACCCCTGCTGCTTATGCAGTCCACAGCTTGAGGCAGTTCCTTGGCTCAGAGCCCAGCTGGTTCACTGGGCTTGAGTTGCTCCAAGGCTCAGATATGCCTCCTACAGAGAGCCCCACCCACACCACGGTCCCTACCAAGTCCCCACCACATCCTCATCACATCCTTGCTAAGTCCCTGCCACTGTGTGTTCTGTGCTGAAGAACTTTTCATTCAGTAGTTGTAGGGGTTCCTATTGTAATCAGGAAACCATCTGGATAGCATGGGAGAGCATTTTTGAAAAGAACTTTCCCATGTTTTTGCTTACAGCAAAAAAGCTTGGATTTGGGGAATAAGGAGCAGAGAAGGTAATAGAGAATATTAGAATGTTTTGGGTGCTTGACATCTATGTCTGGACATGTGTTTGAGTTTCAAGGGAAGGGACTTAACTGGCACATCATTTCAGTGTCAGACACATTTGGTTAGATCAAGGAATAGCATCTGTTGTAGGAAGAGGGCTCTTTGTTCTTTATAAAAATTACAAGAAGATGGAGAAAGAAGCAATAGGAGGTATGTCTCCTGGCTTGTGATAACTCTTGGAATAGGTGCTTGTAGGTTCCTGCCCTGGCACAGTGCCCCATGTAAGGAGCACACCACCCAAGAAGGAGAGAGCTAGAGCAAGTACTGGAGGAGGCACCAGCATCCCAATGCCTTGGCTTAAGCCTGGGATTGTAGAGGGATGAATTAGCCACTCTCTTCTGACTTACCTGGAGAGTAAATCAAATCAAATCAAGAAGCAAGGATATGCAAAAACCTTATTTCCCCATAAAGTTTTTATTCTGCCCAGTTTCTGGATTGCAAGAAAAACCAAATACAGCTAATGATTGAAACACTGCTGTCTAAAGCAGTGCTTGTGATGAATTTTTTCCCTTCCTCTTGACCAGCAGAGACCTAATGGCTACTTGGCAAAACTGACTTTGTCTTCCCACCCCTTACCTGCCAGAGGGCCCAGAAATGCCTAAGGCTCCTTTAGTTACAGAAAGTTTGCTTTTACTGAGATCTTCCAGCCACTGATTCCCATTTATAGATCTGGTGATTGCTGTTGACATCAGTTGAAAATTATTTTTAAAAACCACTTGCAGTTGCAAATCCTTTTTATAACTCTGTAACTCAGAATATAGAATTGGGTAGCAAAATTGTTTCCCAGAATTACCAATGGTCTCCCCACCCCTGCCTGGCATGTTCCCTCTTAAAGGACTAATCCCACCACATCACCTCTGGGCCAGGCAGAACATCAGGGGTGCTGATGTTCTGTGATCTACAGCAGTTAATTCCAAACTTTTCTCCCTTATTGGATGAGATCATTTTTCTATTGTGTTTTTTACATTTTTGTTCACAAAGATTAGAAAACCTGCAACACACTTATTGGCATATTTTTCTGATAATTTTCATCCAAAACCTAATTCTGACTTTACAACATACTATCTTTACAAAGGTTTGCAAAAATTCTTTCATATAGCATTGTATATGTCTGTCATGAAATAATAGTAAGTATATTATTGTTTACATTATACCACTTCAAAATAATTTCCTTTAAAGTATTCTTCAAACAAGAAAAAGGCAATTTCTCTCAAGAAGTTTTAGAGAGAATTTACAACTTGCTCCTAAGCAAATGTGAGAACTTCAGGAGGTTCATCTGGCCATTGGCTTTACAACTCCAAATTGTGAGCCAGGACCACACAGATATTTCTCTAGAAATCAGCGTTTGCTTACCAAGAACATTTTTACTCTCCAAAGGACTCCATCCTGGAAAACATGTTTTGGGATAAGGTCTTATGCAATCTTATACTCTGTTATTAAAACCAGTGAGGGTCAAGGTGTTAATAGATTAAGTAGTGACAGATGATCAGACAACTTAGAAACATCCTAAATAGGTTAATAATTATGTGACCATCGCATGTGCATTCCCAAATTAGGAACAACTCAGATCAATTTCTAATCCTTATTCTTACACTGTTCCAGTTCCCCCATATAACTCGTATCTTTGTGTTAGTTTCAGAAGTTTCTGAAGTACCCTCAGCCTTGATGGGGATCCTCGCACCACCTCAAATCCTGTTCTCAGCCCTAAGAACTGTGTTAGTCATCCTCTTAAGAGGATGTGTGATTTTAAATCAGATAATGGGATAAACCACATTTCGTCTAGACTGGTCAGGCCTTTGTCCAGTCCCCTCCTCGCCCACACTACCCCAGCTCCACAGCGGGCATTGGTTCAGGAATTCAACCCACACTTTATAACTGGAGACAGTATCTCTCCAGTTAAAAAGGTCACCTTGGTGTCCGCTTCTCAAGGAACATGGACATCTTTATTAATCAAAGCCCAAGCTTTGATCTGGAGCCTAATATCCTGCACTCCAGCTCTCATCTCTCCCCTCCCCCAGTCACACTTTCATGCTTCCCAGAGCCACCCCTACAGGAAGTGGTCAAGGGAATTCTATACCTCAGGGCTGACCTAAATTAGGATTTCTTGGCTTTTAAGATAATGGTAACTTTCTTAAGCTAAAAAAGCCCCAAAAGACCCTGTAAGAGCCCTTGGAAACAGCACCATGGGTGTAGCTTCCCCCCAGGATGTAAGCATGTATGCACACATCTCGTATGTGTGTCTTTGTAACAAATGCCTGGATCTTAGTACCAGGGAGACCTGATTCATAGATTTCATAGAGAAGGAGAGAAAGATGGCCCATAACCTGGGTGATCTGACAGAATCACAGTGCCCTCAGCTGAGTGCCCTTCAGAAATTGATTGACAACTGTTTAGCTTTTGAAATCTAAAAGTAGTACAGCATCTCAGAAAACCAAGATGACGCGAGTCCATGTGATCTCCTTCCACAGGACTGATCTTTCACACCGCTCGTTCCTGCAGCCAGAAAGGAACTCTGGGCAGCTGGAGGCGCAGGAGCCTGTGCCCATATGGTCATCCAAATGGACTGGCCAGCGTAAATGACCCCACTGCAGCAGAAAACAAACACACGAGGAGCATGCAGCGAATTCAGAAAGAGGTCTTTCAGAAGGAAACCGAAACTGACTTGCTCACCTGGAACACCTGATGGTGAAACCAAACAAATACAAAATCCTTCTCCAGACCCCAGAACTAGAAACCCCGGGCCATCCCACTAGCAGCTTTGGCCTCCATATTGCTCTCATTTCAAGCAGATCTGCTTTTCTGCATGTTTGTCTGTGTGTCTGCGTTGTGTGTGATTTTCATGGAAAAATAAAATGCAAATGCACTCATCACAAACTATCCTAATTCACAGTCTCCCTGGTGTGCACCACCTAGTATAGTTTTAGACATTCTTTAGATGGGTGCATAGCTCCTTGTCAGTCCCATGCACTTCTGTGAGTGTTACTGCCTCAGGACTGCTCGTTCTGGCAAGATTCTGCAACACTAGGTTGGAAGTGAATGGACTAGTCTTAATGTTCCATGTCAAGTCTTTGTAGAGTTTGAAGAAAACACCCAACTAGTAATGCCTGTAAACATTATCCATTGTCAGCTGGGTATTACTGACTTTAAGTTTCGTGTCTGTTTGCCCAGCTTATTTGAGTGTTTACCTCACAAGTGTAATTAGGACAGGAGACAAAGAGGCATGCACAGGCGAGAGTTGGTCCTTGGTTGGACGTGAGACCCGACAGGACTTTGTAACCATTTGAAGAGGTCAGGACCTCATTCTCATGCTGCTGTGCCTTTTCTGCAGTGCTACCATGTGCATCTTCTGCAGTGGTGTTAGAAGGGAATGAAGGCCGGGCGCAGTAGCTCACGCCTGTAATCCCAGCACTTTGGGAGCCTGAGGTGGGCAGATCACAAGATCAGAAGATCAAGACCATCCTGACTAACACAGTGAGACCCCGTGTCTACTAAAACTATGAAAAATTAGCTGAGCATGGTGGCACATGCCTGTAGTCCCAGCTACTCAGGAGGCTGAGGCAGGAGAATCGCTTGAACCCAGGAGGCAGAGGTTGCAGTGAGCTGAGATTGTGCCACTGCACACCAGCCTGGCGACAGAGCAAGACTCCATCTAAAAATAAATAAATAAATAAAAAGGAATGAAGATGGACATCTAGTTCACATAAATGCTCATCAAGATTCAGAAAATAATAATTTTAAACCAAACATTTCCAGAGACTGTGGATGAGGAGAACAAGTGGGTTTCCTTGTCAGGGCAGTCTCCCCTCCATGACCTAGAGATGGGCTTCGTCGTAAACATGCTTTCATTATACTGAGGATAGACTCCAGAGTCGGGGTGAGGCAAGAGGAAAAGGGGAGAGATGCTGAGGCCCAGGAACTGTTGCTGAGAAGAGGATGAGAAAGAAAGTGAGCACAAGGTGCTAAAATTTTTGTTTCAGCTGTGCTTGTTTAGAGGCAGACAGAGGGCAAGGGCTACACAACTTTAAGTCCTGCACACCTCCTGGCTTGCCACTTTGCACCTTCTAGATGCTAGGCAAACAACTGCCCATAGAGACTATAAAACTACTTTGGTAACCCCGCAGCTTCATCTGGTGTTGACTTTTTCTTTTAAGTTACCAAGGACCAAAACTGTAAGACCATTTTAGCTAGGGCTAGGATAGAGGTTGGGAAAGCCCAGCACACTGCTTGCATCACACTGCTGCACCCTGGCTGGTTTCATAATTTAAATTAGCAACTGCAATATCACAGGAAAGAAGACTACACTCTTCGGGGCTGCTTAGGAAAAGAAAACTAAAAAAAGACTATGTAGGGGAGGTGGTTTAGCAGCCATTCTGTTTGGCTGTGAGGGTTTCGGAAAGGCATCATGAACTGGGAAGAGTCGATGCAGGTAAAATCTGCACACCCCCTTAAGGAAAAATCTCAGTTTACCTTTTGTCTCCACTACACCTGAGGTCTGTGTCTTTTCATCCTGTTTTTTCCAGCTCCTGGCACACAGAAAATGTTCAACTAATACCCACCAAACTGAAAACCCAGCAAACTATGAAAACTCAGCAAGAAAAATAGACAGAAAAGAAGTGGGTCCAAGAAAATGATGCCTCCAAAAAGCAGCAAAGGGCAAGTGGAGCAGGAGGATGCCGTGCTTTAAAAACAGCCACAGGCCGGGTGTGGTGGCTCACGTCTAATCCTAGCACTTTGGGAGGCCGAGGCGGGCGGATTGCCTGAGCTCAGGAGTTCGAGACCAGCTGGCCAATGTGGTGAAAGCCCGTCTCTATTAAAATACAAAAAAAAAAAAAAGAAAGAAAGAAAATTAGCCAGGCGTGGTGGTGGGTGCCTGTAATCCCAGCTACTCAGGAGGCTGAGGCAGGAGAATTGCTTGAACCCGAGAGGCAGAGGTCACAGTGAGCTGAGATCGTGCCACTGCACTGCAGCCTGGCAACAGAGTGAGACTCTGTCAAAACAAACAAACAAACAAACAAACAGCCACAAAGCAAGGAGGAGGTGGCAAAGCCACAGCTTGCTTGGGTTTGAGGAGGGCTGAAGCTGGAAGCTTGGCCCAGATCTCCTGAGAATGTGTGACTCTACTGAAAGATGCCTCAGTCTGTTAATAAGGGAAATTATTGAGGAAATGGAGGAAAAGGAGGAGGAAATGGAGAGAGTCAGTTCAGAAAACATGGCCACTCAAGAGAAGCTACAGGCATATGATGTGCTGCCAGAATTTCTAAGTTTCCAGTTCTTTGGGGAGCTCAAGATTTTGGAATAGCTGGGATAAAAAGAGAAATCTCTTTCAAGCTGAGTGAAAAGCCCACTCTAGCTCTCCTGAAGAGACAGGAAGAGAAAAGTGGGGCAGAGAACCCATCGGCAAAGCTCTGGGCTTGGGGCACAGGGTCTCTGTGACATCCTGGGCACCTTCACTGTGGCCAGTGAGGAGGAAGTTCTGCCCCAGCCGGCCTGCGGGGACTATGGGGCAAGGGAGGAGCTCTTCCTCTAGAAATACAGCAGCCTCACCCTTGTGGGGTAGCTGTTTCAGGCACCAGAAGGACTCAGCCCATGGACTCCGGCCACCTGGGGCTTGGTTTCCTCAATGCAGCATTTCAATGCCTGAGCAGGTGCCCCGAGCTTAACAGTTCATGACTCCTGATGACAACAAGGAAGGATTGCTCCACATTTTGTCCAAGGCGATCATCAAGTTGGGGAAAGCATAGGTACTGGAATTTTCAGATTCATAAAGCCATAGGCTTGTAGAGTTGGAAAATACCTCAGTATTCACAAATTAAGCCTTTGTGGGATTGTTTTGTTTGCACTGTTTTCATAGAAAATGAAAAGCACATTCCAGAAAAATTCAATGGCTTGGCAGGCCATCCAGCCTTCCCTGCAGCCCCGCTCCACTGCCGTCCTCCTTAAGTGGCTGCATTCTCCCAGGGCTAAGCATCCACAGGTCCCAGGGGGCATGCCCACTGGACCCAGAACTCCTCTGCAATTCCCTGTCCAAATGATCTAAAGCTCACTTCTAGGGCCTGTGTGAGCTGAGTCAAGGCTGGTCCCGGATCGTGCAGGCTAGTGTCCATCCATGGCACACGAGGCCACTTGGGAAAACAGGGGAAAGAAGAAAAGGGGAGCGAGCCATGGGGCAGTGGGCTGTGCACCACCACAGGCCAGTGTGGAACTCCAAGGATGCCAAGAAGCTGACATTTGAACCCAGGTCATTATGAAGGTGGTTATTTAGCAGTTTGTTAGCTTCGTTTGTAACTTTAAGTATTGAGACATAAATGGCATGAGGACCCCCCAAGGCACTCTACTCAGGGCCCTTCCTGCAGCTCACCATGACACACACTCAGCTTCCTGAGCAGCTGCCTGATGTCCAGGCTCAGATGTGCACATCCCATAAGACATGCTTTGCCCAGACCCAAGCCTTCTTGGTTTTATACTTTAGTACATTTCATAAGAGACCACAGATTATTGTAGCCAAATCCCACAGTCTTGAGTCATGGTGAGTTTCAGGGGGCACATTTCATCCATAAGACACTGCACAGCACCTGGTCAGACGGCATTCCAGGCACACAGCCTAGCCCTGGTGCAATTCTTGTTTTCCAGCAGAGCTAGGCAGCCTCTTTGGTCCTGAACAATACTGATTGCCACATTCATCCTCTAACAGTTGCCAAAAAGCAAAAGAGGAAGGGGGAAAGGAGAGGAGAGAGGAAACATTGCAGAAGAAGGTAAAAAAGCATCCACTACTCCATATTCTGGGGACAAAGCAGAGAACAAGACACAGCCTCTGCTTTCACGGTGTTAACATCCTAATGCATCAGTCAGCACATTTTTTTTTTCTGTAAAGGGCTGGACAGTGACTATTTCAGACTTTGCAAGTCATACAGCCTCTGGTTGCAACTACTCAACTTGGCTGTGGTTCACGGAAGCAGCTATAGACAACATGTAAGGAATGGGCAAAGCTGGGTTTGGCTCACAAGCCATACTGTGCCCACCCCTGTTCTAGCAAGTAAACAGATTAATGTTAAGGGACATCAGACACAGCTTCAGGTGCCTTTTAAGGACCCCCCCCCCCCCACACCCATTGCCACTTGTTCCATTTTCTGTTTTATAGTAGGAACTGCAAGTAACTCCAGTTTAGCTGGGACAGCAGATGTTGAAAGATAAGTTGAAGGTCAGAGAATGGGGACAATTTTAAGCTCAGAAACTGTGATTTTAGATCTTCGTTGAACTAAATCAACAGCTGACAGCAGCCAGCCTGCAGGAAGGTGTAATAAGCCTGGGTTTTTACCTGCTTCCCCCATCAGCCCCACTTCATGTAACAAGATGTCTTATAGGTACAGCATCAAGTCCCACCTAAACCAGCAGGAGCCTGAGGGCTCAACTCCAAACATTCATAATTGTTCCCTCAGCTAAATGTCTAGGGAGCTCTATAGAAACAAAATAGCAAGGTCAGTAGGTTGATCACTTTTAAAATGTGGGCTCTTGGGCAAAAATGTCAGGGAAGAGCCAGGAAGTCCCAATGTATTCGTAGTCCCCACTTTGGAGAGGATTCCCTATTTTGGAGTGTTCAATGGTATTTATCACTATAAAGGTGTAGATGATGAACTTTGAAAACTACAGGATGGTAAGCAATTATAAGGTAATGTTACACTTTTTGTTATTTTAATTGTCCTCACTTTCTGAGATCCTGAACTGATTAATTTTCCTGTTTCAATTGTAGGCATGACTCTTCTCCTGTCCTAAGAGACTTAAAAAAAACCCTCAGATTCCTTCTCTTCCACCTTCTTCACCCCCTGTATTCTACCACTTGCCAAAATACAGCTTCCAACACCACAAGGTCATTCCCAAATACCCCTTTTGCCTTTCTTTTATCACTGTCCTTTCTCTGATAGAGGCCTTTATTACTTCCTGCCTGGGTGATGTTCCAGCTCCAAGCCTGGCCTGGCCTCGCCTCTCCCACATCCACTGATACTACTCTGCTTCTTAAAATTCATTTCCTGAGGTCTGTTTGGTAACCACGATTGAACACTTACTATTAGCCAGGCACTGTGCTAACTGCCACATACAATAAAAGTCCCCAACACCACTCTGGTTGGGAAGTTGTCTCAGAAATAGATGAGGTCAATTTAGTAGGGAAAGGGAGGGAGAGGGGATGGGAGAAGGAGAAGGAAAGAGGAGGAGAGAGAGATTGAGAAAACATGAATGAATGAATTATAGGAGCCCAAAAGAAGCACACTCAACTAGCAGGAAGTGGGAGGAGTAGGGAAGTCTTCCCAAAAGGATCATTCACTTAAGTTCTCAATGGTTCCTATAAACTGCAGAGTTAAGTGCAAAATCCTCACTTTGACATTAAAGGCCTTTTATGATTTGGCCCCAACTTACCCTTCCAGATTGACCCCTTGCCAGTCCACATATGAGCTACAGTCTAGCCAAACAAAACCCCTAAATTCAACCCTCATTTTCCTGTCCTTGTCTTTAATTATTCTCTCCCCCCTCCCTAGAATATCACTTTTCAAATTTGTATTCAGTGTTAACAACTAGTTATCTACATGAAAGTATTTAAAAAATTAAGTTAGTTCTATCTCACAGCATACACAAAGATAAACTCCAAGTGGATTAAAGTATTCTTTTTAAAAAATAAGAAGTCATTTTTATGTAATAATTTTTAAATTGTGAAACAATCACAAATTTACAAGAAAGTTGCAAGTATAATAGAATTTTCTCTTCAATCATTTGACAAAAAACTGCCAACCTGAAGCCTCATAGTTTGTATAGTTTGTATATTTCCTACAAACAAGTGCATTCTCCTGCATGATCACAATACAACCACCAACAGCAGTAAATTAACATCACTACCATCTAATCCTCAGACCCCATTCAAGTCTCAACAATTATCCCAATAACCTCCTCCTTTATAGCAAAAGGATCCAGTTCAGAATCACATGTTGCATTGAGTTGACAGGTCTTTTTGATCTCCTTTAGTTTGGAACAGCTCCTCAGTCTTTTAACGATGACAGGTCAGTTATTTTTTAGTGTTCTTCAATGTGGGCATGTTTGATGTTTCCTCATAATGAGATTTATGTTATGTATCTTTGGCAGGAATATCTCAGAAGCGATACTGTGTTCTTTCATTTCATTGCATCCTATTAGATGGCGTGCAATTTCAATTTGACCCATTACTAATGATGTTCACTTTAATCACTTGATTACGGAGGTGTCTGCAGGCTTCCATAAGATGATTCTCTTTTCCTTTGTAATTAACAAGAATTTTATTTATTTATACGTATTTATGAATTCATGGCTTCCTATTTTATTCAATGGGTTTAATTCTTTACTATTTAACTTAATGTCCAATTTGTCTCTTATTTAGCTAGTAGAAATCCATCAAATGGCTCTTGTGTCCTTTTGATGTGTTTCACATCATTCTTTGAGCACTTACCTGCTTTCTGGCACAACAAGATATTCCAGGTTTATCTTGCCATTTCCCAATCTGGAATCACCCATTTCCCCAAGGGCCCTGGTTCTTTTTAGGGAAAATACTATTCAGAAGCCAACATCTAGGCTCTCTTAGTGGACAATTAGAGAATATGTATGTATGTATGTATGTACATATGTATAGATAGAGAATAGATATATATACAGTCATATCTATATTTATTTCTCTATATATTAATGTATACATCAACAATCGTGAGGTTATGCTGATACCTCCAATTCCAATACATCACAGCATTTACTTTCATTTTTTTCTTTCCACATTTTCAGCTCCCTTCCCTTAAAAATTGGCTCCCAATATCTTTAAGATATTTATACACACATTTACTTATATGATCGATCCCTCTGGATATAACACATCTCCCATCTCCACCATTGTCCTCCTGCCTACCTTCCCCAACAAGAATCTCACCTGACACTACCGGGGTTCTGACACCCACACTTCCCCCCCTGCTCAGGCTCTGACTCCCCACCCTGGGCCACTCCAGCACATAGATACCCTCCTCACCCTGCCTGGGGTCTGGTTTCCACACCAGGCCACCTTCCTACACAGACGCCCTCCTTGCCTCGCCTGGGCTCTTACACCTGCTCACAGCCCCTGAGGCTCCCCTCAGCCCTACCTGGGCACCTACCCGGCTCCCTAACACCTAAGAGCCTTAAGAATGATTTACTCGGCCGGGCATGGAGGCTCACGCCTGTAATCCCAGCACTTTGGGAGGCCTAGGCGGGTGGATCACAAGGTCAGGAGATCAAGACCATCCTGGCTAACACAGTGAAACCCCGTCTCTACTAAAAATACAAAAAATTAGCCAGGTGTGGTGGCGGGCACCTGTAGCCCCAGCTACTTGGGAGGCTGAGGCAGGAGAATGGCGTGAACCCAGGAGGTGGAGCTTGCAGTGAGCCAAGATCAGGGCACTGCACTCTAGCCTGGGCAACAGAGCGAGACTCCGTATCAAAAAAAAAAAAAAAAAAAAAAAGAATGATTTACTCAGAAAGAAAGGAAACAGAAGAGGGAAAAGAAGAGTACCCAAGACCACTTTTGAAAAACCAAAGTGGAAAATCCTTAGAAGAAAACATAAGATACTGTTTTCATTGTGTTAAGAAAAGTTTTCTTAATAATGTTGGTTGCTAACACTTAATGAGTGCCAGGGACTCATGGCACTAATGAGTCAACTATGTGCCAGGGACTGTTTTAAGCACTTTATATATTTAATTACATAATCCTTACAACTACCTAATAAGCAGGAACTGTAATTATCTCCATTCGACAGATAAATGGATGGAAACCCAAAGAGGTAAACTTGACCGAAACTGCACAGTAAGCCGTGGGGCTGGGATTTAAACCCACATGGTCTGGCTCCAGAGCTTATATTCTTACTCACTACTCCATACAGCCTCTCCAAAGACACATAACAAAACATGCGCATGTGCGCACACACATACACAGACGCACACACACACACGCGCACACTCCGTAGGGGAAAAGATTCATCAATTTGAGCACATTAAAATGAAAAACATACACAAAACAAAACACACTCTAAAAAATAAAGACAGACTGCAGACAGGAAGAAATTATTTTCAGTGTACATAATGAACAAAGAATTAGTATTTTGATAGATGTAAAAAAGACAAATAACCAAAAAGACAAATGAGCAAAGAATACAAATAGACACTTCACAGAAGGGGAAACTCAGATAGTCACTAAGCATGTGAAAAGATGCACAGCCTCACTAGTAATCAAGGAAATAAAAATCCAAATAACAACGGGATACTATTTCACACCTATTAGGTTGGCAAAAATCAGAAAGATGAATGCTACCAAATCTGTCATCATCATGAATTGGGAACTCTCCCTACTAGTGGACATGTGTGAAGATTAGAAGAAGACTTAGAAGATTCAGCATATAATTGTACTCATGTCTAAGATGTATTACAGCAATGGAGTAAGAATACACAGCTGGATCATACAGGAAGAAAACATGGAAAGGATCTGGTGGGATCCATGCATAGGCTCCTGTATGCTTTCCCCCTCCCATGAGGGATCACATGGAGTACATTCATTTCCCAGTGGTGAAAATGCAGCAACAGGTATGTGATGCTTCTGCCCAGAGAAGCCCATTAGAGAGTTGGTACCCAAGGTTTTTATTGTGTCACATAAGCACACTTTAACTAGCATGTTTCAAAATTCCAGTCTCCCAGGAGGAAAGGAAGGGCTCAGCATGAACCACATTGTTTGCACAGTCTAGGCACAGTAAGCCATGCTTATTCATTAAAGAACAATAGGAACACTCCAGAAACCCAAGTTCCCAGATGCCAGCTAAGGGCTAGCCTTGCAAGCAGGCCCTTCTAAAAACAGCAGCTTCGGGTCTGCTATGATAACCATTTACTGCAGAATGTCCATGGATAGGACCAGTTTGGACAGCCTTTGACAACATCTAGTTAAGTTAAAGATGTGCATGTCCACTGGCTCAAACCTTTCTTCTAGGTCTACTCTGTCTTAGAGAAACTGGACATGTGCACAGGAGGAGATGCTCAGGTGTGTTCCTTGCAGCCTCGTTTATAAAAGCAAAATATTAAAAACAATCTGAATGCTAATCAAGAGAAAATGAGTAAATAAAGTATGACCTGTTCATGCAATGGATGTTATGTAGTAATGAAAATGAACTAGAAATGGGTAAGTCTCAAAATATAATGTTAGTAAAAATATATAATGGCAGCAAGATCTTCCATGGCCACTCTAAGGAAAATTTTGATTTCCTCTACAGCCATCCTCATGTCATATTCCCTTCTCTGCTTTTTCTTATATTGTTAGTAGTTGTCACTTTGTCACATACCACGTTTTTATTTATTTATCTTGCTTATTGTCTCTCTGCCCCTCTGGAATACAGAGAATAAATTTTCATTTATTTTTTATGGCTGTATCTCCAATGCCTAAAACAATACTTGGCTATAGTAGTTAATAAAGTACTTCCTACCTGGGAAACACCATTCTGGACTTCGTCTGGGAAATAACTTATAACTAAGTCCTCAAAAGCAATTGCATCAAAAACAAAAATTGGCAAGTGAGATCTAATTAAATTAAAGAACTTCTATACAGCAAAAGAAATTGCCAACAGAGTAAACAGACAACCTACAGAATGGGAGAAAAAATTCACAAACTATGCGTCTGACAAAAGTGTAATACACAGAACTTATAAGGAACTTAATTCAACAAGCAAAAAACAATCCCATTGAAAAGTGAGCAAAAGACATGAACAGACACTTCTCAAAAGAAGACATACAAGCAGCCAACAAACACGTGAAAGAACGTTCAATATCACTAATCATCAGAGAAATGCAAATCAAAATCACAAGTAGATACCATCTCGCACCAGTCGGAATGGCTATCATTACAAAGTCAAAAAACAATAAATGCTGTGAGACTGGAAAAAAGGAAACACTTATACACCGTTGGTGGGAATGTAAGTTAGTTCAGCAACTGTGGATTTCACAAAGAACTTAGAACTACCATTTGACCCAGCAGTCCCAATAAATCATCCAGAATGATTTATTTCTCAAAAGAAAATAAGTCATTGTACCAAAAAGACACATGCACACATATGTTCACTGCAGCACTATTTATAATAGCAAAGACATGGAATCAACCTAGATGCCCATCAACAGTAGACTGGATAAAGAAGAAAATGTGAGATTATATATATATATATATATATATATATATATATATATCATGGAATACTATGAAGCCATAAAAAAGAACAAAATTATGTCCTCGGCAGCAACATGAATGCAGCTGGAGGCCAATATCTTAAGAAAATTAAAAAGCAAAAGAAAACCAAAACCACATGTTCTCATTTATAAGTGGGAGCTAAACATTGGGTACTCATGGACCTAAAGATGGCATAATAATAATAGACACTGAGGACTACTAGAGGGGGCAGGGAGGGAAGGGGGAAAGGGTTGAAAAACTAACTATTGGATACTATGCTCACCACCTGGGTGATGTGACCAATGATACCCTAAGCCTCAGCATCACACAATACACCCATGTAATAAACCTGCACATATACTTTTTAAATGTAAAATAAAAGTTGAAATTATTTAAACAATAAGGTATTTGCTGAATTAATAAGTGAAGTATGGTGCAATTTTTATAAAATTTAAAACGTAAAATACTAAATACTATAGATACATGTGTATATAGTAAAAAAAAAAATATTGTGACATGCATGAGGATTATCAACACCAACTTCAGGAAGTGATTGTCTGTTCCTAGGCAGGGAAAGAAGGGGATGAGATCAGAGAGAGCTACAAAGGAGGCTCAACTGTATCTGTAATATTTAAATTTCTTAAAAATATGTGACACAAACATGGCAATACGTTAAGAATTGACAAAAAAAAGTGGTGGGCACACAGATATTTTTAAGATTATTCTCTATATTTTTATATGCTTGAAATGGTTCCTTTAAAAATATTATATCCCTGCTGGGCACTGTGGCTCATGCCTGTAATGCCAGCACTTTGAGAGAATCGCCTGAGCCCAGGAGTTTGAGATCAACCTGGGCAACATGGCAAGACACCATCTCTACAAATATTTTACAATATATTAAATAAATAGAAATAAAAATTAAAATATTCTACCCAGAGCAAATATCTTACACCACCAGCCACCACCCCTGCCAACATCACCATCAAGCAGAAGCTGCCTTCATTCCCATGAATATTCACAGCCATATGTGCACAACTCTTCTGAATGACAACTTACTTCACTTCTCCCAGCTCCCTACTGGACTGCAAGATCTCTGATATTGAATTTTACTCATCTTTGCATCCCTCACATGATCTTTCATGGTATCTTGCTATAAAATGTATTTTCATTAAATACTGAATTGGGTAGAACAAAAATGTTAATTTGGGAAAGAGCAGACAGAACGGGCTACGTAATCTGTGGGGCCCAGTGCAAAATGAAAATGTGGTCACCTTGTTAAAAAAATTAGACTTTCAAGAAGGCAGTAACAGAGCATTAAATCAAATGCAGAGCCCTATGAGTGTAGAATCCTGTGCAACTAAACAGGCCACATACCCTTGAAGCCGGCTGACAACAGGCTTTGAATTCACAATTCACAAAGTATCTGAATGATTTATAAGGATGGAATGTAGGGAGGCCGCTAGCTATGCATCCAAATCCATTCTTTTCTTTTTCTACAGTAACAGAGTAATAAGTTGGTGGGTGGTCGCCCAGGTAAGAGCTACATTTCTCAAGCTCATAGTAAGGTGTGGCCTTGTCACTAAGTTTTCTCCAGCAGAACAGAGTAGAAAGGATGTGTCCAAAGTCCAAGAAGCATTGCCCCTCCACGCTGTCTTCCCCGACTCTGCCATATGACATGTGGATTTATGGTAACCCAGTTTCGACCATGGAAACAGCCTCAAGGACTCAGGATAGCAGAGCCACAAGATGGAAGGACTCTGGGTCCCTGAGCGTTTGTGTGGAGCAGGACTGCAGCACAGTCCCCTTAGACCACTAGGTGGCCCAAGTTAGTGAGGGTCTCTGGCTACAGCAGCTGAGCTTGGGTAACTTAAGTGATAGGATGAAAATACTATTTTTTATTCATACAACAGCCAGATATATGACCTTCCAGACTAAGCCAATGCTGTAACAGGCCTGCAGGCCCCTGTGCACTGGCGGCAGCAGTGGGCCCTGGGTCAGCTCTGAGGAAGGAGCTTAGTTTAGAGGAGGAAGGAGCTTAGTTTAGAGGGGGAAGGGAACTCAGCTCAGGTGGGACAGACAGCTCTCTCCAGAGAACTCAAGCAGCTGCACAGGATGTTAAAGTTCCTTGACAGAGCAAGCTTGGAAGTCCCACACTGAAAATATCTTACGGTACAGTCCATTAAAGATGTCCCCAGAGTGCCCAGAATCCTTCCTGCCAGCCTGGGATGGGCTCCTCACCAACCATTCAGATCTCTGTCTCTAGGAGAATCAGTAAGCAGGATCACTGGAGCTGAAAAGCAGCTGGGCTGTGGCAGATGGATCAGGGAAAGAGACTATTTACACAGCAGGATTGAGACAACACAGAGTCATCTAGTTCCCACCAAGGCTCCAAACAGCTCCCAAGCCATGTTAAGCCCCAAATCCAACCAGCTACTCACTGGATAACATCCAGGGATCAAGGATCAGAAGTTATATAACAAGCACATATCCCACAATGCACGCACATGCACGTGCACATGCACACACACACACACACACACACACACATCTTTCTTTGGCAACAGGCCTTGGCTTTCATAACCACATTCTACTTGGATTTGCTTGGGAATTTTAACAGCTACAATTAATGAATGTCTATGCCTCATATTCCTATTTCCCTGAAAACTGGGCCAGCTAACTGAAGAGGCTTAGGCAGAGGGAAACTAGGATATCTGACCTTGGACCTTGCAAAACCAAAGACGGATAGGAAGGAATCTGGAATTTGCCAAAGGATGCAGCTGAGAAAGTATTTTCAATATTTAGCATTTTCAACATATTTAACATGTTTTCCAAGAAACAGCCAGGCTACTCACTAAAGCCCATAAAAAAGCCAAGGTTTAGGGAACTTGCCTGAGGTCAGAGGGAAACTGAATGCCAGAGCCAGGACCAGGCTCAAGTCTTAACGGCCCCAGTCCTGCTCCAGCCCGCATACATACCTCTCTCCCTTTTAATTAAAAAGAACAGCAGAGGAGCAGACAGGTATCAAGCAAAGGCCAAATGGCATGTACTGCGTATACATGTCAGACTCTCTTCTCAAAAACACAGTGCAGTTGCAGGACCTAAAACACTAGTGAGAAACAAATCTTGGGACTGTAACAGCAAGGTAGGATGGAGAAGGGGGTTGAAACAATGCTGAAGCCATATGCAGAGAGCCCAGGAGTGGTTCCCACCTGGAGGCAGGCACCCGCAGGGCTGTGCATACACAGCCAAGCAGAGAGCAGCGGGGCCAGGACGGAGGTGGGGAGCCAGGACAACTTGCCTTCACGATACTCCCTGATGGCATGGTTCCATGGAAATCTGATGAATAGACATCCTTTCATTCAACCTTTTGATGAAGTGGAAAAAAATGGCAAATACAGGCCAAGCTGAAAATAATAAAACAAAAGGATGTAAGAAAGCTAAAGAAACATGCATGGTGAGCCATTTGGAATAAACACTCTGCTGCTGACACACCCTGGGATTCTGGAAAAAGACAGTTAACACAGGGAGGCGGACACAAGCTTCTTGTCAGGCTAAGGTTAAAAGGTCTGCCAAGGTAACAGAAGCTGGCTGTTTAGGGAAACTGCATCTTCTATCAGAGGCCTCTGCAAAAAGAAAGAACTTCAGGAGTGTTAATAAAGTTTCAAACGTGCAAACTCATGGGCGCACCATTTCGTGATCTGAGTTTATTTTGGGAGAGCAAGAGATGAAAAAGGGGCTACATATGGTTGACCAGAGCAGAGGGAGGGGTGCTGGCCTGTTTTTAAGCCATGAAAGCCTTGGTTAATAGCAGAGAGAGGAGACTGGGGAGAATCTTATCAAGGAGTTCCTGCCTACCATGCCCACATGCCCACCCTTCCATAGGTATCTATTGCCATGAACACTCACCAGCACCCACAACTTCCCTCTGGTTGACAGCCCAAAACAAGGCCTTCATTATAAAGCCTCATGGCAGAGCCTGCCAAGCCTCCCAAGAGCTGGTGGGAGCATACCAGCTATACCTTTCCCAAACTCTTCCCCATTCTTGGCCCAGTTTTTGTCTGACCCCTGACCCTCACTGATGGTGTTGTTTGTGGCCCCTACTCTAATTCCTACCTTTAAGACTTGGTATGGTTTTTACTTGATCTTAGGAGCACTGACCCTTAGTACGCCGACAAATGCCCACTCAGACCTCCTTTCTCCTTCAAAGTCCTGGGGTGAGGTACATGTCTTAGTTTCAGGCCCTGGGTTCCCTCACTCCCAGTGGTAGCCCACCCATCTGCCACCCCCACCAGTCCAACCCCAGCCTCAGGTGGGTGGTTTTGCAGAGTTAGAACAGGGACATACTGTGGTGGTACCTCTATTTGTAATTTGTTCCGTATGTTATACCTAACTTAATCTTTAGTTAAATGTACACAGCTAATCTCATATCTTGGGTTTATTTCTTTTATTAATTTTATTGTCCTTTAGCGACCAGAATTTAAAACCACCAATATTCAGGTTTTGTTAAGAAGACATACCAACCCAAATAGACTCAAAGCTCTGGTATCTCTAACTGAAGATCTTTGTTAGCTCTCACCTGTTTCTGAGCCCCTACTATGGGTCGAGAAGCATAGAGTGCACTGAGAAACCAAGGACAAGACACAATTCCCAATCTTGCAGGGCTCAATGTCCCATGGGGAGAAAGGCAAATATCCAGTGTTATGATTCAGGGTGAGTTTCACTAAGAGGGAGGAAGTGGAGGCATGCCTGATCCAAAGGAGATGATGACTAAACTCACTGTTAAGAAGACTAACAGAATAACAAGGGGGAAGAGTAAGGAGAGGAGGGGAATGGTAGAGAGAGTACTCTAAGAATGGGAGCAGCATGGGAGTGATAGAGAGACCCTGGCAAGTTCTCTGAGATGCATCAGTATGGCTAGAAGTGGGGAGATGTGTGTTTGGTAGGTGCTTCCAGGGAAGATAGAAACCAGTCAAGCTATGTGCTGGTGCACCTTGTACTCCAAGCTAAGCCATTTGGATTTTAGCTTGTGGTGTACTTTGACTCTTACACTTTCATGAACATAAAATCACAAGGAGAGCTTGTTTTAACTGTAGGCTCCTGAACCCTGCATGCAGAAATTCAGATTCAATGGCCAGAGAGTGGACCCAGGAGTCTGCAGGTTGATAATCCCTCCCTTCCCAGGGTGAGTTTGATGCAGGGGATTGTTGGGTGACACTTTTCCAAACACAGCTGTAGGAGACATGGAGTTATAGAGGGGTGGCATGATCAGGACTGTTTCAGAAAAATCACTCTTACAGAAAGCACCCTGTACATGCTCACTCAGCAGAGCCCCCTAATCCTTTGATAATCCTCCTGTAACCTTCTGTTGCCCAGGGGCTGCAAAGCTCAGAGTGGGCTCTGAGAGTGACAGTCTCCTGAGAAGAGAGGCCACTGGGAAGGCCATGTCTGAGTGGTCCTGGACTGCTTTGTTTTGCCTCTTTTGTAGCCCAAAACCCAAGACAAGGAGGTGTGCTGGTTGTGAAAGCATGAAAGCCCTGGGGCCCCAGGTCCATTGATGGGCTTATGGATTCTGGAGGACACAGCTAGGGGCTAGAGCCTGGAACAGATCCCTGTCTGGTCTAGCCAAGGCTGCAGAAGCTCCTGACAGGATGGAACCTGTGCTCATTTTGTTAACAAAAGACCCAGGGGAATTTGGGTTCAGGTCCTGTCAGCTATTTACCCCTGAAATGTCAATGAAAGCACCTCCTAGAGCTGACCTCACCCTGATTAATGTAGTCTAGCTTCCTGCAGCCAATACTGATAAATTCACTGATAAATATTTTGTATGTGGGTTTTTGTAGCGACTGCCTTCTTATAACCTGGGGATACTGGGAATGGTCAGAAACCCAGGCTGGGTGGCTGACGCTGGCTGACAGCACAGAAGGCTAGGTGATGTTATCTCTTCTTGTTACTCACAACCTGCTCACACCAAATTCCAGGTCCTATCAGCACCCACCATCTGTCTCATCTTCCCATGCTTCCTCCAAAGCAAGAGTCTCATCTCTCCCAAATTTAGACAATGCTATGGAAAGTATCATTTTGCATCATAATTTTAGAACATGATGTCAGAGCAAGAGGGCAAGAAACAAGTCTTGGGCTTCTTTTTTCTGGCTCTTGGTAGCAAGCAGCTACTCCAATGAGCAGGTCTGAAATGAGCAAGAGATCTCTCTATGGGTGGGGTGGGCTGGGACTCACTTTCAGCCCCCCAGCCAATATGCTAAAAACTCAGCTCCAAGGCCACCCAGTCACCAGCTATTATACTGGGACCACTTGTTGACTAAACACTTCCCAGATAACTTTTTGGCCTATGCTTAACATAATTGCCCCTTCACCAGCTGAATCCTGACTGGAACTTGCTGGTATTGTGACCCCATTGCCATCTGGTGGGACAGCATTAAAGATCTGGAGAAGAAAACAGAAAAAATAATCATATTCAGGTGCTTTAAACGTCTATAAGGAGATAGCTCAATTTAAGGTAGAGACAGGGACCTAAATTAAACATTTTGGCTTTTCTATGTCAAACTGTCTGTCAATTTATAGGCCATAAACATTTAAACGTCATATTTGTGTGTGTGTGGTCTGATGATATTTGCGTGCAGTCGATACCTAAAATATTTAAGAAACATCAACCTTATGTCACTAATTAAAGGATAAGTTTCACACAAGTATCAAACATATTTATAATTAATAAGGAGCTTCTAGAGAGTTGATCATTTGGAATCTACTTTCAATATCATGCTCAGGCCAGGCATGGTGGCTCATACCTGTAATCTCATCACTTTGGGAGGCTGAGCCAGACAGATCATTTGAGGTTAGGAGTTCGAGACCAGCCTGGCCAACATGATGAAAACCCATCTCTACTAAAAATACAAAAATCAGCTGGGCATGGTGGCACATGCTTGTAATCCCACTACTCAGGAGGCTGAGGCAGGAGAATCACTTGAACCCGGGAGGCGGAGATTGCAGTGAGCTGAGATCAAGGTCGAGCCACTGCACTCCAGCCTGGGTGACAGAGCTGAGACTTTATCTCAAAACAAAAACAAACCATGAACAAAGCTTGAGATGGCTATCAAGGATACTATTCTACTCTAAAGAACTAAAGCAATAAAATCATTACAACTTGTTAACATGAGGAATTGAGTGGTTGGGTTTAGTAAGACCCAGACAAAGTACCTGCGCATCTTGGTGCAGAGACCAAGAGGCTGATGGGTCAGGACAATTCAGTGATGATCATCCCTCTGCTGCTCATGACACCCATGACACCTAGAGACAGGGATTTAAAACTGGCCCAACTAGGGAGTGCAGTCACCATCCATTCGGATCTGGGATAAAGATACCTGAAGTCCCAAGATAACTGTTAGATCTAGGAATTGGTTGTAACTAGAATAAGCCTTCAGGTAGTCTCCAAAATGATATGTTTATACATTTTATAGCTATTTTGTCAAAAGTGGGACATATAAGTCAGACATGTCCACATACAGGAAACTCATTCATGTCAATTAATTCTAGACATTATTACCTCAACATTAACTATGAGAATTAAACTGAGGCTCAGAGAAATTCAGGATCATATAACTGGTAAGTGGTAGAGTTCACCCAGAATGGTCTGTCCCCACCCCCATCTTGTTTCCACTACACTTTCTTTCCAGCACACCATACCTGTGACACCTGGGTTTACTGTCTTGTTCAAGGGACATGGCTGTTTCTCAGTCTTATAGTCAAGAATTTCCATCTGGGGTACACAACAATTATAACAAAAAACTATAATTATTGGTCATGTCTGGCCTGCCAGTGTAGGATGGCCCCCAATACCATCAAGGCCAAAATCAAAGATCAGGGGGCCCCACTGCCATGCCTTCACCCTTCCCAAGTACTCTCAGCTTGGGGACCCAACTCAGAACCACAGAATAAATTTTCAGACACCAAATGGCAAAGGTGAGTGATACGGTTTGGATCTGCGTTCCCGTGCAATCCCATGTTGAATTGTAATCCCCAGTGTTGGAAGTGAGGCCCGGTGGGAGATGATTGGATCATGGGAACAGTTTCTCCTGAATGCTTTAGCGTCATCCCTCTTGGTATTGTCCTCATGACAGTGATTTCATTTTTGCAAGATCCGTTTTTGTTGTTGCTGTTGTTGTTGTTGTTGTTGTTGTTTTGAGATGGAGTCTCACTCTGTCTCTCAGGCTGGAGTGCAGTGGTGTGATCTCGGCTCACTGCAACCTCCACCTCCCAGGTTCAAGCGATTCTCCTGCCTCAGCCTCCCAAGTAGCTGGGACTACAGGCATGCACCACCACCCCCCAGCTAATTTTTGTATTTTTAGTAGAGACGGGGTTTCACCATGTTAGCCAGGCTGGTCTCAAACTCCTGACCTCAAGTGATCCACCCACCTCAGCCTCCCAAAGTGCTAGGATTACAGGCATGAGCCACCACGCCTGGCCAAGATCTGGTCATTTAAAAGTGTGTGGCACCTCCCCTCCCACCCCCCTCCCCCCGCTTTCTCCTGCTCTGGCCATGTGACGTGTGTGCTCCCCCTCTGCCTTTTTCTGTGATTGGAAGCTTCCTGAGGCCTCCCCAGAAGCTGATGCCACCATGCTTCCTGTTGAGGCTGCAAAACTGTGAGTCAATTAAACCTCTTTTCTTTATAAATTGCCCAGTCTCAAGTATTTCTTTATAGTAATTCAAGAATGGACTACTACAGTGAGTTTCAGGAGATCAATATTTTCACACACACAAAGGCACACAGACAGCTGGGTTGCTCTTCATCTTAGGCACACAAAGGATTTTATAAGTATCTGGTTGGTTCCTCTCAGATATTATATTTCAGGTGGGTCAGTTGAGTCCTTCCTATTCTCAAATTGTCATCTCAATTTATAAATTATGACTGCCCCAAGCTGTAACAATTATGTTGCAAAGCTGTGGCTCTGTAACCTACTCATGGCAAAACAGAGAAGGCTTAAAAGACATAATAGAAATGGGAGGAACACTAACATTTGTCAGGTCTCTATTACAAACCAGGAGCTTTCAAAATAATCCTATGAAGTAGTTATTCTTACCCTCACTTTTTAGCTGAGGCCACTCAAGCTTTGGGAGGTTAAGTGATCTGCCAAACTCATACAGGTAATGAGAGGCAGAGCTGAGATTTGAATCCAGATTTGTCTCTTTCTCTCTCTCTCTCTCTCTCTCTTTTTCAGAGACGGTGTCTCACTATGTTGCCCAGGCTGGAGTGAAGTGGTGTGAGCATAGCTCACTGCAGCCTTGAACTCCTTATCTCAAGCAATCCTCCCGTCTCAGACTCCTGAGTAGCTAGGACTACAGATGTGCACCACCATGCCCAGCCAGATTTGTCTCTCTTAACATCAATATATTATCTCACTTAATTTAATTTAATTTAATTTAATTTACTATTCTTAACATTATTACTATTACTCCTCCTTTACAGGCAGAAAACTGAGGTTGCTTATGAAAAGGGTTTGCCCTCTGGGACACTCAACTTAAGCACTTTTCAGTCTTACAAAACCATTATTAAAACACAAATCAAGACTCCTAACAGAATACAACACAATATAAGCTCTTGAGGACAAACCCCTCACAATAAGCACTCAACTGTTTCACAGTTCCAGGAGAACTATGTATAGCCCTCATGTTTTAATGGTACAACCATTATGTTTTAATGATACAACCATTACCTACGTAATGATGTAATGAGCCACCTCAAATGAACCAAGACTTCCAAATCAAGATCTGAAATAAAACTCAGATCTGAAGAGAGGATTCTGGGAAGATAGCAGAGTAGGGAAGCACCAGGAATCTATCTCCCCACCTACACAACAATTTCGGTGGCAGGATCTGTCTGATGTGACTATTTTGGAACTCTAGAGTCTATTAAAAGACTTCCAATTTCCAGGGGAAGGCTTGCATGGTAAAGTGTGGGTTAATTTTAGTCAACTTCAGCTCATAGCAGCTACCCATCACTCATGCCCAGGGCAGGCAGCTGTGATGTGTTCCTGGAGCAGCTTGCTGGCAACTAGCGGAAGGCAGGACAGACAATAAGGACCCTCTGCTCCAAAAATTGGGGATCTGTGTTCTGATTACTGATTGTTGCTTCTGATCTTGAAGATGCAGGCACAGGCAGGCAGCCATTATTGCTCCCTTTCCCCTATTGTTGCAAGTCCTTTCTCCTCAAGCAGAAGCAAATTCTGGGGGATTTAAAGTGCTGTGTCCTTTTCCTCCCTGCTCTACCCTTTCATTTTTCTCTTTTTCCCCTTTTGGGAGCCAAACATGTAAAGTCTTGTACATTCAAGAGCAACCATACACACAGGGCAGTTTAGAAAATGATTGTGCATGCCCAGGGAAAGGTGCAGGCTTTAAAAAGACCTGAAAAGACTTTAGGTTTGCACCTCAGGCTGATCCTTGGCATAGAGACAGCCCACAACAATCAAAAAACAAAAATGAAAATCAGTAAACCTTGGGGAAGAGTTAGAATCTGATTTCCAGAGTTACTGCGATATTAGATTCAAATGTCCAGTTTCAATAACAACAACAGAAAAATCACAAGGCATACAAAGAAACAGGAAAGTACGGCTTCTTCAAAGGAAAAAGTAAACCAACAAAAGCTGTCCCTGAGCAAGACCAAATCACAGACTTGTTAGACAAAGACCTTAAAACAACTGTCTTAAAGATGCTCAAAGAACTAAAAGGAGACATGGAGGCTGGGCGCAGTGGCTCACACCTGTAATCTCAGCACTTTGGGAGGCCGAGGTGGGCGGATCACCTGAGGTCAGAAGTTCGAGACCAGCCTGACCAACATGGTGAAACCCCATCTCTACTAAAAATACAAAAATTAGCTGGGCATGGTGGCAGGCACCTGTAATCCAAGTTACTCAGGAGGCTGAGGTAGGAGAATCGCTTGAACCTGGGAGATGGAAGTTGCAGTGATACAAGATCATGCCACCGCACTCCAGCCTGGGTGACAGAGTGAGACTCTGTCTCAAAAACTAAAAATGGTTAATATGTAAGTGTCATGTGTATTTTACCACAATTTTTAAAATGCATTGTTTTTAAAAACTCAGATCTGGAAGCAACTGATGTATCTTATCATTGGCTTCTTTGGTTTTTGTTTAAGACTTTCTTGAATGCAAATAACAGAAACCAATCTGAGTTAGCATCAATAAAACAAGGGTTTTGTTGGAAGAATGAAATCCAAGAAATAGGACAAGACAGCTTGTAAGACTTCAGTGAAGAAATTTGAAGACCTTCCTTCTACAGCTTAGAAAGCTAACATGAATCCATTCCCAATTCCTGGACTCAGTCCAAAATCTCAGAATAAGAATCTAATGGGTCCAACTAAACCAATCAGTTACAGTGGGAGTAGGGTGCCAGGACGTATCTGAGAAGTAAAGTTCTCAGCAAGGAGAAAATAATCAGTCACCCCTAAATATCCCTTCACAAAAATATATGGTAATTCCAAATTCTAAGCATAAGATTATAATATGAGCAGCAGAATATGGTGGGTAAAACGCCATGTAAGAAGTCAGAAGATCTGATTCTCATGAATCCTCTGTACTGACCTTGGGCAATTCCTTCATCTGTAAAAGGAGGAGTTGAAGTAAATGATCAAATATCTTCTAAAGTCACCCTCAGTTCTAAGGCTCTCTAGATGCTGTTGTACTATTTACTTCAAGGCAACTGTAGCACAGCTGTCTGAAGAATGTACATGCTTTGATGAGCTCGAGGATCTCTTAGAAGCTTTTTCTAAGAAATAAATGAGTGCAGTATCTCAAGAAGATAAACATCCAGCTCTATGAAAGGAGGAAGAAAAAATAAATGTCTTCAGGGCTGGCCTCACAGATCCCATTTCTAATGGGATTTCTTCTATGCCTATTACTGTGTAGACTGAATGTTTGTGTCCCCTCCCCCCACCCCCAAATTCACATGTTGAAATTCTATTGCCAGTATGATGGTATTAAGAGGTAGGACCTTTGGTGGGTGATTAGGTCATTAGGGCTAATCTGGGACTAGTGCCCCTATAAAAAAGACCCTGGAGAGCTCCCTCACTCCTTTCGTCATGTAAGGACTCAGTGGTAAGATGGCTGTTCATGAACCAGAAAGTGAGCCCTCACCGGACATCAAATCTGTTAGCACCTTGATCTTGAACTTCCCAGCGTCTAGAACTGTGAGTAATAAATGTATGTTGTATATAAGTCACTCAGTCTACGGAATTTTGTTATAGTAGCCCAAACAACACCTATCTAAAGTTCTGTTTGTCCTCAGCTCACCTAGCACATGAAATGACCACAACATAATATGGCTATTCTGGATTTGTGCTCAGTTCTTTATTTTTATCCCGCCTCAAGTTAACTCTGAACCTGATCCAGAGGTACTGCTGGTATTTTCCTGATGCCAATCAACCAAAATAGAGCCCAACTCATTATTAGAATAGGAATAATGAATCACAGCAATTTGTTTCAACCATACACTTAATTTCTTATCATACCCTTTGTATATTTTCTATTAATGATTCTATTCTGCACCAAGCACAGTACAATCATGCATTGCTTAACGATGGGGATATATTTTGCAAAACGCATCATTAGGCGATTTTGTTGTCATGTGAACATCATACAGTGCACTTACCCAAACCTAAATGGACTAGCCTACTACATACCTAGGCTATACGGTATAGCCTATTACTCCTAGGCTACAAACCTGTATAGTGTGTTACTGTACTGAATACTGTGTAGAAAATTGTAACACAATGGTAAATACTTCCATATCTAAACATCAAAAATACATTTTAAAATGGTATGCCTGTATAGGGCACTTACCATAAACAGAGCTTGCAGGACTGGAAGTTGCCCTTGGTGAGTCAGTGAGTGAGTGGTGAGTGAATGTGAAGGCCTAGGACATTACTGAATACTACTGTAGACTTCATAAGCACTGTACACTTAGGTGACACTAAATTTATTCAGAAACTATTTCTCTTTAATAACAAATTAACGGTTTTACTTTATAAACTTTAACATTTTTTAAACTTTTTGGTTCTCTTGTAATAACACTTAGCTTTAAACACAAATTGTATAGCAATAACAAAATTATTCTCTTTCTTTATATCCTTATTCTATAAGCTTTTTACTGCTTTTTAAATTCTTTATTTTTTCTCTCTTTAAATGTTTTGGTTAAAAACTAAGACACAAACACACATATTAGCCTAGGCAAACACAGCATCAGGGTCATCAATGCCACCTTCTTCCACCTCCACATCTTGTCCCACTGGGAAGTCTCCAGGGGCAATCACACTCATGGAGCTGTCATTTCCTACCACAGCAATGCCTTCTCCTGGAATTCCTCCTGAAGGACCTGCCTAAGGCTGTTGATGGAAATGTAGTTATGTGGCACACAACTATACTTGAGTTTTTGCCTAAAACTAAATTAGCTCTCACCTGAAACACATTTAAAATTGCTACACATTTGCCACTCCTGCCCACCTATCCCCCAGCCCCTTTACTCTGCTCTGCTTTTTCCCCATAGCACTTATCGCCTTCCAATATGTCAAAGAACTTATGTCTATTTTTTATTGGGAGTTTTCTCCCACCAGACTGTAGGTTCTACAAGGACAGATATCTTACTGTGGTATAATAAAAAATACATATCTGGTATTTCTCCCTGCATCCTGGCAGAGAGCTCCTAAAACCCTTGAAATTTTCTGAGTGATGGAAGTGTCTTTTTGTTATTCCTAATAAACCTCTTTTGAACAAACCTGACTTTTTGCTAATGAGGTGACTCATCGTGGACCCCCATATAGCTTCAGGATGGGGGCTGGTTGCCAAAGGAACCAACCATGTTATTAGAGAGCTGGAACTTTCAGCCCTTCTCCCAACCTCTGAGAGGGAAGAAGAGCTGGAAATTTAGTTCAATCACCAATAGCCAGTGATTTAATTAATCATGCATATGTAATGAAACTCCATATAAAAGCCCTAAACAATGGGGCTTGGGGAGCTTCCAGATTTAACACTTCCATATGATGAGAATATACCCCAATTTCACCAGGACAGAGGCCCCTGCACTCCAGACCCTTCCAGACCTCAGTCTATGTACCTCCTCATCTGGTTGTTCATTTATATCCTTATAATAAACTAGGATCATATGTTCCTGAGTCCTGTAAGTTGTTCTAACCAATTATTGAACCTGGTGCTGGGGAGGTTGTGGGAACTCTAGATTTTGCAGTCTGCCAGGCAGAAGTGTGGGTAGCCTGTAGACACCATTTGCAGCTGGCATCTAAAGTTGGGGGTGGGGGGTGCATTCTTATAGGACTGAGCCTTAACCTGTGTGGTCTGCACTAACTCCGGGTAGTTAATGCCAAAATTGAATAGAATTGCAGGACACCCGGTTGGTGTCAGAGAATCAAATTAGTTGTTACTGGAAAAACAACACATCCTCCTAGAAAACTGCCTAGTACACAGTAGGCACTCAACTAATATTTGCCGGATGAATGGATGGATGTCACCTCCCCTACAGACTGCCATTAAAGTTCTCATTCTGATCATCATCTTCCTGGACACCCCATTTCCTTGCTAATGGTTTCCTAGCAACTCAATAAATAAGTATTTTTGATGCCCACACAGGCATCAAATACGTATTTTTGATGCCAGGCACTGAGGTACAATCACTAAGGAAGGTAGCCAGGAGGCATGGAGGATGCCATCCGATGCCATGCAGCTTAGTGCAGCTCAGAACTCCAGGATTCCTTGCCTACCCCACCAGGGCGGGGCAAGGCCTTGTGAACAGGAGAGTCCTGGCCCTCTTTGAAACTCAATCTTCATGGTTCACAGGCATCCTTCAGCCTCTCCCTGCATGCAGCAATAATGCAACCCTGAACACATCCCTCTGAACTTCTGAAGCCTGAACTAAATTGCAAGGGAAAGACCGGCCCTGACAACACAAGGTACAAGAGTTATTTTCAGCAGGAAACAGAGCTGGCCAAGAGCGCAGTCATCTGTGTTTTCAGCAATTGAGCCCTCCCTCCCCCACCTGCTGCCAGGGTATCCACAGCTAAAAGCCAGCTCAGTCCATCTGTGGCTTTGAGCTTCTACATCTAACACTATAGGGAATTTTAAAGAAATTCCACTTACCCCACAACATCCACAAAAATAAATTCCAAATGGATAAAAGAGATTAATGTAAATATGAAGCTCCTATATTACTAGAAGATAATATTGTAATCTGGAATAGAAGAGGCCATTCCAAACAGAATACAAAACACAGAGGTTATAAAGGGAAATTTAGGCCTATTTGCCTAACTAAAATTTTGAAAATGTTTAAGAACAAAAGTTTCCACTAACAATGTCAAAGACAAACTGATACAAGTGTCTTCAGTATAGATAAATAGAAGGTTAATAATCATAATACATAAAAGGCTTCTACAAATTAAACTCTTTGAAGATGAAGGACAGGAGAGAAGAGAGTTTTATTTGAAAGAGTGGGCAGAGGCAAAGAAAGGGGAAAAGAACAGTGAGAGAGAGAATAGCCTCTTCCCATCCACTCGATCCCCAGGCTGATTTTGAGGCCACCTACAAGAGGCATTAGCAGCAGAAGCTGATGGGGACTACTCAGTCGAGAACTCATGAGATGCAGGATCTGAGCAGAGCAGACTGGGGACCCAGATGACAAAGGACACTGGCACACATTGAGCAGACTGTCCTCTCCCACCTCTGCCTGGACACCATCATCCCATCTATGCCAACCAAGGACTGGAGACTCAGGAGGCACCTGGAGACAGCACCTACGACGTGGACTTTGGTGTCTGGCTCCCATGAACTTCTCCAAGCTTCTGTGAGCAGCAGACACACAAGGGTGGGAGCAAACGTGGGAGAAGAGAAACAGAGAGGTTGCCATATGGACTACAAGCACCAGACAGGCTTATGGACACATGTAAGGCACCCTTTGGGGGACTTCTGGAAAGAACTGGGGGACACTTTGAGGGTCCTGAGGGCTTGTTTTTGCTTGGGTGAAAGATACTGCAACAGGAAATGTCTGGACCTACATATATATGCATTTCTTTTAAAGTTTGGAAGGATAATGGTTGGGAGGGACAGGACTGTAAGGGGAGGCAGGAAATTCCACTTTCTATTGTATAAAATTCTGGAATGTTTCTTTTTTATAAGGAATATACATGTACATAAAACTTTAGTAATAATAACTTACAATAAGATAGTCCCATTTAGAAAAAAATACACAGGATATGGCACTGGCTTTCAAGGATTGAGCTCTTCTCCTCACCGTTGCTGGTGACAACATGAGTCCACAATGACATCATCTAGTGCATGCCAATACCTGTGACAGGGAATAAAGCACAGAGCTGCAGGAGGCACAGGAGCTTCCCTGGGTCCAGTTTCCAGAACAGAATCATGACCAAGGTCAAAAGCTGGCTTGGTGGCCAGCGTGGAGTGCCAGGGTTACCTGTTAACCCTGGCATAGAGCCCCTGAACTTGTTCTGCCTCCAGAGCTCTTAGAAGTTTTTCTTAGAAGTTCTTCTTTTGTGGGCTGACACCATGGGATAAAAAGGGTTTCTCTCTCATAAATGCTTAGGTTACAGGAGAGAGATGGAACTGAAGTCTCACACCCTACTGCTCCCATGAAAATGTCCAGTGTCTCCACTGAGACATGTGTGACCTGGCCCTGCTTTCCTCTCCAGCCTCATGTCCCATCCCTTGTGACTCTCTGCAGAGGGCAATAATACAATTGGGAATAGAAGAATGAGCCAAGGGGCTGGTGTGGTGGGAGGGGATCCAGATTAGAGAGGTGACAGTTTGGGGAATAGTATGTGCCTGCTACAAGAGTCCTCCCTGAACACCCCTGGGTTAGACACCATCAGCTCTGCTCCTGGACCACCCAGGGTCATCTGTGGAAACATTACTACTTTGTGGAATGTTTGACTCGTTATATGTCTATAGCCCCTACCAGACTGTGCGCATTTTTGCCAGCATGGGCAGTAGCATTTGTCACAGTTGCCTCTGGTTCTGGGCAAAAGGTTCAATAAACAGTTGCTGAATGAGAAAGTTGCTGGTCTGGCCTAACCTTTCAGGCACTCTCATGTCAGGCACAGAGCATTCTGGGCTGGGCTCTCACTTGCTCACCTGTAAGCTCCACACAGTTCTAGGGTACAGATGGTGGCAAAACTCCAACAAATAGCCACACTGGCCCAAATATCTCTTCCTGGAAGAGAAACCTCAACACACAAAAAGAATTAAATGCCGACGGAGGTCACTGAGGCCGCAGACCCCTCACCCAGAGTTCTCAATGTGCTGATTCACCAGGAGCAAACAGGAGCCCTAAGGCCTGGCAGAGGAGAGGATGGTGCACCAGAAATGGGAGTTCTAGCTCTGACTCCACCCCAGAGCCTGTAAAGGTCTGGGTTTGGTGCTGGCTATGATCCTGGGAGTAGGAAGGTAAGAGAAAAGCTGGCCAATCTGAAAAGCACATAGGCTGGGCTACACCCAACCTTGACCTCAGCTCTGGAGACAGCCCAACCCAAATCCTCCCACCTAAAACAAACTCGCCTTGCATCATACATTCATATTGTGAGTCACAGGGCAAAAATCCCCTGAAGACCCTTGTGGTTGGTGCTTTTTACAAACAAGGATATCTATATTGGGCAGCTAGCTACCTTTCCTTTGACAGGAAAGAGACATGCCTCCCCACACCTCATTTCCCACAGTACAGATCTTGTCTGGACCTTATTTTTGCCAAGACCAGGCAATAACCAGCCCTGTGGTGCTGTGCTGTGTCACCAGCCTCAGCCTCCCTCCCCAACACTTGAACTCTGGAGGCAAACCCATGCCCCTTTCCTAAGATGCTGGAGTTGAGAGGCTGCCAACTATGTTATAAGGAAGATGGGAGCAATCTATTCCCACTGAGCTAACTGAGGTAGTGGGAAAGGAGAGGGTTTGTTGAGATTTTTCCTCTATTCTATTAAATGCACAGGCTTTGGCATCAGTCAGACCTGGGTTCAAGTCCCAGCTCCGCCACTTTCTAATTATTTGACTTTGGGCCAGTCACCAACCTCTCTGAATCTCGGTTTGAATCTATAGAGTGCAGATAGGACTAACATCCACCTTGAAGGGTTGCTATGAGGACTATGTGAAGCAATAACTGTCATACACGCAGCATGGCACCTGCATAGTGCACAGTAAGAGCTTAGCAAATGTTAACAACTGTTCACAGCCGGGAAATTTTGGGCCCAGAACAATAGGGCTTATGTTTTTTTTTTTTTAATTTCCCCATGAACCATTGTAATTGAGCTTATATCAAGACCAAATCCTAATCCCACACACAGAATTCATGTCTTGTCGTGTCACCCATCTACTACCCCATAGTTCCAGCTACTTTGGATTAAACAACTGAGAGCTCAGAAGTGTACAAATAAAAATCCACAAGCAAAGACTGGCCTGTCTCTGACCGTAATGGCAAATACAAAGCCCAAGAATCCCCACAGCTCAGATCTGCTGTTTCTTTCTGCCCTGGCAGTAAGCTCAGAAATCTGGCAGCTGAAATTCAAGTTACTCACTTTGAGCGTGCAATACCTCTGCCTCAGTGTTTTTGCTTATTCATGGTGAGAAGGGTTACTTTTTAACCTTATTTAAAAAAAAAAAAAATCTCTGCAGCCAGCAGTGGGAGGACTGAGTACCAGGAAGCTGGAAGCGCCTTCAGGACGCGTGATAATAGACGTCACCTGTTGGAGAGGCTGGTCCCGGGTCCCCCTGCCAGTTTTGGGCCAATAAACCCTACTGTTCTGTTTGGGTTGGCTTCGATTTCTGGCATTTTACAAATCTAAAGGATTCAGATGAGGCGGGCAATAGGGTGAGTAAAGACTACAACCCCAAATGTAAGTTAGGGTCCTTAGCCAAACTTTCCCTGACTTGGTTAACAAATAAGCCAGTGATTAAGCACATTCTATTCTGTAGCCCAGAGAGGATCCTCCCCATTACCCAGCCACATAAACTCTAGAATAGTAACTTCAGCCCCAATTCAACATCACTTTGTTTGTGTTTGCTGCATGTGGTGGATGGCAAGCCCACCTCCAACTCCAAAGCCACTGCTGGGACACCATCAGGACCCAGAGCAAAGGAAGGTGGGGCCCTGTTCTGTGGGACTGGCCCACAGGGATTGGTGTATGCCTGGCACTGTGCCTACCACTTTACCTGCATTTCTTCAGTTAATCCTTATAACAACCCCATGCCGCAGAAACTGTTATTCATGTCCCCTTTACCTATGGGAAATGGATAGCTCAGAGAGGTTAAGTGGCATGTCCAAAAAATCGTCAGAAGCAGACCTTAAACTCCACAATCTGATGTCAGATAACACCACCTTTACCATCAGAAGGGGATGCAAAGACAGGAAGAAGAATGTTCCAGATTGAAGGAACAGCACTTGCAAAACCATGAAGTTACAAGTTAGAAAGACTGTGGCATTTCCAAAAATTGGGAGATTAGTGAGCAGTGGAGTTACTTGGGAAGGCTCAATGGGAGAGGGAGAAGGATTGGGAGGGACCCAGGGGAAAGGGAAGCGGAAGAGGCAAGAAACCCAAGTGCAGTTAAGGAGTCTGGCATGTTCAGGAAACAGCGAAAGACCAAGCACAGACTTGGTTACAGCAAAATGTGCTGACATCCCTGCTGTAATATATCTATTCTCTAAACTAAAGCCTATCTGAACATGTATGAATGAGTGCTGTTAAGGACACCTGTGAATTGTGGCAGCTCTCATCAATGCCTCAGGACCAGAACTCAGGCTACCATCCTCAGGGAGGCATGGTGTCCTACCTGTGGTTCTCTCAGCCAACCTCTGCTGACATTCTATTCCCTTCCACACCAGGGGCATTGCAAATGTGGGTGGCTCATGATAGCTTCCTCTAGACAAGCTCTTTAGACTCAAAATCCTTTTACAAAAGAAGTTGCTCTTTATTTGTGCTTTGGGAATTCCATTGTTCAGATGGCAAGTTTAACTTCTTCTCTCTTTGGCACTGAGAAAAAAAAATGTTTTTGTTTTTAATAGGCTTCTACAAATCAAATACTTAATATTTCTCTTAAAATTGAGGTTATCTGGGTGACTAGTTCAAGAGACATTCCAGGTTGTCCTGACACAACCAGAGAGGCTGGTCACTGTCCGGCTGAGACACCAGCTCCTTGTCCGGGAAAGTTAAGCACACTGGAGCCAGCCCCCAACCCCCAGGCAGCATGGGTCTCTCCCTCCTCCCAGGTCCTCAAGCCTCCTAAAATCTCTGCCTCTGACCTCATATCATAACTTTCTGTGACCAAGCCACCACACAGAAAGTTCCTGGAGGTGAGGGTCACGCTTCATCTACTCTTCCAACAAGTATACACTAATGCCTTCTAAGTGCCAAGCAAATTGTTAGGCCTGGAAAACACTGCCAGCAAGGCTGTTCTGGTACTGGAAATGCCAGGATGCCAAGAGTACATGAACATTTATGAGTATGCACTCTGGAGCTAGACTCCCCTGCTCCAACACTGGCTAGCTAAGTGACCCTAGGCAAGTCACTTAACTTCTACGCAACTTCGTTTCCACTCTATCTAATGGTGATAATAACAGGGCCTACCTTATCATGATGAGAGGATAAAATGAATCCAAATAGGTAAAGTACATCTATGGTTAGTACTCAGTAAGCTCTATGTACAAGGGTAAGCACAAGATGTTTTAGGAGACCACAAGAGGGTTGCATAACTCAGACTTGGGAGGGCTTCCCAGAGGATTCGCACTCTAAACAGGGACTTTAGAAATCAGTTAACCATCGGAAGGGGATGCAAGGACAGGAAGAAGAATGTTCCAGATTGAAGGAACAGTACTTGCAAAACCATGAAGGCAAGAGTCCATGCTTTCTTTGATGAGTTTGCTTCATTTAAAAAAAATAAAACAAACAGCAATTCAGTCACTAATAACAGTTATTACAAAGTTTGTACTGTGCCTTCTATCCTTGAACTATTAGTGTACAAACTGCAAAGAATGCAGATTTAGGTCACAGAGAGCAAGTCTGAACTAAATCCATCTTTGAAGGCTCTACCAGCAAGGTCAAAATGGCTCACAGTTCTCTTTTTATTTTCAACAGGAAACAAACATTTATGAACCCCAAATGTTAGGTTAATTTAATGGCTTCTTAGAAGATGTTTGGTCTGAGGATTTTGGAAGAGAAAACACAGTGTAGTCTTTGTTTTTTACTCCTCACCACAGCACATTGCTTGTGGGAGGCACCCAATAAATTCTTTTTCCTTTTATACTCAAATGCACTGCATTTTAGTTTTCATACTAGTTTTTTAACAAATGCTTTTTAAATGATGTATGTTCAAATGAATCCTGCCAATGCCCAGAACTTCTCTTCCCACTCACCTCACAAAAGGCAAGCCTAGGCCTGCCTCCAGCCTCTTAGAGTAGCAGCTTATCTCCAAGATGACATCCCCACAGAGCTGAGTTTTATGATCAGCTATCAAATCTCAGCATAAACTGAGAGCAAAGATTGGAAAGACAATAAAAATAGAAACGAGGCCAAGCATGCTGGCTCACACCTGCAATGCCAGTGCTTGGGGAGGCTGAGGTGGGAGGGCCTCTTGAGCCCAGGAGTTCAAGGCCGTGGTGAGCTAGAATCACATCATGGCACTCCAGCCTGGGTGACAGAGCAAGACCCTGTCTCTAAAAACAAACAAACAAGCAAGTCAGGTTTTACATGCCAAGCCAGTTCAGAGAAGCAGTGGGACCTATGATTAAATTTCGATTTTAAGAAAACTAAAGGGGAAGGAATTTTCCCAGCAAGCAATAATCCTTTTCAGAAGACTAGCAAAGCCTGTTCTTTATTAATGAATGAGGAACTGTGGTTCCTGAGATAATAGGAGGAAAGGGATTTTATAATTCATCAAAGCCAGGGATTTTCAAACACCTTTTGAAAGCTTTGTTCAAAATAAATATTACCAAGATATGTAAATAAAACACACCATGACAGAACTATTCTGGTTGAACGCAGGGACTAGGCCCCAATATTGTTGCCTTCTAACCCCAGAACATATCTAAAACTACTAATTTTAGTCTAATAACCACTCTTCCCTTTTACAGATGGAAAACCTGAAGCTGAGAAAAAAATAGATGACTTCTCCAAGGTCACACAACTAATTGCTAACAGAGCCAGTGTAAGTTCCTAGGTCTACTTACTCCAAATTCAATGACATGTAGATGGTATGAGAAATACACTTACTGATGTGGAAGGGGTGGATGATGGAAAGTAGATGGGACATGAGAGGAAGAGGGTCACCCTGTTGAATACACACAGAAACAGGGCAGGACAAAGCCATGCAGTGGCTATTACAGGTTGAGTATCCCTTCTTCTAAATGCTTGGGACCATAAGTGTTCCAGATTTCAGACTTTTTAAGATTTTGGAATGTGTGCATTACACTTACCAGTTGAGCATGCCTCATCCAAAAATGCAGAATTCTAAGTGCTCCAATAAGCATTTCCTTTGAGAGTCATGTCAGCATTCAAAAAATTTCAGATTTTGAAGAATTTTGGATTTCAGGTTTTCAGATTAGGGACACCCAATCTGTAGCTGCCTGGGGGGCTCTAAGATGCCTACTTAGAAGACAGCATATCCCATCTTCTCTGGATTACTAGGATGCGATGATTTGTTTGCATATTCAAGTCAACAGGTATTAACTGAGCTTCTGTTATTAGCTGCTAGGCAGCGTGCTGGACAGAGTTAGCAAACACCAACCCACTACCACCACTATCCCAGCACTCACCACCCAGTACAGAAGACAGATGGGAAGCCCTTAACTTAATGGACCTTTAGGGTAGCTACGCAACCAGAGGGAGGAGGGAGACAGATTGAGTCACTGGGAGAATCAAACAGCCCAGAAGAAAAGACATCTATGTAGCGTTTCCAAGGATGAGCTTGTCACCAGGAAGACAGGGGAAGTGGGGCATCTTGTTCATAGAAAACAGAAACAGCTTTCAAACGAGGCAAAAGATATTCATTTGTAGTTTAGAGAGATCACCAAGGTGGCACTGTAGAAATCCATGGCATGAGGAGGCTTCTGTGATGGTTGAAAATGGTGGTTTTCAGAAGAAAAATCAGCGTGGGGAGCAGGAGGGATAAAGCCTTCCCTGGTTCCCATGGCTCCCAGAAACTGCCAGGTGGTATCACCAACCAAGATTAAAAAAAAAAAAAAAAAAACGTTTGGGAGGGAAAATAAGGAGCCCATCTTAGCTGTCAAGAGTTGAAGGTGCTAATGGGAGCTCCAGGTGGAGATCCCAGCAGCACAGGGCTGAGTCTGTGTCACAGCTTTAACTTCCCAAGGAAAAGCCTCAGCCTGATTCCCCTGTTGTGTACAGAGCTTGTTTTAGGCTTCTACTCTGAGGGCTTTACTAAGTAGAATGTACTGAAATTGTGTGTTTGGTGGTTTCTTTTTCTCCAATCTATCTAGTAGAATCCAAACCCTATCAGCTTTTACCACAAGTTAGCTGGGGATTGCAGCAACACCCGAGAAACTGGCTTCCTCTATTGCATCTAAGCTAGGAAGCAAATTTATTTTAAGCAACAATAAAAATATGCCACATTGAAAAAATATAGAGGGTCTGTCCAATTTAGTTCCATGCCATTCTTTTACAGAATAAAATTAGCACAATTTTGCAAGCAAGAAAAGTAAGATATGAAGAAGGTAAATGTATAGCTGCCTAAGCCAGGGAATCCTGTGATTATTCACAGTTGAATTCAATCAACACATCTTCACCAAGCAATCTATGGCACTGAAACACAACACTCAAAACCAGATGTTAAAAATATAAGTCTAAGAAATAGCACATCAACTCCAGGAGCAGATTACTAATTGATTAGGTAAGCAAAATACAAAAATAATGACAATTTACAGAAATATGTAACAAATGTCAACAGAAGCTAAATGTCACAACAGTTCACAGGTGGGATATATAATGTTTAACCAGGATAATGAAGAAACATTTCACAAAAGAGTGCTGCCATCTAAATTTAGTGTAAAAGGGAGAGCTGGGTTTCTATAAGCAAATAAAGGAGAGGCCAGCAAAGAGGGAGAGAGAGAATGGACTCAAGACATGGCCATGGAAACCACTGGGAGTTTCAAAACACAAAGAAGAGAAGCCTTTGGATGGAGCACAGAGTTTACACATGGGGATGACTTGAGACCAGACTGGAGGGGTGTGAGGGCCTTCCCCCCTGTTGGACTTTAACTGAGGTCATGGGCAATCCCAGAAGGGATTCTGAGCAGGAAAAGACACGGAGCATAGGAAGGGTGGGAGTCAAGACAAACTGCTAGACAGGACTGCCAACCAATCATAAGCTAGGGCAGAAAAGAATCAGGTCATGACAGGGGCAGAGCAGAACAGAGGCAAGGGTGGCTTCATGAAGAAGAGAGCATGTTAGACACGCCTTGTAGTTTGGGCTGCTTTGGATGTTGAGATAGGAGAGCAAAGTCATGGAGGCTGGAAAATGTGGCACAGAAGGGGCAAAGCCACAAGGTCCAATTGCCTTAAATGTAGGGCATGAGTCAGGAGTCAGAGGAGGTGAGGAAGAAGGCAGGCTGGGGCCATGAGTGCAGGGCTACCAAGAATTTGGATTCTACCCAAGAGGTAGTGAGATTTCCTAAAAGTGACTTACTAGATCACAAGCTGTATTGAGGAACATTTGATGATAGCTCTACTACTAAACATTTGCAGTATTAATGGCATTTACATTTGGTAGTAAGCATGGTCAAGACAGGTCAGAAAAAGCTTCTCAGGCCAGGCAGAAGGGGTGGCAAGATCCAAGCACAAGGCAGTGCCTACCTAAATTGGAATGTGGGCATTAGAAAGAGCAGAAAGGAAGTATGGAAGGGACATTGTGAAGGCCTGACTTGAAAGACTGAATGTGTTGTGGTGGTGCCATGTTTCCTTGTTTTTTTCATGTTTCCTGTGTCCTCATGTTGATATTTGCCCATCTGGTGTAACAGAGGAGAGGAAGTTGCAAGCTATGGCTTGAAGATTTTGAACAAACACCCTCATAGACCTTCTGCTTCTGTGAACTGTGAATGCTCAGCACAGCATAACATTTATATTGATGGCACTGAAACTTTCTAAGTTTAAGGATCCATACCTTTGGCTTTTTAAGAAATTTTCCCTACATACATACTTAAAGGGTACTCATAGGACAGTAAGAACTTCTAAAAATATTCTTAAATTATTAAACATATCATCTTTCCAGAAAGAGTAAGTAAAACATGTATGTGCATCTTCTAGCAAGGGAGGGGGTGTGTGGGGATCACCCCACCCTACTCATCACAGCCAGCACCTGAGCATACCAGCAGGGAGCCTGAGGACAGTCCCACCTGGCTTGGTACCACATGCACCCCCGTACCCGAGCACACTGCCTGGGGGCCTGTTGACCACCACTGGCATCTGTGCATTCTTCCTGGGGGCCTGAGGATAGGCCCACCCAACTTGCCACTACCACCACAGCCAGCACCCACTGCATATACTACCTGAGGGGTTGGAGACTGGCCCATCCAGCCTGCTGCAGCCACTGCAAACACCAACACATGTTGCTTTGGAGCCCAAGCAGCTACTGCCATCACTGCTACTGCCATCACCCACACCATGCACACTGCCCAGAGGATCCATGAACCTGCCTGGCCTCCCACTGCCATTGCCATCACCCAAGCAAGCCATCTGGAGGCCCAAGAATTGGCCTGTTGAGACCTGTTAACACTAGTGCCGGTGTATACTCCCCAGGGACCCAAGGACAGGCATGCTCAGCCAGCCACTGCCATGACTGGAGCCTAAGGACCAGCCTACCTGGTATCCCAGGTCCTCAGGTTTGTCCCCAGCAAAACCTTATCACTGCCTCCATGAATAACCACACTCTAAGCCACTGAGGAAATCACAGACACCACTGACACTGTTTACAGCTGAAGAAATCACATGAAGACTACACTACTTCATGTATCCAGAAGCAAAGCTAAAGTGTCCCACTTAACCAATACCATAGACACATCTTTGGGATGTGTCCCCAATGAAGGTCAATCCAAAAAATTGGAAGAAGCTACTGTTACACAAGATGGGCAAATATCAACATGAGAACACAGGAAACATGAAAAAAAAACAAGGAAACATGGCACCACCAATAATTCTCCAATAACAGATTCCAATGAAAAAGCAATTTATAAAACACGAGAAACATAATTCAAAATAATGATATTAAAGAAGTTCAGTGAGATACAAGAGAACATAAACAATACAAAAAAATCAGAAAAACAATTCAGAATTGAATGAGAAATTCACCAGAGAGATAGATATCATAAAAAAGAACCAAACAGAAATCCTGGAACTGAAGAATTTAATGAATGAAATAAAAAATTCCTTCCACAGCTTCAACAATAGACTAGAGCAAGCAGAAGAAAGAATCTCAGAACTTCAAGACAGGTCTTTTGAAATAACCCATTCAGACAAAAACTAATTTTTTAAAATGAACAAAATCTACATGACATATAGGACACCATAAAGCGACCAGATATACAAATTTTGAGTAATCCAAAAGGTAAAGAGAAGACTAAAGGCATAAAAAACCTTTCTAATGAAATTACAACTGAAAACTTCTGAAGTCTAGCAAGAGACTTAAACATCCAGATACAGGAAGCTGAGAGATCCCCAAATAGATACAATCTAAAAAGGTCTTCTTCATGGCTCATTATGATCAAACCACCAAAATTCAAAGGCAGAGAGAATTCTAAAAACAGCAAGAGAAAAGCATTTAGTCACATATAAGGAAATCCCCATTAGACTAACAGTAGATTTCTCAGCAGAAACCTTACAGGCCAGGAGACAATGGGTTGATATATTCAAAGTGCTGAAAGAAAAAAGGAACCTTCAGCCAAGCCAAAACAACAACAACAACACAAAAAACTTTGCTATACCTAGCCAAGTTACATTTCATAAATGAAGGAGAAATAAAGTCTTTCCCAGAAAACAACAACAACAACAACCATATGACCACTAGGCCAAACCTGCAAGAAATGGTTAAGGGAGTCCTATACCTGTAAGCAAAAACAAAAACAAAACTCAAACCATAAGTACCATCATGAAAACACACCAAAGGCCAGGTGTGGTGGCTCACACCTATAATCCCAGCACTTTGGGAGGCCGAGGCGGGTGGATCACAAGGTCAGGAGATCGAGACCATCCTGGCTAACACAGTGAAACCCCATCTCTACTAAAAATACAAAAAAAAAAAAAAAAAATTAGCCAAGCATGGTGGTGGGTGCCTGTAGTCCCAGCTACTTGGGAGGCTGATGCAGAAGAATGGCGTGAACCCAGGAGGCGGAGCTTGCAGTGAGCCGAGATCGCACCACTGCACTCCAGCCTGGGTGACAGAGTGAGACTCCAACTCAAAAATAAAAAAAACACACACACGCCAAAGTATACAACTCACTGGTGCAGTGAACACAGACAAATGAAGAAGAGAAAGGACTCAAAATTTTATCACTACAGAAAACCACCAAACTTCAATGATAAACAAGAGAGAAAGAAAGAAACACAGGATATGCAAAATAACCAGAAAACAATGAACAAAGTGATAGAATTAAGTCCTCACATATCAATAATAACCTTGAATGTAAACAGATTACATTTTCCACATAAAGGATAGACTACTAAATGGATATAAAAAATGTGACCCACCTATATGCTGTCTACAAGAAGCTCACTTCCCTGTAAAGGCATATAGACTGAAAGTAAAGAAATAGAAAAAGGCTGGGTGTGGTGGCTCATGCCTATGATCCTAGCACTTCGGGAGGCCAAGGCAGGAGGATCCCTTGAGGCCAGGAATTCAAGACAAGCCTGGGCAACATAGTGAGACCTGTCTACAAGAAATAAAAATTTAAAAAAATTTTTTTAAAGAACTAGACAGATTCCACACAAACCAAAAGCAAGCAGGAATAGTTATATCAGATAAAACAGACTTTAAGTCAAAAACAGTAAAAAGAGACAAAGAAGGTCATTATATAAGGATAAAGGGATCAATTTTGCAAAAAAAAAAAACTATTCTAAATATTTATGTAGCCACCACCAGAGCACCCAGATATATAAAGCAAATATTAGACCTGAGGAGAGTGATAGACTCCAAAACAATAAAAGCTGCAGACTTCAACACCTCATTGTCAGCACTGGACAGATCATCTAGACAGAAAATCAACAAAAAGACTTTAGATTTAAACTGCACTTTAGACCAAATAGACCTAAAAGACATCTAAAGAACATTTTATCCAACAGCCGCAGGACATACATTCTTCTCATCAGCACATGGCACATTCTTCAGGATAGGCTATGTGTTAGGCCACAAAACAAGTCTCAATACATTTTTAAAAAATTGAAATTATACCAAGAATATTCTCAGAACACAATGGAACAAAACTAGAAATCAATAAAAAGAAGAATTTTGGAAACTATACAAATACATGGAAACTCAGCAACATGCTCCTGAATGACCATTGGCTCAGTGAATAAATTAGGAAGGGAATAAAAAAATTCTTGAAACAAATAAAAATAGAAATAAAACATACCAAAACCTATGGGATACAGCAAAAGAAGTGCTAAGAAGGAAGTATATAGCAATTAGCAATGAACACCTACATCAAAGAAGTAAAAAGATTTCTTTTTTTTTTTTTTTTTTTTTGAGACAGAGTCTCACTCTGTCACTCAGGCTGGAGTTCAGTGGCGTGATCTTGGCTCACTGCAAACTCCACCTCCCAGGTTCAAGCGATTCTCCTGCCTCAGACTCCCAAGTAGCTGGGACTACAGGTGCTCGCCACCACACCTGGCTAATCTTTGTACTTTTAGTAGAAGCAGGATTTCACCATGTTGGCCAGGCTGGTCTTGAACTCCTGACCTCAAATGATCTGCCCACCTCGGCCTTTCAAAGTGCTGGGATTACAGGCGTGAGCCATTGTACCCAGCTGTAAAAAGATTTCATATAAGCAATCTAACAATATACCTAAAGGAATTAGAAAAGCAAGAACATGCCAAACCCAAAATTAGTAAAAGAAATAATAAAGATCAGAGTAGAAATAAAATAGAGACTTAAAAAGCACAAAGAATTAGTGACACAAAAAGCTGGGTTTTTTAAAAAGATAAAATTGATAAGCCAGTAGCTAGACTAGCCAAGAAAAAAGAGAGAAGATCCAAATAAACAAAATCAGAAATGAAAAAAGAGACATAACAACTGATAACATATAAATATAAAAGATCATCAGAGACTATTGTGAACAACTATATGCTAACAAATTAGAAAAACTAGAGGAAATCGATAAATTACTAGACATATACAACCTACCAAGATTGAATTAGAAAGAAATAGAAAACCTGAACAGACCAATAATGAGTAACAAGGTTGAATCCATAATAAAAAGACTCCCAACAAAGAAAAGCCCAGGATCTGAAGGCTTCATTGCCAAATTCTACCAAATTTATAAAGACCTAACACCTATTGTCCTCAAACTATTCAAAAAAATTAAAGAGGAAGGAATTCTCTCTAACTCATTCTAGGAGGCCAGCATCAACCTGACACCAAAACCAGACAAAGACACAACAAAAAAAGAAAACCAGAGGCCAATATCTATTGCAGGAAGTCAGGGACCCCGAATGGAGGGACCAGCTGAAGCCATGGCAGAAGAACATAAATTGTGAAGATTTCACGGACATTTATTAGTTCCCCAAATTAATACTTTTATAATTTCTTATGCCTGTCTTTACTGCAATCTCTGAACATAAATTGTGAAGATTTCATGGACGCTTATCACTTCCCCAATCAATACCCCTGTGATTTCCTATGCCTGTCTTTACTTTAATCTCTTAAACCCATCATCTTTGTAAGCTGAGGAGGATGTATGTCGCCTCAGGACCCTGTGATGATTGCGTTAACTGCACAAATTGTTTGTAGAGCATGTGTGTTTGAACAATATGAAATCTGGGCACCTTGAAAAAAGAACAGGATAAAAGCAATGTTCAGGGAACAAGGGAGATAACCTTAAACTGTGACTGCTGGTGAGCCGGGTGGAACAGAGCCATATTTCTCTTCTTTCAAAAGCAAATGGGAGAAATATCGCTGAATTCTTTTTCTCAGCAAGGAACATCCCTGAGAAAGAGAATACGCCCCTGAGGGGAGGCCTCTGAAATGGCCACTTTGGGGACGGCTGTCTTTTACGGTCGTAGTGGAGGGATGAAATAAGCCCTAGTCTCCCGTAGCGCTCCCAGGCTTATTAGGACGAGGAAATTCCTGCCTAATAAATTTTAGTCAGACCAGTTGTCTGCTCTCAAACCCTGTCTCCTGATAAGATGTTATCAATGACAATGCGTGCCCGAAACTTCATTAGCAATTTTAATTTCACCCCAGTCCTGTGGTCCTGTGATCTCTCCCTGCCTCAATTTACCTTGTGATATCTTATTACTTTGTGAAGCATGTGATCTCTGTGACCCACACCCTAATCGTACACTCCCTCCCCTTTTGAAAACCACTAATAAAAACTTGCTGGTTTTACGGCTCAAGGGGCATCACAGAACATGCCGACATGTGATGTCTCCCCTGGACACCCAGCTTTAAAATTTCTCTCTTTTGTACTCTTTCCCTTTATTTCTCAGACCGGCCGACACTTAGGGAAAATAGAAAATAACCTACATGAAATATCGGGGCTGAATTTTGCCCAATAAATGTCCCTGATGAACACTGATCAAAAATTTTCAAAAAAATACTAGCAAATTGTACATCAAAAGATATTATACCCCACAGTCAAGTGGGATTTATCCCAGGGATGCAAGAATAGTACAACATATGCAAATCAATAAATGTAATTACATCATATCAACAGAATGAAGGACAAAAACTATGATTGTCTCAACAGATGCAAAAAAAAAAGAGCACTTGACAAAATCCAATATCCCTTCATGATAAAAACTCTCAACAAACTAGGCATAGAAGGAATATACCTCAACATTAATGATATGGTTTGGCCTTGTGTCCCCACTCAAATCTCAACTCAAATTGTAATCCCCACGTATCGAGGGAGGTACCTGGTAGGAAGTGATTGGATCATGGGGGCAATTTGCTCCATGCTGTTCTCATGATAATGAATGTGTTATCATGAGATCTGATGGTTTAAAAGTGTTTGGCAGTTCCCCCCTTGCTCTCTCTCTCTCCTGCCACCATGTAAGATGTGCCTTGCTTCCCCTTCACCTTCCCCCATGATTGTAAGTTTCCTGAGGCCTCCCCAGCCATGCAGAAATGTGAGCTAATTAAACTTCTTTTCTTTATAAATTACCCAGTCTCAGCTATTCTTTATGGCAGTGTGAAAATGGACTAATATAGAAAATTGGTACTGAGAGATGGGTACAGAAATAAAGAGAACTGAAAATGTGGAAATGACTTTGGAACTGGATAATGGGCAGAGGTTGGAACAGTTTGGAGGGCTCAGAAGAAGACAGGAAGATGTGGGAAAGTTTGAGACTTCCTAGGGACTTATTGAATGGTTTTGACCAAAATGCTGATAGTGATATGGACAATGAAGTCCAGGCTGAGGTGGTCTCAGAGATGAGGAACTTATTGGGAATGGGAGTAAAGGTCACCTTGCTATGCTTTAGCAAAGAGACTGGTGGCATTTTGTCCCTGTCCTGGAGATCTATAGAACTTTGAACTTGAGAGAGATGATTTAGGGTATCTGGCAGAAGAAATGTCTAAGGAGCAAAGCATTCAAGAGGTGACCTGGCTGATTCTGAAATTGTTCAGTCATATGTGTTTATGAAGAGATTATCTGAAACTGGAACTTCTATTTAAAAGGGACACAAAGCATGAAAGTTTGGAAAATTTGCAGCCTGACCATGAGGTAGAAAAGAAAAACCCATTTTCTAGGGAGGAATTCAAGCTAGCTGAAGAAATTTGCATAAGTAATGAGGAGCTGAATATTAATAGCTAAGACAATGGGGAAAATGTCTCCAGGGCTATGTCAGAGATCTTCATAGCAGCCCTTCCCATCATAGGTCTGGAGGCCTAGGAGGGAAAAATGGTTTAGTGGGCTGGACCCAGGGCCCAACTGCTCTGTGAAGACTTAGGACTTGGTGCCCTGAGTCCTAGCCACTTCAGCTCCAGCCATGGCTAAAAGGAGCCAAGGTACAGCTCAGGCCATGGTTTCAGAGGGTGCAATCCCCAAGCCTTGATGGCTTCCACATGGTGTTGGTCCTGCAGGTGCACAGAAGACAAGAGTTGAGGCATGCCAGCCTCCACCTAGATTTCAAAGAATATATGGAAACACCTGGTTGTCCAGGCAGAAGTCTGCTGCAGGGTCAGAGCCCTCATGAAGACCCTCTAACAGGGCAATGCACAGGGGAAATGTGTGGTTGGAGCACCCCCACAGAGTCCCAACTGGGGCACTGCCTAGTGGAACTGTGAGGAGAGGGCCACCATCCTCCAGACCCCAGAATGGTAGATCTGACAGCTCATCCATGTACCTGGAAAAGCCTCAGGCACTCAATACCAGCCCCTGAAAGTATCCATGGGGGATGTACCCTGCAGAACCACAAGGGTGGAGCTGCCCAAGGCCTTGGGAGCCCACCCATTGCATCAATGTGCCTGGGTGTGAGACTCGGAGTGAAAGGAGATTATAGCTTTAAGATTTAATGAGCACCCTGCCGGGTTTTGGACTTGCATGGGGTATGGTCCCTTTGTTTTGGCCAATTTCTCCCATTTAGAACAGGAATATTTACCCAATGCCTGTACCCCCATTGTATCTTGGAAGGAAAAACTTTTTTTTTATTTTACAGGCTCACAGGCAGCAGGGACTTGCCTTGTCTCAAATGAGACTTTGGACTTGGGCTTTTGGGTTAATGCTGGAATGAGTTAAGACTTTGGGAGACTGTTGGGAAGACATGATTATGTTTTGAGATGTGAGAAGGACATGATACTTGGGAGAGGCCTGGGGCAGAATGATATGGTTTGGCTTTGTGCCCCTACTCAAATCTCATCTCAAATTGTAATCCCCACTTATCAAGGGAGGGACTTGGTGAAAAGTGATTGGATCATGGGTGCAGTTTCCCCCATGCAGTTCTCATGATAGTGAGTGAGTTATCATGAGATCTATTGGTTTAAAAGTGTTTGGCAATTCACCCCTTGCCCTCTCCCTCCTCTGCCACCATGTAAGATGTGCCTTGCTTTCCCTTCACCTTTCACCATGATTGTAAGTTTCCTGAGACCTCCCCGGCCATGCAGAACTGTGAGTCAGTTAAACCTCTTTTCTTTATAAATTACTTAGTCTCAGGTATTCTTTATAGCAGTGTGAAAATGGACTAATACAATAATAAATGAGAAATTCACAGCTAATATAACAGTAAATGAGGAAAAGCTGAGAGACCTTCCTCTAAGAACTGAAACATGACAAGGATGCCCACTTTCACTGCTCCTATTTAAAATAGTATTAGAAGTGCTAGCCAGAGCAACTGGGCAAGAGAAAGAAACAAGTGGCATCCAAATTGGAAAAGAAGAATTCAAATTGCCCCTCTTTACAAATAACATAATCTTATGTCTAAAAAACCCTAAGGACTCCACCAAAAAACTCTTAGATCTCATAAACAAATTCAGTAAAGTTATAGAAAAGATACAAAATCAACAGACAAAAATCAATATTGTTCCTATACACCAATAATGAAATAGCTGAAAAAGAAAGCAAGAAAACAATTCCATTTACAGTAACTACAAAAAAAAAATAAAAATAAAATAGCTAGGCATACATTTAACCAAAGAAGTGAACAAACTCTACAAAACGTTGATGAAATCAATTGACAATGACACAAACAAATGGAAAGATATCTCATGATCATGGATCAGAACACTTAATATGGTTAAAATAACCATACTGCCCAAGGCAATCTACAGATTTAATGCAATCTCTATCAAAATACCAATGTCATTTTTCACAGAAACAGAAAAAAACAATTCCAAAATTTGTATGGAACAAAAAAAGAGCCTGAATAGTCAAAGCAATCCTGAGCAAAAATAACAAAGTTGGAGGCATCACACTGCCTGAGTTCAAAATATATTACAATCCTATTGTAACCAAACAGCATGGTATTGGTGTAAAAATAGGCACATAGACCAATGGAACAGAATAGAGAACCCAGATGTAAATCCACATATTTATAGCCAATGAATTTTTCACAAAGCACCAAGACCACACATTAAGGAATGGATACCCTCTTCAATAAATTGTGCTGGGAAAACTGAATATTCATTTGGAGAAGAATTAAACTAGACCTCTACCTCTCACCATATGCAAAAATCAACTGAAAGTGAATTAAAGACCTAAATGTAAGACCCAAAATTATGAAATTACTATAAAGAAAACATAAGGGAAACCCTACAGAACACTGGTCTGGGCAAAGATTTTATGGCTAAGTCCTCAAAAGGCATGCAACAAAACTAAAAACAGATAAATGGGACTATATTAAGGTAAAAAGCAAAGGAAACAATCAACAGAGTAAAGAGACCCAAAATGGGAGAAAATATTTGCAAACTACTGGAACTAATATTTGATAAGGAACTAATATCAAGAATAAACAAGGAACTCAAATGACTCAAAAGCAAAAAAAAAAAAAAAACCAAAACAAAACCCTAGTAATACCGTTAAAAAGCAGGCAAAGTACATGAACAGAAATCTTTGAAAAGAAGAATACAAATGGCCAGGAAGTACATGAAAATGCACAATTCCACTAATCATCAAGGGAATGCAAATCAAAACCATAATGAGATATTATCTCACCCCAGTTAGAATGGCTATTATTTTAAAAACAAAAAAATAACAGATGCTGGCAAGAATGCGGGGAAAAAGGAACTACTATACAGTGTTAGTGGGAATGTAAATTAGTACAGCCATTATGGAAAACAGTATGGAGATTTCTCAAAAAACAGAAACAGAACTACCATACAATACAATTCAGCAATCCCTCTACTGGGTATTTATCCAAAGGAAAGGAAATCAGTATACCAAAGGGTTACCTGCACCCCCATGTTTATTGCAGAAGTTAAAAAAGAATGAAATCATGTCATTGGCAGTAACAACATGGATGGGACTAAAGGTCATTATGTTAAGTGAAATAAGCCAGGCACAGAAAAACAAATATTGCATGTTCTCACTCATGTGGGAGCTAAAAGAGTTGATCTCACGGAAGCAGAGAGTAGAATAATAATTACCAGAGTATTGAATAATAGTTACCAGAGGCCAGGCACAGTGGCTCACATCTGTAATCCCAGCACTTTTGGAGGCTGAGGTGGGCAGATCACAAGGTCAGGAGTTCAAGACCAGTCTGGCCAATATGGTGAAACCCCATCTCTACTAAAAACACACACAAAAAAATTAGCTGGTGTGGTGGCAGGTGCCTCTAGTCCCAGCTACTCAGGAGGCTGAGGCAGGAGAATTGCTTGAACCTGGGAGGCGGAGACTGCAGTGAACCAAGATCGTGCCACTGCACTCTAGCCTGGGCAACAGAGTGACACTCCATCTCAAAAAAAAAAAAAAAGTTACCAGAGGCAGGGAAGGGTGTGGGGTTGGGGGTGGAATGAAGAGAGGTTGGTTAATGTGTACAAAAGCTCAGTTAGATAGAAGGAATAAGTTCCAATTAGTGTAAGGTGACTATAGATAACAACAGTGTGTTGGATATTTCAAAATAACTGGAATGGAAGACTTGAAATGTTCCCAACACATAGAAATGATAAATTTCTATGGATGATGGATACCCTAAATACCCTAACTTGATCATTACACATTTTATACATATAACAAAATACTACATGTACCCCATAAAAATGGACAAATATTATATTATATAGTAATAATTTTTTAGAAAAACATATGTGGAGTGTAAAAAGCTATTTTAAGGTGAGCCTCTGAGTAACCTCCCCCAGGTTAGTAAATAAAACTTTAGTAGCACCCCAGTAGCAAGCCATGGCGCCTCCTAATTTACAACCTCACCATCACTCTAAGAAGTGACTACTGTCCTGAATTTTGTGATTAATATTTTCTTCCATTAGTTTCCACTTTTAACATATGTGTGTGCGTCCTTCAATGGCATAGCATAGTTTTATCTATGTAAATGAAGTTACACTGTGAGACAAAAACAAATGAAATAAAATAAATAATACCATAGTGCTACTGGATAGAGGACACATCAATGAAGAGAACAGAAAGACTAGAAACAGATTTAAGCATGTATATTAATTACACATGCCTACTCATGTCTTTTTTCAAAATAGATGCCAAATGAGATAAATATTTAGTGTAAAAATTAAACCAATAAAAAATTAGAAAACTTTAATAGACAGTTCTTTTTATTTATTTATTTATTTATTTTTGAGACGGAGTCTCGCTCTGTCACCCAGGATGGAGTGCAGTGGCACTATCTCGGCTCACTGCAACCTCCACCTCCCAGATTGAAGGGATTCTCCTGCCTCAGCCTCCCAAGTAGCTGGGACTACAGGTGCGTGCCACTACGCCTGGCTAATTTTTTGTATTTTTAGTAAAGAGGGGGTTTCACCATGTTAACCAGGTGATCCGCCCACCTCAGCCTCCCAAAGTGCTGGGATTATAGGCGTGAGCCACCGCGCCCGGCCAATAGACATTTCTTAAAAGAACATATACAAATAGCCAACAGGCACATGAAAAAATGCTCAACATCACTAATTATCAGAGAAATGTGAATCAAAACCACAAAGAGATACCACTTCACTCCAGTTAGAATGGCTATTACCAAAAAGATGAAAGAAAATAAGTGTTGGTGAGGACGTGGAGAAAAGGAAACATTTAAACACTGTTAGTGGAATTGTTAACTAGTACAGCCACTCTGGAAAATAGGATGGAGATTCCTCAAAAAATTAAAAATAGGCTGGATGTGGTGGCTCACACCTGTAATCCCAGCACTGTGGAAAGCTGAGGCGGGAAGATCACTTGAGCCCAGGAGTTTGAGACCAGCCTGGGCAACATGGCCATCTCTACAAAAAATACAAAAAAATTAGCCAGGCATGGTGGTGCTGGCCTGTAGTCCCAGCTACTCACGAGGTTGAGACAGGAGGATTGCTTGAGAATCAGTAGGTGGAGGCTGCAGTGAGCCGTGATCACACCACTGAACTCTAACCTGGGCAACAGAGTGAGACCTGTCTCAAAAAGAAAAGAAAATTAAAAATAGAACTACAATGCAATCCAGCACTCCAACTACTGGGTGTATATCCAAAAGAAATGCAATCTGTCTATCAAAGAGATATCTGCACTACCATGTTTATTGCAGCACTATATGTAACAGCCAAGTTATGAAATCAACCCAAGTGTCCAACAATAGAGGCATGGATTAAGAAAACGTGGTTTGTATACACAATGGAGAACTTTCAGTCATAAAACAGAATGAAATCCTGCCATTTGGGACAACGTGGATGAGCCTGGAGGGCATCAGGTTAAGTGAAACAAGCCAGACACAGAAAGAAAAATACCTCATGACCTCACTCAGGTGAAATCTAAAAAATGAAAGAGTTGCTATCATAGAAGCAGAGAGTAGAACAGTAGTTACCATAGCCTGGGGAAGGGAGGTGAAGGCGGAGAAGGCAAAGAGGTTGGTCAATGGAAACAAAGTGACAATTAGATGGAAGAAATGAGTTCCAGTGTTCTGTTACACAGTAGAGTGACTTATAGTAAACGGTAAGGTATTGTATATTACAAAATAACTAGAAGAGAGGCTTTTGAATGTTCTCACCACAAAGAAATGATAAATGCATGCAGTGATGGGTATGTTAAATACCCTGATTTGATCACTATACAACATATACATTTATGGAAACATCAAATTTTGCCCCTTAAATATGCACAATTACAATGTGTTAATTAAACATAGTAAATTTTTAAAAGAAGTTTTTAAAATACTAGAGGAAAATAAGGGGAATATTTGTGTTATATTACTGTATATTTTTAACTTATATAAAATGTCCAACATATGCAAATCTATAGAAACAGAAAGGTTTGTTTTTGCTTAAGACTAGGGAATTGGGAAAAAATGTGAATGACAACTAATGGGTAAGGGGTTTCTTTTGAGGGGGTCTCCCTCTGTCACCCAGGCTAGAGTGCAGTGGTGCCATGTCAGCTCTGCAGCCTCGACCTCCTGGGCTCAAATGATCCTCCTGCCTCAGCCTCCTGAATAGCTGGGATTACAGGTGCACGCCACCACACCTGGCTAATTTTTGTATTTTTAGTAGAATCGGAGTTTTGCCGTGTTGGCCAGGCTGATCTAAAACTCTTGAGCTCAGGTGGTCCACCCACCTCAGCCTCCCAAAGTGCTGTAATTACAGGCGTGAGCCATCTCACCCAGCCAAAGTGTCTAAATTTTTTTTAAAAACCTGTTTAAAAAGTAAATTTCTGGTCCCCAGGCCCCAAAACCAAGATAATCCACCTAGCCATACACAGTTGCCAGTCTTTGATTCTTACTATACAAAAACTGTATTTGACAATGCAATATCTGAGTATAGGCAAATATGAATATCTCAACTTAATATCTTCTAATACAGACAATTTTCTCATAGTATTTCTTTTTCTTTTTCTTTTTCTTTTTTAATTTTTGAGACAAGGTCTTTCTCTGTTGCTCAGGCTAGAGTGCAGTGACACAATCATAGCTTACTGCAGCCTCGACCTTCTGGGCTGAAGTGATCCTCCCGCCTCAGCCTATAACGTGCATATAGCTGGGACTATAGGCATGCACCGTCATGCCTGGCTAATTTTTTTAGTCCTTGTAGAGACAAGGTCTTGCTCTGTTGCCCAGGTTGGTTTCAAACTCCTGGGCTCAAGGGATCTGCCCACCTTGACTTCCCAAAGTGCTGGGATTACAGGTGTGAGCCACTCTATCTGGCCTGTATTTCTATTATAACACTGTCATATCTGAATTAAAACTGTTATGATAATAAACCTTTTACAACTTTGCTTTCTCAGTTGCCAATTATTCAGGAAAGTTCTTCTTTTTGATAAGTGAGCCAGCCATTGGGAAATAGTACCATCCAAACCAGTTCCTTCACTTCACAAATGAGATTCTGACACTAGGGAAAGTTCATGGCTTGCCTGAGGTCGCTCCTCTGTTCTGTGAGAGCCTCTGCTAGAACAATGGGCTCCTGATTCCCCAGCAACCTGGGGTTCTCTCTAACCTTTTGGTTTTTCTTTCTTTCTTTCTTTCTTTTTTTGTTTGAGGTGGAGTCTTGCTCTGTCGCCCAGGCTGGAGTGCAGTGGCACGATCTCGGCTCACTGCAAGCTCCGTCTCCCAGGTTCACGCCATTCTCCTGCCTCAGCCTCCCGAGTAGCTGGGATCACAGGTGCCCGCCACCATGCCCGGCTAATTTTTTGTATTTTTAGTAGAGACGGGGTTTCACCATGTTAGCCAGGATGGTCTCGATCTCCTGACCTCATGATCCGCCCGCCTCGGCCTCCCAAAGTGCTGGGATTACAGGTGTGAGCCAACGCGCCCGGCCACCTTTTGGTTTTTCAATGGTAATTCTTCCTTTAAAGATGAACATGTTTTCTGAATTTAGTCTGTGTTCATCTTTGGACACAGCCATCTCTGGGGACAGTAAAGGCAGAATCTAGGTTTCCACTTTCCTCTGTGTACTCACAGGTTATACTTAGTTCTAAAGTCCACTGGTCCCCAAACCAACATCAAGCAATTTAATACAAACCCAAAGTAGGATCAACACTGTTCAGTTCTTAAATATAACTTGTAGAGAATTAGCAAGTACTGGCAAGTTTTGAATACATTTGAAGGTCATTTATTATCTAGTATTCCTTGGATGAGTCTTTGAGGAAGACAGCCAATGTACCATAGATTATATGAAATTATATGTAGAAATAACTAAAAGCAGAAATCAAGAAGTATCACTTCCTTGAAGGAAAGTTTAAGAATCTTTGGACTAATAGTCTTGTATTTTCTGAGTAAATCATGCAAAAAAAGATAATCACATACCTGTTCCTATGACAGTTAATTATTTGAGCTACATATGCCAGGCATTATGCTAAGAACTTTAAATATATTCTCTTTTATATAATAACTATACAAGTTGGGTGCTAAGATTACCCCCATTTTATAGATGAGAAAACAGCCATGGAGAGATTACAAATTTACCCAAACACAGTTGAGTGTGGTGTCTCATGCCTATAATCCCAATAAGTTGGGAGGCCGAGGCAGGTGGATCACTTGAGGCCAGGAGTTTGAGACCAGCCTGACCAACATGGTGAAACCCCATCTCTACTAAAAACACAAAAATTAGCTGGGCATGCTGGTGAGCACCTGTAGTCCCAGCTACTCGGGAGGCTGAGGTGGAAGGATCGCTAAAACCTGGGAGGTGGCGGCTGCAGTGAGCCGAGATAGTAACATTGCACTCCAGCCTGGGAAACAGAGTAAGACTCTGTCTCAAAAAAAAGAAAAAGAAAAAAACTTATCAAACACATGCTGCTGGCAAGTGTTGGAGCCAAGATTTGAACTAAGGTTGTCTGACACCACGTCCTTATTCTCCTAACAATTCTACCATGTGCTTCTCTAGATAGCTATCATCTATCATTCTTCTATCTATCTGTGAATATAATCCTCAAATATGTATATCAGGATTATGAGGGACTTTTTTCTTATTTTAATCTTCCTAGAACTTTGCAATTATGTTTTATAGAAAAATAATTTTAAATAGGTATAGCATACTTATGGGTGTTATTTTGTGTACAAATTGCAAAATAATATTGGCATTTTGCCCAAATGTGTAAACACCTTACCAATGTATACCTAAAAATTATAAAGTAATGCTTGCTTTTGTCAGAGAGGAGAAAAAAATACATGATATTTTCTATGTAGTAGTATATTTCAAATGTGGTTATAAGAACAGAAATGATACCAGTCAGGGTTCAGTTGTGGGAAATAGGAAGTACTCCACTTTAAGCAGAAGGTATTTAGTACAGGGAATTAGGTACTTACATAATTGAAGGTTGGGAAACAAACTCGGCTGGGCCTCCAAGAATCACTCACAGAATGACACTGCTCAACTGTTCTTCCAGGAGAACTGTTCCTGGGTCATAATAAGAAGGGGGAGTAGTATGGCCATTTTCACAATATTGATTCTTCCTATCCATGAGCATGGAATGTTCCTCCATTTGTTTGTGTCCTCTTCTACTTTGTTGAGCAGTGGTTTGTAGTTCTCTTTGAAGAGGTCGTTCACATCCCTTGTAAGTTTGATTCCTAGGTATTTTATTCTCTTGGAAGCAATTGTGAATGGGAGTTCACTCAGATTTGGCTCTCTGTTTGTTTGTTATAGATGTATAGGAATGCTTGTGATTTTTGCACATTGAATTTGTATCCTGAGACTTTGCTGAAGTTGCTTATCAGCTTAAGGAGATTTTGGGCTGAGACGATGGGGTTTTCTAGATATACAATCATGTCATCAGCAAACAGGGATAATTTGACTTCCTCTTTTCCTAACTGAATACCCTTTATTTCTTTCTCTTGCCTGATTGCCCTGGCCAAAACTTCCAATACTATGTTGAATAGGAGTGGTGAAAGAGGGCATCCCTGTCTTGTGCCAGTTTTCAAAGGGAATGCTTCCAGTTTTTGCCCATTCAGTATGATATTGGCTGACTGCCCGAGGTAATTTATAGATTCAATGCCATCCCCATCAAGCTACCAATGACTTTCTTCACAGAATTGGAAAAAACTACTTTAAAGTTCATATGGAACCAAAAAAGAGCCCACATTGCCAAGACAATCCTAAGCAAAAAGAACAAAGCTGGAGGCATCACGCTACCTGACTTCAAACTATACTACAAGGCTACAGTAACCAAAACAGCACGGTACTGGTACCAAAACAGAGATATAGACCAATGGAACAGAACAGAGCCCTCAGAAATAACACCACACATCTACAACCATCTGATCTTTGACAAACCTGACAAAAACAAGAAATGGGGAAAGGATTCCCTATTTAATAAATGGTGCTGGGAAAACTGACTAGCCACATGTAGAAAGCTGAAACTGGATGCCTTCCTTACACCTTATACAAAAATTATTTCAAGATGGATTAAAGACTTAAATGGTAGATCTAAAACCATAAAAACCCTAGAAGAAAACCTAGGAAATACCATTCAGGCCATAGGCATGGGCAAGGACTTCATGACTAAAACACCAAAAGCAATGGCAACAAAAGCCAAAATTGACAAATGGGATCTAATGAAACTAAAGAGCTTCTGCACAGCAAAAGAAACTGCCATCAGAGTGAACATGCAACCTACAGAATGGGAGAAAATTTTTACAATCTACCCAACTGACAAAGGACTAATATCCAGAATCTACAAAGAACTTAAACAAATTTACAAGAAAAAATCAAACAACCCCATCAAAAAGTGGGCAAAGGATATAAAGAGACACTTCTCAAAAAAAGACATTTATGCAGCCAACAGACACATGAAGAAATGCTCATCATCACTGGTCATCAGAGAAATGCAAATCAAAACCACAATGAGATATCATCTCACACCAGTTAGAATGGCAATCATAAAAAAGTCAGGAAACAACAGGTGCTGGAGAGGATGTGGAGAAATAGGAACACTTTTACACTGTTGGTCAGACTGTAAACTAGTTCAACCATTGTGGAAGACAGTGTGGCGACTCCTCAAGGATCTAGAACTAAAAATACCATTTGACCCAGCCATCCCATTACTGGGTATATACCCAAAGGATTATAAATCATGCTGCTATAAAGACACATGCACACGTATGTTCATTGCAACACTATTCACAATAGCAAAGACTTGGAACCAACCCAAATGTCCATCAATGATAGACTGGATTAAGAAAATGTGGCACATATACACCATGGAATACTATGCAGCCATCCAAAAGGATGAGTTCTTGTCCTTTGTAGGGACATGGATGAAGCTAGAAACCATCATTCTGAGCAAACTATCGCAAGGACAGAAAACCAAACACCACATGATCTCACTCATAGGTGGGAACAATGAGAACACTTGGACACAGTGTGGGGAACATCACACACCAGGGCCTGTCGTGGGGTGCGGGGAGCGGGGAGGGATAGCATTAGGAGATATACCTAATGTAAATAACGAGTTAACAGGTACAGCACACCAACATGGCACATGTATACATATGTAACAAACCTGCACATTGTGCACATGTACCCTAGAACTTTAAGTATAATAAAAAAAAGGGGGGGGGGAGTAAGCAGGAGTTTACCATTGAATCTCCTGAGTTTGAGAGTGCATGGCCATCACTGTGTTCCAGGGATCAGAAAAACAACTCTAACCACCCTCTGACACCTGTAAATCTGGAGCTAGGACGTCACACCACAGCTGCAGCAAAACTCAACAGCTGAATCAGTAGGAAGTGCCCTTCATTACACTCCAGTCTTTGAAGTCTAAAGACAGTACATGGAATTGATGTCAACTAATTTGTATCCAGAAACAGCTGCAAGGGGTTCTGGGAATTATAGTGTTTAGCCCCCAAGCTCTGTATAGGAAGACACACTAGAAGAAATCTGGAGATTGAATGTCAATTTAAGATTTCCACCACAGAGTGCATTACCAAATAATGTAACTGGGATTCCTATAGCTATAAGCCAATGTAGTCTATGTCCCACTGGCAAACCACCAACTCAGTAATTGGACAGCAGCCTCCAGTACTTCATGAAGAGATATGTGATGTTGTCTAACAAGTTCCACTGGAATTGCTACAGAAACAGGAATCAAGAGAGAAGAAACTTGGTTTGTGGATTCTTTTTTTAACCTGTTTAAATCACTCTTGCAAAAAACAAAATCTGTTTGTCCCCAAAGGTTACATACTATCAATAGATACATGATAGCTACCTTGACAAAATATGTCTTAAGACCAAAAAAATAACAAAAATTGGCAATGTCCTTGTGTGTGTGTGTCAACAGAGACTAGAAAATAATTCATTGTAGTAACAGGGAAAAAGTGCTTATGATACAACCTTAGTGTTAAAACGGTGCAAAATTATATAGAGTAAAAGCACCATATATCATAAAACAACAAAATGTTACTAGTAATTAAGGAATAATGAGATACTATTTACCACCCATCAGATTGGCAAAAAAATAAAAAGACTGATACTATCTAGTATTGGTGATGGTGGGAGGAAATGGGGAGTCTTACAGAATTTCAGTTTGAGTGCAAATTGGGTCAGTGGTAGTTATTAAAGTAGAAAAGGTACACACCATTCAGAACAGCAATTCTACCTTTAGGTATCTGAGAAAAATGTTCCCCTGTGTACAAAGAGTCAAGTACTAAGAATGTTGTCACACTGTTTATTCTAGCAAAAACCGAAAACAATCTATGATGCCATCAATACACAGAATAAATTATATCCATACAGTAGACTAGGTCATCTTTAATATGGACAAGGTAGACTTCTATGTACAGACCTACACATACCACAATAATATATTATTAAGTTAAAAATAAATTGCATAAAATAATGGTATATTCACATTTATGTCATGTATACACACACACATACACACAAACAAAAAGTAATAATTATATTTATTTAGAACAAAACATTCACTCACAACAAAAAGTATAGGAGACAGAAATTTCTTTACATGCTATGGAAAAAGTACCATAAGGGAAAGATAAATTTAAAAAGCAAACCTAATGGCTTATACTTCTCGCATAATGAATTAACTAGAACAACTTCATAAAGAGAACTTTAGCTAAAAACACTGAAATTAGACAGGATACTCATGGATGGTTGTAAGAACTCATGAATGTAGCAAAAATAGTAAGAAAATCCCTGAGTAGAGGTGAAAAGTCAGCCAAATATGGTGATAGCTGGTTATTCAGAATAGAATTTCAGTTCAACTTTAAATTCACCTAAAGAAATGTTAATCTTAATGTAAGTTTAAGTGTTAATCTAAAAAGGGACACCTCTTTATAAACAAGAAATAATTTTTAATAAAGTGTAAGTTATTAAATTGTCATAGGTGGCTTAAAAGTAGCCAGCCACTAATTAAGAACTCATTCAAGCCCAGCAATTCTGATATCTTAATCCCAACTATTTCCATAAGCCCCTAACATTTTACTGATTAACCTATTTATAACCAGAAGAAATACTGTTAATATAAATAACAAGAAACAAAATCTCCTTGCAGAAACTTAGATCGGATATCCACTGATAGTTAATGACTAAAGAAAACTAAATTAATTAATTGACTGTTTATTCAAATAATTATTAACACAACACAGGCATGCACCTAAGGAAAGATCTCAAAAAGTAAAAGGATCTCAGCAAACACAAATGCCACCTGTTTAATGAAACATCACCTCTAGCAACCTAGTATTAGAGGCACTGCCTACTCAGTGACATGTTTAACAGCTTTGGTCTCCTGACCATGCAAAGGCAACATAATCACTGGTTCCCTAAATAGGAACTTGAATGAATGGCCACAGGAAGGATTAACTGTCTCTTACTTTCCATGAAATTGGCCTTCACATGAAGAGGCAAGGATATAAAAATAAGACAAGATGACCCTATGAAGGTTAAATTAATGAGACCATATAAAAGCAAACAACCCAATTATAAAGCATAACACTGTACTTACTGGACTAAAACTTTCAGCTGGGGTGACCTCAGAGCACAACATAACCTCCAAATGATTAACACTTAGACCTATCCAGTTGAAGTAGCATAATCATCAACTGACCCAAACAATTCAATCAACAGAAAAAGTTACCCTAGGAATAACAGTGTAATCCTATTCTAGAGTCCATATTGACAATAGGATTTACAACTTTGATGTTGAATCAGAACATCCCTTTGACGTAAACATTGTTAATTGTTCATTTGTTTAACAATTAAAGTCCTATGTGATATGCATTCAGATAGGAGCAATCCAGGTTGGTTTCTAACTACAGGCATACTTGAGAGATATTGAGGATTCAGTTCCAGACCACTGCAATAAAGAAGTATCACAATAAATTGAGTCACACAAATTCTTTCACTTCCCAGTGCATATAAAAGTTATATTTGCACTATACTATTGTCTATTAAGTGTGCAATAGTATTAGACCTTAAAAATGCACATACCTATATTTTAAAACAATGTATTGCTAAAAAATGCTAACAATCATCTAAGCCTTCCACAAGTCAATCTTTCTGCTGGTAGAGGATGTTGCCTCCATGTTGATGGCTGCTGACTGATCAGGGTGGTGGTTGCTGAAAGTTGGGGTGGCTTTGGCAATTCAGTCACATCTTGAGGTTCTACTTCTAGTTCTCTTGCTATTTGCACCACATGCAGCTATGTTCTCTACTGACATCTTAAACCCAACAAAGTCATCCATGAGGGTTGGAATCAACTTCTTCCAAACTCCTGTTAATGTTGATATTTTGACTTCCCCCCAAGAATCATGAATGTTCTTAGTAGCATCCAGAATGGTGAATGCTTTCCAGAAAGTTTTCAATTTAGTTTGTCCAGATACCTCAGAGGAGTCACTGTCTGTGGCAGCTATAGCCTTACAAAATGTATCTTAAATAATAAGACTTTGAAAGTCAAATTGACCCCTTGACCCATGGGATGCAGAATGGATGTGTTAGCAGGCATGAACATAACATTAATCTCCTTGTACATCTCTGTCAGAGCTCTTGGTTGGCCAAGTGCATTGTCAATGAGCAGTAATATTTTAAAAGGAATCTTTTTTTCTGAGCAGAAGGTCTCAAAAGTGTGCTTAAAATATTCAGTAAACCATTCTGTAAACAGATGTGCTGTCACCTAGACTTTGTTGTTCCAGTTATAGAGCACAGGCTGAGTAGAGTTAGGAGAGTTCTTAAGGGCCCTAGGATTTTCACAATGGTAAATGCATGGGCCTCACCTTAAAATTACCTGCTGCATTGGGCCCTATCAAGAGAGTCAGCCTGTCCTTTGAAGCTTTGAAGCCAGGCATTGACTTCTCCTCTCTGGCTATGAAAGTCCTAGATGGCATCTTCTTCTGATATAAGGCTGTTTCATGTACATTGAAAATGTTGTTTAGCATAGCTACCTTCATCAATGACCTTAGCCAAATCTTCTGAATAACTTGCTATTATTATTAATACATTATACTCTGGGTAATGAACAATCATAAAAATCCCCAACCCAACAGCATCCCTAATAATTACTGTGGCACTAGTTATAAAACTTGGACTCTCCCCATTCCATTTTTGAGTCCCAGAAATAACAGAAGGAAATCCACTAATATCAGGCATAATCCCATTAACATGACCAAAACGGGTACCAATTTCAATTCTACTCCAAGTATCATCAATTGACCTAAACATAATACCAATCATTGCTATAATATTAATTCTTGTAGGAGGCTGAGGACTAAATCAGACACAATGACAAAAAAACTTAACCTATTCATCAATTACAATAATCTTGTCTACGAATTTACATTATACTAAAAATTACTGTATTCATAATATTCAGTTTAAACACAACTATCACAACATTATCACTTCCACATACATAAAATAAATTATCACTAATAACTTCCACAATCCTTATAATCCTATTATCTTTAGGGTTACAATCACCACTTACAGGATTTTTACCCAAATTAATCATTATTCTGGAATTAACCCCCAAAATAGCATTATTATACCAAAATTTATAGTTATCATGCATTATTCAACTTACATTTTTATATACAATTGTTAGTGATGTTGAGCATCATTAACAATATTCCCAACAACCAACAACATGAAAACAAAGAGACAATTCAAAAATACAAAACATTCTTTCTATCATTACTTGTTATACTATCAACCTTTTTCCCTCTGACTTGCACCAATATTCTCAACACTGGACTAGGAATTTAATTTAGACAGACCAAGAACCTTCAGATCACTAAGGCTGGGCATGGTGACTCATGCCTGTAATCCTAGCACTTTGAGAGACCAAGACAGTTCAAGGCATTACTAGAGGCCAGGAGTTCAAGACCAACCTGGCCAACATAGCGAGACCTCGTCTCTACAAAAAAAAAAAAAGACTAAGAAAGTACTCCATACTTAATTCCTGAAAAATAAGGACACAAGACTCTATCTTACATCAGCAGAATGCAAATCAAACACCTTAATTAAGCTAAATCCTTACTAGACAGATCAGTGGCATCCAATCCCGCAGAGAGTTAGTTAACTGCTAACTCTAATCAACTGGGTTTAATCTACTTCTGCCATCAAGGGAAAAAAGGTGGGAGAAACCCTGGAAGAATTAGAGCAGCTCTTTTGAGTTTGCAATTCACTTTAAATATTCACCACAAGACTTGGTAAAAAGAGAGCTCAATCTCTCTTTAGATTTATAGTCTAAAGCTTACTCAGCCATTTTACCTTACTGTCTACATTCATTAATCTTGACAAACCACAAAGGTATTAACACACTGCATTTACTATTTGATGCTTGAGCTGGAATAGTAGAAACTTTCCTAAATCTTTTAATTTGAACTGAAATGGGTCAATCAGTGGCCCTGATAGTTGATGATCAAATTTTATAATGTCATCATCACTGCCTATGTGCTGGTAATAATGTTTTTTATTTATTTATTTTTATTATTTTTCCATAGGTTACTGGGGTACAGGTGGTGTTTGGTTACATGAGTTTTTTTTTTTCGTTTGTTTGTTTTTTGTTTTTTGACACGGAGTTTTGCTCTCGTCGCTCAGGCTGGAGTGCAATGGCGTGATCTCAGCTCACTGCAACCTCTGCCTCCCGGGTTCGAGCGATTCTCCTGCCTCAGCCTCCCAAGTAGCTGGGATTACAGGGATGTGACACCACGCCCGGCTAATTTTTATATTTTTAGTAGAGATGGGGTTTCACCACGTTGGCTAGGCTGGTCTCAAACTCTTGACCTCAGGTGATTCATCCACCTCAGCCTCCCAAAGTGCTGAGATTACAGGCGTGAGCCACCACACCCAGCAGTTTATATGAGTAAGTTCTTTAATGGTGATTTGTGAGATTTTGGTGCACCCATCATCTGAGTAGTATACACTGCACCCTATTTGTAGTCTTTTATCCCTCGCCCCCACACTCCCACTCTTACCCCCAAGTCCCCAAAGTCCATTGTATCATTCTTATGCCTTTGTGTCCTCATAGCTTAGCTCCTACATATCAGTGAGAACATAACGATGTTTGGTTTTCCATTCCTGAGTTACTTCATTTAGAATAATAATCTCCAATCTCATCCAGGTTGCTGGGAATGCCATTAATTCATTCCTTTTTATGGCTGAGTAGTATTCCATCATATATATATATATATATATATATATATATATATATATATATCTCACAGTTTATCCACTCATTATTGATTGATGGGCATTTGGGTTGGTTCCACGATTTTGCAATTGCAAATTGCTGCTATAAACATGTGTGTGCAAGTATCTTTTTCATATAATGACTTCTTTTCCTCTGGGTATATACCCAGTAGTGGGATTACTGGATCAAATGGTAGTTCTACTTTTAGTTCTTTAGGGGATCTCCACACTGTTTTCCACAGTGGCTGTTACAGTTTACATTCCCACAAACAGTGTGTAAGTGTCCCCTGATTACTGCATCCATGCCAACATCTGCTTTTTTAAATTTTTTGATTACGGCTATTCTTGCAGGAGTAAGGTGGTATCGCATTGTGGTTTTGATTTGCATTTCCCAGATCACTGGTGATGTTGAGCATCTTTTCATATGTTTGTTGGCCATTTGCATATCTTCTTTTGAAGATTGCCTATTCGTGTCCTTAGCCCACTTTTTGATGGGATATTTTTTTCTTGCCAATTTGTTTGACTTTGTTGTAGATTCTGGATATTAGTCCTTTGTCAGATGCGTAGACAGTGAAGATTTTTCTCCCATTCCGTGGGTTGTCTGTTTATTCTGCTGACTGTTCCTTTTGCCATGCAAAAGCTCTTCAGTTTAATTAAGTCCCAGCTATTTATATTTCTTTTTATTGCATTTGCTTTTGGGTTCTTGGTCATGAAATCCTTGCCTAAGCCAATGTCTAGAAGGGTTTTTCCAAGGTTATCCTCTATATTTTTTACAGTTTCAGGTCTTAGATTTAAGTCCTTAATCCATCTTGAGTTGATTTTTGTATAAGGTGAGGGATGAGGATCCAGTTTCATTCTCCTACATGTGACTAGCCAATTATCCCAGCACTATTTGTTGAAAAGAGAGTCCTTTCCCCACCTTATGTTTTTGTTTGCTTTGTCAAAGATTAGTTGGCTGTAAGTATTTGGGTGTATTTCCAGATTCTCTATTCTGTTCCATTGGTCTATGTGCCTATTTTTATACCAGTACCATGCTGTTTTGGTGACTATGGCCTTATAGTATAGTTTGAAATCAGGTAGTATGATGCCTCCAGATTTGTTCTTTTTGCTTAATCTTGCTTTGGTTATGCAAGCTCTTTTTTGGTTCCATATGAATTTTAGAATTGTTTTTCTAATTCTGTGAAGAATGATGGTGGTATTTTGATGGGGATTACATTGAATTTGTAGATTGCTTTTGGGAGTATGGTCATTTTTACAATATTGAGTCTATTCATTTACAAGCATGGGATGTGTTTCCATTTGTTTGTGTCATCTACAATTTATTTCAGCAATGTTTTGTAGTTTTCCTTGTAGAGGTCTTTCACCTCCTTGGTTAGGTATATTCCTAAGTATTTTATTTTATTTTTTGCAGCTATTGTAAAAAGGGTTGAGTTCTTGATTTGATTCTCTGCTTGGTCACTGTTGGTATATAGAAGAGCTACTGATTTGTGTACATTAATCTTGTATCCAGAAACTTTGCTGAATTATTTTATCAGTTCTAGGAGCTTTCTGGAGGAGTCTTTAGGGTTTTCGAGATAAATTATCATATCGTCAGGAAACAGTGATAGTTTGACTTTCTCTTTACCAATTTGGATGCCCTTTATTTCTTTCTCTTGTCTGATTGCTCTGGCTAGGACTTCCATTACTATGTTGAAGAGGAGTGGTGAGAGTGGGCATCCTTATCTTGTTCCAGTTCTCAGAGGGAATGCTTTTTGATTTTTCCCCATTCAGTATTATGTTGGCTGTGGATTTGTCATAGATGGCTTTTATTACATTGAGGTATGTCCCTTGTATGCCGATTTTGCTGAGAGTTTTAATCATAAAGGGATGCTGGATTTTGTCAGATGCTTTTTCTGTATCTATTGAGATGATCATGTGATTTTTGTTTTTAATTCTGTTTATGTGGTGTATCACATTTATTGACTCGTGTATGTTAAACCATCCCTGCATCCCTGGTATGAAACCCACTTGATCATGGTGGATTATCTTTTTGATATGTTGTTGGATTCAGTTAGCTAGTATTTTGTTAAAGATTTTAGCAACTATGTTCATTAGGGATATTGGTCTGTAGCTTTCTTTTTTGGTTATGTACTTTCCTAGTTTTGGTATTAGGGTAATGCTGGCTTCATAGAATGAATTAAGGAAGGTTCCCACTTTTTCTATCTTGTGGAGTACTGTCAATAGGATTGGTAACAATTCTTCTTTGAATGTCTGGTAGAATTCTGCTGTGAATCCACCTGGTCTCGGACTTTTTTTTGTTCGTTATTTTTTAATTACCATTTCAATCTTGCTGCTTGTTCTTGGTCTGTTCAGGGTATCTAATTCTTCCTGACTTAAGCTAGGAGGGTTGTATTTTTCCAGGAATTTATCAATCTCTTCTAGGTTTTCTAGTTTATGCACATAAAGGTGTTCGTAGTAGCACTGAATGATCTTTCGTGTTTCTATGGTGTCAGTTGTAATATCTCCTGTTTCATTTCTTATTGAGGTTATTTGGATTTTCTCTCCTCTTTTCTTGGTTAATCTTGCTAATGGTCTATCAATTTTATTTTTCTTTTCAAAGAACTAGCTTTTGTTTCATTTATCTTTTGTATTTTTTGTTGTTGTTGTTTCAATTTCATTTAGTTCTGCTCTGATCTTGGTTATTTCCTTTCTTCTGCTGGTTTCTTGTTTCTCTAGTTCCTTGAAGTGTGACCTTAGAATGTCAGTTTGTGCTCTTTCAGTCTTTGTGATGTAGGCGTTTAGGGCTATGAACTTTGCTCTTAGCACTGCCTTTGCTGTATCCCAGAGGTTTTGATAGGTTGTGTCACTATTGTCATTCAGTTCAAAGAATTTTTAAATCTCCATCTTGATTTCATTTTTGACCCAATGATCATTCAGGAGCAGGTTATTAATTTCCATGTATTTGCATGGTTTTGATGGTTCCTTTTGGAGTCGATTTCCAGTTTTATTCCACTGTGGTCTGACAGACTGCTTGATATAATTTCACTTTTCTTAAATTTATTGAGGCTCGTTTTGTGACCTGTCATATAGTCTATCTTGGAGAATGTTCCATGCACTGTTGAATAGATTGTGTATTCTGCAGTTGTTGGATGGAGTGTTCTGTATATATCCTTTAAGTCCATTTGTTCCAAGGTATAGTTTAAATCCATTGTTTCTTTGTTGACTTTCTGAATTGATGACCTGTCTAGTGCTGTCAGTGGAGTATTGAAGTCCCCTGCTATTATTGTGTTGCTGTCTATCTCATTTCTTACATCTATTAGTAATTGTTTCATAAATTTGGGAGCTCCAGTGTTAGGTGCATATATGTTTAGGATTGTGATATTTTCCTGTTGGTCAAGGCCTTTTACCATTATATAATGTCCCTCTTTATCTTTTTTAACTGCTGTTGCTTTAAAGTTTGTTTTGTCCGATGTAAGAATAGCTACTCCTGCTTGCTTTTGGTGTCCATTTGCATGAAATGCCTTTTTCCACCCCTTAACTTTAAGTTTATGTGAGTCCTTATGTGTTAGGTGAGTCTCTTGAAGGCAGCAGATAGTTGGTTGGTGAATTATTATCCATTCTGCAGTTCTGTGTCTTTTAAGTGGAGCATTTAGGCATTTAGGCCATTTACATTGAATGTTAGTACTGAGATTTGAGGTACCATTTCATTCATTGTGCTATTTGTTACCTGTGTACCTTGGTTTTTTGGGTTTTTTTTTTTTTTTTGCCTTTTAAATTGTATTTTTCTTTTAGGTCCTGTGAGATTTATGATTTAAAGAGGTTCGTTTTGATGTGTTTCCAGGATTTGTTTCAAGATTTAGAGTTCCTTTTAGCAATTCTCGTAGTGGTGGCTTGGTAGTGGTGAATTCTCTCAGTATTTGTTTGTCTGAAAAAGACTGTCTTTCCTTATAGATGATGCTTAGTTTCACTGGATATGAAATTCTTAGCTGATAATTGTTTTTTTGAAAAGGCTGAAGATAGGGCCCCAATCTCTTCTAGATTGTAGGGTTTCTTCTGAGAAATCTGCTGTTAATCTGATAGGTTTTCCTTTATAGGTTACCCAGTGCATTCATCTCACAGTTCTTAAGATTCTTTCCTTCATCTTAACTTTAGATATCCTGATGACAATGTGCCTAGGCAATGATTTTTTGCGATGAATTTCCCAGTTGTTCTTTGTGCTTCTTGTATTTGGATGTCTAGGTCTCTAGCAAGGCTGGGCAAGTTTGCCTTGATTATTCCCCCAAATGTGTTTTCCAAACTTTTAGATTTCTCTTCTTCCTCAGGAATGCTGATTATTCTTAGGTTTGGTCATTTAACATAATCCCAGACTTCTTGGAGACTAAGTTCATATTTTCTTATTCTTTTTTCTTATAGTTCCTCAGGCTGTATAGGAAGCATAGCAGCTTCTGCTCAGCTTCTGGAGAGGCCTCAGGAAACTTACAGTCATGATGGAAAGCAAAGGGAAAGCAGGCATGTCTTCACACAGCCAGAGCAGGAGGAAGAGAGGGTAAGTGGGAGGTGCTGCACACTTTTAACCAACCAGATCTCATGAGAACTCTATCACAAGAATAGCATCAAAGGGATGGTGCTAAACCATTCACGAAGGATCCACTCCCATAATCCAATCACCTCCCACTAGGCCCCATTCTAACACTGGGGATTACAATTCAACATGAGATTTGGGTAGGGACACAAATCCAAACCATGTCACTATTCCCACAGGAGTTAAAGTATCTAGTTGACTAGCAACACTACATGGAGGTAATATTAAATGATCTCCAGCTGTATTTTGAGCCTTAGGCTGTATTTCTCTATTTATAGTTGAGGGCCTAATAGGAATTGTACTAGTTAACTCATCACTAGACATTGTTCTTTGTAGCACATATTATGTTGTAGCACATTTCTACTATGTTCTATCAACAGGAGCAGTTTTCATTATTATAGGAGGGTTTGTTCACTGATTCTCACAATTTTTAGGTTACACACTGAACCTGAGCCAAAATTCATTTTACAATTATATTTGTGCGTATAAACCTGACTTTCTGCAACATTTCCTTGGTTTATCCAGCATATCATAACAATAGTCTAATTATCCTGATGCATATACAACATGAAAAATCATCTTATCAATAGGCTCCTCTATTTCACTAACAGAATATTAAAAATTTTCATAATTTGAGAAGACTTTACTTCAAAATGAGAAGCCTCAGTAGTGGGGCTTTCATTACAAACTTTGAATGACCTTATGGCTGCCCACCCCCATATCATGCATTTGAAGAGCCTGCTTACGTAAAAGCTTAAGATAAGAAAGGGAGGAATCAAAATCACATAACCAATTTCAAGCCAGACCCATAACCACTAGGCTTTCTCAACAAGTGAGATATTAGTAAGAATACTAAATAACTTAGTTGAAGTTAACTTACAAGTTAAAATCCTTTATATCCTTATGGCATACCCATTCCAGTTAGGCTTCAAGATGCAGCATTACCTATTACAGAAGAACTTTTGCATTTCCATGATCACGCTTTAATAATTATATTTTTAGTTATCCCTTTATTTCTTTACATTATTTTATTAACAATTAAACTAACCCACACAAGTACTATGGATGTTTAAGAAGTAGAGAGAACATAAACTTTTTTTTTTTTTAAGACAGAGTTTCACTCTTGGTTGCCCAGGCTGGAGTGCAATCTCGGATCACTGCAACCTCCACCTCCAGGTTCAAGTGATTCTCCTGCCTCAGCCTCCCAAGTAGCTGGGATTACAGGTATTTTTAGTAGAGATGGGGTTTTGCCATGTTGACCAGGCTGGTCTTGAACTCCTGACCTTAGGTGATCCGCCCACCTCGGCCTCCCAAAGTGCTGGGATTACAAGCATGAGCCACCGTGCCCGGCTGATATGACCTATTTTACCCACTATTATTTTAATCCTAATTGCTTTACCATCTTTACAAATCCTATTAATATACATAATGGATGTAATTAGTAACTCCTCCCTAACTATAAAAACTATAGTCCATCAATGATACTGAAGTTATGAATACACACATTACAAAGACCTAATTTTGATTCCTACATAATCCCTATAACAAATCTAAACCAGGAGAAGTACCACTACTCAATGTTGATAATTGAGTAGTCCTGCCTATAGAAATATCAACTCATATACTAATCTTCTCTAAAAATATCCTACACTCATTACATTTATGAGCTGTTCCATCATTAGGATTAAAAACAGACACATTTTCAGGACGTTTAAATCAAGCAACTCTAACACCCACACAACCAGACCTGTATTATGGACAATGCTCAGAAATTTGTGGATCAAATCACAGCTTTATACCCATAGTACTTGAATTAGTTCCACCAAAACACTTTGAAAACTGATCATCTGTTATAATGTCATTGTGTGAAGCTAAATAACCTTAATATTTTAAGTTCAAGACTGAGAGTATTAATGTCTTCATAATGAAATGCTATGACTAGACACATCAACATGATTTATCAGTTTTTTTTTCTTTTGTAGACAGGATCTTGCTGTGTTGCCCAGGCTGGAGTGCAGTGGCACAATCAGGACTCACTGCAGCCTCAACATCCTGGGCTCAAGAGATCCTCATTTCAGCCAGCTGAGTGGCTGGGACTATAGACGTGTGCCACCATGCCTGGCTAATTTTTTAATTTTTTTGTAGAGATGGGCATCTCACTATGTTGCCCAGCCTGATCTCGAACTCCTAAGCTGAAGTGGTCCTCCTGCCTCAGTCTCCCAAAGTGCTAGGATTACAGGCATGAGCTACCACTGTGCCCTGCCGATTTATCACCCTTGTTTCAATATTTCTAGTACTATATATTCTATCTCAATTAAAAATTTTGAACTATATTTATTCTTTAAATCCATCACCAAAGAACATCAAAGCATCAAAACACTAGATCCCTTGAGGAAAAAAAGTGAACAAAAATTTATTCACTTCTTTCACTACCCCTACAATAACAGGACTACCTATTGTTATTCTAATCATTTCATTTCTAAATATCATGTTTCCTGCCCCCAATCACCTAATCAATAATCTATTGAACAGTCTCTGTTCAACAGTAATTCGTGCAACTCATACTAAAACAATAACAATACATAATATCAAAGAACACATTTGATCTCTAATATTAATTTCACTTATTTATCAGCTAAACAAATTCACTAGGATTATTACCCCACTCACTCCCACCAGCCACCCAATTATCAGAAAATCTAGGTATAACTATCCCACTATCAGCAGGAGCAGTAATTACCTGCTTTCACCACAAAACAAAGCATTATTAATGGCTCACTTCCTACCACAAGGAACACCTTTCCACTTATCCCCATGCTAGTTATTATTGAAACTATAATATTAGCCTTTTTATTCAACCCACGGCCCTAGCAGTACAATTAACAGCCAACATTACAGTGGCTATCTACCATATGCTTAATCAGTGGAGCCACCTTAATCCTAATATCCATTTGCCCGGCAACAGCCTTAGTTACATTTCTCATTACTTATCACTCCTGAATTTACGGTTGCCCTAATTCAGGCTAACATCTTCAAGCTTCTAGTTAGGCTTTACCTAGATGATAATGCTTAGTCACCCACCAGACCAGCTCTTGATCACTTATCAGTTCTGCTCATAGCATTTAGTAGTATAATTTCACTTTAGTTCAATTCTTTTACTATCCTTAGTTGTACTAACTGATACATTAACCGTATATCAATGATAACAAAATGTAGTCAAAGAAAACACATTTCAAAGCCACCACACATTAATTGTTCAAAAAGGCCTGTGATACAAAATGATTCTCTTTATTGTATCAATGTAATTATTGGTGTCACCATTTTTATCATTTCCTTCTTATGTCAATCGCAATTCCTTTTCTTTTATTTAAGACAGAGTCTCACTCTGTCTTCCAGGTTGGAGTGCAGTGGCGTGATCTTGGCTCACTGCAGCCTTGACCTCCCGGACTCAAGTGATCCTCCCACATCCACCCCCTCAGTAGCTGGGACTACAGGCATGGACCACCATGGCCAGCTAATTTTTGTATTTTTTGTAGAGATGAGGTCTCCCTATATTGCCCAGGCTAATTGCAATTTCACTTCTTCACATCTAATCACCCATTCAGATGTGCTGCTGCTGCCTGAGAGTGACATTTTGTAAATGTAGTCTGACTATTTGTATACATCTCTGTTTATTGATGAGGATCCTATTTTAGTATTAATCAGCACAATTGGCCTCCAATAAATTAACTTCAGTATCAACCTGAAAAAGAATAATCAATCTTACATTAACCTTATTAACTAATACATTACTAGCACTACTGCTTATCATCATTGCATTCTGATTACCACAATTAAATATCTATACAGAAAAATCAAGGATATACAAATGCAGATTTGATCCAACAGCATCTGCCCAGCTATGATTTGCCATAAAATTTTTCTTAGTAGCTATAGCTTTCTGATTATTCAATCTAGAAATCCCCTCTAATTACCATTACCATGAGCATCTCAAATAAACAACTCAAAACTCATACTCATTATGGCACTAATTTTAATCCTTATCCTATCCCCAGGCCTAGTTTATGAATGGATGCAAAAAGGACTAGAATTAATTAAATATGGTTTTTAGTTTAAATTAAAACAAACAATTTCAACCCATTAAATTATATTTCATAATTACCAATATACCTTCATTTATATTAACATTATTCTAGCTTATATTGCATACTTAATACAGCTTTCAGTATACCAGTCACACCTATTTTCATTATTATGTTTCGAAGGCATAATGTTATGATTATTTATTGTAAAATTCTAATTTTTTGTTTTTTGTTTTGTTTCATTACAATTTTTTGTTTGTTTTTTGTTTTGTTTTGTTTCAGACAGAGCCTCACTATGTTGCCTAGGCTGGACTCAAACTCCTGGGCTCAACCTATCCTCTCAGCTCAGCCTCCTGTGTGGCTGGAATTTACAGATACATGCCACTGCATCTGGCCATAATTTTAAATATTTATCTTATCCCACCCCATCCAAGTCCAACTTGACTACTTTCCCTAATAATTATAAGAAATCAACACCATCTCTCAAAAAAATCAGATACATGAAAAAAACTATATTTCTCAGTATTAATTTTTCTTTTCTTTTTTTTTTTTTTTTTTTTCCAGACAGGGTCTCACTCTGTCACCCAGGCTAGAGTGCAGTGATGTGATCACAGCTCATAGCAGCCTTCCCTGCCCGGGCGATCCTTCCACCTCAGCCACCTGAACAGCTGAGACCACAGGTGCGCACCACCACACCTGGCTATTTTTTCTGCATTTTTTGTAGACACAGGGTTTTGCCATGTTGCCCAGGTTGGTCTCTAACTCCTCAAGTGATTCTCCAGCTTCAGGCATCCCAAGGTGCTGTGATTACAGGCTTGAGCCGCCACACCCGGCCAATATTAATTTTTCTACGAATATTCTTAATCATGACATTTACTGCCATAGAACTAATTCTATTCTATATTCTCTTTGCAGCAACCCTAATCCCTACTCTAATCACTGTCACTTGATGAGGAGGCTGAAGAGAACAATTCAATGCAAGACTTTATTTCCTGTCCTACACACTGATTGGCTGTTCAACCCTACTCATAGCATTAATCTATATCCAAAATTCCTCAGACTCATTAATTTTTTTAAGAACCACTATTGAATTCAAACATGACCAAGCTCCTGATCTAATGTCTCCCATGATTAGCCTACATAATAGCATTCCTAGTAAAAATACCCCTTTACGGCCTCCACCTCTGACTACCAAAAGCGCATGTAGAAGCCCCAATTGCAGCCACATTACTAAAACTAGGAGGCTGTAGTATAAAATGAAATTTTGCAATTTTAAATCCACTAACAGAATACATAACCTAATCATTTCTTATATTATCCCTAGGAGGAACTATCGTAACAGCTCTATTTGTTTACACCAAACAAGACTTAAAATCAATCATTACCTGTTCATCCGTAAGTCTTGTAGCACTAGTAAAACTAGCCATTTTTATTCTAATGCCATGAAGTTTTACAGGAGCCACAGCCCTAATAATTGTCCGTGGCCTAATGTCATCAATGTTGCTGTGCCTCAAAAACCCAATCTATGAGCGAATCCATACTTGAACTATACTATTAGCTCTCAAACTACAAATATTACTGCCTTTAATAGCAACATGATGAGTACTGGCTAGCTAACTTATCTAGCCCTACCACCACTATGAACCTAATTGGAAAATTCTTTGTAGTTATAGCATTATTTTTGTGAGCTGGTTTTACCACTATCCTAATAGGACTTAATATACTAATTAGAGCCCTATATTTACCCTACATATTAAACACAATATGATGAGGAAAGTGTACATACCACATTAATAACATTAAGCCAGCTGGTCACGGTAGCTCATGCCTATAATCCCAGCACTTTGGGAGGCCAAGGCAAGTGGATCACCTGAGGTCAGGAGTTCCAGACCAGCCTGGCCAACATGGTGAAACACTGTCTCTACTAAAAATACAAAAATCAGCCAGGTGTGGTGGTAAACACCTGCAATCCCAGCTACTCAGGAGGCTGAGGAAGGAGAATAGCTTGAACCCGGGAGGTGGAGGTTGCAGTGAGTCGAGATTGCACCATTGCTCTCCAGCCTGGGCATCACAGCGAGACTCCTCAAAAAAACAAACAAAACAAAACAAAACAAAACATTAAACCATCATTCACACGAGAAAAATATTCTAATACTTATATATTTCTTCTCCTATCACAACCCCCAAACTATTCTAGTACCCATATATTATAAATATTGTTAAACAAAACATTATATTGTGACTAAAACAACAGAAGCCTAAAACTCCTTATTTACTGAGAAAGTAAGCAAAAACTACTAACTCATGCCTCCATGTAGAATAATATTGTTTTTCAACTTTTAAAGCATAGAAATAATCCGCTGGAGTTAGGAGCTAAAAAAATGAGTGTAACTCCAAATAAAAGCAATAAATTTGTTCTCTTCTTCTATCATAACTTCACTTACCATCTTAATTACTAACATTTCCTAAGATACCTCTTATCCTCACTACATAAAAACTATTTCATATGCTTTTGCTATGAGTCTAATTCCAATCCTAATATTCATCTATTCAGGCCAAGAAATAACTATTTCAAACTCACCCTGGATGATTATTCAAATCTTAAAACTGACACTCAGACAGAGGTCCACACTTCTAGAGGTAAAGTTACCACACACACTTACGATGCTTGCAGAAGTCAAAGCACCTTCCTCATGGTTGCCTGGGCCAGTTGGGCGTCTCCAGCAGGTACCTCAGATGAGAAGTGCACCCAGGCCAGCACTAGCAGCAGCCCCATCATCTGCAGTTGGCTCACCTGCTGCTGTACCCCACAGCCAGGTCTGATGACCCAAATGACAACTGCTGCAGCTGGCATGGCTGTCAGGCTGTCAGGCACATACTGGGTCAGGCCATCACTGGGAGCTTCAGAAGAGTAAGTAATGCTGAGCCCTCAAAGCCTAACATCTCTAAGTAGGGCCCTCAGAAACCCAGCTGGCACAGCAGCAGCAACAGCAGCAGCAGTTTCGCCCTTGCTTCTATGAGATAAACAGTTTTTAGAGTGTGCGCAGAACCAGGGTGACATAAAGCTCTGTGAGGGTTTCACTAAGGTGTTGAAACAGTGCAGACTTGCAGGTGAATTAGCCTAGTCAAAAAGTTCAGATTGAAGAAATGAAAAATCAGCTCACCTCACCAAGATAATTTAGCATAAAAATATAGTTGATAATAAAAGTATAAAGTGCAAAACCATCAGTTAAACTTCTCTTTCATTAATAGCTTCCTTGCTTCAGAATTGCAATGGAAAAGAGCATTCTTACTGTATACAAGTTCACTGAGATGGTATAGAATTTCGGGCTGGGCAAATGTTTGTGTGGCCTCCTTAAACCTGCCATTGTGGTGTTACTGTTTGCGGAGTTAGTTGGAATAACGTGATTTTCTTTAAAAAAAAAAAAAAAATTGTAGAGAGGAGGCCTCACTATGTTGCCCAGGCTGGTCTCCAACTCCTGGGCTCAAGTGATCCTCCTGCCTCGGCCTTCCAAAGTGCTCACTTACATGTATGAGTCACTGCACCTGGTCGTGATTTTCTTAAAAAAAAAAAAAAAAAAAAAAAAAAAAGACACTCATCCCCAAGTTACATTACTTCTCAATGATATCTGTACTAGTAGCACTCTTCATCACATGGTCAATCATAGAATTTTCAATGTGGGCAGGGCACGGTGGCTCACGCCTGTAATCCCAGCACTTTGGGAGGCCAAGGTGGGCGGATCACCTGAAGTCAGGAGTTCAAAACCAGCCTGGCCAACATGGTGAAACCCCATCTCTACTAAAGATACAAAAATTAGCCAGGCATGGTGGTGCATGCCTGTAGTCCTAGCTACTTGGGAGGCTGAGGCAAGAGAATCGCTCAAACTTGGGAGGTGGAGGTTGCAGTGAGCCGAGATCGCACCACTGTACTCTAGACCGAGCAACAGAGTGAGACTCTGTCTCAAAAAAAAAAGAAAGAATTTTCAATGTGATGTATACATTTAGACCCAAATATTGACTCTTTAAATATCTACTTGTATTTTTCATCACTATACAAATTTTAGTTACTGCCAACAACCTCTTCCATCAGCAGATGAGGAGTAGGAATTGTATCATTTTTAGTTAGCAGATGATGATGATGACACAGACAAACAGATGCAAATACAGCAGCCCTCCAGGCAATCTTACATAACAGTATTGGATATTTTGGATTCATATTATCAATGGAATGATTTCTATTGTACTTGAACATATGAGAATTTTAACAAATTTTCTTGCTCAACCCCAACCCTGATATTCCCACTGGGACATTCTCCCATGGCTCCCTATTGAGAAAAGAAACTATTTTGCTTCGTCTAAGTAAATCCATGGTAACCTGATTCCCTCCTTCCCACTAACTAGGGCAAAACAAAGGCACCTGAGCTCTGTCTTGATTCATATTCACAGCCTGCATTCAGTGTGGGTCATGTTCTCACTAACCTATGTCTAGGTGATTACTAGAGTTTTCTCACTGGTCTCCTAGCATTGAGTCATTCTCCACTGCAATTTTACATACCACTTGCTGATTTGTTATATTTGTACTCCTTTTTCATAATAACCACCAGAGTATAATTTTACATTTACTATAATTATATGATTAAAATCTTTCTCTACCACTAGACTGTAAATTACATAAGAACAGGAACAATGTGTTTGCTCACTATGAATTTGCAGTGCCTAGCTCAGTACCTTAAGTATTAGACACTGGAGAAATATCTACTGAGTAAATGAATAGCATTTTAAAATATAGGGGTGTGGAGTTTTTTGCCAATTTATTACTTTGAGTCAAGACTCTACCTTACTCAAGTTTAAGAGGTTTCCCAGTGCCTCTCAGACCAAACCCAAAAGAGTCTTCTTGATAATGGTCCTCTGTTGCAACACCCACGTTCCCTTCACCTTTAAGGGGTACCACTGCTCCAGGAAGGTGCCGCTGTATCCAGTCTTCAGAACAAACTGTGGTAATTTCCACTCCTCTGCACTCGTTCATGTTCTATTCCAAACCATGGCTCTCTTCCTCCAAATCCTTAAGATGGTAACAGGTCATGACAGCTGTATTATTTTCAAGGGATTTAGGTTTCAGAAAAATCCTTTTAAAAATAGAACCTTCAGCTGGGTGTGGTGGCTCATGCCTATAATCCTAGCACTTTGGGAGGCTGAAGCGGGCGGATCACTTGAGGTCAGCTGTTCAAAACCAACCTGGCCAACATGGTGAAACCCCGTCTCTATTAAAAATACAAAAAAATTAGTCAGGCGTGGTGGTGCATGCCTGTAGTCCCAGCTACTCGGGAGGCTGAGGCAGGAGAATTGCTTGAACCCAGGATGCGGAGGTTGCAGTGAGCCGAGATTGCACCACTGTATTCCAGCCTGGGCGACACAGTGAGACTCTGTCTCAGAAAAAAAAAAAAAAAAAAAAAAGAACCTTCACCTCTAGATGGGGCAGGATCCATTTAGTGGCTTCTGAATATGGCAACATAAATGTAGCAGTTACACTCATTCCAGGAGTTAAAATTTGAGAATTTAAATCCATTTTACCTTATTAAGAATAAAATGCACCAGGTGGTCTCTTAATAAAGTAAAACTAATTTTAATTCATTTTGTTTGTCTTGATAAAGCAAAAAGACTATGAATAAAAATGTGATCACTTCTACAGCAATTAATTAATCTGTGAGACTTTTTTTTGCTGCCTGCTTTGTTCTAAACACTTAAAGCTTGTGAGCTCCTGTTGGGCTTCCAACAGTACATTATAATTTCAAAAGCGTTCTGTGATCAAATACATTGGGGAAACTGATGCAGGGTATTACAGGACACACAAGGAGACTGGTTTGTCTTGTTTTTATTTTTTTGAGACAGGGTCTTTCTCTGTCCCCCAGGATGGAGTGCAGTGACACAATCACAGCTCACTACAACCTCTGCCTCACAGGCTCAAGTGATCCTCCCACCTCAGCCTCCCAAATAACTGGGATGACAGACACGTGCCACAACATTTGGCTAATGTTTAAATTTTTTGTAGAGATGGGGTCTCTCTTATCGCCCAGGCTGGTTTTGAACTCCTGGACTCGAGCGATCCTCACACCTCAGCCTCCCCAAAATGCTGAGGTTACAGGTGTGAGCCATGGTGCCTGGCCTGGAAGAGTGGTTTTTTAAAGAAAAACATAAACAGTTGAATATCAGATCCTATAAATGTCAAGCATGAAAAAAAAAAGCAGTCAGTGTTAGTGACACTGTATTTATACAGCACTTGTAGAAGTGCTTTAAAGCACCTAAAAACAAAAATATATTCCCAAAGATAGAAATGTTATCAATATTATTTCTCTTTTCTAGACAGGAGAAAAATAACTTACTAAAAGTGACTACATAATCAATTTCTGATTTACATTCCCTGGTTTTTCCCCCAAAATAAGTTTAGAAGATTAAATTTCCCTCCCTAAGAACTGCGGTGTTATGGCAAGGGTATCATTAAGTACAATATGTAGTAAATTTAAGCCGTACAGGCATTAAAAACATATAAATCATGTATAAGCACATTCAAGAATTTAAATTATCTATAGTATGGAAGAGTAAAGAATTTGAAGTTGAAGGATCTAGGTTTTGATCGTGGCCACAATACTAATTACTAACTGAGATTTTCAACAAGTTACTTAACTGAGTTGCTGCGAAGAGCAAATGAGTTTACATATGCAAATCTTAAAAACATAACACGATGCCTGCCGTGAATTCATGTTATAAATTTACCAATATTGTGAGAACTGCATTGTAATGGGGAAACAGTAGGGGCATTAATAATAGGAGCTCTCACTTACTGGACATTTACTAAGGGCTTTTCATGCCTCTTCATCATTAACTCCTCACACCTGCCCAATGTGGTAAGTATTCTATTTGGTGGAACCATGGGACTTTCCATTTCTGTCGGTTAAAAATGGTCAATTATCACCGGACGTGGTGGCTCAGGCCTGTAATCCCAGCACTTTGGGAGGCCGAGGTGGGCGGATCATGAGGTCAGGAGATCGAGACCATCCTGGCTAACACTGTGAAACCCCGTCTCTACTAAAAATACAAAAAAAATTAGCCAGGCGTGGTGGCAGGCGCCTGTAGTCCCAGCTACTCTGGAGACTGAGGCAGGAGAATGGCATGAACCTGGGAGGTGGAGCTTGCAGTGAGCCAAGATCGCGCCACTGCACTCCAGCCTAGGCGACAGAGCAAGACTCTGTCTCAAAAAAAACAAACAAAAAAAAGGTCAATTATGAGCAATTTCATATGGTTCAAACTATCCTCTTGCTGGTTTAGAGAAACTGAAATACAGAGAGACTTGGGTAAGTAAGATAAAAGAGCCAGTGCCTGGTAAAAGTAAGGTTGGTAAGCCAATACCGGTTGATGTCAGCACCAACATTCTTGGCCAATATGTTATATAAGTTCCCAGCAAAGAGGCAAGTCTAATAGTTTAGGAGATGTAAACTCTAAGCTTTAATCAAGTATTGATTGCATGCTATCAGATAATATACAAACAATCAAGAAATGATGCCACAGCAAATTCAGCATATGAATCAAATGTACACATTAATTAAAGCAGCACAAGCGAAGATGGCTGAATAGGAACAGCTCAGGTCTGTAGCTCACAGCATGATCGACACCGAAGACAGGTGATTTCTGCATTTCCAACTGAGGTACCTGGTTCATCTCATTGGGACTGGTTGGACAGTGGGTGCAGCCCAAGGACGGCGAGCCAAAGCAGGGCGGGGTATCACCTCAACCAGGAAGCACAAGGGGTCAGTGGATTTTCCTTTCCTAGCCAAGGGAAGCTGTGACAGACTGTACTGGGAAAATTGGGACACTCCCATCTTAATGATGCACTTTTCCAATGGTCTTAGCAAATGGCACACCAGGAGATTATATCCCGCTCCTGGCTCAGCAGGTCCCACGCCCACAGAGCCTTGCTCACTGCTAGTGCCGCAGCTCCCAGATCTAACTGAGTGAAAGCCGGCAGCCTGGCTGCAGGGTGTTGCAGGGGCGGGGGGCGGTCTGCCATTGCTGAGGCTTGAGTAGGTAAACAAAGTGGCCTGGAAGCTCCAACTGGGTGGAGCCCACCACAGCTCAAGGAGGCCTGCCTGCCTCTGTAGACTCCACCTCTGGGAGCAAGGCATAGCTGAACAAAAGGCAGCAGAAACTTCTGCAGACTTAAACGTCCCTGTCTGACAGCTCTGAAGAGAACAGTGGTTCTCCCAACATGGTGTTTGAGCTCTGAGAATGGACGGACTGCCTCCTTAAGTGGGTCTGTGACCCCCATGTAGCCTAACTGGGAGACACCTCCCAGTGGGGACTGATTGACACCTCATACAGCCAGGCACCCCTCTGAGACGAAGCTTCCAGAGGAAGGATCAGGCAGCAATATTTGCTGTTCTGCAATATTTGCTTTTCTGCAGCCTCTGCTGGTGATACCCAGGCAAACAGGGTCTGCAGTGGACCTCCAGCAAACTCCAACAGACCTGCAGCTGAGGGACCTGACTCTTAGAAGGAAAACTAACGAACAGAAAGGGATAGCATCAATATCAACAAAAAGGACATCTATACCAAAACCCAATCTGTAGGTCGCCAGCATCAAAGACCAAAGGTAGATAAAACTACAAAGATGGGGAGAAACCAGAACAGAAAAGCTGAGAATTCTAAAAACCAGAGTGCCTCTTCTCCTCCAAAGGATTGCAGCTCCTCGCCAGCAATGGAACAAAGCTGGATGGAGAACAACTTTGATGAGTTGACAGAAATAGGCTTCAGAAGGTCGGTAATAACAAACTTCTCCGAGCTAAAGGAGGATGTTCAAACCCATTGCAAGGAAGCTAAAAACCTTAAAAAAAGATTAGATGAATGCCTAACTAGAATAAACAGTGTACAGAAGCACTTAAATGACTTGATGGAGCTGAAAACCATGGCACAAGAACTACCTGATGCATGCACAAGCTTCAGTAGCTGATTTGATCAACTGGAAGAAAGGGTATTAGTGATTGAAGATCAAATTAATGAAATGAAGCGAGAAGAGAAGTTTAGAGAAAAAAGAGTAAAAAGAAACTAACAAAGCCTCCAAGAAATATGGGACTATGTGAAAAGACCAAATCTACGTCTACGTCTGACTGGTGTACCTGAAAGTGACGGGGAGAATGGAACCAAGTTGGAAAACACTCTGCAGGATATTATCCAGGAGAACTTCCCCAACCTAGCAAGGCAGGCCAACATTCAAATTCAGGAAATACAGAGAACACCACAAAGATACTCCTCGAGAAGAGCAACCCCAAGACACATAATTGTTAGATTCACCAAGGTTGAAATGAAGGAAAAAATCTTAAGCGCAGCCAAGAGAGAAAGGTTGGGTTACCCACAAAGGGAAGCCCATCAGACTAACAACAGATCTCTTGGCAGAAACTCTACAAGCCAGAAGAGAGTGGGGGCCAATATTCAACATTCTCAAAAAAAAGAATTTTCAACCCAGAATTTCATATCCAGCCAAACTAAGCTTCATAAGTGAAGGAGAAATAAAATACTTTACAGACAAGCAAATGCTGAGAGATTCTGTCACCCCCAGGCCTACCTTACAAGAGCTCCTGAAGGAAGCACTAAACATGGAAAGGAACCATCAGTACCAGCCACTGCAAAAACATGCCAAATTGTAAAGACTATCGATGCTAGGAAGAAACTGCATCAACTAACGGGCAAAATAACCAGCTAACATCATAATGACAGGATCAAATTCACACATAACAATATTAACCTTAAATGTGAATGGGCTAAACGCCCCAATTAAAAGACAAAGACTGGCAAATTGGATAAAGAGTTAAGACCCATCAGTGTGCTGTAGTCAGGAAACCCATCTCATGCACAGACACACATAAGCTCAAAATAAAGGGATGGAGGAAGATCTACCAAGCAAATGGAAAGCAAAAAAAAGCAGGGGTTGCAATCCTAGTCTCTGATAAAACAGACTTTAAACCAACAAAGATCAAAAGAGACAAAGAAGGCCATTACATAGTGGTAAAGGGATCAATTCAACAAGAAGAGCTAACTATTCTAAATATATATGCACCCAATACAGGAGCGCCAATACAAAGAGACTTAGACTCCCACACAATAACAATGGGAGACTTTAACACCCGACTGTCAATATTGGATCAACGAGACAAAAAATTAACAAGGATATCCAGGAATTGAACTCAGCTCTGGACCAAGTGGACCTAATAGACATCTACAGGACTCTCCACCCCAAATCAACAGAATATACATTCTTCTCAGCACATCACACTTATTCTTAAACTGACGACGTAATTGGAAGTAAAACACTCCTCAGCAAATGTAAAAGAACAGAAATCACAACAAACTCTATCTCAGACCACAGTGCAATCAAATTAGAACTCAGGATTAAGAAACTCACTCAAAACTGCACAACTACATGGAAACTGAACAACCTGCTCCGAATGACTACTGGGTAAGTGAGGAAATGAAGGCAGAAATAAAGTTGTTCTTTGAAACCAATGAGAACAAAGACACAATGTACCAGAATCTCTGGGACACATTTAAAGCAGCGTGTAGAGGGAAATTTATAGCACTAAATGCCCACAAGAGAAAGCAGGAAAGATCTAAAATTGATGCCCTAACATCACAATTAAAAGAACTAGAAAAACAAGAGCAAACAAATTCAAAAGACAGCAGAAGACAAGAAATAACACAGATCAGAGCAGGACTGAAGGAGATAGAGACACAAAAAACTCTTCAAAAAGTCAATGAATCCAGGAGCCGGTTTTCTGAAAAGATCAACAAAATAGACTACTAGCAAGACTAATAAAGAAGAAAAGAGAGAAGAATAAAATAGATGCAATAAAAAATGATAAAGGGGATATCACCACTGATCCCACAGAAAATACAAACTACCATCAGAGAATACTATAAACACCTGAATAGACCAATAACAGGTTCTGAAATTGAGGCAATAATTAATAGCCTACCAACCAAAAAAAGTCCAGGACCAGACAGATTCACAGCCAAATTCTACCAGAGGTACAAAGAGGAGCTGGTACCATTCCTTCTGAAACTATTCCAATCAATAGAAAAAGAGGGAATCCTTCCTAACTCATTTTATGAAGCCAGCATCATCCTAATACCAAAGCCTGGCAAAGACACACACAAAAAAGAGAATTTTATACCAATATCCCTGATGAACATCAATGTGAAAATCCTCAATAAAATACTGGCAAACTGAATCCAGTAGCACATCAAAAAGCTTATCCACCACGATCAAGTTGGCTTCATCCCTGGGATGCAAGGCTGGTTCAACATACGCAAATCAATAAAAGTAATCCATCACATAAACAGAACGAAAGACAAAAACCACATGATTATCTCAATAGATGCAGAAAAGGCCTTTGACAAAATTCAACAGCCCTTCATGCTAAAAACTCTCAATAAACTCGGTATTCGTGGAATGTATCTCAAAATAATAAGAGCTATTTATGACAAACCCACAGCCAATATCATACTGAATGGGCAAAAACTGGAAGCATTCCCTTTGAAAACTGGCACAAGACAGGGATGCCCTCTCTCAACACTCCTATTCCACATAGTGTTGGAAGTTCTGGCCAGGGCAATCAGGCAAGAGAAAGAAATAAAGGGTATTCAGATAGGAAAAGAGGAAGTCAAATTGTCCCTGTTTGCAGATGACATGATTGTATATTTAGAAAACCCCATCATCTCAGCCCAAAATCTCCTTAAGCTGATAAGCAACTTCAGCAAAGTCTCAGGATACAAATTCAATGTGCAAAAATCACAAGCATTCCTCTACACCAATAACAGACAAACAGAGAGCCAAATCATGAGAGAACTGCCATTCACAATTGCTTTGAAAAGAATAAAATACCTAGGAATCCATCTTACAAGGGATGAGACGGACCTCTTCAAGGAGAACTACAAACCACTGCTCAACAAAATAAAAGAGGACACAAACAAACGGAAGAACATTCCATGCTCATGGATAGGAAGAAACAATAGTGTGAAAATGGCCATACTGCCCAAGGTAATTTATAGATTCAATGCCATCCCCATCAAGCTACCAATGACTTTCTTCACAGAATGGGAAAAAACTACTTTAAAGTTCATATGGAACCAAAAAAGAGCCTGCATTGCCAAGACAATCCTAAGCAAAAAGAACAAAGCTGGAGGCATCATGCTACCTGACTTCAAACCATACTACAAGGCTACAGTAACCAAAACAGCATGGTACAAAAGAGAGATACAGACCAATGGAACAGAATAGAGGCCTCAGAAATAACACCACACATCTACAACCATCTGATCTTTGACAAACCTGACAAAAACAAGAAATGGGGAAAGGATTCCCTATTTAATAAATGGTGCTGGGGAAATTGGCTAGCCATATGTAGAAAGCTGAAACTGGATCCCTTCCTTACACCTTATACAAAAATTAATTCAAGATGGATTAAAGACTTAAATGTTATACCTAAAACCATAAAAACCCTAGAAGAAAACCTAGGAAATACCACTCAGGACATAGGCATGGGCAAGGACTTCATGACTAAAACACCAAAAGCAATGGCAACAAAAGCCAAAATAGACAAATGGGATCTAATTAAACTAAAGAGCTTCTGCACAGCAAAAGAAACTACCATCAGAGTGAACAGGCAACCTACAGAATGGGAGAAAATTTTTGCAATCTACCCATCTGACAAAGGGCTAATATCCAGAATCTACAAAGAACTTAAATTTACAAGAAAAAATCAAACAACCCCATCAAAAAGTGGGCAAAGTATATGAACAGACACTTTTCAAAAGAAGACATTTATGCAGCCAACAGACACATGAAAAAATGCTTATCATCACTGGTCATCAGAGAAATGCAAATCAAAACCATAATGAGATACCATCTCACACCAGTTAGAATGGCAATCATTAAAAAGTCAGGAAACAACAGGTGCTGGAGAGGATGTGGAGAACTAGGAACACTTTTACACTGTCAGTGGTAGTGTAAACTAGTTCAACATTGTGGAAGACAGTGTGGTGACTCCTCAAGGGCCTAGAACTAGAAATACCATTTGACCTAGCGATCTCATTACTGGGTATATACCCAAAGGATTATAAATCATGCTACTATAAAGACACATGCACAGGTATGTTTATTTTGGCACTATTCACAATAGCAAAGACTTGGAACCAACCCAAATGTCCATCAATGATAGACTGGATTAAGAAAATGTGGCACATACACACCATGGAATACTATGCAGCCATCAAAAAGGATGAGTTCATGTCCTTTGTAGGGAATGGATGAAGCTGGAAACCATCATTCTGAGCAAATTGTCGCAAGGACAGAAAACCAAACGCTGCATGTTCTCACTCATAGGTGGGAATTGAACCATGAGAACACTTGGACACAGGGTGGGAAACATCACACACTGGGGCCTGTCATGGGGTGGGGGGTTGGCGGAGGGATAGCATTAGGAGAAATACCTAATGTAAATAACGAATTAATGGGTGCAGCAAACCAACATGGCACTTGTATACATATGTAACAAACCTGCACATTGTGCACATGTACCCTAGAACTTAAAGTATTATAAAACAAAAAGTATAGACAAATCTTATTCAATCTTGAGTTCAGAAGATAGTTATATCGGGTTTCATTATAGTATTCTTGCTATTTTTGTATATGTTGGAATTATTTACAACAAATGTTAATTGTATGTTACAGTGCATCAAAATGTGTTTAAGTAGTGGTGGTGCTTGTGGGTAGCTCTTTCACTATAATAAAAAATCAATATCCAAAAAAAAAAAAAAAAAGCAGCGCAAGCTCGTTCAATGAACTCTTACCATCATTCATTCAGCCAACAAATATTTACTCAACATCAGGCTCAATTTCTAACTTCCTAGAAAGATCTTTTTTCCCATCCCTCCCCTAATTCTTACCATTTTACCAACTGGTTCATCTCTCTTTTCAATAGCTATATTGTCCCCGCTTATAATGAGAATCTCATTTTGCCTTTAATAATCTGATTCACCTCAACGAATGTGAAAGATTGTTGAGGAAAGCTCAATACATGTTCAATTTGATGTTTATACCGAGTCCACCACCACACGTGAAATTTAATAGGGGTAAATAATCTCGACCACCTCTAAAGGGGTGGGTGATAAAAGCTTTCTGTGATCTCACCGGCTCAAGTGTCCTCTTTAATCTGAATTCATCTGGAGAATAACTGCCCTATGATGTTCTTATAAAATTACTTGTTTCCTGTGCTTAGAACTTGTCTCTGGGTAGAGTGTACGCGTCTCAAGGGCAAAGACTCAGTCTTGTTCGTTGACTTCACACACTGCCAGCAAATAATGTGAATCAATAGACCTTTAACGGATGAAGAAAAATTAGCAGTTTGGGAGAAGGTCCTTGAAGGTAGCAAAGCGAAAAGAAGAAGGGGGCGCTTGCGCATAAACAGCTGCTTCTGAGAACGAAAACTACGTAGCATTTCCGAGTCCCGGTGGCCGCTCAGGCTGCCCTTTAAAGAGACGTGTAGGAAGCCCACCCTGGGGCGGCCGTGGGCGGAGCCGCGACCTGAACGCCGGGAGACCTCACCAGGCGGAGGCGGTGTCTACCTCACCAGGCGGAGGCGGTGTCTGCCTCGCGCTGTCCTCTGACCGCCAGGGGGAGCCCTGCCGCGCGCTGCGCTCCGGGCCGCGCCGCCACGCTCTCTCGACCCGCGCGCCCGCCGCGCACCACCCGTCGCCACGCCCGCCGCAGGCCAAGGGCCAGTCACTTGCGGGCCGGCGTCCCGCAGCCCATTCGCGCCCCGCCCCTGCCCCGCCGCGGGATGAGTAACGGTTACGAAGCACTTTCTCGGCTACGATTTCTGCTTAGTCATTGTCTTCCAGGAAACAGCTCCCTCAGTTTGGAATCAGCTCTCCCGCTGCGGCCGCAGTAGCCGGAGCCGGAGCCGCAGCCACCGGTGCCTTCCTTTCCCGCCGCCGCCCAGCCGCCGTCCGGCCTCCCTCGGGCCCGAGCGCAGACCAGGCTCCAGCCGCGCGGCGCCGGCAGCCTCGCGCTCCCTCTCGGGTCTCTCTCGGGCCTCGGGCACCGCGTCCTGTGGGGCGGCCGCCTGCCTGCCCGCCCGCCCGCAGCCCCTTCGCTGCGCGGCCCCTGGGCGGCCGCTGCCATGGGCACCGACAGCCGCGCGGCCAAGGCGCTCCTGGCGCGGGCCCGCACCCTGCACCTGCAGACGGGGAACCTGCTGAACTGGGGCCGCCTGCGGAAGAAGTGCCCGTCCACGCACAGCGAGGAGGTGAGCGTGGCGACACTCGCCGCGGGGCTCCCGGGGCAGGCCTCGGGCGGGGCCGGGCGGTTCCGGCAAGGGAGAAGCGCCCGCGGGCGAGGGAGGGTGGCAGGGCCTCGCGCGCACCTGGGCTCCGCCCGCGGTCAGATGCTGAGGCCAGTGTCGACGCGACCTTGGGTCCAAACCCGCTGCCGAGGGCAACGCGTCTAAAAAACTTAGCCGGTGCAGCTGCGCACTGAGTGACACCTCTCTCGGTGCTTAAGGCTGGTAGCAAAACTCTCAAACATCCTGGGTCCCTCTTCCTGGCACGGAGGTCACAGAGGGCCAGGACGTCGCTCCGTCTCTCTCCACATCTCTCGCTTCCTTCCCCCACCCTGTCCAGGTAAAGGAATATTTTCGGAGATTATCCTTTGGTGCATTCAGATGAAGTAGTATTCATAGTACACCTAACTTTTAGAATGTTGACATTAGACTCTCTATTGCAGTGAGGCAAATGAGTAAGCACTCAATTTTGGCTTTGGAATACCCTAAATACCCTGACTTTAGTCATTACACATTTTATGCACTTATCTGTGCGTCTATGTATGCTTTATCAGTACACATTCTATGCATGTAACAATATCATTGTACATTCTATGCATGTAACAGAATATCACATGTGCCCCATAAATATGTACAAATATAATCTATCAATTCAAAAATTAAAGTTTTGTAAAAACTGGAAAATAAAAAGACTAGTCACTAGTTGGAGGTGACAGAGATTAATCTGGAATTACAAACTTGTTACCTATTTGTTGGCCATTTCTGAGCGGATAGTCATCCACTGCACATTGTGCATATTGGTGGTATGGGACAATTTTAGTATTTAAAAAATAACAAAATCTTTAGATTTAGGAGCTATATGACTTTGGAAAATTACTTTAAAGTTGGATAATAACACCTTCCTCATCAGGTTGTTGTGAGAATTAAGAGGTAATATATGAAAACGCTCACCATGCAGGCATCTATCTCCCTGTCATCTGGTTCCATCAGAAAGATAAATCTTAATTAAGAGAAAAACCTTCCTAAACTATGTGTGTTTAGAAAAACCTTCCTAAATCAGCTGTGTTCCTAAGTGGTTTCTGCTCTCTTCTATGAGATGTTGGTAACAGACCATGCAGCAGCACACGGCATCCCTCTGAGTTAAGTGCTGGACCTGTGCCCAGGCCTGTTGTTGGGGTCAGTGCCCATCAAGAGATGAGAACTCTTGCTTGTAACTTTAGTAGGAATCTGAGTCTGTACCATATTCTGTGTTCACGTTCCAGCTCAGTGTGTATGTTTTGTTTTATTTAAACCACCTACTTTGGCTGTTTCTCCCACAGATAAATATTTCTGTATTCGGTACATAGACTCTTAATTTCTTCCAGTACTGTTGGTGGTAGTTCAATACAGAATTTTGCACGTATATTGATATTATTGGGTGAAATTTTACCTATCTCACAATAGCATACTCTAAAGTAGTGACTCAAAAGAGTTTCTGACTGCAAACACAGTAAGAAGTACATTTTACTTTGCAATCCAGTTAATAGTTGTATAATCAGTATATCTGAAACAGGTTTCACAAAAAGATATTAGCCCTTATACCGTATATTCTGATTTTTTCTTTTATTTTAATTTTTAAAATGTTGATTTCTTGATGCTCAGAGTCACACACCACAGTTTGTAAAACATTGTTCAAAGGACTAATTCTGGTTTCTAGTGTTTTATTTAGGGTGCTTCATAACAGTAGGATAAAACTAAAGAAACTAGAAAACATTTCAGGAAAACTTGAAGGAATGGCATCATACTGTAGGGAAACTATGACTGCTTGGTAAGAGCAAAAGGGGAGGCACATTTTGTTTCTATGTAAAAGAACTTTGTAACACCCAGAGCTCCAAATTGGGATGTACTACTTGGAACAGTTCCGCTTCACTGAAGAAATTAAGTAAACTGAACAAATCACTTATTTTTGAGAAAATGTACGTGTTGGGTCAAGAGTTCAGTTAAATTTCTTACAAGGTCTCTTCTAGTTCTAATTTTTTAAAAAATGTTATGACCTCTGCCCAGATTTTTTGTCTCACTGGAATTTTATGAAATCAAATAGTTTGTAAGTGGACCATTATAGGACTGTTTTGCCCAGTTCTTTGTTGTAAGGGTGTTTGACCGGTTGAATCATGGTATTTAAAAAATTCTTATACAACTCCAGATCTAATGGTAGGCTAAGTTGTGGTGATGCTTATACTCAGTGATATTGGGTGTGTATTATAAGAATGAAGAGAGCGGAGAACAAACATAAACATTAATGTTAATGACAAACATTAACCCAAGTACAAGGTTAATGTTTAGTCAATATAGCAAACATGTAATTTACAAGATTAAAAATAATTAGGCTTGTGATAAAGTCAATGAATTTCCTACGTAATTGTAACATTAGACTGTTTTATTATTTGTCCTGACATTTTGCAGAATCCAAGATTAATTAAAGAAATGGTTTCAAGAAGAGGGTGAATACTATAAAAATAGACTTACCTTCCTGAATTGAGGAATTCATCAGGAAAGCCTCAAGTGTGCAAATGAGCCATCCTTCCAGAGGGAAATTTCTTAGAATTATCCCACGATTTGAGCCAAAGCACTTCCGATAGAATTTTTAACCTCTAGTTGGTTCTGCTCCTTCCATTTTTACTAATTTTTAAGAAAATACTATGACTTATAATTGTATCTGGAATGATTATCAACTCCTTTTCATCCACTGACTTAAATTTGATTATAAATATGCTTTACATAAAGATCTAGACCTTATAATTTGAATTCAAGTGAATTGTTGTGACTAGCATGTAAATTATTATTATGGATTGTAAATCTTAACATAGGTAGTTCTGTGCCCTTAAATTGATAAACCAGTTATCTCTTGTAATCATGTGTACTAAGATATACGTAGTAAAGTGATTGTATCAGTTTTTATCATAAGCAGTCATAGTTCAGATAGTTCAGAAGTTTAGTGTCTGCTGTTTCTATTAGGAAAGTGCTTTTGCAATTCAGGGGCTTGCCTCTAGTTACTCATTTGTGTTTTCATTGATTGCCCACAGAAGAATGCAAAACACTGTGTCCTTGGTTATCTAATAAGGCAGTGATTTCAGATTGCCAGGTTTGGCCCATTAGTGGTCATAAATCAGTTCAGTGAGTCATGGACCAGTATATTTTTTCTAATTAATATATTGGAAGCCATTAGAGTGCCTGGCATGTTGTGAGCATAAATACCGCTTTATGACTGTTTTGTTCCATTATATGTATATAGGTCTTTGCTCACTATGTGAATGTATGTCTTACTTTGGACTACTATCAAATAAGTCTGAAATACACTTTAATAAAGTATGTTTGAATTAATTTACAACATACTATAATATTTGTATAAATTTTTTTTTGTTTATCTAAGAAAACATGGAAGATAGGTTAGAGGTGCACCTAAATGTTACGAAATGACTTCTGGAGTGTCATACAAGTTGAGTTCTGCAAGATATGTCTATCCTGGTGGTTCTCAGACTTTAGAGTACGTAGATAAAGTACTCTCCTTAGGATGCTTGTTAAAATGAAAGTCCAAACTGCTCTTGGAGAATGATTCAGTGGGTCTAGGATTAGGCTCAGGAGTCTGAAATTTTAATAAACAGCACAGGTGAATCTGAGGTAGGATTTACCAGCCACACTTATTCTCTAATAATTTAATTTGTTTGTCTTTGAGAAATGTAGCATAGTTGTGATATGAATTCTAGTCAGACAGCCTGGGCTTGACTCCAAGTTCCTTTGTTTATAAACCTTATTTTTGTTTCTTTATGAATGCCTTTTTTTTTTTTTTTTTTTGGAAATAGAGTCTTGCTCTGTTGCCCAGGCTGGAATGAAATGGCATCATCTCAGCACACTATAACCTCCACCTCCTGGGTTCAAGCAAAATTGTCCTGCCTCAGCCACCCGAGTAGCTACTACAGGCTTGCACTACTAGGCCCACATGATTTTTGTATTTTTAGTAGAGACAGGGTTTCACCATGTTGGCCAGGCTGGTCTTGAACTCCTGACCTCAAGTGATTTGCCCCCCTCAGCCTCCCAAAGTGCTGGGATTACAGGCATGAGCCACTATACCTGGCCTATGAATGCTTTTGTGTCTCAACAGTTAGCTTAAATTTTCACTGGTACAAAAAAAGCTTTAAAGTAATTAGACAACTTCTTTAGTTCAAGAACATTTGAGAAACAAGAGTAGGATGAAAACAGGCCTGAATTTATGTATGTTGAAGGAAACAAAAACCTTGTAGGATTAAAATTGGGGTTTGTATGGTATTTCCTGTTGCTATCTTTTTTTTCCTGCTTATCAAATTAATATATTCTTATTGTAGAAGTACAGAAAAGTATATAGACTTTGATTAACAGTTTCAAAATGCATTCCTTTTGCAGCTTCATGATTGTATCCAAAAAACCTTGAATGAATGGAGTTCCCAAATCAACCCAGATTTGGTCAGGGTAAGTGAAATGTGAATGCAAAAATCATGCAGGTCAAAAAGGAAGTAAAGTAAACAGGAAGTTAATTTCTTCAGTTTTGTGAGGGAAGTCAAATAGGCAATTAGCCATAAACTCTCTGTGGTTGATTTGCTGAGACGGCACTCTGATCCAGTAGGCTTATGCATAAAACAGAAAATCTAGACCGTAGGCAACTCTTTAACCAGACAAGATACTAGGATTCTCATGCTTAATTCTCACCATGGTTTCCTCACTATCAGTGTTTTATTTCAGTTTATATTTGGTCTAGGAGAGGAATGATTATCAATTGTGATTGGTAGATTGCTTTAGTAGACTCAACATCACTAGAAGTAATTTTTCAAATGTCAGTTTCTGATGAAACAATAAGGAACTGTGTTCCACTAAATGTCAGTATATGGCTACTATCATAAATGTTAATGTTCAAAACCCTAAAACACATTTTGAAATCCAACTCAGTCAAAGGCTCACAGCACATTACTTAGGCTACTTTAAAAGTATGGAAAAGGACATGTGCTGGAAATACTGGTTCCCCTGGGCATACTGCAACCATGTAACTCTATAGCTACTATATAGACATTGAGTTATGGTTTTTTTTAAATCAATCTCTGTTTCTCTGAAATGACTGTTTATTCTACTTATGCTTGACTTGTAAACACTTACTGAACCCCTGATACGTGCTGTGAAAGTGCTCAAGAATCATGGGAAAGCCTTTGCCGTTTACTTTGTATGATATTGTAAATGTAAGTTAATATGTATCTGATTTATATGTACTAATATTTTCTCATTATCCTTGTAAATTATTCATTAAAATACATTCAAATAGCCTTTGCTTTTTTCTGCTGCACTCAGGAAAAAAAAAGTTTTGGTTTACAATGCTTGTGATTACAGGCTGGGCGCAGTGGCTCACGCCTATAATCCCAGCACTTTGGGAGGCTAAAGCAGGTAGATCACCTGAGGTCAGGAGTTTGAGACCAGTCTGGCCAACATGGCGAAACCCCATGTCTACTAAAAATACAAAAAAAAAAAAAAAGCCAGGCGTGGTGGTACCCGCCTGTAATCCCAGCTACTCGGGAGGCTGAGGCAGGAGAATCACTTGAACCTGGGAGGCAGAGGTTGCAGTGAGCTGAGATCACACCACTGCACTCTAGCCTGAGCAAGAGAGTGAGACTCTGTCTCAAAAAAATAATAATAATAAAATTAAATAAATAAATAAATAAGAATAAAATGCTTGTGATTATAAAACTAAATATACTATTGTCATAAAATCAGCAATTATGCTCCTTAGTATCTACCCAAAGAAGCTAAGAACTTATTTCCACACACAGACCTATGCATGGATATTTATAGCAGCTCCATTCATAATTGCTAAAATTTGAAGCAACCAAGATGTTCTTCAGTAGGCGAGTGTATATATAAATTATGAATGCATATATAAACTATCCAGACAATATAATATTATTCAGTGCTTAAAAGAAATGAGCTATCAAGCCATGAAAAGACATAGAGGAAACTTGAATGCATATTTCTAAGTAAAAGAAGCCAATCTGAAAAAGCTACATAATGTATGATATCAACTATTTGATATTCTGGAAAAAACAAAACTATGTAGACTATAGTTTTGCTAGTCTAGTAAAAAAAACTAGTAAAAAGATCAGTTGTTGCCAGGGGTTAGCAGGGACGGAGGGATGAATAGGCAGAGCACAGGATTTGTATGTCAATGAAACTACTGCATATGATATTGTAATGGTGGATACATGTTATTATATGGTTTTCTAAATCCATAAACTATGCAGCACCAAGAGTAAACCCTAAGATAAACTGGACTTGGGTGATTATGACATGTCAATGTAGGTTCATCAAGTGTAACAAATGTATACCACTGTGGTGGGTATGTTGATAATGGGGGAGGCTGTGTGGATGTGAGTGTAGGGAGTGAATGAGAAATCTGTTCAATCTACCTTCTACTTGATATTCTTGTGAACCTAAAACTGCTCTAAAAAAAAAGTATATTTAAAAAAAAAAAAACAGGCTGGGCGCGGTGGCTCATGCCTGTAATCCCAGCACTTTGGGAGGCCGAGGTGGGCGGATCACAAGGTCAGGAGATCGAGACCATCCTGGCTAACACGGTGAAACCCTGTCTCTACTAAAAATACAAAAAATTAGTCAGGCGTGGCGGCGTGCACCTGTAGTCCCAGCTACTCGGGACACTGAGGCAGGAGGAATGGCGTGAACCCGGGAGGCAGAGCTTGCAGTGAGCCGAGATCGTGCCACTGCACTCCAGCCTGGGCGACAGAGCGAGACTCTGTCTCAAAACAAAACAAAACAAAACAAACAAACAAAAAAACCCAAAAACTAAATCCCCTTACAGGTTAAAGTTCAAATAACATTAAAATCCAAATAAATTAAAAAGTAAAAGAAAATGCTTGTAATTAATGTAGAACGTGTTTATTATGTCATCTAGAGTGGATATTATTTTCATTGGTTTCTTTTTAGAGTAAAATTATCTGCTGTGCTACTGTTTCTAACTCCTCACATATCCCTCCACTGCTTGTTTATTTTTAATTTTTTTGATCATGCTTCTTTCTAAATACCTGGTCAAAATGAGATACATTTTCCTAGAAAATAGATACACACACACAAACACACACACACACCCCACTTTACCTTTATTTCAGAGCTTTACAACCCTTGTGAAGCCCACCCAGACCTCAGGTAGAGAACTCTGTTGTCTTATAGGTTCTCTGATTCTAAAAGGCATTATGGATAATAGAAAATTTTATAATTAATCAGAAGCATTAAATTTTATATTTGTTTTAAATATTGTGTTTATTATAGGAGTTTCCAGATGTCTTGGAATGCACTGTATCTCATGCAGTAGAAAAGATAAATCCTGATGAAAGAGAAGAAATGAAAGTTTCTGGTAAAGTCCAGTCTTTTCTGTTTATTTTGTTACATAGCGGAAGCGATAGATTTTGTTAGGCATTAGAATAAGCCTTTCTTTGCTCAGACACTAAATGTGGGAAATACAGAAATTCTTTTTTAGCATAATTTTACTTAAACTCCAAGATGGAGTTATAAGAGGTCAGTGCTGGCTATTATATAAGAGTCAGAATAGAACTTCAACTTGCTGTTCTTCATGATGATGTCATCATGTCATGTAATTTATGTGTCAAACTTCAGAGCAGTAGAAAGATTAAGATGAAGGAGATGGAAAGGATAAAGGGAAGGCTTAGAAGCAGCATCCACCCAAAGCAAGCATAAGCACCCCCTTCCTGGTAAGATACTGGTAAGCAATGTGTGAGGTCACCTGGGAATATAAAAAGAAACCTGGGCAAGTTACATGAAGAGAAAGAAAATACTGTAACACCCATTCAGGAAATGTAGTAAGTGACAAATTCCAGAAACTGTACTATACTCAAGGAATACAAAAATGAAAAGATGCGCCATCTCTGCCCTCACCTTACAATTAGCATAGCATAGTCATTAAAAGCTTGAGCTTTGAAGTTTCGGGGTGTGCAGATTACAGGCTAGTATAATGTTGGGCTAACAAAGACTTTAACCTCCCTGAGTCTCAGTTTTCTCTTCTATAAAATGGGGATGTACCTGTTTCTCCGGCTTCTTTGTAAACTGGATGAAATAACAAAAGAAGCACTTAGCACAGTGTTTGCCTCAAAGTAAGTTCTAGGTAGCTATTATTTGCTACCATGTTGTTATTATTGTGGTTGTTGCTATTTTATTATTATTGAGATGGATAATAATAATAAATTACATGTAAGATGAGATAGGGTATTGTCTCTTTTTAATCTAATTATAGTAACTACCATTTATTGAGTCTTGCTTTGTGCCAGGCACTGTGCTTGGTACTTTATGGTTATATTTTCTCATTTAATTCTCAAGACAATCCTGCAAGTTAAGTCTGTTACTGCATTGCATTAGTGATACTAAATAACTTGAAGGTTGTCATACAACCAGTAAGTGGTTGAACCAGGAATCCACTCAGGTATGCCTAACTCCAAAACCCATTTTTTCCTGTTAATTTCACATTGCTGTTTGTGTTGGAAAGGACGTAAAGCAACATTCTTTCTGAGGTTGACTGTAATTCATGATTTAGTTCCATCTTGGGTCTCTTAGAAGTCCTCAGTTCCTAGAGGGCTTGAGATTTTTTTATAGGTATCAAAATTCTCCCCATATAAAGAGCTTTCCTCTTTCTACCTATCCAAAAAAGCCTCATCCTTCAGAGAGAAGAGGCCATTTCAGATGGCACAAATTCATGGACAGAGAAATAGTATTGGGGGGGGCTTTCATAGAGTTATAGGGGCTAAAGTTAGACCAAAATAGTAAATACTGACTCTCATCTAGTAGAGAAGCTAGGATGGCTGTTCAATAGGGAGTAATCTCAGGGAAGCAGTGTTTTTAGGGAGATCACCTAGCAGTAGGAAGGAAGGGACTCATATAAGAAACGTAGAAGAAAATGTGTTGCATATATCGAATGTCAGCACTTTATGTAAGGGTATTTCATTAGCCTTATTTTTCTCCATTTCCTCTTTTGATTTTTTTTGTTGCTCTTCTGCTACTCTACCTGTTTGTCTATTGAATACATTTATTTTTTTGAACAGTGAGTTTACATAAAGTAAATATGTACATATAAAGTTGAATTTGAATGAAACCAAAACCTCAATATTACAAATATAGAAAATGACTCAACTTTCCTAGTAACCAAAGAAATGACAATTAATGTGGTCTTGGGTAGGTATGCATTGTACCTACTAAGTTTTAAAAAAAAATTAATAATAGCATCCTATGTTGTTAGAAGAGCAATTGTTAATTGGTGGTGGTGTGGTAAACTGGCACACATCTTTTAAAATATAATAAGACTCACACAAAACGTCACATGCTTTGACTCATAATAACATTTCTAACAATTCATCCCTGGGAAATTATATAGTATAATGCTGAATAAAAAGTTACTAAGATGTTTGTTTTGGCATTATATATGCGAAAACAGAAAACTGGAACTAGTACTGGAACATTTACTAACCTAAATGTTCAATAAGTAGAACTCATTTAATAAATGACACTCTTCAAAATTTACAAAATAATATTCAACCATTAAAAAATGAGCATGTAAAATTGGCTGGGCGCAGTGGCTCACGCCTGTAATCCCAGCACTTTGGGAGGCGAGTCGGGTGGATCACTTGAGGCCAGGAGTTCGAGACCAGCCTGGACAACATGGCAAAACCCCGTCTCTACTAAAAATACAAAAATTAGCCAGGCATGGTGGCGCAGGCCTATAATCCCAGCTACTTGGGTGGCTGAGGCATGAGAATTGCTTGAACCCAGGAGGAGGTTGCAATGAACCAAGATGGCACCACTGGGCGACAGAGTGAGACTCTGTCTCAAAAAAAAAAAGTATGTAAAATTATACACTAAAAACATAGAATACGTTCAAGGCCACCCCTAAGTGGAAAAAAAGCCACAGAATACACAGAAATCTAAACAGTAATTTGGGTGATGAGACTGGCAATTCTTTTTGGTCTTTCTGCTTTTATAGGTCTTCGTTATTTCTACAGTAAGCACATGACTATTAGGATAAAAAAAATCTTGGCCTGGTGTGGTGCTGTAATCCTAGCACCTTGGGAAGATTGTTTGAGACCGGGAGTTCAAGAGCCCCTGGGCAACATATCGAGACCCTGTGTCTACAAAAAAATGAAAATTAGCCAGGTGTATTGGTACATGCCTGTAGTCCTAGCTACTTGGGAGGCTGAGGTGAAAGGAACACTTGAGCTCAGAAGGTTGATGCTGCAGTGAGCCGTGATCGCACCACTGCACTCCAGCCTGGATGAAAGTGAGACCCTGTCTCAAAAAAAAAAATTGTGGTGATTCACACCTGTAATCACAGCACTTTGGGAAGCCGAAGCGGGAGGGTCCTTTGAGGCCAAGAGTTCAAGGCCAGCCTGGGCAGTATAATGAGACCCTGTCTCTACAAAAAATTTTTAAAAGTAAAGAAATTTTAAGATAACTAAATACTACATAGACATATATTTTAAATATTTATTACATAAAGGTAAACCAAATAGAAGAGGAAATAATGTTATGCCCTACTTCATATGACCAAAAACTGGAAGATAGTGTCTGAAAATGAAAATGATTGTATTGGGAAGGTAGAATTGTGGCCTTTTTTTTTTTTTTTTTTTTTTTTTTCAGTTTTCTTCTCATTACATTTTCAATTTAGTCTTTGTATATAGATTTTGGTTTATTGGAGAATATATAATGTGCTCTATTAATGTTTAAGTCATAAAAATATAAATTTCAAGTAATTTAAGCTCCAATAGTTATCTAACCTGCCTTCTAATAAATGGGAAATAAATATTTACTTTTTGTTTTGATAAACATATATTTGTTGGCAACTAGCACATGATTTTAAAAGTATAGTGGAACTATACATTTATGTCTTAAAATTAAAACTATAAAGTTATGTGACTGGGAAAGGAAAAATAATTCATTCAGGATTATCTGACATCTTAGTATTATAGTAGTGTTAATACTAGCATATAGTGAAATGTGTATCCAAATGTAGTAATCAGTTTTGTTTTCTTTGTTACCCAGCAAAACTGTTCATTGTAGAATCAAACTCTTCATCATCAACTAGAAGTGCAGTTGACATGGGTAAGCAAAAACTGAATTTTTTATCTTAATAGTGGACTTTAAATTAGTATAGGTGTATTAGTTATAACTTGTGCTTAGGTCCAGGTAAAAAGAAAATGAGTTGATTCCAATTTTACCTTTTAAAGTTCTAGCTTAGTTTCTTAAGGCTTCTGTAAAATCATACTGACTTATGTAGGGTCATATTTTGATATGCAAGAGGAATGTAAAAGGTGTAATGTACTTAAATGTTCACTATCCGTTTGGAGATAGAAGTTCTTATTCTTAGCCCTTTTAGTACTAGAGGTGAAATATCAAAACCAAACAACGGCAAAAAAAAAAAAATCCAAAAAAAATCCAAGTATATCTGTTTTTAGCACTTAGGTTATTGTGATATTAAAGTTATTCAATACTTAAATAAAAAATTATTCCAGTATTTACATATATTGAAAACTTAAATAATTGGCTCTTTAATGTAACTTTAGAATGAATAATCATTTAAAATAAGCTCTTAAATTATTTTTATAGAATTAAGAAATTATCTACCTCTATAAATATGGATTAAGACCAAACATTCAGTTTTTCAGTGTCTCAAGCTTATTCTTTGCTGTGACTACTAGTTACAGAATATTAGGTCATAATTCTTGTGATCATCCATATGCGATAGTAGTGAGCAAGTAGAACTGGAGAAGAAAATTTTATGAAGATAAGGGAGCTACTAAAAACTTCTGGGACCTAGGAAACAAGAAGAAATTTTGTTCCCTAGAAAGAGGAGCATGTAGTAGTAGCTGCAAGCTGCCTAGGAATAAGGCAGGTCAGAGAAACCCACTTGTCTGCCACACAGAGCAAGTAGGTAAATGGGCACTTACACATTTTTGAAAGATAGAAATGTTCTAAATGAAAAGTAAACTATGAAATAATCTGTTATTTTGAAAACAAGTGAAGAATATGGACAGAATTCAGTGGGATACTTTGAAAACATTAGAAATATTTGTTTTTATGATGTAAGCATTTATTTTCTTTGTGTCTTCCTTCCTATCAGCCTGTTCAGTCCTTGGAGTTGCACAGCTGGATTCTGTGATCATTGCTTCACCTCCTATTGAAGATGGAGTTAATCTTTCCTTGGAGCATTTACAGCCTTACTGGGAGGAATTAGAAAACTTAGTTCAGAGCAAAAAGATTGTTGCCATAGGTACCTCTGATCTAGACAAAACACAGTTGGAACAGCTGTATCAGTGGGCACAGGTGAGGGATGGCAGGATCATGAGCACTCCAGGAAGAACTTGCCCTTTTCAGTCTTTGCTGCACACTGTTGAGCATCATGCACATAGTGGCCACCCCTGCGGGGTGACTTTTCCACATGTGGGAGTTTTGTTTTGTTTCTGCAGGAGTTTTGAGGCAGGTTTTATCTAAATCATTTGAGGTTTTTGTTTGTTTTTATTTAAATATATCTCTGATTGAACTGAATGTTAATCCTGGTTAAAATGAGTGACAAAAATACTAGAAGATGTGTGTTAAAACATTTATACCAAATGAATTAAGGCCATTTCCTTCAGTTCTACTTATGTGCTGAAAACAATAATACCTAAAGAAAAACCTTACGGCCGGGTGTGGTGGCTCACATCTGTAATCCCAGCACTTTGGGAGGCCGAGGCGAGCAGATCATGAGGTCAGGAGTTCGAGACCAGCCTGACCAACATGGTGAAACCCTGTCTCTACTAAAAATAAAAAAATTAGCCAGGCATGGTGGCGTGCACCTGTAATCCCAGCTACTCAGGAGGGTGAGGCAGGAGAATCACTTGAACCTCAGAGGCGGAGGTTGCAGTGAGCTGAGATTGCGCCACTGTACTCCAGCCTGGGTGACAGAGCAAGACTCTGTCTCAAAAAAAAAAAAAAAAAGAAAGAAAAACCTTCTTTTTCTTTAGGTACTATTAGACCATGGCTCTAATTTCCTAAGTAAGGGAATATTTTATATATAACAGATATTTTGCTGTTATTCAAAGATGTGTAAGACTGTCAGTTCATACAACTTGATATGGAGTGAGTGTCATAAATTAATTATTCCCACTCTCTGGTCTAATAACCTACAAAATTATTAGGAAAGTCACTTACTAGCGTTTTACCTTTACTCTCAGTATTTCTTTATTCCTTTTACTTCTTCTTCAGCCTTCTCCTTTTCAGAGCTTTCAGAGTTTCTTATGGACAGGAAGACCTAGAGAAAGTATTTCCCCTTCTCCTTGATGATAGCCAGAATGAGGACAAGAAAGTATTGGAGAGACTTAGATGATTCAGAATGTAAATTAACCAGTGTAGCTACTGGAAGCTGTCAATTCTTCTCTTTCAAAATGTGTCTGATTCATAGCCATATTTTATACTTTAACATTAAAGGTATTTACTTGTATTTGATCCTTTACCTTTAAGAACTATTTGCTCTGTAGCTGAAACCATCACACTTAACAAACTAACAAAAATCATGTTTGTGTTCTAGGCAGATGTATTAGATTGTTAAATGGTTCTAGCAGGAGACTTTTTAATAGTGTAGTACCAGGCTGGGCATGGTGGCTCATGCCTGTAAGCCCAGCACTTTGGGAGGCCGAGGTGGGTAGATCACCTGAGGTCAGGAGTTCAAGACCAGCCTGACCAACATGGTGAAACCGCGTCTCTACTAAAAATACAAAAAATTAGCTGGGCATGGTGGCAGGCACCTGTAATCCCAGCTACTTGGGAGGCTGAGGCAGGAGAATTGCTTGCACCTGGTATGTGGAGGTTGCAGTGAGCCAAGATCACGCCACTGTACTCCAGCCTGGGCGACAGAGCAAGACTCCATCTCAAAAAAAAAAAAAAAAAAAAGTGTAGTACTGTTGGCTTTTTCGTTCCCCTAGTGTTACACTTCCTTTCCCTATTACATAGGGAAAAGGTAATAGGGAATTCCTATTCCCTATTACTACTAACCTGGGTTAGAAAAGCATATATTAATAAAGATATTAATGTAAAAGTATTTTGTAAACTTTAATCACTGTGGATTGTGATTTTTCATATGTTCTAAAATTAAGTTATTTTATTGCTTATTGCTTTCTACTTTTGGTATTATATTTAATTTAGTAGTGATATCATGATTTTATTTTCACTTCTAGGTAAAACCAAATAGTAACCAAGTTAATCTTGCCTCCTGCTGTGTGATGCCACCAGATTTGACTGCATTTGCTAAACAATTTGACATACAGCTGTTGACTCACAATGATCCAAAAGGTAAAACTGATATTTTCATTATAGAGATTGATCATAAGCTTTTGTCTTACAAAAAGGTATTTGTTGATACATAATTTTAAATGTGGACAGTGATAAAAATACAGTGTTATCTGAACTATTCTTAATGGTTAGTTCAAAACCTATATGCCCTCATTTTATTTTCAGAAAACTTTATCTCTGTACCAATGGGGAAAAAAAAGTGAAGGGATCATTTCCTGAACATCTGGTCTTTTGAGGTTCACAAATATTAAACTACACAGAAAAGATCTTTTGAGACATTCTAAATAGTAATATATATAATCCTATCTAGTATAGCAAAGACTGGACCAAAAGGCCACTTGATTTTTTTAGTTTTGAGATGGAGTCTTGTTCTGTCGCCCAGGCTGGAGTGCAGTAGCATGATCTCAACCTGACTGCAGTCTCCACCTCCCGGACTCAAGCTCTCCTCCTGCCTCAGCCTTCCGAGTAGCTGGGACTACAGGCGCATACCACCACACTTAGCTAATTTTTCTATTTTTTGCAGAGACAGGGTTTCACCATGTCACCCAGGCTGGGCTTGAATTTCTGGACTCAAGCAATTCCCCCACCTCGGCCTCCCAAGGTGCTGGGATTTTAGGCATGAGCCACTGTGCCTGGACAAAAGGCTACTTTATTCAAGGAGATAAATATCTGGAAAAAGTGGCACATGTAATTTAATTCAAAACTTAATAAGCATCTTAGGATAGGTAAGTAGGTATTTTATTAAGACGTTTAGTGTTAATCAGAAATATTTGATTAATGAGAATGGCTTGTCTGCCTTTTATAGAATAATTTTTTACAACATTTTGTAAGATAACTAGAAAGACTTGGAAGATAATATTGAACATAACTTGCAAAGATAAATGTTTCAGAGAGCCTGTATATTATTAAGTAATGTATATTACTACATATTTTTGGTATAAATGAGAAATGTTTGGTTATAAGTGAGAAATGTCTTGTGAAAGTTTTAATTCTCGATGACATTTTTATAGAAGTTCTGATTTAATAAATATTAGAGGAAATTATATTTCATAGATAATTCCCGCCGAAAAAATATTCAGCTTTTATTTCCATACCTAAAAAGATGACACAATATCAGTGGGTTGATTCAGTTTGCTCATTTTAAGAATGCTATGGATAATCTATTAAGACTTTATACTATTTATTAGCAGTCTACTTCATTCTCATTTCTTCACTGTTTCATCAGAGGAGGGGGAGATGGAGGAGAAAGAGTTTTAATAGTTATTTTTCCTTGAATGCCAAGCATCATGCCAAATGCCTCAGAGAGATTATCTATAATCCTCACAACAACGGAAACTATACATTTTTTTTGTCAGGAAATAGAGCCTCAGAGTGAAAGGAACTAGCCAAGGTCACCCAGCTGGCTTTGGGCAAAGTTTGAACTTGGCCTAAGTCTTGGATTATTTTGGAGCCTTTTCCACTATACAATCTCTTTGATTTGAAACATTAGTATTACAGTATTACAGTCTGAAAACTTCATCCATTTTCATTTAAATCATACCAGAATAAAATACAGTGACTTTTGCCTTCCCAGTAGAGCTTTCACAATCAAGTAAATTGATTTTTTAAGCCATTTTAGTGAAAATCTAACAAATTGTTATGCTGATTTATTCTGAACTATAAGTCATTTAAATTTTAACTTTCCATATGTTGGCAGATGTCATGTGTCTGTTTACTTTTTGGAGGCTCTTCTAACAGTAATTGTTACCAACAGCTGATGATCCAGCCTGTACCCTCTTCTAGCTTCACTTGAAAAAAACTCAATCCTTTTACTAGTAGGAAAGGAAGTAGGAAAAGATTAAGGTTCCTAGTGTTTTATTTTCACATATCTAAATGTTGACATTTAGAATGTGTGCTAATACATTATTGTTATGGCAAAATATATTGCATATGTATATGAGGAGAGAGATTTAATCCTTTTTTATATTTTTTGTATTACATAATTTGATACTTAGTTGTCTTTTTTAATTCTAAGACTTTTGGTGAAAATGTATAGGCTTATCCTGCATTTATCATTAATGAACCTTCAGACACTTTAATCTATAATGAAGCAACTCTCGATTTAATTTGTCATGTTTACTGACTAAAGAGTTCAACCATAATTAAATTTTAAAAGCAGTTAAATGAATAGCATAGTCTCTGATTTTGTGTCATATTTTTTATTTTTTTAAGCAACCAAACTGAAAAAACTGTAAAACATTTAACTCTGTAAAATTTAACTCTGTAAAACTGTAAAACATTTAACTCTGCTTGTCATCTAAAATAGAATTTTGTTTATAAATTCCCTGAAGGTCTACCCCTGTTCTAAAAATTACCCTTACTCCCCATAATGGGTTTATTTTCCATTACCCTTTGTTCTAGAAGTGTAATAACAATTTAACTAGAGAGTAAAATTGTAAAGTAGATGATCCTGAATTTAGAACTTTCCATTTTTATTTGTTCCCCGCCCCCCATTTCGATTAAATCCAATCTGTATTATGTCTCTTTCCCTCAGGGTCTTCTCTGTTAGAAAATCTGATAAACAAATCCATATTAATGTTACTTTTCCAAGGAGACATTTGTGTTCTATATATGAAAACTACCATTTACTAGTGGTGTGACCTTGGCCAACTTACCGAACCTCTCTGCCTTGGTTTCCCCCCATAAAGAGATAATAGAATCTATCTCATAGGGTTAGCATGTGGATTAACTGAGTTAATACATGTAAAGTACTCAGAAAAGTACCTCGCACATGAAAATAGCTAACATTGATTGAGCGTTTACTGTTAATGCTATTCAGGTATCACAGCAGTTTGGGAGTAGGTGGGTCCTTTAGCACTCCGAAATCAAACTGTGAAGATGCTCACTTAATCCCTATCTGTAGGTTGCTTCTGACCCCAGTGGAATCTTTCCATATTGATTGATGCATTTAATAGACGTTTGAGCACCATTTGCCAGCCATTGTTCTGGGTACTAGAGATAAAGGATCAAGTCAGACAAAAACCAACCCTCATGGAATTTATATTCTAATGGGAGGAGACAGACAATAAAATAAATGTTACATATGATAAGTGGTAGTATATGCTATGGAGATAACTTGGCTGAAGGAGAAAGAGTATCCAAGTTAATTGTTGTTTTATATGGTACAGTCAGAGAGGCCTCTCTACTAAGGGAATGTTAATCAGAGACCTGCAGGAAGGGAGTGAGCCATGTGAATATCTGGAAAAAGTGTGTTCAAGGAAAAGGCAGAAGCTAATTCAGAGGCTCCAAGGTGTGAATGTGCTTGAGGTTTTCAGGATACAGCAAGGAGGTGAGGCCAGTGTGGCCAGAGGAGTGAGGCAGTGAGGAGAGGAGTGGTGGGATATGGCATCAGAGCAGTCATAGAGAGCTTGGATATAAACTTGGAATTTGCTGGGCATGGTGGCTCACACCTGTAATCCCAGCACTTTGGGAGGCCAAGGCAGGGGATCACTTGAGTCCAGGAGTTTGAGACCAGCCTAAGCAACATAGTAAGACCTCATATCTACAAAAATAATAATAATAATAATTAAATTAGCTGGCCTTGGTGACGCACACCTCTAGTCCTAGCTACTCAGGAGAATGAGGTGGAAGGATGCATTGAGCCCAGAAGTTTGAGGCTGCAGTGAGCTGTGATCATGCCACTGCACTCCAGCCTGGGCAACAGAGTAAGACATTGCCTCAAAAAAAAAAAAAAATAGAAAAGAAAAAAAGAATTGGCACTGCGGCACTCTCAAATTATCAACTGCTGGTAGAAGTGTAAAGTATAGCCTTTCTGTAAAGCAGTTGGCAATATAGCGTGTATCTAGCTTTAAGAATGTACTTGTACTTTGGCCCTTCATTCCACAGCCAGGCATGCATTTTAAAATGTTCATCATCTGCATCATTGTGACGGTTTGTTTCTTCCATATTTGGAGATAAATTTATGTGTAGACTTTTTTTTTGTAAGACATAGTTGATAATGAAAATTTATTTAAATGGTCTTGCAATGATTTAAGTATTCAAATGCTTAAAGAAAGCATTGCTGGTACAAATATTTCTATTTTTAGAAAGGGTTTTTATGGATCAATGCCCCAAGTGTCATCAGAGCCATTGGTGTTTTCATTTTTAAAATGTCACCTGTAAAATGGGCATTATTTATGTGTATATGGCTTTTTTTGGCATTCCTGATAAATGTATTATATAAAGTCTATACATTGGATAATAACACTAGTATATTTAAACTTACAGACTTATTTGTAATGCAAACCACCATTTTAATGTACTGTAATTAATATGGTTATAATATATATATAGTCCTTCTGTCCTACCATCACACAACTTTTTGTGTGTGTAATAAACCGCTTTTGGTTTGAAAATATTTTTCGAGGCCGGGCACGGTGGCTCACACCTGTAATCCTAGCACTTTAGGAGGCCAAGGTGGGTGGATCACCTGAGGTCAGGAGTTCGAGACCAGCCTGACCAACATGGTGAAACCCCATCTCTACTAAAATATAAAATTAGCCAGGCATGGTGGTGCATGCCTGTAATCCCAGTTACTTGGGAGGCTGAGGCAGAAGAATTGCTTGAACCCGGGAGGTGGAGGTTGCAGTGGGCCAAGATCACACCATTGCACTCCAGCCTGGGCAACAGAGTGAGATGCCATCTCAAAAAAAAATATATATATATATATTTTTTAAAAAAAGAATGTTTATCCTGGCATTATTCTTATTAGCAAAATATTAGGAAAAACATAAATGTTTTGACCAATAATAAGGAAATATATGAATTATGATATCTATGTAATATAGTAATGGGGAAATTATTAAAAATGATCTTTTCACAGACTATTACATGGGAAAATATTCACAATATAAGTGGAAAAAGATAAGCAAATAAGGCTTTAACTACAGTGTGATTTCTAATTTTGTAAGATATGGATATACACACACACATACAGATATAAGATCTAGAGATATATAGAGATTCAAGATATGGATGAAGATATATATATATATATGAAGATATATACTCATATACACCAAAAAAGTTGTAAGGAAATGCATGACAATGTTATATCATCTCCAATTGATAGGATTATCAGTTACTTTTTTTTTCTTTAGACTTTCCTGTATTTTCCCTGACTATACATTAGAATCACCTGGAGATCTTTAAAAAACTGCAGATGTCTAGGCTCCACTCACCAAAAGTTAAGAATTAAATAGGCTGGGGTACAGGTGTAGATACTTTTTAAATAACTGCCTGGGAATTTCTAATATTCTGGTTCAGATTCATAGCACACACATGAAGAATAAGCATATTATATATTAAATGTTGAGGTGTTTCTTTTGTTATGTTAAATGCTTACCTACATACTAAAGTGCTTTTTTGTTTTCCAATTTAACACGCTGGAGTTTTGTTTGTTGTTGTTTCTTTTAGAACTGCTTTCTGAAGCAAGTTTCCAAGAAGCTCTTCAGGAAAGCATTCCTGACATTCAAGCGCACGAGTGGGTGCCGCTGTGGCTACTGCGGTATTCGGTCATTGTGAAAAGTAGAGGAATTATCAAATCAAAAGGCTACATTTTACAAGCTAAAAGAAGGGGTTCTTAACTGACTTAGGAGCATAACTTACCTGTAATTTCCTTCAATATGAGAGAAAATTGAGATGTGTAAAAATCTAGTTACTGCCTGTAAATGGTGTCATTGAGGCAGATATTCTTTCGTCATATTTGACAGTATGTTGTCTGTCAAGTTTTAAATACTTATCTTGCCTCCATATCAATCCATTCTCATGAACCTCTGTATTGCTTTCCTTAAACTATTGTTTTCTAATTGAAATTGTCTATAAAGAAAATACTTGCAATATATTTTTCCTTTATTTTTATGACTAATATAAATCAAGAAAATTTGTTGTTAGATATATTTTGGCCTAGGTATCAGGGTAATGTATATACATATTTTTTATTTCCAAAAAAAATTCATTAATTGCTTCTTAACTCTTATTATAACCAAGCAATTTAATTACAATTGTTAAAACTGAAATACTGGAAGAAGATATTTTTCCTGTCATTGATGAGATATATCAGAGTAACTGGAGTAGCTGGGATTTACTAGTAGTGTAAATAAAATTCACTCTTCAATACATGAATGGAAACTTAAATTTTTTTTTATGTGTCCTTGCTTATAGTTTAGCTGTAATAATTTAACCTTGTATTCTTGTGCCATATTCTGTCTTTTTATTACTTATAAAGACAAACCAAAGTAAATCTGAAAGGAGACTAGAAGCTTTGAAATTATTGTTTGGGGGTTTTATAAAAGCAACTACTGTCACCTCCATCCAGATTCTTTTAAATTATTGATCCATCCATAGTATATATTGCTACTCATTCAAGAATCCTCAATAAGTATTGAGTATTTACCATATGTTGGGATACTGTGGGCTCTGGAGAGAGGAGGGGGCAATAGAGCTAGGAATTAAGAATCAGTTGAGTAAAATGTGTAATATTTATTCCCCATTAATAACTGACTAGGAAGGACTAAAAGCCAGAAAGGGGATGAAAAAAAAATCCTTAATTCAGGGCCGACATTATCTACTTAAACAACTTTGAGATATGGTCTTAATTATTTTAAAGCAGAATAATATAATTGAAAGTTTATAGCTAAAAGAGACTATATAGGTCATTTAGTATAATTCTTCATTAGTTTACGAACCACAAAATTGCAAATAAATAAGCTATGAACTTTGATGTACACTATAAATCTCCTTAATTCTATAAATTTGTGTCTGTAACCTGAATAGTTTGAAAACTTCTTTAAAAATCTCTTGTATTTCATCCGGGCGCAGTGGCTCACACCTGTAATCCCAGCACTTTGGGAGGCCGAGGTGGGCAGATCACGAGGTCAGGAGTTTGAGACCAGCCTGACCAACATGGTAAAACCCCATCTCTACTAAAATACAAAAATTGGCTGGGCGTGGTGGCACTCGCCTGTAATCTCAGCTACTTGGGAGGCTGAGGCAGGAGAATCGCTTGAACCCGGGAGGCGGAGGTTACAGTGAGCCGAGATCACATCACTGCACTCCAGCCTGGGCGACAGAGCGAGACTCCATCTCAAAAAAAAAAAAAAACTCTTGTATCTCAATATTTTTAAACCACAGGCCTAAATAAAACTAATTTTGCTCAAGTTTTCTCAACCTAGGGAAAAAGAACTATGGTTCCATATTCAAAATAAATATTATAGACCCTTTTCCTAAGTAGGATTTTGTGGTTTACTGATTGGGTAATTTGATCATTAAAATTATGTGAAATCTGCCCGGGCACACCTCATGCCTGTAATCCCAGCACTCTGGGAGGCCAAGGCAGATGATCACCTGAGGTCAGGAGTTCTAGACCAGCCTGGCTAACATGGTGAAACCCTGTATCTGCTAAAAATACAAAAATTAGCCAGGCGTGGTGGCGGGCTCCTGTAATCCCAGCTACTTTGGAGGCGAGGCACGAGAATCGCTTGAACCTGGGAGGCGGAGTTTGCAGTGAGCCGAGATCACGCCATTGCACTCCAGCCTGGGCGACAGAGCGAGACTGCGTCTCAAAAAAAAAAAAAAAAGAAAAATTATGTGAAATCATGTGATTTGCCTGGGAAAACTTGTTTAGATATTGAGCTACTTATGCCTTCTAGCCTTTATATTAATTGTATGTAATGTTATTAAATATATATATAGTTCATCTTTACATTTGGAAATGCCCAACATTTTTTTCATATAAGTCCTTAAACAAGCGTTCATTTTATTTTAAATCTATACAGTGAACTGGCCAAGATATTTTAAGAGGGAACTTTAATATCCCATTTATTGTTTTTATAACCCTGGACTTATAAAAATGGGTTGTTTGAAGGGTTATTTTGAAAGTGGGGGAAAAAAAAACTTAGTTGCTAATGTATCTAAACTTCAGCAGAGCTTTTTGGTGATCTCCTACCTGCACCCTCAACTCTTGACAAAGAAGCAAGACTATAGATTCATTTTCTGAAGGGGATCATGTATGGAATTTTTTGATGAGTTTTTACTTTTACCTCTCTACTCTTGATTTTCTATTATTGAATACTCTTTTAAAACACTGATTTTTAAGGCTTTATATATGTTTTCCAGGCTGATGTTCACATCTTTTTTTCATGAACTATCAGAATATAGTGAACACTTTTCAAATATTTAAGGACTTAATGTTTAAAAAGCCATAAAATAGAGAGTGGTAATACTACCAAATAATTACTTAAAACTGAAAGCTAAGTTATCAATAGTTTATATAAGAGATGTTTTCTGAGGAGATGTGCATCCAGTGAGACCAAGGTAGAAAGTTTATATAATTGTTTTTTTTCCAGTAAATATGAAAAAAAAAGCTGTAGCTTGTTTATTACATGTCCAAAATACAGTGGAGCCTTACTTTAACACAATGTACTGTAACTTGGAATTTGTTCTGTTATGAGTCTATCTTGAATTCCCATCCATGAAACTGTAGTCACCAAAAGCAACAAGTATTTTCACATGATGTAAAAGACCATACTATGATGGCCATTGCTAGAAATTGAATCACAAATAATAGCTAATAATTTTTCATTTTTCAAAAAAGATCATTTGGATAGCAGCTATGTATAAAATGGAAAATAAAAAATTATTCTATTTTGCATGAATAGTTCAGACTTTCCCATACCACAGCCAAGCAGTAACTAAAATTAGGATCTTAATTTTCAATGATAAAAGGTCTAAGGTTCATTTAATTATGCTCCTTTAACACTGTCTTTCTAGATTTTTCACCCAGTATTTTCAAAATTTGGGAATGTAAACAATTGATATATTTATTGTATGTTGGCTAGCAGTTCATCCTTCTGCAAAATATGCATTCAGAGAAATGTGAAGCTTGTTTTAATGAAGACTTAAACCATTTGTGTCATTTGTGTTTTCATATTCAAATACACCAAATTAAAATTCTGAACCTATATTTTTCATCATTAACTTCCTAATATACCAGAACATATACCTTTTTCATGTAAAGTTGGCAATGGGATATGGCAGTTTTATTTTTGAAAAATATGTAACATGACTTTAATATTTTTATAGTTTTCAGAATTAGAAACATAGGAAGGGAAAATGTTTTAATTAGATAAGTCAACTTTTTATGTGTCTGTAGTGGTGTACTATAATAGCAAATTATAAAGCATTATTAAATGTTTATAATAATTTTTAATATTACCTACATTATGAATTTAACTAAAATAAAGTGTGAGTTGTATATTTTTTAATTGGGTTGTTTCAATAGCTGGAAGCATCCTGAAGCATTATATTGATTTTTGAACTATTTGAACTCAAACTGAGTATGATTTGAAAATAAATTAATAATTTAAAAACATCCAAATCATAAAGCTATTTATGCATTCATTCATTCCACAAAGATTTATTGAATGCCTGCTATGTGTTAGGCACTGTGCTACAGATGGACACAGATGAAAAATAACTCCTATACCCAAGGAATATACGATATATTTGGGGGGAAAGGGAGGAATCTGTATGTGAATAAGAGCAATAAAAGGCTGCATCTGTTGGCTGGGCGCAGTGGCTCACACCTGTAATTCCAGCACTTTAGGAGGCCGAGGCGGGCAGATCACTTGAGGCCAGAAGTTCGAGACCAGCCTGGCCAACATGGTGAAACCCAGTCTCTACTAAAAATACAAAAATTATTCGGGCATGGTGGTACATGCCTGTAATCCCAGCTACTTGGGAGGCTGAGGGATAAGAATCACTTGAACCTGGGAGGTGGAGGTTGCAGTGAGCCGAGATCACACCACTGCACTCCAGCATGGGTGACAGAGCCAGACTCTGTCCCCCAAAAAAAGAAAAAAGGCCGGGCACAGTGGCTCATGCCTGTAATCCCAGCACTTTGGGAGGCCGAGGTGGGCAGACCACGAGGTCGGGAGATTGAGACCATCCTGGCCAACATGGTGAAACCCTGTCTCTACTAAAAATACAAAAATTAGCTGGGCGTGGTGGCATGTGCCTGTAGTCCCAGCTACTCAGGAGGCTGAGGCAGGAGAATCGCTTGAACCAGGGAGTTGGAGGTTGCAGTGAGCCAAGATCATGCCACTGCACTCCAGCCTGGTGACAGAGCAAGACTCCGTTTCAAAAAAAAAAAAAAAGCTGTATCTGTTGATAGAAGTAATGAAAAGGACTGGGGCATGTGGAAGGAAGTGGGACTGAGTAGCAGGTTAAGGATAAGAAAAACTTCCCTGAAGAAATTAGCTTTAGACTAGGGTCAGATGACAAGGTGTGGTAGGCATTCTGGGCAGAAACCCTTGTTTGCCTGGTTTGTAAATATGCCCCTATTGAATGATGGAGTAGTTAATATGTAAACTTTAGAAGTTCAAGGAAAACATCTTCAAAAGCTTATTCTTATAGAAAGGAATGGCTTCTGTTGAGATAAGCGTAGGTTAAGTTTGGAAAAGTCATAAAAAGATGAAAGCTTGCTAATTTCCTCTAAATATATCAGGATATGGTCATATGTAGTTCCGCTACCAGAGAAGTCAACAAAAGCTTTAACATGTTTCCTCAGCAATGACTAAATGTGTAAAATGTCATGCAAGATTTTGATGTGTCTGCTGGTCCATTATTTTAAGGTTCATGTTTTACAATGAACATTACTTATTTTGATTATTTTCCCTCTTTCTTTGCTCACTGTTGATTCTTGCATTCTATTCAAGTTTTTTTTTTTTGTTTTTTTTTTTTTTGAGACAGGGATCTCACTCTGTTTCTTAGGCTGGTGTACTGTGGCATGATCATGGCTCACTGCAGCCTCAACCTCCCAGGCTTAAGCCATCCTCCCACCTCAGCCTCTCAAGTAGCTGGGACTACAGACATGCACCACCACACCTGGCTAACTTTTATTTTTGTAGAGACAGGATCTCGCTATGTTGCCCAGGCTGGTCTTGAACTCTTGGACTCAAGTGATCCTCTCACCACAGCCTCCCAAAGTGCTGGGATTACAGGCATGAGACACAGTACCTAGCCTCCTTAGTAATTCTTTACCAAAGGTCTTTAGTGACAGTAAATTTTCTAGATCCCATTTGTCTGAAATGTCTTTATTTTGCACTCAACCTTTGTTTTTTGTTTTTGTTTTTGTTTTTTATAGAGATCAGTTTTCATTATGTTGCCCAGATTGGAGTGCAGTGGTTATTCACAGGTGTGATCATCGCATACTACTGCCTAGAACTCCTGAACTAAACAATCCTCCTGCTCCAGCCTCCCAAGTTGCTGAGACTACAGGCACATGCCACCACACCCAGCTTAGTTTGCACTCAATCTTAAATGATCATTTGACATTACAGAATTCTAAAAGCCCCCAAATACAATATTGAAAACCAGATACAACCCAAATGTCTATCAACAGCTGAATGGATAAATCCATTGTTATATAGTCATACAATGAAATACTCAGCAATAAAAAAGAATCAACTACTGGTATACACAATAACATGGATGAATTACAGAAACACTATGCTGAGTGAAAGAAGCTAGACATGAGTACATACTGTATTATTTCTTTTTTCTTTTTTTTTTTTTTAAGACGTGGTCTCGCTCTGTCACCCAGGCTGGAGTGCAGTGGCATGATCATGGCTCACTGCAGCCTCAACCTCCCAGGCTCAAGTGATCCTCCCACCTCAGCCTCCCAAGTAGCTGGGACTACTGGCGCATGCCACCATGCCTGGCTAATTTTTATATATTTTGTAGAGATGGGGTTTTGTTATGTTGCCCAGGCTGGTCTCAAACTCCTGGGCTCAAGTGATCCTGCCTCCTCAACCTCCCAAAGTGCTGGGATTACAGGTATGAGCCTCTGTACCTGGCCTGTATTATTTATTTTACTTGAAATTTTAGGAGAGATGAAGTTAATCTATAACTACTGGTTATCTATTGTTGTATCTGGATGACTTTGAGGCATCCAGATGCAGCAATGGATAAGTCAAGACTGCAGTCTCACCTGAAGGCTGGACTGAGGGTCTGTTTCCAAGCTCACTCGTGTAGTTGTTGGCAGGACTCAGTGCCTCACACGTTGTCAGACTGAGTTCCTTAATTCTTCACTGGGTGTAGGCCAGAGGCCTCCTTCACTCAGTTCCTTGCCACAGTGTTCTCTTCAAAGGACAGCTTATAACGTACAGCTAGGTTCCTACAGAGTGAATGATTGAGAGAGAGCAAGATAGAAGCCAGCCTTTTGTTAACCTAATCCTGAAAGTGACATCCATCATTTTTGTCATACTCGTTTCATTAGAACTCACTAAGTCCAGCCCACATTCAAAGGTTTGAAGACCAGAAAATGGGATCACTGGACATCTTACAGGTCAAACTTAATTTTAATAGTAATGTTTTACATGTAACAATGCAGAATGACCATGAATAGTATGCATTTTTAGAAGGCTCATGCACTAAAACTCTCATCTTTTGGTTAATGCCTAAAATTCCAGGGAGCTTTGACCTTTCAGTTTAAGGATTTAATTAGTAAAATATAGATTATTTAAGGTAAATTTCCTTTTGGGCCTGAGTAATAGTACTGGTTACCGTTAAAAAATGTGGGGGTTGGGGCATTGACCCCCCTGCACAGTTGAAAATCCACAGATAACTTTTGACTACCCCAAAACTTAACTACTAATAGCCTACTATTGACCAGAAGCCTTGCAGATAACTAGTTGATTAATACATATTTTATATGTTGTATATATTATATATTGCATTCTTACAATAAACGAGAAAAGAAAATTTTAAGAGAATCATAAGGAAGAGAAGTGGAAGTGGATCATCATAAAGGTCTTCATCCTTGTCTTCATGTTAAGTAAGCTGAGGAGGAAGAGGAGGGGTTGGTCTTTCTGTCCAGGGGTGGTGGAGGCAGAAGAAAATCACTGCATAAGTGAAACTTCCCAGTTCAAACCCGTGTTGTTCAAGGGTCAACTGTATTGTATATACTATATATACCTAAAATTAAATATACTGTATTTGCCCTAAATCCACTTCAGATAAAGAAGATAGGCAAAGAATATGGCAAACCTGGTAAGCCCACGTAAAAACACTTCTTTTTTTTTTGGCCTATGGTAGATTTGTTGATAGACCAGCTCAATCTTCTCATATTATAACTATGTACTGACAATTTTAGTATCTTACGTTTGTTTCTTGACCTTAGATTGTATATGAGTTGGTTTTCTCCTTTTTTTTTTTCTTTACTTGAAAGGGCCATGCTTGCAAGTGAGTATTAGACATTGCATGATTTTCTAATATTCTCTCCAGTTTTCTACACCTACCTCTGTCATCTTAATTTCTATTTTCATGCATTTGCTCAAATTAAAGATGTGGAGATTAAATGAATGAATACATGTAAAGCACGTAGATTAGTATCCAGCAGATATTAAGTGGCCAATACTATTATGATTGATGCTGTTGTTCTTTGATGCTTTGATCTCCACAACCTACATCCAATTGGTTCACTTTCCTTCTACACGATTTGTCTCCTCCTCAAATCTAACCTTTCTCTTCTGTTCATCTTCTTACATAGTCTCACTGCTACTTGGCCCTACTAAAATTTATTTTTGCTTCTTACCACATTTGCCACAAATGTTGATATAAACCATTTCCATTCTTCTGAGATGTATCACCTACTTACAGAGGTTATTATCTACCCAAAATCTTCTCTTCTTCACTCCACTTGAACATACTTGCATTCACATTCTCCTCTCTGTTTCAGATATCAACTCTTTCCTCCTGGCTCAAAGGAAGGTGCATTCTTTTCTGACTACACCCACATCTCTGTTTATTATCCAGTTCAGTTAGCATTAGGCTCGGCTGCAAATAGAAAAATCCTTAATTAACAGTGGCTTTTAACAAGGTGTTTCCATCAGGTGAAAAATCTAGAAGGCGGCTCTTGAGGGCTCATAGGGCAGCTCCACAAGTTGATTTTTCCATCTCACTGCTATGCCATCTCTAAAGCATGCCTTCATCCTTATGGCACAAACTTGCCGCCTGAAAACCAGCGAACCCAACTTTCCAGGAAGTAAAATGCACTTTAAAAGATCAGGAGGGCTGGGCGAGGTCGTTTAGGCCTATAATCCCAGCACTGTAATCCCAGCACTTTGAGAGGCCGAGGCGGGTGAATCACCTGAAGGCAGGAGTTCAAGACCAGCCTGCCCAACATGGTGAAACCCCGTCTCTACTAAAAATACAAAAAAAAAATTAGCCAGGAATGGTGGCGGGCGCCTGTAATCTCAGCTACTCAGGAGGCTGAAGCAGGAGAATCGCTTGAACCCGGGAGGCGGAGGTTGCAGTGACCCAAGATTGCGCCATTGCACTCCACCCTGGGCGACAGAGCAAGACTCCGTCTCCAAAAAAAAAAGTCAGGGACGGCCTCCTCTCTTTTAGATGCCGTCCCTAAAGACATGCACACAATTTATACCTAATTGGCTAAAACGTAGTCACATAGCCACATTTGGCTGCAAGAGAGACTATAAAATAAGCTATTTTAAGCTGGGAAGCAGTGTGTCCATCGACACAGTGTTCTGTGACTTTAAATAAAAAATTGGTTTTCTGTCATGAAGTAGAGACTAGGTTTGGTGAGGCACTCATTCATCCTTTCTCACCTCCAACAATAATTTGCGTTTACTTATTTTTTCAACCCCTTCCCATCCCCTCAAACATAGTTCTCTACCTTTTATCTCAAAAGATAACCAAAGAAACCTCTTGATTCTGGTCATACTCTTCCTTTCACTGTGACAATAACAACAACAACAACAACAACAAAACCTTATTCTTCTCCTTTACAATTTCTTTAACGTTTTTTTCTTTTCTGCTATTCCCAATCCCTAAACACCATCTCACGTTTAGATTATACAGCTTTCCACTTCGTCTCCCAGTTCCTGCGAGCACCTTATATCCCTTTTACCCCAACCAAGTCCTTAAATTTTATTTATAGTTAGCGTCACAATACACGAGTAAATATTGTCTTTCTTTAAAAAGCACAAATATCTCAAACTTCTCCCTTGGACATACCAATGGCTACATTAAGCTCTTTAGAACGTAGAAATGAAAGAACGCCTCCCGGGTTCAAACGATTCTACTAAACAAATGAAAGAACGAATGGCATGTAAGTGCGTTTTTACAATTCATGTGAACGGGTACGCTAAGACCCTCTGTCACTGCGGGCTTCGCCGCCCCGATGAAGGTCTTTCCCAGCAAAAATCTGGCTTGCCTTCTACAGCTCTGAAATGCACACTTAAACCCAGGCCCTTTGTCTCTGACCGCCCTGGCCTGAACTGGCTGGGCGGAGATTCTCGCGAATTCTCGGATCTGCGCGGAAAACGCGCTCGAGGCAGTTCTCTGACGCATTTCCGGAGCGCCAGGGAAGAGGGAAGTCGTGGTGGTCGCGAGGGAGCCGGAAAGATGGTGGTTACCAGATCTGCACGGGCTAAGGCCAGCATCCAAGCCGCGTCGGCTGAAAGTTCCGGGCAAAAGGTAGGAAATCCAGTCTTCCCTACTTCTCGCCGCTTCGCAGAGCCGCGCTCAGGCAGGCGGGGCGGCGCAAGGGTCCGGTTAAGGGTGAGGACCTGCCGACAGAGAGGACCCGAGCTTGCCGCGCGCTTGGGTCTCCCAGGCCCCGTGCTAAGCCTGTCACGGAAACTGTTTAGCCTTCACCACTGTCTCTTAAGGCAATTTTTAGTATGGAAGAGAGGTTAGATAACTTTATTTGGGTCGTTCAACTCCTTAATGCAGAAGCACAGTTCGAACTTTTAAACCTTACTGTTAACACGGTACCAAGGAGGGTTAATTTCGGCCACCATGCACAAGCCCCATTTAGGGGGGCTGGAAAAAAAGCTTCGTTTTCACGTGGGGAGGCTGGCAGCTGTCCAGCATCACCTCCTTAAGGCGTGAGGAGGGCTGTGGTGTCGTCGCCTGGTGACTCTTAGTGGCGTTAGTCGGCTGTCTCATTCTGACTCAGCGATGCAGGGAACGGAGCGGCGGCGATTTTTTCCTGTACGTAAAGGTAAGGGCGGCGACTGATTCCATCAGTGTGTTCCTAAACACATCGGTGTTCAGAGTTAATATTCCCTTTCTCCCCTCTTCTATAGGTGGGTCAGAATGTTGGTCTACCCATTATATTTGACTTTAAACAGAAAAATTTTAATCGTTCTGCTTCTGAAGTTACATCTAGGAAGGATGAGGCTAGTGAAGTAAATGCAGGGTTGGCTCCAGTGTTTAAATTTTGATTTTTTTGTTTGTTTGTTTTTGATTCGGAGTCTTGCTCTGTCGCCCAGGCTAGAGTGCAGTGGCGCAGCCTCGGCTCACTGCAACTTCTGCCTCCCGGATTCCAACAATTCTTCTGCCTCAGGCTCCTGAGTAGTTGGGATTACAGGTGCGCACCAACACGCCCCGCTAATTTTTTTACTTTGAGTAGAGATGGGGTTTCACTATGTTGGCCAAGCTGTCTCGAACTCCTGACCTCGTGATCCACCTGCCTCGGCCTCCCAGAGTGCTGGGATTACAGCCGTAAGCCACCGCGCCCGGCCAAATTTTGATTTTTTAAAAATCATGAGTTGGGCAGGTTTTTTTGTTTTTTGTTTTAAAGGTAATCTTGTTTACTGGGTTTTAGCTTTTGGGGTCAGTATTTCATTTGCTTTGCCCTTGTTCCAGCCCTACCTAAATTACAGTGTGTTTTCTCTGGTTTGCAGAGTTTTGCTGCTAATGGGATTCAAGCGCATCCAGAAAGTAGTACTGGATCTGATGCCCGAACTACTGCTGAATCACAGACCACTGGGAAGCAAAGTTTAATCCCTAGAACTCCTAAAGCTAGAAAGAGGAAGAGCAGAACTACAGGCTCACTACCAAAGGGGACTGAACCATCTACGGATGGAGAAACCTCTGAGGCAGAGTCAAATTATTCTGTGTCTGAGCACCATGATACCATTTTAAGGGTAACTAGGAGAAGGCAGATCTTAATTGCATGCTCCCCAGTGTCCAGTGTTAGGAAAAAGCCGAAAGTAACTCCAACAAAGGAGTCTTACACTGAAGAAATAGTGTCTGAAGCAGAATCTCATGTTTCAGGTATTTCTAGAATTGTGCTTCCTACAGAAAAAACTACAGGAGCCAGAAGAAGTAAGGCTAAATCTCTGACAGATCCAAGCCAAGAATCTCATACAGAAGCTATATCTGATGCTGAGACATCAAGCTCAGACATTTCATTCTCTGGAATTGCAACTAGAAGAACCAGGAGTATGCAGAGGAAATTAAAGGCACAAACTGAAAAGAAAGATAGTAAGATTGTACCAGGAAATGAGAAACAGATCGTGGGTACACCTGTGAATTCAGAGGATTCAGATACCAGACAAACTTCCCATTTACAAGCAAGATCTCTTTCTGAGATAAATAAGCCAAATTTCTATAATAATGACTTTGATGATGATTTCTCCCACAGAAGTTCAGAAAATATATTAACAGTGCACGAACAGGCCAATGTTGAATCTCTTAAAGAAACAAAACAGAATTGTAAGGATTTGGATGAAGATGCCAATGGAATAACAGATGAGGGGAAAGAAATTAATGAGAAAAGTTCTCAGCTGAAGAATCTTTCTGAACTTCAGGACACTAGCCTTCAACAGTTAGTTTCTCAGAGACATTCAACCCCCCAAAATAAAAATGCTGTATCAGTGCACTCTAATCTGAACTCTGAGGCTGTAATGAAATCATTAACTCAAACATTTGCAACTGTGGAAGTAGGCAGATGGAATAACAACAAAAAGAGCCCCATAAAAGCAAGTGACTTGACAAAGTTTGGTGATTGTGGTGGTAGTGATGATGAAGAAGAGTCCACAGTTATAAGTGTCAGTGAAGACATGAACAGTGAAGGGAATGTAGATTTTGAATGTGATACCAAACTATACACGTCTGCGCCCAACACATCTCAGGGTAAAGATAATTCTGTCTTACTAGTTCTCAGCAGTGATGAAAGCCAACAGTCTGAAAACAGTGAGAATGAAGAGGATACTTTATGTTTTGTTGAAAATAGTGGCCAAAGGGAGTCATTAAGTGGAGACACAGGAAGTCTGTCATGTGACAATGCATTGTTTGTAATTGACACAACTCCTGGAATGAGTGCTGATAAAAATTTTTACTTGGAAGAGGAAGACAAGGCAAGTGAGGTTGCCATTGAGGAAGAAAAAGAAGAGGAAGAGGATGAAAAAAGTGAAGAAGATTCATCAGACCATGACGAAAATGAAGATGAGTTTAGTGATGAAGAAGACTTCCTAAATAGCACAAAGGCTAAACTGTAAGTTTTTCCTTTATTTTTATAAGTTTTTGATACATGTATTTCAAGTGGTTAATTTACCATAAAAATATGAAATGTTAGCCTGGGGAATGAGAAAATCACTGCCTTGGGTTCTTCATGGAATGGCTCATTCATTTGACATTATGGAGCCAGGTGTTGGGTGTGCACCTGTAGTCCCAGCCACCCAGGGAGGTTGAGGTAGGAGGATCACTTGAGTCCCAAGAGTTCAAGGCTGCAGTGGTCACTACTGCACTCCATCCTGGGCCAACAGTGAGACCCTGTCTCAAAAAATAAAATAAAATGATGAAAAATATATTTATTTAGAGTTTTTTTTCAGGAATTCCTCATAAAAATAAGATGCTTTTTTTTCTTTATTGTGGACAATACAAGGGAAGAGAAGAATAAGTGATTTTTTAAAATGCCATCTTATATGTTTCCATTTTGATTTAATTACTTGATCTTTAAGTGATGATTTCTTTTTCAGTCTGAAGTTGACAAGCAGCAGCATAGACCCTGGTCTGAGTATCAAGCAGTTGGGTGGTTTGTATATTAATTTTAATGCAGATAAACTACAGTCTAACAAGAGAACCCTAACACAGATCAAGGAGAAAAAGAAAAATGAGGTAAGTTAATTGTGCTGTTAGGTTTTCACAGAACTAACCAATCACTTTTAGAAATTAGTCCTTGGTAAAAGACTTAATTTTCCTACAGTGAAACCACATTGGCCTAATGTGTTAGTTTTTTCCTTCTCTCTAAAACAGTCATTTCTTTTTACAATAAAATCCTATCTATGAATGATAATGCTTTAAAAATAAATCAATACAGGGTCAGTGTTCCTCATCTTACACCCACCAATTATGATCCCAGGGGTTTTGTTTTTTTCCCTTTTCTTGCTATACTTTTAGTTCTTAAGTTCTTAACTAGTGTAGACTGTTGAGAATCTGAAAGCTGTGAATGCCTGCCTGCCTCTTCCACCCGGAAAAAAATGCACATGTGCATATAGACATTTTACATATAATTTCAGAAGGAATTACTGTTAAGGTAACTTTACCCAAACCCTTAGCTTTAGCCAACACCTTGCACTGTTTTCTCCTAAATCTATATTTTCTAGCCTTGATGCTTCTCACTGTCACTTTCAGACCTTTAAATCCAAGTACCTATTTGTTCATTTAGATGTCCTCAGGTACTTGACGTCACTAATTCCCCTTTCCCTGCCTGAACCAGGAATCCTCTTCTTGTATTCTTTTTTCTGGCTAATGAAACCAAACTCTCTTTTCCTTTTGTAGTCAGTCACCAAGCCTCTAGGGGAAGATATTTCTCTGCTTCCTCCTTTTCAAGCGACTGTCACCAGCTAGTGCAGGCCTTTGCTTCTCATCTGGACTACTCCAGTGGCTTCCTTATTGATCTTGTTTTCATCTTGTTCTTCAAGCCATCCTCCACACTTCTAGATTTCTCTGTCTAAAAACACAAATCCGGCTGGGCAAGGTAGCTCACATCTATAATCCCAGCACTTTGGGAGGCTGAGGCAGGAGAATTGTTTAAGCCCAGGAGTTTGAGACCAACCTGGGCAACATAGCTAGACCACATCTCTCCTCCCTGCCCCAAAAAACACACCACACACACAGATGTGACAGTATTCTCTTGAATCCTTCAAAGTACCTCTCTACCCCACCCAGCTGTCATCTGCTCTATTCTTGCCACTGAAGACTACTGTAGTTGCCTGAACTTACCCTGCTTTTCCCCAAGCAAGTGCAAAATAATTGATCGTTGCCCTTGGGGAATATTTTACCTCCAGTCCTTCTCACAACCCCTCTGTTTCCATAACATCTAGCATAGATCTGATTCATTGTTGATCATGTGATATATTAACTTACCATCTTTTCTTTATATTCCTAAAACAGGGTTTTTCAGTCTCAGCACTACTGATGTTTTGGGCTGCATAATTTTGTTGTGAGATGTTCCGTGCATAGTAGGATGTTTAACAGCATCCCTATCTTTTGCCCACTAGATGTCAGTAGCATTCTTCCTTATCCTCACCACCACCAAAAATGTCTCCAGACATTGCCAGATGCTCCCAGTTGAGAACCACTGTCCTTGAATGTACTACAGTACTTGACTCACAGCAAACTCTTAATCATTTGTTAAGTAAATATCATGCCCCCTTTTATGAGTGATAGGAAAGCCTAGACGGCTACCTATACCACACAGAAACATCTAGGCCTGAACCTGAATTGTGTGCCTGACTGTTAATTTCTGAGTTGATCATTTCAAATGTCAGTCCCAAATTAATGCTTGTACTATATTCCTGTAAACTATTTTGAGGGCTACAGAGCAGTCTTACTTGGTTCTTGTACTGAGAAAAATACTAATTAACCTGAGGTTCCTTTAGTCACACAGAGTTTTAGGAGAATATAATCATCCTAGTCAAGTAACAAAAGTACAGAAATCATTTAGGAAAAGATAAACAGATTTGACTGCACAAATTTATTTATTTATTTTGGAGAAATGGCGTTTTCTTATGTTACCCAGGCTAGTCTTGAACTCCTGGCCTCAAGTGATTGTCCTGCCTTGGCCTCCTAAAGAGTTGGGATTATAGGCATGAGCCATCGTGCCTGGCCTTTTTTTTCTTTTTTCTTTTTTTTTTTGGGAGGGAGCTGGGTTTGGGGGGAGACAGGGTCTCACTCTGTCACCCAGGCTGGAGTGAGTGGCACAGTCATAGCTTGCTGCAGCCTCAAGCTCCTGGCCTCAAGTGATCCTTCTGCCTTAGCGTCCTGAGTAGCTGGGACTACAGGTGTGTGCCACCATGCCCAACTAATTTCTTTTCTTTTTTTTTTTTTTTTTACAGTCAGGGTCTTGCTATGTTGACCAAGGTGGTCTAAAACTCCTGGCCTCAAGTGATCCTCCTCCCTTGGCCTCCTCAAAGCACTAGGATTATAGGTGTGAGCCACTTTGCCAGGCTGACTAAAAATTTTAAAACTTACAGAAGTTTAAACTGTTGAAAAACTTATATAACATTCTGACATTATTTTAAAACCAATTTTATGTTTTTATAGCTTCTGCAGAAAGCCGTCATTACACCTGATTTTGAAAAAAACCACTGTGTTCCACCATATAGTGAATCAAAGTATCAACTTCAGAAAAAACGCAGAGTAAGTACAGTGACTTAATTAAAATGCTTAGATATGTTTGGCTATATATTTTCAGCTTATACAACATAACTGCACAATTAAACTGTATCTGTTGGTCTATATATGAGTCCAAAGAAAATAATTACAGATTTCTAAGGGCTGTAAAATATAGTACCATAAACACATTATGTATAGATTTTCACATCTTTGCAGCCACAATAGTGCATCTATAAGTAGAGGTTTTTTAAAAAAATATATATATATATAGATTACTTCTATCTGCCATTTCGACTAGTTATCCAGAGAGCTTGAAGGAAAGTTGAGGATGGTATTCTAGTAATGTTACTGTAATATGGAGCACCCTGGCACATGGTAGGCACTAACTAAATACTTGTTGTATGAATGAAACAAAATTAAATAACTTGTAGGAGTTTTCTAAAGAATAGTATTTTGTTTTATTGTAGAAATAACACAAGGTTCTGGATCCTTGTATGAGTGGCATTCTGAGACTCCTGGGTGACTGAATAAAAATGTTTACATATAAGCTCTAGAAACGAAAGTGTTTTTATACATTTTCTTACTGCATATAGTCTGTTTTAGACAATAAAAATTGAAGTTGTGTGTTATTCTCCCAGCAAGTCAGCAGTTACTCTCTGAGACAGAAAATAGATTTTACGGAGCCCTCATTTATGAAACTGATAATCCTGTCCCTAATTTAGCGGAGAAGTCACTTTTTGTGATTTAATTCCTTTTATCTCTATGATTCTGGATTTAAGTGCTTTCAATAAAGTAACCATTTGTTTTTAATTTACAAAATTTTCTGTATGTGTTACTTCAGGGGAAATGAATTATAATGTATACTCTTAGCTGTTAGAATGTTTATTTTTGAAATCATAATTTCAGAAAGAACGACAAAAAACAGCAGGGGATGGCTGGTTTGGTATGAAAGCTCCAGAAATGACAAATGAACTGAAAAATGATCTCAAAGCACTGAAGATGAGAGCCAGCATGGACCCGAAAAGATTTTACAAGAAAAATGATAGAGATGGCTTCCCCAAGTACTTCCAGGTATGAAGCAAACAGAATAGTGGTGATGATCTGTGAATTTTAGTTTGGAAAGCACTGTAGTGTTCTTTAAAGTTTACTCCTAAAATAGAGGATATTTCCATTGTGCATGCCTAATGTATGGAACATATCTGCATAGGCCATATAAGAATGGCCATTACCCAATTCAGCCACTAACTTTTAATTTGATCACATTTAGAGAGATGGTGTTACAAATGGTTTCCAGGTCAGCTAAAACCTGTTGAACCTATAAAGTTCACTATGTGAATGTATGAATAGTATCAGCCTAACAGCAAGAGTCCATACGGGATAGGGGTAAAAGGGTATCACGTGTACTAATCCAAGTTGGTTTTTAAAATGTTTTCATCTGTTCGTGTTACACCTCTGCTCAGAAACATTCAGTGATGAATTATGACATAGGATTGGGTCTGTATCCTTTCATTTAGCCATTAATAATCCATACCCAAACTAGTTCACCTGCCTTTCATCATATAGCCCAACAAATTCCAACACACTTAGCTACTCAGTCTTGTCAGAACACGTACATACCAGTCCCTGCATAATTTGACTTTGCATATCCATAGTTCTTGTTTGTTTGGTGAAATTTTACCCATACAAATTCAAGCTAAATTGTCATTCTTTGTTAAATCTTCCTTACCTCTCTTAGGTACAATTGGTCACTTTGTCTTCAGAGCGTCTATAGTGTTTTGTTCAGCACATGTTATGCTTTAATATTTTAGTTACTTTTTGTGGAGCTTCCTTAAGACTGCAGGCTCTGCACTGCAGGAACCAGATGTTCTTTGTTTCCCTAACATGTAACACAGTGCCTGGTGCATAGTGATCACTGTAAATTTTATTCAGTTGAGTGTATGAACAAATACAGAATGATCACTAAGTAGGCCAAACTGGCAGCCTTTGTGATGACCTAGGAAACCAAATAGGTATGTAGTAGAATTTATGTGTCTAATTCATTGATTTGGGAAACTAGAACAAAAAGTATATATTATCTGTTCCACTTTTCTCCTTTAGTTACACTGTGCATCATGAATTTAGTGTTTAGCAAAGAAATTTTGGATCTACTATAAACTACTGAAGAAACATAATAGCACCACTATGCTACTTTTTTTTTTTTGCTTTAAATAAATGGCAAAATTTACATTACTATTAGTGTAATGTAAGCTTGTTCTTTCCATTCCTTTCTCTAAATATAATTAGAGCTACACTGAAGTATGAAAGCATCTTGGCACTCAATGCATGACTTATTTCAATCAATTGTTCACAGATTGGAACCATTGTTGACAATCCAGCTGATTTCTACCATTCACGAATTCCCAAGAAGCAAAGGAAAAGAACTATTGTGGAAGAACTGCTGGCTGATTCTGAATTCAGAAGGTAAAGGAATTCATATTTATTTTATAATATGTATACTTTGCTTTAAAAATGTATAAACTTATAAATTTTCAAATAATTTAAAAATAACTCATTTATAATAACCCATAACATATTAACATGAATATATATTTTTATGAAAAATAATTTAGTGCAAATCTCTTTAATGTCTGGCTTAACTAAAGACAGAGGCTCATACCTGCTTCTGCAGATAACATACATCACGTAGCCCCTGGAAAACACTACACTCATGAGAGAACGAGGGTGAAAAAAGCGATTAATGCCTTAGTATTCTTGAGAAAATAGTTTTTACCTAATGAATCCCTTGAAAGGGTCTACTCCACAGACCACACTTTGAAAACCATTGGTCGCTTCTAAGAAATATATATATCATACTGTGCATTTTCAGGATAAGTGTGACTTTTTGTTTTGCTTAGTCCTGATTTTTGTGTTTTTATCCCTCAAAAATGTTTAAAGCATTTGATACAGCCTGGTGGATGGATATAGTGCATATATAGATCATATATGGATATATGGATAGATAGATGGATATAGTGCATATAGTAGGAAAGTCTTCCTACTACAGTTGCCATTTTTTCTCCCTAGATTGCAAGCAAGTGCTATGAGGTCAGAGACTATACTTGTCTTGTCCACCACTCCATTCCCAACTTTTACCCTAAGGTTATATTAACTTCTAATGTCTGATATATCAAACATAAAGTTCTGATTTTTCTTTTTCAGATACAACCGAAGGAAGTACTCAGAGATCATGGCTGAAAAAGCAGCAAATGCAGCAGGAAAAAAGTTCCGAAAGAAGAAGAAATTTCGCAATTAAGATTTACCAAGCAAACTGCAACATTTTACATTGCTCCTTTATTTACTTATTAAAGACGTTTGGAAAACTAACACCATCATCTAAATTAATTTACCATAGACTGGCCCTGTTCATACAGGAATTTGTATTTGGAAAAAGTTGATTTGAGAATCGATTACATGCCCTTAGAAAATAGGGGTGTCTAAAAGACCCACCCTGGTGTAGACTCTTTATGGGAAAAAAGGAAAAAAAATCTCAACCATTTTAAGATAACTGATGGTTTGTAAAGTTTTCAATGCTTAGTTATTTAAAGAAAATTTAATTAAAAGATAGGAAGTATAAAGTTTGCTAACATGTTCAAAGAACTTTAAAAAATGATCAAAGATATATAAACATTATTGTAATTAATAGGTAGTTTTATGTGTGTATGTGTGTGTGTGTCTGTGTAGGGGACGGGAGATGGTAGAGAGGCAATGCCCTATAGTTAGCTATAAAATTCAGATCCAGAAAGTTGGGATACAAAGATATGAAGAATATGACCTAGAAAGCTTGGGCAGAGGAGCTGTTTTCCTTGCTTGGCAACTGAAACAGGGAGGAATAATTGGTTTTTATCTAGATTTAAGTGTTGTGGTCCAAGTAAAACAGGATTAAACTATAATTTAAGTTGGCCAGGGTTTCTTCGAAGTTAACCCAGCTTACCTCTTCTCCAGTGGTACAGTATGCACCCTGGCTAAGCTGGTTTCTGGCACCCAAGGAGTGTTGGTCATTTCTGTTGATACTTGGTGAGTTGTAGCTTCCTTTATGTTACTATTCACTTTACCTCTATTTTTCCAGCATACTGCTTCCTTGAGATATCAGCAAATATGAAATCTTTTTTTTTTTTAATAATAGTTTTGGGGTACATGTGTAGAACATGCAGGTTACATAGGTATACACGTGCCATGGTGGTTTGCTGCACCCATCAACCTATCTACATTAGGTATTTCTCCTAGTGCTATCCCTCCCCTAGTCCCCCACCCACAACAGGCCCCAGTGTGTGATGTTCCCCTCCCTGTGTCCATGTGTTCTCATTGTTTACCTCCCACTTACGAGTAAGAACATGCAGTGTTTGGTTTTCTGTTCTTGTGTTAGTTTTCTGTTCTTGCTGAGATGATTTCCAGCTTCAGCCATGTCCCTGCAAAGGACATGAACTCATGCTTTTTTATGGCCACATAGTATTCCATGGTGTATATGTGCCACATTTTCTTTATCCAGTCTATCATTCATGGGCATTTGGGTTGGTTCCAAGTCTTTTCTATTGTGAACAGTGCCACAGTAAACATACTTGTGTATGTGTCTTTATAGTAGAATGATTTATAATCCTTTGGGTATATACCCAGTAATGGGATTGCTGGGTCAAATGGTATTTCTGGTCCTAGATCCTTGCGGAATCACCACACTGTCTTCCACAATGGTTGAACTAGTTTACACTCCCACCAACAGTGTAAAAGTGTTCCTAGTTCTCCATATCCTCTCCAGCATCTGTTGTTTCCTGACTTTTTAATGATTGCCATTCTAACTGGCAATGAGATGGTATCTCATTGTGGTTTTGATTTGCATTTCTCTAATGAGCAGTGATAATGAGCGTTTTTTCATGTTTGTTGGCTGCATAAATGTCTTCTTTTGAGAAGTGTCTGTTCATATCCTTCACCCACTTTTTGATGGGGTTTTTTCTTGTAAATTTGTTTAAGTTCTTTGTAGATTCTGGATATTAGCCCTTTGTCAGATGGATAGATTACAGAAATTTTCTCCCATTCTGTAGATTGCCTGTGCACTCTGATAATAGTTTCTTTTGCTGTGCAGAAACTCTTTAGTTTAATTAGATCCCACTTGTCAATTTTGCCTTTTGTTGCCATTGCTTTTGGTGTTTTAGTCATGCAGTCTGCCCATACCTATGTCCAAAATCTCATATTTACTGCTTGGAGTCAAAAGCTAGTAATAGCAGAACTGACAATAACATTCATAGTTGGAGTTAGGGAAGCATCTATGTCTGTTCTCTTTTATTTTAAAAAAAAACTACTTTTGTTTCTGGAATACTATGTTTTGCCTTCTACTGGATAAAATAAGGACCCAGTATGAGAGAATTGTATCCTTTAGTGCTTCTGGCCTTCTACAAATACCTGGATATTTAAATAATGGATGAAGTTATGTTTTGCTTTTTAATAAGCAAGTCTTTTGAGAAACAGGTTTTACTGACTTTGGCCTGTGTCACTAAACTCAGTTCACCTACTGGAACTTTTTTTTTTTTTTTTGAGACGTCTCACTCCATCACCCAGGTTGGAGTGCAGTGGTGCCATCTCAGCTCACTGCAACCTCCGCCTCCCAAGTTCAAGCGATTATCATACCTCAGCCTGCCAAGTAGCTGGGACTACTGGGCATGCCATTATGCCCAGCTAACTTTTGTATTTTTAGTAGAGATGGGGTTTTGCCATCCTTACCTCAAGTGATCCACCCGCCTCGGCCTCCCAAAGTGCTGGGATTACAGGTGTGAGCCACCATGCCCAGCCAACTGGAACTATTTGAAGGCTTTATACCAGAAAAGTATAAAGAATCCAAAGGGCTGCCACAGTCAGGTGTGCTGGTGAAAGAGACCTTCAAGATACCCCTGAGAAGATCTTGAAAGATTTCGAAAAGAATGCTGTATTTATACACCATCTGGCTCCAAGATGCTTTTTTTTTTTTTTTTTTTGAGAGACGGACTCTCGCTCTGTCGCCCAGGCTGGAGTGTAGTGGCATGATCTTGGTTCACTGCAACCTCCGCCTCCCGGGTTCAAGCAATTCTGCCTCAGCCTCCCAAGTACCTGGGATTAACAGGCACCCACCACCACACCCGGCTAATTTTTGTATTTTTAGTAGAGACGGGGTTTCACCATGTTGGCCAGGCTGGTCTTGAACTTCTGACCTCAGGTGATCCACCGGCCTCAGCCTCCCAAAGTGCTGGGATTACAGGCAGGAGCCACCACGTCTGGCCCAAAATGTTCTTAAAACAAAGTAGATGCTGTAAGACTACAGTTGATAAAGTTGGGCTCTGGGCTAGGTTCTTAGCATCCAACACAATCAGTTCTGTGTTCAGTGTTCTGCTGTATGATAAACCAACTGCTCTAGAGAAACACCAATATTCCTCTTCTGAAACCTGGGAAAATGTCTTTTTTGGGTCCCATAACTAGATGTCACAAAAGGAGTGGGGAGTGGGGAGGCTATATAAAAAAGTTCAACAAAACCTTAGTAACTGGTATACATTAATAGGATCCCATTCTTAGAAACAGCAAGTTAAAGAAAATACCATAATGGGAAAAAAAAGTTAACATTTCTGAGAGATGTACCAGGTATTCAGTCTCTCAGGCAGTGACAACTTGTTCAGAATAATTACCTACAATAGATCCCAAACCATTGAAAAATGCCTAATTGTTTACTTAATGGAATTTGTACTTACTATTTAATTAGATGAATATCTTTATTGAAAGTTTTCAGTAAGGGTTGCAACAAAAAGGGCTTTCTAATTAACCAATTCCCCAAGCATCTGTCTAATTAAAATGTAAAGTGCAATTATTCTCATTGTCACATAGTTTTTGAAGTGAAGAAAAATCTTCCAAGAAGTAGGATCAATACCATGACCTATAATTAAATGTCATAAGCGGATCAGTGTTCTATCACTGGAGAAATGAGACATCTCCAATGAACTATGAAATGTAAAATTAGGTAAGTTTGTGCATAGAGGATTTCTAGGAGGACATACAAGACATACCTTCAAATCAAGATGGCCCTGTAGTTCCTCAAGCTCAATTTTATCAATTCCAGTTACCCTCATTTCCAGTTCACTTTAGCGAATCACTATCATGGCCTTAGACTCGTTGTTTGAGAATTCAGTGGTCAAGATTCTTAACTCAGACTACCCCAATTTGTATCTTGTTATCTGTTATCCTGTTAGTCTTCCCTTCAGTTGTCTCCAACTTAGCCTTGGCTGCAATTTGGAATTACCTATGGTGGCTTCAAAATGCTGATGCCTGGGTCTCACCCCCCAAACATTGTGAAATCATGATTTCAAGCCTTTCAGCCACTCATTCTCTGAATCCTCTATCCTCATGAAGATACATTTTTCTCCCTAACCAATCTAGACCCAATTCATCAGACATTTCAAAAATTCTTTGTATGCCCCGCTAGTCTCTTTATTAATAGTCTTTTGGTTTCTGTTACTCTCGCCTCACCAATCCCAGTCAGGGAAACACTCACTATTCTTATTCTTACCAGTCTAGATTATTGAGATTCAGGAAAGTATAATGAAGCTATTGACTCAGCTGGGTTTTCACTGCCACTCCACAATCCATTTATTCAATTTTAAATACTTTCTGCCAAATTCAGTCATTCATCCTGCGAGTCAGCTAACACAAATAATTGAGTCCTGTGCATTATATAAGCACTTGGGTACAGCAGGGAAGCTAATGCAGCCTCTACACCCAAAGAGCACGCAGGAGATACAGGACACTTCCATTCTCCCAGAACCCAACTTCCACGCCTAGCCTCAGCAAACTACTTACTCCTCCTCCGCTAAACCAGCCATGGCCATCTGATGAAGGCTGCCTTACCTCCTCATGGCCCCACCAGTCTAGAGAAACTGTTCCTACATACTGCTATATTCAATTTTTTTCTCAGTCTTCATCCCTTCTAACCAGACAATGTCATCTGACACACTGATCTTCCCCTTCTTGAGGCTTCAGCTACTCTGCTTCGGTAGGAAGATCAGCTTTTCTGCTTCTCCTACCTACTCTTTATTTTTTTACTCTGTCCATCACTTAAATTGTTGGTTTCCCTAATGCCTGCCCTCATCTTCTTTCTCGATACTGTTTGACTTGAGTATCTTGTCCTCCCTCTCCTTCAACTTCTGCTCTCATCTCTTCAGATGACACCAGAGTCTCCATCCTTACATCTCTATCCCCCACCCTCTGTTGCAGACTCACATTTCCAATTAACTGTGCAAATTACCCATATGAAGTACTAGTAAGTTATCTCAAATTCCACGTATCTGGAACCAAACACATCATTTTTCTGAGATGATTAAATAAAAACTAGCACCATGCCTAGTAAATAACAAGTACTCAAAGGGAAGCTACTGTTTCCCTTTTCTCCCCCAACCTCCCCATTGAACAGTTTTAATGAGGCCATACTGCATTTTACCTTCTATGGCTCACCTCTGCGTAATGACACATACAGAAACCCTACATTCAAGACCTGACATTCAAGCCCCTCCACAAAATGACGCCACCACAGGTTTATATTCACTGCTTCCCTACTCATGCCCTAAACTTCACTTGTGCTACTTACTTGCCTATTTCTCTCTCAGCTCTTTTCACACCCTTTCTCTGGTCTGCTCTGGAGTGTCTGGATTGCAGGAAACTACATTTCCCAGATTCCCTTGCCAACTGGCTTAACAGTAAGACACTGACAAAAGACAGAGGGGCATGAAGAGGAAATAAACCAGGGTATTTCTCTCCTCTGCCTTGGTTTGGGTTGTGGCCCCACCATGCTCCCAGCCCCCACCAGCCAGATGACTCAGGCTTCCAGGTTCCGGTAACACCATCTCCCATTGTCCCTCTGGCACTAGAGGTGGTAGACGTTTCCTACTGTTGCAGTATCTGCGTTGCCAACACTTTCAGCATTTCTGCCACCTGTGGAACAATTCCCTATATTAAATTCTCTAGAGTGATGTGTTTTTCTGTCCAAACCAGACTGATACATTTCAGCCAAACCAAACTACTTGATACTGAGCATTCATTCAATCAACATATACTGAGTTCCATGCACACCAAGTACCATGACAGGTTCACCTTTTATGTCTTTGTTCATATGGTTAGTTCCACCTAAAATATCTTTCCTGCCTCCATTTCACCTAACAAAATAGTACTGACCTGAAGCCTATTCAGCAACCAATACTTTGAGCATCTCCTCTGTGTAAGGCACCACACTAGGTGCTAGGGGTGCACAGGAAAGGAGGTCATCCTAGCCATCACAGAGCTGACAGTCTACATGCTTCAGAAAGCCTTTTTCAGATTCTCTACACGGATGTATATACTCCTATTTGCCTGTGCTTATTTTTACTCCACTTATTTCTATTTAACAAATGTCTATATAGCACTTATTGTCAGGGACTGTTCTAAGGACTTACACATATAACTTATTTTTATGTTACACTTATGTACCTAAGTTCGTATGTACATATGTAACATTATATTTGTATGTAATAACTTAGGCATTTGGTAAACCTATGAGGTAGGTGCTATTATCCCATTTTATAAGTGAGAAACTGAGGCACAGAGATTAATCTATGGTCACAGAACTAGTAAGTGTAAATCTCTGTCACACTTTTATTCTTGTCTTGAACTACAGCTATCTGCACACCTGTTTCAGCATCACTGGCAGAAATTGCTGGACTTTAACTTTCTTCTGTAGTTACAGGACACTTGATTTTTGGCTGAGAATGTGGCCACCTGGGGGAAAAAAGCTGTAATTCCCACCTTCCTATGGGATGTGAGTAGAAAAAAGTGGTATGTGCAACTTTTAGGAAGTGTCCTTCAAAGATGGATGAGGTTGGAGTAGGGCCCTTCTCTGCCCTTTCATCTCCTTCCCACAAGCTAGTACGTTGACCTGATGGCTCCTGGTATGTTGACCAGAAGCAGCCATCTTGGAGCAGGAGGTGGAAGCTGCATTTTGAGGATGGAAGAATATGCATTTTGAGGATGGAAGAATAAGAACGAACCTGGATCTCTCATGATTAAGTAGCTGCTATTCCCTGGTAGCTGTTATTTCTACATGAGAGAGAAAAAGCCTTTATCTTGTAAAGTCCACCATTATTGTGGGTGTCCTGTCACACTCATAGCTGAAACCAATCCTAATTAATGAAATCACCAATCCATGCTCTCTGTCCCTCACTAGGCTCAACTTTTAAGAATATTCACTCTATCTCACTCATGTTTGTATTTCCTTCGTGCATAGTTCCTCGCACAAACTACTACTCAAAAGTTACATACTGAGGGTGAGTAGGTTACAAAATATAAACTGATGGATGTAGAAGGTCCCAGATAAGGAGGAAATTGATATGAAACCGCTCCTGACCTCTGGTCTTTTAGAATCTGTATTGGTCATAGGCAACAAAAAGGTGGGAGTGTCTCATCCTTTAAGGCAGCTTCCACTTTGTCAATACCTTCCTTAGGTCCTAGGTATGAGTAGAGCTGTAAAAGAGAGCACACAGAAGCTAGGTCTTCAAACATGAACACCTTCAGTTGTCCCCTGTCTACCTTCATGCTTTTATCTCTGCCCCCTTCCCTCTTGCCTCAGAAGGACAGGCATTTTTCTACCATTCTTAGGCTGATCATTTCACCCGACTCTCAGAACATCTTTGCATCTTAACTTTCTCATCTGTAAAATGGGGATAATTCACACTTCTTAGAATTGGGGGATAATTAAATGGTAAGGGTTAAATAAACTTTCTGGCATAAAGCAGGTGTTCAAAAAATGTTAGGTGATTCTCTTTTCCTCTTGACCCCCTTCTCCTCCAGAGGAAACTTGCTCCATTGGTTCTTGGGGAAACACCTCTTCCCTGCATCTCTTCCTATCTCTCTGGACACCCTTTCCTGGTCTCTTGGAAGGACTCATTATTTGCCTGTCCTTCAAATGTCTGTGCTGGGTTTCTGTCTTCTATACTCAGCCCTCTTCTTTTTTTTTTTTTTTTTTTTTTTTTTTTGAGAGAGTTTCGCTCTTGTTGCCCAGGCTGGAGTGCAATGGCGCGATCTCGGCTCACCACAACCTCCACCTCCCGGGTTCAAGCGATTCTCCTGCCTCAGCCTCCCAAGTAGCTGGGATTACAGGCATGCGCCACCACGCCCAGCTAATTTTGTATTTTTAGTAGAGATGGGGTTTCTCCATGTAGGTCAGGCTGCTCTTGAATTTCTTTTTATTTTTATTTTTATTTTTATTTTTTTATTATACTTTAAGTTTTAGGGTACATGTGCACAATGTGCAGCTTAGTTACATATGTATACATGTGCCATGTTGCTGTGCTACACCCATTAATTCGTCATTTAATATTAGGTATATCTCCAAATGCTATCCCTCCCCCCTCCCCCCACCCCACAACAGGCCCTGGTGTGTGATGTTCCCCTTCCTGTGTCCGTGTGTTCTCACTGTTCAATTCCCACCTATGAGTGAGAACATGTGGTGTTTGGTTTTTTGTCCTTGCGATAGTTTGCTGAGGATGATGGTTTCCAGCTTCATCCATGTCCCTACAAAGGACATGAACTCTTCATTTTTTATGGCTGCATAGTATTCCATGGTGTATATGTGCCACATTTTCTGAATCCTGTCTATCATTGTTGGACATTTGGGTTGGTTCCAAGTCTTTGCTATTGTGAACAGTGCTGCAATGAACATACGTGTACATGTGTCTTTATAGCAGCATGATTTATAATCCTTTGGGTATATACCCAGTAATGGGATTGCTGGGTCAAATGGTATTTCTAGTTCTAGATCCCTGAGGAATCGCCACACTGACTTCCACAATGGTTGAATTAGTTTATAGTCCCACCAACAGTGTAAAAGTGTTCCTATTTCTCCACATCCTCTCCAGCACCTGTTGTTTCCTGACTTTTTTATGATCGCCATTCTAACTGGTGTGAGATGGTATCTCACTGTGGTTTTGATTTGCACTTCTCTGATGGCCAGTGATGATGAGCATTTTTTCATGTGTCTTTTGGCTGCATAAATGTCTTCTTTTGAGAAGTGTCTGTTCATACCCTTCACCCACTTTTTGATGGGGTTGTTTGTTTTTTTCTAATAAATTTGTTTGAGTTCATTGTAGATTCTGGATATTAGCCCTTTGTCAAATGAGAAGATTGAAAAAATTTTCTCCCATTCTGTGGGTTGCCTGCACTCTGATGGTAGTTTCTTTTGCTGTGCAGAAGCTCTTTAGTTTCATTAGATCCCATTTATCAATTTTGGCTTTTGTTGCCCTTGCTTTTGGTGTTTTAGACATGAAGTCCTTGCCCATGCCTATGTCCTGAATGGTATTGCCTAGGTTTTCTTCCAGGGTTTTTATGGTTTTAGGTCTAACATTTAAGTCTTTAATCCATCTTGAATTAATTTTTGTATAAGGTGTAAGGAAGGGATCCAGTTTCAGCTTTCTACATATGGCTAGCCAGTTTTCCCAGCACCATTAAATAGGGAATCCTTTCCCCATTGCTTGTTTTTGTCAGGTTTGTCAAAGATCAGATAGTTGTAGATATGCGGCATTATTTCTGAGGGCTCTGTTCTGTTCCATTGGTCTATATCTCTGTTTTGGTACCAGTACCATGCTGTTTTGGTTACTGTAGGCTTGTAGAATAGTTTGAAGTCAGGTTGCGTGATGTCTCCAGCTTTGTTCTTTTGGCTTAGGATTGACTTGGCAATGCAGGCTCTTTTTTGGTTCCACATGAACTTTAAAGTAGTTTTTTTTCCAATTCTGTGAAGAAAGTCATTGGTAGCTTGATGGGGATGGCATTGAATCTATAAATTACCTTGGGCAGTATGGCCATTTTCACGATACTGATTCTTCCTACCCATGAGCATGGAGTGTTCTTCCATTTGTTTGTATCCTCTTTTATTTCCTTGAGCAGTGGTTTGTATTTCTCCTTGAAGAGGTCTTTCACATCCCTTGTAAGTTGGATTCCTAGGTATCTTATTCTCTTTGAAGCAATTGTGAATGGGAGTTCACTCATGATTTGGCTGTTTGTCTGTTATTGGTGTATAAGAATGCTTGTGATTTTTGCACACTGATTTTGTAACCTGAGACTTTGCTGAAGTTGCCTATCAGCTTAAGGAGATTTTGGGCTGAGACGATGGGGTTTTCTAGATATACAATCATGTCATCTACAAACAGGGACAATTTGACTTCCTCTTTTCCTAAGTGAATACCATTTATTTCCTTCTCCTGCCTGATTGCCCTGGCCAGAACTTCCAACACTATGTTGAATAGCAGTGGTGAGAGAGGGCATCCCTGTCTTGTGCCAGTTTTCAAAGGGAATGCTTCCAGTTTTTGTCCATTCAGTATGATATTGGCTGTGGGTTTGTCATAGATAGCTCTTATTGAGATACGTCCCATCAATACCTAATTTACTGAGAGTTTTTAGCATGAAGAGTTGTTGAATTTTGTCAAAGGCCTTTTCTGCATCTATTGAGATAATCATGTGGTTTTTGTCTTTGGTTCTGTTTATATGCTGGATTACGTTTATTGATTTGCATATTTTGAACCAGTCTTGCATCCCAGGGATGAAGCCCACTTGATCATGGTGGATAAGCTTCTTGATGTGCTGCTGGATTCGGTTTGCCAGTATTTTATTGAGGATTTTTGCATTGATGATCATCAGGGATATTGGTCTAAAACTCTCTTTTTTTGTTGTGTCTCTGCCAGGCTTTGGTGTCAGGATGATGCTGGCCTCATAAAATGAGTTAGGGAGGATTCCCTCTTTTTCTATTGATTGGAATAGTTTCAGAAGGAATGGTACCAGCTCCTCCTTGTACTCCTGGTAGAATCTGGCTGTAAATCCATGTGGTCCTGGACTTTTTTTTGTTGGTAAGCTATTAATTATTGCCTCAATTTCAGAGCCTGTTATTGGCCTATTCAGAGATTCAACTTCTTCCTGGTTTAGTCTTGGGATGGTGTTTGTGTCGAGGAATTTATTCATTTCTTCTAGATTTTCTAGTTTATTTGCATAGAGGTGTTTATAGTATTCTCTGATGGTAGTTTGTATTTCTGTGGGATTGGTGGTGATATCCCCTTTATCATTTTTTATTGCATCTATTGGATTCTTCTCTCTTTTCTTATTAGTCTTGCTAGCGGTCTCAATTTTGTTGATCTTTTCAAAAAACCAGCTCCTGGATTCATTGATTTTTTGAAGGGTTTTTTGTGTCTCTATTTCCTTCAGTTCTGCTGTGATCTTAGTTATTTCTTGCCTTCTGCTAGCTTTTGAATGTGTTTGCTCTTGCTTCTCTAGTTCTTTTAATTGTGATGTCAGGGTGTCAATTTTAGATCTTTCCTGCTTTCTCTTGTGGGCATTTAGTGCTATAAATTTCCCTCTACACACTGCTTTGAATGTGTCCCAGAAATTCTGGTATGTTGTGTCTTTGTTCTCGTTGGTTTCAAAGAACATCTTTATTTCTGCCTTGATTTCGTTATGTGCCCAGTAGTCATTCAGGAGCAGGTTGTTCAATTTCCATGTAGTTGAGCAGTTTTGAGTGAATTTCTTAATCCTGAGTTCTAGTTTGATTGCACTGTGGTCTAAGAGACAGTTTGTTATAATTTCTGTTCTTTTACATTTGCTGAGGAGTGCTTTACTTCCAACTATGTGGTCGATTTTGGAATAAGTGCAGTGTGGTGCTGCGAAGAATGTATATTCTGTTGATTTGGGGTGGAGAGTTCTGTAGATGTCTATTAGGTCTGCTTGGTGCAGAGCTGAGTTCAATTCCTGGATATCCTTGTTAACTTTCTGTCTCGTTGATCTGTCTAATGTTGACAGTGGTGTGTTAAAGTCTCCCATTATTATTGTGTGGGAGTCTAAGTCTCCTTCTAGGTCTCTAAGGACTTGCTTTATGAATCTGGGTGCTCCTGTATTGGGTGCATATATATTTAGGATAGTTAGCTCTTCTTGTTGAATTGATCCCTTTACCATTATGTAATGGACTTCTTTGTCTCTTTTGATCTTTGTTGGTTTAAAGCCTGTTTTATCAGAGACTAGGATTGCAACCCCTGCCTTTTTTTTTTTTTTTTTCCATTTGCCTGGTAGATCTTCCTCCATCCCTCTATATTGAGCCTATGTGTGTCTTTGCACATGAGATGGGTTTCCTGAATACAGCACACTGATGGGTCTTGACTCTTTATCCAATTTGCCAGTCTGTGTCGTTTAATTGGAGAATTTAGCCCATTTACATTTAAGTTTAATATTGTTATGTGTGAATTTGATCCTGTCATTATGATGTTAGCTGGTTATTTTGCACGTTAGTTGATGCAGTTTCTTCCTAGCCTCGATGGTCTTTACAATTTGGCATGTTTTTGCAGTGGCTGGTACCAGTTGTTCCTTTCCATGTTTAGTGCTTCCTTCAGGAGCTGTTTTAGGGCAGGCCTGGTGGTGACAAAATCTCTCAGCATTTCCTTGTCTGTAAAGGATTTTATTTCACCTTCATTTATGAAGCTTGGTTTGGCTGGATATGAAATTCTGGGTTGAAAATTCTTTTCTTTAAGAATGCTGAATTTTGACCCCCACTCTCTTCTGGCTTGTAGAGTTTCTGCTGAGAGATCAGCTGTTAGTCTGATGGGCTTCCCTTTGTGGGTAACCCAACCTTTCTCTGGCTGCTCTTAACATTTTTTCCTTCATTTCAACTTTGGTGAATCTGACAATTATGTATCTTGGAGTTGCTCTTCTCGAGGAGTATCTTTGTGGCGTTCTCTGTATTTCCCGAATCTGAATGTTGGCCTGCCTTGCTAGATTGGGGAAGTTCTCCTGGATAATATCCTGCAGTGTTTTCCAACTTGGTTCCATTCTCCCCGTCACTTTCAGGTACACCAATCAGATGTAGATTTGGTCTTTTCACATAGTCCCATATTCCTTGGAGGTTTTGTTCATTTCTTTTTATTCTTTTTTCTCTAAACTTCTCTTCTTGCTTCATTTCATTCATTTGATTTTCCATCACTGATACCCTTTCTTCCAGTTGATCGAATCGGCTACTGAGGCTTGTGCATTCATCACGTAGTTCTCATGCCTTGGTTTTCAGCTCCATCAGATCCTTTAAGGACTTCTCTGCATTGGTTATTCTAGCTAGCCATTCATCTAATTTTTTTTGAAGGTTTTTAACTTCTTTGCCATGGGTTCGAACCTCCTCCTTTAGCTTGGAGTAGTTTGATCATCTGAAGCCTTCTTCTCTCAACATGTCAAAGTCATTCTCCGTCCAGCTTTGTTCTGTTGCTGGTGAGGAGCTGCATTCCTTTGGAGGAGGGGAGGGGCTCTGATTTTTAGGGTTTACAGTTTTTCTGCTCTGTTTTTTCCCCATCTTTGTGGTTTTATCTACCTTTGGTCTTTGATGATGGGGACGTACAGATGGGGTTTTGGTGTGGATGTCCTTTTTGTTTGTTAGTTTTCTTTATAACAGTCAGGACCCTCAGCTGCAGGTCTGTTGGAGTTTGCTGGAGGTCCACTCCAGACCCTGTTTGCCTGGGTATCAGCAGCGGAGGCTGCAGAACAGCAGATATTGGTGAACAGCAGATGTTGCTGCCTGGTCGTTCCTCTGGAAGTTTTGTCTCAGAGGAGTACCCAGCCATGTGAGGTGTCAGTCTGCCCCTACTGGGGGGTGCCTCCCAGTTAGGCTACTCGGGGGTCAGGGACCCACTTGAGGAGGCAGGCAGTCTGTCTGTTCTCAGATCTCCAGCTGCGTACTGGGAGAACCACTACTCTCTTCAAGGCTGTCAGACAGGGACATTTAAGTCTGCAGAGGATTCTGCTGTCTTTTGTTTGGCTGTGCCCTACCCCCAGAGGTGAAGTCTACAGAGGCAGGAAGGCCTCCTTGAGCTGCGGTGGGCTCCACCCAGTTCGAGCTTCTGGGCTGCTTTGTTTACCTACTCAAGCCTCGGCAATGGCGGGCGCCCCTCCCCCAGCCTCGCTGCTGCCTTGCAGTTTGATCTCGGACTGCTGTGCTAGCAATGAGCGAGGCTCCATGGGCATAGGACCCTCCAAGCCATGTGTGGGATATAATCTCCTGGTGTGCCATTTGCTAAGACCATTGGAAAAGTACAGTATTAGGGTGGGAGTGACCCAATTTTCCAGGTGCCGTCTGTCACCCCTTTCTTTGACTAGGAAAGGGAATTCCCTGACCCCTTGTGCTTCCCGGGTGAGGCGATGCCTCGCCCTGCTTCGGCTCACGCTCAGTGCGCTGCACCCACGGTCCTGCACCCACTTTCCGACACTCCCCAGTGAGATGAACCCGGTACCTCAGTTGGAAATGCAGAAATCACCCATCTTCTGCGTCACTCAACGCTGGGAGCTGTAGACTGGAGCTGTTCCTATTCGGCCATCTTGGCTCCACCCCGGGTCTTGAATTTCTGACCTCACATAATCCACCCACCTCAGCCTTCCAAAGTGTTGAGATTACAGGCGTGAGCCACCGCGCCTGGCCCATCTTTTCTTACTCTACACTCTCCCTACACAATCTCATCTTTGTCCAGAGCTTCAAGTGCCATCTGTAGGATAATGAATTTTAAATCCCAAGCATAGATCTCTCTCCTGAGCTCCAGACCTTCTCTTCTTTTCTTTCCCTCTCCCTTCCTATAATTCTCCTCTTCCTGATATTCTTTCATTCTATAAATACTTACTGAGAGCCTGCTATGTGCTTGGCATTGTATATCCAGCTGCCAGGATGTTCCACAGACCTCAAACTCAACATATGCAAATCTGAGCTCATTTCCATCCCCCATCCCCAAACCCACTTCTCACTCCTTTGTTTGTGGTCCCAGTGACTACTTCAGCACCCACCCATCTGCCTAATTAGAAATGGGAGTCATTCTGACTGCTCCCTCTCTCCTTTACATCCCTTAATTCATCAAGGCCCATCAATTTGGCCTCCCTTGAAACATCTCCAGTTTGTATACTTAACCTTCTCTCCAAACCACCTCCCTGGTTCCAGTCCTCATCATTTTATTACCTAGATAGCTCCAACTACCTTGGGCTGGTCTTCCAACTTCCAGTTTTGTGTTATTCCAGCCCGTGATCCACATTGCAGCCAGACAGTGGTACAAAACACACATCTAATCCTACTGCTTCTCAACTAAAAACTATTCAGTGGCTTCCCATTGCCTTTAGGGTGAAGTCCACACTCTTCAACACAGTGTACAAGACTTACAGGATATGATTCCTGCTGGAATCACTCTGAAAAGAGATATTTAGTTTATATGTTTCTCCAATAGTATCAGGAGGAGTTCCTAGAGATGCTTAACAGATGGGCTCCTAATGGGCTTATTAATCACTGAAATCAGGCATATAGTAGAGCATAAGGGGTCAATAAATGTTTTTTAAAAACCAAGTTTGAGAAATCTTTAATGGATAAGCAGTATTAGAGCTACCTGTGTGAAGGTGATCCAGGAACACGTAGGTACTCTTTTTTCCTTCCTCTTTAGCATTAAAAAAAAATTTTTTTTTTTTTTGAGACAGAGTTTTGCTCTTGTTGCCCAGGCTGGAGTGCAGTGGTGCATTCTTGGCTCACTGCAACCTCCACTTCCTGGGTTCAAACGATTCTCCTGTCTCAGTGTCCCGAGTAGCTGGGATTACAGGTATGCGCCACCACGCCCAGCTAATTTTGTATTTTTAGTAGAGACGGGGTTTCTCCATGTTGGTCAGGCTGGTCTCAAACTCCCGACCTTAGGTGATCCCACCCGCCTCGGCCTCCCAAAGTGCCGGGATTACAGGCATGAGCCACCGCAACTGGCCGACCTTTAACTTTTTAAAAATTAACTTTTTATTATAAAGGTAAGATGGCTTATTAAGAAAAAACCTGAAACATTACATACAGGTATACAGTAAAAAGGAATGCTCCCTCCCTTCATACCACTGCTTCCCCCAAACCAGCATTACCCTAAAGTAACCACTGTTAATTGTTTGAATATCTTTCGGGAAATCATCTATGCATGCACAGTGATAGGAGTAAACATACATAATTTCTACTGTTACTATGGGCATTATTTAACACAAATGGAATCTCATTTAAAATATTCATCTGCATATCTTCTTTTTTCACATAATCTTGGATATTCTTGGATATAGCAATATATATAGATATTTCTCATTTTTAAAATGTCTGCGTTGTATTTAATTCTATGTCTCTACCACACTTTCTTTAAACAGACTATTATTGATGAACATCTAGATTATTTCCAATTTGGGAGCCATTACAAACAATGCTGTACATGCTATTCATTTTATGATAAATAAATGTCAATTTTTCTAACTATGCAAAAATTGTAAAATGTTAGAATATTAAAATAAGTATACACCACAACCAGGTAGGATCATTTCAAGAATGTAAAATGAGTTAAATATTACAAAATCTGTTAATATATCACGCAATATGAGATCAAAGAAAAATCTCCATAGATTATAAAGAAATAGGGATAGGTATTTTCTTAATGTGATAAAACATGTGTGTGCTCATGCCACACCAACCCCAAAAGCCAGCATCATGCTTAGTGAAGAAGCATTTCTATTTCTATAATGACCAGGAACAAGTCAAAGAAGTCCACTATCACCATTATCATGAAAAATTATTTAACATTTTCTGGATTACTGTACTAGCTAATGCTATTACAAGAAAAATAATAGTAAGCATAAAAATTAGAAAGGAAAAAGTAAACTTATAATTTGAGGCTATTTCTAGATAACACAACTTAGTCAACTGAAAAACTATTTTTCCTTTTTTAAATTGAGATATAACTCACTTATCATAAAATTCACCCATTTGAAAAGTGTATAATACAATGGATTTTTGTATATTCACAGTTGTGCAACTATCACCACTACTTCCAGAACATTTTCATCATCCCAGAAAGAAACCCCATACCCATTAGCAGTCAGTCACTTCACATTCTCCCCATTCCCAATTCCTGGCAACCGCTAATTTACTTTCTGTCTCTATGGATTTGCCTATTTTAGACATTTCATATAAATGGAATCATACAATATGTGGTCTTTTGTGATTGGCTTCTTTCATTTAGCATGTTTTCAAGGCTTATTAATATTGTAACATGAATCACTACTTCATTCCTTTTTTTGCTGAATAATATTTCATCAAATAGGTATACCAGATCTTGTGTATCCAATCATCATTTGATGGACATTTGGATTATTTTTACTTTCTGGTTATTAAAAACAATGCTAGCCGGGCATGGTGGTTCACACCTGTAATCCCAGCACTTTGGAAGGTTGAGGCAGGCGAATCACTCGAGCCCAGAAGTTCGAGACCAGCCTGGGGTAACACGGTGAAACCCATTCTCTACAAAAAATACAAAAATTAGCCAAGCATGGTGGTGCACGCCTGTAGTCCCAGCTACTTGGGAGGCTGAGATGGGAGGCTCCCTTCAGCTCAGGAGGTCGAGGCTGCAGTGAGCTGTGATCATGCCACTGCACTCCACTGCACTCCAGCGTGGACAACACAGCGAGACCCTGTCTCAACCACCGCAACAAAAATAATGTTGTTATGGATATTCCTATACACATTTTTGTGTGGACATGTTTTTAGTTCTCTTGGGGATATGCCTAGGAGTGGAATTGCTGGGTCCTATGGTAACTCTAATATTTAATTTTTTGAGGAATTGCCAAACTGTTTTCCAAAGAGGCCACACATTTTACATCCCCACTGGCAATGAATGAGGGTTCCAATCCTTGCCAATGCTTGTATTGTCGTCTTTTTTATTACAGCCTTCCTACTGGGTGTGAAGTGGTATCTCATTGTGATTTAGAACTGAAAAACTATTTTAAATAGTAAGATAATTTAATGAGATATAAAATTATTTAAAATATCAAAAGCCTTCTTATATATAAATAATAACCAGTTACAAAATATAGTGGAGGAAAGGATTCCAACAAAAAAGATAAACTATCTGGAAATAAAGTTAAAAAAATCAAGATTTATATTTAACACACTCCAGAAGAGCACAGGACTGAAAATGAAAAGGCATAGCTGTTCTTTATTTCCTCCTGCTGCTCTTACACAGGAAGACTCAACATCCTAATTAGTTCAATTCTCATTTTCTCTCTCTCTCTCCTCTCTTCCCTCCCTCCCTCCCTCTCTCCCTCCCCCTCCTCCCTCCCTCCCTCTCCTCCCTCCCTCCCTCCCTCTCTCTCTCTCTCTCATCTGGCTCTGTCACCCAGGCTAGAGTGCAGTGGTGCGATCTCAGCTCACTGCAACCTCCACCTCCCAGGTTCAAGCGATTCTCGTGCCTCAGCCTCCCAAGCAGCTGGGATTACAGGCATGTGCCAACATGCCCACCTAATTTTTATATTTTTTGTAGAGACGGGGTTTCGCCACGTTGGCCAAACTCATCTCAAACTCCTGGCCTCAAGTAATCCACCTGCCTTGGCCTCCCAAAGTGCTGGTATTACAGACATGAGCCACAGCACCTGGCCCAATTCTATTTTAATCTATAAATATAACATGACTCCAACAAAAATACCTCCTAAAATTAGAGCCAGACTAGCTGTAGCTAAAGCTCATGTGAAAAGATGATAAGGAATTGTGGTTTTACCCATAGACCCAGCCTTTCTGGGTTCTCATCCAGGCTTGTTGCTTATTAGCTGTGTATCCTTGCACAAGTTACTTAACCTCTCTGTCTCAGATGCCTCTTCCATGAAAGGGGATAATAGTATCTGCCTGGTAGGGCTGTCAGGAGGATTAAATGAAGATACATAGAGCACTGAGAATAGTACCTGTCATATAACAAATGCCAAATAAGTGCTATTATTATTCACTGAGGAAAAATAATAATTCAAGAATGAGTAGAAAAATGTTTAAAAAAACAAAAGAGTAACAAGAGAGGACTTGTGGGTGGCAAGCCACCTAGGTGCTGAGGCAAGAGACCGAGGGCATGAGCTGTTCCAGTATAATAAAATATATAAAATAAGAATAGTTATACTATAGATCATAGATATTATATATGAATATCATTAATCATTAGTTTGTAGCAATTAGTCTTTATTCCAATATTATAATAATCCTTACTCTATAATCATAACCTAGGAAAAACCAGGCCATACAGAGATAGGAGCTGAGGGGACATAGTGAGAAGTGACCAGAAGACAAGAGTGCAAGCCTTCTGTTATGCCCAGACAGGGCCACCAGAGGGCTCCTTGGTCTAGCGGTAACACCAGCGTCTCGGAAGACGCCCGTTGCCAAGCAGACCATGGTCTAGCGGTAGCGTCGCTGTCCAGGAAAAACACCTGCTACTTAGCAGACTGGGAAAGGGAGTCTCCCTTTCCCCAGGGGAGTTTAGAGACAACTCTACTCCTTTACCTCTTGTGGAGGGCCTGACTAGGCCTAACCATCTCCCTGTGATGCTGTGCTTCACTGGTCACGCTCCTAGTCTGCTTTCATGTTCCATCCTGTACACCTGACTCTGCCTTTTAGATAGCAGTAGCAAATTACTGAGAGTACTAAAAGTCTCTGATATGCAGAAATAATGGCACAAGCTGTCTCCTCTCTCCCTCTCTCTCTGCCTCGGCTTCCAGGCAGGGAAGGGCCCCCTGTCCAGTGGACACGTGACCCATGTGACCTTACCTATCATTGGAGATGGCTCACACTCCTTACCCTGTCCCTTTGTCTTGTATCCAATAAATATCAGCGCAGCCTGGCATTTCGGGCCACTACTGGTCTCCGCATCTTGGTGGTAGTGGTCCCGCAGGCCCAGCTGTCTTTTATCTCTTTGTCTTGTGTCTTTATTTCTACAATCTCTCGTCTCCACACATGGGGCGAAAACCCACTGACCCTGTGGGGCTGGACCCTACAAGGACTGACCCTACTAAATGGTAAAACAGCACAGTTCTGGTGAATCAAAATTAACAGAAAAGTCAGTGGAATAGAGCAGAGAATCCAGAAACCCATATGCAGCAGAGAATCCAGAAACCCATATGCATGTGGGAATTTAGAAAATTATAAATGTGGGCCGGATGTGGTGGCTCTTGCCTGTAATCCCAGCACTTTAGGAGGCAGAGGCAGATGGATCGCCTGAGCTCAGGAGTTCCAGACCAGCCTGGCCAACATAGCGAAACCCCGTCTCTACTAAAAATACAAAAATTAGCCGGGCGTAGTGGCATGCACCTGTAATCCCAGCTACTCAGGAGGCTGAGGCAAGAGAATTGCTTGAACCTGGGAGGTGGAGGTTGCAGTGAACTGAGATTTGTGCCGCTGCACTCCAGCCTGGGCAACAGAGCAAGACTCTGTCTCAAAAAAAAAAATTATAAATGTGGCATTTCAAATGACATCGTGTAGAAAAGAAGGAGTGTTCATTAAAAGTGATTTTGGGACAAAACTTCCACTTCACTCCTTATACAAAAACACATTCCAGATGAAGCAAAGATAAACAAAACCATAAAAATAAAGCCATTAAAGAAATAACTTAATAATCTGAGTGTATTATGGCCCCAAACCTAGAAGCCATAAAAGACTGATAAATCCAAATACATGAATCATGAATTTCTGTAAGACAGAAAAACAAAACAAAATACCATAAACAAAGTCAAACGACAAAAAGACTGAAAAAGAATAAGTGTAACATATATCACAAAGGGCTGTTTTCCATCATACCACAGAAAAATGAACACAACTCAAGAACAGATAAATCACAGGAAAAAAATTACAAATTATTCTCTGTATGGAAAGGTACTCATCTTGATTCATAATAAAAGACACAGTCCAGGCGTAGTAGCTCCTGTCTGTCATCCCAGCACTTAGGGAGGCCAAGATGGGAGGATTTCTTGAGTCCAGGAGTTCAAGACCAGCCTAGACAACATAGAGTGACCCCCATCTCTACAAAAAATTTTAAAATTAGCCGGGTGTGTTGGCATGTGCCTGTACTTCCAACTATTTGGGAGGCTGAGGTGGAAGCACTGCTTGAGCCCAGGACGTTGAGGGTGCAATGAGCTGTGATAGTGCCACTGCACTCCAGTCTGGGCAACAGAACAAGACCCTGTCTCAAATAATAATAATAATAATATAAATACAAATTTTAAAAAATCAATATAAGAGACGAATTAAAATCACAGCTAGAAACCACCTTTTGTGAGTTGTGGGGAAACAGGCACTCTCACACATTGCTAAGGAGAGAAAAATGGATACAATCTCTATGGGGCAATTTGCCAATATATATTAAAAAATGTACAGATTAAGAACGCACAAACCTTTGAACCAGCAATTCAACTTTCTAGGAATCTATCCTACAGATAGATGTACCTGTACTTGTGTACAATAATAAAAGAACAAGGATGTTCACTGATGCATTGTTTGTAATAGGAAAATACTGGCAATCTAAATGTCCAGCTATTAGGGACTGTTAAATCATTACCATACATACGTACAATGGAACGAGGCAGCTCTACATATATTCATAAGTAAAACAAGCCAGTATAGCATACTACCATTGTGTTTTTAAAAGGATATGTATCAATAACATTGTTATTTACGACATATTTATGACAAAAGATGTTAAAAATGCTGATATGGGCATAAAATAAATCTGAAAATATTTCCAAGAAACCATTACCACTAATGGCTTGTGGAGAGAATTGCAAGGCTGGACTATAGGAATAACATGGATGTTTACTTTTCCCTGTATCTTTTTTGACAATTTTGGATTTTGTATCTTTTGTGTGAATTACCTTTCATTGTTGTTTTACGAGTTTTAAGATTCCATTCATTCCTGGATTTATTTGCTAACCTTGTACAAAGTTAACAGTTGTCAGAAAAAGATATAGTAATTCCTGTCTTGAGGAGCTGATGGGCACTGGGCCTAGGACCTCTTTGCACTGGAATAATGGGGGAGGGGAGCGGGTGACCTTATCAGAAATGCAGATTCCTGGGCCCCACCCCAGACGGACCGAATTAAGAGTCCCAGAGTGACGGCAGAAATCTCCATTTTTGACGGGCTCCCGCTGGGATTCGGGTGTCTGCTCATCTGGAAGCCTCCATGCTGGAGAGGTAGTCAGCACAGCGCACGCAGGGCGTAGGCGTGTTTTCTCGTCCCTCCCTCGCAACCACAGTCCCGCTCAAGGCGTGGGGGTGTCACCCGAGACCCGGGCCTCCCCTGCACTTTCCTTTAGGCCGAAACCGCGAGCCTTCGCTTCAGTGTCGCTTTTCCTTCGCCGCCGCCGCCGCCGCCGCCGCCGCTCTTCTCAGGACCTACATCGACTGCCCAGTCGGCTGAGCTGGGCCCTGGGCCACCGAGGCCCGGGGAGCTGAGGGGCTCGGGACCCTGCGAGCCGCTTAAGAAAGGACCGCAAGAACCGAATGCAGTGAACTGCGAGAGCAGGGAATGAGAGAGAAGTTAAACCGTTTAGCAAAAAAAAAAAATAAGAGACATGATGGAGGCAGAAAATAAATTGTAGGGGGGAGGGAAAAAAGCGTTACGACTCCGCCGGGACTCGAACCCGGAACCTTTGAATGCCTTCAGCCTCTAGAAGTCCAATGCGCTATCCATTGCGCCACGGAGCCACCTGTTGGAGTCTCAGCGCATCTGCTATGTTAAGCCAGAGGCGACGGCCCCGCGCTCTTCCGACCGCGCCTCCCGTCGTCAGTGTCACCGAGACCCAGCCGCCGCGCTCAGGGCACTGCCATCCGCCTCAAACGCCAGCCGCAGGCTCTCGGTCTCCCCGCAGTGGTCGCCCCTCAACAAGGTCGGCGACCCAGTTGAGCCAAGGGCGGCCGCAGTCCGACGGTCCCACCTGGTCGGTGTGAGGGCAGCCGCAACCCGGTCCCCTTCACGGTCCGGGCCCAGCCGTACGAATCACAGTCGCGCTTTTCCCTCCCCGGCTCCCTTCCTGCCCCAAGCGCCCCGCCTACCAGGTCTCTCCGGCGGCCGCTCCAGCCCGGCCGGGACCCCAGAGTTGCAGGCCCAGGCCAGCCGTTGCACCGTTAAGCCGGGCCGGTGACGCCGGGCCTTTACGTCGCGCCTGTGAGCGGCCGAGGCCGAGCGGCCTCCCCTCGGGCTGCGAGACGTAAGCGGCGACCCCTCTCGGGCCTGGGCTCTTCCCTCGCGCCCGGCCGCCGCGCCCGACCCAGCCGCGGCTGGACCTGCGCGCGAGCGCCGCCGCGCGACGTCTGTGTGCGTGCTTGTGCGTGTTTATTTGCGCGGGGTTCGAAAAACGGGGTTTGGGTTGCATTTCGCTCCCCACAGACCCAGAGCCGAATTTCTGAGGTATCCGGGCTCTGGTGGACTGAGGGGGGCGACGCGCCCCGCGCCGCAGCATCCTCCGAGAGCTCGTCTTGCCGCCAGCACCTGCCTCCAAGGACGCCGCGCAGCTGCCCCGAGCCCGCGCGCCCGGGGCCCGCGACTGCGTGGGCGGAAGCCGGGAGGGTGTCAGCACGCGTGGGAGCGCTGGGAGCATGCGTATGCGGGTGCATGTGGTCGGAGGGCGCGCGCTCGAGCGCGGCCGCGGGGTTTCCTGGTGGCTGCGAGCGGTGGGGACGGCAGCGGGCCTGGCGCCGCTGCCCAGAAGGGTGCGGTCGCCACGAATCTGAGAGGCGGCTGGGTGGGGGCCGGCAGGTTTCCAGTGCCCGCAGTGATCCCCATCCGCAAGACCCCGAAGCCCTTTGAAATAGACGGTCAAAGCCGCGTGGTTGCTCTGCGACTGCAGCGGCGAGACCGAACGCCCGGCCCCCGTTCCTATTAGCTCACAGCAGTCCCGGCCCCGCCTACGGAGGATTCGCAGGGCGGCCGCTGGGCGCGCTTTCTCGGCTCGGCCACAGCCCGTTTCTGCACCAAACCCGCCAGCCGCGGCCCACCCTGTGCTTCACCCATACCCGCCCCTGCCCAGCATCGCCAGGCCTCAAATGCAGAATAGTCTCTGGCAGAGTTCAAAGAGGGAAAGGGAAGTCCTGGGAAGAGTCCAGTGTGGTAGGGATTTTACAGTCTTACTTAACCCCAAGACGAAGCTATGGGGCGGGTACATACACACCACCGTCCCCTTTATAATATAAAGAAGGGAAACTGCAGCTAAGAGAGGTTAAAAAACTCGTGTAGGGACGCCCAGCTAGTGAGCGTGGAGAACTGTGATGAATCATATTTTGTTATGTTTGCAAACTAACACGTTAGCTTTCACGGTTTCATGAATGCTGACAGAACACACCAGACTTCTGAGTCAGAGATAAAAGACTATTACAACAAAAGCAATAGCCAGAGTATCACCATTTTTGAGTTGGCTCCCTGGACCCCAGTTCTCACAGGAACGAAGCACACGGGCCCAGATGCATGCTTACACACAAGATGGGTTGCATTACAGAAGAGGAATGCTGAGCTTGGGGAACCCACCATGTTATAGTGAGCAGTAAGCAAGCCTGCTCTTTGTTCCATAGGGAGACATTACCTCATCCCTCAAGATTGCTCGCTGCAAACACAACGCTGAGAAATGGCCCAAGTAAAGCGTGATCAGGGTCTTGCATTCTTGGCACATCTAGGAAGAACGTGCAAGGATGCGAATTGTGAATCGCTTCTCCAAACAGTAAGTGGCAGAGCCCTGATTGGTGCCAGGCCTATTTAATTATACTCTAATGTAAACAAAGTTTTATATATATATATATATATATATATATATATATATATATAAAATTGTTATGCCCCTTTAATGAATTAAATGTCTTCACATTGCATGCAGGGAGAATTCTCATATGGATAAAATTAGCCTTTAAAATGGAATATGGTTTTAAATTGTATTTATTTAAACAAATCTTTTTTGAATTCTGAAATATGCCAGGCACTGGTGGCATCTCAGGGTCTCCACTGGTCTTAGGAGTTGCTCACAGCCGAAATGGGAGAAGAGATGCTCTGTATGCCTGTGGGAAAACCATACAGAGGAATTCTGCCTGGGGTATTGGAGCCAAATCTCAAATGATGAGGAGTCATTGACGTGATTAAGTGACAGTTGAGATGCGTATATAAAAATTCTGGAAAGGGGGAATTGGGAAAGAAACAATGTGCTAAGGAAAGATGTGTATGTGTTTGATTCCACTTAATGATTCAAACGAATAATTTTAGATATTTTATTCCACTAGATGAAGCCAAAAAAATTCCTGTATCATGGAAAATATTAGAGATACAGTGTTAGCAGACAGTGTGGGAAAGCCAGGCTTTCCCTGTGCAGCCTTCTGTGAGCTATCAAGGTTGTACTTCTTATACCCTGCAATTAGAAGACTGGGGCCAGGTGCAGTGACTCACGCCTGTAATTCCAGCACTTCTGGAGGCTGAGGCGGGAGGATCACTTGAGGCCAGGAGCTTGAGGTTACAGTGAGCTATGATCGCGCCACTGCACTCCAGCCTGGGCGACAGAATGAGACCCCATCTCCAAAAGAAAAAAAAAAAAAAAAAGAAGAAAGTCACAGCCAAACAAGGTCAGGTGTGTGGTGGTTCTCTGAACAATTAACTAAGCAGTTTATAGGTAGCAATGTTAGCATGTAAGAAAAATGAAAAGAGTATTTAGTTGCCATCTGGGGAGAAAGATTCAGTGGGTGTTGTCTTCCCCTTATCTAATCTGGCTGAATTTTCTCAGGCTGTATCTGTAGTAAACAGCCATTATACAACCTGAGCTAAGAATTCCCGCAAGTGAGAAAGCAACCTCTTCCTGCCAACAGAGGGAGTCAAAGCATGGGTTATAACCACTTTCAATTAGGCTGATTGCAGCACATCTGCAGTTTGAGTTCGCTGGACAGCAAAGCCCTAAATTAAATACGGTTTCATGTTGGTGTTTTATTTTTATTTTTATTTTGAGACAGAGTCTCACTCTATCACCCAGGCTGGAGTGCAATGGCATGATCTTGGCTCACTGCAACCTCCATTTCCCGAGTTGAAGCAATTCTCCTGCCTCAGCCTCCTAAGTAGCTGGGATTACAGGCACGTGCCACCACACCCGGCTAATTTTTGTATTTTTAATGGAGATGGGGTTTCACCATGTTGTCCAGGCAGGTCTTGAACTCCTGACCTTGTGACCTGCCTGCTTCGGCCTCCCAAAGTGAGGCGTGAGCTACCGTGCCTGGCCAGCAGGATTATTTTTAAGTTACTGTGTGGTTAGTGATTTCGGCCTTCCCAGAAGCTCTGGAAATGGACTATACTTCTACTGTATATATTTGCACTAGCTTTGCTTTACTCCAGAGGTATAAGGTTGCTGGAGTACCAGTTTTATTCAATTCAATGAGTAGGGACAATACAGTTAGGCCTACTGTGGGAACCAAGTGAAAGTTTAAGACATAATTCCTACCTTCAAGGACACTCCAAATTTCCTAGGAGAAATACGATTTATGAATATGAAGCAATAAGCAAATGAAGCAAGGTAGCATGTGAAAAAGTGGCATAATGTGACTGGGCATTCCTACCGGTAAAAATTTTTCAGTTTGGACCCCCAAGGAACCAGGATGCTCTATTATACTACTAATAAAACATACCTAAAAAGGAATTTTTAAAGGGTGAGATTTAAAAAACAAACAAACAAAAACTGTGGTAGTAGCAGTTAAGAGTACAGCCTGTGGAGTCAGGACCCTGTCATTCAAATCTTGGTTCAGCCTTTATTTGCAGGACATGATCCTTAACTTCTCTGCCTGAAAAATTATAAAATTGTTATGAGAATTGCAAGAGTTAATCCTCTCAAGGACTTGTCTCAGTTCTGGCACATGGTAAGTGTGTAACAAATATTTGCTATTATATTAGTAAGTAGCTCTTAATAAAGAAATCCCACATCCTGCAGAAACAAAGGACAGTACAGATACAGCATCAGCTAAATTTGTTGCAACCGGAGGGACATTCTGCAGCTCCCTACCCCACTCCTACTCAGCTGTACATTTCATTTCTGTTACCGAACAGAACACTTAGCTTCTCAGACTGAAGACATCTACCTTCAGCTTCAATTCCTCACAGTTCTTAGTTCAAGAACCTTAGGCACATTTTTATTTTCATTTGTCCCACCCACCACATGGTTTCCCAAGACAAGGGTACCATCCACCCTTAAGGACTTAAGAAGACTCATTTCTTGCTAGAAAAATCTACTCACAACGTTGAAATGAAGGCCTTTTTCATCCTAAAATCTACTCACAACATTGAAATGAAGGGCTTTTTCATCCTAAAATATCTCAGTGCTGAGTGTGATTACTGAGCCAGGCCAATAGCCAAACCACATTAGGTGGCCAGGCAGGAACAGGGGAAGGAAAAGAAAATTTTCCAGGATGAAGAAAAACATAACGTCAAGACAAAAATGAGGGTTGGATGGGTCCTTATGGAAGTACAGTTTGGGGTGATGGAAGATGTGTCAACAGACGAGGTTGGGAAGGTAGGATCCAGGCCAGATACGGCAAAAGGGGTAGGGGCAGACTTGATTCAAGATAAGGAATGTGGCAATGGGAAAGCATTTGGCATGAGAAAAGCTGTGTTTAGAGTGATTACTATAGGAGGGGATGTGCAGGCAGAATGGAGTGGGTCCAGAGGGTCAGGGAGACTACTGCATCCTATTTAATTTGTCTGATTTCTTCATCTTTTCAGAAAACCGTCTGAGGGTCCAGTAGTGACCTTGGGGCATACAGAGATGAAAAACACATGTGCTTGGCTTACAAGCCTTATAGAAAGGATGATAGTCCAGGCGTGGTAGGTAGCTCATGGCTGTAATCCTAGCACTTGGGGAGGCTGAGGCGGGTGGATTGCCTGAGCTCAGGAGGTCGAGACCAGCCTGGCCAACATGGTGAAACCCTGTCTCTACTACAAATATAAAAATTACCCAGGTGTGGTGGCACATGCCTGTAATCCCAGCTACTCGGGAGGCTGAGACAGGAGGACTGCTTGAACCTGGGAGGCAGAGGTTGCAGTGAGCCAAGATCACAGTATTTGCACTCCAGCCTGGGCAACAGAACGAGACTCCATCTCTGGGGAAAAAAAAAAAAAAAGGATGACAGGTACACAAACAGCTGTGATGTAAAATAAAAAGGTCTTTAAGTGAGGTGCAGGTGTGGTGATACGGGACTTCAGGGAAGAGAAAGATTACATTGTGAGAGGGAATTACACAGGGAGGCTGCATTTGAAATGGGCTATCTAACCTAGGACTGACTTGCGTACAAGGAATGCTGTGGCTAGGGCGCAGGGTAGAAACCAGACTCAGGAGTTATGAGGAAGAAGATAGGACAAGGCTGGGAAAATAATGGAGGCTGAGCAGTTCAGTGCACAGTGTTTAAAAGGGTGCCAAAAACTTGACCTTGGTTGCAGCAGGTGCTGGTAAAGAAGGTCACTGGGGTTCAGAGTACTGGTGACAAAGTCAGGCATGGTTCTGTGCCATCAGCCTGTTCAGAAGAGGACAAGAAACACAGCTAAGGATAAAGGGAACATGATCTGGTCCCGAAAGGGGAAGGCTTGGGAGGCTGATTGAAAGACTTAGACTGGTAGAGTGGTATTCAGAGAAGAAGTCTAGTCATGAAGGAAAACTGAGGCAGATGCAGGTATATCGTGTCTAAGGCAGGCAGCACCACCAATTCCAGATCTCATGGCTGGTTGCCTGGCTGACCAGGCTTCCAAGCCTAGTAGGGCTCAGGAAGGATGTAGGAGTATCTTGTAAGTGGCAGTTACCTGTCTCTGCTGTTGAGATGGCTAAACAAAGGCTGAGCCTTACTTGGGTCTTCAAGGCTGGTCAGGCTTGTCCCTGCACAAACAAAAGACCACATTCATTCATTTAAGCATTGAGACTAGCCAGGCTCTCCACAAGTCTCTTGGGACCCTTTGGTGAAGAAGACAAATGCTGTCCTTGCTGCCATGGACCTTGCAATCTTGAGCAAAGTCAGACAGCAGAGCATGAATGAGTATAGGAAATGGGCTTGACTTAAGAGATACAGCTGAGAAAGTCAGTGGGGCAAAGATCCGGAAGCGCTTCAAATGCAAGGCTAAGGAGCCTGGGGTTGAGCAGCCCCATGTCACCTCCTCCGAGAATTTTCCCAGACATTCTTCTGCAGCCTAGTCTGCTGGTGGTGGGGAGGGACTCCTGGATTCCCAAGGTACTTTCAAAGCTCTATAATTTTCTGTGTGGTTTTCTATCTCTTCTCCCAGACAATAAGCATCTTGGGGGAGTGGGAGGAAAGTGGGGGGAGCACGTCTTCTTTTCCTTTATCTTTGTAACCTCAGTCCCTAGCATTGTGGCTAGCTCACAACAAGTAGCTTTGAATATTGATTGAACAAATGAATGAGTCCTGTAGGCAATAAGGAAGCTACTTGACTATGTGCCTAGCTTATCTTCTGCATTAGACCAGAAGCTCTTGAAAGCTAAACATCCGTGCTTTCTAACTGTTTTGTAATTCTCCCCAAGGCTTGGCAGAATATCATGTACACAGTGGACACTCCATAAATGATGCCTGAATGCGTTTGTGGAAGTAGAAGTGGATCTTCAGTGTCCTAATTCCTGCTTTCAGTGACCCAGTTTGGGGGAGTAGGTCTTAAATTTCTTCCCCTCAGAATGACATCTCTGCCTTTTAAGTTCTCAACAAACTAGTAGGATGACTTCTTCTGGTAAGCATATTTGGAAGGAAAGGCATTCTGAGCCCCACTCGTGGGCCTCACAACAAATAACCATCTATTAAAGCTTAGTGAATCTTAATTGTTTAGCAGTTGAAAATAATAATGAAGTAATAACGCATCACACCAGGCACTTTTCTGGGTTCTTCATGTATATCAGACCTCACTTAATCTTCATAACAACCCTCTAAGGTAGGCAGGATCATTGCCCCATTCCCAGATGGGAAGGCAAACCACAGGGAAAGCAGCAGGATTGAATCCAGGCACCTGTCCCCAAGTTCACATATACCCTGGACTACAGCAGTTTCTCCTAGAAAAGAAATCAGGAGAGAATCAGCAAGCAACTGGGAGCAGACTTGTTAGACTAGCGGTCTTCAAACTCTACCACGCTCTAGAATCTTGATGCCCAGGATGCACCCTGAGGCCAGTTAAATCACAATTTCTGGGGATGGGACCCTGGCATCAGCATTTTTTTTAAACTCCCTAGGTGATTCTCATATGTAGCCAAATTTGAAAATAATGCCCTCTGCCCTTCCTGCAAAAATGCTGACCATGAACCAGGAGTATCAGCATGACCTGGGAGCAGATTAGAAATGCAGGCTCTCGGCCCCACCCTAGGCCTGCTGAATCAAATCTGTATTTTACTAAGATCCCCTCAGTGACTCATTTGCACTAAAGTTTAAAATGCACTGGTTTAGGGCTTAGGTATTCAAGCTCTCATTATTCCACTTGGGCTTCTGTTATTAGCATGAATTTAAATCCTTAATAAGCAAATCTCAAAACTCCATCAAAAAGCTCAGAATCAATCTGATATATTGGCCCAAAAAAATTACTTCAGAGGAAACTATGACCTTTTACTTCTCATTTTGTGAGGGAACTGAGGAAGAAAAGTTATATTGCTAATGGTGTCTAACAGAATGTAGATTCAGTCCAATCTAAAAGAGGCAGATGAATAACTCCTGGCTGCCTTCCTTCTTCTGAGTCAGAAGGATCAGGCCCACGACCTCAGTTAGGCAATGACCATACTTGAGTACCAAGCTGATTGATAAAGAAAATCCTCCAGCCAGAGGTATCTAAGCTTTCACAACTTCTGCTGTTTCCCCATGGTATGTTCCTGTTATAGACCCATAGATGAGATCAGCAATCCTTGTCCCAATTGAGATCTTGTTGTTTGTCATTCAGCTTTCTGAATCTAACTAGATACATTGCCCACTTTTTAGTTTAGTTTAGTTTTTTTCTTTTTATTTTCTTTTAGACTGAGTTTCACTCTTTTTGCCCAGGCTGGAGTGCAGTGCCACAATCTCGGCTCACTGCAACCTCCACGATTCAAGCGATTCTCCCACCTCAGCCTCCTGAGCAGCTGGGATTACAGGCACATGCCACCACGCCCAGCTAATTTTATATTTTTAGTAGAGATGGGGTTTCACCAGGCTGGTCTCAAACTCCTGAGCTCAGGTGATCCACCTGCCTCGGCCTCCCAAAGTGCTGGGATTACAGGCGTGAGCCACCACGCCTGGCACTTTTTAGTTTTTATTTGCCATTGCTTTGTTTATTTATAACTAAATAACTGAAATTTGGAACTAGACTCAGAATGTGTCCCAGTTCATCTGAAGGACATGGAGGTCCACTGGGATGCTCCTTATTTCACTATTTCACTATTTTTTGGTCTTTGCCCACTTTTTCCTTGAAATGATCCATTCTGTGCATTTTATTATATCTCAAGACATCAGGTAGATAGTCACAACCAGTAGCAAATACACCGGCTGAAATTGCCCTCCTTGCTTGGAATGTCTGCCCTTGAATGCAAATTATTTACTTCTGGATCCCTGACAGTGTAATTGTATAATAACTGCGTTTGTAGAATGGTAAGGTTAGCATCCCGTTTTTCTCAGATCTTCAGTAGCAGACTATAAATGACTAGAAAGGGGAGGGCTACTTAGTATCAAGTTTTTCAACACTAGTAATGGAGAGGTGCTATGGTTTGCATAGAGTTAGTTTGTCCCCACCAAAATGCATGTTGATATTTGATCCCCAGTGTGGCAGTGTTGGAGGTCAGACCTAGTGGGGGGTATTTGGGTAATGAGGGTGGATCCTTTATGAATGGCTTCGTGCTACTCTCATAGTAGTACATGTGTTCTCACTGTTGCTAGACTGGATTACTTCTCATGGATATGGATTGGTTTCCAGGGAGTGGGTTGTAATAAAGACAGGATGCTCCTCAGGTTTTTCTCCCCCTTCACACATGTCCACTTCCCTTTTGATCTCCTTTGCCATGTTGTGATGCAGCACAAAAGCCCTTGCGGGAAGCAGGGCCATGCCCTTGAACTTCTCAGCCTGCAGAACTGTGAGCTAAGCAAACCTCTTTTCTTTATGAATTACCCAGTCTCCAGTATTCTTTTATAGCAATACAAAACAGACTAAGGCCAGGAGCATAAAGAGAGAAAGAAAGGGGCCATCCCTTCCCCCATTTCTCTGGATGATCTTACTTGCTGGCCAAGCGTTTGTCATTTCTAAGCCTGTGGCGAACAATAATGATACATGGAAAGACCCTGTAGATACTGTCCTAACAAGAGTCCATGCTAGAGCCTTGAACATGACTCATGTGAGTGTTGAATGGATCAATTAATTCTTCAGGTACATTTATGACTGGGGCTGATACTGAGCTCATAGGTACTAACATGAAGTAAGGGCCAGAGCCCATTCTCATTGAGCAGGCTACCCACCACTCTGCTGGGCTGGTACCCACACTGTACCACTCATTACAGATGGCACCTAGAATGTGAGAATGTGGCTCCAAGTTGCAAGCCAGAAAACAAAGAAATGTTTACAACCCAACCTGATATGGCTTACTTACAGGACTGGTTAAAGGGAGAGAAGTGGAGCCTGATTGGCTAGGAATCTTGAAGGGGTGGGACCCAGCAGTCTCAGAGCTGCAACAAGATGGATCCTGGAGAAGGAATGAGAATTTAAAGTAATTCGAACTGAGAATGGATTAATATGGCTCTCTAGTAAATCTGGAGGCAAAATTTGGAAGCAACAGAGAAGTAAAAAGGAAGGAGAGACCAGGAACAGGAGCTGAGTGGGTAGAAGCTCATTGAAGTTTTGGGGAATGAAGAAGGAGGAAGAAGAAAGAAGGTGCATCAATTACATTGAACTAAGTGAGTGAAACACAGAAAACACAAAACACAGAGCAACTGAGGCTTAAATGAACTGGAGCTTTATTCTATATTGCTAGCTGTATTAGTCCATTCTCACTTTGCTATAAAGACATACCTCAGACAGGGTAATTTATTTATTTTTTTATTTTTATTTTTTACTTTTTTGAGACAGAGTCTTGCTTTGTCACTCAGGCTGGAGTGCAATGGCACAGTCTCAGCTCACTGCAACCCTGCCTCCCGGGTTCAAGCGATTCTCCTGCCTTAGCCTCCCAAGTATCTGGGATTACTGATGCTGTCGTGTGCATCCATGTGAAGAGACCACCAAACAGGCTTTGTGTGAGCAATAAAGCTTTTTAATCACATGGGTGCAGGTGGGCTGAGTCTGAAAAGAGAGTCAGCGAAGGGAGATGGGGTGGGGCAGTTTTATAGGATTTGGGTGGGTAGTGGAAAATTACAGTCAAAGGGGGTTTTTCTCTTGCAGGCAGGGGCGGGGGTCACAAGATGCTCAGTAGGGGAGCTTCTGAGCCAGGAGAAGGAATTTCACAAGGTTAATCGCTCAGTTAAGGTGGGGCAGGAACAAATCACAATGGTGGAATGTCATCAGATAAGGCAGGAACCGGCCATTTTCACTTCTTTTGTGATTCTTCAGTTACTTCAGGCCATCTGGATGTATACATGCAGGCTTGGGCTCAGGCCTGACATTCCTGTCTTCTTATGTTAATAAGAAAAATAAAATGAAATAGTGGTAAAGTGTTGGGGCGGTGAAAATTTTGGGGGGTGGTATGGAGAGATAATGGGTGATGTTTCTCAGGGCTGCTTCAAGCGGGATTAGGGGTGGTGTGGGAACTTAGAGTGGGAGAGATTAAGCTGAAGGAAGATTTTGTGGTAAGGTTGTTAGAAGGAGCATTTGTCGTATAGAATGATTGGTGATGGCCTGGATGTGGTTTTGTATGAACTGAAAAATTAAATGGAAGACACGAGGTCCAAATAAGAGAAGGATAAAAACAGGTATTAAAGGACTAAGAATTGGGAGGACCCAGGACATCTAATGTGAGAGTGCCCAAGGGGGTTCAGCATAATTACTTGTTTGGTTGGCAAGTTTTTAGGCTCTATCCAAGTTTTGGGGATGCAGTTCAAGTTGGGCTGATGTCTGAAATGAGACTGGGGCCTAATAAAAGGGAGTGTCCGTACAGGAGCTTAAATGGGCTGTACCCTGTAGCATCTCGAGGACAGGCTCTAATTCTGAGAAGGGCAAGAGGTAAGAGTACTGTCCAGTCCTTTTTAAGTTGGAGGCTGAGCTTGGTGAGGTGTGTCTTTAAAAGACCATTAGTCCATTTTACCTTTCCTGAAGATTGAGGATGGTAAGGGGTATGAAGGTTCTGCTGAATACCAAGAGCCTGAGAAACTGGGTGATTTGACTAATAAAGGCCGGTCCGTTACCGGACTGTATAGAGGTGGGAAGGTGAAACTGAGGAATTATGTCTGACAGAAGGGAAGAAATGACCGCGGTGGCCTTCTCAGACCCTGTGGGAAAGGCCTTTACCCATCCAGTGAAAGTGTCTACCCAGACCAAGAGGTATTTTAGTTTCCTGACTCAGGGCATGTGAATAAAGTCAATTTGCCAGTCCTGGGCAGGGGCAAATCCCTGAGCTTGATGTGTAGGGAAGGGAGGGGGTCTGAACAATCCCTGAGGAGTAGTAAAATAGCAGATGGAACACTGAGAAGTGATTTCCTTGAGGATAGATTTCCACGATGGAAAGGAAATGAGAGGTTCTAAGAGTCAGGCTAGCGGCTTGTAACCTACATGGAAGAGGTTATGAAATGACGACAGAATAGAATGGGCCTGTGAGGCTGGAAGAAGATATTTTCCTTGGTCCAAGAACCATTTGCCTTGTGTGGGAGGAGATTGATAGGTGGAAGTTTCAGTGGGAGAGTAGGTGGGAGTGACCGAAGAGGAGGAGGAGGAAAACTGGCCGTGAGGGACAGAAGTTGGAACGCTAAGCTGCTTCTTTAGATACCTTATCAGCATAAGCGTTGCCCTGAGCGATGGGATCTGATGCCTTTTGATGGCCCTTGCAGTGAATGACTCCAGCTTCCTTTGGAAGTAAAGCAGCCTTGAGAAGAGTTTTTATTAAAGAGGCATTAATGATGGAGGACCCTTGAGTAGTGAGGAAACCTCTTTCAGCCCATATAACAGCATAGTGGTGTAGGACATGGAAGGCACATTTAGAATCAGTATAAATGTTGATGTGTAGTCCCTTTGCAAGCATGAGGGCCCAAGTTAAGGCAATGAATTCAGCTTACTGAGAGGTAGTGGAGGGGGCAGAGCAGTAGCCTCGATAGATGTGGAAGATACTATAACATAGCCTGCCTTTGCTGGTGAATGGCAATTAGGCCTGGTGGAACCGCCATCGATAAACCAAGTGTAATCAGGGTGAGGAACAGGAAAGAAGGAAATATGGGGAAATGGAGTGAATGTCAGGTGGATCAGAGAGATAGTCATGGAGGTCAGGTGTGGTATCAGGAATAATGTGGAAGGCCAGATTGAAGTCCAGGCCAGGAACAATGGTAATTGTGGGAGACTCAACAAAGAGTGAGTTTAGCCGAAGGAGCCAGAGGGCAGAAAGTATGTGCATCAGATGTGAGGAAGAAAATAGATTTTGGAAGTTATGAGAACTGTAGAGAGTGAGTTGAGCATAGTTTGTGATTTTGAGGGCTTCTAAAAGTATTAAAGCAGCGGCAGCTGCCACACACAGACATGAGGGCTAGGCTGAAAGAGTAAGGTCACGTTGTTTGGACAGAAAGGCTACAGAGCGCAGTCCTGGCTCTTGGGTAAGAATTCTAACCACACGGCCCTGCACTTCAGCTGTGTGTAATGAAAAAGGTTGGGATGAGTTAGGGAGAGCTAGTATGGGAGCAGCTTTTAGGGCTGTTTTTAAGGAATGGAAAGAGGAGTGGGGAAAGGATTTAGGATCTATGGGGTCAGCTAGGTTTATCTAGAATAGAATAATGGGTAGTGGAGGGAGGTATTGAGGGATAGGAGAGTATATGGGTTTGGCACCATAGGGTGGATAGGCAAGACAATTTGGTTGATAAAGCGCAGATCCTGAACTAACCTGTAAGACTTGTCTGGTTTTTGGACAGGTAAAATGAGGGAATTGTAAGGAGAGTTTACAGGCTTTAAAAGGCCATGCTGTAACAGGCAAGTGATAACAGGCTTTAATCCTTTTAAAGCGTGCTGTGGGATGGGATATTGGCATTGAGCAGGGTAAGGGTGATGTTGCAGGAAGTCAGGGAACCCAAACGGAGGGACTGGCTGAAGCCACGGCAGAACATAAATTGTGAAGATTTCATGGACATTTGTTAGTTCCCCAAATTAATAGCTTTATAATTTCTTACGCCTGTCTTTACTGCAATCTCTGAATGTAAATTTTGAAGATTTCATGGACATTTATCACTTCCCCAATCAATAGTCTTATAATGTCCTATGCCTGTCTTTCTTTTAATCTCTTAATCCTGTCATCTTCATAAGCTGAGGATATATGTCACCTCAGGACCCTGTGATGATTGTGTTATCTGCACAAATTGTTTGTAAAGCATGTGTGTTTGAACAATATGAAATCTAGGCACCTTGAAAAGAACAGGATAACAGCAATTTTCAGGAAACAAGGGAGATAACCATGAAGTCTGACTGCCTGTGGGGCCAGGCAGAACAGAGTCATATTTCTCTTCTTGCAAAAGTGAATAGGAGAAATATCACTGAATTCTTTTTCTCAGCAAGGAACAGCCCTGGGAAAAGAATGCATTCCCAGGGGAGGCTTCTAAAATGACCGCTCTGGGAGTGTCTGTCTTATGCAGTTGTAGATAAGGGATGAAATACACCCTGGTCTCCTGCAGCGCTCCCAGGCTTGCTAGGATTAGGAAATTCCAGCCTGGAGAATTCTAGTCAGACTGGTCCTCTGCTCTTGAACCCTGTTTCCTGTTAAGATGTTTATCAATGACAATGCATGCACAGCGGGACATGGAACTTCATTAGTGATTCTAATTTTGCCCTGGCCTTGTGATCTTGCTCTACTCCCATTTGCCTTGTGATATTTTATTGCCTTGGAAGCATGTGATCTCTGTGACCCACACTATTCCTACACTCCTTCCCCTTTGAAAATCGCTAATAAAAACTTGCTGGTTTTGCAGCTCAGGTGGGCATCACGGAACCTGCCGACATGTGATGTCACCCCCAGAGTCCCAGCTGTAAAATTTCTTTCTTTTGTACTCTTTCTCTTTATTTCTCAGACCGGCCGACACTTGGGGAAAATAGAAAAGAACCTACATTGAAATATTGGGGGCTAGTTCCCCCAGTAGGGTGATTAGGTTTTAATGGGATGGTAAGGGGGGCATCATCCATCACCAAGGAGGGAGTAGAGGTGTCCTGTACTTGTGGATTAAGGTGGGGAGATACAAGGAGAGGACATGAAGGAGGCTTTGAACTGGGGGAAAAGGTGGCAGTGAGGTGTGGCTGTAGCCCAGGAATAGTCAGGAAAGCAGATAATTTAGTTAAAATGTCTCTACCTAATAAGCGAGCTGGGCAGGTGGGGATAACTAAAAAGGAGTGCATAAAAGAATGTTTTCCGAGTTGGCACCAGAGTTGGGGAGTTTTAAGAGGTTTAGAAGCCTGGCCATCAATACCCACAACAGTTATGGAGGCAAGGGAAACACGCCCTTGAAAAGAAGGTAATGTGGAGTAGGTAGCCTCCGTATTGATTAAGAAGGGGATGGACTTACCTTCCACTGTAAGAGTTACCCAAAGCATCTGTGATGGTCCTGTAGGCTTCCGAGGTGATTGGGCAGTGTCAGTCTTCAGCTGCTAAGCCGAGAAGATCTGGAAAGGAGTCAGTCAGAGAGCCTTGGGCCAGAGTTCCAGGAGCTCTAGGAGTGGCTGCCAGGTTGGACAGTCTGATTTGCAGTGGGGTCCCGCACAGATGGAACATGGCTTAGGAGGAATCGCAGGCTGCAGGCATTCCTTGGCCCAGTGGCCAGATTTCCGGCACTTGAAGCAAGATCCTGGGGTAGGCAGTCCTGGAGGAATGCCTGACTGCTGTGGTTCAGGCGTTTGGAAGTTCTTGTGTGCTGGAGATGTGGCTGGGGTTTGTCTCACAGTGTAGGCAAGGAATTGCAACTCAGAAATACGTTGCTACTTGGCTACCTCTACTCTATTATTGTACACCTTGAAGGCGAAGTTAATCAAGTCCTGTTATGGGGTTTGAGGGCCGGAATCTAATTTACGGAGCTTTTTCTAATGTCAGGAGTGGATTGGGTAATAAAACACATATCGAGAATAAGATGGCCTTCTGGCCCTTCTGGGTCTAGGGCGGTAAAGCATCTAAGGGTTGTTGCCAGATGGGCCGTGAACTGGGTTGAGTGTTTATATTTGATGAAAAAGAGCCTCAATGCTAACTTATTTGGGAGAGGTCAGATAAAGTAAAAGGAGCATTAACCTTGGCTATGCCTTCAGCTCCAGCCACCTCTTTAAGAGGAAATTGTTGGGCAGGTCGGGGAGGGCTAGTTGCGGAAAGAAACAGTAAGCCGGACAGGATGTGAGGAGGGGATGATAAAAGGATTATAGGGTGGGGAAGTGGAGGCTGAGGAAGAATTGGGACCTGGCTCAGCCTGCCAAGGAGCAGCCTGGGGAGGAGGGGAGAGGTCAGATGAGTCCATAGAAAAGGAGGATTCAAAGGAGTCAGAGCTTGGGGTGGAGACTGAAGGAACAGACAGGAGAGAAAGAAGAAAGATTTGGGACGAGTCGCTTCAGGAACAGAGATTAGGGAGGGACCAATGTGTAAAAGAATGCCTGGACATCAGGCACCTCAGACCATTTGCCCATTTTTCGACAAAAATTATCTAGATCTTGTAGGATAGACAAATCGAAAGTGCCATTCTCTGGCCACTTGGAACTACTGTCAAGTTTGTACTGGGGTCAAGTGGTATTGCAGAAGAATATAAGGCGTTTAAGTTTTAGGTCAGGTGTGAGTTGAAGAGGTTTTAAGTTCTTGAGAACACAGGCTAAGGGAGAAGAAGGGGGAATGGAGGGCGGAAAGTTGCCCATAGTGAAGGAGGTAAGTTTAAAGAGAAAGGTAGAGACACGGAGAAGCAGGTGGGTGAGCAGCCAAAGCAGGTGTCCCTGCAGTTGACTTGTCACCAAGAGAATGTGGGTGAATGACCAAGGTAGGCATCCCCATGGTGATCAGACACCAATGGAGTATGGGCGAATAATCAGGCAGGCGTCCCCACAGTGATTAAACACCAAGGGAAGACTGTCTTCCTGAGTCTGTGACCGCCACCAGAGTTTTGGGTCCACGGATAAAATGTGTCTCCTTTGTCTCTACTAGAGAGGAAAATGAACTGGAATTGGAAGGACAGGGAGATTGAAGGGTAGCGAGAAAGGGAGATTGAAGGGTAGCAAGAGAGGCTGGAGAAGAGAGTGAAAAGACCACTTACCCAATTTGAAATTCATGAGATGTTTCTTGGGCTGGTTGGTCTGAAGACCTGAGGTGGTAGGTGGATCTCCTCACAGAGTGAGGGCAAAGACAGGAGACCAGTCTCCTGAAGGAGTCCTCCTGTCCCAGGTTTTGGCACCAAATGTGACGCACGTCCGTGTGAAGAGACCACCAAACAGGCTTTGTGTGAGCAATAAAGCTTTTTAGTCACATGGGTGCAGGTGGGCTGAGTCCGAAAAGAGAGTCAGCGAAGGGAGATAGGGGTGGGGCCATTTTATAGGATTTGGGTGGGTAGTGGAAAATTGTAGTCAAAGGGGGTTTTTCTCTTGGAGGCAGGGGCGGGGATCAGAAGATGCTCAGTGGGGGAGCTTCTGAGCCAGGAGCAGGAATTTCACAAGGTTAATCGCTCAGTTAAGGTGGGGCGGGAACAAATCACAATGGTGGAATGTCATCAGTTAAGGCAGGAACCGGCCATTTTCACTTCTTTTGTGATTCTTCAGTTACTTCAGGCCATCTGGATGTATACATGCAGGCTTGGGCTCAGAGTCCTGACAGACGTGTGCCACCACGCCCAGCTAATTTTTGTATTTTTAGTAGAGACAGGGTTTCACCATGTTGGCCAGGTTGGTCTCGAACTCCTGACCTTGTGATCCACCCACCTCGGCCTCTCCAAATTCTGGGTTTACAGGCATGAGCCACCACACCCGGCCAAACTGGGTAATTTATAAAAAAAAGAGGTTTAATTGGCTCATGATTCCACAGGCTGTGCAAGAAGCATGATGCTAGCATCTGCTTGGCTTCTGGGGAGGCCTCAGGAAACTTACAAATATGGTGGAAGGCAAAGAGGGAGCAAGCACTTCACATGGCCAGAGTAGGAGGAAGAGAGAGTGAGTGGGGAGGAGCTATACATTTTTAAACAACCAGATCTTGTGAGAACTCTATCATTATACAGTACCAAGGAGGGATGGTGATAAACCATTCATGAGAATTCCACCCCCATGATCCAGTCACATCCCACCAGGCCCCACTTCCAATGCTGGGGATTACAGTTGAACATGAGATTTGGGTGGGGACACAGATCAAAACCATTTCAGTAACAAAGTCTGGAAGTAAGCCATTGTAGGGGTAGAAATGTGTGGTACCTTTTCTCAACCATCATAAGGCTCACAGCCAACACTTTTATAACAAAAGACAAATTAACAAGGGAAAAGCATGGCAAATTTATTTAATCAAAGTTTTAGGCCAGGCGTGGTGGCTCGTGCCTGTAATCCCAGCACTTTGGGAGGCCAAGGTAATACAGGAGTTATTAAGAAATAATTTTTAGGCAGCTAGAAAGGGTGGGAGTTCTCGGTGGAATTTTCCTTTAATAAAAAGCAGCCCCAAAACCATTTCTTCTCTAACAGAAAGCAGACTGAGAAGGCATAGATAAGGAAACTAGGAGTTTTTATATGTAAATGCAGACAGCTGGAAGCCAGGTACATTCAGTATGGCATCTCCCACCCTCTTTTCCTTGTCACCAGGTCTCTCACCCTCTTTTCCTTGTCACCAGGTTTATGGGTGTCACAGCAGCCTCCAGGTAAAATCACGTGTACAAGTATAGCCACCACCAGGTGGAGGCCATATTTGCATAATAAAAGACTAGGGTAGGAGAGCCAGTCTTTTCCTGGGCTATGTGAATGGCACACCTGGTCAACCCAATCCCCTGAGCCCTAAGTAAATCAGTCACCGCCTCCTCAAGCCTGTACAAAACCAATTGCGTTCCACTGCAGACCGGAGACCCTCTTTTGGGTGACCTGCTTTCTCAGCATGAGGAAGCTTTTTCTCTCTCTTTTCTTCTATTAAACTTTCCACTCCTGAACCCACTCCTCGTGTGTGTCCATGTCCTGAGTTCTTTCTCAAGTGAGACCAAAAGCCAGGGTATATACCCCAGACAACAGAGCTGTTTCACAGGTGGATGGATCACTTGAGCCCAGGAGTTCAAGACCAGCCTGGCAACATGGTGAAACCCCATCTCTACTAAAAATACAAAAATTAGCCGGGTGTGGTAGCATGCGCCTGTAGTCCTAGCTACTTGGGAGGCTGAGACACGGATTGCTTGAACCCAGGAGGCAGTGGTTGCAGTGAGCTGAGATCGTGCCACTGCACTCCGGCCTGGGTGACAGAGCAAGATCCTGTCTCAAAAAAAAAAGTTTTACATGATGCAGGAGACTTCAAAAATGAATACACAAAGACCCAGGGAAAACTGTCCACTTTTATGCATAGATTTGATGAAGATGAACAGCTGTGTAGAAATGTGATTGCACAAAAAGGAGGGGCAGGAACCCAGCAAGGCCTGTCTGTTCAGATTCTTCTTGGTCTTACTGTGTAGCATTCCTTCCTCCCAGGCAGAGGGGAGAACCCCTCTGGAGCAAGGATAACCTGCAGTCAGACAAGGTAGGTCAGGGAATTTATTTATGGCTAGCTTCTGCACAGAAAGGCAGGGGAAGGTCAGAGTAATATTTCTAGGTTTTATAGCTTAATTTGGAAGAGAGGGATTCTAGTTTCTATGACTTGCCTTGGGGAAGAGGAATTATGATATTTTCTAAAGAGACAAGGTCTTGCTCTGTCGCCCAGGCTGGAGGGCAGTGGTTGCAATCACAGCCCACTGCAACCTTGAACTCCTGGGCTCAAGTGAGTGATCCTCCTGCCTCAGCCTCGCAAGTCATTGGTACTACAGGCACATGCTGTCATGCCCAGCTAATTTTTTTTTATTGTTTGTAGAGACAGGGTCTTGCTCTGTAGCCCAGGCTGGTATGCAGTGGTGCAATCATAGCTCACTGCAGCCTTGATCTCCTGAGCTCAAACAATCCTCCTGCTCTCTGCCTCCCAAAGCACTGGGATTACAGGCATGAGTCACTATCCCCTGCAGGAATTGTGATTTCTATGACTGGGAAGAATGAGGGGCAAGAGACATGAGGGTGGGAGAAGGTCAGAGAGAACTTGCTACTGGGGCTGCTTCTGAGGCCTTCCAATCTCTTTTAGTTTGAGGTACTCAGCATGCCAATGTCTTATTTTGGGGTATTGTTTTCTGAGCCCCAACACTGTCCATCACTTCTCTCTCTCTCCCCTACATACTTTCTCCTTCCCTCCCTTCTCCTTTCTCTCCTCCTTTCCCTCCTCCCTTCTCTTCCTCTCTCTTTCCCTCCCTCCCTCTTTCCTTTTAGATGCGTTTACAAGAAGGCTGGATATAGAATCAGGAGACCTAGAAACCTGGCCTGGTCTTATCCTTAACTTAGGGTAAGTAACTCAGCCTCTCTGGACTCAGTGTCCTCACTTGTAAAATTAGGGGCTGAATAAGAGAGGATGCCTAGGGTCCTGCCCAGCTCCAAAATGCTTTGGTCCTCCAAGATCCATAAGACTGCAGGAAGTAGCTGAGACAGCCCTCTCGGAGGGAGCTGGGTCACAGTCTGCTAGACTCCCCTGCTATGTAAAGTCCCATTCTGGCAGATGTCACTTAGATTTCCCCCACTGGCTCCAGATAGGCCTGCTTTGGATAAATGACACTCCTGTTTTGCTAAATCTGACCAACTCAAATCATGCCATATGTGCCTCATTACAAACTTGTCCCTGTGCCAGCCAGATGGATGCAGTACTTTTTGGTCTCCCAGCTAAAGGTTGAAATGGCCTTCATGATGGCACAGCTGGCCTGTAGAGGTGCTTTTGTTTCACTTGTTAGACACCATGTTCTGTTTCAATTCTGTTTCTCTAGTTAAAGTGTTTTCATTTCTTTATTTGTTCAATAAACACCTCTCAAGTACCTGTATGGCCCTGGCACTCTGAGGGGCTCCATAATACCAAAACAAATAGGTCACAGTCCCTTCCTTTCTGGAGCTGGCACTGCCCATGGCCTTCCTGGTATTCCACAATCTCTTCCTACTTAACTCTCCAGCTTTATTTCCCTCCACTGATGACTCCTCCCTGTCATATTGTCCCTTTCCCTGGGGAGGTTTTGCACATGCACATGCTTAGCCTGAACAGGAACCCCTGCCCTCCCAGGTACACATAGGCATTTATACACACACACGTGCATGCACACATGCACGCACACACACACACACCCCTACCTCTCTCCCCAGCCATGGGATTCTCCATTCTTCAAGTTTCGACTTCAGTGTACTTTCCTTAGGAGATCTCCCCTGACTGTTCTGCCCCCAATTCCTGTTATATATTCCTTTAGCACCCTGACTTTCCTTCTCAAAACATTCTCCATCTGGTAACTGCTTTTTAAGTCTTCTCCCTCACTGGAATGTAAACTACCTGGCAGCATGAGGATCACTTCCTGCACACGGTAGGCCCTCAGTAAATGAAGTATGAATGAATACGTGGATGAATGAAGCTGTGAAAGGGAGAGACAAATAGACAGAGATGGATATATCCCATCAAGATCACAGAAGGAATGGGAGCGAAGACTGGTAGACAGACCCATAGAAAGGGACCCCAGCTGCTGTGATGGGGAAGGGATGGGTGGCAAGGTCTCAGAAGAAATTTGTACCTGATCCTGAAGAAGGAATGAGTAAAGTGAAGAGGAGAGGAAAGTGCAGCTCAGGCAGAAGAGACAGCATGAATAAAGACAGGAGGTGGTGGGCCTGGTGTTTTCAGGGTCTGGAGAGTTGTTCATGAGGCAGGTGTGGAACATCAGAGGCTGGCAGGAGAAGCTGTGAGCTCCCAGACAGTGCCCTCCTCCTTGAATAAGAACTTGCAGAATCCCCGACTCTGGAGTCCTTACCATGGCAGGGCACTCTAAAGAACAGAATTCTTCCTTCCCTCTCCCCTCTTTCCCTTGCTTCCTGTCTTCCCTTCTCTCATTCTTCATCAAATTCAACTCACATTTACTGAACTCCTTCTGTGCATCAAGAGTTAGAGAATTTTCTTCTCACTCTCTGCTTTGAAAGATGAATCTAGCTCCAAACCAGAAATGGTTCCACTAGGCTGGAACTGTGGTCAGGGAAGCAGATGAGAGCTGGCATGTGGGCAAATTAGGGCAGAAACAGACTCTTGGTGGATTCCAAAGTAGGCACAGATTTAGAGGGACCAGGTTAGTGAAGTTACCCAGAACAGAGATGGGTCAAAGACAGAGGAGAGAAAGCCTCTTTGCTGCTGCGGGCCCTTTAAATGATACCCTCTCCTCTGCTCGCATGGCCTGGGGGCTGGTCGGCAAGTGCCCCACCAGTGGGTGCTGACTCCAGAGGTTTGGCCCTGGGGAAGGAGGGTGGAAGGCCGAGCTCAAAGTAGAGAAAAGGGGCATCTGGAATCTCCATGGCAAGGGGCAGGCAGAGAGTGCAGAAAGGCAGGGAGCATGACCTGTTTCCTTTCCACAAAAGAAATGGTACTATCTCCTGCTGGGGTGACCTCTGCTTTCCTCTCTGAAGAGACCTTAACTTTTAACTGTTCAGGTTGCTTTTCTTGATCAGGGAGGAGCTCAAGCCTGCAAAACCTCCCTGTAGGTAAGAGGGAGAATATGCCAAGGGAGGCTGCTGCTATACAGCTCCTAAAAGGAAAGTAGGGTGGGTAGGATGGGATCTCAAGGCCAGGCTGCCCATGGTGAGTGCACTTCAGGTGGATAGCTGTGCTGGGGGAAGCTGCCGGCCAAGTGGACACTCAGAGCTGGCAGCCCTGGAAATGAGATTGGAGCCCTGAGGCTGAGTGGGGGACATAGGCGTTAGCACTCCAGTATTGTATCATGTATTACTGTCAGGTTTTGTGCGTACTGCCTCCTGAACTTGACCTTGGATGTGGAGGTAATGTTATACGTCACCCAGAGAAACCATTCTAGAGCTGACTAAACCCACTGAGGGGGTCTCTGTACGCACTCGTGAGTTTTGATAGGTTACCAGAGAGCCACAGATGGGTATGGCTTGGAACAAAACCCAGGCAGGTGGCTCACAGCCAAGCCCAACAAAGCTGCCTCTTTCACAGACTCTTTCTTGGGATGGCTTGGATATTCCGTGGAGAGGGATGGTCCCCCCAGACCACCTGGGCACACAGAACAAAGTGCCCAGAGGGAAACTTGGTTAAATCCAAATTAAGTGCATTTTTTGATGAGACAGAAGAAATGAAGAAAGGCCCTGTGGGCAGCTTTGGGCTTGCAGAGCGCATGAAAAATATGTCATCTGAGGAATGGGGAGAGGAGACAAAGAGGTTAGTGTGACAGGAAGCCTGGGAGGAATAAAGCCAGAGTAGGAGGAAGAGAGGGCCACTAAGAAAGGAGGAGGGTCTTTGCCAAGAGGAGGCATGAGAACAAAGGGAGAGAGGTGGTGGGGGTAAGGTCGGGGATGCAAGGAGAGCTGCCGGACCCTGGTCAGTGTTTTCCCCAGCACTGAGAGTTGTCACCGGAGGCCTGTAGTCTGTGTGTTGGAGGAGCCCAGCCTAGCCCTCTCGGACGGAGAAGAAAGAATGGGCCCTTTTAGCTGAAGGAGTTAGCCTCCACCTACCCACCAGCCATGGATGGATGAGCACCTGCTCCTGGCCCCTGACCTGTGTGTTCAGTGCCAACAGTGCTTTAGAGAGGGTAACAGCACTAAGGGTTCTGAGGGAAAATGTGGACAGAAGCTGTTTATGTCCATACTGTTTTGTTCTTTAGGAGTCTTAAACAGTGCTTGCAGGAACAGTTTACAATGGTAGTGAAGGAGGCACTTTAGGCAAGATGTAGAGAGGACGTGGTAAAGTTGGCCAGGCCACGTTGGCCAGACCTGGGGTAGTGGCTGAGGGTTCTTGTTCATTCAACAAACATTAGTTGAATGTCTACTAGGAATACCGAAAACAAGACAGACTCCCTGATCTTCTGGATTCTAGTTTATATTCTAGGTTACCTTCTAGTGAGGGGTGACAGACAAGTAAACAATGAGATACTTTTCGGCCAGGCGCGGTGGCTCATGCCTGTAATCCTAGCACTTTGGGAGGCCGAGGAGGGTGGATCACGAGGTCAGGAGATTGAGACCATCCTGGCCAACATGGTGAAACCCCATCTCTACTAAAAATGTAAAAATTAGCTGGGCGTGGTGGCACGTGCCTGTAATCCCAGCTACTTGGGAGGCTGAGGCAGAAGAATGGCTTGAACCAGGAAGTCAGAGGTTGCAGTGAGCCGAGATCTTGCCACTGCACCCAGCCTGGCCACAGAGCGAGACTCCGTCTCAAAAAATAATAACAACAACAACAAAAAACAATGAGATACTTTTCTATGTAGGTTAAAAAAGCTCTTTGTTTGTCTTCACTTCCCAACCAGGTTGAGGCTGCCAGGGCTGTCTTCTCTGACAGCAACAGTAGAGCAGAAGTACAGTCAGTATTTTGCCTGTCAATGTCATCTTGACTTACACAATATTTTTATGCATTTTTCCTCTCCTCATTTCCAAAATAGTCAATAATCCCTTCAGGAGTGGAAGGGAAAAGGAAGATTGCAGAGGGCAGATAGCTCCAGAAGAAGAGACCACTGCCTCCTAACTGTATTCCTTCCACCAGCTTCTCCTCATTCACCTTCCTACACTCCTGGAGGAATTTTATAACATGCTAATGTCACCATGGGACTTCCTGCTTTAATGGTTTAGATTGAGAATTGGTTGGGATGCTTTTGACTCCTAAGAAGTAGAAAGCCCTGACTCAGCTGGCACAGTCATAAAGACACTTAGCACCTCACCCAGCAAGAAACCTGGGGAAGGTGCCTCCTGGTAGGTTAATTGAGTGATTGACTCCCAGGAGCCCAAGTCCTTCCCCTCTTTCAGCTCTGTCATTTCCACGCTGTACGCCTTCAGAGTGGCATGATGGCTACTGCATCCAGATACCACAGCACTCAGCAGGAGGAGAGACACTCCTCCCTGTGCATCTACAGCAGGGAGGGGACCCTTCCCAGGGCCCCAGAAGATTGCCTTCATGACTCATGGGCTGGACTTGAGTGATGCCTCTTCCTAACTCACTGGCAAGGGAACTGGATTTCCATGGTTGCCTCTGAGAAGCACAGGGCCATGGGTGGAGCAAATTTCCTGATCTACAAAGGGAGCTCTATTAGTCAGTGAGTCAAGAGTGAGTGGTGATGAGTTGATGGGTAGGTAAGCATAGGTGTCTGTTACAGATAACTTTGTCTCACTTTCAGGAAAAAAAAAAATCAAACTCTGTAGCAAGACATCAAATGCCCTTCATGTTCAGGTCCCTGCCTGCTCCTCCAGCCTCATCTTTTCAGCAATACTCAAGTGCCTTTCTCCAGCCATATCCAAAGTATTGCTGGCTGGGCATGGTGGCTCACGCCTGTAATCCCAGCACTTTAGGAGGCCGAGGCGGGCAGATTACTTTGAGCTCAGAATTTGAGACCAGGCTGGGCAACATGGCAAAACCCCATCTCTACTAAAATATAAAAATTAGCCAGGCATGGTGGCAGACCCCTGTAATCCCAGCTGCTTTGGAGGCTGAGGCAAGAGAATCGCATGAACCTGGGAGACAGAGGTTGCAGTGAGCCAAGACCACGCCATTGCACTCCAGCCTGGACAACAAGAGCAAAACTCCGTCTCAAAAAAAAAAAAATTAGCCATGCGAGATGGTGAGCTGAGTAATCTCAGCTACTTGGGAGGCTGAGGCAGGAGAATCGCTTGAACCTGGGAGGTGGAGGTTGCAGTGAGCCGAGATCACACCACTGCACTCCATCCTGGGTGATAGAGAGACTGTCTCAAAAAAAAAAAAAGAAAAAAAAAACATCACAAAGATGGATTGCAATGTCCATCTGAACCTTCTCTGTTCTTTAATGCCTCAATGCCTTTGCCCACACTGTTTCTGGCCCTTGCTGCCTTGTTCTTTGAGACAGCCCTTGCTATACTAACACTCTCTTCAAGCATATCCCAGCTTCCCTAACCTTGCTTGGCTCCTGCCTCCAGGTGGAATTAGAAGGTGCTCCTTTGCAAGTGACTCAGTTATTGCAGACTGGTACAGTGGTTAAATACAAGGTGCAGAAAGCACACACCCAAGCTCTCATGCTTACAGGCTGGGTGACCTCAGGCAAGATATTTAACTCTCTGAGCAATCTAATTGATTCTTCTTCTGTGAAATGGGCATAATAATGGTAAAAATGGGTCTAATAATAGTACCTACTTCATTAAATTTTTGTGATGATTATAAGGTATGCTAAGTGCTTAGCACAACACAGGGAGTACTGTGCTAAGTATATGTGTAGTGCTCAGTAAATGCTAATTCTTTTTATTTGGTGGTGGTTATTATTAGCATCCTCATGGAGGGACAACTGTAGACACAAATACAAATAGAGTGACCTCATGCCAAAATGTGATTCCAAGACGTTTGCTCACTTTTCAAATGGCTCTAACATTTCACCACCCAGTAACTGCATGTTGAAAGGCCCCTGTAGTCTTTGGGGCTACGGTATTTAGTGTGGGCAAACAGCGTGATGTGTACCGTGGACATTTTTGAAGGTTTCTTTACCACCACCTCTGAACTCCATCTGCATCCAAGGGCTATCTCTAAAGAGAAATCGAAGACATCCACCCACAGTTTCACAGAGCTCTCTACAGGCCTTTCCCTTATTGGTCATCTCCTTGGTGAGGTCAGAGGAGGCTTTGCTCCTGGCCTCTGCAGGAGATTCCTGTCCTCTAATCTCTGAACTTCAATGGAATCTGGGTTAGAAGGATCCCTGAGGGAGTCTCAAGGGAGGACAGCCGATTTACCCTCCCCAGACCCCTCAGTGTTGAAGAACGACCTTCAAGAGGCAAATGATGATTTGAAGGTCGAGTAAGGCTCTTATGTACTTGTGACAAAATAAGAAAAATACATTTGGTCTCTGCCCCAGTTCCTAGCACAGAGCTCCTAAAACTCTTGTAATTTCCGGAGTGATAGGGGTGACAGGAGTTTTTTTTGTTTTGTTTTTTTATAATGTAACTAGGGTCTTGGTCCCTAGTTCCTGCTATAAGAGCTTCTAACACCCTTGGAATTTCTGGAGAGATAAGATGTAATTTGTAATGCTAATGAGGTAACTCTAGGTTGGGTGGGGGTGGGGGAGCTAGACAGCTTCAGGATGAGGTCGGCTTACCAGAGGAATCAAGCTTACGATTAGAGGGTTGGAACTTTCAGCCCCATCGTCTGACCTCTGGGAAGAGGGGAGTTGGAGACTGAGTCCAATCACCAATGCCCCCTGATTTAATCAATCATGCCTATGTAACGGAACCTCCACAAAAACCCTAAACAACGTTATTCAGAGAGCTTCCAGGTTGGTGAACACATCCACATGTCAGGAAGGCAAATGCCCAGAGAGTGTGGAAGCATCTCACCTCCTCCCACATACCTTGCCCTATGCATCTCTTTCATTGGCTGCTCCTAGAGTTTTATTCTCCATAATAAACTAATCAGAGTAAGCAAAGTGTTTCACTGAGTTATGAGAAGCATTATAGCAAATTTTTGAACCTGAGGAGGGAATTTGGGGAACCCCCAATTTATAGCTGGTCAGTCAGGAATACAGGAGACCTGAGACTTGTGATTGGCATCTGAAGTGGGGGTCAGTTTTATGGGGCTGATCCCTTAACCTGTAGGGTTTGTGCTAATTCCAGGTAGTTAGTATCAGAATTGAGTTAAATGGTAAGATCCTAATTGGTGTCTGCAGAGAACTAAAGAAGTACAAGTACTTAGTTTGGAAAACCTACACATTTTGGTGTCAGAAGTATTAAGAGCATCGAAAACTAGTTTTTCTTTTGGTATTCTTACCAATTTCCACAGAAATTGAGGTCCTGATGGACTCTGGATACTTGAGTAGCATCTTTAACTGTGTTTGTGTGAGTGAGTTCTGAGTTTAGAGTTTACTGTTAAATAAATCTGGCTCCTAAGCAAATTAATGCAGGAACAGAAAACCAAATACCACATGTTCTCATTTATAAATGGAGCTAAACATTGAGTACACATGGACACAAAGGAGGGAACAACAGACCCTGGGACCTACTTGAGGGTGGAGGATAGGAGGAGGGTGAGAATCAGAAAACTGTCTATCAGGTATGATGCCCATTACCTGGGTGATGAAATAATCTGTACACCAAACCCCCATGACACACAATTTACCCATGTAACAAACCTGCATTTGTACCCCTGAACCTAAAATAAAAGTTGGAAAGAAAAATAAATAAATAAATAACTGGAAATATATAAATAAATCTGGCAAAGTTATAGTGTTTGTGGTAGGTGAAAAGATACTCGCACCCAGCAGCGTCTGCCTGAATTTTCTCTGTAAGTTGCAAAGGTCCAATATTTAATACAGGTCACATTTTAGGATTAGAATTTTAATCCACTTTCAAGTAGTAAGTTTGTTCCTCAAAAAATAAAAAATAAAAATAAAAGATCCAGAAGAGAGCTAAGAGTAGGAAGCAACCTACCTTTGTATCTTTTGCTAAAGCGCATGTATTTTGGTAGTTAAAAGCAAAAGCAAGTGGGCTTGGTAACCAGTGGGAGGAGTGGCCAGGGAAGGTGCTCCCGAAGTATCAATTGGTTAGCAAAGTCAGTTTAAAATGGGCGACCCGGCTGGGCGTGGGGGTTCACACCTGTAATCCCAGCACTTCGGGAGGCCGAGGTGGGTGGATCACGAGGTCAGGAGATTGAGACCATCCTGGCCAACGTGGTGAAACCCCGTCTCTACTAAAAATACAAAAATAACTGGGTGTGGCAGCACACGCCTGTAATCCCAGCTACTTGGGAGCCTGAGGCGGGAGAATGGCTTGAACCGGGGAGGCGGAGATTGCAGTGAGCCGAGATTACACCACTGCACTCTAGCCCGGCAACAGAGTGAGACTCCATCTCAGAAAAAAAAAAAAAGGACAACCCACAGAGTATACAATTATAACAACATGTGGATCATTGCTTCTATCTCAACATTATTATAACAAACATTTGATACTTTTCTATTTACAAAAATATCATATATACATTGCTGATACCTAATATCTAACAATTCTTCAGCACTTAACTATGTACCAAGCAGTGTTTTAGGTGCTTACACTCATTTGCTCATTTAATCATTACTGACCCATGGGGCTGTATTCCAGTGCCTCCTTAGCCTGCTCTTTAAAACCATTCATCACCCACCCACTTACTCTCCTACACAGCACTTACCACTCTCTGACACACTATGTTTACTTCATTACCTGTCTGTGTCTCTCCACTAGAATGTGAGCTCCCTGTTGGTGAGAATTTGCTTTATACCCAGCACCTAGAATAATGCCTGACATATAATGAAACAAATGCCTGGTCCTCAGTAAATACTTGATTAATGATGGAAAGTACTGTTACCTCCCATTTTACAGGTGAGGAAACAGGCTCTGAGTGGTTAAGTAGCTTGCTCAGATCACAGCTAGGAAGTGGCAGAACTGGGATACAAACCCAGACACTTCCGCTCTGGAGACACCCACAACCACGACAGTAGGCAGCCCAGGTACACAGCACTGAGTCAGACCAGTCCTGAGGTGGGGACTTGCGTGGTAGGCATAGACCAAGGTATTTAGCCTGCAGGCAGAAGAGGAAGGCCCTGAGAAGGAGGCGGTAGACATTGAAGATTAACGTCAGCTGTGTGGCACTTGTGCTTTAGTGTGATCCTGGCTAACAGTGCTGATATCAGTCTCTCATGAGTGTAATCACACAGAAACCAACAGATATTTCTGAACTCCTTGTGTGTGTAAAGCACTGATGTACGTGTTAAGAAAACTGTCACAAAGTACAAAAGGAGACACTTGGCACTCAAAGAGCTTATAATCTAATTGTGGGAAGCACTAGCACATGAAAAATAACATAGCAAAGTCAGCAGTATTAAGAGTACCATAAAGTGGCACGTGGTTAACACTCAAACCAGGGGCCCTGGGAACCAGTGCGTCACCGGTAAGGAGGGAGCAGTCACTAAAGTCTCAGTAGGCTGGGAAGCTTCGTGTGGTGTGGGGCGGCGGGGAGCAAAGCTTCCTTGGGACTGGCAGAGCCAAGAGGGCTGAGGAGGTCTAGGGGAAGGTGAACTGGGAGGGTGGGAAAGCAGGGAGGAGGAGAGCCCCTTGGCAAAAAGTGCTGTGGGGCAAAATACTGCAAAGATGCTGGGCAGGGATGTGGGGGGGTAAACAGGGCTAGTCAGCTGTAGCCCATCAAAGCCAGGATGGAGAATGTCATATGTAGTTTGTGCATGGATGTCACCTTGAGCTGGGAAGCAACTCAGAGACTTACAGGGAAGGAGAATAGAAAAGGAGTAAGATTGGGAATGCTGCCAGAGATGACATGGAGAAGCACAGGGAAGGCCAGAGAACCAAATGGCTAAGGGCACAGGCTTTAGAGCCAGCCTAACTTCCACCTCTACCTCTGCCACTTCTGAACTGTATGAAAGGTCACGACACTCAACTTTCAGAGACTCATTTCCTCATCTGTAAATGAGAGAAAAAGAAAAAAGTTGTCTCATGGAATGTCTGTGAGGTTAATACAGTGAGATAATATAACATGTAAAATACTTAGCACAGTGCTCAATAAATGGTAGCTTTCAAAAACCATGGAAGTGACCCACTGGGAATGCTGGGCTCTCAGCCCCAAAAACCAGAGAGCAATGCCAGACCATGGTGCCTGCTGCCCCCCGCACTGGGGGTGACCCCCTTCAGCCCCTGCTTTGATGCCCAGTGGCCCATTTCTTCCCTCATACTTAAAAGTGCCTGCTCACATATAAGGCTAAATCAAACTCCTGCAGAAACATGACAGGAAGCTGAAAAGATAACATAAAGCAGAAGCAGGGATTCCTGTTACCAGAACAGTGTTGGTTGAACAGGATGTGGGGGGATCAGGGAAACAGATGGCTGAGAAGCAGATATTGCGGAACCATCCAGGAAGTTATTGCCCTCCCAAGCTCAGGACAGAGGCTAGTTCTATTATTATGACTTTTTTTTTTGAGGGGGTGGTGGTTTAATGTACTGATTGCTTGCCTGCCCCTGAAGGCAGTTTTAGGACTTCAGCAAAATACAAGTTAGCACCTGTTTTTGTAAGTATAGCTAAGATAGTTTTAGTTTGGGGGGTTTTGTTTTGTTCTATCTTCATTTTTTGTTGCATTCCTGAATATCTTGTTCCTAGCTATGGTGGTTGTTTTGACATTGTCAATCAAGAATTCAGTGGGCAATAGCTTAAATGCCTTCAGTATTACCATCTATTGCTTGTTTAAACAGAGTTTTAATTTCTTTTTTTTTTTTTTTTTTTTTTTTTGAGATGGAGTCTAGCTCTGTCGCCGAGGCTAGAATGCAGTGGTGCAACCTTGGCTCACTGCAACCTCCGCCTCCTGGGTTCAAGCGATTCTCCTGCCTCAGCCTCTTGAGTAACTGGGATTACAGGCGCCCACCACCACACACAGCTAATTTTTGTATTTTTAGTAGAGATGGGGTTTCACTGTGTTGGCCAGGCTAGTCTCGAACTCCTGACCTCGTGATCTGCCTGCCTCAACCTCCCAAAGTGCTGGGATTCAAGCGTGAGCCACTGCGCCCAGCCCAGAGTTTTAATTTCTAAAGGATTTTGTGAATTATTCACCAATGAAAGCAAAGCTATAAATTGCAGCATAATTTCAAAATATTGCTTGGGGGATATGATCATGAGAAAACATAAAACTCTATTCTCCTGTCAATTCCTGAGCAAAAATTATCCTACAGTGATAGAATAAACTAGTCACAGTGGGCTTTCTGTGCAGCTAATTTATTTTATGTGCCTACTGTGTGCCAGGTATAGCACTAGATTCTGGGTATACAGTGGTGATTAAGACAGCATAGTCCTCACTCTCTTGGAATTTTCTAGTATAGTTTTCCAACTAGCAGCTGGCCTTTTGCATATCTGGATAGCCTGAATACGTACCTCTTGTTCTTTCAGTAGTAATAATATGTTTGTGAATGTTCCATTCACATTCTTCCCCAGCATCCTTTGTATGTAGAGTGTACTATACACATGGCTGAGGGATCAGGGAAGGTGTGAATCAGATCCTGTAAACCTAGCACAGGCCCTGACCACGGCAGCATTCTTCTAACCTCCTAATCAGTGAGATAAGTGTGGTTGCTACCTAATAAACCACTGTAAAATTACATTAGAACTCCTCATTTATATTTTTTGGCTCAAACATGTTCTCCGTGTGTCTGTTGGTGTATAGCGCATCTCTATACAAATGTACATGGCCCTTTCCCATGTTTTATTTCATTTTCCCTTCAGAAGAAGCCTGTGCAGCAGAATGAATCAGGCAATGGTATCTCACACATGGATGAAAAGTGACTTCCCTCCCCATTCTTCTGGGGAGGGCTGCTTCCCCGCTTTGCGAAGCCCCACCTCTTACAACCTAATCTGCAGCGCCAGCTTTACCAAGTGAGGTTCACTTTATATTCAGCATTTACTGAGTCATCAATCCCCAGGAATCTCAAGATACCAAAAATATGGAGACCCCACAGAGAAAGCTCAAGTTCACTACTGCAAATGCCTCTGTTCTGAAGAGTAAATTCGAGTAAGAAAAGAAACAACTAATCATGTTTATGCTGAGAAATGTTTCTCTTCTTTCTCTCCTTCTTGATCTGCTTATTTCTCATAGTTCCCCGTCTCTGAGCTTCTCCCTGGGGCCTACAAAATGCATCTCGCTGGCATCCTAGGAGAGCACTGAATAAATATAAAGTGATAATGAGGAGGCGGCAGCTCTGGGCCACCTGGGAGGTGATAAGTGCAGCCAAGAGGCCCGGTGGGACCTGAATGCCTGCTCAGACAGCCCAGGGATCTCAGGTGTGATATAATTGTTGCTCAGCTTGTTTCCTTTACCCAATAAACTGTAGCTCTGTGGGGGCAAGTTGTATATTGTGCTCTCCATATAGCCCTAACGCAGTGCCTGGTGCTCCATAAATAGTTATTAAAAGTAGGAAAGAAGGCAGGCAGGCAAGGAGGAAGGAATGTGTGGGGGTGCACCTAAGCTTCTGAGGTTGTACAGAAAATGTGGACAGAAACCTAAAGTCTAGGTAGGAGCGGAGTTTGCACTCCGTCTTTTAAGACAGAATCCCTGGGTTAGTTCAGGTGAAAGCCCCGTGGATTAAACCTGTTTGATGCCTGGTTTGTGGGAGTCAAGGGATGTATGCGCCTCCTCTCCTGGCTGCCACACAGGAGCTGTGTTCAGTCTCACAGGGGCATCATCAGCCTGGGAGCAGCTGTGTGGCTGTAACACCAGTGGATGCCGGTGTAACAGCTGGTACACACACCAGTGGTGACCCCCAGATGGGCCCACAGGGCAGAAACACTAAAGGCCAGGCCTCCTTCTCCATGAGGGCTGCCCAGAGTTCCTTCACAACAGCGACAAAGGCAGAGCCCAAGCCCATTGGAGGTTTTGCAGGTAGTGGACGTGAGTCCTGAAGAGCAGCTTTACCACTCCAGGGACCACCAGGCCCTGCCCGCCTAGAAGTCATAGCAGCCAGTGTAGACTTTAGCTTAGGAATACACTGCATGACCATCTCTGTGGGACCCCTTCGCCCTCAACCATCCTGTGAGATGTGGAAATTGAGGTTCAATAAGGCTGAATAACTTGCCTAAGGTCACACAACCAGTGAAGTGTCAGAGTTCGTACTCAGGGCATCTGGTCCTTTGTCAATCACATCAGCAGAGGCATAGCAGCTGCAATGTTGAGAATACACTTGATCTTAGCCAAAAGGCCAAGAAGTGATGCAATGTTGAGAATAACCAGCAGAGGACAGCCTCCACCAAGAGGCCATTTACTGCCTTTGCAGAGATCAAAGCTAACATACCAGTATTGGGGCATATGTCACCATGTGCTCCCTGCTCCCTGACAAGATACACTGAAAAGGATCCAACATCAATTCTGTGATTTTCCTGTCATAAAAAATTTACCTAAACCTAATCCTGAAATACCAGATAAACTCAAAATCAGGGGCAGTCTGCTAAGCAACTGGCTAGTACCCTTCAAAATTGCTAAGGTCCAAAAAGTCAAAGAAAGGCAGAACTGTTCCAGGTTAAAGGAGGGCCATACAGCTAAATGCAATTAAATGCAATAAATGATTGATCTTTCATTGGATCCTGGGCTGAGAAAAAAGCAATACAAAATGTAAAGGACATTATTGGGACAATTGACGTAATCTGAATTTGAACTGTGGTTTAGATAGTAGTATTGTATCAATGTTAAGTTTCCTAAAGTTGCAATCATAATATGTTTACATAACAGAATGTCTTTGATCCCGAAATATTAAGGGGTAAAGGGGTACAATGTTTCCAACTAGCTTTAAAATAGTCAAGGAAGAACACAGAGATAGTAATAAGGCCACAAAAGAAATGGAGCACAATGAAAGCAATAGGTGAATCTGGGCAAAGGGCACATGGAAGTCCCTTATACTGTACTTACAATTTTTCTGTAACTTTTAAATTATATCCATATTAAAAGTGAATGAGAGAGAGAGAGAAACTGTCCTAGTTTTTCAGAGCTTTGGACTTGTGGTAGCCACACCCGATTTGAGTCAGTGAAAGCTTTCTCATTGAGGGGGTGGGGGCAGTGAGGTGAGGCCTCTTTTTAGTAAAGTGTGGCTTCAGCCCACTGTGGAGCCCTGACCTTTGCCCTGGACTGACCAGAGTGACTGCACACAAAGCTTACCTGATAATAGATTTACCTGACCTATGAGACGGCCTTTGCTTAAACATTTTGAGGGAGTGAATATAATTCACACCTATAGGTGGAGGAAGAACAGTGGACCAAGCTGAAGGCAGAATGGAGCTCTGGGGGCTGGGGACACAGGGAGCATTCCAGGGCCTGTGAAATACAGAGAAGGAGAAAGGAGGGTCATCTGGGGGAGGGATGCAGGGTGGAACCACCACCTACAGCTTTGCTGGGGCAATCCTTCCAAAAGGTAAGACTGCTGGAATCTGAATGAGCAGGGGAAATGTTAACAGTAAAAAGACTGCTATGAGGGGTAGCCATGAAAAAGGACATAGAGTAGAAAAAGCCGATGGAGATGATATAGACAATGATGTGTGTTAGAACCACTTGGAGGACTATTGGAATTCTGATTCTTTTAGGCCTGGGATAGGGGGGTAGAGAATTTACATTTCTAACAAACTACCTGGTGCTGCTGGTCTGGACCACACTGTGAGTTGCAGTGGTGTTGCAGATGATTGTGTCCAGCCCACCCTGGAGGGGTAATGCCTGTGAGGAACATGTGAGAGTCACAATCAAAGAGGTCCAGGGTTGACCCTGTGGTGCCTCTAGCTGGGCAGTAGGGATTAGGGACAGACAGCCTCATGGATGAAATGCCACTTAAACTGGGTTTCAGAGGAGCTGGGGTAGAGGAGGGCCTTCTAAGGAAGCAAAGACCTAGAAAACAGTCCAGTCCAGTTCATCATTTGGGTTTCCCAGGGAAATGGTGGGCAGAAAGGCAGTTGAAGGGCCTGAGTGCCAGGTCAGGAGTTTGGACCATATTTGGCAGGTGGTGCAGAGCCTATGGTGGAGACATGACAGAGAGAGGGCTTTCAAAAGATTGACCTGATAGAGGTATGAAGAGGTATGAAGGGCAGATAGGAGAGGGGGAGACTTGAGGTAGGAAAACTAGACAGGAGGTCCCAGCGGTGGGCTTCCTGGGACGGAAGGGCCTGGGGAAAGGGGATGGTAAGGGTGCGTGGAAAATAAGGGAGTTTAAGCATTCTAGCTAAGTGGGAAGTAGAATTACACAAAGAATCCATTTGTTCTATTAGACTTTTGGCCTTGAGTTACCACCAAAATTGATATGAAGCATTCAAGTCTTCAAAGATGTTTTTTAAAAAAATCAATCCATTAAATGTATTTACAGGACATTTATTACTAAAAATTAAGCACGAGCTTTCATATGAACATCTTCAAAAGTCTCCTAAGCAGCAAGTGGGCAGATGGAGACAATGATGTGCTGGGAAACGTTTACCAACAGGCTGGGAGTCAGGAGAGCCCTGATTTGTAGCGAATGTCAGTTTCCGAGCTATAAAATTCTCTCATAATGGCCGATTTCAAGCTAACAACATGATGTCAACTAGCTTGTAAAATTCCAAAAATATGTCAGTTGGCTCTTGGGAGCCAGTACAAGCTGTTTCTAGCACACTCCAGAATGTAGAACAAATGACAGGAAATGGTTGGAGCCACTGCATAAGTAGTGAGTAAGTTTCTTTTCAGCATTGGTTTCTGAACCCAGAAAGCCAGGATTACCTGTGGAAGAAGCTCACAGGCCAGGTGACTTTGGGCCCCAAGCATTGGAGCATCAGTTAACAACAGTTCTTTCCAAAGAATGGAAAATGGCGGATAGGTTGGATTTGTTCCAAAGCCCCAAAGCCAGGAGGATTATTTTACATAATAGAGAAGCATAAAGGAAAGGGAAGAGTCTTAAAACTAAGAGGAAAGAGACCCGGTGTTTGCACTTATCTCTGTCTCTGATACTTAGCAGCTGTGTGCTTAACTGCTTTGAGCCTCACCCTCTGTCTTTGAAAGCAAGGACAATACTAATAGTATACACAGCTCCATGCAAAGCCTAGAAGGCATTCCATATCAGTCAGACTTCACAACCCTCCCTTTCTTCCCTGCTACAGCATTCACCCCTCTCCACTTAGGTTTATGCTGCCCCAGACCCTGTATCTGTCCCATAGAAACTATCCTCTCACGTCTGAGGGATGTCCCACACCTTCAGGGTAGATCTGGAAGCCGCACTGGCCAGTCTGCTGCAGAGAAGAAGGCAAAGGGAGAGAAGCTGATTGTGTCCCCATCAGCTTTCACGGCTGTGCTTTGGTCCCTCACGAGCTGTACTTCCTGCCCTTGGATTCTAGTCTTTCTTTTTTTCTGATAATTTTTTCTTTTGGCTTAAAATTGGGATTCTGTTACCTGTAACCCAAAGAGCCTGAGACACCCTAATTATCTTCCTTCAAAAATTCTGGTAGAGACAAAAGACACTGGCCTGGGAATCAGATTTGAGTTTTGACCTTGGACAAATGACTTCACCTCTCTGGGTCTTGGTTTCTCATCTGTAAGATGAACCAATGAACCAAATGAATGTAAATGAATTTTAGCACTAGTGTACTGCTCTGTTCTACATATCTTTAGCCTAATGGGAGTATATTAGAGTTAAATGCCCACTCAATTCCACTAGTCAGAAATGAGTTGATTTGAATGACCAGAGAGCTTTGGACAGTATTTGCACAGTACTGATTAACTCCCTAGCCAGTACTATCTGGGCACGGGTGACACCTTAGTTCGCCTGGTGTCTGTAGAGGGTCCTGGAACTTGTGTAGGATTGTGAAAGGCTGCTGACAGTGGGCCTTGGCATGCATGGAGAAGGATGATGCTGCAGGGACATGTGGTTTTCATGAACATTTTTGAAGCCATGAAAGTGTCCTAGGGTTCCTGACCTGGCATCAGAGTGTGCTGATGTGGGCCAGTTTCCTGTCTGAGACTTTGAGAGATGGATGGGAAGAGGTGAATATTTCATCAGTCATAACCACGTTTAGTATTCACCCTGGGAGATGCTTTCCCTGTGCTAAGGGAAAACTTAAGGGCTAGTTGTCAAAAAAGTCTTTTTGTGTGTGTGTGGTAACAATAAAATAGTAATTGCTATGGAAGATGCGTATATTTATAAACTATAAAGAAGAAAGTGAAATAATCTGTTAACCAAAGACCTGGAGATAACTTCTAACAGCAATTTCTTTTTTTTTTTTTTTTGAGATGGAGTCTTGCTCTGTCACCCAGGCTGGAGTAAAGTGGCATGATCTCGGCTCACTGCAACCTCCGCCTCACGGGTTCAAGCAATTCTCCTGCCTCAGCCTCCCGAGTAGCTGGGATTACAGGCACATGCCACCATGCCTGCTAATTTTTGTATTTTTTTTTAGTAGAGCTATCTTGGCCAGGCTGGTCTCGAACTCCTGACCTCAGGTGATCCACCTGCCTTGACCTCCCAAAGTTCTGGGATTACAGGCGTGAGCCACCGCATCGGGCCAGCAGTTCCATTTATATCCTTCTAACTGCATGCCACCAGGTTTTACACCGTCTTATAAACTGCTTATCTTAAAAATGTTTGGGAGAATTCCTCGTTAAAGACCTTTATTGGGTCTTCAATGATTTTTTTTTTTTTTTTTTTTTATCTTTTTGAGACGAAGTCTTGCTCTGTCGCCCAGGCTGGAGTGCAAAGGCGCTATCTAGGCTTGCTGCAACCTCTGCCTCCCAGGTTCAAGCAATTCTCCTGCCTCAGCCTCCCGAGTGGTTGGGATTACAGGCACCCACAGCCACGCCCAGCTAATTTTTGTATTTTTAGTAGAGATAGGGTTTTGCCATGTTGGTCAGAGTGGTCTCAAACTCCTAACCCCAGGTGATCCGCCCACCTCGGCCTCCCAAAGTGCTGGGATTACAGGCATGAGCTACCGTGCCCAGCAGGTCTTTAATGATTTAAGATCAAATAGTACCAAAGACTTTATCGTGAGAAATAGAAGTTACCTGCCCCACGACTCCCCCCACCACCACCCCTCAGCCTTGATCCCCCAAAGAAAATTTTAAGCATTTTTGTTTTGTTTTGAGTTTTTTTGGTGGTTACCTCCAACAGAAGATGTTGTTTATTAATTTAGCATCTTTATTCTTTTCTATTGACTTTCTACAGTGATAGAGGAGTCAGCTACTTCTATCCCACTCCTGCCTCCTCCCCATCCTTCTAAATATAGTGAAATCATTATTCTCAGATCTTTCTCCATCTCCTCCTCAACTTCAAAGAACATAATTAAAGCCCCATTTCCTGTTCCATCAAATATAGATAATATCTCTTTACTCTTCACTTTGTCAAAGGAGCACTTGGCACCCTACCCTTCCCTCCCGCTTCTCTCTCTCTTCTACTTCCCAACCTCTGTCAGCCTGTTACATACTTTTACGCTTTGTTTTGAAATCATTGTTGAGTTGGTTATGTTTGTCTGATGTTGACTCTACAAGTTGAAGACCAGAAAATAATATTTATCTTATTTTGGCTATAGAAATATAGTTCACAGCAGATAAAGTAGTGAACTAGGATTACATTTCTTTATGGAACCAATGTCCCTACCCAATAGAGAATATTTCTGGAACAAATTATCTTATTTTCTTTTGTTTTTAATCCCACCAATTTTCTTTATCTTATCCTCATATCATGTTTTCCATGCTTTTAATCAAGCTATTTTTTTTAACTGATTCTACTTCTGTTTGTTCCAGCTGCCCTCCAAAAACAAAACAAAACTAGAAAACTGTGTAGTTCTCTATCTTCCTTCTCTTGTTTCCTCTGGGTCTGTAACGTGGTTGCCATATTGCAATTTCTCTTCATTGTTCTCAATGTTCAGAATTCACATTTTTCAAGTCCTCAACAGCTTCCTCTTTCTTAATTTATACATCGATTTTGCTGGAGTGTATTCTCAGGTAACTTTCTAGAAAATGCTATACAGGAGGTACAATTCTGCTTTCATATCTGAAAATGCCTTTATTCAACTTTTCACTTAACTAATAAATTGGCTGGGTATAAAATTCTAGGTCAAATACTATATTACTCAAAATAGAATCTGTGGTTTTTTTCTGGAATCTGTTAGCATCTACTTTTTATTCTTGGTGCTCTGAAAGTTTTCAATGGTGTGCTATGTGTGGGTCTTTTTGATTCATTTGTTCTGGGCATTCATTTGCCCTGTTGGGGCTCTGAAAACAATAGCCAAAAATATGGTGCTTTAACGTGTTAAACTAATGAAGCAGACTTAAGGTCTCTCTCTGATCTTCTCCACCTCCCTTTCTCTCTGATTCTCTTTCTGAATGTACAGAGAGGGACTCTCTGCAATTTTTTCTTTTCATTTTTCTTCTTTTTTTTTTTTTTTAAAAAAAAAAAGAGTTTTGCTTTATCACCCAGGATGGAGTGCAGTGGTGTGATCTCAGCTCACTGCAACCTCTGCCTCCCTGAACCTCCCACCTCAGACACCCAATTTCACTGTCAAGTAGCTGGGACTACAGGTCTGTACCACCACACCTGGCTAATTTTTGTTATTTTTTGTAGAGACAGGGTTTTGCTATGTTGCCAAGGCTGACCTGGAACTCCTGGGCTCAAGCATTCCTCCTGCCTCTGGCATCAAAAGTGTTGAGATTACAGCCATGAACCACTGGAATTTTCTTATCTGACCCAGGAAACTTCTTTCCAAAAGAAGTGCAGTTGTCTTAAGACTCCTTCCCTAGGAATCTCACCAACTAACCAGGAAAGATTAACCACTGGAGAGAAGAAACAGGGAGTCATCACCACACCCACACAGACTATTAATCTATTCTTCCGAGAGTAGCATGGAGAGATTAGCTGGGGGACTTAATCTGCATAATAAGACAACTTTTGTTCACAGTGAAGTTCCACCCCTAGCCTTCCCACCACCTTCCGCAGAGCTCAAAGGAACTTTTTCCCAGGCCATTGTTCTTTGTGCTCATTCATTTCCCCTGAAAATCATTTACTCCCACACCCATCATTCTCCATCTCCCCTTCCTCTATGATAAAGAATATATAACTCTCATTGGGTTATTGGGTAATCATTCTCATGGGATTTCCCTGTGCTTTGGCATGTTAAATAATTTTTTCCCCCTCAGTGATCCTTGTTCTGATGTTAAATAAATTTTGTATGTCTTTTTCTCCTATTCATCTGTCTTTTTTTCAGTTTATTTTCAGTGAACCTTCAGTGGATGGAGAGGAGGCTTTCCTCCACCCCTACAGGCCATATCAATCAAAGACATATGCTCTTCTAAATTTTAGAAAATTCTACTATTTTTTTTTTCTTTTGAGATAGGGTCTCACTTTGTCATCCAGGCTGGAGTGCAGTGGCATGATCTCCTCTCACTGCAGCCTTGATATCCTGGGCTCAAGCAATCTTCCCACCTAGGCCCCTCAAGTAGCTGGGACGACAGGTGTGCACCAGCATGCCAGCTAATTTTTGTAGAGACAGGGGTTTGCCATGTTGCCAAGGCTAGTCTTGAACTCCTGAGCTCAGATCTGCCCACCTTTGCTTCCCAAAGTGCTGGAATTACAGGTATGAGCCGCCATGCCCAGCCTTCTACTATTCTTTTATAACTTCTATTGAGGTTCAGAAAACGATAACCCAAAATATGATGCTTTGACATTATGAGTGCTTTGAGTTAAAGAAAATTGAAAGACCTAAGAAATTAGCCACAGAATCAAGGTCTCTTTCTGACCTTTCCCCAGCCTCATCTTTCTGATTCTTTTTCTGGAAGCACTGAGAAGGGCTTTCTCTAGAAGTTTCTTTATCATACTGAAAAAAACTTCTGAAGGAAACACAATTGTCTTAAAACCCCCTCCTAGGAATTTCATCAAATAACCAGGAAAGATTAACCACTAAGAGTTGTCACCACACCTGAACAGAGTTTTCATCTGTGCTTCTGAGGACAGTTCCAAGAGATTACCTAAGAAACTTTATCTACATAATAAGACAACCTTTGTTCTTGCATAGTTTCACCCCTCACTTTCCATGTTAGTCCTATCCAGCTTTCAAAGATAATCATTTATAAAATAGTGTCTGCCTCCCAGGTTCATATATCACTCTCCTATGAAGAGAATATTTAAGCCTCAACCATCTGGCCTCTCTTTGAGTCTCATACTTTGTGTATGGCTCCTGTGTTTATGCATATCAAATGCCTTTTTCTCATATTAATCTGTCCATGGTTAGATCATTCCAGCAAAATTTCAGAGTCGGTAGAAGGCAAAGTTTTCCTCTTCAACACTATGCTTCCTTCCTTTTGTTTTAACATTTTTCTCTTTTTGAAATTCCTGTCATTTAGATCTCAAATCTTTATATCACCCCTTTAGAACTTTTATCTTTTTTTAAATCATATTTTACATTTCTTTTCAAATCTATACTTGGGAGATTTCTTCAATTTCATTATTTAACCTTATTATTGTTATTTTGGAAACCATATTTTTAATTTCAAAAAGCTCTTTCTTGTTCTCTGATTGTTTCTTTTTCATAACATCCTCTTCTTGTTTTGCCACTGTGACATATTTTTCTTAGTTTTCTCTAAGGTTTTTAGAAGTTTTTGTTCATTTGTTTAATCCTTTTCTTCCCCATGAATTATCTCTATTTCCTCTAAAATTATGTTTGTCTGTTGGTTTATTTTTCCTTTTTCCTATTGCAGACTTTCCTCTCATGTTTGTTTACTCTTGGCTTTTCATTTCTGTTTAAGACTGAGGCAATAAGGAGGCTGATAGAAAATCTTAAGAACATAGGGAGAACTTGTCCACTGTCAGGGAATGTTGACAATAAGTCATTCTTTTTGTTGAGGGTCCTAAAGGCAGGAATGCAGAGGGCTTCACTCTGGACTTCCAAATCCCATGTTGGCTGCCCTAGTTCTCCACAGGCAGTCTATACAGTGTCTTCAGAGACACACTGTCCAGTGTTTTACTGAAAGAAGGTGATTGACACCTGTCTAATCTATACAAGCGAGGGTGTCAACTGCTGCACATATAGAACTTTAATGGCTTTCAGCCCCATTTTCCATTACTGCTATCTAGGATCCTTTTCATTTCCAGACTGAAGCACCTCTCATCTTCTGTGGAGAGAATCTTGATCCCTTAGCTGCAGCTCACTCCACCCTGCTGTATTAGTCAGTATTCATACATCTATTTCTGTTTCCAAGAAATCTGTTGAAATCTCTATAAAGCAGATTCCTATGTTCTTCTTTATTGTAGGCTTATGACATTTTAATTCCTGAGCTAGAAGATTCCTGAACTTAAATTGCTGTATGGTACTCTATAACATGGTTGTATGTTTAATTGTAGCAAATGTATAAACAATGTTATGATGAAGATCCTGGTAGCTAAATCATTACACACATCCATGATTTTTTATTTAGAATAAATTGTGAGAAAAATTGCTGCATTAAAATGGAAGCAGTTGTGTTTTAAAATAAATTAAACATGCATTTACCTTAGGGTCCAGAAATTCCACTCATAAGTATTTACCCAAAAGACGTGAAACATAATTCCACACAAAGACTTGTACACAAGTGTTCATAACAAGTTTATTCTATCCATGATGGCTAAAGACTGGAAACAACTCAAATATTCATCAACTGATGAATGGATAAACAAATTGTTACACAGTGGTTCCTCCTTATCCACTGTTTCACTTTCTGCAGTTTCAGTTACTTGCAGTCAACTTCGGTCCAAAAATATTAAGTGGAAAATTCCAGAAATAAACAATTTCCAAGTTTTAAATTGCATCCTGTTCTGAGTAGTACGATAAAATCTCATGCTGGCCAACTCTGTCCTGCCCAGGATGTGAATCATTTCTTTGTCCAGCGCTGCACACTATATACACTGCCTGTCTGTTAGTCACTTAATAGCCATCTTGGTTATCAGATTGGCCCTCATGGTATCACAGTACTTGTGTTCAAGGAATCCCTGTTTTACTTAATACTGCCCCCAAAGTGCAAGAGTAGTGATACTAGCATATTATTATAATTGTTCTATTTTACTGTTAGTTATTGTTGTTAATCTCTTACTGTGCCTAGTTTGTAAATTAAACTTTATCATAGGTATGCATAATACCTATCTCAGAAGAAGAAAAATTTGAACAAAAATTTCATTTTTACAAGAGGTCCAAAATGGCTGTAGGTTAGGCATATGGGTAATAGAAGCTAGGCCTACGAATTAAAGCTGAATTCTCACCTGTGAGGCTGGAGTTTGCCAAAATTAAAAACAAATTATTTTTTAATGTATTTGAAATAGAGATGGGGTCTCACTGTGTTGTATAGGCTGGTCCCAAACTCCTGGCTGTAAGCCATCCTCCCACCTCAGCCTCCCAAAGTACTGGGATTACAGGCATAAGCTGCTATGTCCAGCCTTCAGATATTTCACTGACATGTACTTATGGCCACTTTGCCTATCAGATGAAGCACAGAGGCAGGATAGGATCAATCATCCCTCTCCAGAACCTAAGATGCCTACATATGCATTAAACTTTTACCCTATATACATCAATAGCATATTTTAAGAATGTCACCTTTGCTTCACTGCTCCCTGTTTTCATTTTCTGTGTTGCAAAACATATAAATACTGTGCCTCCTGTACCCATCTGGGGACGCCTTCTCAGTGTTCCCTGAGTTTGTTTCCAAGCTATAGTTCTTAAACTTGGGTCAGAATAAAATTAACTTTGATTTCTTTAAGTCTATAGTGCCAGTTATTTTAACCTTTTGGGACCACAGATGGCATAGTTGGCAGGATTCTAGCAGAATTCATGGACACCCAGGACTCATTCTCTGGGACTCAGTACTTAGTACCAGAATGAACCTATTGTGTTTGAACTGACTCTGGAGGAGCCACTGGGTATACAGGGTGAGTGGCATGGAATCTGGACCTCTCTCTTTTTCTGGTAGAGGTCTATTTCACTTTTTTCTGAGATATTTCCAGAATCAGTAAAAGGAGTAGTAAATCCTGGGTTTGCTAAATTCTTCCTATGCTTGTTATTATTATTCTAAATTGCTAGGAAGGAAGAAAGGAAACAGGTCAACTAAGCATTGCTGCAGGTTAGAGTGGCGGTTTCTTTGATCAGCCGAGTGTTTTCAAAGCTCTTTTGTCTGGTCCAACCCTTTACATTCTATATGTGAACCACTGAGACAGAATGGCTCTGAAGGTATGGGACACTTGCTTCCTACAGCCTGAATCTTGGGTATTCTTAGGTGACAAAATCTTGTGGAGGTATTGCAGGAGATCCCTCATGGCATGTAATTTGGTCTCAAAGGGCTTCACCGTCAACAGAAGAACACTTCAATTGCAATAGATCCTGCAGGGGATGCTCATAAAGGTTGGTCACCCCACATTTGAAGCACCTCACTGCTTCAACAGGTGAGCATCTCCTGAGACGGAGAAGATTAACTCTGGGGTAAGAGCCTGAGAAGTGAAGTTCATAAGCAGCACACTTTTGACCCTGAACACGATTAGTTGGTTGCAGACAAAGGAGAAGGAGGGAGTCTCTTTATGTGCACAATTGGAAGGAGCCGGCTCAAAAACAAAAAGAGTGGAATAGTTTTTTCCAGGGGTATTTAGAAGCTTCTAAAAGAGGGAATGATAAAATTGCTTCCATTCAGAAGGTGGGCCACAAGATTTTGGAAACTGTTTCTCTACTGCAAAAATTGTCTGAAGTTTCCACTGTCTCTCACTCCTCCTCTGACCATTCCTTCTTCTGATCCTCCAGAACCCTTTTATTCTTTGCTTTCAAAACTGCTGGCCTAGATATTCCTTTACTCCCACTTCCATAACCCACAGAAGTTTTGACAGCATGCATTAGAGAAAAGCCTGACCCAAGGGGAAAACCTTCAGTGGCCCATACTCCCTGGACCAAGGCAGAACTTAGAGCTCTTACTAAGGAATTTCCAGATCCTACCCAGGATCCTACTGGTTTTACTTAGGAGTTTAGTCTAGCTGTAAGAAATTATGAATCTTGGCCATTTAGCTCTGTGTCAGTTGGTTCACATGTTAGTATCTGAAAGAAAAGCAAGGGAATGGGTGTCAAAGGCTGACTGGAAAGATCCACTAAACAATTTTCTTTTTTTTTTTTCTTTTAAAGTTGAGATCTGACTCAGCTGCCCAGGCTGGAGTGCAGTGGTGTGATTATGGCTCATTGCAGCCTTTAACTCCTGGGTTCAAATGATCTTCCCACCTCAGCCTCTTGAGTACCTGGGACTACAGGCACACATCACCACACCTGGCTAATTTTTTTTAATTTTAAACTTTTTTTTTTTTTTTGAGATGGAGTCTTGCTCTGTCGTCAGGCTGCAGTGCAGTGGCACAATCCCAGCTCACTGCAACCTCCACCTCCCAGGTTCAAGCCAGGTTCAGGTGATTCTCCTGCCTCAGCCTCCTGAGGAGCTGGGATTACAGGCACGTGCTGCCACACCCAGCTAATTTTTGTATTTTTAGTAGAGACGGGGTTTCACCATATTGGCCAGGCTGGTCTCAATCTCCTGACCTCATGATCTACCCATCTTGGCCTCCCAAAGTGCTGGGATTACAGACATGAGCCACTGCGCCTGGCCAATTTTAAACATTTTTTGTGGAGATAAGGTCTTACTATGTTGCCTTACTATATATGCCTTACTATGTTACTACTGGTCTCTAACTCTTGGCCTCAAATGATTCTCCTGCATTGGCCTCCCAAGTCGCTGGGATTATAGGCGTGAGCCACCACACCCAGCCTGAGAAACTGTCTTCATAAACAAACAGCTGCAGACCAAGCAAAAGCTTGAGAACTGACAAACCATTTAGCCTAAACAATTCGCCTGATATTTCCTAAGACCTCTGACTGGTCTAAAGTCCAGCAATGTAAACAAAAACCAAACAAGATCGTGCTGGATTACTTTGAAAGATTTGAAAAGGGTTTTAGACAATATTTGGAAATGAATGAAGAAAGTCTAAGGAATCATCAGAATGATTCTATTTTAATTTTAACCTTCTTTTAGAGATTGGATGAGCAATTGGCCAAGGTGGTCAAAATGCACCAAATAAATTGGGATTCTGTGCACACTTTGGAACTAGTGAAACTTGCGATAAATTGGCCAGTTATACAGAATAAGAAAGACAACGAAGCCGCTAAAATCATGAATTTACAGATTCAACAACTTACTGCTCAGTTTACCTGATCTAAACAGAGGCCTTGCTTTCAAAAGAAGCCTCAGAAACATCTAAAGATGTTTGTTGTTATTGCAAGAAAACAAGACATCTAAAGAAAAATTGCAGAATACTGAAATGGGCATAGAAACAAAAGGAAGAAAAGGAAAAGAGGAATACGGGCTCCGAGGGAATCAAGAGGGCTTTCCCTTTTCTTTTGCAATACTCTGCGGGAAGTGGAACTATGTATAAATAGAGAATAAACGAAAGCATTAGTTGACATGGGAGCTACCCTTTCTGTTCTCAACCCTACCTTTTTAAAGAGTGTTCTTCCTCAGCGTAATCAAACAGTTCAAATGATAGGGATATATACTCAACCAGTGACTACATACAAATCAGAATCTCTGCCTTTCCAATAGGGAAATTTAGATGAACATCCTTCTTTTCTTTGGAGCCTTCTACACCGATACATCTTATGGGAGGAGATTTTCTAGAACTTTATAGTGCTCATACTTCTTTTTCAGAAAGAAGAAAAATATTTTAAAAAAATAACTGAAAGAGGATTGATTCAAAATTATAAATCAGAAAATTCAGAGCAGATAATCATCCAAATTCAGTCATCAAATATTAAGACAAATAAAGAACTTGATGCTTGCTTTCCTTCTTATTTATTTATTTATTTATTTATTTAGAGACAGAGTCTCACTCTGTCACCCAGGCTGGAGTGCAGTGGCACAATCTCAGCTCACTGCAACCTCTGCCTCCCGGGTTTAACCAATTCTCCTCCCTCAGCCTCCAAACTAGCTGGGATTACAGGTGCACACCACCACGCCCAGCTAATTTTTTTGTATTTTTAATAGAGACAGGGTTTCACCATGTTGGCCAGGCTTGTTTCGAACTCCTGACCTCAAGGGATCTGCCCACCTTGGCCTCCCAAGGTGCTAGGATTACAGATGTGAGCCACCATGCCCAGCCATCTTGATGCTTTATTAAGCCAAATCCCTAATTATTTATGGTCTGAATCATCCACCAATGTCATAAAAATCTTAACAGCTACCCCAATATGGATATGAATGGATCCAAATAAACCACTTCCATGTCCAAATATTAAACAATAACAGGAAGCGATAATAGAAATAAAATCAATAATCAAATATTTTATTGATAAAGGATGGATTATCTCTTCCACCAGTCCTTGTAATACTCCCATCCTCCCAGCATGAAAATCTAATAGGAAGGAATGGAGGTTTATACAAGATTAGAGAACCATTAACAAGATTGTGATTCCCCATCATTCAGTAGTCCCAAATCCCTACACACTCCTTTATTTAACATACCAGTAGGCAGTGAATTTCACTAACTGATTTATGCAGTGCTTTTTGTTTATTAGCATACCAGTAGGTCCTGACAGTCAATATTTGTTTGCCTTTACCTGGAACAGCTGTCAATATACCTGGACTGTTATGCCTCAAGGTTATACTGGAAGCCCAACTATTTTTCAAAATATTAAGGGCTGAGATGGCTGAGCTAAATTTTGAGGAAATTCCACTCTAGTTCAGTATGTGGATGATCTCTTGTTATGCTTTTCCATTCTTCATGATTGTAAAAAACACACCCTGTAATTGCTGGAACAATTAGCTGAAACAAGACATAAGTTATCTAAAGAAAAATTCCAATATTGCTTAACAGAAATAAAACATTTGGGAAATTTAATTTCTAAGGAGGAAATACATATAAATTCAGATAAAGTAACTGGAATTTTTGCATACCCAACTCCAAAGACTGAAAGACAGCTTAGGAGTGTTTTAGGCTTAGCTGGCTACTGACACAGTTAGTTACCCAATTTTTCTTTCATGGAACAGTCTTTACATGCATTGTTGAAAGATCAACCTGACCCCATACATTGGATATCCTAAGAACAAATAACTATTCAGTAAATAAAGGAAAATCTTACAAGGGCGCCTGCTTTGAGCCATCCAAATTATCAGCTACCATTTTTGTTCTTTGTTTATGGAAGCCATGGCATCATCCTGGGTGTTCCAGCCCCAAAACACGGGGGAAAATATAGACCTGTTGGCTCTGATAGTCAGCAATAGACTCTATAGCTCACGGGCTGCCCCCTTGTTGGAGGGCCATTTCAGGCATTATCATATTTCTCAAGGCTACTCAGGAAACTAATGGAGGCTCCCTTGACTATATATGTACTTCATTCTGCAGAAGCTTTTTTGAATTCACATCATACACAATATTTTTCTGTCAACTGATTGGCTTTATTACAATGTACTTTTACTCTCTGCTCCACACATTACCCTCTCTTGCTGTAATACTCTTAATCTCACAAGTTACTTCTTGAAGCAACTGAGGAGATTACCTCATGACTGTATGGAACAGCATACAGTCTGTATGCTGTATAGTTCTATTACTAATAGAACAGCTTTTGATGCCCAGTCAGAATTTGCAGGAGATACCACTACAAAATGCTGATGTTACCTGGTTCACAGATGGATCATATCTAAAGGATAAGTTTGAAAAATACCAAACAAGCTATGTCGTTGTGTCTCATGTAGACATCATAGAGAGCAATTTCTTGCCTAAAGTAAAGTCAGCACAGTTGGCTGGATTAATAGTACTCACCAGAGGTTGTCTAACTGGCCAAAAATCAAATAACTAATATTTATACTGACAGCCATTACACTTTTGGTGCAGCTCATGTCTTTGGAATGTTATGGAAACAGCGAGGTTATTTAACCTCCTCTGGACATCCTATTAAACATGGCTCTCAAGTTTCTGATCTTCTGGAAGCCATCCAGTTACCAAAAAAAATTGGCTATTGTTAAGAGTCTTGGACATTCCAAACATGACTCCCTGGAGTGAAGGAGATAATTTTGCTGATGCTGAGCAAAAAAAATAAAAATAAAAATTAGCTTAATGCTAATATCAAATGAAACTGTAGAGATGGCCATGTTTAAAGTGAAGGGGCTCAAGAAAAGGCTCCAAAGCGGAAAAAGCAAATATGACTAAGGGAGAATGCTTTTCCCCCAACTTGCAAAATATAATATAGACCCAGTGACAGGAAAGCACATCCCTATTTTGCCTTTGGGATATCAATTTCCTATATTACAGCATGTCCATGAACTCATTCACTGGGGACTTGAGAAAATATTTGCCTGGGGAAAACACTATTACTGGAAACCCTCACCCACAGTAGTTCATAAGGTTTGTGCTAAATGTCCAATTTGTCCTATATATAATCCAGGAAAGCCTCTTCTAGATCTCAAGGGCATTTACCTTTGCCCACCGGCCCTTTCAATATTTGACAAATGGATTTTATCCACTTACCTCCAGCTCAGGGTTATAAATATGTATTGGTTATGATTTATATGTTCTCTCATTGGGTTGAAGAATTTCCTTGAGACAGTAGGAAAATGTTTGTTGGAATGGATAATTTCCTTTTGAGGAATTCTTTCCAAATTACATAGAAATAGGGAACTCATTTCACTGAACAGATAATTCACTTAATTTGTATAATCTGGCCTATTTTCCAATATTTTTATTGTACATACCATGCCCAGTCTTCTGATTGGTAGAATGAATATATCAAAAATAAAACCCAGCTAGAAAATTATCGAAAGCTTTTCCTATTACTTGGCCCCAGGCTCTTCCACTGGTTTTGCTTAACCTAAGAGCAGCTCCTTCTGGAATAATATGTCAATTATCCCATGAGATAATTACAGGTTGACCTATGAAAGTAAATGGCAGTTTATATGAACCAACTTTACTGAAAGGAGATATACTCCATTATTAACAAAGCTTAACTAAACTTCTTTTCCAAACAAACTAAATTGTAAAAAGAGCCTTAAATGCAATAGAGGCAGGACTTGGGACATTAAGACAAGTTGAGAATGTATTTAATGAAGAAAGACATTTACAAGAAAAGTTGATACTTACCAACCTAAGTAGAATAAAAAGCATACTCTTTCAGAAGGAAAGTGAGGGTTGAGAAGCTGCATGGAAAGATAATGATGCTATTGCTAAATGGGTGAATCAAACTGCCTGGCTAACGAGGGACTATGCCAAAGCCCAACAATCAGAAAAAGCATGGGTTCAAATTCAACAAGGTTATTGACCATGCTAATCCAAATGGAAGCAGAAGTGGCCTCTAAAACGTGGCCAGTCGTTTTGGATGCAGAAGCACAAGGTATACATTTATGGAAAACATATGGGCCCTCTTCTTCCTGGAAAATTGCTACCAGGGTACACAGCCTGTACTCTTAGGGCTTCAGCAACCCACATATACAGTAACCAGAAATATAATGCAGTATAGCTAGTGGAAATTGGGATCATTTTTAATAATACCCGTGTTCTCCCAACAGGCAGTTGATGGAACCATACTAAATAATAATATTTGGAATCCAATTTCAGTTTTAGATTGCAAACAAATTCAGGAAGAATTGTTCTGTCCCCAGAACATCTGGAATCCTGAAATCATGGAAACATGGTTCCTAATTTTTACCCCTATTCAAAATAATATATAGGAAATGGATATTTTTGTTTGGAAGCGAAGACAAATAAGACTATAAGTGTTGGGGAGGAGCCAAGATGGCCGAATAGGAACAGCTCCAGTCTACAGCTCCCAGCGTGAGCGACGCAGAAGACAGGTGATTTCTGCATTTCCATCTGAGGTACCGGGTTCATCTCACTAGGGAGTGCCAGACAGTGGGCGCAGGCCAGTGTGTGCGCGCACCGTGCGCGAGCCGAAGCAGGGGGAGGCATTGCCTCACCTGGGAAGCGCAAGGGGTCAGGGAGTTCCCTTTCCGAGTCAAAGAAAGGGGTGACGGACGCACCTGGAAAATCAGGTCACTCCCACCCGAATATTGCGCTTTTCAGACCGGCTTAAAAAACGGCGCACCACGAGACTATATCCCACACCTGGCTCAGAGGGTCCTACACCCACGGAATCTCGCTGATTGCTAGCACAGCAGTCTGAGATCAAACTGCAAGGCGGCAACGAGGCTGGGGGAGGGGCGCCCGCCATTGCCCAGGCTTGCTTAGGTAAACAAAGCAGCCAGGAAGCTCGAACTGGGTGGAGCCCACCATAGCTCAAGGAGGCCTGCCTGCCTCTGTAGGCTCCACCTCTGGGGGCAGGGCACAGACAAACAAAAAGACAGCAGTAACCTCTGCAGACTTAAGTGTCCCTGTCTGACAGCTTTGAAGAGAGCAGTGGTTCTCCCAGCACGCAGCTGGAGATCTGAGAACGGGCAGACTGCCTCCTCAAGTGGGTCCCTGACCCCTGACCCCCGAGCAGCCTAACTGGGAGGCACCCCCCAGCAGGGGCACACTGACACCTCACACGGCAGGGTATTCCAACAGACCTGCAGCTGAGGGTCCTGTCTGTTAGAAGGAAAACTAACAACCAGAAAGGACATCTACACCGAAAACCCATCTGTACATCACCATCATCAAAGACCAAAAGTAGATAAAACCACAAAGATGGGGAAAAAACAGAACAGAAAAACTGGAAACTCTAAAAAGCAGAGCGCCTCTCCTCCTCCAAAGGAACGCAGTTCCTCACCAGCAACGGAACAAAGCTGGATGGAGAATGATTTTGACGAGCTGAGAGAAGAAGGCTTCAGACGATCAAATTACTCTGAGCTACGGGAGGACATTCAAACCAAAGGCAAAGAAGTTGAAAACTTTGAAAAAAATTTAGAAGAATGTATAACTAGAATAACCAATACAGAGAAGTGCTTAAAGGAGCTGATGGAGCTGAAAACCAAGGCTCGAGAACTACGTGAAGAATGCAGAAGCCTCAGGAGCCGATGTGATCAACTGGAAGAAAGGGTATCAGCAATGGAAGATGAAATGAATCAAATGAAGCGAGAAGGGAAGTTTAGAGAAAAAAGAATAAAAAGAAATGAGCAAAGCCTCCAAGAAATATGGGACTATGTGAAAAGACCAAATCTACGTCTGATTGGTGTACCTGAAAGTGATGTGGAGAATGGAACCAAGTTGGAAAACACTCTGCAGGATATTATCCAGGAGAACTTCCCCAATCTAGCAAGGCAGGCCAACGTTCAGATTCAGGAAATACAGAGAACGCCACAAAGGTACTCCTCGAGAAGAGCAACTCCAAGACACATAATTGTCAGATTCACCAAAGTTGAAATGAAGGAAAAAATGTTAAGGGCAGCCAGAGAGAAAGGTCGGGTTACCCTCAAAGGAAAGCCCATCAGACTAACAGCGGATCTCTCGGCAGAAACCCTACAAGCCAGAAGAGAGTGGGGGCCAATATTCAACATTCTTAAAGGAAAGAATTTTCAACCCAGAATTTCATATCCAGCCAAACTAAGCTTCATAAGTGAAGGAGAAATAAAATACTTTATAGACAAGCAAATGCTGAGAGATTTTGTCACCACCAGGCCTGCCCTAAAAGAGCTCCTGAAGGAAGCGCTAAACATGGAAAGGAACAACCGGTACCAGCCGCTGCAAAATCATGCCAAAATGTAAAGACCATCAAGACTAGGAAGAAACTGCATCAACTAACGAGCAAAATCACCAGCTAACATCATAATGACAGGATCAAATTCACACATAACAATATTAACTTTAAATATAAATGGACTAAATTCTGCAATTAAAAGACACAGACTGGCAAGTTGGATAAAGAGTCAAGACCCATCAGTGTGCTGTATTCAGGAAACCCATCTCACGTGCAGAGACACACATAGGCTCAAAATAAAAGGATGGAGGAAGATTTACCAAGCCAATGGAAAACAAAAAAAGGCAGGGGTTGCAATCCTAGTCTCTGATAAAACAGACTTTAAACCAACAAAGATCAAAAGAGACAAAGAAGGCCATTACATAATGGTAAAGGGATCAATTCAACAAGAGGAGCTAACTATCCTAAATATTTATGCACCCAATACAGGAGCACCCAGATTCATAAAGCAAGTCCTGAGTGACCTACAAAGAGACTTAAACTCCCACACATTAATAATGGGAGACTTTAACACCCCACTGTCAACATTAGACAGATCAACGAGACAGAAAGTCAACAAGGATACCCAGGAAATGAACTCAGCTCTGCACCAAGCGGACCTAATAGACATCTACAGAACTCTCCACCCCAAATCAACAGAATATACATTTTTTTCAGCACCACACCACACCTATTCCAAAATTGACCACATAGTTGGAAGTAAAGCTCTCCTCAGCAAATGTAAAAGAACAGAAATTATAACAAACTATCTCTCAGACCACAGTGCAATCAAACTAGAACTCAGGATTAAGAATCTCACTCAAAGCCGCTCAACTACATGGAAACTGAACAACCTGCTCCTGAATGACTACTGGGTACATAACGAAATGAAGGCAGAAATAAAGATGTTCTTTGAAACCAACGAGAACAAAGACACCACATACCAGAATCTCTGGGATGCATTCAAAGCAGTGTGTAGAGGGAAATTTATAGCACTAAATGCCTACAAGAGAAAGCAGGAAAGATCCAAAATTGACACCCTAACATCACAATTAAAAGAACTAGAAAAGCAAGAGCAAACACATTCAAAAGCTAGCAGAAGGCAAGAAATAACTGAAATCAGAGCAGAACTGAAGGAAATAGAGACACAAAAAACCCTTCAAAAAATCAATGAATCCAGGAGCTGGTTTTTTGAAAGGATCAACAAAATTGATAGACCGCTAGCAAGACTAATAAAGAAAAAAAGAGAGAAGAATCAAATAGACACAATAAAAAATGATAAAGGGGATATCACCACCGATCCCACAGAAATACAAACTACCATCAGAGAATACTACAAACACCTCTATGCAAATAAACTAGAAAATCTAGAAGAAATGGATACATTCCTCGACACATACACTCTCCCAAGACTAAACCAGGAAGAAGTTGAATCTCTGAATAGACCAATAACCGGCTCTGAAATTGTGGCAATAATCAATAGTTTACCAACCAAAAAGAGTCCAGGACCAGATGGATTCACAGCCGAATTCTACCAGAGGTGCAAGGAGGAACTGGTACCATTCCTTCTGAAACTATTCCAATCAATAGAAAAAGAGGGAATCCTCCCTAACTCATTTTATGAGGCCAGCATCATTCTGATACCAAAGCCGGGCAGAGACACAACCAAAAAAGAGAATTTTAGACCAATATCCTTGATGAACATTGATGCAAAAATCCTCAATAAAATACTGGCAAACCGAATCCAGCAGCACATCAAAAAGCTTATCCACCATGATCAAGTGGGCTTCATCCCTGGGATGCAAGGCTGGTTCAATATACGCAAATCAATAAATGTAATCCAGCATATAAACAGAGCCAAAGACAAAAACCACATGATTATCTCAATAGATGCAGAAAAAGCCTTTGACAAAATTCAACAACCCTTCATGCTAAAAACTCTCAATAAATTAGGTATTGATGGGATGTATTTCAAAATAATAAGAGCTATCTATGACAAACCCACAGCCAATATCATACTGAATGGGCAAAAACTGGAAGCATTCCCTTTGAAAACTGGCACAAGACAGGGATGCCCTCTCTCACCACTCCTATTCAACATAGTGTTGGAAGTTCTGGCCAGGGCAATCAGGCAGGAGAAGGAAATAAAGGGTATTCAATTAGGAAAAGAGGAAGTCAAATTGTCCCTGTTTGCAGACGACATGATTGTTTATCTAGAAAACCCCATCGTCTCACCCCAAAATCTCCTTAAGCTGATAAGCAACTTCAGCAAAGTCTCAGGATACAAAATCAATGTACAAAAATCACAAGCATTCTTATACACCAACAACAGACAAACAGAGAGCCAAATCATGAGTGAACTCCCATTCACAATTGCTTCAAAGAGAATAAAATACCTAGGAATCCAACTTACAAGGGATGTGAAGGACCTCTTCAAGGAGAACTACAAACCACTGCTCAAGGAAATAAAAGAGGACACAAACAAATGGAAGAACATTCCATGCTCATGGGTAGGAAGAATCAATATCGTGAAAATGGCCATACTGCCCAAGGTAATTTACAGATTCAATGCCATCCCCATCAAGCTACCAATGACTTTCTTCACAGAATTGGAAAAAACTACTTTAAAGTTCATATGGAACCAAAAAAGAGCCCGCATCGCCAAGTCAATCCTAAGCCAAAAGAACAAAGCTGGAGGCATCACACTACCTGACTTCAAACTATACTACAAGGCTACAGTAACCAAAACAGCATGGTACTGGTACCAAAACAGAGATATAGATCAATGGAACAGAACAGAGCCCTCAGAAATAATCCCACATATCTACAACTATCTGATCTTTGACAAACCTGAGAAAAACAAGCAATGGGGAAAGGATTCCCTATTTAATAAATGGTGCTGGGAAAACTGGCTAGCCATATGTAGAAAGCTGAAACTGGATCCCTTCCTTACACCTTATACAAAAATCAATTCAAGATGGATTAAAGATTTAAACGTTAGACCTAAAACCATAAAAACCCTAGAAGAAAACCTAGGCATTACCATTCAGGACATAGGCGTGGGCAAGGACTTCATGTCCAAAACACCAAAAGCAATGGCAACAAAAGCCAAAATTGACAAATGGGATCTAATTAAACTAAAGAGCTTCTGCACAGCAAAAGAAACTACCATCAGAGTGAACAGGCAACCTACAACATGGGAGAAAATTTTCGCAACCTACTCATCTGACAAAGGGCTAATATCCAGAATCTACAATGAACTCAAACAAATTTACAAGAAAAAAACAAACAACCCCATCAAAAAGTGGGCGAAGGACATGAACAGACACTTCTCAAAAGAAGACATTTATGCAGCCAAAAAACACATGAAAAAATGCTCATCATCACTGGCCATCAGAGAAATGCAAATCAAAACCACTATGAGATATCATCTCACACCAGTTAGAATGGCAATCATTAAAAAGTCAGGAAACAACAGGTGCTGGAGAGGATGTGGAGAAATAGGAACACTTTTACACTTGGTGGGACTGTAAACTAGTTCAACCATTGTGGAAGTCAGTGTGGCGATTCCTCAGGGATCTAGAACTAGAAATACCATTTGACCCAGCCATCCCAATACTGGGTATATACCCAAATGACTATAAATCATGCTGCTATAAAGACACATGCACACGTATGTTTATTGCGGCATTATTCACAATAACAAAGACTTGGAACAAACCCAAATGTCCAACAATGATAGACTGGATTAAGAAAATGTGGCACATGTACACCATGGAATACTATGCAGCCATAAAAAATGATGAGTTCATGTCCTTTGTAGGGACATGGATGAAATTGGAAACCATCATTCTCAGTAAACTATCGCAAGAACAAAAAACCAAACACCGCATATTCTCACTCATAGGTGGGAATTGAACAATGAGATCACATGGACACAGGAAGGGGAATATCACACTCTGGGGACTGTGGTGGGGTCGGGGGAGGGGGGAGGGATAGCATTGGGAGATATACCTAATGCTAGATGACACGTTAGTGGGTGCAGCACACCAGCATGGCACATGTATACATATGTAACTAACCTGCACAATGTGCACATGTACCCTAAAACTTAAAGTATAATTAAAAAAAAAAAAATTAAGAAAAAAAAAAAATGAATACAAAAAAAAAAAAAGACTATAAGTGTTTTAGATCTTACATGAAAGCAGACAGTATTTGATTTAAATTATACTGCCATTTAGTGCACTACTGGATTCATAGGAAAGCTACCTTTAGGACAGAATAACCCATATAATAATGAGGACACTGATAATCAAATATTTTTGGGAATTGGAACTCAACCCTCTTCAAGTTGTACTCCCAGCAGAAAATGAATGGTAAGTTAAGCAATTAGATATTATAAATCATCAGTTAATTACAGTTCTGGATAAATCAACTCACATATATAAAAAAGTACATATATAAGCAAAGGGAGAGGGATGATTATTCTATTAAGCACAAACTATCAAAATGTATGTTCAGGGTTTTTTTCTATAATATGTTATTTCTTTTCTTCATTGTCTTTAGCCAAATGAACCTCTCGGTTGTTCACTGTATTGTTTATTATTTTTCTAATATTTCTGTTACAAATGTTATAAATGCTGCAGAAATTGCAAATTTCATAGAAAGAACAGAATTCCAGCTAAAATTATGTTAGTTCATCAATTTGAACTAATAGCCATAGAATGTAAGTAAAGGCAGTCTTCTATGGCCCATTTTGTCCCACACACTCCCTCCTCTACTTCTGACCAAATGGGGAAGGGCTTCCCATTAACTTTTGTTTAGCCCTAAAGTCCCAAGGCTTACAAAAGGACATCAAGCTGGATATTCTTCCACCTGACTCCTCAAGGTCCCTCACCAGTATGACTGACTGTGCAATGGATCATTGCCTCTAAAGAATCTCTCCTAAGGAAATAATCCTAATTGCAATCCTGATCTTGTTTCTCCCTATGCTAATGAGGATACATTAGCATAAAACAAGGGGCTTTGGCATTCCAGAAGGAAAAATAGGAGCCTCTGCATCTTCACTGGAAAACCAGATGATGGCACTTCATGTAGGGGTGAACAATAGCGTAAGGACATTTCAGAATTCTGATTTGATCCTGTATGCCCTATCATTCTAAACAAATGAGACCTGTTCTCTTCAAATTTCTTATTATTTGGTCTTCCCACCCCACCCCAAGTTACAGCCACAGTGATTAGTTTGGTGTTTGTTCTTCCAGATTATCTAATAAATATACTAATACGTATCTGTGCATACAATTTTTGTGGATGTGGAATGTTACTACATACATATTCTTGCAACTTGACTATAACATTTTTAAGGTTTTTAGCTCCTACAAAGGGCCATTGCTTTCCCCCATAGGGAGGGCTTAGCAAAGAACCCTACATATAATAGGTCTTTACATGTTAGATTCAGTGTCTTTCTTTGCTGGTGAGCATTTCCTCTCACACCAAAAGACAGTATTTTAATAGGTTGGGTGTAGTGGCTTGTGCCTGTAATCCCAACACTTTGGGAGGCTGAGGAGGGAGGATTGCTTGAAGCCACACGTTAGAGACCAGCCTGGCCAACAATTTTACATATTTTTTTAATTAGCTGGGTGCTAAATTTTAGTAGTTCCAGCTACTTGGGAGGCTGAGACAGGAGAATTGCTTGAGCCCAGGAGTAAGAGGTTATAGTGAGCTAGGATCGCACCACTCCACTCTAGCCTGAGTGACAGATCATTTCTCAAAAAAGAGAGAAAGATAGAGGAAGAAAAAATAAAGGAAGGGAGGGAGGAAGGGAGGGAATATTTTAACATTTGCTGGTATTATTTTTACTAAAATCACACATTCTCTAACTTTTAGCCTAAGTTCTTGTAGCCTAAATTCCTTCTACTACTGAAAGGAAAGCAGGACTCAGTGGGACTCTGGGTGGTAGTTGGGACTGAGCAGTGACTTGGCATGGATTAAGGATGCCCAAACAGTGCCCAAAAAATGAAGTTATAGGAATATTTGAGCAGGGAGTGGCAATGGTCTATCTCTGCCAGCCAGAAGAGGCTCCAGCCCCCACAGTCATCTCAGATTAACAGCAGATTTCTCAGCAGAAACCTTACAAGCCAATGGGATCGGGGTCCAATCTTTAGCCTCCTTAAACAAAATAATTGTCAGCCAAGAATTTTAGATCCAGCAAAACTAAGCTTCATACCTGAAGGAAAGATAAAGTCTTTTTTCAGACAAACAAATGCTGAAAGAATTTGCCACTACCAAACCACTGCTATAAGAAATGCTAAAAGGAGTTCTAAGTCTTGGAACAAAACCTCACAATACACCAAAATAGAATCTCCTTAAAGCATAAATCTCACAGGGCCTATAAAACAATAACACAATGAAAAATAACAGGGTATTTAGGCACTAAATAACATAATGAATAGAACAGTACCTCACTTCTCAATACTAATGTTGAATGGAGAAGTTCTAAAAGCTCCACTTAAAAGATACAGAATGGCAGAATGGATAAAACTTCATCAACCAAGGATCTACTGACTTCAAGAGACTCACCTAATACATAAGGACTCACATAAAGAGGTGGAAAAAGACATTCCACAGAAATAGAAACCAAGAGCAAGCAAGCAGGAGTAGCTATTCTTATATCAGACAAAACAGACTTTAAAGCAACAAAAGTAAAAAAAGACAAAGAAGGACATTATATAATGATAAAAGGATTAGTCCAACAGGAAGACATTACATTCCTAAATATACATGCACCTAACACTGGAGCTCCCAAATTTATAAAACAATTACTACTAGACCTAAGAAATGAGATAGATGGCAACACAATAATAGTGAGGGACTTCAATACTCCACTGACAGCACTAGACAGGTCATTAAGACAGAGCGTCAACAAAGGAACAATGGATTTAAACTACACCCTAGAACAAATGGACTTAACAGATATTTACAGAACATTCTACCCAACAACTGAAGAATATATATTCTTCTCATCAGCACGTGGAACATTCTCCAAGATAGACCATATGATAGGCCACAAAACAATTCTCAATAAATTTAAGAAAATTGAAATCATATCAAGTATCTTCTCAGACCACAGTGGAATAAAACTGGAAATAAACTCCAAAAGGAACTCTCAAAACAATGCAGATACATGAAAATTAAATAATCTGCGCTTGAATGATCTTTGAGTTAACAATGAAATCAAGACGGAAATTAAAAAATTTTTTGAGCTGAATGATGTTAGTGACACAACTTATCAAAACCTTTGGGAAACAGCAAAAGTGGTGCTAAGAGGAAAGTTCGTAGCATTAAATCCCTACATCAAAAAGTTTGAAAGGGCACAAATAGACAATCTAATGTCACACCTTAAGGAACTAGAGAAACAAGAACAAACCAAACCCAAACCCAGCAGAATAAAAGAAATTAACAAAGATCAGAGCAGAACTAAATGATTATTCCTCTTAAGTTTTCACCCACCATCTGTCTCAGATGCCCCTTTTCCTCCATTCCTTCAAGCTTAATGCCAAGCCCACTATATCCAGTCATTGGGGACACAGGGCCTCTGTCAGCTGAGAATTGAAACCCTGCTCCCTCCCCTGACAAGACACGGACTGCTTAAATGTTAAACTATGAGCATTTCTTTAAGAAATAAACTGCAGGAGAAATGTCTTAAAGGATTACATGGAAGATGTGTGAAGTATAGATCTCTAAACTTAGAAACAATCAGTGATTCTTAGGTGCAAAAGAATCATCTGGAAAGTGACTGAAAAATGCAGCTTCCCAGGCCCCATTCTAAGGCAGTTAGCTGCAGGGGACAGTGTGAAAAATCACAGTTGGAGGAACATTGGCCCAGATGATCCACTAAAATGCTTAGTCTTCACACTTAAAAAGAGTTTGGAGCAATGCTACACTCAGCTATGGAAGGGTTACCACTCCTTCCTCAGCCTGATGTCAGGTTCAAATTAAGCTTCAGATTGTCCATTTCCCCTGCTATTTGTCTCAGTGAGTTCTCTCTCAGCCTTGGAAACCTGGAAGGAAAACACCTTTTCCTTTTAACTTAAAAATTTTGGTATCTGTGCTTTTGGAGGTTCTGAATTGATCTTGGGCCTTTCTTTGGCCTTCCAGGAGTGTCTCTGGCTACAAATTCAACATTTGATCCTGTTCCCCTTATCTATTTCTGTGTAAAAAGTCACTCCTAAGCTTAGTGACTTAAAGCAATGACATTCATTTATTTTGATTATGAATCTGTAATTTAGGCAAGACTGAGCAGGAATGGCTTTGTCTCTGCTCTCCATGGTCTCAGCTGGGGCTACTTAAATGGGAGCTGGAGGACCCACTTTCGAGATAGTTTACTCACATAGCTAGCCAGTTAGAGCTAGCTTTTGGCTAAGAGCCCAGCTAAGTGTGTGAGCTGGGTGCTTTGGTTCCTGTCAACATGGTCCTCTGCACTCCACAGGGGCCTTGGGCTCCCTCATAGTATTGAGGCTGGGTTACAGGTATGAGCATTCCCAGGGAGCAAGGCAGAAATGCATGGCACTTTTTTTTTTTTTTTTTTTTTTTTTTTGAGACGGAGTCTCGCTCTGACGCCCAGGCGGGAGTGCAGTGGCGCGATCTCGGCTCACTGCAAGCTCCGCCTCCCGGGTTCACGCCATTCTCCTGCCTCAGCCTCCCGAGTAGCTGGGACTACAGGCGCCCGCCACCACGCCCGGCTAATTTTTTGTATTTTTAGTAGAGACGGGGTTTCACCGTGTTAGCCAGGATGGTCTTGATCTCCTGACCTCATGATCCGCCCGCCTCGGCCTCCCAAAGTGCTGGGATTACAGGCGTGAGCCACCGCGCCCGGCCGGCACTTTTATGACTTACTAGCTTTGGAAGTCACATCGTATAATTTCCACTATACTATTGTTTCAGGAATTCATAAAGTCCCACTCAGATTCAGGGGAGGAAAAGTAACCTCCACCATTTGATAGAAAAAGTGTCATGGTTACCTTATAAAAATAGCATGTGGATGGGAAATGTTATTGCAGCCATCTTTGGAAAGTACAACCTGTCACCAGACCCTGACCTATTTTGTATTATATCTGTGGGTTTTTCTTAAAAGCATTAATGATGCATATTCACTAGTTAATTATTGTTGGTTCTATTCCATCTCATTTTATCCTTCTCACAATCCTGTGATATAGCTAGATCTTTTTGTATACATCCAAATATGGTTCACAGACATGTTTGGTATAGCTAGCACATTATTTTAAAAATTGTGAATTCTTACGTATTTGAATTTCTGGCTTCTCTTCACAATCATAAGATTGGATAAACCTAGGCCAAGCTTTCCTCCTATCAGCAGTGAGCTGGAGCTGAGTAGTGGTGGTTCCCTTAGTAAAACCCTGTCTTCTGTTTGCTGCAGTCCCCACCACTCCCTGTTACCACTTAACTCATTACATTTTATGTCTGACAAGCATTTGACTTTGAGGTTTTCCACCTTAGAAAAAATAGGCCCAGATTCTACTATGGAAAATTGTAATAGCCTACCCTTCATTTGGTGTTTCCAAAGTACTTGCTATAGAAAGCTACATTTTGGGGTTTCTTTTTTAATCCTCTCTCTCATTTGGGGAGACCATCAGGTTGCTGTTTCTTGTTTGAAGGACACCTTCAGCTGTCCACTGACTGAAATGAATGATATGCCCCAACTCCCAGAATGGCCCAGCTGCCCAGTTCTAGCCCTTCCCTTCCAGGCTGGCCCTTTTGGGGATCCCCAAGGTGGAGCAGAACTCTCCTTAATCCCTTAAATTTGCTCTTTTCACTGCCTGACCAACATTGGATCCTTATAACTTGGAATTCTCAACAGGAGTAAGGGAAGCTCATACAGGGAGCACCAACGTCAAAGTTTCCTAACACCACAATCTTGCCTAGAGCTAAGTCTGCACACAAAGACCTCCTCTCTGGAAGATAAGTGCCCAGTGTTCATCCACTGTTCAGAACCAATTCTCAATATTCCTAATGTCACAATGCTCGCTTTGTCCTTTCAAAGGCTCTTGATTTTGTTTCCAAAATGTCAACAGATAACTCTAAGTGTTGATTAAACAAGCAAGAGCATTGCCTAGGGAGAGCATTTGGCTGCGCAGTCTTCATCAAGCCCACTAGAGAAGCTCCAGCCTGCACAGAAAGGACAGTCTGGGCCTGACTAGGCAACTCTATCAGATAATCAGGACACTTTCTTCCCCTTTGGCTCTTGGGTTTTTCTTTAGCTCTTTCATGCTGGGGGAACTGCTCACCCTCAGCACTGCTGGCACTTAGGAGTAGGAAAGGTCTGTGGTTTTACTCCTCTTAACCTTCTGAGTAGTCTCTGCCACCAAATTAGGACATTCTGGGGCAGGCAGTTCCCCCACTTGATCCTGCTCCATCACATTCCCTGTCCTCACCTCATCAATAACCATAATCCTAAATTTTAGGTTTATTCCCTTACTGTTCATTAGAGATTTTACTATCTATTCTGGATATCTGTTGCTTAACAAAATGCCCCAAAATTTAGTGGTGTCAATCTTTTTTTTTTTTTTTTTCTTTACAGATCCATTATTTGGGCAGGATTCTGTAGGGAAAACTCATCACCACTTCATATAGCATCAGCCATGCGGCTCAACTGAGGGCTGTTGGATCCACTTCTAAGATGACTCACTGCTGGCTGGCTGTTAATGCTGGGTTGAGGCCCTGGGGCCTTGGTTTGTCTCCACATTGGCCTCTCCATTAGGCCTGGACTTCCTCACAAAATGGTGGATGAGTTCTAAGGGTAAACATCGCAAGAGAGAAAACCAGACAAGAGAGCAAAACTTGCCTTTTGTGACCTAGCCTCAGAAATCACATAGTGTCTATTAATTGAAGCAGTCCCAAAGTCCCACCTGGGTTCAAGGGGAGGAGATACTGACTACACTGTCCTTGATGGGAGGGTGGTAAGATTCTGGAAGAGAGATGGGACCAGAAATGTTGTTGCAGCCATTTTGGGGAAGTGCAATCTACCACAACGCATATGTATGTACTCCTAGGCAATATGCTATTTAATTTTGCATGTTTTACGCTTTATAGAAACATCCATACTGAATATGTTTTTCTACAACTTTGTTCCCTCAACATTTATGAGTCGCTTATATTTTTGGAGTTCATTTATTTTTAGAATTGTATAATATTTCATTGCAATTATTTGCTACAATTTAGTTCTCTGTTATTTTGGTGAATGTTTGTGCTCTTTCTATATGTTTCCAACCCTTTTTTTCTATATATTTATGCTTTTTGCTATTTTGTACAGCTGCTCTGAACATTCTCATAGAACTTTGCACATGAGCCTAGGGCAAGAATTATCAACCAGTGTGATTTTTAGCAATGTCAGAGGCATTTAGCAAATGTCCTACACATTTTTTATTTTTATGACTGGAGTAGGAAGCGTTGGTACTGACATCTGGCAGGTAGAGGCTATGGATGTTGCTAAATATCCTACAGGAAAGCCCCCTATAACGATTAGCTGGTCCAACATGTCAATAGTGCTGAGATTGAAAAATCCTAGCTTAGGGTATATATGGAGGAGTAGAATTCTCACTCAATGATAGGATATTCACAGTTTCAACTTTATTATATAATACTAAATTGTTTACCCAAGTGGTTGAGCAAGTCTATACTCCTACCAAAGGGAGGCTCCACATCCTCTGATATTGTCAATCTTCTTAGATTTTGCCAGTTCATGTTTTTTTCCTTCTGAAATGCACATTTGTGTGCTTTGTCCATTTTTATAGAGTAAATGTTTATAGGATTGATTTGTAGGCATTATTTATATATTCTGGATACTAATTCTTTGTTGGTTGTATGTGTTGAAAATATCTCCTCCCAGTCTGTGGCTTATCCTCTCACTTCTTCCTGGTTCTTTTGATGAACAGATGTTCTTAAGCTTCATGTAGTTAAATCCATCAATCGTATACTATCCATCAGGCTTGTGATTTAGGGTCATTATTTAAGAAAGAATGTCCTGCCCTGAGGTTATCATTGCTTCCCAAGCCTGGCAGCATTTTGGGGTTTTATCTTTTCCAGCTGGCAAGACCTGGAGTTCCTCTTGCTGACCCCAGAGGTGCCTGGCCTTCCTTATCCTCCACTGTTTGCTCAGTCCTTATGAACACTCAGATTGTATTTCCTAATGTACTCCATTTTCTCTGTTGGGCTCTTTCTACAACCTCTGTAGCCCTCTCTACCCAGGACTGGACTCTACTGTCTCGGGACTGGCCTCAAAATGAACTGACTTCTCTGGAACCACAGTGCCCCACTTAGTATCAGCACTGCTGAAGATGTCCCTTAGAGATTAGCCATGGCAGGATTGAGCCCCAGTTTTCTAAAGTACTTGGATGGTTTCATTTGCACTCATGTGGGGTATTCTCCTCTAGGGCTAAAATCAAAAATGGGGCAAAGCTGAAGATGCCAAGTGGTCCCCAGGAACATTACTGCTCACAGGAGGGACACCCCAAGATGAGCATATCTGCTCTGACCACATACCTTCTAGCCAGGCCTATCTACCCAGGGCCCCTCAGAACCGACCATGATTAAAGGACAGCCTTGGTGTGATCTGCTCCATCCAGGGAAATCATTCAGAGTTAATTTTGCTTCCTTTTCCCTCCATTCCGGTTCTGTCCACATCCTGACTTCTGATATGTCCTCCCTTCTGGATCCTTCTCCCATCCTTTAGACTTCACATTGATCTGGGTTTCCCTGGCTTTGACACTCAGTAAGGGCTTTGGGCAAAACCCACCTTTTGGTTCCAGCAGCTCCTGTTTGCCCCAAGAAAGGCACCTTATCCTAGCTCAAGTCATGATGACCCAAACCCAAGGACCTAGATAAAGTTGAAGAGATATGATTCCAGGTGCCTAATCTGAACAGTTGTCGAGCTTGGGAGAAGATAAATCTTAAAGTGGGGAACAGGGAGAAGGTAAAAGTAAGAATCTAAAAACCCAAACAGCAGGAAGAGATAGGAAAGTAGACAGGCATAGGAGGATTTGAGAACCCAAAATGTATGCCTATGATGCAGAGCCAGCATGGGAGGCATTATAATGGCTGAGAACTTGGGCTTTGTAGATAGGCAAGGATCTCCTCACCTTACTAGTTGTGCGACCTCAGGCAGGTTATCCTCCCAGAGCCCTGTTTTCATCATCTGTAAAGTAGGGCTGGTGTAATAACTTGCTCAATTGTATGAAGATTAAATGATAAGTATGTAAAGCATTTGCATAGTATTTTACACTATGTTCAAAATGATGGGCATTATCAATATTAATTGATGTTAATATTAATATTCATGGACTAATGAACAGAGGACCCGCTGCCCGGTTCCTTTATGGCTGTTCTGGCACACACTGAGGGTCAGCAAATTACGGCCTGTGTATCAAATCCAGGTTGTTGGCCATGTGGCCCATGAGCTAAAAGTGGTTTTTACATTTGTAAATGGTTGAAAAAAATCAAAAGAAGAGTATTATTTCATGTGTGAAAATAACATGAAATTCAAATTTCAGTGTCCATAGAGTTTTACTGGAACATAGCCATGGTTGTTTCTTTTGTATTGTCTTATTTTCTGCCTCTCCAAGAAAGCTTGCTGACTCCTGGCATAGGCCAAGTGGACTAGGGGCAGGTGCTTTAGTCAGCTGGACCTTGGAGAACTGGGCAATCTCCTCCACTCCACAGCTCTATACATGGTGGCTGCCCTTCTTTTCCTACTGGCCCTCCCCTGGGGTTCCAGAGTACCTTTTGTTCAAGCCAGCCCCACTTGACCCAGGGCACTGGGATCTAGATTTCTGAACAATGAGCCAAATCATTGCAGAATCATAGGGGGAATCAGGACAAGGCTGTTTTGAGATTAAAATGAAATAAAATATGTGAAAGTACTTTGTAAATGCAAAGGATGTTATTATTTAGCAAGTAATGGTTAAGGGGTATCAGTGAGGTTTTTTACTCTTCTTAGTAAATTTAGTAATGTATGTTATGTTCACTTTTAACAAAATGTATTATTAACCAGAATACCCTAATTTCTGTCCAGATCAAAAAAGATTTTAAACCAAATGAAACCATCCACAATGCATGTCAAACGCACCCCCAAAATGGAGTTTTGAGCTTCTAGCCCTTTCTGCAAAGAAAATCCTGGCTCCTCCATCTTGTTTTTTTTTTTTTTCCTCTCCTCTTCACTTCCTGTTTACCATCTCCATTTTCTTTTCCAGTCTCTGTGCCTGTGCTTTGGGCCACTTGATTGCTTTGGGTGGCCAGAGTAGAGAGCAGATGAATGTCATTGTGTTTGAAGAAGCCAAGGAAATGTGACAGAAGAGTTTTAAGAGAATCATCAGCCCAGTGTAGACATTTCAAGTGATGTTAAGAGTTGGAGTGGAAGAAACATTATGAGTCAATTCCTCAGTCACTATTATGGGATAACCAGGATTTGGTAGGAAAAGCAGAAGGAAGAGGTAGATGGCATAAGAATCAAAGATCATTTGTACAAAGGAGAGTTGAGCAAAGTATCAGGGGAGCTAGGACAATGCTGATCGCTTCTGAGTCCCCACAGGATGTGGGAAAATGAGCAGCCTTCCATGAAAAAGGTGGCAAAGGAAGGCCACAGAGGAGTCCTGTAAGGGAACAGAAAAGAAAAGGCTGAGGTTTGGGTGTTGTCTACCTTAAGCAGGCCCTGAGGGTGGGAGGGAATTCCAGGAGCAGTGGGGGATGAGGTCAGTGGGAAGGAGGTTGGAAACAATGTGGGTTTGAGGATGAGAAGACATGTCCTGAGGGGTTTACCTTTTGGGTGGAGGCCAAGGGCAACAGGAACCGGAGTCACCTAGGATTAGCTGGTCCCAAATTGTAAATGAAGCACTGGGGTCATGTTGTTCACATCCTGGGATTGGGGGAGGAGGGAAGAGGTGGGCATGAGAGGCCCTGCTGGGCTGGAGGTGGGTATTGCAGCTGCCACATACCATTCCCTTGCTGCAAAATCCTTTAGCAGAATGTCTGCTATCCAGGAGTACGTGCATTGTTAAGTTTGTTCTCATTTCCTGAACAACTTACGCACTAAGCAATTACTTAAAGCGCTGAAGGAAGAGGCTCAGGTTTCTAATGACATTCTGTCAACATGACTAATGCTACCCTGGAACACCCTTCCCCTAGGTATCTGCATGGCTCACTTTCTTTTTCAACCAAGTTTCCCTCAAAGAGGGGTCTTCTCTGATCCCAATACCCAAATAGCCCTACTCATCACTCACTATCCTCTTGCCATGCTTTATTTTTCTTCATTTTACTTATGTCCACCGACTCATCCTTATTTGTTTATTAGTTGGTACCTGTCATTCTCACTAGAATGTAAGCCACATGAGGTTAGGAGTTTCCTTTTGTTCTCTACCCTATTCTCCACTGCTGAAAATAGTGCCTGGCATACAACACAGCTCAATAAACAGCTGTGGGCAAATGAATGAATGAATGACTTGGCCCTGGCCAAGTCATTGGACCTCAGGAATGGCATCTTTCAATTAGAAGTTGTTGCTACTCTAACGATTTTGTTAATCATTAGGTGGCCTATCTTCACCATGCTTCCTATACAAAAGTGAATTGCCTAAAACTCAGCATCGGCGCTTCTCCCTCAAAGTTTTAGACAATAAACTCTGACTGTTTGAAACTCAGCTGTTTGCCTTCACCACTCCTCCTCCCATCTTGCCTCCTCCCATCCTCCTCAACTGCTTTTTCTGATGTTGGCCAAGATATCAGAACCTGAGATTAGTATCAGAAAATTGAGCTCCTACCATGACCCCACACCAAAGCTTGAGGCTTTCAATAACAAAGACAGACACCCTCCTTTCTCCAAGAGCCTATATATTGTGAGGGAATTGATAATTAAATATGTGATTGTATAATGGTTTAATGAGAACCACAACAGGGGAGGTGCTACCTTCAGAAAGGCTTCCCTCGAGAAATGATACCTGAGTATTAAACTGCAGGATGAGTAGGATTCAGCTGAGCAAAGAAGGGTTGGAGAAAAGTAGACAGCAGGGAAAATCCCTGATCCTAGAGAAGTGGGTCTTGTTGGAGGAGCCAGAACTGGCAGGTGGCTGGGAACCCAGTAGGAGGTGTGAGTAGTGGGTAAAACCAGGGCTGCAACAAGCGTTAGAAACAGATTATCCTAAGGCAAAAATAACTCCCTTTCACTGCTGCTGCTGGTTTGGTTGGCAAAAGGAAAAAAAAAAGGACTCCATGATTTTAGTAATCAGATTGCTGGTAATAATATTGGTATTATTATTCTGATACTATTCACTATATATATAATAGGATAGAGCAAATAAGTAATTAGGCTAATGTTGATAGAAACCAAGATTCTTCACCATAAGAGATGCAAATATAAAATTTTTAAAATTGTAAAAATTCTGTAATTTTAAATTTGAATAAAATATATTAGTGTAAACTAATGATACATTTTCTTATCTTAAATCTGTTTCCTATCTCTGACCACTATTAAGGCCTAGAAACAATGACCAGTCAAATGCAGTCCATGCCCCTAGTACCGGTTTGTAGTCTCTAAATTATGCTTCCCACCAAATGGAACCAGGGTTTATTTCAGAAATGGATGGTCCAGAGGAGGAATTGCATATGATGAAGCTTAAACACCATGATATACCAGATAGTGAGGGAAGTGTCAGAGATCCCTGGGGTCATGTCAACAGGACTCAGAAGTCAACTTGTCAAGGCTCTCACTGGCCACAAATGGGACAATGTTAATATGAATAAGAATAACTAAAAAGGACTGAAATCCACATGAATTCTGTTGGAAATTCACAAGTTTATAATGATGTTCAAAAAAGAAAAATAAAGACCATTGTTCACCTTTGGATAATACTGGGGAACCAACTCATTATTCTGAAAACAGGAAAGCAAAGCAAAGGAATCTACATTTGCCATATAAATTGAACCTCAGGGTAACCAAATAGTGGAGAAGGGAATGTTTCTTTCTATAGGAGTATTCCAGCCAATAATTTAGAAGAAATATTGGGCCAGGTGTGGTGGCTCATGCCTGTAATCCCAGCACTCTGAGAGGCCAAGGCAGGAGGATTGTTTGAGCCCAGGAGTTTGCCACCAGCCTGGGCAACCTAGCGAGACCCCCATCTCTACAAAAAAAAATTTTAAATTAGCCAGGCACAGTGGTGCATGCCCGTGGAGGAGGAGGAGGAGGAAGAGGAGAAGGAAAGAAGAAGAGGAAGAGGTGGAGGAGGAGGAGGTGGAGGAAGAGGAAGGAGGAGGAGGAAGAAGAGGAGGAGGAAGAGGAGGAGGAGGAAGAGGAGGAGGAGGAAGAGGAGGAGGAAGAGGAGGAGGAAGAGGAAGAAGAGGAAGAAGAAGAGGAGGAAGAAGAAGAAGAGGAGGAAGAAGAAAGCAGAAGAAATATTATTTGCAAGCTCTTAAATAAATAATAATTCTGGGTATCAATAATTGTATTAGTTTCCTATGGCTGCCATAACAATGTACCACAAACCAGGTGGCTTAAAACAACAGAAATTTATTGTCTCGCAGCTCTGGAGGCTGAAATCAGAAATCAAAATACTGACAGGGCTGTGTTCCTCTGAAGCCTCTAGAAAAGAATTCTTCCTTTTGTTTGCCAGCAAGCAATCCTCAGCATTCCTCTGCTTGTAGAACCATCACTCCCTTCTCTGCCTCCATGGTCACATGGCTGTCTTCTCCCTGTGTCTATCTGTGTTCAAATTGTCCTCTTATAAGGACTGAATCAAGGCCCACCCTAATCCAGTATGACCTCATTTTAACCTGATTCCATCTGTAAGAACCCTGTTTCCAAATGAGGTCACGATCACAGGCACAGCGTTGGTGGGTAAATGTTCAACATATCCTTTTGGGGAACATAGTTCAACCCGTAATAATCATCAAGGGCAGCCTAGATCACAAATAGGAAGACATAAGACTTTATTTTCTGGCAGAGCATACCACCTATTGGCAAAGAATTAGACATAAATCAGAGTAAGTCTAGATCTACCTACCAATTTACAGGAAGTAGAGAGTACAAAAAGGCATGTTAAAAAATACCACAGGCAGTAGAATCAGCAAGATCCAGAATGTGGGAAACTCTACAGGACTAATAACTTGGTTTCTTCAACAAATAAATTGCAAGGAAATTCCAGGAGAGAGCTCTGTAAATTATAATAAAATGGACATAATAGACGTAACAACCAAATACAATATATAGATTTTGTTTGAAAATTTGAATACTTACTAGATATTTAATAAAATAATGGCTTATCGACAGTTTAAAAAACTTAATTATATTGTGGTAATGTTTACAAAGGGGAGAGTCTTTAACTTACAGTAGTACATTTCCGCAGATAAAATGGCATGTTTGGGGGTGGGAAGACAGTAGGGCGTGGGTTGGCTATGAAACAAAGTTAGCCAAGTTAATTAATGAAACTTGGTGGTGGGGACATGGGGGTTCATTATATTATTATCTCTGCTTCATATGCGGACATTTTCTATCCTATAAAATTAGAAAGAATTAACATGCAGTATGTTTAGTTAATGCTTCTCAGCTTGGGAAGTATCAGAACCTACCAGATACTGCTGAGGATACCTCCCTCCCTCAGCCTCATTGAGATCTTCTATTCTAGATACTTTCCTAGGAAATTGAGTTTCTCTTTTCAAACTTATTCACTGCAGCTTGATTGCTGATGGAAACCTTTTGTTTGCTGGAAGCTACTGGCTAGCTGACGAGAATACTTTTCATTAGGCAAGAAAGGAATTTTTCAAAACCCCTTTTATTATAAAAGTCCTAGGTACATACAGAGTCAAAAAGAAAATTCAAAAAGTGCAGAAAAATTAAGATCACTCCTCCCCAGTTCTACTTCCTGGAGTCTTCACTGCTTCAAGTTTCTTGTGAATTGCTCCAGACATTTTTCTAAGCATATACAAAAATAAGCATGATTTGGACCTTTCTGTAAGCCTAAGTATGTTTGCAACTTCGCTTTTTTTCCACCCAGCAATATATCTTAGAGACATTTTCATAGCAGCAAATACACATCCTCCTCTTTTTTATTCCATTATGTGGAAAATCGTATTTATTTCAAATTGGTCCCTGAATGGCAGGCACTTTTTTTCCAGTGATTTCCTCTTAGAGATAATGCTGCCATGCACCTTCTTGAACACATATAGAAAATGAATTTTTTAAAAAATATGCATCTCTTAAAAAAGCCCTTCCTTTCAGCTCAGGACAGGAAGTGCCCTATGATATGAAGCAAGCACACAACAAACCTCCTGGACCTGTCCGCATCACACTGTGACTCACCAGCCGCGCGCGTGCTGGGCAGGTAGAGGCTGGAGCGGTCAGGAGCATGCCTGGCTCCTGGTGCCTCTCTATGGAGAGCACCTCTGTGCCTCTCTGAGAGCACTCACAGCCAAAAGTACACAGCTGCCCCCAGGCTGAGAGTGCTTGATACACCCTTGAATCCCCTCTTATATGATGCCCCAGCCCAGGAGAGATAAAAGCATCAGCACCATGAGATTCACCTGCCTCTGGTCGTTAGGTAAGTTCACAGGCACTAGCGTTGAAAGATTCTAGGACTGAGGGATGTTAAACTCAATTAAATTTACCTGGACGCAGCAATTGCTTAGCTGGTGGTGTGTCCAAGTTAAGAAACTAAAATGCTAATGTGTAGCACCAGTGCCTCTGATGGCTTAGTGGCTTCTCTGAAAGTGGGTAACCAGAGTAAGATTTTATTTTAGCTTACTTTTTAGCTTACTCTATTTTGTTTAAAAATGTGGTTTGTGTTTAATCCTCTGGAAGTCCTCTGTGTCAGCATGGCTTTTCTTTCCTGCTGTGTGGGACTTTATACAAGACATCTCTTGCCAGATTTTGGAATTCCCTGGCAAGGAAGAGAGGCAATTTGAGTAACCTGGCCACAGACAAATACATTTCACTTCAGCAAAGCTTTTCAGATGTCATTGAAGATGTGTGAGAAACCAGATAGAAAGCTATAGAAAATGCTCTTTGAAAAAGTATTCCCTCATTGACTGCTTAGTGAAGCTCTTGCCATACGATCTCCTGAATGGGATAGATAACTTCAGGTCGTTGCTTTGCCAAGGAGAGGTTTGTTAGACCATAGGGACAGGGCTTGGGTGATGGTCAACTGTCTCAGTACAGGCTATGTGGGGCCTCCTTTACAGCTTCAACAATAAGTATCAAGGCTAGGGTCAAAATGTACATAGTTTGGTTTGCTTGTCTTTTTTTTTTTTTTTTGAAACAGAATCTCGCTCTGTTGATCAGGCTGGAGTGCAGTGGTCCGATCTCGGCTCACTGCAACCTCTGCCTCCTGGGTTCAAGCGATTCTCCTGCCTCAGACTCCTGAGTGGCTGGGACTACAGGTGCACGCCACCACGCCCGGCTAATTTTTGTATTTTTAGCAGAGGCAAGGTTTCACCATGTTGACCAGGATGGTCTCGATCTCCTGACCTCATCATCCACCCACCTCGGCCTCCCAAAAGTGCTGGGATTACAGGCATGAGCCACTGTGCCCTGCTGCTTGTCCTTTTTAAAATAATGCTCATGTGCCTGTTTGAAAAGTCAATGCTGGCTTACGTAGTTTCTCCCTGAAGAGTATATTTTGGAGTTACTCCTGATTGCTCTTAACTTCCTTTGTGAAATGTGGCCAATTGATAGTTATTCGAAGACAAGCATATGCTTACTTTAAAGGGACCAACAAAGTTCTTGATCATCTGACAACTTTGTTGTTTCAATAACAGCATTTGGCTTACAAATAAGGCTACTCAGAAATCACCATTTTAGTGGGACTTGAGGAGGGGATTCAAGTAGGGAATAGAGAAGGAGTTGAGTAAAAGTCCTGAGGCCAACACAAGAGATGCAGGATGAGCTGGCTAGAAGGAGAAGGCTGTTCTGTTTTTTATTTTTAAAAAAAGGAGCATTAATATAAAGAAAACATAAGAAAAAAAGAGCTAATGGAGGTGTGGTGGCTGGGGTGGGGGAATGGACTAACCTAAGAGGTCCTGGTCAGGCTGGGACAGAGCTTTGGACACAGTTCACTGCTGATTCCCAGCACCATGTGGAAATCCAGTCCTATACTTTATAGGCACTGGGCACTAGCTGATTGTGCAACTGGAACCTGGTCTAAGACTTTCATGAGCAGGGTCCAATCACCAGGTTTCATGGGGCTATGGAAATAAATCCTGACCAGAGATCAAGTGGATTAGGACCCAGGAGACAGGCACTGATTCTTAGGAAATCATCCAGGGAAGCTTTCTGTCTGCCCCCCTCCCCTTCCCACCTGCACAGGGGTGTCCCATTTCCTGTCCAGTCTCCCTAAACAGCATTTATGTTCTGAACTAGTTCAGCTCCATAGAGAAGCTTTTGTTAAGCATTCATTAGCTTGTAAGATTTTTTTTTCACCTATGAAATTCTCTCAAGTCTTTTGACATTGTCAAGTGCCACAATGATTGGTTTGAACAACTGTGACTTTCAGCTGCCTGAAGACTTGTAATGCCATCCCTGTGGATTGTAGATTCAAACGCAGGCATCTTTTAGTCAACAGGAGGAAACATGAGAAAGGGACGTAGGGTCCTCTCTCCCTGCCTTTGGGGTCTGCAAGCTAAAACCTGTTTTTCCAACTAACCTATCAATCTTCTAGTCAATCTTGATTCTAGTTCCTGTAAACAGATCAATTTCCTAGAGAGACAGAATACCAGGGTGCCTGGTTTAGGAGTCAGAAAATCTGGGTTCAGTATTGTCCCTACCACCAATGACTATCCATGGCCCTTCAGCAAATCTTTCAGTACTTCCCCTTAAGTAAAAAAGAAGAGGTTGATGGCCGGGTGTGGTGGCTCACACCTGTAGTCCCAGCACTTTGGGAGGCTGAGGTGGGCGGATCAAGAGGTCAAGAGATAGAGACCATCCTTGTCAACATGGTGAAACCCCATCTCTGTTAAAAATACAAAAATTAGCTGGGCGTGGTGGCGCATTCCTGTAGTTCCAGCTACTCAGGAGGCTGAGGACAGGAGAATTGCTTAAACCCGGCAGGTGCAGGTTGCAATGAGCCAAGATCACGCCACTGCACTCCAGCCTTGGGGACAGAGTGAGATTCCATCTCAAAAAAACAATAAATAAAGAAAACAGAAAGAAAAAAAGAAAAAGTTGGATCAAGATGCACAAAGATTTCAATACCCCAAAAGGAAGAGCTGAAACTAACAAGATTAGATTTAAAACAGTTAGTTGCAGAGATAGATGCTGGGAAAGAGCTAACCCTGCTATTCCTATAGAAAAGGCTCTGTTGCCCAGAGCTGAATGTGAAACAAGAGTGAGCTATGGCTGCTGGTATAGCTCACCATCACTGGCAGCATTGATAGAAGCTAGGAGGTTAGAGGCCTGCTTTACTGTGCCCTGGTCTGGCCATGGCATATCCTGCCCCCAGTCTCACATTTGCCTCCAATCCTCTCTCCAACTTGTAGTCAGAGTGATTTTTCTTAAAATCCAAATTTGATTGTGTCACTCTCCTGCTTAAAAGCCTTCAGTGGCTTTCCATTGCCCTCAGCATAGAATCTCATACAATGTCCCTTGTGATTTGGCCCCTGCTGACGTCTCCAGACTATCTCTTGTACTCCACTGATCCATGACCCTCACCTCTGATGAGGCTAGAACAAATCATATTTCACTTGTTCCCTTTGAAATGCCTAGCCTTCCGTTGACATTATGAGAGGTGTAATAACTCACCTTCTTGCCAAGGGCTGCCAGGAGGAAGTGGGATATGATTTGCTCTGGCCACAGCAGAGGGCACAAATAGTATCTCTGGTGGGAGGGAGATGGACATGGTGCAATCTTAGAAGCAGCTTTGGAAAATGCTATGATGTGCTATATTTGGGTACATTTGGTAGAGGAAGGGTGTATTGTGGAGAAGGGATAGCTTCCTGGTGACCCAAGGAGCAATCTGGCCCTAAAAGGCCTCAGCACCTTCTCAGGAATGTGGTTGGAAGGATTCTTGTGTTGCGTGAGGTGTTCATATAGATAAAATATTAAAGATCCTGCAGAGTATGGATTCTAAGATCTGCAGGTCCCTGACAGCTCTAAAACATCACACAATTTAGAAAACTAAACAGACATTCTAACTTATGACTTATTTTCCTTAGCAGCTTCTAGGTATTTACCTATTCCAAATCTGCCCTTGATGCCTGGTTCACTTCATTGTTCCACTGGGAAAGGAAAAAGAGACATAGAGACGTTATATAACTTGTTGTAGTTTTTGCAGGTAATAATAAGAGGCAGAGTCTTAATAGGAAACAGAACTCTCAGTTCCTAGGCACTAAAGCAGATGCTTTTCCAGGTCCTTGATGACTTCATGTGCCAAGTTGCCCTATGTCGTGTCTCTTACCATTTACAATTCATGCCTGAATTCCATGTATAAAATTCAAGAACACAACTCTGACAGGGTGGCTGTGGGTATGGGCTCTGGAATTAGATTGCCTGTGTAACCTCAGAAAAAGTCACTTAATTTTGCTGTTTCTCCTATTTCAGCATCTCTCAGTTTCCTCATCTTTCCATTTCTCCATCAATAAAATGGATATAATAATGGAATTAACCTTGTAGGGTTGTTATAAGGATAAAATGAGAACACAGTACATGGGTATAGTAAATGCTTAATAAACATTAGCTAGTATTATTAGTACTGGATAAGGACTGGATTGGAAATAAAGATAATTGATTTATCATTCCCTTGTGAAAGGTATAGTACAGTGGTCTTCAGACTATTTTCTGTGTAACCTCAGAAGTTCCTCAGAGCTTCCACTGAGAGCCGGGACTGGGTTTAATGGGTGAGAGATGACACCACTTGCATAGATGAAATAAATGGGGTGGGAGTGTGCACCAAAATGGTGCTCCTGTGCTGCTGTCTGTGGTCCTGAAATACAATTTGTTAGTAGGACCTAGCTAATTCTCTAGAAAACTGGTGGGTACTCTATTGCCCCATGTCTTTCCTCCCTCCCTAGTAACTCCTTGCCTATGACTAGTTCTCCCACCAACGACTATTTGGATAAATTGTTGATAACCTATTGAAGCATTAGTTTCCTTATATTTTAATATAGGTATTTTCTACCCACCCCCTCTGTATGTTCATGGGGATGCTCCCAGGTTATGTGCCATCCTATATATATAAACTCCTCCCTCAATGCCTGCCTGAGGGACATAGTCAGAAAGGGACAACATAGTGGCAACAAAAAAATGTTTGCCTCTGAGCTCCCTCCTAGTAGAGTCACTGGAACCCCAAGCCCACTGAAGGCATAGCCCAGTTTCTACTTGCAGAGTCCCAGGGGGCCCACATAGATTTTTAGCAATCATTCAAGTTTTTCTGAGGCCAGGATCAGAGCAGAGGCACTCTCTTCACTGTCTCCTGGTGGCCTACGTGAGCTGTCATTGCCTCTGCCATTACTGATGCTGTACCTCCTTTCTGGTAGTCCTTATGGTGGGGACAGGGCAGGGCACTCCCCCAGCAGCTCTTCCGTTAGATGCCTCGAAGTATTCTCTTGCTGTTTCAACTTAAAATCTTCTCGACCAAGGACTTGGGATTGATCTCCAGTGGAGCCTGGGCCAAGTGACAGTTGAGCCACCTTCTGTCCCCCACTATCTTGCTGAAAAGCCTTTCCCCTTTCTGTCTCATAAGCCCAGACAGTGCAATCCATCACTGTCCCAGGATAAAGTCCAGCCTCCACTGGGCCCTCCCCAGGGAAGACAGAGGGGATGCGCTGCTTTTGTCCTCTTTCTTGGTGTCAGGGTTTTATCTGACATCCTGCAGCTCAGCTACATTCCCAACACCCTCATCAAGTAACTCTCCTGGTGGCCCACAAGTGGGTCTCCTAAGGGCATCCTGTCAGCTGAGCTCCCTCTGGGATTCCCAATCCAGGATATGAAAGTTCTGCACCAGAGGAGTTCTCCACATTGATGGAGTATTATTATGAGGAAAGAGTTGGAAAAAATTTTCCTTTTCATAGATTCACAAAGCAGAAAAGCATGCTTGGTGTTGATTTGGCCCATCTTTCTGGCTCCAAGTGGGGTTAAACTCGAACAGTAATTCTTCAAACTTAGAGAGAAAGAGAGGAAAACACCTCCCAGAGATTGAAATGCAAAAACACTCCCTTCTAAGTTGGAGGGTTTTTTTTTTCTCCTAGTGGCCACACAAATTCTCTGGTGGTGCAATTTGAGTCCTTTGCCTATTGTTCTGTCCTCAAGGGGAATCAGAGAGAAGATCATAGCCTCTTTAACTATTTCCATCACATTGCATTTCTCTCTGGCTGAGTTCTTCTCCACCCCGCTCCTTGACACACACACACACACACACACACACACACACACACACACACACACACACACATTCCTACCCACATATTTAGTCCTAAACTGTAATCACCTGTGTCCAACTTGGCTCTTGGAAGTGAAGAGGGAGCTCTGTGTTTGCAATACCACGAGCGTATTTTCCCCAAGAGCTGCTTATGCAGCAATCCAGAAATTCCCATTGCTCTGCCTTTTAATTAGTTCAGGGAGTTGCAGCCTAACGGTGTGGGTGTGCTTGCCAGCTGTGCTTTTCGGGAAGTTATATCGTCTGCTGCTCCTTCTGTCTCCTCCCCCAGGGTTGGGAAATTATAGACCCTGCTCTCTTTACCCTGTAAAACCCCAGACGCTCCAGGACCTTTTCCAGCCAGCGCTCAAAGGCCCTTGGGGACAAAGGGCGACACTCAGATCTCAGGTCTTGAAGCCTGCTGTCCTTGAGCAGGGTGGCAGAGATGACCTTTGAACTAAAGGGATTATTTTCATCTGTGACTGTTCAGTCCCCTCGGGTGACCTACCACAGAATCAGTGCTTGCTGGGGACCAGAAGAGGGATTTTATGGCTTGAGGGGTACCTGCATCTCTCCCAGGCAGCGCCCTGTTTGTTTTACAGGCTGCCAGATACCTTATCTCCACGAAATGAGAGGCCTCCAGCATCCCCTCCAGCCCCACTTCCTGCGATATCTCTACTTCCCCACAGGGGCCCTGGGCTGGCTGCATGGCTGAAATTAAATCTCTCATCGCTGCTGTCTTTTTAATTAAACTTTTTTCCCCTTCATATTTTGTTTGTGCATTCTCCCTCTGGGTGATCACATTGCACTCCCAGCTCCGGTTTTAAGTTCTCCTAGTTACCAAGATTCAGCACATCCCCCTCCTTCAAAGGGTGGGTGATGGTGTTTTTCCTGGCATCCTCCCACAGACACTTTTCCAGCTCAGCTGAGCGGCTAGTGCCTGTCTGATTTGCCCAAATGGGTGGTGCAGGTTTCTACCACACACTTTGAACTCAAACCCATCAGGGCACAATTTTCTTTCTTCACTTATCTCAACCTTGGGCATGGATTCTACTGTTGATTGCTTCGTATTTATATACCTGCTTTTTGTTGGGCTGTTGTACACACACACACACACACACAAACACACACACATTCACTCAGTCTTTTGAGCAGAGCTTCTGCCAGCCTTCCTCCTTGGCACTTGGCTTCTCCAGCACAACGTCTCTCTGCAAATGGGGTCATTCGTTGCTGCTCTGGCCATTGACTCTAATCCGACAGCCCTGCACATAGCCACTTGCTTGCCATGTAGTCCCAGCACGTCACATTGATTTTCACCAAGTGTACCTCGGCAAAGCCTGAAGACAGGCACCAGCCTTGCTATGTTCCTGTCTTTTTCAAGGCCTAGACTAAGGCAGAGCACAAACCTCAGAACTCTTTGATAGATGATGTTTTCCACTACTAGAAATATGTGCTTTTGTAACCCCTATCTAGTTTCAGAAGATCTGCCTAATTGAAATGTTGTCTTGGATGTTATATTTATTTTTCAAAATAGCAAAGTAAATTAAACTGTTATTTTCACTTAACCCATTTTCTGTTTGCCCCGAGAATACTCTTGCTTCTAATCCTAATGGAACATCATATATATTTCTGTTACATTAGGATTAGAGACAAGTTCTGCTTAGAAATAACTCCAAAAATAGTTTATATATTTTATTTTCATACCGAAAATCAGATTTCCTTCAGCCTCAAAGAGCATATTTATGTAAAATTGCTGGCAGTGAGCTGCACTTTTATTTTCTAAACAGGAAATGGGTTAATTTTCAAAAGGTGTAATACATTTATGTGGTTTGAAACACAAAAAGTATAAACTTTTTTTTTTTTTTTTTGAGACAGAGTCTCACTCTGTTACACAGGCTGGAGTGCAGTGGTGTGATCACGGCTCACTGCAGCCTCAACTTCCCAGGCTCAAGTGATCCTCCCACCTCAGTCTCCCAAGTAACTGAGACTACAGGCACATGACACCATACCTGGCTAATTTTTGTATTTTTTTGTAGAGATGGAATTTCAACATGTTGCCCAGACTGGTCTGGAACTCCTGTGCTCAAGTGATTCGCCTGCCTCGGCCTCCGAAAGTGCTGGGATTATAGGCATGAGCCACCCTACCCAGCCAAAAAGTATAAATACTCTTAGACAGCAAAAATGCTTTCTCCCAGTCTTGTTCCCTTGTTCTCAGTTCCCACCCTGCCTGGATAACTACTGTTCTTGGTTTCTTGTGTTAAAGATGGATCTTGATAGTCTCGTACCAGATTCAAAAATCAGTCAACTACTTCAAAAACAATGACATGCTGGCTACTTAAATAGAAAAGGAGGCTTTTTTTTTACTCTGTCACACATTTGCTGCCTAGGATTGAATTACCTGCCCTGCTCCCCACCCTCAGAGCTATATAAATTCTGTCCTAAACTTTTTCTGTTTCTGACAGTCTCTACAACATAGCCTTTGTTGTACTATGAATTTTTATCTCAGCCATCTTTGTCTAAGTTTCTTTGTTTCGATGTCTTGAAGCTTAAAGCAGATTCTATTACTTGGAAGCTTAGTGAATTGGCCCCAGTTAATCAGATAAGCACTAAATAAATTCCCTGGAAACCTCCAACAGATAGACTTTAAAAGATCCAGCACAATCGGTTTATCCTGACAAGATTACAGCTGATACGGTGAAGATGGAGGAGACTCTGGTTTTCTGAATAACTTGAAGCGGACTCTAAGAAAGAGGAAGGCATCAGGAATGTGGACGGGCAGCCGTGCTCAGGCTCAGGCTGGATGTGTGCTGTGGCCAGCAGCGGCTCTGGACGGCAGTCAGCAAACCAGGCAACAAGAACCCAGCATTCCTGCAGTCAGAAAGAAAATTCATCTGGGAAGAGGGACCTTTAGAGAGCTCTGGCTGCCCACTTCCTGGGCACTCTTGCTTCTCAGTCTGGAGGAAGGACCCTGGTAGCTCAGTCATGGTCAGCACCATCTCCAAGACTGCCCAGCACAGTCCTCCAACACTTTACCCCAAACACATGCACACTTAGTGTTACCTAATGCATTTGTCCCAAGTCATCACTTCTCTACAAAGAGCTTTTAATTCACTGGCTCAGGTGGCTCTGGATGAGTTAGGAGGGGTCACCAATGTGGTTTCCTCTGAGGAAACTCTCTCCACAGGGTTGTTCTGTAAACTGACTATCCCACACATCTCTGTGACCTGGTACTGCATTTAAAGATGTTGGTCAAACTCATGGAAGCAGAGTAGCATGGTGGTTGCCAGCGATTGGCAGAAGGGGAAAGGGGAGATGATGGTCAAAGGGTACAAAGTTTCCGTTACACAAGACAAATAAGTTCTGGAGATCTACTATACACCATAGTGCCTGTAGCTTTGAATGCTATATTATATACTTAAAATTTGCAGGCCAGGAGCGGTGGCTTATGCCTGTAATCTCAGCACTTAGGGAGGCCGAGGTGGGTGGATCACAAGGTCAGGAGTTTGAGACCAGCCCAGTCAATATGGTGAAACCCCATCTCTACTAAAAATACAAAAATTAGCCGGGCATGGTGGTGGGCGCCTATAGTCCCAGCTACTCAGGAGGCTGAGGCAGGAGAATCGCTTGAACCTGGGAGGCGGAGGTTGCAGTGAGCCAAGATTGTGCCACTGCACTCCAGCCTGTGTGACAGCAAGACTCTCTCTAAAAAAAAAAAAAAATTGCTAAGAAGGTAGACCTTATGTTAAGTGTTCTTACCACACACACAAAAATAATGATAATAATAATAAAGGGAGTGGGAGGAAACTTTGAGAGGTGATGGATGGCCTTGGTGAATGGTGTCGATGGTTTCACAGGTGGTATCTACAGAGTCATCAGGTTGTATACATTAACTATGTCCAGTTTTCTACCTGTCAATCATATCTCAGTAGAGTAGTTTAAAGAAAAGAGATGCTGACTGGTGATCCTAGAGATGGCCCCAGGTCCCACAAGATTCAGAATAACCAAGACCAGGGAAATGTGCTGTAGTCTCAGTAGGTAGTATTAATATTAACATTTGATTGTGAGGCTGTGAAAACTGACCATTCTTATATGGTGAGTGTGGTTTCTATGGTAACACCACATTAAATATTTATTAAGAAAATGTTATTCTCAAGCCACACCTAGTAGGAGTGGTTATTGTACACAGCACTGGAGACACACAAAGGGAAAGCAAGTACTTTTTTTGGGTAAACCACTTGGTCCTTAATTAGGAGTTGGGAGGAAAATACAGGGTCCTAGCTATGAGCTATGCCCACCTTTAGCCACCTCCCCTAGGAGTAGCCCCCGGGATGTCCACTGAAGCTCATCCTGACCTTGGGGATATCCTCTGACCTCTGAGCAGGGGAGCTCAATCCTTAGGGCTGCCTGGCGTAAGAGCGAGGTCCCACTTGAACAGGAGATGCAAACATGTGTGCTACAGTGGGGCGGACACCTTCCCCTAGGACTGTGGATGTGGCCTGGGGTAGACCGGGCAAGAGGAAACCTCTGGACCCAGACTCCCACTTAGGAGGCAGAAGTGCTCAATCAGGGGCATATACAGAGCCCAAAGGAGAGCTAGATACCAAAATTGAAGAGAGGAAGCATTCTGACCAGGTCCCCCACACTGAAGAACCCAGGTAGGTGTGGAAGCCCGGGTGAGAGGCAAGGACTCTGGGCACCCTAGGCACTGAGGAGAGAGGCAGGAGGGGCAGGCTTGGTGTCATGGGGAGCCAGGTCTCCTGGTAGCGATGTGGGGATGGGCCTGAGCAGAGGCACATAGGTGGAAGACTGTGGCAGCAATTCAGGAAGAGAGTGGTGATAGCCGCAGCAGAGATGTGACTGTGAGAGGCAGGAGATGGAGGCCACAGATATCACAAGGGTAGACTCTGTAGGGCTTGGTGCCTGGGCTGGGGTGGGAGAGGGGAGGGAGGTCTCAGATCATGCCCATGTTCCTAGCTTGGCTGATGCGATGAATGGCGGTGTCAGAGACTGGGACATGGAGGAAGGGTTGGGTCTATGGAGAAAGAGGATGAAGGAGGCCTAAGAATGGCTGAATGGGAGGGGCCTATGGGACATCCATATTCCAGAAACATCATCACAGGAAGGAATGAGAAGAGATGGGCCCCCTGGAAGTGTGGGAGGATTGAGAAGCGCAGACACACAGACCCAGGCAGCAGCGTGGGGTGTTCTGGTGGAGGAGGGCAGGGGCTGTGATGAGTCAAATCTGCTGTGGCAAGCAGGAGACAGGGGCCTGTCTGGAAATGACAGCAGCCTTCAGTTCTGCCTTAAGATTTCCAGTGGTGGACAAGAAATAAATGTGGGCTTTCAACAGCACTTTCCGGATCTATGTGTGATCAGGTGGAGGGGTGTGTGAGGTCCAAGGTAGTCCATCCTTGACAAGTGGAGTCATGGAGGGTGACAGAGCTGGATCCCATCAGTGGTGTGCTGGAGCCAGCTCCTGCCAGCTCAGCTCACAGACTGATTGTGCGCATCTCTTCCCAACTCTGCATTCAGTGACATCATATTCATAGCTTGAAATCGGCCATAGTGGTAGCATTTACACCATGGAGGTTGGCAAATGCTGCAAGTCAGGCCTTTATGTTCCAGAAAGCCAATGTTAAATATTTACTGGCACACCAGTGGGGTGGAAGAGGGAGCAAAGCTGCATGTGGGCAAGTGAAAATGGATGAGTCTGGAGAGAGAGGTGGGCAGGAGCCAGAAAAATGAGCTAAGAAGACTGGAGAACAACTGAGAAGCAGTATAATTACTGTGCATTGCTCGAGAGTGAGGAATTTAAAGCCTGGAGGCTTGAGTTCAAATTCTGGCTCTGTCACTAGTTGTATGACCTTAGCCAGGTTACTTAACCTTTCTTGGCCTCAGTGTTCTCCTTTATGAAATGGGAGAAATAATGCCTACTTCATGAGGTTATTGTGAGATTTCAACACATTTTGCATGTAAGCACTTAGAACAGAGCCTAGCATGCAGTAGGCATTCAACAGTAAGTGTTAGCAGGCTGGCTGCAATGCTCATGTCTATAATCCCAGCACTTTGGGAGGCCGAGGCAGGAGGATCACGTGAGGCAAGCAGTTCAAGACCAGCCTGGGCAACATGGTGAGACCCCAACTCTAAAAAACATTTAAAAATTAGCCATGTGTGGTGACGTGCACCTGTAATCCTAGCTACTCTGGAGGCTGAGGTGGGAGGATTGCCTGAGCCTGGGAGTTTGAGGTTACAGTGAGCTGTGTTCATGCTACCACACTTGTAACAAGCAAGACCCTGTCTCAAAAAACAAAACAAAATAGAAAAACAGTGTTGGCTATTGTAGAAGAGTTTATGTAGATCATGACATGATTGTATTTGTCTTTTGGAATGAACCCCACAGTGTAGAGAATAGATTGAAAGGGGCAAGAGAGAAAGCAGGAAGAACAGGCAAGGAGTGGTCATTTGACAAGAGATGGGGGAGCCTAAGCTAAGGTGGAGAGAAGAGAGGAGATTTGAAGGAGCTTGAGGTGGAATGGAGGGGACTGGGAGATTAATTGACTATGATTCAGGAGGGAGAGAGAGAGAGTGGGTGAGGCAACTTAGAAGAGGCTTTGGGAAAGAGGTTGGGATCAGGCTGGGGTTTGAAGGGCCATCTTTGCAGAGAAGAGGGAGGAGGAAGCAATATGGGAGGAGAACAAGGGTTTTTCAGAGAGTATTGGGGTTGGGGATGGAATATGTGGTAGGACGTGACAATGATTGGGTTCGGGGTGAAGGGTGTCATTTCAGCAGAGAAGCATGAGTCCGTAGCACGTCAGGTCCCTCTGTGGCCTGGCCTGCCTTTGCCTGGCTCTGGGTCTTAGCCAGGTGTGGCCATCAGCACATGTCCTCCTGCTGCCCTTGCTAACTTGTCTGCATCCACTGCTACTGCCACTGGGTGTACACGAGCTCTCAGCAGAATGGTTCTGAGTTCTGACCCAATTCTATGGTCACCATGATGGGGAGCCTTGCTTGACAGTTTTGTCTTTCTGTATGTGGATGGTGCACAGAGCAGAGCTGGGGACAGTGACCCTTCAGGGGTCTGTTAGCATGAGTTGATGTGCATGGAGGCTTTCATTTCTTAGCAAAGGAGGTGGAAAGATCTCTTGCTTGTTAACTGTGCATCATGAAAGTGAGAGAAGGACAATGGAGGAGTGAGATGTGTCTGTCTTCAGCCTGGTCCCTGGTGCTGCTGTCTTCAGCCCCTATGGAGAGAGAGCTTGAAGGAAAAAGTTTAAAGAGCTATTTTCATGAGGTACTTTGTGATACTTAGAGCACATATTCTGCTTCTGTGGGACCCTGGTGACAAGGTGTGGCACAGAGTCAGGGAGAAAACCATGATCCCAACTCTTGCAGGAAGTCAGCACTGTGGGCCTGCATGCTGGTGCTCTTATCATAAACCCTGAGAGCCCAGACAGCAGTATGGTACCCTCAAGTGGCTTCTTGGGTGAGGATATCAATGAGAGAAAACCGGAAGGGGACAGGAATAGCAGGGAGGATGCTATTGATGTAATCAATGGACTGGCTCATGGGCATGTAGGCAAGTGGGGTAAGAACACGATCTTTGTGTTATTGAATTTCTTTGGAATTAAACAGGATCCACAGGAAGGTGGCCTGGGGATGTTCAGATTACCCATGAAAGTGAAACATTAGAAGACCACATTCATGCTGGCTTGGCTGGCTTGAGCTCGGGGGTTTGCCGTGGCTGCCCCAGCTGGGATGGCTGAGGGCACACAGTAACTGCAGGGCTAGGTGCTCTCAAGGTAATTCATCTGTCTCCAAGCCTTTCTGGGTCACCACTTACGCCTGCTCTCATGGTGAAAACAAAGAAAAGACTTCAACCAAAGACCAGCCTGTGGTTTCAGCAGGTCCAGGGTGGTCCTTGCCTGAGCTGGAGTGTCCTTTGGTGATAGGATGGCACCTACTAAGGTGTTAGGTATTAATCTCAGTGGGGAAGGGGTGGGTGAATTTCAGAAGCAGGGTTGGAGCTTCAGCCTCAGGAGGCCAGACCTCCTCTCTGAGCAGTTCTACACTGGTTGTGTTCACTGGTTCCAACTTTTTAAAGACAAAACTGGCTCAGGACGTTGGGGTCAGCAGAAATAGGTGGAAACTGCTTTGGAGATTTAGTGTTCTAGGGAGTGGAGGTTCCACACCCCCGTCATCTCAGCCTTGTGTCTCTACAGGGGGCAGACTCCTGCCACCAGCTCTGTCCCAGCAGGATTCTACTCCACATGCCTAAAATCATCTCCTTGACCCTAAGTTCCTGCTTTCCATATTTGTGTTAATGGCCCCAGCATAAAACCACAGTAGTTATCATTTCTGAGTGTCCTACATGCTGTCCCATCTCACTTCTTCCAACAGGAGTGGCTTATATTTCCTTTTAGTTCCCACTGTCTACCATGGTCCATGTGGACCATCAGTCACATGCCTTGCTCCTCTCTGGCCTCAAAGGTGCCATGAAATGGAAATCTGGCCAATCAGAGACCTCTATTCCTTGGGCCACAGTGATAGGTCCAGGGATGAACTCCTGACCAAGGCCTGGCCAATCAGAGTCTCTCCTGGGACCTTTCTACCAGAGGTCATGGGAAAGCTCACCTATGTTTGCTGGGAGATGAGTCTGGGGCTGCCTAGAACACTTGCCTGCCCACAGAAGGAGCCTGGCCATGAGTGGAGCTGTGCCTGCAGCAAGAAGTTTCCTTACACTTCCTAGTGACATGGCTAATACATTCCTTCTTCTTTTTTTTTTTAAGCTAATTTATATAGGTTTTTACCATTTGCAACTAAATCTAATGCAACCACAACAGCATCCAAATTTGATTTCTCAAATTTATCTTTATTTTATTAGTCTCCATAATGTCTCTCATATCTGTCCCTTCCTTTCCATCCTAACTGGAGTGAGTAAAGCACCTGCTACCATGCTTCATCATGCTTTATACCTGGAAGACACCCTCCTGCTCCCCACTTCTCATTGAGTCTCACCCGAAGTCAGACCTTTATCGCCTTATAAGCTGGATTATTGCTGAGTCCCCACTGAAAATCATGAAAGATCAAAGTCAAATACCTTAATTCCTAGTGCAAGACTTCCTTTGATTCTAATCTTTCTTTTCAACCCTCCCTTCCCCTATTTGTCTCTTAGATGACCTCTCTGAATGGTTAGCCCGAAAACTCCAGAAATGCCTTTTTTTTTTCCTGTGGGCCACATTTATTCATTCATTCACCATGGCCTTTTGTATGCCAGGCACTTGCTGGGTCTCTGCCTGGAACACCTGCTTTTTTATCTGAATCCTGTTCCTGCTTTCACACCTAGTTTACGTAAGTTACCCTTCCTCCAGCAAGCTTTCCCTGACCTACTGACCCACTCACTGGATAGGTCCAGTTTATCCCTGGACCTTTCACTGTGGCCCAAGGAATGGAGATCTCTGATTGACCATATTTCCATTTCATGCCACCTTTGAGACCAGCGAGGGGCAAGGCATGTGGCTGATGGTCCACGTGGACCATGGTAGACAGTGGGACCTAAAAGGAAAAATGAGCCACTGGTCTGTTCCAGCCCTGGACCTCAGCAGCACCTCCTGTGTGGCTTTCTGGTGTGCTCATGGCAGCTCATCAGGCTATCATTTTCTCTTTCTTATGTGTATTATCTTCTTCCAAATAACGCAAGGGCAGGTGTGTTCCTTCTCTCCCCTGAATCATTTAGTGTGGTGCTTGACAGGTACCTAGTGGGCTTTCCAGCAACATTTGTCATTTGGTTATTTAAATGTTTGATTGATGCAGTTGGCATGAAAATGAAGAAAAAACAGGAAACTTAAAAAGCAAAAATTGCTTGTGAGGCCCCAATGGTACTCTCTGCTCCACACACTCCTTCCCCTAGCACCCATAGAGGCCGCTTGGTAACACAGCCAGGTGCCACCTCTGGTGCTGTCTGGCAGACAGCCTTCCAGCCAAGAACTACTCCTGCCCCTCCTGAATGCCCAGCTCAGTGTGGTGCTGCAGTTACCCTTGGCCAGTGTTACTTAGGAAATTAGCCGGACACTGGAGGGTTAAAAACCTCTCTCTTTTTTGTGAAGGGTAGAGAAAGAGAGATCTTTCCTGTCTATACTATGCTTAGCTTTCGGCGCCTTCCTGTTATCATAATGGTTTTTTGTTGGTGGCAAAAGCCTTTTCAGACCAGTGAGGCAATATTTCACCCTTGGCCACACTTTAAACATTGTTGTCAGGGGCCGGCTAACTGTGCCGCAGGATGTGGGTTGCATCAGCCTGTGATGTATGCTTGTGAGGTTAGTTTGGGGATAATGACTGGCTGGGGTTATACCTAATTTTGCACAATAGTGTTGGGAGAGGGATAACAGGGTGCTAAGAGTTATACACTGAATGCTCTTGGCTAGGAAATGCAGGCCCAGAACCTTCCACCATTCCCTGGCATCTGGCCAACCAGCCCCCTGATGGCCTGAGAAAGGTTCACAGTGCAGACAGCTGGACTTTTCTCCTATTCGGTTCTCTAACAGCCTCTCCTCAGTTGCCACCCACTGTCCCTCCTCCCAAATGCAATAGAAAAATAAAGATAGGTGGCAGTGATACCCAGGGGGTGAACACAGAGCAGAGAACCACACTGGACCTGATAAAGTGACTTGGTGAACGCTGATAGGCAGACATCACTCCTAGCTTTGGTCAGTATTTCTCAGTTCCCAAGAACATTTCTCAGCTATTCTCCTCACCCAGTGCCTATGAGTCTGCTATGCTTTAAAAATGACATACACTAGGAAGTGCAAAGCAGAGTAAGGTTGTAATCACCTTTGAGAATCTAGTGAAAGTGTCATAGATTTAGACCATCATAGAACTGGCTCCCGATTAGGGGTGTTTTCCAGACCAACTCTTTGTCTGCACTGGAACTCTCCTGTTAGGCTTAAGCTGGTCGTCTGGGCTCCATCTACAAGATGGCAGCCAGTTCTTCTTCACACTGGGTCTGCCCTGCAGCTTCCAGCTGACACTTGTTCTTTTCCAGCCACTGGCAGGGCTCCCTGGAAACTCTTCTTTGTCCTCCCCTGGCCCTGTATCCTGATGGATCAGGCCAAGGCGTTGACCTAGAGCAGTGCAGACCAGAGGCCGCAGCTTTATACTCCTCTTTCTCTGGTCTCTGACAGGTACAAATGCTAGGCAGGCTGCCCTCATCTCCCTTATGAACCAAGACACTAGTCCTCCTGACTTCGGGAGTGCTGCCTGCTGATGGGTCGGTCCTTCCCTGGGAGTTGCCTTCAGCCAGTGGGAGCTGCCTCCCAAAAGTTACATGCCCCAGGCACAAGTGGACGATGCAGCAGTACCAAGGGCTCCTCCTTTCCCTCCATTCAAGATATCTCTGAAGGGCCAACTTGGCTTCAGAGCTCCCCGTGAGATCAGTTGAGGCCTCTAGTACGATTTTGCACTACTCAACCTTGTGTCCGAGCCTCCTTTCTCTCCCTCATGGGTATTGTTCCCAAGAGCACATTTGCATGTAAATTTCCTTCTCAAAGTCTGTTTCCCAGACAACCTGACCCATGGCACTTAGAAATAATGGGCAAGAGGCTGCCAGCACAGAGGCCAGCATGTGCATTCTGCAGGCTACTCTCACACCAGCAAGGAAGCTGTGTGGTGGGAGAAGCAATGCCTGGAGACTGTACACCCAAGAGATTGGGAGGGTGATGAATGAATGACCCAGAGGAGGAAGAGTTGACTCTGGAGGATGCCTGCCTAGCCCTCTGCAACCCATGCAGGATTGCCTTTTCCCAATTGAAGGAAGAGGAGAAAAAATGAAGTGCAGAGGAGTCGTGATGCTCGCTGAAGGGTCAACTATTTATACAACAGTTAACCCAACACATATTGCAAAATGATCTTACTCCTTGTTGCCTAGGCAAACTTCCCTCCCAGTCATTGCTTCTCTCCCTTGAAAGTTGGCCTCGGAATTGGTGCAGCGAGACTTCCCAGCAGCTGTCTCAGTGGAGTGAGATGTGAACGCAAAGTGGACATCAGAGAAAAGAGAAAATGGGGGGAGCTGCTGTCTGCTCCACTCCTCTGTGGGAGAAGAGTGGTGTGGAGGAGAGAGGTCATCAGGTAGGCCTGGCCCAACTTCTTTGGCCGGGCTTCAGCCCCCAGGCCCCATGATTGTGTGCCCCTTTTGGAAGACCACTCCTCACTATAACAGAAGACAGGAGTAAAGGTCTTCCTCTTTGCACCTCAACATGGATTCCAGAGGCTAAAACACACTAACCTGCCCATCAGACCCAGAACAGACCCCAACCGGCAGAGACTTTCCTACTGTGGGAGCTGAACTGGAACTGCAGCTAGTCAGGGGACATGCCTGCAGGTCCTCCCCACCCCTCCCTAACTCCAAAGAGGCCAGTCCAGCTCAGCATCTCTGCCTTTTCCATTCCAGGCAACTCTAGAAGCCTAGAGTGTAAATTTTGTAAGGCCAGGCACCCCCACATTTGGGGATAACCATTACATAGCACTTGGCACAGCAGCCATAGGAATGCCAGGGACTAGTCATCAAAGCCATGAGACTCTCTGAGTGCTGTTGATGCCAAAAATCACTCTAACCCTTCCCAGAGGCTGCACCTGGGCATTCCCTGGAGTGTTCCTTATGGAGCATGGACAGTGGGCACAGACACACTTCTTTCCAAATGGAATATTGCCTCTTAGGAACTAACCAAGGCCCTTTCAGTTTCTGTTAAGGTTTTTGTTCAAAAGTAATTTTTAAAAATGTTTTATAACCATTTTAATTGGAATTGGAAAATTAGCACATATACTGACTTGCTTTATCAGCTTTTCCCCCACCTTTTAAGAGATCCCAGAGAATAGGAGAAATGAAATGCAAAATTTACAAGAACTTGTATAACATAAAGTGGTGCTGGGCTCTTCGGTTAGTCACCAGGGTGGTTCCTGGCATGAAGCACCAGCCATTCGTGTCCCATGCAAAGGAGGGTTCTGGACGACTTCAGGGTGGTGGGGTGTTGATTATTAGACCAGGGAGTGGTATTACAGAGATAGAATGGCTTGGGAAGGGGTTAAGAGTGAACACTCCAATAACAGCCTTTGGGTGACCCTGGGCCAACCATTGTTTTCTAAGAGAAGGGGAACCCAAGCCACCAAGGGCACTAACACACAAGGGGGAAAGAAAACAATTCTAGACCACTGCATGCAATTAAAGAGCAGCTTAATTTGGTTCTTTTAGGTTATAGATCACTCTCAAATCCTGCTTATCAGTTCTGTGCATTTTGTCTGTGCTATTGGCAGTTCTCCACAATTCACTGAAATTGTCAGAGGCTCTAGACAGGAGAGCCACAAAGCCCATGAAACTGGGGACGTATTCTCCCCACTCTTACTTGTCAAGAGCAGGTGAACTTCAGTAGCAAGCTGGCTCCTGCTGTGGGAATTTCCACTCTGTTTGGCTTGAGCCCTGGAGTCAGTGTGACTCCAGATAACCTCGAGATGGGACACAACAAAAAATTTAAATGATACAAAAGTCCCTGTCATTAGATATTATCTTAGATAATTTTAAGTGATTAAATGTTTCCTCCCTTTTGCATGCACGCACACACATGCACACGCACACGTACAACACACACATACCTCTTCACTCTATATCTTTTTATATATAGTCGTGTGTAGCTTAATGATGGGGATACATTTGGAAAAATGCATTATTAGGTGATTTTATCATTGTGCAAACATCATAAAGTGCACTTACACAAACCTAGATGGTATAACCTGCTGCATACCTCTGCTATAGACTATAGCCTATTGTTCCTAGGCTACAAACCTTTACAGCATGTTACTGTACTGAATACTGTAGGCAACTGCATCAGAATGCTAAGTATTTGTGTATCTAAACATGTCTGAACATAGAAAAGATACAGTAGAGCTACAATATAAAGATTTAAAATGGTACACCTGTATAGGGCACTTACCATGAATGGAGCTTGCAGGACTGGAAGTTGTTCTGGGTGAGTCAGTGAGTGAGTGGTGAGTGAATGTGAAGGCCTAGGACATTACTGTGCACTACTGAGGACTTTATAAACACTGTACACTCAGGCTACACTAAATTTATTTTAAAACTTTATTTTTCTTTCTTCAATAATACATTAACTTTTTAACTTTATAAATGTTTTATTTTTTTAACTTTTTTGATTCTTTCATAACACAACACACAAACATGTTATACAGCTATGCAAAAATATTTTCTTTATATTCATATTTGTTAAGCTTTTTTCTATTTTTAAAATTTTTTACTTAATATTTTTAGTTTTTAAGTTTTTTGTTTTGTTAAAAACTAAGACACAAGCACACACGATTAGCCTCAGCCTAGGCAGGGTCAGGATGATCAGCATCACTGTGTTTCACCTCCACATCTTGTCCCACTGGAAGGTCTTCAGGGGCAACATACATGGAGCTGTCCTCTCCTAGGATAACAGTACCTTCTTCTGGAATACCTCCTGAAGCAACTGCCTGAGGCTGTTTTACAGTTAACTTTTTTTTAGTAGGGGTACACTCTAAAATAACATAAAATTATAGTATAATAAACACATAAACAAGTATCATAGTCATTTATTATCATCAATTATGGAGTACTCTACATAATTGTATGTGCTAGGCTTCTCTATGACTGGCAGTGCAATATGTTTGTTTACACCAGCATCACCACAAACATGTGAGGAATGCACTGCACTGCGATGTTACCACAGCTATGACATCACTAGACAACAGGAATTTTTCAGCTCCATTATAATCTTATGGGACCACTGTCATATATGTGAGTCATCATTGACTGTATATATTTCTGATTCTTCATCTGCACAATGGAGATAAAAAAGTAAGTCTGGCTCAATTTCACCTCTGAGATATGTTTTGTGGGTCAAACCATATTATGCAAGCTCTCCAAAAAGATGAAGTGCTGTAGAAATGGAAGGTATTTCCACTAAAAACCATAATTTCATCATTTGTTATCTGATTACTCTCTCTCTTGCCCTTTGTGTTCAGGGAACAATGGAGGCCTGCGATTTGGAGTTAAACTCTCAGTGATCTCTGTGTTGACAACACCAAAGCTAGAGGAATCCAGTAGGATGTGGGCATGGTTTTCCCGGAAGGCTGACTGAGCAGTTCTGCAAATGTTTGCAAGTACAGGGCAGAATTTCATCCAGCCTCAGAACCTTGAGCCAAGACTCAGCATCAGCAAAGCCAAAAGTTTCATTTCTTCGACTGTGGGAGTGCTAGTCCCAACCTTTAGATGGCCATTCAGTTTTAAGTTCAATAAGCATTTTGATTGAGAAATACTTTGCTGAGGAGTGAAAAGTCCTTGGCTTTGAAAGACGAATGATGAGCAGTTCAGTGGCCCATGTCACAGTCCAGGCACCTGCCAAAGGTGACTCCCTGGGAGGAGCATCTTAGTCACAGAGCCAGTGCCTGCTGTAGGTGTGCAGAAGGGTGCATGTGTGTGTGTGTGTGTGTGTGTGTATGTGTACGTGTACATGTGTGTTGGGGGAAGGGAGCAAGGTTGTGGGAGCATTTCTTATCTGCTCTTCTCTGCAAGATTTCCTGTGATTTAAGTCACATTAAAGTACCCATAAGCCCGTAATGCAAAAGAACCCCAAAACCAGCCCAGCAGCCAACCATGGCAGCAAGTAGATGCTCTGGTCTTTAGATAGTCAGAAATGACACTTCTGGGCTCTCAGGCAGTCAGTGGGTTGAGCTCCCCATTAAAGTCCCCCTGCCAAGTCTGGAATAGTCCTAGTCCCGTGTGTGTGTGTGTGTGTGTGTGTGTGTGTGTGTGTGTGTGTGTGTGTACCCGCGTGCATATGCGCGCATGCAGTGCAGGGTCTGCATACCTAAAGCAGATGAAATTCTGCAGAATGGCTGCCTCACTAGACAAAGTCAAGAAGACAGACCGAGGAGAGAGAGGTTGATGTGTCTCCACTACCAAGAGATAGGCTTCTCTAAGCCAGCGAGACATCCCATCCAACAATATGAAACTGGCCACATTTCCTTGAGATGTCAACGTTGAAAGTGTAGCTGCATCTTTATTCTTCACTGTTATGAAGTTGGGTGCAACACAGCTTGAGTGGAATACAAAAACACCGCTTGGAAACACATGATCTGGATTTGAATCGCAGCTGTATCATTCACCTGCTATAGACTTTGAGCAAGACCTCTCTGAGGTTATTTCTTCACAGTAGGTAGAGACAAGACTTACTTCAAAGGTTCTTAAAGTTGAACCTGAGTCAATGAATGCAAAAGTGTTCACATTTAAACTGTAATTTTAAAGCACAATACAAGTAAATAGCATTAATATCATTAGAGAGATTAACTTAGCACTGTGCGTCACATGATTCATCACGGGCCATCTGTGAGATATCAAATAGAGAGGTGAAGCCTGCAGTAATAAAAAATACTGCCATAGCTATAACCAGTGTACTCTTCTCTTCCTAAACAAACAACAAACAAATCTTGCCAGAGTCAAAAGGCAACAGTTTCGACTGCTTTTTCTGTTTTCTTGAAAGACAGAAGTCAAGCTTAGTCCCTTCTCTATGAGAAATGGTGAAGGAGGCACTCTCTTTGTTAGAGCTATGGAGTGTGGCCATGTGTGGATCAAGCCAACGTCCTGCCTTCACTGGGCTCACAGACAACACTCACAAATGTCACAGAGCTCAGATCACCCCTCTCCAACACTTTTTCCTTCATCAAAGAAAGTGCGTCCAAATGCAAATGAGAGCAATGATACCGTATGCATACCCATGAATCCACTCTTTGCTCATTCTTATTTTGAATGCACTCCTATTTCAAACCTTTGGTACTTCCTATTATTGATAACAAATTACTTCACAACCGATTGACATGTGATGGCACAACTGAAAGTCAAGATTGAGGACAAATGTCTGCAGCCGTGGGTGGGGGCAGGAATTTGTTTTATGCATCTTAGTATTTCCAATGCCCAGGTAGATGCTCATTGCTGACTTGAATTGGCCCTAGCCTGGGAAGGAGAAACCTCACAGCTCCCTACCCATGAGCTCTGGGGCCATTCCTAATGCAGAGGGGCTAGTTGGGTAGTCATAGCCCTTTTAGGAGCATCACAGTCATGACAAGAGACCAGAAATGGCCTCTACAGGAGATTTCAATGTAGGACAAACCAGCTCCCTTCACACTCTGTGGTAGTGACAGTTTTAAGTGGAGGAGTAAGTGCCCAGCTTCTTTCATGCCTGCCTTTGAAGAGGGTGGCCTCTTGCCAGCAAGAAGTGTCTGAGGTTTGGGTGGGTGAGAGCTGGATGAAATGAGTGTGTAGGTGGTACTGCCCAGGGAATAAATGTGAAAAGCCAAAGCAAACCTTCAAGTGCACAGCAAAGAGATGCATTCTCAGCTGTGTTCCTAAAGACATTCAAAATCACATGCGTCTATCTGGGTCATGTGGGCGGATCTGTAACCCAGGGCATCCACAGATACCAGAGCCAAAGCTGGCATGGCTGTTCCCCGCCAGGCTGGGGAGGCCTTGCCAGGGCAGCAGCCCCAGCCACACGCCCTTGTGTTGGAGCAGTCTGGAGGCTGCCAGCCTGTGGGGCTGGCTGAGAGCACCAGCATGTGGGGAATCTTCTAGATAATTTGTCACAAGTGTGCTAATGGCTCTGGGGGCCAAGAGGAAAGGGGTGATACAGCATGTTTGGAGACTGGAATGTGTAAATGAGTTGCTCTGTGAATTATTTGATATTTTCTCCCTGCAGTTTAGAAGAAAACTAGGTCCGATGGGCTTGGCCAAGGTTTATGAGGCAAAGCAGGGCTTCTGAGGTGAAGTTACATGGCTGTTTGAGCCCGAGGCATGGCAGGATTGCTGCCATAGTCTGGAAACCTCTCTGGTGATACCAGGCCAGCTTGGTACCAGGTATAAAGTTACCCAGGTCAGAAAATGCAGAGGCTTCATTCCTTTCTTGAAAAAAGGGTATTGTAGGTAGCAAGTGGGAAAAGAGAGGAACCAGGGGAACCAAATAGATGAGGGCATAAGGGAAAGGCCGTCAGAGTGGAAGTCCAGAGGTTTATGTTGACAGTCTTCCTGTCACCCACTGCATGGGAGGAGTCAGCTGCAGCTTAGGGGTGGGCTTTGCAGTTAAGCCAAGCCGAGGTATCAGCCCCAGCTCTGCCACTTCCTCCCCATGGAACTGAAGTTGTTAGCCCCTTGGTCTTCAGTTTCCTCACTGTGTGAAGGGAAAATGATGACTTCCTCCCTGAGTTCTGGTCAGGATGAAGGGAGGTGAGTGTGCAGGGCTTGCCGGTGTGCCGGGCGTTTGGTGGTGTTTCTTGGTTACCATGGTCATTGTTACCCAGTGTGACTGTTCTGATTACGATGGCTGCATCACACACAGCACAAATTTAGTGGCAGAAAAACCCCAACTATTTTTTATCAAGCTTATGGATTCTGCGGGTCAGAAATTCAGAAATGGCACAGCAAAGAGGACTCATCACTGCTCCACGATATCTGGGGCATCATCTGGGAAGGGTAAAGATCCAGGGTATCTTGACTGTTGGAACCTGGAATCACCTCAAAGCTCATTCACTCACATGTCTTGAGCCTGACCTGGGAGGGCCTTGTTGGTTAGGACTGCTAGCCAGAGGGCCTACACGTGGCCTCCCTGTGTGGCTTCCCCACAGCGTGGTGGTCTCAGGGTAGTTAGACTTCTAACACAGTGCCTGGTTTCTCCCAGAGCAAGTGTCCCAAGAGAACCAGGCAGGCAGAAGCAGAATCACCTTTTCTGACCTAGCCTCAGAAAGTTGTGGCATTCTGTTGGTTGTAAGTGAGTCTCTAAGGTCAGCTGTCTGTATTCAAAGAGAAGGCAGCTCTGGATGGGAAGACTGTTAAAGAATTTTAAAACCGTCATAGTGACTATAGAAAATAATAATGCCTTATGCTCACAGAATGTTTACAGTTTCAAAAGCACATTCACTTGATCCTCACAGTGCCTTTGAGTGGTGAGCAGGACAGGTAGCAAAATCCCATTTTGCAGATGTGGAAACAGCCTCGGAAAGGCTGCCACTTCATTCCCCTGAGCTACAAGATGAAGAGTTTATACAAGATGCCCTCGCTGGTGCCTGAAATGCAGTGGTTTTCCGTTCCTTGCTGAAGGAGGCAGTCCTGAGCAGTTGGCTTTAGTGAAGGAAGCAGTCTGATCAGAACTCTGTTTGCTCTTTGAACAACTTCTGTGATTTCCTGGGCCAAACTGAATTGCTTCCACTTAGCTCACACCTGGATTCTTGAAGGCAGCTAATTTTAGATTCTTTGGTCTGGTGCCAAATATCAAAGGAGTTGAAAGAATAATCTTTGCTCAATTGTAGTACAAATTCCTTCAACTGAGACCAATTCTGGTGCCTCATATTAAGATAAGGAAACCCCCATTTATCATATATCTTTAAGCTGAAACATTTCAACCAAAGCAGGAGAAGCAAAAAAAAAAAAAAAATAAGTCAAGATCATCTTTAAGCAAATTACTCACTGAGCAAATATCAAGAACGAAGATTTTTAAGAGTATAAAATTACTAAATTTGTGCAGGTGCAATTTGCTTTACGTAATACTTGTGTTCCTGATTTGGTGAGTGGAAATTAAACATTTATACTTTAAGTCTATTTTAAATTGACTTGAAAGTAATGTGAGAATGGGGAATTTCCTAGTAAAGGCGCCTGTGCAAATTTACTTCCTAGTTTCAGTTTTGTTAATTTGGGTTTCTAGAGATTGGATTTTCTTTTCTTTTTTTTTTTTTTTTTTGACGGAGTCTCGCTCTGTCACCCAGGCTGGTGTGCAGTGGTGCGATCTCAGCTCACTGCAAGCCCCACCTCCTGGGTTCATGCCATTCTCCTGCCTCAGCCTCCCGAGTAGCTGGGACTACAGGCTCCTGTCACCATGCCTGGCTAATTTTTTTGTACTTTTAGTAGAGACGGGGTTTCACCATGTTAGCCAGGATGGTCTCGATCTCGTGACCTCATGATCCGCCCACCTCGGCCTCCCAAAGTGCTGGGATTACAGGCGTGATCCACCTCGGCCAGCCCATGATTTATATTTTTAAAAATACTGTGAGGAAAGGGTAATAAGAGGGAAAACCATGAAGAAACATTAACCAAAACTTAAACCCAAGTATGTTCTTCATTAGTGGCTCTGGAAGCCATAGTGAGAGATTAATATGCAATTACCACACACACACACACACCATTATTTGTTTGTGTGTGTGGGGGCCCACACACATACCATTATTTGTTTTGTTGAAGGATATAGTAACATTGCTTTGAGACCTATATAATGCCCTGTAGTTAATGCAGATCATCTTGTAATTCTAAACTTAATGATAATTTAGTTTTTAAAACTAAACTGGCACATTATGGTGGTGAGGCTACTTGAGGACCCAGTCAAATGTTGATTCAGCACCTTCGTTGTCTTCAGCATTGTGTTGGGCATTCTGGGAGCTAAAAGAAGCATAGGACACAGTTCCTATTCCCATGTACCCCAATCTAGCTGGAGGGCTGAGACATACACACAGTCCACAATGAACAAGCCAGGTTTGTATACAACATTATGTCAAGCAAGAATAGAGTTCCAGGCCATGCGACACTATGGAAAAATATGTAGGTCAGTATTTGAAGTGCTATTAATTGTGCAGACAATAAGAATATATAGGTCAGTATTTGAGGTGCTTTTAATTGTGCAGACAGTAAGGACAAAAGAAGATTGGTGCAGTGAGAAATAATATTGAGAGGGATGGTGACCAAAGGGGCTACTTCCCTTTAATGAAGAGCCAGAAATTAAAAATCACAAGATCATTGAATATGGCCGATCGAAGTCCAGTCTGGAATGGCATTAATAATCAAAGTATCTGATCCAAGGGATGGAGTCAGGTGCAGTGCTAAGGGCTTCTAGGTGGAAACAGTTCTTGGGGATGGGTAAATGACAGACTTGGAGATCAAGTTAGGTGAAGGAAAGGATATCGCAATTAGGATGCAACCCTTCGTGAATGGAGAGTAAAAAGGGAGATGGGTGCTGGTCAGTGGGGTATGGGGGAGCTGGCCACTGAAATGGAATTCAGAAGACAGTGCAAAAGCCCAGGCAAGCAAGCTAGCCCCAAACAGTGGACATTCAGCTGACTCTGCCCTCCAAGATGGGCAATGGCTATCTCTCTATGCTCAATCCCAGCACCTAGCTCAGTACCTAATATTGAGTGGGCATTCACTAAAGAAGTGTTGAATAAATAAATGAATGAATTAGGAAATGAGGAAGAAAGGAGGCACCTAGGACTCTGTTTACTCTAGGGACATTAGATCCAGGGCTCAGGGAAGCAGACATTTCTACTCACTAAAGGTGAGGGCCTTCCAATGAACCACCAGGGTTGGTTCTCAGTTGGGACCAGAGGCACTTGATGGGTCATTACTGCTGGCAGGTAATGTTGGAGCAGGCAGGACTCTCCAGGATCATAGTAAACAAAAGCCTAGAGGTTTTCATCAGTGTGGCATGTACAGGAAACACAAGCAGTTGGGTATGGCTGGAGCATAGCACACTGGGGGAAGTGGCAGGAGATGGAACCTGAGTGTCATGCTAAAGGGTTTAGATTTTATCCTCAAAGCAATAGAGAGGTGCTGAAAGATTCTAAAGAGCAAAGTAACAAGGTCCAATTTACATTCAGGAAAGACAGTTCTGGTAGCAGCTCAAATTATATGGAATGGGAGAGACGAGAGGCAGGGAAACTCACTAGGAGGCTGTTTTGATAGGGCAGGTGAGCACTAATGAGACCCTAAACTAACATAGTGGTGGTGGGACACAGGGGAGGAGACAAAATCAAGAGATATGTTCAAGGTTCGTTTAATCTCATTGGGTGAAGACAGACACCAGCAACTGCAAATAGGATGATGTGATGCTGTTACTCAAGATTGGAAGTATAAGAGAAGGATCCCTGTGGAAAGTAGAGGGTAGCCCCTATACTGTCTGCAACAATGCTGGGCACAGACACTACAGCTTGTGCTATTGGACACTGGACACTACTTCTAGAACCTGGACATAGCAGCATCAGTCCTCACCTGAACAGAGCCTACCAGTGCATGCCTTTTGAGCCTGGTTTCCCATTCAAAGGTGGCTTTCAGGTGCATCTGGTTGCCAGAGCCAAGGTTGCATGTGTGCACCCTAGCTGCAAGGGAAGCAGGAACCAGTATCCAGACTACCTCTCCTTCCCACCTAAACTCTTAAGGTGGAGACTTCAAAGAAGAAACCTGTTTAGAGGGGCTGCTCAGCCATAAAGAGTGATAAATGTCCATTAAAAATATGAAGAATGAAGAAAACAAAGAAGACCAAGACCACAGCCCTGAGGAAAGCCAATATTTAAGGGACAGAGGAGAAAGAGTTGGTGAAGGAAACGGAGAAGGAAGAAACAAGATAAAAAGAGATTGAGAAGAGTAGGAGTGTTGCAGAAGCCTTGGGAAGAGAGGGCTTTGAGCAGGACTGAGCAGCCATTGGATTTGACAGTTAGGAGGTAGCCAGTCACCTGTGGGAGAGCATTTTCAGGGGCAAGTGGGGGTAAAAGCCAGACTCCAGGGGTCTCAGGAGTGTGGGAGTTGTGTTAGTGAAGACAGAGTGTGGATCACCTTTAAAGACAATTTGACTGCAAAGGGAAAAACAAAGAGAAAGTCGAAACTAAGGAGTGGCTCAGAATGGTAGGGTGTGGAGTTGGGTTTTTGAGCCTGGGGCGCCTTGACTACATTTACAGGTGTACGTGCTGGGCAAACCTTGTGTTCACCGAGGATGCCCGCAGGCTGTGGGGAGAACAAATTTAATAATGGCCTCTCCCTTTCTGCTGCTCTGAGAAAGTTGCTCTGTTCTACAAAAGATATTAGTGTTCTTTTTAAGACTCTAAACTACCCATGAAGCTCTGTTTCTTTAAGGATTAAGAACATAGAAGGTCTCAACTTTACATCTAGTGTTTGCAAGTGTTTACTTCAAGAGGCATCCTGAAAGGCTGGAGGGAGGTGTGAGGGTTGGGGTGGGAGGCTTGAATTGAGCACAGCCTTGTAGCATCTTAGCCCAGTGCATCTCTTTCCATCTCCTAGACAGGACTGGCACCCAGCCATATTCCTTTGGACCTGGGCTGGTGGCTGCTGCTGCCACTCCCTTCTGTGCCTGTCCCAGAAGACTTGGCAAGTTAGATGCTCTTGACATCTTCTTACCCACATGCTTGCAAATCCCTGAGCTGATCCACAGCCAGCTGCCTTTTACCCAGTAGAGCACAAGGAAAGCATTAGGCTTCTGTTGAATTTTTCGTGCAAGTTGCAGCCTTCTATCATCCCAAGACCTCTGTCTCACCTTTAGTTTCACACAAATACTATGTTTAAGTGAATAAAAGCTTCTATCTTCTGAAGAGTTCTAAGCACTTTCACTTATCACACTCCCCCAGAAACATGCCCAGAGTAAAATATTTTTGGTTTTGTTTTTAATTTTTTAAAATAGAGATGGGGTCTTACTATGTTGACCAGGCTGGTGTTGAACTCCTGGTCTCAAGTGATCCTCCCACCTTGGCCTCTCAAAGTGCTGGGATTACAGGTGTGAGCAATCACGCCCAGCTATAAAATTTCTTAAAAGCCTTACTTTTCAGATGGGGAACTAATGAACAAGTAGATAGGGTTGCCTGCCTGCTACCCCTGCCTCCCCACCCCACACCTGGTTATGAACACCTGGAAGAGACAAGATGAGAATCCAGGACACTTTCTTCTGCACATCAAGTAGCAAGAGACAAGAGGCTATGGAATGTTTATTTGATTGTGCTGGTGATAGAGGGGATTCATTGAGGAGAAGAAAAATGGTGGGGGGTAGGAGAAAGATAAAAGCATCTTGATCTCCCACCTTTAATTTGCATAAAACATTTCAGCTCAAGAAGCTAACATTTGGTAATTTCTGAATAATCACAAGGGCCTGTGACAAAGCAATTCTGGAAACAACTGAGCCATGGGCCCCTCTGCTCTTCTCACAAACGCTGTTGTTCATTTGCTGAAGGGTGAACTCATCGGTCTTCAAAGCACCTAACTCCTTGGAGGTGGGCAGAGGCTGAATCCAACTGCCAACTCCCATCTGCACAGCCAAGCTGGCAGCATCACTTCTTTCCCTCCACTCCCAGTCACATGGCCAAACCAGCAGGTTCTTGGAGCATCTGCTTCTGCCCCACATGGTGGGCTCCACCTGGGAGACTTTCCATCACTGACTCTTTGAAAGAGTCTGTTTGTCTGTGGGAAAGAGAGTTGCTGTCACCCATAAAACTTCTGACCCCAGCCATCCAACAAGAGTGTACCTGCTGGGTAGGGTAGACATGTGCTTGCCTGATTTCTAGCTATGGTTCCCTGGAGGTAATTAAGTAAAAAAGAAATGCCTTTGGGTTTTGGCCCAGCTCAAAGTAAAATTAGAGAAGGCCTGGAAGGGGAAAGAGAAACTGCAGTTTGGGCAAATCTCTTTCATTTGTAGTTTCTTTCTTCTCTCAGACACCATGGCAGCTTTCTTCCTAAGGGGATTTCCTCGTGGGGAAGACATGAAACCCATTGCGTTTGACTGAGAATCCTGTTTAATGAAAGCAATAAATCATGTCAGTGAGGGAGGTCTAGAGAACTGAGCCAAGGAAGGCGGGACAGGGGTTTCTGCTGGCCTCAGGCTTGGTCCCCTTTATGATCGACAGTACAGTGGGAAAGACAAACGTTTCATGGGATGTGCCTGAGAGAGCCCAGAGGGAAGCTCAGGATGCTTCTAGCTTTCAAACCCAGCTTACCTCTGCCTTGAGCAGGGCTCTAGCTCCTGTGTATGCAGAAGGGCCAGCCTCTTCATCATACAATACAGATTGGTGGACTGAGAGAGATCCAAGGAAGGTCCCAGATTCTCTCTTGTACTCATTTGTTGCTAATGTAAAGTGCTACTATCGGAGAAGCACTTTACATTAGCAACATGGTCTTCTCAATATGACTACCTCTAAAGTAGGCTCATTTTATGGGTATTTACCCCTGTTGAAACGTATCCTCAGGAGGAAGAAAGGGACTGATCAGGACAGCTTGCCAACTTCATACTTTACCTGGGCCTAACCCTGCAATCAAGCACCATTGGGAATAAATGATTTTGCCATTAAATTCTAATGTGACTAAGACTCTCATCATGCTCTGAGCTTTGGCTTTCCAATCTGTAAAGTGAGGATAATAATGCTTACCTAACAGGGCCATTGCTAGGGTGAGGGGAGATTGCAGATATGAATGCCCTGGGTAACTGTAATGTACAGTGTGGGTGGTGGGGGCTATTCTTGCATACAGCCTGCTGCCTCCCAGGCCTCAGGCTAATCAGGCCTGGCTAGGTTAGATCCATGGGTCTTCCCTGCACTTTCTGTCCCCTCCCACTACACATCCCCATGCCCTTCCCTAGCATCCTTTTATGTGACATCGTGATATCATACTGTTGGCACCATTTAGCCTTAACCTTTCTTTTTAAGAAACAGACAACAGTAATGTGGACTGAGAAATGACAGGCACACAGACCAATCTATGATCTTTATACAAAGAGACACATTAAATAAATACCTATTTACATTATAGACAAATAATGTAGTCAGTGTACTTAGTTGTAGCTGGGTAAGAATGAGCTTGTCTGTACTTCCTGGCTGATTGAGTGCTCTTAGCAAAGTCCCTACAACATTTTTCAAACAGAGTTAACCTGGGAAAACACCATGTGCTTAGATCCAAATTAGACAGGTGTCTCAAGGAAAAACCATATCAGCGCTTTCTCCCTTGAGGTCCATGTTTTAACAGTGTACAGGGAATATTTGGTAAGTTTAAATGAATTTATTTTTTATGAACCTCCCAATGCAGAGGCTGTATGCTCCAGAGCAGTGGAAACTAAGCTGGAATATGTGAGATTTATGGAGCAATTGGGGCTGTTTACAGGACTCTTAAGCTCTGCCTGTATTACTAGCCCACTGATCTGGAAGGGTCACCTCCAGATCTGTCTTTTTTCTGGACTCAATTTTTCTCTCTTGCATGATGATAAAACTTTGAGAAAGTGCGATTAATTAATTTATGGTCTATTTCTCATTCCCTATTAGATGAAATGTTTTAAGAAAAAATACACAGCATAATTGTTTTAAATACACCTAGCACCTGTATTAAAAACACAGGTCTTCTGTTACCCAAACCAGTAATCTCTCAACTGTATTCACTTTGGCACTGTATCAACATTTTTTTCTGATAACAAAAACTGATCAAATATTTTTTATTAACCTATATAAAGAATTTGACTGCTTATGATTCAATACATATGATTTAATAAAATAGATTGCATTTTTTAAAATAAAGAATGATTTGAAAAAAGGCTTATGGAGTTAAGCAGAATATTCATTTTCTTTCCAGTTCTACTCAGTATGAAAGAGGCGGCATTTCAACACATGCCCTTTCTTCAGTTCCCTTCTTTATATGATGACATTTTGGCAAGAGGATTTCTTTTCTGTGTGGTAGCATTTCTGAAATAATTATATGTGGGTTTGTTGTTTGTTGTTTTTGAAATAGTAGGTTTACAAAAAAAGACCCCTGTTTCAATTTGTAAAATAATCTACTTCAGCAGAAACCTAGGAAGGTCTTGTCAGTGGTTTTAAATACAAGAGACTTTTAGTACCAGCAATTTTATTCCCAGACTAATTCAGCATGGGAAAGAGTTCACCAAAAACAGATGACAAGGATGAAATCTGTGTAGATAGAAAACTGCTTCTAATGGGTGAAAATCCCATTTTAAGCAGACCCAGGTGTGCAAGCCAATTAGAGAAAATGGAACCTGGCAAACGGAGAGAACGTTTCCAGGGTCCCCTGGGAGTAGCAGGTTTTAATCACAGCCTGTGTGAGGAACACTTAACTGAGATTTGGGAGATTATCAGAAACTATTAGCACCTAGTCAACTCAGGAGTCAATAAGCCTCTTGCTTTAAACTTTGAACTGTAGTTTTCCACTTTCTTCCTAAGACTATAAAGACACAGTTTTGGTGGTTACATGGAGCAACTCTGCTTGCTGAATTCTCACTCCAGAGAGCTCTTTGGATTATAGCAGGAGGCATAATCCAGCAAGCATAATGTCCCTCACCTTAATTCTCCTATTCCTAAGTCTTCTGGTTAGCAAATAGCTCTTCAAAAGAGACGTCTTCACTCTGATACCCTGCACCACTCACCTTCCCTTCTCCAGTGCCCTGGATAAATTCAAAGGGATATTTTAGGAGTGAGGAACACTGTTTGGAGATGCCAGACCCAGACAACTCTCCATTCTCCTGTCTACACTGAAACACCATGTGGTGGAGGCAGGTACACGGGCTCTGATTTAAATTAAGACTCCATCACTTACCATCTGGGTTAGATGGACAAATGATTTAACCTCTTTGGAGCTAGTTTTTAATCTGTCAATATGCGTTCCTTACCACATCATTGTGAAGATTAAATTTAAAAAATAAGGCCGGGAGTGATGGCTCATGCCTATAATTCCAGCACTTTGGGAGGCCAAGGCGGGTGGAACACCTGAGGTCAGGAGTATGAGACCAGCCTGGCCAACATGATGAAACCCTGTCTCTACTAATAATACAAAAAAATTAGCTGGGTGTGGTGGTGCACGCCTGTAATCCCAGCTACTCGAGAGGCTGAGGCAGGAGAATCACTTGAAGCCGGGAGGTGGAGGTTGCAGTGAGCCGATAGCGCCATTGCACTCCAGCCTGGGCGACAAGAGTGAAACTCTGTCTCCAGTAATAATAATAATAATAAAATAAAATAATAGCTTCCAGTTATTGAGCACTTGCTATGTGCTAAGCATTATTGTAAGTGCTTTATGAATATTAGCTCATTTAATCCTTACAACAACCTTATGAAGTAGTCACTTTCATCATCTTTGTTTTACTGAAAAGACAACCCGGGCACAGAGAGTAATTTCCCCATGGTCAGAGTTAACAAGTGTCACAGTGAGGCATCACAAACAGTCTGACCTGAGTCCATGATCTTGATATTGAACTGTAATGGCTTTGTGGAGGTATCAGGCATTAATAATAATATAGGCTGTTATTATTCAGCATGTTTTCCCCAAGTTGCAAGCCAGTATAAAAGTCTGGGCCCTGCTGCCGTTGCTGTCATTGGGATGTTGGGGCCTAACCACTAACCCCTACCATTAACTGATGTTAGTTACAACTTCCTTCAAGTGCCACATTCTAAATTACATTTCTGGCTCCATTGAGCATATTTCCTGAAGCCACCTAACAGATTTAGGCACTGGTCACTTGATGTCAGCCGAGCAAGGACTCTAGCTCAGAGACAAGCAGGCAAAAAGCCACGCTTTCACCCTGGCCATCTGCAGCTGTTGTCAATAAAGCCGGTTGCAGAGGATATGGAAGTCGGCAGACGCGCTTGCATCTAAGGGCTGAACACAAGGCTGTCAGCTGGAAACACAGCCAGTGCTTTCGGCTAATTCCTAACTTCCTATTAGAAATAAACAAAAAGCCCGCCCTACTGAATTTCCCACTTGGCTTCTCTGCTTGGCAGCTAGTCCCTAATGCCTATCACCTAAGATAGCAAAGATATTAGGCCGGGCTGCTGGACTAGAACAAAAAGGATGGGAAAGGCCGCCTCTTCCCTGACCTCTGCTCCGCTGAGCGACTGATCCTGTGGGAATCTAGATGCATCAGGGTTTTTGGGGCGGGAAGGAGCAGGGGCCAGCATGTGGGGTGAGGGGAGTACTAAGCAGAAGACAAAAGAAGGAAAGAATGTTGAGTGAGCAGAGTGGACAACAAGCTCAAGGACCCATTCCTGTTAGTGGTCTCCCTGCATCTTGCTGGAAGTTCAGGCCCACCCAGGGCCCACTGAGCAAGTCTGTCTTTGGGTGAGGACAGACCCTGACAGACTGATGGGACTGGGGTTGCAGGGAGATTCTGTCTGAGGATCTAGAGGCTGCTCTCTGTGCAGTTAAAAGTGGATGGCCCAGCTTGTGGCTGAGGCTGGAAGCCTCTCCCTCCACAGCATGCCCCTTTGACTTTGTGCTGTTAACGCCTGTGTCTGTGGGAAAGAACATCTCTGTGGACATGCTGAGTTTCCTAGGCCTGGATGCCACACACACCTAGCCATTGTTGTCGGCATTTGGTGTCACCATGAGCAGCTTCCTGGGTGACAAGATACCTGCCGGAGTTGACTTGACTTTTCTCCCCAGATGAAAATGCCTTCCTGTTGTGATTTTGTGCCACCACGTATCAAATTTGGGCTGGTATTTCGGAGGCTCTTTTCTTTTTCTTTCTTTCTTTTTTTTTTTTTTGAGACGGAGTTTCACTCTGTCACCCAGGCTGGAGTGCAGTGGCATGATCTCGGCTCACTGCACCCTCCGCCTCCCAGGTTCAAGCAATTCTGCTTCCTCAGCCTCCCGAGTAGCTGGGATTACAGGCATGGGCCATGATGCCTGGCTAATTTTTTATATTTTTTGTAGAGACGGGGTTTCACCATGTTGGCCAGGCTAGTCTCAAACTCCTGACCTCAGGTGATCCACCCGCCTCAGGCTCCCAAAGTGCTGGGATTACAGGCATGAGCCACTGCACCTGGCCAGCTCTTTTCTTCCATGTACTGTACTCATTTTTTAGGCATATTCCATCCCCTTAGGGCAGGGCTGAGTACGTAATTGGTAGGGCTCAGTGCACAATGAACATGTAGGGAGGGCCTCATTCTAAAGTTATTAAGAATTGCAAGATGACAATCGCAGAGCATTAAACCAGCTGTGGGATCCTTCCAGCTCAGGGCCCTGCATGCGTTCTAAGAGGCTACATTTCTATAGGCAAGGTTAACTGGGTCAAAGATGACACTATACATTTTTGGTCATTTTTTATTTTAGAATATTTTAATACTGTATTAAAAGATTAAAACATAAAGATTTTAATCAGTCATTACTAGTTCTTTTTTAAATATAGAGGTCCTTAAATTTGGGAGATATGAACATCTAGGCACCCCTTCTATTAACACTTAACTGATTCTAATCACTACTTAACCCTAATTTTCACCCATCCTTGAGTAGCACTGCATTTCCCATCTCACAGGCTCCTCTGTGGCTCTGAAATGTCTCGTCTTAACTGGAGTAGGGGTCATCTAAGGTTGCGGCAGCTGTCATGTAACCATGCCACCCAGAGAGGACAATTTCCCTGGGGAAAGGAAGTTTATTTCCCAGTTGTACCGCTTGAAACCCAGGGAGCAGAACCTGGGAGATTAACACCTACAGCACAGAGGACGAAAAACGTTCAGTATTGTCCAGCAAGTCAAGGTGGGAATTCCAGGAGATTAGAGGCAGTGCCAGGTGCCTTTCCACCAGTTGCTTGGGTGGGGTCAGGAAAACATATCCTCAGAGGACAGAGGCCAAGGCTTTGCCCCTCTGCTCTTCCCACGGCTCCTATTCTCTGGCCCTGGCTCTCAGGTTATCCTTTGTTCACCTGAAGGGTCCTAACTAAAGTTGCCAGATTCAACTAATAATAAATACAAAGTTCAAATTTAACTGGATAGACTGTATTTTATCTGGCACCCCCAGTCCTAACCCTGGCACCCCCCGCCCCACCCTGTCTTGGCTGACTCAGGACTGGCTTCTTAATGACTGTAACTGCTCCCCGACCAGTGCTCTCCCCACCAGCATCTCCCACCAGGCTTCCTTGGACTTAGCTGCTGATCTGCCTTGCCCTGCCCTGCCCAGCCCTCTGATGGGGACTTCACAGACAAGCTGTTAACCACCATGGAAGATGCCAGTGCCAGGCGGAGACTCATCTCCGACCTGCGGTCAGCTCTGCCGGGACCTCTGTGCATTCCTTCCCAGTGCAGCTCATCCTTGGCACTGAGACCCATGGCGGGGGAGGGCGGAGCACAAGCTTAGCTCCATCACCGGCCTGCAGGGTAGGCTCAGAGTGCATTGAGGTGGTAACTGTGGCTTGGGAATGCCTATTAGACAAGTTATTCTCCTCAATTTCATTTCATTTTAAATTTCCCTTTTTGGAAATGAGCATGAAAGTATTGAGTGTCAGGAATGTCCACATTTCTTGATGATATGTCATTGAATCCTCATAACAATACTATGAGGTGAGTAATATTGTCCCTACTTTGAAGATGAAAAAACTAAGGTTCCACCACCTTACTATTGGTAGATTTCAAAGCTTGAATTAAACTCTGATCTTCTAAATCCAAGCCCAGGAGCTGGGTGCAGTGGCTCATGCTTGTAACCCCAGCACTTTGAGAGGCCAAGGCAGGAGGATCGCTTCAAGCCAGGAGTTCAAGATCAGCCAAGGCAGCAAAGCAAGACCCCGTCTTTAAAAAATAAAAATAAAAAAATAAGGCTGGCATGGTTGTGCTTGCTTATCCTAGCTACTTGTGAGGTTGAGATGGAAGGATCACCTGAGCCCAGGATTTCAAGGTTACAGTGAGCTATGATCACATCACTGCACTCTAGCCTGGGTGACAGAGCAAGAGCCCATCTTGAAAAAAATTACCCCAAGCCCATGCTTTATTGTTGCACAGTTTCATCATTGACCACCCAAACAGAAACTTTTGAATAATTAATTGTTCATACCTCACTCTTTCTCCAATCTGATCCCTATGTCCTTATGATTTTGCCACTGAAATGCCTCTTGATACCACTGTATTGGCTTCCTAGGGTTGCTGTAACAAATGACCACAGACTGGGTGGCTTAAAACAACATGAATTTATTCTTACAGTTCAGGAGGCCAAAAGTCCAGAATCAAGATGTCAGCAGGGTCGGTTCCTTCTGGAGACTCCAAGGGGAGAACCATCCTGTGCCTGTCTCCTTGCTTCCGGTGATTGCCAACATCCCCGACATTCCTTGGCTTGTAGCTGCATCACTCCAGGCTCTGCCTCTGTTGTCACATGGCTTCTTCCCTGTGTGTCTCTCTGTGCTTAGGTACATCTCTCTCTCCTCTTTCTTATATAGGCATCAATTACTAGATTTAGGGCCCTCCCGAATCCACTATGTCCTCATCGTAACTAATTACACCTGCAAAAGACCCTATTTCCAAATAGGATCACATTCTGAGGTTCTGGGTGAACAGGAATTCTTGGGGGACACCATTCAACCCAGTACAACTGCTATCTCTCTACTCCAGACTTTCACCATCACCACTGTTCTGCTTTGAGGCTTTCCCCTCTCCAATTCATACATTGCTCAAAAATTTGCTTTCTGAAAAGCAAATCTGACCACAGCACTCCACAACTTAAAAATGGTCACATATCTAAATGGCTTCTAGCAGTGGTTCTCAAACTTGAGTGTGCAAAAGGATCACCTGGAGAGCTTCTTAAAACTCAGGTTAGAGAGCCCCATCCCAGAGCTTCTGATCCAACAGGAGAAGCTGGAATCTGCATTTCAACATGCGTAAGATGATTCTGATGCAGATGGACCGTAGACCATGCTTTCAGAAAGGTCTATAGCATAAAATGCAAAAGCCTAACAAAACCCAGCACACAGAAAGCACTCAACGAAAGTTAACCATGATGATTTTTTATTTTCATAGCTTTGCTCATTTTGCCTACTTTTCCTGGGAATTTTTTCCCTCCTTTTATCACTTGGAATAGTTTCTTTTATCCTTCAAAATCCAGTGACGAGGCCATCATCTCTGTAAAATCTTCCTGGACCCCCTTAGTGCCATATTAGTTACTGTCTTCTTGTCCATTCCCCCATAATTATTGCTGGTATTCTTTGTTCCATTACCATATTATGCAAAGGAATCACACATATTTCTGTCTACATACATGAACAGTTTGAGGGCACCTACCATTCTGTAGGGCTTAGTAGAGTGTCTGGCATATTTTATAATTAAACTGCTTATTGGCCAGGCACGGTGGCTCACGCCTGTAATCCCAGCACTTTGGGAGGCCAAGGCGGGCAGATCACCTGAGGTCAGGAGTTTGAGACCAGCCTCTAACATGATGAAACCCCGTTTCTACTAAAAATACAAAAAATTAGCTGGGTGCAGTGGCACGCGCTTGTAATCCCATCTACTCAGGAGGCTGAGGCAGGAGAATAGCTTGAACCAGGGAGGTGGAGGTTGCAGTAAGCCGAGATCGCGCCATTGCACTCCAGCTTGGGCAACAAGAGTGAAACTCCATCTCAAAAACAAAAAATAAATAAATAAACTTCTTATCACATCTCTTCATACAATTGAATGTTCAATTTATTGTTTTAAAATGGAATTGCATGATTCTTTTCTTAATTTAATTCAATAATTATACTAGCTCCTCTTTCTTCCTACCACGCTGTCTGTTTTCTCTCTCCCAGATGCTCCAAGTTTCACACTGTGGTCAGTGTGCAGTGACTAGTCTGGCTGGATTGTTTTGCATTCCAAATACCTTATTTAGGAACTAGGGCTTACCACCCACTCATAGATACAACCCTCAATTCTGGTGGCAGGAATGTTCTTTCTCTGCTCTGCCTGCAGAATCCATAGGAAGGCCACCAAATGCTGTGCTTCAAACTCCTAAGGAAGTTTGGCTCCTACCAGTGGAAGCTAGAAGCTTATTTACTGGCGCAGGCCATGGAAGCGAGCTGCCTTGGTCCAAAATATCATCTTTTCTCTCTGAGAATATTATCTCAAGACCACTTTATGCAATAAATGGATAAATGAGCTTTTCATGGGCCTGTAAAGATTTTTGAGACTTGAAAAACTATATGTATTTTTCAAAATAAGGAAAGGAAACTCCAGAATCAAAATTGATAAATTGAATTAAATGTCTACAAAATATAAAATGATTCCAACTAGCCAGCTGCATCTGAGCTCAACTCTGATGTGGTTATATATGTTCTATTTCATGTGGAGCACATTTTAATAATTTTTTAATATGGGATGTGGTCTCCGAAAGCAAAAGTGCCTGATGTTTGGGAAGTTCTCAAAATGATCCCATGTTGTCTGCCATGACAGAGCTCACGGCTTTGAGTGGAGTCCATGTGAGGAGTGGGAGAGGAGGGTCCTTATCTGGACAGTCAGATCCAGAGAATCACATGGAAAATCATCCCACAATCCAGGCTTTTGGAATGTGGTTCCACATGTGAAAGAGCATTTGTGTAGATGATTGCTGCTCAGCTTTTGACACTGAGGTCCAAGCCAATTCTGACCAGGCCAGAGGGGGCACCAGAGGCCCGGATCCACCAAACCCAAAGGGCCTAAAACTCACATTGTTTGCATTGCATCAACAAATATCTACTGAGCCCTGTTATGTGTCTAGAACTCTGCTAGTGATGGGGAACACCACAGTGAGCAAGATAGGCACCATCCCTGCCTCAAGGAGCTTACAGAGCAGTTAAACAAACTCCAAGAAGCTAACCACCAATAGAAGAAGGAATGCAAAGGGATGTGCAGATTATCATGGGTGTCTGGTAGAGAGGTTAACCTAGTCTGGGAGTGAGGGAGGACCACTCAGAGGAACTAACATTTAGTATGATAACTGAAGGGTGAGTAGGAGTCAGCCACAGGAAAGCGTTTCGCACAGAAAGCCCCGTGCTGCCTTAACATGGTGTCAGATGCCAGGAATGGGCATCCTCTGTGTGCCCGCTATTCTGAAGCCCCTTCTGATTGGCCCAGTAACATCTCTGAATCCCTGCCTTGGCTTCCTGATTTGCCTTGAGTGCTGGAACTACAGATAGCTTTGCCGACGTTGCTGGGGCCCTCCCCGCCTGGAAGTAACAGCCTCTGCACTAGATGGTTTGCCCTGGGTGGCCCATGCAAAGCTGTACTGCTGCTGCCACCTGTTCCCAGGTACCGCCACTGCCCTGGAACACCACACCCCCTCCCACCCCATCTGACCTCCTCAGACGTCAGCCCAGGTCAGAGCACACTCTTGTGTGTCTCCCTCCTTTGGCCTCAGTGACTGCAGGAGCCAGCCACCCACCCTATTGCAGTCCCACCATTTCCTTCCAGCTCAGGCCTCAGGTTCAACCACACCATGTGACAGATCCTACCAGAATGCTGAAGTCATAGAGCAATGTTTCCTAAACTAGGGAATCCAATGCATCCTGAAAATATATCCATGCACTCCAGTTTGAGGAACACTGCACTGAAAGATAATGCAGTCACTTCTAGTTGACATGATTATGAACCAAACACAAATGTGCGCCTTGAAACTTCATGTCAGTACTCTTGCATACTTCACAAATGTTGTGAATATAGATTAGATGAGGCACATAAGACACCTGGAACTCCATCTGAAGAGGCCATGTAATTACGAATGTGTATTATTATTTGTCTTCATCCTGTCTGCCAGCTGAGAGAGACAGCCAGCCTACATTTGCTCAGCAGCCTGGAACTTTCTCCTCCAAAGAAAACCCAGTTCTCCCTATAGAAATCCAATAAGGCCAGATATTTAGGAGAAAAGTCACTGGTTTCTACCCCTCAGAGATTGGATTTTGGTTTTAGATTCTGCTTTTCAAATTAACTTGTCTACTATGCCTATCTGGCCTAATGCTTAAAAGAAAAAAGAATGTTTGAATAACCTTTATACTAGTCCCCAACAGGCCAAGGGCTCTGAGAAAATGAGAGGATCTGGAGAAGGGTAGATGCATGCACACACACACAAACACAACCCACGTGCATACACATGTGTGCACACATATGTTCTAAGAGTGCCCATACAGGTGCATGCGTGTGCACACACTCTCACACACACATCATCCAGCTGTGCTGAAGTCTCTGGGTAGAGAAAAGGGTACTGACCTGTGTTTACACTGTGCCTTTTGTCTGGGGTACGCAAAGTTCCTTCCAAGGAAGGCAGGCTTTGTCACTCCTCACCACCCCACTGGGAGGCAGCTGCCCCAATCAAGTCCTGGGGGATATCCCGCTAGAGCCCTGTGTGTCCCCTCTAAACTCTCCTTTACCCCCAGCGCAACCCTCCTCCTGAACACCGGCTTCCTGTTCCTGGGCATTTTGTCCTTAATCCCCCTCCACTGTCCTGCCCACTGTCTTGTAAGGTGGGTCGGGGGGTGGGGGGACATACAAAAAAATCCAAAATACTAAGTAAGCCGGGGCATCTTTATCTTTCCTGTGACTCTTCTGGTTTGGTGTGTCTGTACTTCCAGGGAACTTGTCCTCAGGCGGGCCTGAGTAGGAGACAAATCTTCAGCTGCTGGTGGGGAGGGGCTAGAATATTTGGAGTTTTCAGTGCACTTATTCCTCAGGGACTTTTTTTTAAAAAAAGAAAGCAGCCGAGACCCAGAGTCTAGCAAGGATCCATAGTCCCAAATTCTGCTCTGGTAGAAGACCTGGTAAAATGCTGCATTGGTCTCAGTTTTGTATTTCGTGTTGCTTTCTTTGCTGGGGGACTCAGATATTAACTCCATTAATAGTTTGAATGCAGTGCAAATGCTTCTCCTTCTGTAGTTATTGTTTGTGTTTAGCTGGTCTTTGTCTAGAAATGATCATTGCTGCAGGTGTAGGAGGAAGGGGCACCATTGTGCAGTTCTCAGTCTGTATCAAAGGTTTCTGAAATTGCTGCCCTGAGAAGTCAGGCAGGTTGAGAGGAGGGGAGATCTCTTTACTTTCCTGAGGCTGTTTTCTGCAGTTTGGGGTTTTGGAGAAGGCATCAAGGCTGAAGGACGGTGGGATCTCCCCTAGGGGGCCTCAAGGCAACTGCTGAAGTCGTTTTTCTCAGTCCTTTCAAATCAGATCTTCCTTTTCTTTTCTTTTTCTTTTCGTTTTTTTTTCTTTTTTTGAGACAAGGTCTTGCTCTGTCACCCAAGCTGAAGTTCAGTGGTGTGATCTCAGCTCACTGCAACCTCTGCCTCCCAGGTTCGAGTGATGCTTGTACCTCAGCCTTCTGGGAGTAGCTGGGATTACAGGCACCCACCACCACTCCCGGCTAATTTTTGTATTTTTTGTAGAGACAGGGTTTTGCCATGTTGGCCAGGCTGGTCTCAAATTCCTGGCTTCACGTGATGTACCAACCTTGGCCTCCCAAAGTGCTGGGATTACAGGCATGAGCCACTGCACCTGGCCAGATCTTCCATTTCAAACCTCTTTCATTCTCTGTCTCCCTCCACCTCTTGGTGCTGATTTGTCTGTCCTGAGGCTTTCTGGCTTTACAAAGCATCTTCTGGCACTGGACACGTTGTCTAGGAACAGGTTTCACCCCCAGGGCCCTGTCCTAAACACTAGCCCTGCTAATTTTGGCTCCACACTGTGAAGCCACCCGTTCTGTGAACCTCTTTCTATTCCCTAAATATGCCAATTCTCTCTCTTTTTCTTTCTCACTTTCCCTGGAGAGTAGAGTCTCTCCTGGATGTGCAGACATGGACAGTCAGCTGTCCACGCGGTTTGCTGTTTTTGGTCTTGTTTCCCAGCTTTGCCTGCCAGGCCCACCTCTGAGCCTCACCCACGGGGCCTCTGCTTCTACCATCTCCAGGATCAGAGCCCTTGCTACCTTCCTTCTCTTTGCCCAGAGGCAGTGGGGGCAGGTGAGGGGAAGGCCCCTTGAAATCTGGGAGGATAATATTCCCACTCCCTACTCCCCAGGCACTTGGGGCACTATGCCTGAAAAGGACTGTTTGGGAGATTTTGAATCTCATTTTGTAATCTCTCAGCCATGCACTGTGCCAAAGGGAGAGAAAATTGCTTGGATTCAGGTGGCACTTGAAATATTTTATTTTATTTTATTTTATTTTATTTTATTTTATTTTATTTTACTTTAACATCTACTATTTATTTATATAAGACAGAGGCTTCCCACTGCTGTTTTTATCCCATTCAGAACATGTTTTCATAGCTGAGCCCCTGGCCTTGTACCTTCTTCCTTTCCAGCCTCTCAGATAAAATGGGTTAATTGGAGGGCGGAGCAGGCCCAGCGGCTTTCCCCTGGCATAGAATCGTTGTTGTGCCTCTCCTAGATTGGAAAAAAAGAAAAAACAAACTAGCTTTAGATAAACAGAAAAGTTGCAAAGATAGTACAGGAAATTCCCATAGAATCCTCACTCAGTTTCCCTGTTGTTAACCTGTTATATTCCCATGGAATATTTGTCACAATTAAGAAACCAATACTGGTACATTATACTAGTAAGTAAAGTCCACCCTTTATTTGGATTTCACTAGTTTTCTCCCCATGTCCTTTACTGTTCCAGAATCCCATCCAGGATACCACACTGCACAGAGTCGTCCTTGGCCTCCTCTGGCCTGTTTCTGACTGTTTCTGACTTTCCTTGTTCTGATGACACTGGCAGTTCTGAAGAGTACTTACTGGTCAGGTGTTTTGTAGATTGTCCCTTGGTTTTCATTTGTCTGCTGCTTCTCCCATGGCTAGACTAAGGTTATGAATTCTGGGGAGGAAGACCACAGAGGTGCAGTACCTTTCTCATCACAATGTACCAAGGGCACATGCTGCCCACATGACTTATTCCTGATGTCCATTCACCTGGATCACCTAGCTGAGGAGTGTTTGCCAGGGTTCTCTACTGCCAAGTTCTTTCCCCACTTTCCATTCTGTACTCTCTGAAGCAAGCCACACTCAAGGGAGGTGGGGGAAGGAGGTAAGCTCCACCTTCCGGATGAGGGAGTACCGACACATATTACTTGGAATCTTCTGTAGGGGAGATCCCAGACATGTTTTTTAAGTAACTCAGACATTCCCTCCAGCACTTACTAAAAGGTCAGTGGTGCTGGATGTGTGGATTTTGCCAGGTTGGTGCCACAGACCTCAAGTAGAGCATCTAACAGGGCCATACCCTGGGGGTTTTCAGTTCCTTGGTATGAGGGAAAGCGATTTGGATATGCAGAGTACAGGACGTATGTGTATAAACATGTAACCACTGTGTAAAATCACAGAGTCATTCAAAAATGTTTAGCAAGGGACCACAAATGTACAGCACTCTGCTGGGTGCTGAAGGTGTGGAGTGGCAAATAAGACTCAATCTAGGTCCCAGGTGTGGCGGGCTGGAATGCCATGCAGTTAACCAGATATCTCTGCACACCCACTGTCAGCCCAGTTTTGAAGCAGCAATTACAAGCGTGATGAGCAATAAGATGGAAAGTTCCAGGTACTGTCAGAGAGCTCGGGTAAGGGGAGTCAGTGAAGGCCTCTCTGTGGACGTGAAGGATGGGCAGGAGTGAGCCAGGTGTTGGCGGGGGAGGGACAGGGAGGGCTTCCAAGGAGAAAAGCTCACCAGGCGAGAATAATATGTGTTAAAAACAAACTAGTGTCAAGAGGGACATCTGGAGGAACTGAGAGATGCTTATATGGAAAGAAAACTGCTTCCTGGGAAAAAAATCACATGATAATTTAGTCATATGGAATAGTTCTACTTTCTTAAAATAAGCCTGTTCTATACAATTTAAGACATAAAATGCACTAGTGTTTGATAATAGATTTATGCTTTAATATTCTGCTAAATTTATATATAAACATGCATAAGATTCAAGTGTTTCAGAAATTAAGTGCTAAAACTGAAAATGTGTACTAGAGAGAAGCGTAGAAATGACTGGAAGGTTATTTTAGTGCAAGCTGATGTGGCCCCAGTTCTCCATCTCAGGACAGAGGCTCTCATTTCCCCAGATGCTGGAGTGGTGCCCACTGAGGGCTCACAGCCAGGACATCCCAGACGTTGCCTTCTTCTGAGGGGAGCTGCCCACCCACAGTATACCCCTCCTGATGACTGGCTGATGCAGAGGTATCAAGGCCTGGCTCCCTGGCCTCAATCTCAGACAACTCTGAGAAGCCATCCCAGCGTCAGGGCTTCCGGTGGGGTGGGTTAAGGCCTCTGTGACAACTGCACTGCAGTTCAACTTCCCCTCTGCCCAGTGCTACTCCTCTCACAGCATGTCAGATCTGGTTGGTCCCCAACATATGATGGTTCAACTTACAATTTTTAGGCTTCTTGACAGTGCAAAAACTATCTACATTCAGTAGAACCCGTAATTCCAGTAGCCATACAACTTTTCTGTTTCTCACTTTCAGTACAGTATTTAATAAACTACATGAGATACTCAACACTTTATTATAAAATAGGCTTTATACTAGATGATTTTCCCCAACTCTAGGCTAACGTGAGTGTTTTGAGCACAGTTAAGGGAGGCAAGGCTAAGCTATGATGTTCAGTAGGTTAGGTGCATTTTCAACTTAAGATAGTTTCAACTCACAGTAGGTTTATAGGGACATAACCCCATAAGTCCAGATCATCTGTATGGTTTTCGAGAGCATTCCCCAATAAACTGCCTACATGAAAATCTCTGCCTCAGAATGTATTTCCTGGGGAATTTGACCCTAGAAAATACAGTGTACAGCAGATATACCATGTGTTAGTGTCCTAGTGATACAGAAAGGAAGAGCATGGTCCTTTTAAATGATAGGGAAGCCGGGAAGGGAAGTGCTGGGTAGAGGAGGGCGTGGTCCCTGGCTATGGCTCCACCCCCACGGACCTAAGTGAGGACAGGCATTTTTTTTTTCCTGCCCAAATGTTGCATTTCCCAAGACCACCCTGGCCTGCCGCGCCCCCATCCTATGTCTATAAAAACCCTGAGACCCTAGCAGGCAGACACACAGATGGCTGGATGTTGAGAGAAGCAGATCGGTGGAGGAAGACACAAGTGGCTCGATGTCAAGAGGACGTCGAGGGAAGTATGCTGGCAAAAGAGGGCATGACAGATGCCGGCATGCCTGCAGGCCATTGACCAGCACTGGAAGAAGGCAGAGTTTGGCTGGGACAGTTGGAGGAGAGCCCGGGCAGCTAAGTAGCCTGACTCCATCCCTTTTTGGCTTCCCCATCTGCTGAGAGCTATCTGCACTCAATAAAACCTTGCACTCATTCTCCAAGTCCACGCGTGATCCAATTCTTCTGGTACACCAAGGCAAGAACCCAGGATACAGAAAGCCCTCTGTCCTTGCAACAGGGTAGAGGGTCTAATTGAACTGGTTAACACAAGTCGCCTATAGACAGCAAAACTAAAAGAGCACCCTGTAACACACGCCCACTGGGGCTTCAGGAGCTGTAAACATCAACCTCTCAACACTGCCATGGGGTGGGAGCCCCACGACCTGCCCGTCTGTGTGCTCCCCTAGAGGTTTGAGCAGCGGGGTACTAAGGAAGTGAGCCACTCCCCCTGTCACACGCCCTGCGAGGGGGACAAAGGAATTTCTCATTTCACTAGGGCTGCTGTAAAAAATTTATCACAAACTTGATGGCTTAAAACAATAGAAATTTATTCTCTTCCAATTCTGGAGGCCAAAAGCCTCACATCAAAGTGTCAGTGGGGATACACTCCCTCTGGAGGGTAGAGGGGAGAATCCTTCCTTGCCTCTCCCAGCTTCTGGTGGCTCCAGGCGTTCCTTAGTCTGTGGCAGCATCACTTCAATCCTGCCTTGGTCTTTGCATGGCTTTCTCCCCTGTGTCTGTTTCTTGCCCTGTCTCTTCTAAGGACTTGCCATTGGATTTAGGACCCACCCAAATCCAGGATGTTCTCATCTTGAAATTCTTAACTTCATTACATCTGCAAAGATAGTTTTTCCAAATAAGATTATAATTACAGGTTTCAAAGTGGATGTGTCTTTTGGGGGGGCCACTATTCAACCTGCTGCATACACCAACATATTAAAGTGATTATATCCCAGGGTGGGAATGGGATTTATAGGTAACTTTAATTTTCTTCTTTGTACTATTTTGTTTATTCCAAATTTTGTACAGAAGGCATGTATAACTTCTGTAATGGTAATTTTTTAGAGTTGATGGTTTGACCTAAAGTGTGCAGTCTGGATTAAAAGGTACCTGCCTCGTGAGTGGAGGGCAAGAGGTAATGGCCACAGATAGGCTGAAGGACTCTCCCATTACAAAATGACTGGATCCCAAATTCTTGAATAAAGTCCAGTTTTTAATACATTGCCGAGCTTACAAGAAGTATGGTGAATCCCTAAGTTCTCTCCCAGTCTTTTCTGACCCAAATTCAAGAGTTGAAACTAAACCTGGGTAAAGCAGTAAATAACCAAGAGTGAAAGTTGACCTGAGAGTAAGTGCCTATCTAGGAGCTAGTCCAGAAGAAAAAGCCTTGGGCTAGAGGTAAGGTAAGGCTGCCACATTAAATCCAGGGACCTCTTAAGGGGCTTATGTGGTTCCAAATTAATGCATCATCTGGATCTAGACAGAAGCAAATGCAAACTCCCTCTGCAGGAAAGCATCCCCACTTTAGGACCATAGTTCCACAGATTAAGACCATGACAATGCAGGCTTACAATGAAAGACTGCAAAATGCGCAAGGAAACAAAGCCACCATGTACAAGAGTCAATGGAAGGAACAGAAAACAGATTTAAAATTATTAGATAAACAAAAGCTCTGCAAGGATTTCTACAAATCAAAAAGACAACCCAAGAGAAAAGATGAAAGGAGTCATAAAACAGGCATTTCACAAAGAAAAAACACCAATGTTTGATAAACACGTAGAAAGATGCTCAGCTTCGTTAGTAAAGGAAGTACAGGCTGTTGATAAATACAAAATCAATATACAAAAATTAATTGTAGTCACCACCTGTGGGCAGAAATTTAGTGGTTTGTTTTTTTAAAAAAGATACTACTGCAAAGCAATAAAAGTAGTGTATTTCATAGAATCTAAGACACCATCAGTGATACGATGAACCACGACTTTATGCACTCTAAGAAAGGAAAAAGACTGCCAATTATAATTGCAAGATGCCATCAACTATAAGACACAATCCAGATTGTGGGCAAAAGTGTGAGAGCTATGTGGAGAAAAGTATAACTTTATCCAAAGGTACTAAAGAAGGCCTAAAAGTCAAGAAGTAATCTGAGTTCATAGACAGGAAAACTCCCTATCACAATTACATCAGCTTTCCCTAAAATAATTAATTAAAGCAGTTAAGCCAATGCAATTCCCCTCACAATCCCAACAGAATTTTTTTTGAGACACATGACAAGATAATTCCAAATTTAGGTGGGCTGTAAAGTATTAAGAATAGCTAATAGGCCAGGCACGGTGGCTCATGCCTGTAATCTTGACACTTTGGAAGGCCAAGGTGGGAGGATTGCTTGAACCCAGAAGTCTGAGACCAGCCTTGGCAACATAATGAGACCCTGTCTCTCTCTCAAAAAAAAATATATTTAAATTGGCTGGGCATGGTGGTATGCACTTGTGGTCTAAGCTACTCAGGAGGCTGAGGTGGGAGAACCGCTGGAGCCTAGGAGGTTAAGGCTGCATTGAGCTGTGTTTGCCACTGCACTCCAGCGTGGGCAACTGAGTGACACCCTGTCTCAAAAACAAAAAAACAAAAAAAAAAGCTAATAACCTCTGAAGAAGAAGAATAAGGAAGAGGGAATTTCTCTACCAGATATTATTGACTTATTATAAAGTGGTGATCAAGATAAAATGTACTGATGCCAGAATGGAAAAACTGGCCAATGGAACAGAATAGAGAGCCCAGAAATAGACCTGCCAAATATGGAATCTTGATATAAGACAGAAGTGAAGCTGCCGATTCCTGGAAAAAGAAAGGGCTAGTAAATAAGTAATGATAATTGGTGGTTAATAAGGCAAAAAATTGGATCCCTACTTCACCTCTACCCAAATATCAACTCTTAGTGGATTAATGATTTCAATGTGAAAGACAAACCTTTAAAACTTTTAGAGAGAATACTGAAGAATATCTTTATGGCTTCAGAATACAAAAAATTCATTAGACACAGAGAGCATTAATCATAAAAGATTAATAAGTTAAGCTACATTAAAATTAATATACCACAAAGAAATAGAAAAAACAAACCCCAAACTGAGAGATACACAATAGGATCAATATAGGATTTGTTTCCAGAATATGTAAAAGATTTCTACAAATCAGAAAGAAATAGACAAACAACCCAAGAGAAAAGATGAACAAGAGACATAAGCAGGCATTTCACAAAAGAAGAAACACAAATATGTGATAAATATGTGGAAAGATGCTCGGCCTCATTAGCAAAGGAAGTACAGGCAGGCTGGGCCATTTTAAGGCCCTCACAGTCCCTATGTAATGCTTATTTCTGGAAGTCTAATCTTATAATATTTCACATACCATCATGCATCCACATCCCACATGAAATTTATTCATTCAGTATATATTTTTGAGTGCCTACTGGTGCCAGGAAATATTATATGTGCTTGGGATGTATTGCTGAATAAAGGAGACGGGGTCTCTGCCTCTGTGAGCTTACACATGAGTGGGACATAGACAATGAAGAGAAGGAGGTGAACTACGTAGAAGTGTAGTGGGAAGCGACGAGTGCTGTGGGCTACGAAAGACAAAGCAGAGCAGGGTGAGGAGAAGTAGGTAAGAGGGACAGAGGCTCTTGGCTGGTGCAACTTACCCCACAGGTGCTCACAGCATTTCCCTCACTCATCAGTTCCCTTGGACCCTTCCGTCAGGCAGTTTCAAGTACTGAAACCCCTTCCTGGGGTTTCAGCTAAGAATGGTTTAGAGGGCTAATGCACTCAGAGGTCTTTATGGGTTGGTGGGTGGAAGTGGAGAGAAACCCTTGAGGACACCTCCACCAGCCCCATCCTATTCAGATACCAGTGGCAGGTCAGGGGTAGTAAGGACATTGCATCGGCTTCCCGCCATCTTCTCCAGCACCTCCCTCTCCTGTGGCCCATCCAGAGAAGGGGCCCACCTCTCCAAGGCCCACTAGATGGGACCTTTCCCAGATGAGAGTCCTTGGACACCAGGCTGGGTGGCAGGAGGGGAGCCAGGTAGCTCAGACTGGACAGCCGGTCATCCCTGTAGACACAGGCTCACAGTGCTGCAGGAAGCAGGCATTTTCTGCAGTGTGATCCTTTGATGCACCCCCTTGCACAAGAAAGAATCTACGGCAGCTTTCTGAACTCTGCAGGCACCACTTACATGTACAAATTTGGTGGCGTCTATTCCTTGGGAGTTATAACAGTCCAACAAACAAGGGCTCCTGTGTATGAAGGCCCAAAGATAGGGCTGCCCCAGCAGCAGAAACAGACCAGGAAGGCACTGCAGGCCAGTAATGGACGCAGCCTTTCGGAAGTCCATTCACAATGGGACTGGTGTGATGGTGGCCCTTTCTTTACCAATGTCCCCACCTGAGAGGCTGGACATGGACCCCCCAGCCACCAGCGCTGGCATCCTAACTCTGGGGGCCTCGGTTCCCCTCTGTGGGGCTCCCCTCTGTGGCTCCCCTTGTTTTCACTTTGGCTAAGCTGCCCAAGCACAGGCTGCAGCTCAGTGGGATTAGTGCTCAGCCCTACTTAATCACTTTGTTGCCCCCCAACCTGTTCATCAAAAGCTCCTACTGGCCTGGACAGAGGATCAGTTCATTTCTTCCAGGTCTGCAGAGACAAAGGCACTGCTATGAGGTCCCCAGAGGGAGGTGGCCAAGTGGCTTCTCTTTCATAATGGAATTCGACATCTCCTTGTAATTAGAGACCACACAGGATGGGAAAATAAGAGCAGGGTAGCCCTTCTAGCATGAAAACCCATCCGCCTTTACCAAGAGAACTGCCGAGAGGCCCTGCATTCCAGTCCCAGCTGTATAAAACTCCTGGCCTCCTTCAGTGGTTATCACAGCCTCTTTTTCCTTTGCCTGCCTCCTAGATCAAATTCAAGGTCCTGTCTCTGAGACAAGGTTCATGTCTCAGGATCATTCAGTCCTCAAGAACAACCTCCCAAGTCTTGTTGTTCCTGAGGCTCCTGTGGCAGAGAAAGACATTTAATAAAGGCATTGAGGGGGTGGAAATCAAACAAACTAAAACCAAGTGGAAAGTCAGAATCCATCCTTAAAGAAATGTGCTCTTCCCAGGAGACTCTCCCAGGGAGCTGGTGGAAAAGACTGGGCCTGAGGACCCTGGAGCGAGGAGTCAATGGAGGATGCTGAAGGTTGAGAGGGGCACAGTGCGCAGCTACAGTCATCAGCAAAAGCAGCTTCCATCGTGGTGTGGAGGGAGCAGCCAGACCATTCCAGCACATCGCTCCTTTGAATGCTGGGTGTCCACGCCCAGATGGCCTTTCCCTAAAGGAATGCAAGCCTGTCACCATGCAGGGTATCTGTTTGCCTCCATGCCAACAGGGCAGCTCGGCCAGAGGACACTGGAGTGTGTGTTTCTATTTCAAATCTCCCTGCAAACCACTTTCCTTGCTAAGATGTGTACCCCTGCTAGGAGCATCAGGTTTCCAGAAGGACCTTATTCCTGGGGCCAAGTCAGTGTTTCAGGGAAAATTGTTTTTTTCCAGCTACACCTCTGGGACTGCCTCTGGAGCTGGGGTCTATTGGTTCCTTTCTTTCTTCCAGGCATTTTGAGGTCTTGCCTGAGAGCTTAGAGGTCTGCCCAAGCCTCTAATCACGGCTGCTTCTTTGTTCTTCAGGCGGTGACCTTTACTGACATCATCTCAACCCCCATCTATTTGAATCTCCCATTCTTTTTTCCTCTTTCTGGGTTAGAGTGAAGGATTTTACTCTCAGGGGCCTAATCCTGTCGCTCTTGTGTGTGACTAATTCCCTCCCCTCCCCCTTGGCTCCTGCAAAGAGGAAGGGGCCTGTTCGCCTGACTAGAGGGTCTGCGGCCCTTGTCAGCAATCAAAGCACAAACATATTCCTCCGGGTGATTTCCTGCCCTGAGAGCCCAGCCCGGAACACAAGCCTCCTCTGTTCCCTCACAGCCCACCAGTCCCTGGGACTGGGACTTAGGCAAGAGGATTTATGATATAGAAAGTAATAAGTCACCCTTCCAACCTGGCAACGTCTCGTGTGAAAGCAAGTTGTATTGTTGTTCAGACAATGGCTCCCAGGAGGAGAAATAGCGTCCCTCAGAGCCCCACAGTCCTCTAGTGGCTGCCTGCGGCTTAGAGTGTGCAGAGGTGACCCAGCGCAGGATGGAGGCCTTAGTATCCCCAGGGCACCCCATGGACCGTGGCGGGTCAGCTGTGGCTATCTGATTTCTGAAGTTAAAAAGCACATAATTATGGTATTGTTTGACTGCCAAGAATTCTGGGTTAATCTCAGTTTTATTTTGACTGCTACCTAAAATAGTAGCCTGTCCCCAAGGACGCAGTAAAGGCCAAGAAGCCAAAAACAGAAAGGCAGGCCTGAGCTCTAGGAGGCCCTCACTCGGGAGTTCTGGAGAGGCTTATGAGTGCATGGGATCCGGTACCGGGAGCCAGGTCACCCCCAGGCCCTCCCTTCCATAGGCCTGTCCTTAGCCACCGGCCATGGCCGCCCCTCCCCCATGGGACCTGGCCGAGACTGTGGAGAGCTGCAGGATGGCCAGTCCCCACACACCCATTGTCTCCCTATGCACTCAGGACAGTCCCTGAGACAGTGTGGAGGTCTGCTTCTGTGATTTGGGGAGACAATAATAATAATAATAGTTGTCATTACTGAGCACTTGTGATGCACCAGCCACTGATCTAAGTGCTCCTGCATATGGTAACTCCTTTAGTCCTCATAGCCAGTAGGCACTCTGGCAATCTCCTAACCTGGCCAGAGCCATATGGCTAGTAGGTGGTGGAAACAGAATTCGGACCTGAGGAACCCTTGCTCCAGAGGCCACCTCCCCTACTTTGTCACATGGCCTCTCAGGAGGTGAGCAGTGGCAGAACTTAAAGGCTCAGAAAGAACAGCTCCCATTGGAATCGGTGAGAGGCATCAGTTCCTAAGTGGAGGCCACGAGAATGGGCTTGGTGAGGGGTCGTTCTCCTTCTTGGAGCACAGATAGAAGATGTGCCTCAAGCATTCTCCACCATACTTAGGTCAGCAAACATTTACCAAGGGTTCCAGTCTGTTCTAGAGGTCTCCTGGCCACTGGGGCCTGTATCTCTAGGAAAAGTTCCGTCGCATTCCCAGGAGAATAACAATACAAAGTCATGTGTGCTTAGAGAGGAATGCTTCCTGCATGCAGTCAGGGAGGGCTTCCCAGGGGAGGGGACATTTGAGTTAGATCCTAAGGGATGCCAGGATTCTTCTGGGTTGACAAAGTAGAGGTGAACTCTCTGGGCAGAGGGGACAACCTGGGCAAACCACTGCTGTATTCCTCCAGGCTCAAGATGTTGTTCTTGAGGATTCTGTTCCCAAGGATTCTGAGCCACTGGGCCCTGGGCTCCAGTCTGCAGGGCATGGCAGGAACTGAGTAACTGTCCCCTCCCAGCTACTACTAATCCCTGCCATGCTGACTTCAGAGGAACCTTTCCTACCCTTCCTTCCTGCCCCACCTAGATGCCACCCTTCCAGTCTGAGGCATCCCTGAACTTCTAAAGTGCCCAGAGCTGCCAATCTAGCCGCTACCAGTGGCCACTATTCCAGCGGTGCTCCCAGGGTCAGCCTCGCCTCAGCCAGAAGCACCTGCGGAGCTGGCTCAGGCTAGCCCTGCTGCCCGACACCCTGATGCACTCCCAACCCTGCTCCACTCCAGCCACCTCCTGCCCTGCTAATGGCAGGGCAGGCAGACACCATGAGAGCGCAGGGCCTGGGAGTTCCGGCAGCTTCTTCATTCTTCTCCCCTCCCCACAAGTGAGAAAAAGACACAAGGAAGGCCAAAGGGCCAGGCCCTCAGGCCCAGGGTGTGTAGGGGCGGGTGGGTCTGTGTTCCTCTGGCTCCGGGGAGCATCCTCCTCCTTTCTACCTTTTGTTTGTAGTTGTTCATTTATTTTAATAAAAGTGATTCTGAGTTTTTATTAGGAAAAAACAAACACACAAGGAACAAAGGCAGTAGGAGTTTTAAGTCTTGGCCTGTGGAGGAGGCAGTCGCAGCACCGGAGCATCGACCCAACTTCGGGTCTCCATCAGGCGCTGTGGTCTGGGAAGGCGAGTGGCCATGTAAGGCACCACTGTTCAGAGAGACCAGGGTCTGGAGGCAGAAGCCCCTCTACTGAATGCTCCTGCAGGCCCCTGTATCAGCAGTGAAGAAGGATACTCCAAAGTTAGGTCCTGTTTTGCCCAAGAGCACACAGCCAGGAAAGAGTGGCACCAGCCTCCAGAGTCCAGGATCTTTCTTTCTGCAGTATCTCACAATTTCAACTTGCCCTCTTTGTCTTAACACTTTTTTCTTAAAGCCTCCAGAGGAAGCCTTCATTCAGAGATGCAATGTGCAGGGGAAGCTGCACGTCCACAGAGCTGAGGCCCCAGGCAACCCAGAGCATCCTAAAACCCTGTGGAACTTCAGGGGAGAAACAGGTGGAAGGAGAGGCCTTCCCAAGGAAGTGAGGCATAGCCAGCTGGCAGCCACCACCTCATTTCTTTGAGAGCTTCACAAATCCCAGTCCCTTGCTTGACTGAGGATTTTTATAAGAAAGACCCACGGGTTTATTCTACAACATACCAGTGCCCAGGAAAATTACATGAGCCCAGAAGTTCAAGGCAATAGTGCACTATGATTGTACCTGTGAATATAGCCACCGCACTCCAGCTTGGGCAACATAATGAGATTCTGTCTCTAAAATAAAAAATTGTAAAATTCAACTTTGAGCAAATCATAAGTGAACATTCAAATCTTCATGCATCAAGGGACCCAATTCCTCTTCCCAGAAGGATCAGAGATTCTCTCTCCATCAGAATTGCCGTAAACATGAACATCATGAAACACTTGCTGATTGTCTATGTACAGGTTCAAAGGACTTCTCCACTGCAGTTCAGCATTTATCACCAGTGCTTAGCTCGTTAAACTAATTATGTGCCTGCATTTCCACATTGAAAGTTTAAATATAGAGGCTGGGCAGGGTGGCTGACACCTGTAATCCCAGCACTTTGGGAGGCCGAGGCAGGCAGATCACGAGGTCAGGAGATCGAGACCATCCTGGTTAACACAGTGAAACCCCATCTCTACTAAAAAATACAAAAAAATTAGCCGGGCGTGGTGGTGGGCGCCTGTAGTCCCAGCTACTCGGGAGGCTGAGGCAGGAGAATGATGTGAACCCGGGAGGCAGAGGTTGCAGTGAGCCAAGATTGTGCCACTGCACTCCAGCCTGGCAACAGAGTGAGACTCTGTCTCAAAAAAAAAAAAAAAAAAAAAAAAACAAGAAAGTTTAAATATAGAGACTAACTTACTCCTTTTTAATTTCTTTGTCAAAGCAAAAGCTGATGCAATAGAGGGCCCTCATACAACATGGAGCATCAACCATTTGCTAATGGCAGGGTCCCAGCTGGACCTTCCAGAGTAGTGGGCTCTATGAGAACCTGGAGATGAGAGTGGGGTTTATTTGGAGGCTTCCCTTTCACCCAGAAACGATTTTACAGGCGGAAAAAGATAAACTAATAAACCTGCAACTCTATTGGTGGTCTGGGGAGGCAAGTGGCCATGTGAGGCACCATCATCCAGGAATCCATTGACATCTTTTTGAATATACTTCAGCTGGGCGTCATGGCTCACACTTGTAATCCTAACACTTTGGGAGGCCGAGGCGGGCGGATTGCTTGAGTTCAGTAGTTCAAAACCAGCTTGGGCAACATAGGGAGACCCTGTCTCTAAAAAAAAAAAAAATACAAAAATTAGCTGAGTGTGGTGGTGCATGCCTGTAGTCCCAGCTACATGGGAGGCTGAAATGGGAGGATTGCTTGAGCCTGGGAGGTTGAGGCTGCAGTGAGCCGAGATCATGCTACCACACTCCAGCATGGGGTAACAGAGCCAAACCCCGTCTCAAAAAAAAAAAAAAAAAAAAAAAAGAAAAACAATGTAGTTCAGATGGTTGTGAAAATTAGACAGCATTTACTTTATGGCCAAGCATCCTGGAGGGACTTTACATTAGTTCACTTAATCTTCATGACAGCCCTTTAATGTAGCTATCATCTCCATTTTATAGTTGAGGAAATTGAGGCCCAGAGGTGTGAAGTAGTGCATGTAAGGCCACAGCTAGGATATGGCAGAGCCAGTAGTTAAGCCTGACCCCAGAATCCCTGCCCTTCTCCCATCATACTGCTGTGTCCTGGCCCAGCATCGCTCCTCACACTGCAGCCTCCCTCTGCACCACATGCCAGCGCTTTCTCACCCTGCTGCATTAGTACGCATTCTACCTTCATCTTTGGGGTCTAGTGGTTTCAGTCTTTCTAGGGAGAGTCTGATCATATGTATCAAAGTTTAGAAAACTACTTCTATCTTCCTTCATTTTCTACCTGCCCAAATTCCATTTATTTTACCAGACTCAGGCCAAATGACATGTCCTTTGTCATGAAACTTCTCCTCATCCTCTGATTGGAATTCAACATCTGCTACAAGAATGCAGGAGTATGTTTAAATTTATTATTTTATTTTAAGAGCTGTGAACGCAGGAAGTTTCCAGAGAAAGTCTTTAGACACTTGGAAATATTAAATGTGACAAACAGAACCAAGTAACAACCAAGTGAAGTGAACTTTAGGCTTCCCTGTCTTTTTAGAGTAATCTGCAAATGAACAGACAAAAAGTTCAACCCTCTGCCACCATAAATAAAAGAGATTTGCAATTGCTTTGATTTTGTTTTTAATATTAAGCTTAGACCCCTCCAAAAACGCAGGCCACACTCTCAGACTCTTACGCAATTTTCCACAATGAGCAGCCCCAATAACAACCCTGCAAAGGAAACCATCCTGTCACCTGAAGACAGGAATCTGGTTGCGCACAGTTCTCTTATCTCCAATTCTTTTTTTTTTTTTTTTTTGAGGTGGAGTCTCGTGCAGGCTGGAGTACAGCGGCACGATCTCGGCTCACTGCAACCTCCACCTCCCTGGTTCAAGCAATTCCACTACCTCAGCTTCCTGAGTAGCTGAGATTACAGGCACATGCCACCATGCCCAGCTAATTTTTTTTGTATTTTTAGTAGAGATGGGGTTTCACCATGTTGGCCAGGATGGTCTCAAACTCCTGACCTCAGGCAATCCGCCTACCTCGACCTCCCAAAGTGCTGGGATTACAGGCGTGAGCCACTGCGCCCAGCCTCTTATCTCCAATTCTTACTTCCATGTAGCCCTTGGCCTAAATGCAAAATCAACTAACTTTTGCTGCTTAAAAAACTGCCCCCAAATTTAGTTGTTCAAGGCAACAACAATTTATTTAATTCACAATTACAAACTCAGCAATTTTGGCTGGGCTCAGCTGGGCCTCCTTCTGGGCTGGGCTGGGTTCACTCATGTGTCTGTGATCAAGTAGCAGGTTGGCTGGGGACTGGTTGATCTGGGGTTACTCAGCTAGGATGACTCATCTCTGCTCCATGAGGTCTCTCATCCTTCAGCAGCCTAGCCTGGCCTTATTCACATGGCAGCAGCACAGATCTAAGAGTATAAGTAGATACTGTGCGGTTTCTTGAGTTCTAGCTAAGAACCTCTACAACCTTGTAACCTCTGCGTTCTGTTCATCAAAAGGCCAGCCCACATTCAAGGAGTAGAGAAATTGATTCCACCTGTTGATAGAACTGCAAAGTGTTGTGGCCTCAGTCTGTATCTACCGAGCCCATCTACAGCTTCACCACTCGTGCACCTGCATCTCCCTGCCTGAGTGCATGCTCTGCTCCTGAGAGCATGTCCATCTCCTGCATAAAGCAGACTAGAAGATCAGAGTGGATGCCCTCCAGTCAGCCCTCAGCCAATGAGGAGGGGAGCTAATGGACAAATCCCACAAGTTCCTTTCCCTTAGATAATTTCAAGGTGTGTTCTACACAGATTCTCCAAGGCGCTGTGGGAGATTGAACCCAAGTTTCCTATGGTGGTCACCTGCTCATGAGGCACCCTTTCTCGGCATTCCTCTTGGTTGTCTCAACGTCCCCTCTACCTTACCACACTCTGGGGATCAGCTCCCTCAAGTGATCTTGCAGTACTTGAAACCAAATCCTTTTAGGGCCTGGTTTTGGGGAAATCTATGCTAAGACAGAGAGATAAGAGTCAGATCACCCTTGATCTCACAGGCCAAGCTAATGAGTTTGAATTTATCTTGTAGGTGATTGAGCTTCAGTGGGTTTTGAGCAGAGAAATTGGTGTTTTACAAACAATATTAGTGGCAAAGTAGAAACTAATAATACCCAGTTCCGCTGACTTCAGGCCAGTGCTGTGACATCAACTGTATGCTATTGCTATTTTAGGCTTTGGATGTGAGAATATGCAGATCTTCTTTTAAAGTTCATTTATTTTTGAATAAGTAATACATACACATGGTGCAAAATTAGAAAAGTGCAAAAGATCTTTTGTTAGAATCATTTTTCAACACCAAAGGAGCATTTAAATAGCCATTGTGTTTTTAGAGTGTGTTAAGACATAGGGAGCTAGCTCTTGGCTCCTTCTGAGACCACTCACTCCTGGTGGCATCTTGCACTCTCACTCCTGCAAACTGTTCTGGGCCCTTCCAACACCCTGCAGCTCGCAAACCTCTGCTGGAAGGGCAGGGGAGAGACGCTGACATTTGTGGCCCAAAGTAAACTTGGCAGGGTTGGTGGATGCCATCCTTGCTCCCTGTCACCACAAATAATTGCAAGCTGGCTGAGCGCTACTCAAACGCATTAAGGTTTGTGGCTTGTTCTGACAGAAATTGAAAAAGGGCAACGTCAAGGCCAAGCCTACAGCTTTTATCTCGGTTAGCTGGGGAGAGGAAGAGATAATGATTCACAACACTCCAGGTCTTCACATTTCTCCTGAAGAGCCACCATCTGTCTATAACGTGAGGGAAGAAGTGCTGTCAGGTTAATTGCCTTGCGTCAGCCAAACCGTCTGCATTTATTTAAATCAAGTCAAGTCCATAAATAGTTTCGAGTGTCTGCTGTGGGCCAGCTCTGAGCTCAGCTCTCTGGGGTACTCAAGTAAGTGTGAGCCACCAGCTCTGGCACCCTAAGAGGCAGGCTGGTGATTTGGCAGTTCTGGTAGCTTAGAACCAGGCATGTTCAGTAAGAATCCCAGCCCCATCATCAATCAGCTGAGAGATCTTGGGCAGCTGAGTTGATCTCTCCAGAACCTCCTTTTCCTCACCTTTAAAATGGTCCTGCCTACTGCAAAGGGGTAGATGAAAATCTCCAAGGCAATCTTTGTTTCTGTCATCTTTCCTAGGAACTTACAACCTTTCCAGGGAAAAAAGACAATTTTACTTTGTGAAAAGTTAAGAAAACATTTCTAAAAGATAATTAACTGTTCAAAACAAAAAAAGAAACAAGAAAAGAAAGTAGGTAAACACAAGGGGTGATGAACTGCCAGACATCAGTGTTTGCTCTAGAAGTTGAGCCAGGAAGAATAGCAGGGGGGAAGAACAAGGAGGTGTTCCTGGTTTGTAATTTTATTCCATTTTTGCCTAATACAAAATTGCAGTGCCTGGCACATGGTAGGCATGCAATAAATATTGTTGAATGAGTGTTCAAGTAAATAATAAATGAATGAATATTCTGTACAGGTTTTGTCACTGACCCTTAGGAAAGGTACCCAGAGGAGAGTATGCAGAGATGATAAACAGATGGAATGGGAGATTTTATTTTCAAAAAAAATGCTTTTCCTGAGAAATCTTTCTGGTCTGTAAAGGCAGGAGTTGAAAATGGATATGACAGAAGCTTACAAAACTGCGAAAGTCACGGATGAGACTATTATCATCTTTTTTAGGTTTTTAATTAATTTATAAATCTTCATTTAAATATTGTGTTGCTAGAAGTAGGTACAGGATAACCTTTGAACTATATGAAGTTTTAGGACATCTGAAAAAAAAAAAAGAAAGGCGGTCTTAGTTGTGATTAGTATGTTAAAAGAATTTTTATCCCTTCACACTGGAGGCTGAAAATACAAGTAAAGCCAAGAGGGATTTGATGAATTCATGAAGGCTGATCTCAGGGTAAGTTGCTTCAGATTCCTCAGGGATTTTGAAGCTTATGTTCTGAAGGACTCCCATGTTAGAGACAGACTGCTGGGCTGTGGTGACCCTGGACCTAGCCTAGGAGCACATTTCTGTGGTTTTGTGTCCCTTCAGGGAATATTTAATAAACTCCCACTATGTGCCAGGCAGTGTTCTAGGGGCCAAGAACACAGTAGTCAATAAGATGGTGTCCTAGACCTCCAGGACTGCCAACCTAGAGACAGAAGGCGATATGGGAAGAAATACATTTCAGTGTATTAAGTTCCATAATAAAAGTATGATGGGGCCGGGCGCGGTGGCTCACGCCCGTAATCCCAGCACTTTGGGAGGCCGAGGTGGGCGGATCACGAGGTCAGGAGATCGAGACCATCCTGGCTAACACGGTGAAACCCTGTCTCTACTAAAAATACAAAAATTAGCTGGGTGTGGTTGTGGGTGCCTGTAGTCCCAGCTACTCGGGAGGCTGAGGCAGGAGAATGGCATGAACCCAGGAGGCGGAGCTTGCAGTGAGCTGAGATCGCACCACTGCACTCCAGCCTGGGTAACAGAGCGAGACTCCATCTCAAAAAAAACAGTTGAATCTATAAAAATTGTCTTTCTAATTTTTTAAATGCCTCTCCCCCACCTGCATTTTAGAATTCCCATGTACTCAGAAAATGTTTGTGGATGGATGAATGAATGAATAAGTAAGTAAAAGAATGAATTTTGGCTTCCAGAAATGGGCATAATTTTCAAATAGAAATTTATTAACATTTGAAGGCTCACTACAGTCAAATTCACTAAGTAACCACTTCTAAGATTGCTTTGTGTGAAAGTCCTAGAGGCTACATGGTTTAATAGAAAAAAAAATGGCATTTCAGTTTTTGGAACCATTGCTGTGGGTTTTTCAATCTGCAATTCTAGAAATCTTGAAGGGGGAAGCTCTATGCAATTGCAGCTACAGGCCAAAGGTCATTTTTACTAAGTATTGATTTTAGCAGCAAGGAACTCTTGCTTCAGTAAGACTTCTCACACTTGCCCTACCCTGAAATGAGCACATTTCACTCTGCATGTTGCTCAGGAAGGCTGCCTCTCTGAAGAGCCTCAACATAATTCCTACAGCCTGGCATGCTTGATGACATCACCAGGAATTTGGTGATTGGAAGGCAGAGGTCCAGGAAAGAATCTTGGACCAGGAATCTGGACCTCATTAAATAATTGGTCCTTCTGAGAAGCTTAGTCTTGGGTCCATATTCATGAACAAAGAGTTCTGTGGCTTCCTCAAGCTGCCTTTCTCCCCATCTACCTTTCACTACCTCCTGCCACTTATTCTCCCTCCAATAACAAACTGCACTAAGATAAGACCCTAGAGTGTGCCGTCCAATACAGAAGCCACTACCCGTGTCTGGTTATTTAAGTTTAAGTTAATTACAATGAAATAAAATTGAACATGCAATTTCTCAGTCATACTAGCCACATATCAAATGCACAAAAGCCACATATGTCTCCTGGCAACCATAGTGGACAGTGCAGAGAACATTCTCATCATTACAGAAAGTTCTACTGAACTGTATTGCCCTAGAGAAAAAGGAAGATGAAAGCTGAGGATGAAGGTGGTAATTTTGAAGAAAATGCTGATAACATCTAGACCAGCCATATAGAGATAAGGAACATTCTAGCAGGAAGTTGCCACAGGATGCAAAACTAGGCAACAAGTGAAGGGTGTGAAGAGAGAGAGTATAGCTTTGGGACGAGAACCCAGGTTTAATCCTGATTCTAACCAAGTGTGCGGCCATGAAGAGGTTATGTGAACTCTTGGAGCCTCAATCTTTTCATAAGGGAAATAGTGGTGATAATGGTTCCTATGCCATAGAGCTGATGTGAAAATCAATGAGACAATTAGCGTAAGGTGCTTAGCATGCTGCCTGGCATATGGAAAAGGTCAAAAATAATAAGGCAGGGAGGGGTAAGAAAAAAGAAAGGAGAGAACCTAGTGAGAAGACAGCTGACCTGGAAAGAAGAAATGTCAAGAGTATGTTTACATGGACCTAGACAGTGAGCACTTTTATGATGGCTGGAGAGTACAAATCAGAAGGACAGAGCAACAGAGGCAGCTGGACCTCTGGAAACCTGAGGAGCACGAGGTGAACGTCCTCTGGATTAGGGGAGCTGTGCCAGGCGGGGCACAATCCCATATGATCCAGTGTTCCTGCCCATGTGTGGCAGCAGGAATTGTACCACTCATGGGAGCTTAGCTGTACTCAGCTTTATGCCATTGACTGCATTCTTGAGACCAAGGGAAGCATGGGACAGATGTGGCTTTCCTGGGACAGGCTGGGTGAACCAGGGTCGGGGACAGAGGGGTCAGACAATGATCAAGTTGATACAGGGAATTAAAGGGAAGAGGATAACATTTATTCAGTGCCTGCTACATGTTCAGCACTTCACATATCCAGTTGCACTTCACCCCACAACAGTAGCCACCTCCAGTTTGTAGGAGAAGAAACTGGGGCTCAGCAGAGTGAAGGAACTTGCCCAAGATCACACAGTCAGTAAACGAAATTTAGGATCTCAGCCCTGGTCCTCAGGATTGCAAAGCCTGTGCAAATCAGCTGTGGAAGCCCCTAAGCTTTGAGGAAGGAATAGCAATAGAGACGTGCAGAGAGGGTTTGAAAAGAGTTGGCATTGCATTTTTTTCATCATCTAGTAGAGTTCTATGCAATGTCCATGTTTTGCAGGTCACAAACATGAATAAGACAGGATTCTTGTCTGTAGGTGCTTCCTTAGCAGTGAGGCAGACAGGCTAAGAACAAGATGAGGACAACTAAAGGTAAAATGTTCAAACTCATCCCTGTAAGAAATACTTTGCTTATTGAGTCTCTACTATGTGCCAGGTACTGTACTAGGCTCTGGGGATACTCTGGTGTGCTGTGTTTACAGAAATGGTTGCACTTTCCCCTTTTCCTATATCCACACCCCTTTGCGGCTTCTTCCATTAAAGTTGAGTCTATTCTCCACCGATTGAATCCAGGCTAGCCTCATGACTTGTCTTGGCCAATAGAATGTGGTAGAAGTGACATTGTACCTCTTCCAAATCTTGCCCTTAAGAGGCCTCATACCTATCCATTCTCATTCTTGAAACTCTGTAGCTGCCACGTGGACTCCCCCAGGCTAGCTGGCTGAATAATGACAGACACATGGCCCTTTCACTTTCATTGTCCCAGCCAATGGTCAGTCACCTGACAGACATGAATGAGGCCATTTGGACCCATACCATACAAGTATATCTTAAGGGAAAGGAAGCGATAATTAAGCCAGCCTCCCACGATGGCCCCAGAGATCACCATTCTGGTATTCACACCATGTGTAGTTTCCTCCCACACTGCATCAAGGGTGGTCTGTGTAACAATGGCACATGGCAGAAGGGATGATGTGTTGCTTCTGATATTAGTTCACAAAAGCCTGCAGCTTCTATTTTGGGTGCCTTCTCTCTCTCTTTCTTATCATTCATTCTGGGAGAAGCCAGCTTCCACATCCTGAGAACACCCAGTCAGCCCATGGAGGGGTCATATGGTAAGGAACTGAGATCTCCACCCATAGCCTGAGAGGCACTGAGGTCCACAATGAGTGAGCGTGGCAGGAGATCCTATAGCTCCAGATGACCAAAGCCCAGGCTGACAGCCTGAATGTAACCTCTTGAGAAACCCTGAACCAGAACCATCGAGCTAAGCTGCTCCCAGACTCATGATCCAAAGAATATGTGAGATAACAAATGTTTGTTTTAAGCTACTAGGTTTGGGGGTAATTTGTTATGCCAGAAAAGATAACTGACAAAAAGCGTTAGCTAGATAAAGCAGGGGGAGGGGATGGAGTGTTCCAGACAGAGGGAATGGCATGATCAAAGGTCCTCAGGTAGGAGGGAATACAGGACCAGAAGAAACCGAAAGAAGACCAATGCGACAGGAGTTCAGAGAGCAAATGAGGCCGAAAGGTTGGTGGGGTCGAGACCTGCTGGGTGTGGCCTGGGGGTCTTCCTAACAAGTTTGCATTAGGAGCAACAAGAAATCAAATTATTGAGGGACCAGCATTAGGGGCTTCAAGGAAACCCAGATATCCTGGCTAGGATAAAGTCTCTCCCTGCCAATCCTCCAAATTAGTAACTTTGGGTTTTTAGTTTTCCCTACTCAAAGGTGCCCTTCAAGGTCTCCAAGGGAAGAGGCAAAGGGAGACGTAGCAAACATCCAGCATGGTATGGGTAAGGCTTCTCCAGCTCCAGCCATGCCAGGCAGCCAGGCCCAGCAGAGAGCTGTGCTTCCCTGACTGGTCAGGACTGGTCCCTCCAGCAGGGGCAAAGCCAGAAACAAGGGGTACAGGTCCAGGGAGGGAGCCCACTTCTTGATCAGCCTTTCTTGGTTCCCAGCTTCCCAGCTTCCCACCCCCTATCCACCGGGAGTGAGTTTATACTGTTTTACAGAGACTAGGACACTTGAACTCATATTTCATTCTCTCATGGATTTCGTCCAACTGGCCTAATCTTTTTTCTCTAAGTGACAAAGAATCTAAAGATATGGAATGTTCCCCAAAACAACTTTGCAGAAAAGCAAAATAAACACAGCATCGAACAGGCCCATTCATTTCATGAATTGATTATAGAAAGATAATTTCTATTTTTCTTTTAAAAATATATATTTAAGATAGAGATATGAAAAAATTACATGATGATCCATCAAGGAGATACATTCCACCATGATTATGTTATAGCAGCAAAGCCCTAGTCCTAATATAGGACGGTTGAGTTGATCAGATAAAGACTTTTTTCCCAATCTACAATCCTATAGATTGTAAATACAATTTTTAAAAACTACAACAGTTTTCCATTAAACAGCCTTCCTTTTTCTCTTCCCATCTCTAGTCTAGGAGATATTCCCCTCCCTCCTTCTTGCTGTTCCAAGGACAATCAAGGGGGACTGCCTGCTGAGCATTCACTAATGTCAATCCTAATCTAATGCCAGTAAGACATCCTTATACAGGGTCACCCACACTAAGAGAGAAGGCTCTGTGTCCTGGAGCCCCTGGCCAACACCTGTACAGATCAAGACCCACTTCACTGAAGGGCAAGGGACCAATCTGAAGACAGAGTGTGTTGTCAGAACATCAGTGCTTGCTCAAAACCACTTCCCAATTGGGCAGATTCATTGGTCTCTCTTTCCCTTGAGTGTGCTTTGAACAGACCGCAGGCTGGCTTGGAGGGACAGGAAGAAGAAGAGATGCAGCTGTAAATCAGTGTCACCTCTCCAACTCAGGGTCAGAGGAGGAGAATGTGCCCACCTCCAGGAAGGCCTGCTGTTATCAGATGTGCCTGAGCAGTCATGAGCACGCTGCTCTGCTGCCCTGCAGCCTGTGGACTCCCCCTCGTTCTTCTCTTTTGCAGCCTGGAAACAGATGCCCTTGGGAGGGGAAAAGCTCTGACTTCATCGGGGCTCCCAGGCCCTCCCTTTTCCAAACAGAACAAAGCCTACTTAGCTTATCGCAGCACTTCTCCTTGTGATTTTTTTTTAATTGGCCTCTTCACATGTGCAATCGACTCTCCTGATATGAAAGTTGTGAGCCCTGTTTTTGCAAGCCCGAAGCTTAGAAGCTGATCCCCACGAGCATCAACAGAAATCATCTGAATGCTCTAAGTACTGCCAGTGCTTGCTAAAAAATAAAACAGCCTGCCAACCTCCTCCTGCCTGTGTCCTTGGCACAGCCCTGGCGGGGCAAAGGAGCCCCAAGGACCCCATTGTTCTTTGGAAAGAAAGAAGCAACTCCAGCCAATTCAGGTGTTTGGGGGATTATTGAGATGGTCTTTTTTTGTAGATATGATGTGGTGGTGAATAGGGTAAGTTATATAGGGGACTCTATGGTGGTGACATTTGAAAAGATTGAAGAGTGAACTGAAACCGGTTTCTGTGAGCCCAAAGTTTTATTCAGCCAGTACAGTTCTAGAATTTGCTACTAATATGTTTATTTTCTCCCAAAGATCTTCTCCTTTTCTGAGAGTAATGGGACACTGGGGAGAGAACTTATGGACAAAAATATGGGGACAGAAAAGATTATGACAATTTGTAAAGTGTCCACACTGTTGGTTGGATTAGCTATGTGAGATGATGAGGGAGAAAGAGAGAAAAACAGGCAAAACCAAAAAAGGCCCCTTGGAAACAAAGTTAAGATGGTTTTTGGACTCATCCTACCTCCTGTGGGTTTAGCTTAACATCAGTCCCATCTGCCAGAGGCCGGAGGCAAGGTGCTTAGGGGTTTAATTGTTCTGTGAGACCCTGAAGCAGGATGAGAAGTGGCCTGGTGTCAGAGTAGAGCAGTTGGCCCATTACTGAAGGTCATGGTTCAGAAGTTCTCAACTTACTCTTTTCTCTATTCAGGTTCTATATAAGTGAGCAGTAGAAGGATATGGTTATCTCCTTCCTTTATTGTAGCAGTCTGCGAAGTTCCATTTCCTTCTTGAAACCTCTGACTCAATGGCTAGAGGAACCCTCCCGCACCCCTCCCCTCCTGTCTATGCTGGCAACTTTTGAGCCGCCCCCTCGGCTTACCACCTTGCAAAACCTGTCAGATCCATTGCTTTTACACACTGCTATTTACCTCGTTGTTTATTTTGTGTATGTGGGTCATCTGTTGTTTAGGTTAGATTGAAGTCTGGCTGTGTTGGTGTAGTTAGCTTTTGATTATTTCCAGAAGAAAGATAGTACACCATATCCATACAAGCATTTAATATTACGTTGTTTTCTTTTTGATCTAATGTCCAGCTTCAGCCTAGAAAACATCCTGAATGATCCAGGCTTGGGGACCGTCAGAGCTATTATTATTATTTATTTATTTATTGAGACTGAGTCTCACTCTATCACCCAGACTGGAGTGCAGTGGTGCGATCTCAGCTCACTGCAACCTCTGCCTCCTGGGTTCAAGCGATTCTCCTGCCTCAGCCTCCTGAGTAGCTGGGATTACAGGCACGCGCCACCACACCTGGCTAATTTTTGTATTTTTAGAGATGAGGTTTCACCATGTTGGCCAGGCTGGTCTTGAACTCCTGACCTCAAGTGATCTGCCCACCTTGGCCTCCCAAAGTGCTGGGATTACAGGCATGAGCCACCATGCCCGGCCTATTATTATTATTTTAAAGCATAATTATTTAATGCGGATTTTGCATATCTACTGCATTTGATCCCTTTCTGAATAGTTTTCACTGTTTTATTTAATTACTGTACTTCAAAATACAGAAATTTTGGAAAACAGAGAAACACTCTTTGGTGTATATACTTTTAGTATTTTTTTAAATGCATATAGATTTATTTTCTGTTTTCAGCAATAATATTATACAGTTTGTTTTAAACTGTATACTTTTTTTGTTTTTTTGAGATGGAGTCTTGCTGTTGTCACCTAGGCTGTAGTGTAATGGCATGATCTCAGCTCACTGCAAACTCTGCCTCCCAGGTTCAAGCAATTTTCCTTCCTCAGCCTCCCGAGAAGCTGGGATTACAGGCGCCCGCCACCACACCTGGTTAATTTTTGTATTTTTAGTAGAGACGGGGTTTCACCATGTTGGCCAGGCTGGTCTCGAACTCCTGACCTCGTGATCCACCCGCCTCTGCATCCCAAAGTACTGGGATTACAGGCGTAAGCCCCTGCGCCCGGCCTAAACTGTATACTATTAAACTGTATATTGTTTACTTTAGTAATAGATCATGAATGGATTCCCATGTTGCTATAGAAATTATAATGGCTGTGTAATATTGAATTATGTAGATTTATATAAGTAATTCTCCATTATTGGACTTTTATTTATCAAACATTTATATAAGCACTTACTATGTGCCAGGCATAGTTCTAAGCTCCAAATAGATATTAACTCATTTAACTCTCATAATAACTTTATGAGGTAAGTACTATTTACATCCCCATTTTGCAGATGAGGAAACTGAGTCACAGGCTGACTAGCTTGTCCCAGGGCACACCTCTTTGTAAGTGATGGGGCCAGATTCAAACCCAGACGATCTGGCTCCAGAGTCTGTGCTGTAATCACAGTCCTCTGCTTGCTTCCCTCTACCTCTATTGAAAAGTAAAGACCTTTCTTTCCTGGGAGAATAGCTTAATCTTAATAAGACTTCCCTGGCAAATAAGGGAACTGCTGTCCTGTGAGTCACTGTTATTTGTAATTAATTGTAACCTGCTGAGACAACAGGCAAAGAAACATCTAGGCAGAATGGGCGGTGTGAGCTCTGCAGCCCAGAGAAGGTGACTCCAGGAGGGGCTGTAGACTTGAATCCAACCAGGCTGAGGTCCAGGTTACTCACCCACTGGCAGAACCCAAGTGACTCTGCCTCCCCTGAAGCTACTGTAATTGCCTCACACCCACCTGAGATGGTCTTTCCTTTGCATTCTACTACAGGAGCTGCTTCATCTGACCCAAGCTGGCCTGGAGAAAGGAGGAAGAGGCAAGGTAGGAAGTGGCCTGGCCCCCTGCTGCTCTGCCCCAGAGTGCAGGGCAGAAACTGCAGCTGGAGCTGTGGGGTGGTGTTGATCCAGCCTACAAAGTGACTTCTGGGGCAGTACCTGGAGTGTATGAGAATCCTCTTGTTAACCTGCAGAAGCTCCAGCGTAGTTGTTTCTGGGTGACTCTAGGATCCTTATTCATCGCAGCCTTGAGACCGGGCTTTGGCTTCAGCCACCTCCTTTCCTATCCTCTCCCTTCCAGTAATGACAATATGATATCATAGCTGACCATAATTGTTCTGTCTGACATTTAATTCATTCTAACTCATTAAATTCTCACAACAGTGCTATGAGGTAGAATGATGGTTACCATAATTATCCTCATTTCAGTGGTGAAGAAAGGCAGCCACAGGGAGGCTGAATAACCTGCCGTAAGGTGGGGAGGGTTTCAGGTGCTGGGAGCACCACAGAGTTGTGACCTTGACTTGTATCCCAAACAGACCCTGAGAAGGGAGCAGTGGCTGGAGGGGAAACTGCAGTTGAACCACCTTGCTCCTCTTAACCCTAGTGGGAGGAGAAGTTCTAAACAAACAATTGGCATTTGACAGGGGAGTGTTAGGGCTGGAGGTGGTCGGAAGTTATATTTTATTGAAGCACCTTGGCAGTTGTTTGCAGGGCTGGTAGTGGGTTTATATGGCATAACATTCCTGCTCTCTCCCTGGGAGGTCTGTCAGTTTTCCTTTATTTCCGCATTTACAAGGGAGCCCGGAACACATACACCCTACATTCAAAGTCAATGTCACAGGGTAAATTGGTCCAGGGAGGACCAATTACTGCAGTCCTAAGACCTGCCACTCTAAATGCACGAGATGGAGATGCTTACATACCACCCAGCCCGTGAAGTTCTTTTCCACGCAGAAACCCCACAAGTTGGGTTCCCACCTGGATCAGGACTCCACCCCCTTCTCCTAAACATGGAAACAACCCCGGGTGGAGCTAGAACCAGCTCAAGTCAGACCTCCCAGTCTAGGAAGATCATTGGTCTAACTTGATAACAATGTATAGAAAAGATGCTTTAAACAGAACTAGGTAAGGCTTGGCAAAAACTGGCTTTCCTGCAGCTAAATGCATGCTGACATGTACCTATTGAGTTTTGGAGCAACTAACTCTTAGGAATGTGTGTGTACTTTTGTCTTAGGAAAAAGACAAAACCTGCCATAGTCCTTGAAGGTAAGTAAACCATGAAAAATAGAAGTGCAATGTCTGATAGGCTTTTAAAAAGAAGAAGAATTGCTGCTCTCCTAGTTGGAGCCACAGTAATGTTATTACCTCGAATAATGAGGCAGTCCCCTGACTTGGCCTTCTACCATCTATTCTCCCCACCATGAACAGATGGATCACTTAAAAGTACAATAGATCATGCCACACTCCTGCCTAAAAACTTTCAAGGACTTCCTTTCACACCCTGATGGGGTCCACACTCCTCACAGGGCATTCATAATGCACCCCTGACTCTGGAGATGTGGTGAAGTGTAGTATAATAGCTAAGTGCTCCATGGCTATGGCACCAGCTGGAATCCTAGCTCTGTCCCTCACTAGCTGTGTAACTTTGGCCAAGTATCTCTACTTCTCTGTGTCTGTGTTTTCATTCGTAAAATGAGAATAGCAGTACCTACCTTATAGATGCATGTAATGAGCACCCAACAGCCATCACAGCTGTTTTTATTATTACTTTTGACCTCATCGTCTCTACTTTCCCCACCCCCACCTCATTACACTCCAGTCACACCAGACTTCTTTCTGTTCCTCAAATTTGCCAAACTTATGTCTAAATGTGGACTTTTGCCCTAGAGTGAGTGAAACTGTCTGCCCACACCCACTCCCACTCAGGCCTGTGAGCTGCTGGTTTCTTCTCATTTTCAGATTCCAAATGAAGGCACCTCCACAAAGAGGCCTTCTCTGACCACCTATTCCAAATCAGTCCTAAGTCTCTCACTAGCCCTGTGCTGCCCTATGGCAATTTCTGTGATGATGGAAATGTCCTATATACCACTAACCACTAGCCACATTGGCTATTCAGCACCTGAAATGTGGCTAGTGTGAATAACTGAATGTTTAATTTCACTTAATTTTAATTCATTTAGACTTAAATGTAAATAACCACATGTGGCTCCTGTATTAGATAGTCTGGCTGTAGCCATTACCTGACTCGTGCACTCGTCACTCCCTGGACTTGTCTTGCTGATTCATTTGTCTGTTGTTTGTCATTTGTCTGCCTCCCCCAACCAGACAGTAAGGTCAACAGAAGTGGCAGAGGGCCTTATGCACCTTGCTCACCGCTGTATCTCCCTGTGCCTAGGAGAATATCTGGGTCTTTGTGGGGCTCAATAATATTGTTGGATAAATAAATGAATGGGCATATAGAAGCACTCTGTAAACCAAATTACATAATATAAATGTAGTATATTATCATTATATGTGTATATAATTTGAAAGCCTGCAGGGTTATCTCTTTTTTTTTTTTTTCTTTTTAAGAGACAGGGTTTTGCTCTGTCACAGGCTGGAGTGTGGTGGCAAGATTATAGCTTGCTGCAGCCTCAAACTCCTAGGCTCAAGCAATCCGCTGGCCTTAGCCTCCCGAGTAGGTAGGACTACAGGAGTGTACCACGACACCTGCTAATTTTTTAAATAGAGACAGAGTCTTGCTTTGTTTCCCAGGCTGGTCTTGAACTCCTGCTTCAAGCATCCTTCTGCTTCAGCCTCCCAAAGTACTGGGATTACAGGTGTGAGCCACTGTGCCTGGCTGTGTTTCACTTTTTAAAAATCCCTAATACACACACAGCTGATCGTTAAATGTCAATAATTTTTAAAAGTTGTTTTCCTGTTTGGAGTGCATTTTTTATGTCTTCAAGTGAGACCCCTCACCACACAGGTAGTATATATGATAAGCAGTCCCTCTGGAAACCTAAGGAGGGCCTGGCCTGATCACAGTTCCAATTCCAGGCAACTTCTGAGCAGCTGTCTTTGAGTTAAGTAAAGCAGGACACACCTGTGAGCTCTTCTGCCTAGCACAGGCCGCGGTGGCCAGCCTTGGACCACAGAGGGCAGGCTCTCTTTGCTGGTCCCTGGGCTGTTCATCTGCTGCCCAGAGATCACTGTTCCAGGCTTGATCAGGATCAGGATCAGGTCTGAAGCCTCTGACATGCGTGGGCAGCTGCCATTCTATCATGAAAACATGAGTTTTCCTAAGGGGATTGCAGTATTCTGGAAATTAAAAACAAGGTAGGAGCAAGTCGTCTCCTTCCTGTGGGAGTAGCTGAAGCTCAGTTCTGAAATACAATGCCTGGCACTCCTGGGAGGGCTGGGACCTGGCCTGTTCCATGCCACTGGGCGGTGTGCGGTTTCCAAAGAGGGCTGGGGCTGTTATCTGACCTCCTGTCTTAATGAAGTGCTTTGGCTTCATGTCTGCCTCTGAGAGAGCTCTGTGACTGGAGCAGCAGAGTCAAATCGAAGACAGGGGACATCCCCCCAACCCCCATCCCCACCCCCACCTGGGCCTGAGCCCAGGAACTCCATGAGCACAGACTCACTGCCACTTCCATTGCTCAAAACCAGCTGCAGGGTCTGGGAACCAGGCTCAACTTGCTGTGCCAGGCCAGCCTGGACCTCCTCTGACCTGGGCCTGAGCTGATAAGTTGGGGGAACAGTCAGGAGACAGTTGGGCTGAGGTTGTTTTTAAGACTCCTCTGTGGCCCATGTGCTTGGATTTCTTGTCAAAACTCTCCCTCCTGACCTGCCTAACTTGCCCCTCCCCGCCATGCCTAGGCACACATTTTCTTCCCATAATATCAGACCTGATTCTCAGAATGGGTACAGGGCGTATTCATGGGGGCGCAGCTTCAGGAAGGGGCCTGCTGCAATGGCGTGCTGTGCTTGGGGGCATGAAGTGTGCAGGGGTAGGTATGCTGGCCCTGAGACTTTCCCCCGTGAGAATTTCATTGCCACAGCGCCAGTGGGTGGATCGATAGCTTTAGGAAGGTGAGGTTTCTTTTGTGGAGAAAGCACCAGGAACACTGTGTCCACCCCCAACCCCACCCCAAGCCACAGGCTCCTGGATGGCCTGGGTTCTTCCACTACACTCACTCAGCCCTTCTCTATGTGGTGCCCATGCCTGGAGCACAGCCCAGTCCCACCCTGCCCCTGAGGGTGGCTCACATGTTCTTAAGGCAGGTACCAGGAGGATGACTGGCCACTCAGGGATGCAGGAAGTGGCTTTTCTGCATGGCCTGCCTGGTGAGTCACCTGGAGAATGCTGGGCCCAGTTCAGTCCTCCCAGTCCCACAAGGCCTGTAGATACCAAAAATGGAGACAGAATCATCCTTGGAGAGAGGCCCAGGGGCAGGCCTGGGAAGCAGGCAGAGTGGGGACAAAGAGGGCCACCACATAAAACAGGCCCCTGTGGGCCTGCCCAGCCCCTCATCACACACGGTGGTTGGTCTGTGCAGTGTCTCTTTTGTCCCAGTGGCTTCATTTTGTTTCCACTTTTTATAAATGCTTGCTAATTCGGCTTCATCTTTTTCAAAATAATAATATGTCATTGTGAAGAGATGTCCCCTGCCAGGCATCTTTAGGGCTTTTCTCAGGGCCCAACAGACCGATGCACATGAGGGCATCAATGCCCTCCCCCAGCCTGGTGAACCCTGACTTCCATTCCAATGGAAGACACGTGGGGTGGCCGGTCTCTGCCCCTCTCGAAGGCACGTTTTGGGTTGGAAGGAGGCCTTGGGCCCCCTAAGGCAAGCTCAATAAGGGAACCAGTGACAGCGGAGAACTCAGCCACACAGCTCCCTTCAAGGCAAGTGGGGACCTCACGATGACCGCTGTGGTTATTCAGTGCCTGCGTGTGGCAGGCCCTGTGCTCCATGCTCCTTTGACATCATTGGGTCTAATTCTCAAGGGCCAGTCCAAGAGGCAAATATTCTCATTACGCCCATTTTACAGTGGGGAAACAGGAGCAGAGAGGTGAAGGAATTTGCCCAAGGTCACACAGCTTCAAGCAGCAGAGCCACTGCTCAAAACCCAGGTTTGGCTGCCCCGAAGGCTGTGCTTTTAACAGCACACCATCTGCCTCCCACCTGGTGAGGTCCGCTGAGGGTGCCCACATGCCTGCCCTGCGCTAGGTCCTGAGGGGACGGCAGACGCCTGTGGGCAGAGCCTACCCTCCGCAGTAGCTCAGAGCAATCTGCTTCCCTCCCCAAAAGGCCTGAGTCAAAACCCTCTCCACTGATGAAATGTTTCTTCCTGTGGAATTCCGCTGAAAGACAGCTCCCGACTGTGTCCATTTGTTCTCCACAGGAGAATCCTGTAGGGGAAAGATTATCAAAATATTTGCCGGCCTTGCAGGGAGTATTCAGAGTCGTTGCCGGAGTGCTACTAGATGTGTGAGGTGCTGCTGTTCCTCCTGGCTTCTGTTTGTATCCATCTGCCAAGGAGGGGAGAGGGGCAGAATCTCTGTTTAACCTATAGGTGGAAGCTATAGTTAGCATTCTATGAGCCCATCGGGGATGCTCAGGTACAGTGCAGATGTCTGCCAGTGGCATGTCCAAATAAATAGGCATTTAAGGATTTCCTAGGCCAGGCGCAGTGGCTCATGCCTGTAATCCTAGCACTTTGAAAGGCTGAGGCAGGCAGATCTCTTGAGCTCAGGAGTTTGAGACTATCTCTACAAAATTATAAAAATTAGCCAGGTGTAGGGGTGTGCCCCTGTGGTCCCAGCTACTCAGGAGGCTGAGGTGGGAGGATGGCTTGAGCTCAGGAGGAGGAGGCTGCAGTGAGCCAAGATTACACCACTGCACTCCAACGTGGGCAACAAGGCTAGACCCTGTCTCAAAAGAAAAAAAAAGAATTTTCTAGTTTAAAGCATTAGGGGGGATCTAAACTTTGAACTGGGTGAAGTGCAATTGGCATACTCCTGGAGTCTTGGGTGTGCTGAGCCCCCAGGGTGGAGGAAAAAGCCTTGGGTTTTTTGGTCAGAAGATCTGACAACTTGACTAGCTCTGCCCTTGACTGGCCAGGCAAGTCCCTCACCTCCCTGGGCTCATTGCCTTACCTGTAAAATGGGGTGGGGTAGCCAGGGGAGATGATCTTTGAGAGGCAGGGCAGCATCTGGGAGCCAGGCTGTCCAAGTCCCTTCATAAGAGCTGGCAAATGGCGGGCAACCTCTCTGGGTCTGTTTCCTCATTTGTACTGTGTGTATGTGTGTGTGTGTGTGTGCACCTGTGTGTGTGAAATGGGTCTATATGTAATGTCTCTGGAACAGTGCTTGGCTATTACATAATAAGCACTCAGTAAACTTGGCTATTATTATTTATGGCCCCTCTCCACTCCCACATGAACTAAACTGTGGGTCTTGGCAATCATCCTCTGAGAGAAAATGCTTTGTTTGAGCAGTGGGTTGAAAGGCTGGCTGGAGGGAAAGAAGATTCTTCCTTGCTGGAGTTTAAAAACAAGACATGGGGCCGGGAGGAGGAGAGAATCACTGAGGCCGGTATATGATCACCTCATGAGTTCTTCTGCCCATCCACCCCCGCCCCCGCAACAAGGTACAGCTTTAATGAGGTGATTTCACCCCTACAGAAATCCTCGAGGTTGGGGTTGGGGAGGCAAGGAGTGTAAATGTCCCCAGCGCCCAGCCTCCCTGATAGCATCTTGGAAGCATGAACAGGAAGAAGACTGTAGGGAGATTGGCTTCAAGTGCCGAAGCAGAACTCTTCAAACTTTTTCTGTTCGTTTTCACTATTTTGGGTTTCTCTCCCCCGAAGGGAAACACTCTGCAGGTGACACAGTGTGAGTTAAGAAAACCCCATGTGTCGGAGCCAGACAGAGGGGAGAATTCAAATTGGATCTCTACAGTTTACTGGCCGACCAGGGTTATCTCTTCTCTCTGAGGTTCAGTTCCTTCATCTGTAAAATGGAGATAATGATACTTGTTTTACAGGGTTGTTGGAGAATTAAATATGAACATATATGTACAGCAGAAAGCAGGGGTTCAGAAAAGCTAGGTCCCCTGCGCTGCATCCCCTCCCTGTCTATGCCTAAGAGGGTGCTCCACTTGCCTGTCCACCTTCTGTACCAAGCCAAAAAAGCAGGAGGCACGATTCCCTTGTGTTGTGTGCTGTTAGCTTTCAGAACAAGGCTATAATCTTCCTAGAAGCTCCTGGGCAGGTTAGAACCTGTGGGCTGTCGTCAGTAGTGGATGCTGTTAAGGTAAAGCTATAAATACGAATGAAACAAAAGGAGAAAACTCAACAGCCCCCTTTCACCTGACATTAGGCCACAGACAGATTGGCCACAGACTTGACTTAGCAGCGAAGGTTGATGCTAAAGGCTGAGCACAGTGGCAGTCACAGGGCAGACTAAGGACACCTCTCTTTATCAAGTATCCTCCACCCCACTCAGGAATGGGTTGTTGGAGTTTAGGTGGCCAGGGCCACAGTCATGAGTATATTGCCTTCTCTCCTCTGGCCACGGAGGCCTCGTGGTTGGGGTAGGCTTGGAGTGAGTGGGATGGTCCTGAAGGGGTTAAAGGAGGAGTAGGGCACAGTCACAGGCCTGGGAAGCATCTCAATGGGCTGAAATTCTAAGCCCCCACCCAGTAAGGTCCTTGGGGATCCCAAAGCCCTTGTCATCTATCACCAGATCCTGGGTTCCTTTTATGTTCTCCTAAACTTTCTCATGGCTGCTACCAGTGTCTTATCTGTCAAGGTTGTGACAATCCAAAATGGTACCTTTTTGCAGATTAGAAATAGGCTCCCCTTTCCCCAGCAAATGCAGTCCTGCGCCAGGACACACAGCTTGTGATACAGGTGCATAGGCTAGATTTCAGCCCCCAGTTGCCCCCTTGGCTGAGCTGCCTTGTCCTGCTTCCCATGCTCTGCTTCAGTGGTCAGGACTGGCCATCCTGCTTCCGCTGCTGCCTCCTCTGAACTTGCTTCTCCTGCCTCCGCCGTAGCCCTTCCTGTGAGCAGAGCTGGCTTTCAGTAGGACACAGAAGGTAGCCTGGATGTGCCAGCTTTTCTAGCCCTCTCTTTGTTTTGTTTTTTTGTTTTTGTTTTTGTTTTGAGACAGAGTTTTGCTCTTGTTGCCTAGGCTGGAGTGCAATGGCACGATCTCGGCTCACGACAACCTCTGCCTCCTGGGTTCAAGCGATTCTCCTGCCTTAGCCTCCCGAGTAGCTGGGATTACAGGCATGCGCCACCATGCCTGGCTAATTTTGTGTTTTTAGTAGAGATGGGGTTTCGCCATGTTGGTCAGGCTGGTGTCGAACTCCTGACCCCAGGTGATCCGTCGTCTCGGCCTCCCAAAGTGCTGGGATTACAGGCTTGAGTCACCACGCCCGGCCTAGCCCTCTCTTTAAAGGGGCTTGTGACCCATTCCAGGGCTGGGTCAGAGGACACTTGAAGGATGCCACAGAGTCCAATTGTATAGTATTCTCTCTGGCATCATTCAGCACATCAGGCCCAGGTGAAGGTCTCCCCATCTCCTATAGTAGTGAGAATCCCCCACCTATCCAAGGCTGATGGCAGTGCCCCCAAGACTGTTCAAGAGAGTGCGTCCCCAAGTCCTGGGGCCTCTGGCATCAATCTCGGCCTCTTCACTTTCCTCCCAGCAGGGCATGTAGGCTGTCTTATAAACAGCGTCCTGGGTGCCTGCTCTGGCATCTCAGGATGCCTGAGGTGGGCAGGTAAGTGGGCTACGCCCTCCCTCCCAGCTGGACTATCCCCTCACAACTGGGTTACACAAATAGGAACAGCCTAAGCCCTTAGGGTTTAGGGTAGTCTGAAAACATGGCATTTTATGATTCCATCTCTCCCCCTTTTAAACTCACATGCACATCCCTGCCAGAATATCTGGACCACCTGTTTAGATGTGAATGGTCTGAAGCCAAGTTTCTGGTAGCTTTGCCAATAGCCAGGAGAGGCCACTCCCTTTGAGGGGCAGAGCTCGAGGTGCGCTGTACCTGGGTGGTCCTGCTGCTTCACTGTGAGAGGCTAAGGGAGGAGAGGAGGGCTGGCTTCAGACACATTTGTGGGTGCACGGAGACGCCAGCTCCCAGTCACTGAGTATCAATCAGGGCTGGAGGAGGCTGTAACACCTTAAAACAGTCTTCAAACTTTCTCTCCACAGCTAATAGCTGGATTTACCATATAATCTGGTAAGTGGAAAGTAACACAGGAACACGCTTGAGAAGTGCCAACCCAGAGCCAAAAGAGAAGTTGCTGGGGACACGATGCCTGGGCAAGGGATGGGAGTTGGTTAGATAGAGAATGAAAGAAACTGTAGGAGCAATGGCTTGGAGGCACCAAATAAAGGGTGAGTTCAGGGGAAGCATCCTGAGGAATTTGAATTTCCACTTATGGGTGGCAAGAAGCTCTTGAAGGGCTTTAAGTGGTAGAGGGATGGATCAAGCTTGCCTTTCAGAAACATCACTCTGGGGCCTGCATGGAAGACAGAATGGAGAAGGGCAGGATGGGAGGGAGGGAGACCAGCTGGGAAGCAATGGAGAGTCCAGGCGAGAGAGGAAGGGACCCTGGGCCAGAGTGGTGGTGGGGGAAGGAGAGGAGGGCATGACTTTGAGGATTCCTTAGGGATAAAGTCCCCAGGCCTTGGTGAGAGATTGGCTGTGTGTTATTTGTGTGCGGGTAGAAATGGAGAGAGACTGGGACCCAGGGTGGTTCCCAGGGTTCCAGCTTGGGCAATAGCTGGATGGAGATGCCATCCTAATATGTGGGAATTCAAGAGAAGAGGAAGCTGGCTGTGGAGTGTGCAAATTTTAAACCGTCTGTCCCATAATCAACATTTAGCAAACCATTTGGATGTGAAAACTAAGCTAAAGAGGCAGAGCTGGGCACAGTGGCTCATGCCTGTAATTCCAACTACTCGGGAGGCTGAGGCTGCTTGAGCATGGGAGGTCAAGGCTACAATGAGCTTTGATTTTGCCACTGCACTCCAGCCTGGGCGACAAAGCAAGATCCTGTCTCAAGAAAAAAAAAAAAAGAGAGAAGCAGTAGCAGGTTGCATTATACTGTGGAAGTATGTGTGATAACCAGGCAGAGTAGACCAAGTGCAGGACCTGGATATGCCCATTTTCAAGGTGGTTGGGGAAAGAGGACACACAGAAAGACAGGCTGGAAACTGTCAGAGAGGTAGCAAAAGAGTCAGGAGAAAACGGTGTCTCAGAGGTCACAAGAGCTGAAAGATTCACAAAAGAGGAAGCAGTCAACAATGTCAAATATAGCAGAAAAGCCAAGTAACACAAGTTCTGAATCCTGTCCACAGGATCATACACTGAAGAAGTCATTATCAACCTCAGGGAGCGCAATTTCAGAGGAGGGGCTGAGGCAGGCCTGACTGCAGAGAATTACAGAGCCTTCAGTGAAAGGAAGACAGGAGATTGGATAAAGATGGTAGATAGGGGCATAAAATTGAGCAAGCTGTTCAGGGCAAGGGAAACTTGAGCAGCTTAACTGGCTGAGCTGGAACAGCCAGCTGAGAGGGAGGCATTAAAGATAGAGAGAAAGAGGGTGATGATAGAGTGGGATGGGAATGGGATGGATGGCAGCAAGAACATACTGGGTGGGTTTCTACTGAACCACAGGAGTGAGACAGTGAAGAGACAGGTGGAGAGGTTGACAGTGATGTCAGTTCCATTGTAGGGGGAAAAGGAGTGGGAGTTGGAGCCTGATGGCCTCATGGGCTCTAATTCTAGATGAAGTTGAGCTTACCCTAGATTTGTGATGGGGTGGGCCTGCAGGGTTGTGGGGTTTCTCTGAAGATTTCAGAGAAGATGGAATGAATTAATCTGAGCGTTCCTGAGTAAGTACAACAGAAGGATATGGGTCCAGACTGACAACAAACTGGCTCATGTGATTAACCATGGGTGGGCAGGGAAGGAAGAAGGAAGCCCAGGAGGGGCCTGATAGACCAGAATGATGTCGATGCATGACAGGATTATGCTCAAGGGCCAGGTGCCAGGGAACAGGAATGTGGGAGGGCGAGGGGAATGTGGGCAGAAAGAGGCTATTGGCCTGACGATGTCAGGGGAGGAGCAGTCCCAGGGAATAACAAGGCCCAGGTGGGCCAGAGTGTAGGCTGAGGTGGAGCACAGGTGAAGGTGATCAGAGTTGGGAGGTCATTTTACTTTGAGGCTGGAGCATTGGAGGTGCTGTCACAGGACAGGAGTGGGTGGCTTTGAGGACCCCAGCCATTTCCAGGGTGAATTAGGAACAGTGTTTGGTGGATTACAACAGGAGGAGTGTGGTTTGGGGTCTCCCAAATGTGTTTGATCATAAGGACACATGGGCTCTTGTTAAACATTGGCTGCCAGGTCTCACTTGGATCTCTCCAATTCAGACCTCTGGGACAGGAGCCAGGGGATGTGCATGATTCTGATGATCAGGTGACTTTAATGATCAGGAAAGTTGGAGAAGGTTGATATTAAGAAGGCATAGGCCTCCAAGTATGGAGAAGGGGACTATAGAGAAGAATGGATGAGAGGTTTGGAAAAGAAAGGGGTAGGGAGAAGAAAGAGGAAGGGACCAGGAGAGCCATGGAGAGTGGAGTGGAGGAGAGAATTCATGCCCAGAGGACTCACATTTTGGATGCTGAGAAAGAATGATGTGATGTGAAGCACTCTGGAGTCATGACTGGGCTCAGTCACAGTAGCCGGGATCCCACGGTGGCTGGGAGGGCGTCAGTCCCTGGAAAGTCTCCTCTTTTTGTCCCTTGATGATTCATGCAGGGCATTTCAGGATCCCGGAGCTGGCACCAGATTGACATGGAAGTGGAGTTGCCAGCCAACAGTGTGATGTGATTTCCACGTGCCAGGGGAGCTCCCCACCCTGTGCTCTGTGAGCATCCCTTACCGGAAGTTCCACCAGGAGCTGGGCAAGGCTGAAGCTACCAGGTGTGGAGGGAATGACGTGGGCTTTAGAATCCTGGTCAGATCTGTATTCTCATCCTCTGATACTTTTTAGACATGCAACCTTGGGCAACTTAGCCTCTCTTTGCACCTCAATCTCCTCATCTATAAAATAGGGATAATAATACCTGCCTCAAAGAGCTGTCGTGAGGATTAAGTGGGCAAAGCACACAGAGTGCCAAGAGTAGGTGCTCAGGGGCTCAAGCAAGAGGCAGAGCCTTGGTGGTGGAGACCACTATCAGCTCCACTCCACACTGAGAGCCCAGAGCAGATGGGAGATGGACAGTGGGATAGGAGCACAAGAGGTGAGCGTCCCTGGAGCTACTTTCGAGTTTCTGCCCCCTACTAGTCACCAAAATCACAGCAGTCCGTGTTTACAGAGGCATCTTACCTGTCCTCTATTTTTACTGTGTTACCAAGGTGGTAACAGTATAATATTATTTTTGTATAAAGTGTTTTAAAGGACCACCTGATCTGTTGTCCCCAGCACCTTGCACTTTGGGGGACGCTATGTGTTCATCATCAATATATTCTGAAATAAGAAACAGAAACCAGAAATTTAATCATCCAGTACCCAGTCCACAAGAAAGGCCAATGACTCACTTCAGAATATGCGAGGATTGTTCACTCATTTCCTTCCATGTGGCGTGTTTGTCACTGCCTGGTCATGCTGTGAGGAAGAGCTGCTCTCACCTTCATGTTCATGAACCTGAGACAGACGAGGTCACATGGAGATCACTCAAGGGGTTCTTTCTTCCTGGAAATGCTGACAACTGAGAAGTTTGCCTCTCACAGCTGTATGAAAGGTTTTGTGAGGAAGAGGTTAGGGCAGCACCAGGGGTTAGCCCCCCAAAGTGCTATTCCCTAAGCCTAGTACAGGAAAAAGAAATTTCCCCTGTACTGGGTAGAAGGATGACTGCTGGCTTGCTCCCTTGCAGGAGGGTTGTTGAGTTGGAGCAGTGCCTCTCACACAGGTCACTGGGAGGCTTGTTAAAATGTGGGTTCTGAGTCAGTGCCTTAGGGTGGGGCTGAGATTCGGCATTTATGGCAAACCCCGGGCACTGGAGAGGCAGCTGCTCCACAGCCCCAGGACGGCGCTAGGACACACCTGTGAACCTTCAATGTGGGTTCCTGCCATGGGGAAAATTCAAGTGTATGTAGAGGCTTGACTGTGGTTCCTGACCTGCTTGAGACCCCCACACACTCTGACCCTATGTCTGAAACTCTGTTCAAAAGTCCAAATCTCAAATATCTATGGAATGCCTAGCAAGTGCCAGGCACTGGGCTAAGTTTACCTAACCCAGCTTGCTTGCTTCTCTTAAGATTCACTGTGCCATTCCACACCACGCTCAAGCAATCAACCCCAAACTCTCCCACTCACTCTGAGGAACAAGGGTTCACACTGGGAGATGAAGTGGGCAGTGGAGTCAGGGAGGCCAGTTTAGGGAGCTCCACATCCCAGCTCTGTGAACTTGGCTGGTTACTCTGCCTTTTTGTGCTTTCATTTTCTCGTCTATAAAAAGGGCTTAATAACCCCCACCTCTCTAGGTTGCTGAAAGGATTAACTCAGATGATGCACACAAAGTTCTTAGCCCTGGGCTGGTAAGCATAGCTTTTATGATTCATATTTAGTTTGTGTTTCCCCCATCAGAACCTTTGGTGCTCTCTCCCTCTTTGCAGACACCTAGGCCAATTCTTGTGTGTCTCCTTATGCTTGACTGTGTTACTATCTGGAAATTATTCTTACCATTTGGAAACCTCAGTACTGTCGACAGCACCATTAAAAGCAGTTCCAAATGGTTACCACACAAGAGGAGGCAAAAGCAGTGCCCCACAGCAGCTGTGTGTGCACTGGGGAGGGGGGTTCCTGTGAGGAAGGAACCAGAGAGGAAAGGGCCAAACTGACAGCCTCTTGCAGCCCTCCAGCTTGCTGTGCCAGCTGCTCTTGCACTGGATGCCGAGCTGTGCGGCGAGCACTTCATTCCTAATGATGCAGTGTCAGTTATAAATCACTTATTTAAAAATCAAACTGGCCAACCCTAGATTGTCTTTATCATAGCACCACTTTCACTCACTTGCATTCCAAAGGAATTTTAGAAACATTATTTAACTTTTCATCATGGCATTTTTCAACCATATGCAAAAGTAGAGAGAATAGTGTAACCAAGTCCAGCTTTAAGAGTTGTCCACATTTTAGCAGCAAAAGGTCTCTTGAGTGAAAGAGAATGGTGTGGGATCGTACACCCCTGCCACTCACGTGGGAGTGAATTGTACATATTCATGTCTTATTAGAAAAAAGGCTGAGAACTCTTGGTCTTTCCTGTCCATTTCCATTTGCATTTTTTTTTTCCTGGAAAATGGGATAATGACCCTTACTTTGCAGGGATTGACTGAGCCTGAAAAATGGGCTGCTGGTCAGAGCCTCACAGATGCACATTCCTTCCTGGGCTCTGCCTGCCCCTTCTGCTCCTGGGTGGAAAATGAGGAAGGAACAGGCACAAGCAGGAGGCTGCTGAGCTGGGAGCAAGGACCAAGGCTCTAATCTGGCCCCTCCCACCACCCACTGGCAACCACCTGCCTGCCAAGGCCGCCTGTCTCTTGCAGGGTGGATTGTGTCCTGCTTTGTAGAATGATAACTCCTGTAAAAATAAGCACCTTAAACAGCCGAGAGAAAGGGACAGTAATCTGACCCCAGGCTGTGTGTACCCCACAGGGAAGGGGTGTGTCTGTCATACTTGCCCCTGCTTCGATTTAGCTCTGAAGTGCAGGGGAGACCATTTTTCCCACTCAGCAACAGCAGCCTGTGAAGTAATGGGAGGCTGTTCCCCAGTGGGACCATTACCACTATCATTTCTATAATGCTTTCCTTCTGAGAGGCTGAAGTCACCACTTCCCAACCCTGATAGCCCCACACTGGCTCAGGCAGTGGGTGTTGTGGAAAGAGGATGGGATGTGGAATTAGAATGTCTCACCTTCAGTCCTGGCTCTGCTATGTAATTTGCTCAGTGGCCTTGGGCAATCCCTGAGGCTCCATATTCTCCTCCTGAGTATAGTGATATTTTACCCCAGAATGACTCTAAAACTCATACACATATTATTCATCTTAATGGTTTAATTGGACTCGGTTTAGGCAAAACTGTGAAACAGAAGTGTTAATTTAGCATTTTCTACTTTTTCAGTCAGATTCCCCCTTTTTCCCAAGTTCCCCCTTTCCACTCACCCTTGAAGCACCCAATAATGTCAGGCAGCCAGTCAAGAAAATGGCCTAGAAAACGAATATACATTAAAGGCCTAGTAGTTTAATCTCGATAGTCAAAATAGTCTACATTTATCAAGTGCTCACTAAGTGCCTGGCACTAAACATATTTTTTGTAATTTTCACAACAGCATCATGAGGTATGTAACTATTATCCTCATCTTACATATGGGGAAACTGATCTAGAATTCAGACAGTTGCTAGGAATTGCACAGCTAACTTGCAAAATCTGGGATTCAAATGCAGATGTGTCTGATTCTAAAAGCAGTGCTATTTGTTTATTTAGTCTTTTTGAGGCACTGAACCCTAGTGATTAAGAGCACAAAGTCTGAACTAGATGGCCTGGGTTCAGAGCTCAGCTCCTTTACATATTGCTATATGACCTGGGCAAGGACCATGTCCTCATCTGTAAAAGGGGAAAAGAACAGTGCCACCTTATAAGATTATTGTCAAAATCAAATGAGTTAATGTATGTAGGGTTCTTAGAACAGTACCAGGCACATAGTAAGCACTGTGTAAATTATAAAACAAAATAAAAGTAATTAGTGATAATCAGAAAAAAGTCAGTTTAGAATAACATGAAAGAAAAGGAGCATCCCTTTGTGCTCACCAGTCAGCTTCACTTCTCGGTTTGATGGGAGGAAATTCTTCAAGACATTTGTACATAATCCCACACAAATGCACACAATTACAGAAGTCTGTTATTTTCACATGAAAAGGGCAACTTGTATTTTTCACCTAACGTTTCACAGCTGCCTATCGGTACCTATGGAATTACCTCATTCTTATCAGCTGCAGAGTGCATGCCAGGTATAGATGTGCTATAATTAAATAATTCCTCTACAGATTATCTGTAAATGATGCTGCCATGAGCATTTTAGGATGTTTATCTTAGTATGTACAGGAAAGTGAACCCCTGGAAGGCTGACTTTGCTCTCAGAGACTGAGTTGGTACATCCAAGCAAGTCAGGTTTTTCTGTCAGTCTGGCTCCTTCTGTATAGGGGAGTTGGTGAAGCATAAATGCTTTCTGTTCCCTGCATTTCCCTCAACCATCTGCATTCCTCCTGCGCTAGAACAAGGCAGCACAGCTCATCATCACCACCCACCCCCAACCCCAGGGTAGCCTGAAGCATCTAAACTGAGCCCTTTCCGGTCATAACTCAAGAAGGCAGTCAGGTGGCCATCGCCACTAGGTTTTACATACATTTGTTTCCTCTCTCTTCATTTCCATAATCAAGCTCCCTGCCCCCCTACAACTCCTCCCTCTTCTTTATTTTTATGGGCATCACCAGCATCAACAGTCTGTCCCCAGCACTTTTTTTTTTTTTTTGAGATGTAGTTTTGCTCTTGTTTGCTAGGCTAGAGTGCAATGGTGCGATCTCGGCTCACTGCTACCTCCGTCTCCCAGGTTCAGGTGATTCTCCTGCCTTAGCCTCCTGAGTAGCTGGGACTACAGACGCGTGCCACCACACCCGGCTAATTTTTATATTTTTTTTAGTATATGTGCTGCCAAAGTGAGCACTAATTTTTGTATTTTTAGTAGAGGCAGATTTCACCATGTTGGCCAGGCTGGTCTCGAACCTCTGACCTCAGGTGATCCACTGGCCTCAACCTCCCAAAGTGCTGGGATTACAGGCATGAGCCACCACGCCCAGCCCCCAGCACTTTTAATCTCTCCCTTCTCTGCGTTCCCACAGCACTGGGAGCTCTGCTGCAGCTCATCCTTCTCTCACTCCAGATCCATGCCATGTTCCCTGCTAGGATGAAAGTCCTGGTAATGTGATCACTTTCATACCTCCCAGGGCTAGTGATGCTTTCCATATGGTAGATGCTCAATGAATTTTTAAAACTTTGTTTATATTTTTAAAATATGTTTTTGAATTTGTTTTTAAGTAACATTTTACATGATAAAAATAATATATGCTGGCCAGGCATGGTGGCTCACACTTGTAATCCCAGCACTTTGGGAGGCCAAGGTGGGCAGATCACCTGAGGTCAGGAGTTTGAGAGCAGCCTGGCCAACGTGGTGAAACCCTGTCTCTACTAAAAATACAAAAAACAAACAAACAAACAAACAAACAAAAACAAACAAAAAAACCTTAGCCAGGTGTGGTGGCACACGCCTGTAATCCCAGCTACTAGGGAGGCTGAGGCAGGAGAGTTGCTTGAACCCAGAAGATGGAGGCTGCAGTGAGCTGTCATGGCTCCACCGCACTCCAGCCTGGCCAACAGAGTGAGACTTTGTCTCAAAAATAAATAAATAAGTAATGTAAAAAAAAACATACATATATATATACACAGACACACACACGCTTACTGTAAGGAAAAACTGGAAAGGAAAGCTGTGTAAATGAGGAAATTAAATCATCTGGAATTCCTATCCAGAGACGTTTTGGTGTATTTCTTTGAATTGTTGAATTAAGAAGATAATTAGTGAAAAAAAAAAGCTAGTAATTAGACTGAGGATGTAAATGGGAAACAGGCTCCAGAGTCCGGTGATAAGAGTAAGTCTTGAAATGGGTGGTTCAAATATAGACAATCAGGTTGAGGTGTACTTTGCATAGAAAATGAGCCTATGTTGTCAAGAAGTTCATCTTTTCTTCACTCTGTCACTATTTATTCAATAGTATTTACTGAGGTTTAGTAAGCCATAGTCCTCAGACAATGATTTCTCTGGCCAACGTGATAGTAAGTATGCAGCTATCACACAGGCCTTTTGGAAGCTGAGTTGACTTCCCTGCCTAGTAGACTGGACACCAAGTTCATGGCTAGCTCTTCAGGGGCAGGCACCTAGAGGGTAAGACTTCTGAAAATATTGCAGAATTTTGCCTTTCTGGTCCATATCAGTGTTGCCAGCTCTTTGTATCAGTAGTTATGATATATTAACTTCAGGGAATTCTCTATCTTTCTTTCTGCAGTTGTTCAAGTTCAGCTTTTCTGATTGATCTTCCTTGGTGATAGCTTAAGCACTTGTTATTCCTTACCTGTTACTGTTAGGGCTTGGCAAAGCAAGAACTTTAGGGATTGTTCTTTGTTAAAGTGCATTTCATCTAATGCCTACCCCAGCTGCCTGTTAATTAGTGCTGTTACGGGATGGGACTCAACCAATTACTTTGTGGCAGGAAGGGATCAACTCCAGGTTGAGTGCTCCCTGACAAAGGCTTTTGTGCTGCTCAGAAGTCATTGTTATGTTGTCTGTTCATGTGTCTCTTGGGCAAAGGAACCCAGGGTTGCAATATTTAAAAATTTAAGTGTGGCTGGGTGTGATGGCTCACGCCTGTAATCTCAGCACTTTGGGAGGCTGGGGTGGGTGGATCATTTGAGGTCAGGAGTTCAAGACCAGCCTGGCCAACATGGCGAAATCCCGTCTCTACAAAAATACAAAAATTAGCCTGGCATTGTGGCGCACACCTGTAGTCCCAGCTACTTGGGAGGCTAAGGCGGGAGAATCGTTTGAACCCAAGAGACGGAGTTTGCAGTTAGCTGAGATCATGCTACTGCACTCCAGCCTGGGTGACAGAGCGAGACTCCATCTCAAAAAGAAATATATAAATAAAAATAAAAATAAAATAAATGTTTAGATGAAGCCTGGTTGTGGACTTGAAGAAGTTTGAATTCTAAAATTGTTTATAGCATGACCAACATCCAGGGGATTATATTTATTTAGCCTATGGGGAGATTTATGATGTAATATAAAGGTGAAAAGCCAAAGGAGTTCATTCATTCAATAAGTACTGAGTGCCAGGCCCCAAACTAAGAACAAAACAAAGGCAAAACCAGATATAGATCTTAGAGTCTATAGAGCAACAGGTATTCAACAGCAATAACGGAAATGAATAATTACTGGCTGTGACAAATTCCAGGAAGGAGAGGGTGCTGTAAGGCACATTTAACTGGGGAACCTGACCTATGCTGGGTGTCAGGGAAGGTTTCCTAGGGAATAGAACATCTGGTTATTTAGTTTGTGGTACCTGAGTCTTCTCACCAGTAAAATAGGGATACTACCCTCTTTGACTCACAAAGACACTATAGCAAGAGTGGTCATGGACAAGAATGAGCTTTGAAAAATGCTCAGCGTTTCTAAAACTGAGTTTGTCCCTCCAGCCAAAGGGAGCTGTTCTCCAGCTTTGACATCTGTTGCCAAGCCAGGCAGTTACTCAGGCACTCTGACTGAAGACCTTTGATAATTCTCCTCCACTCTGCCAAGCAGCAGGGGTCAGACAGACCTGGGGTTAGCTTTGGTTCTGCCATTTAAATCTCATTTGAACTTGAGTAAGTTTCTTAATTGGTAAAGTCACTTTTCTCATTTGTGAAATGGGGCAAGTATCGATTAATGGCTTAAAGCTTGTAAAGCACTTAGCATAGTAGTTGGCATGTAGTTACTTCTAAACCAAGTACAGCTAATGTTATCGTAATTGTTATCATTGCTAATTATTAACTTTTTTTTTGTAATGGGGCTCACTGTATTGCCCAGGCTGGAGTGCAGTGGCTATGCACAGGCACAATCATAGCATACTATAGCCTCAAGTTCCTGGCTGAAGTGATCCTCTACCTCAGCCTCCCGAGTAGCTGGTACTACAGGCATGCACCACAGTGCCTGGAGCTAATTAATAACTCTTGTCAATTATTTCTTTGTAATAACTTTGGCCTTTTACCTCTATTCCCACCAGCCTAGAGAAAGCCCTTGTCATTTGGCAAGAAGTGATTCCATAGCCTTCTGATCAGTGCCCCCAACTTGTCTCTCACTTCTCTAATTCATTCTACTTGCTTCCTAAAATAACAGTATTTTGCATATGTCACCCCTTTTAATATTATCATTGAAAAATATGTGAAGCTCATAGCACAAAGAGCTAAACTTCCTAATGTGGAAAGAGGTCCTAGATAATTGGTAAGAAAAAGACCTACAAATGGGTAGAAAAACAGGAATACAAATTCCAAAAAAGAAAAAAAAGTCTACTAAACATGAAAATATAAGCATCCTCACTTATTATAAAAGAAATGTAAATTAAAATTACACTGAAATTCATATTTTACTTATCAAGTTGACAAAAATTGAAGGGGTTATTAATAACACCTTCTGGCCAAGCTGTGGGGAAATAGGCATTTTCTTACATTGCTGGGGAGTAGAAATTGGTACAATCCTTATAGAAGGCAATTTGGCATTATTTATCAAAATTACAAATGCATATACCCTTGGACTCAGCAATTTTACCTCTGGAAATTTATTTTACAGAATACTTGCACATTTTATTTATTGCCATATGGTTTGTAATAAGAAAGGATTGGAAACAAGCTAAATGTTTGGTAAATTATGGTTCATCTCTTCAAAGAAATGCTATGCAAAAAAGAATGAAGAGAGTCCCTCTGTACTAATATATGAAAATCTCCAAGATATATTAAGTGGTTTTTAAAAAGCAAAGTGTAGAACAATGGGTATAGTATGTTACTTTTTGTGTAGGGAGGGGGTAATAACACTCGCACACACACATACACACACACACACACACATAGAAACTCTGGTAGGCACATACAATATTAATAGCAGTACTAATAGCAGTACTTATTTCTAGTGGGAGGGGGTCTGGGCAGATGGGAGACAGAGGTAAGAGGGGAACTTTTCACAGGATACCTTATTATATAGTTTTAACTTGTGAACCATACTGCAATGGTTCTGTGAATACTACCTAGTCAAAAAATTATATTTAAATTACTCCCACTATTAAACCATTAACATATATTGAGCATCTACCATGTGCCAGGCCCAGGGGATACAAATGTGAATGTGGTTGTGGTTTGATGGAAAGATCCACTGAACTTAAAATACCTGATTCAGGTCGGGCACAGTGGCTCACGCCTATAATCCCAGCACTTTGGGAGGCTGAGGCAGGCAGATCACTTGATGTCAGGAGTTCAAGACCAGCTGGGCCAACATGGAGAACCCCTGTTTCTACTCAAAATACAAAAATTAGCTGGGCATGCTGGCACGTGCATGTAATCCCAGCTACTTGGGAGGCTGAGGCAGGAGGATTGCTTGAACCCAGGAGGCGGAGGTTGCAGTGAGCTGAGATCACACCATTGCACTCCAGCCTGGGCAAAGAAGCGAGACTGTCTCAAAAACAAAAAACAAAAAACAAAAAACACCTGATTCAAATTCAGATTCTGCTTCTCACTAGCTATGCATCTTGGCACACAGTAGGCATACGACAAGTATTTATTGAATGAATTTATGGTTGAAGTTACTTAACCTTCCTGAGTCTGTTTCCTCCCATGTAAGATGAGGATAGAGATGCCTCCTATCTCTCAGGGATATTGTGAAGACAAATGATAGAATGTGTCATCAATTCTAGTGATAATTAATGAAACCTGCTATGTGCTAGGCAGTTTCACATCCATTATTTCCTTGACTTCTCATGGAAACCTGTGAGGTGGGCATATATTCACTTACTCATGAGGAAATGGAGGGACTGAGGGGAAGAATGGCTTGCCCAAGGTTTTCTTCTGGTCTTTCTTTATTGCTACCTCCCCCATGCTCTGCACTAGAAACTTTGTAGGTTATGCAGTAGATACTGTATAGTAGGTACTCAGGGAACTTTGAAAATCAAGAAAAACTAATGTTTTTCCACTGTTCTCAGTGACACCTCAGAGCAACAGAAAATCAGTAAATGAATTTCGGATACTTCGATTTAGAAATATACTAGCTGGTCTGTTTGACATTCACTGCACTAAACACTTGGGGGAAAATACAACAAAAATCAAATATTCATGCTTCTAATGAAGTAGGAAGGATAAAGACTAACCCACAAAAACACTCATAAGCGAAAGGTACTCATTCTAAAGGATGCTGCACTTAGAATCTTGTAGACTTACCAACAACTGTTTCTAAGAGGGATTAAAATGGTACACCCAATACAGTACAATTAAAAAAAATTTCTTTGGAGTAAAACATACAAGCAGAGTCATGCACAAATCAATTGATTTTTATAAACTGAAGGACAGGTGATTTTTATAAAATGACATGGATTAATAAATAGAATATTATCAGCATGCAGAAGTCACCTCTGGGATCCCTTTCTGTCATAATCCACAGCTCAATATAACCACTGTCTTCACTTTTAACATCACAGATATGCTTTGACTATTTTTGAAGTTTATGTAAATGGAATCATATAGTATGTACCCATTTGCGGCCAGCTTCTTTCACTCAATATCCTATTTGTAAGATTCACTCATCTTGTTGAGTGTAAATGAGTTCATGCATTCTTATTACTATGTTGTATGTTACACAGTTTATCTCTCTTCTGCTGATGGACATTTGGGTTGTTTTCTTTTTGGCCGTCATAAAGAGATACATTATAAACATTTTTCAACATCTTTTGGTGAATATGTGTATACATCTCTGTTGGGTGCACACTTAGGGGTGGAATTGCTGGGTCATAGGATACATGTTAATTTAGCTTTTCTAGATAATGCCAAGCAGGTTTTTAAAGTGGTTGTAAAAAGTTCATTTTGACGAGCAGTATGGTCAGGCCCTTTAATTTTAGTCATTCTGGGTGGTATGAAGTTAGATCACATTGAAATATCAATTTGCATTTTTGGGATGGTTAATAAATTGAGATATTTTCCATATGTTTATTGGCTTTTTTGAGAAATGCCTGTTTGTCCTCTCTTGAGGACAGTTGAAATATTCTGCCTGTTTTTAATTGGATTTTCTGCCTTATTCTGGCTGATCCGTAGGTGTTCTTTATATATCTGTAAACAAACCTTTTTTGGATGTATGTGTTGCAATTATGTTTTCTCACTCTGCGGTTTGCCTTTTCACTCGTGGTGTCTTTTCATGAACAGAAGCTCTTAATTTTAATCTTGTCCAATGATGAGTTTTTTTTCTTTATATTAGTACTACATGTGTTTAAGACATCGTCTTTGTCTACCCCAAGGTAATGAAGATTTTTTTGGACATTTTCTTTGGATCGTGTTATTGGTTTACTTTTTACCTTTAAAATCCATCTGGAGGCCGGGCGCGGTGGCTCACACCTGTAATCCCAGCACTTTGGGAGGCCGAGGTGGGTGGATCACCTGAGGTCAGGAGTTCGAGACCAGCCTGACCAAAATGGTGAACCCGTCTCTACTAAAAATACAAAAATTAGCCGGGCATAGTGGCGTGCGCCTGTAATCCCAGCTACTTGGGAAGCTGAGGCAAGATAATTGCTTGAACCCGGGAGGCGGAGGTTGCAGTGAGCCAAGATCATGCCGTTGCACAACAGCTTGGGCAACAAGACCGAAACTCTGTCTCGAAAAGAAAAATTCCATCTGGAATTGACTGGGGATGGGGGGATTCAGTTGATCCAGCATCATTTACTGGAAAGAGAGAGCTAATCTGACCCCCAATACAGCACAGCAGCACCTGACATAAATCAAGTGACCACATATTGTAAATCTGTTTTTGGACTTTATTCCATTGGTCAGTTTGTCTATCCTTCTACTATTTCTATGACTTTATAATGGATCTTGATATAAGATAGTGTTAAGTCTTTTCCAGTGGGCTCCAATTTTTCACCCCACCAAATCATCTAGTGCTGAAGTGCCACCGCCAACTCGCACTTTGCTTTCAATACGTCCATACGAGTGCAATTGATTTGCCTGTTCCCGTGGATGGTTCATTTGTGGTTACCTGGGGCTTTGTCTCATCAAAGCCCTTCACATTGAAAGCCAGCCAGGTGTCTGCAGACGAGCAAAGCAGATCTGTTGGGTAATTAAATAACGCGGGGAAGGGGAAGGAGTGGATTCGACGAGGCTGTCTCTGGAGAGAGCTTCAGAAAGGAAGTGATCGAGCTATACTTGAGGACTGGCTCCTTGGGGAGATACGAAGAGAGCCAAACTCTAAAATCCGGGCAGAGGAGGGCCTGGCTAGGTCACCGAATGTAAATGTCTCGGGGGGTTCCGCAAGGCAGCGCGAATCGGCTCGCCGGGGTGGGGCCGCGGAGCCGCAAATCACCAGTTGAGGGCCGGAGTGCGCGCCGCCGGCTCAGAGCTGCGCCTGCTGCTGGCCGGGCGGGGGACGGGGCCGGGACCGGAGCCGGAGCTGCGGGGCGCACCGGCTAGACGCGCGCGGGATTCTCGGCGGGCACGCCCCGCGGACCATGAGCGTCCCCAGCTCCGGGAGCAGCCGCGGCGCGGGCGGTGCGAGGCCGGCCGCGCGGCGCCTTTGAGCCCCAGCCGGAGGTCCAGAGATCCTGAGAGCCCGAGCGCCCAGCGCCGCGCCGGGAGGTGAGTCTCCGCCGCGCGCCCAGCGTCCTCGGGGTGCTGTTCCTCCCGGGGCGCCTGGGCCTCCCCCACCCCGGTGAGGACACGCTAGGAAGTTTGTTGGACAAAGTTAGGCTCTGGGGAAAGTAGAGCCGGCGTTTGTTGGTCCCTACCCACCCCCGCCAGCGGATTTGGCGTTGGGGGCGGGGGTGACTGAAGTGGGGCTGGGGCTTGCGCTCTCCAGGCCCTCCGAGCGCGCTGGGACTCCCCGAGACGTGGCCCACGGCGGGGAGCGCTCAGCGATTGGCGGCCAGGCATCTTGCTCGGTGGCACTCGAGCGGCATCTTCCCGGGCGCTGGCCTCGCCCGACCCCCTGCCCGTCGGAGCTGCTCTGCCGGCCACCCCGCCCTGTCCCGCCCGTCCCCTCTTCGCAGAAGCCGGCCGGGGTCGGGCAGATGCGAGGGCCCAGAGCGCTCTGGTGGAAGCCCAAGGCTCCGAGGAGGCGAGTTTCTCCGGTAATCTCTTGGGAAGTTTGCAAAGAAAGCGAAGGAGCCTGCCCTGTAACTGTTGACAACATCTCCCTCCCTCTCTCCCTTTGTTGAGAAAGAATGAATAGTTGGTTGTGTTGCTCCCTCTGCGTCGCGGTGGGGAGAGGCGAGGGAAGGCAAAGGAAGGGAGGGACGGTGGGAAGGAGGTTCCGATAGATCGTACAGCCCAACTGTCCTTACCCACTTAGGCCGCTGAGGGCGCCGCCGCTTTAAAACGGTGTAATCAGGTGTAGACACTCGTCGAGGAGGAGGTTGAGCGGACTCCGAAGCATCTGGCAAGGCGGCGTGTTCCGTGGGGCGGCGGGTCGGGTCATGGTTGGGGTTAACTCGCTTGAAGCAAGGTGCAAAGGAGAAAAACCATTTTCCTAACCTCATATCTGTTTTCGCTTAAAGCTGTTAGCTGAGATGGAAAGTAGAGCCGTGCATTCAGATTGTTTTAAACCTTGACTTTATCTCCCAAGGCTACACAGACCTCCCCAAGGAAAGTACGCTGGCCGAGGGAAGGTCATTTTGGGAGCTGATAGCCTCCCTTGTGTTGCCTGGGACTGAGTTGAGATCCTGGAGGCTGGGAGAGGCCTCAGTGCTGGGGGTGGGGCCCAGCTCAACACAGGTCCAAGTGGGAAGGGGCTACCCGGGTAACAATGGGAAGCCCACAGGCAAAGCGCTTGTCTGCGGGCGTGCCAGGGGGTATTGAGGATAACGTAAAGACCTTGCCAAGCCAGGGGATCCCACACCACTCCAACTCCAACTTTCTCTAAAGTGCTGCTGAGAAGGCTGGCATTTCCAGGATGACTAACCAAGGTCTAAATCTCCTGTTCATATAGGCAGAACTGCTTGTCAAATGGATGCTAATCTTAAGAACCTTATCGGGTAAATCCTGTACTGTGTTGCTTGAAATACAATCCATGGAGGAATTATTCATACTTGAATCATTTGGCTAGACTTCATAAGTTTACTTCAAAAATAAAGAGATACTCTTAATTCCTAAACCCAAGCAAAACTTCATTTTAAGTGGATAAGCCAATTGAATATGTGTGGTTGTTTCATCTCCTCTCTCCATCTGACTCTCCAGAGAAGTTATAAAACTACAGATCCAAGTTGTAAATTCTCTGTCATGGGGCAGCCGAGACGGTTACATTTCCAGAGTTTAAAATATAATGAAAAGTTCTTAAAGCTCACATCAGATAACCATTATGAGTTAAACTTGAAAATATCCCGTTTCAGAAATAAAAGAGTAAAATCCAAACAAGTGGGCTGCTTATCTCTGCCTCAGCTTGCAAGATCATCAGTTTCTTTGAGACATCATTGTAAAGCAAGTGAGTTGGGCCTCAGTTCACAAACATTTCAAAGCCCAGCGACTGACCAGGCCCAGGAAGGCAGCACATGTGGTAAAGTTTGTCAGCCTCGCTCTTGTTCCTGATGTTCACATGAGTCTCAGATTTTCATATCAAGATGCAGAGTCTTTGACTTTTGTATAATATTTCAAAATCTGGCATTAGACTGAGTCAGGACATTGTGTTTGTTTTCCTGCACAGTAGAGAGAAGTCAGATGGCCAGAGTCTCACCTGGGCTTTTTTCTAAAGACTGCATGTAGGCTCACTTGGTTTGCCTGTACGTGTGTCTGTGTCTGTGTCCGTGTCCATGTCCTACTTGGCTTGGTGTCTTTGCATCTATTGTTCTAGGTTAAAACGTTTCCCTCCCCATCCTTCCCAGTTGCAGTCTTCATTTGTGAACTCTCAGAGTTACTTCCTTTGTGAACCCTCAGTATAACAGAGATACAGTGACTCTTATCTGACAAGATAGATAAGAGCAGCCCCTGTCCTGCTTAGAGGGGACCTGCTATTTACTAAGTGTTTGCAGTATTTCAAGAACTTTGTATACACAATCACTTTTAATCTTTACAACAATCTTATGAAATAGCTGTTAAGTCATTTTTTAAAATGAGAAACCGTCAGGTTGAGTAACTTGTCCCAGGCCATACAGCTGGTAAGTCAGTGGCAGAGTAGAGATTTGAACCTGTAGATATCTGCCTCCAAAGCCTAGGTTCTGAGTCATACCATTTTATTTTTAAAAAATCAAATGGTACATAAGAAGTATATAATGACTAGGGACATTGAGACAGAAATATTTCCAAGTGGAGAAAACATGGGAGCCAGAGGCTGGAGACTTGGGTTTAGTCTCCATCAGCTGTCATTCCAACCGCTTGTTCCTATGGCAAGACCTTTGCATTTGCCAGATCCCTTGCCTGGAACCCCCTTCAGACCTTTTTTTGACTGGCTCCTTCCCTTGCCTTTTTTCAGGTCTCATGTCATTGTTACCTTTTCAGAGAGGCCTTCCCAGTCCACCCTAATGTAAAGTAGCTCTCCACCCGCAACAGTCATCCTTTGTCAGTTCATCCTGTTTATATTCCTTAGCGTGCTTACAACTTGGATGTTAACTCATTTTCTTGTTTGTATAGGTTGGATTCCTCCATGAGAGCAGGAGCTTGTCTAATTTATTATATCCTTAGCCTTGGTACACCATAAGCCCTCAGAGAATATATATCAAATGAACATTTATTTCCCTTATCTAGAAAAATGGACTGGGAATTACCAGTACTTATGGTCATAATTTATTGTCTGCTTCCTCCAGAGTATTATTAGCTTCATGAGGACAGACCACTTCTGTCTTGTTTAATGCTGTCCCCAACACCTAGCATAGTGCCAGCCATAAAGGAGACCCTCCATGAATGTATGCATTGAAGAATCAATGTTTCTATTGATTGAATGATACTCCTTCATCATCATTGAATTCTGTTTTGCAGGTAAACAATTATGACTCAATTGCTGTGTACCAAAAAGACTCACTAATCCAGTGGTTCTCAATCCTGGCTTCACATTGGTCAATACTGGAGACTGATGCTAATGTCCCGCCCACAGAGATTCTCATTTTATTGTTCTGGGCTGAGGCTTGGGCATCAGGATTTTAAAAGCTTCCCAGAGGATTCTTATGTGTAGCCAGGTTGAGAACCAATGGTTTACGTTTTTATAGTAGAACTCATTCCTTGCTTTGGTCCTTATAGGCTTGAAGAAGCCATGGTAAGAGAGAGCAGGGGTATAATTCATGGGTATTGTATGATTCCTGACAGTTTAAGAGGTACTTCACAGCTGTTATCACATCTGATAATAACAAGTTAAGGGATCTACTCTCTGGTTTAAATATTGCCTTTATGTTGATGATTCCTAAAAATCTCCATCTGCCCTCACTTCTAATTGTGCATACCAGTATCTAACCTCCTCTTAGACCAAATTGTTTGCTGATACCTCACATGCAGCAGCTCCAGTGCTGTGCTTGGTTCCTGCAGGGGTGGGTCCCCTTCTGAAACTAGTTGGCATGTTACAGCATCGCACCACCTTCTGTGGCTGTAGGCTCCTTCCTTCCAGCCAGATGCCTCAAGCTCTGATGTCTCATCACTCTCTCCTTTCTCTCCCTTTACCCAGCTGCTGCCCCAGGTCAGAATTCTTCATTGTTCCTCCATGGGTTTCACCATCAGCCTCAGTAACCTCCCTGCCTCCTTTTTCTCTCCCCTCCAGAACAACCAGAGTCACCTACTTGGGTACAGACTGGGTTCGGTCCTTCCCTTCCAGATCTTCCCTAGCACTTCCAGTCAAGTCCAGACACCTTGGCAGGGCCTTCAAGACTCCATGGTCTGATGCTAACCTAAGTTGCTTCTGGGAAATGCTTCTCGGCTTCACTCGAGCCACAGCACACAACTGGGAATGTCCTGAGCCTGTGGGGTCACTTCCATGCCTTTATGCATCTGCCATCCTCCCGGGAGGCTTTTCCCCACATGTTAACTTTTCAAAATGCTTTGTCTCTATTGTTGCCCTCTCTGAGCCTTCTCAAGTCCTTTTGTCAAAATTAATTGTTCCTTTCAGCATAAGGGCCTCTATGAATTATTCTCTCTTAGAGTTCATAGTCAGGTATTGGGCCTTAGGCATCTTTGTTTCTCCAGGTGTCTTGTATGAAATAGGCACTTAAATGTTTGTTGAATTGAAGGTAAGAAGGGGAAGTATTAACATCCCTTGTTATTGGAGAATAAATTGAGGTGTTGGTAACTTGAAGGACATTTTAGAACACTTTAGGACAATCTTGAAGTCTAAGTAGATCTTGGGGAAGCAGAGAGGAAACAGGCTGCCAAAGGCAGTGGTGCTAGGGTGACTTTTGCCCATCATGCTATTGGAAATAGATTTGATCAACAGTGTGGCCCTATGCACATGAAGAAGTTCTGTAGGGTGCTGCAGGCCTCCCCACGAGGTTCTTTGAAATGACCCAGTCCTGTCTGTGAGAAGTCACAACTGTGGTGTGTATGTGTGTGTGTAGGGTGGAAGAATCCTAGTCGGTTTACGTCACTTGTGTTCAGGCGGTGGGGCTAGGGAGTTTGGTTTCCTTTCTAATAAGGATGGTTAGCATTGAGCAAGTGCTGACAGTGTGCCAGGTACTGGCCAGAGCTGGGAGGGGCTGCACAGGACTCTGTCCTATTGTTCTGCACCCACTGTGAGCAGACCTTCTGTGTGGTCCCAGTTGGACGTGGAGCAGGCAGCCCCCAGAATTACTGGATTTGACAATGAACCGAGGACAGAGTTAAGATTGTACACCTTCAGTAAAGATGCTCCTTCCATCTCACCCCCAGGACTTCTGTACTTTCCCCTATCTCATGTGGAAGCAGTGGAACGTGTGTGTTTTGTTGTACACACACATACAAACACATGCGTTTTCTTTACACACTCTAATGTCATTGTCTCGGCTCCACTTCTATCAGCTTGTGGAGGGTTGCATTCTTCTTGGTTGTCTTCAAACCACGTCCCAAGTCCGCAGTTCCTTTGTAGAACTGACTCTGCAGTAGTGCTATTAAGTGAGGATTTTCATGCAAAGCTCTTCCCTGAGTAATGCAGTGGAAAGGGTGGTTTGTGAGGAAAGAGGGCTGCTGGGTTGGAGAACAGACTAAGGGGCAGCTCTCCTCACCAGCCCGTGGGAAGGGCTGTATGTTGGGCTTGGCCACCCTGCAGTGCTGTCCAGACCAGAGTCTGATATCATGACTAGTATAAGACAGATCCTGGAGCCTCTATCTCCAGGGGCCAGCCTTTTTTTTTTTTTTTTTTTTTTTTTGTCTCCTATTTCTTTTCCTCTGTGTGTTGGCCTTAAAAATGTATTATATAATTTGTCTTAGGCCAAAACCATAGTTTGCTTTGGAGCTGGAGGCACTGACTCTGCTCAGGGTAAATGCTTCTACTCATGGTCCTAGATAGGAGAGAGTGTCGGGGCTACTTGCTGCACACAGCCTGACGTGCCATTCTCCTTTCCCTTTCCATGCTTCCTTTGCCCCCCACCATTTTTTTTCTTTTCTTCTTCCCTTCTCCTGTCTCTTCTTCCCCGACTGTACAGGCACCCATGGGCATTACCTAACCCTGCTGGTGGCAGGCAGATCCTGACCCCTCTGTGGGGGCCATGTACATGCAGCCCCCACCCCAGTGGCTTTCCTCTGCAGCTGAGCCTGCTGGTGTATGGCAGAATGGCCCACCTCCTGACCCTGACCCTAGCCCGTGTTCACTAATTAGAGTGCATTGATTTATTTATAAACACTGGGTCTTTGCCAGAAAAATTCTGTCCCATCCTGTGTAGCACAACTGAGGACTGGTCTGGCACTGAAGACAATTCTAGCAGCTAAAGAATTTCAATAATCCCTGCCTGTTCTTATCATTTACAGGGCAGTGAAAATAATGTGAGCTAATTATCTAACAGTTTATAATATTTTCTTTCGTACATTTATTACTGCAACTATGAGTCCTCTCTTAATCATCTTTTTTTGCTGGTTGTGCATGGCTTATATGCCTCTAACAACTCTGAAAGTGTTTGCCCTCTTGGTTTTGCTGCCAACCCAGGACAATTCCTATGTAGGATCATTTCAGGAGGAAGATAAGTAAACTTCCCATTCTTATTAGACTCCACTAGTGATGCCATTAAATGTTGATCTGTTAATGGTCTGTGAATATTTCATTTTATGTGGCATATTTCCATTTCCTTTTGTAAGTAGGAAGTCAGTTCTTGTGACTCTCATAGATTTATACCTTCACTCTTTTCTTTCCCCCTTAGAGTTGAGAATTATGGCTGCAGGAAAATTTGCAAGCCTTCCCAGAAACATGCCGGTGAATCACCAGTTCCCCCTGGCCTCATCCATGGACCTTCTGAGCAGCAGGTCCCCTCTCGCTGAGCATCGCCCAGATGCCTATCAAGATGTGTCTATACATGGCACCCTTCCACGGAAGAAAAAAGGTCCTCCTCCCATAAGGTCCTGTGATGACTTCAGTCACATGGGCACCCTCCCCCACTCCAAATCCCCACGGCAGAACTCGCCTGTGACCCAGGATGGCATCCAGGAGAGCCCATGGCAGGACCGGCACGGCGAAACCTTCACCTTCAGGTAACTTCTGTAATTTCACTAGTGAAGATGATTTGTCTTAAACAGCTTTTTAAAAGGTTTTTATGGCCGGGCGTGGTGGCTCACACCTGTAATCCCAGCACTTTGGGAGGCTGAGATGGGTGGATCATGAGGTTAGGAGTTTGAGACCAGACCAACATGGTGAAACCCTGTCTATACTAAAAATACAAAAATTAGCTGGGCATGGTGGCATGTGCCTGTAATCCCAGCTACTCAGGAGGCTAAGGCAGGAGAATCACTTGAATCCGGGAGGCAGAGGTTGCAGTAAGCCAAGATCGCTCCACTGCACTCCAGCCTGGGCAACAGAGTGAGACTCCGAAGTTTTTATTAGGAAAAACATCAAACATACACAAAGTTGAGCGAATAATTAACTCCCATGCACCTGTCAGCCGGCTCCAACAGTTACCAGCTCAAGGCCAGTCCCGTTTTGTCTGTACTCCCACCTACTTCCCTCCTTTGGTATTATTTTGAAGCAAATCTCAGATTTCATATTATTTCATCTGGAAATATTTTGGTATGTTCCTTTCAAAGATAAGGACTCTTATTTTAAAAACTGTATAACCACAATGTAAAAAAAACTATAACACCTAAATAAAAACCACTTCTTAACATTATGTAACATTTGAGGATATTTTAAAATCCAGCTTCCTCTCTTAAGTCCCTTAAAAGAAAGCCCAAGTATTTTCTTTTTATCATAGCATCAGATTCTGAACTATGTCCATCCACTTCTATAGAGATGCCAGGATGTCTATAAATTAGACCCCATATCTCCTTATATTTAGTTGTCAGCATGCTGAAATAAAATTTTATGTGGATGCACCAGCAGGTCAGCTTCAGAATACTTTAGGACAAGAATTGATTTTTCCCTCTCTGTGACAGAGATCTGGGTAAATGAGCCTTATGGTTGTAAATGCTTTTTCTCTGGGTTTGTAATGGGCCTGGCTGTGATTGGTTTCTGCCTGTTAGAGCTAGTTTGGAAACTGCACTCCTTTTCCTGTTGGGGAAGATCAGCAGCCTGTGATGCTATCTGGTAAAGAATGGGACTGTTTCTTTTGTTATCTCTCTTTTTGTCCAAGCTTGTCGCAAAGCCACTTGGATCCTAGCTCATTTATTTGTTCAATATTTATATATGGAGCACCTATATTAGAGTATGTTGATTTCATAAGCCCCAGGGCTTACCAGGAAAATTCTGCTCAGTCCTGATTATCTTAAATGAAGGGCTGGTCCAGCATTGAAAACATTCTAGCAGCCAAATTATTGAGCAATCTGTTCTTGCCCTTTTATAGGGTGGTGGAAATATGTGGACTAACAGGGTAGCAGTGGAGCATCTGAAGCAATATCTTCCCAGAGTTTACATTCTAGTGAGCGCATTAGGTAGTATATACAAATAAATAAGACAACTGCAGATTATACCAAATGCTATAGAGGAAATGGAGTGATATGCTGGAGATTTATTGGAGGTGGTACGTTTTTGGTAGGATGAACAGGTTTCTGAGATGATATTTAAGCTCATATTTGTATAATGAGGGAAAGCAACCATGGGCCTTCCAGGCTGTTGCAGGCATGGGGAAGTCAAGTGCAGAGAACTGGAGATGGGAGCAAGTTTGGCATGTTTGAAAACCCCAAAAGGAACTGGAATGGCCTGTGGCTGGAGTGTAGCACATTGAGAGGAGAACAGTGTTGGTGTTGGTGCAAAGCTAGGCGAACAAGAGTTCAGAATTATTCTCAGTTCCATAATTGCAGTAGTACAAGAAGAAAATAAGTGGAGGCCCAGATAATCTCCATAGAAACCACTAGAGAGCCCTGAACTGCTTCTGTCACCAGATTAGGACATTCCTTGGGGTATCCTGGGGGTTAGAAGGCCCTGGACCGGCTCCACAAAATCTAGGTGGGTGACCTCCCAGCTCAGAAAGTTGGCAGGCAGCCACTGCTGGAATGGGTGAACATGGAGGTGCATACCTGTGCACAGGATTGTTAACATCGCATAATTGGCACTTAAGGGGCAAGAATGCAGGAGGTGAGCAGCAAAGACAGGTAACTTCTGGCCTGCTAAAGATGAGCACAGATGCCAGGCTGTGTGATACGGAGTCAGAACCAACTGTTAGCTGGCTTATGGTGGACCGCTTTTCATTTATTAACTTAAACTGTCCTGAGCTAGATGTCTACCATGTACTAGACACAGACAGTTTATAGACTTACTCCTTGAAGTTCTGAGGCCCTGGCTAGGTGCCAGCTCTTACAAAGGGAAACTCCACACTAGGGGGGTGGGTGGGGAGGCAGTAGTGATGGAGTCACCCTTCCTATCTTGGGGAAGTTCTTGGTAAACACCCAAGGTCCAAGCTGTCAAGCTGCCAAGAGTGTAAAGCTTTTTGATTTGAAAACTGACTTGGACAGAGGTCATATTTCTGTAAAAGATCTTATCGGAGGGTGGGTGCAGGTCCTGAGTTTGAAGTCCAGGCTGTGGAAGACTTAACAAGCACTCCTGGTTTAGGGTTTGTTTATGATTGAGAGCTATATTAATCCAAATTCACATCTTTTTTTCTTAACTGAAAATATCTTATTGTTAAAGATGAATACAGGAAGTAACAAATGCATATCCCTCAAAAATTGTGCTGAGTGAGAAGGCACATGGTTCTCTGTTAAAGGGTCGTAAAGTCCTACCCTGCTCTGTACTACTATTAATATATTTATTTCTCTAACACATTAAAAAAAAAATCTCCTGAGGTGTTCCCAATTTTGAGGAGTACAAAATACCTTATATTCTTTTTTTGTTAAGTATTCTTAATAAGATTATAAGCTGCCTGAATTCCTTTTTGAAACCAGCAATGATATAAACAAAGTTTTTGCATATGCAGAGCTAGGACCAAGCAGCCTGAATGAGAACCCAAGGCTCTAGAGAAGGAGGTTTTGCCAAAGGTGCCACAGCAAAAATACAGTGAGAGAAATGGAACTTCTCATTCAACTCTTCCAGTTGAAAGGAGCTGCGAAACACCAACCATTCACTCCAGCTCAGTCACCTCTTTTTTTCTTTTCGTAGTGAATTCAGGGGTTAATTTCAGTTGACAGTGACTTGCCCAGATGTCAGCTCTGAAAACATTGCATCTCATCATGTTGGGTATTGGCCTGACGGGTATTGGCATGAAGATAGTGGGCCGCCTTGGATGTCTCCTGCCTCCTCTATCTTGCTCAGAGGGAGGCCCTCCAGATAAGCACCTCTTTGTCTTGTGAAGTACTCTGTTGCAAGTTTGCTCTTTTCCAAAAAAATATGTTTAGCTTGTTAATCATTAAAAAGTCACCTTTATAGGCCGGGCTTGGTGGCTCACGCCTGTAATCCCAGCACTTTGGGCAGCCGAGGTGGACAGATCACGAGGTCAGGAGTTCGAGACCATCCTGGCCAACATGACGAAACCCCATCTCTACTAAAAATACAAAAAAATTAGCTGGGCATATTGGCGTGTGCTTGTAATCCCAGCTACTTAGGAGACTGAGGCAAGAGAATCGCTTGAACCTGGGAGGTGGAGGTTGCAGTGAGCTGAGATCACGCCACTGCACTCTGCCTTGGGTGACAGAGTGAGACTCCATTTCAAAAAATAATAATAATAACCTTTATTATAATTGAACATTCATTGAAAATACATCCTCTCGGAGGCCCAAGACAAAGCAGAGGAAGTCTCCTCTTTGACCTTAAAACTTGCATGATTAAGCTTTCATATCTACATGTGTCATTTCCTCCATTATTAATTCCTCCATTATTAATTATCCCAATAATTATAACATGAATAATTATCCTAATATTATTAATTGTTATCTCCTACATTTTATAGTTTTCAGATAGCTTAAAGGATATGTTCATAAACTACCTTGTTTGAACATTGTAACCCTGTGTGAGAGACATAGCAGATTTCATTATGAACATTGTTATCACCATCATCAGTGTCATCATTTAGAGTTGAGGAAATGGGTTCAGGGATGTTGAGGCACCTAAGATCATACCTTAATGGATAACTGAGCTAGGATTAGAACCTAGAAAGTATTATAGGGCCTTCCCCAGACAGTGTGTTCCATAGCCTCCGAAGAATGTTGGCACCAGCTGTGGGCATCCTCTGAGCTATCTTCTTGCACAGGGGTCAGTACCCTGCTTGTATTCAGTGCTTTGGACACCTACTTTGGGGAGAATGGAGCCTTGCCTGCTGAGAGCCAGGCAGAAGGCAGGCCTGGAAGGGGGAGTTGGTCTTCTCTTTTGGTGACTGTATCTCTTGGCTTTGTTGTTGTCTTGGCTGCCCTTGGATGTACTTGTGGTTTTGAAAGAGGGCCAAAGCCAGAAGCCAGGGAGCTCTTAAACCTGCTGCTTGATGTCACAGAAGGAGCCTTTGTTCTGCAAGCAGACCCAGGTTTCTCTGAGAGGTCTGCAGACAGGATTTCCTCTTGACATTCACATTGTTCAGCTGATATCCCCTTGATTCATTTATCTTCAAGGATGAATTTTTATTATTATTTATTTTTATATTTTTCCATAAGTTATTGGAATACAGGTGGTATTTGGTTACATGAGTGAGTTCTTCAGTGGTGATTTGTGAGATTTTGGTGCACCCATCACCCAAGCAGTATACACTGCACCCTATTTGTAGTCTTTTATCCCTCGCTCCCCTCCCACTCTTCCCTCCAAGTCCCCAAAGTCCATTGTATCATTCTTATGCCTTTGCATCTCATAGCTTAGCTCCTACATATCAGTGAGAACATATGATGTTTGGTTTTCCATTCCTGAGTCACTTCACTTAGAATAATAGTCTCCAATCTCATCCAGGTCACTGCAAATGCTGTTAATTCATTCTCAAGGATGAATTTGTATTCAAATCTGGAATCTTCCTTGGGCTGAGAGGGGACTGGTTCCTGTTGTCGGGATGTCTGTGTTGCTAGGATAGCTGAGGGATCAGTGCTTGGATACCATTCAGGTCTTTTTCCTGCCTGTGGGTACGTGGAGGCACACATTCCTGGGAACAGCTGTGAGTGCCTAATTCCTTCGGCCTCTTGTGCTGTGGGAGCATGTGGTAGGACAATGTGGTGTTTCATTAGTTTGCATGAGTGGAACTGACTGACTCGTCACAAGTGTTTTAACTGACAGTGGCCAGAAAGTCTGCAGAATTATCCCTAGTTAAAATGAGCAGTACATTTTCCCAGGCAGTAAGTAACCTACCCTGTCACAATGTCAGATCTTCAAGGTTGAAGCAAAGATGTAAGGTCCAGAATCTATGCAGCTTTTTTCCTCTAAAACATTGATTTAAAGCCCTAACTCTGGGCTGTATCAATGCCCTCATCTGAAAAATGGTTTTAGTTATTCCTCTTCAGAACCATTGGTTTCTGTAACTACTGCCTTCTCTTTAACAAAGCAAGATGTTCCCTCAGACACGCAAATACACCAGCCTTTAGCTCAGGGTTAATCAGAAGGATGTACGATGCGAAGGTCCACATGCAAACATCTGCAGTTTATTTATACCCAGGCATGTCTGCTGTCTGCAAATTGGAAGCTTTTTGTGTACTTTTTGGAGAAAAAAATTGGATTTTGAGTTAAAAAAAAAAATCTTGGGCCGGGTGCGGTGGCTCATTGCCTGTATTCCCAGCACTTTGGGAGGCTGAGGCAGGTGGATCACCTGAGGTCAGGAGTTCGAGACCAGCCTGGCCAACATGGTGAAACCCTGTCTCTACTAATAATACAAAAATTAGTTGGGCGTAGTGGCACATGCCTATAATCCCAGCTACTGGGGAGGCTGAGGCAGGAGAATCACTTGAACTCAGGAGGCGGAGGTTTTAGTGAGTCAAGATCACACCACTACTCTCCAGCCTGGATGACGAGAGTAGAACTCCGTCTTAGAAAAAAAAAAAGAAAAAAAAAAAAGCTTTTATTAGATTAATAGATTCTATTTAATAGAAGGTATACTTAGCATAGTGACAATGGCTTAACAGCCCAAGTTCAAGAATGTTTCTGAAAAGTAATAGTCCATGGGTTGAATTGATGTTTTTATAAGTTTAAAGTTGAGTTTTAGTAACATTTTGAAATACCCCTCGGTGTTTGAACGCAGCTGTTGCGAATGGTTTAGTGCATTCCGAGGAATGGTGAATGTCCCGGTCCCTGGTGGCCTCTGGTGTGCTGAGGACAGGAGCAGCTGGGTCAGAGGTGAGCTCAGCCCCTGCATCTTGCGCTGCTCCTGGGTTGAAGAAGCCCAGAGGGTGGGAAGTGCCTGCAGATCTACCAGCTGTCTGATGGTTGTCCTAAATCCTCTACTGACAAGGATGATTTGAACCTAAATGCCAGGATCTACGCATTCTCAGCTGTTCTGGGGCAAAAAAAAATTGTTAACAGATTGCAAACCACAACCAAGAAAATGATCAGAGAATTACACAATGCAGTCCTTGTTGAGTGGAGCTGTGTAACATCTCCTCTGGACTGCCCCCTCCTCACTCCCACCCCAGGACAGACCTGTTTTAAATCATGTTTTTTTTCAGGCCACCAGCATGCTATTTGGGAAAGGTGAGGTATTTTAGTCTTCTGGGTTTTTCACGCCCCTCAATATATGTTGAAACACCTTGTAAACAGAGGTGCTATGCAGTTATAAATTACTACTCATATTCTTATCACATGTGGATTTGCGAGCCAGCCTAGCCTGGCTAGAATACACAAGCTGGAGAAGTCTTAGTTGTAAGCTAAAGGAGTAGTTGCTGTGGTTGATTGGAAGGAGACTGTCCTCAGGGGGATTGGTCTAGGTGGCCAGACCGGCCTGAGCCACATGGCTGATATGCCCTCAGGTCATGCTTCGGAATGGTGTCACTATCCAGTCTGTCACCAAGAGGCTAGCTGTGGGATTGGATGTAGAATTTCAAGCTCTCTTCTTAGAGGCCCCAAAGACAAGCATATAGGGCCTTGTTTGAAGGACTGTGCTGTTATTTACAAGTTAGAGAGGTCTGAGAAACCTTCCCTAGTTGCCCCAGCTTTTATGCAGTGTGATCTGTCTGTAGGTCCAGTTTGCCTGTGAGTATAATCACTGAAGATAAAATAACTCCTTTTGTGAAGAGGAGAAAAAACACAAGACAGATAATCCAGAGGTTTCAGTTCATATCCTTGTTTTTGCCACTTATTAGATGTGTGAACTCTATAGCAAGTTCTAAACCATAAAGTGGGAGCGTAAATAACCCATCCGAGAAGTGCTATGAAGGTTAACTGCTCACTAAATATGAAGGCTCCACAGAATCTCAGAGCTCTGACTTTCACACTTGACCCTGGTACACCCTACTGGGAATCTGCGTTGAGCAGGTCCCATGCCTGCTCCTAGCTCCCACCTGGTCACCAGCAGTTTCTTCTTCTCCTGCTCAGCTCTGCTGGGACGCCTGGCTCAAAGCCACTGAGGCCCTTGCTGGGATGTCGACGTAGCCGTGGCTATCAAAGAAAGCCACTAGTGACCTTGACGCTGATTCCAGCAGCCTGACTTGGTAGCTTTGTGACCTTGGGTAAGTTATTTTACCTTTCTGAGTCTCCATGTCCTCAAAGGGTGACTCTAAGGATCAGATACAATCTCATGTGAGGGTGCCTAACACAGAACCTGGCATAGAGGAGGCTCAGACTGATGGATTTCCTTCCTTCCTTCCTCCTGGAAGGCTAGAGCTGGGAGGTGCCTAATCCTTTGGTGTAACCTGAGATCACGTTCAATGACGGCAGCTTCTGTGGGAGAAAGTTTCTCACATGTTGATGGAGTCTGGCTGGAATCCCTCTATCTGAGCCTGCCCTACAGCAATGAGCCTTGGCCAACACTCAACAGTTTATAGGTATAACAACTACGCAGTGCACTAAAATATCAGCATACCATCGTACTAATACACAAAACAGAGCCTGTCTTCAGTGAACGGGCCCCGAGCCTTTGCCTGATTGTTCTTGTGCTTAATATCAGTGTCTTTGCTGTTTATTCTTCGATGCGTATTTATTAGCTTGTTTTATGCCAGGCATTGTGCTAGATGCCAGGTACCTAGTGAAGCACGAAATAGATGTATCCCCTGTCCTTAGGGAGTTCTCAGTTTAGGGGGCATTCAGGCAAATGCATCATTAAGTACGTAACTACAAAATGAGGAGGTACAAGGAAGATACAACATCAGAGGACCCCAAGTTACTTAGACTGGTGGAGAGAAGGCCTCTCTGGCATGGGAATTTGAAGATTTGATATAAAAAGAGAATATATTTCAGTAATAATTTTTATGTAACCGTGTTGAAATAATGTCTTTGAAATAGTAGGTTAAATAAAGGATTAAAATTAACTTCAGCTATTTTTTAAATTGACTATCAGAAAATTTAAAATTACCCATGTGGCTCACGTTGTGTTTTTATTGGCTAGCACTGGTCTAGATTTGGGTAAGGACTTCAGATTTTCTCTGTAGGGCAAAAGGAAATCTACCTTTAAAGGATTTTAAGCAAGGGAATGGCACGATCAGTTTTTAGAAGATTGCTTTGTCTCCCTGTGGAGGAGGATTGATGGAGAAGAGGATGAGGAGGGAAGGCAGGAGGTGGTTGTAAAAGTACAGGGAGCAGGTGGGGTTCTGCACTAGCGTGGTGGTAGAGGAGAGAAGTCTGTGGATTCGAGATATAGTTTGCAGGTACAGTCTGCCATATCTGCTGAGGTTTGGATATGGTGGGGTGGGGGAGAGGTATAGTCAAGCATGGCTCAGGCAGCTGGGTATATGGGATAGGGCATTTGCTGAGATAGGGAAGCTTGGGAGAGGACCAAGGCTTTATTTGTTTGGTTGATTGCATTTTCTTAGGGAAGGGGGTTATGGTAGATTGCTGAGAATCAGGACTTCTGTTTGGGGTTTGCTAAGTTTGAGATGCATGCATGTCTAAGTGGAGGTGTTAAACAGACAGGCGGTTGGAATTATGAGCCTGGAGCTCTGCAAAAAAGGTCTGGCCTGAAAGGTATAAAGTTAGGAGTCTGCACAGAAGTGAAATTAAAGCCATGGAAATGGATGCCATCGTCAAAGGAGAGATCTAGAGCTCTATGTAAAGAGTAAAGGGAAGGAACCCTAAGAACGACCTCAGAGGAATCCCAGCACAGTTTGTTCCAGGGAGTCAGCAGAGGAGGCCGAGTGCAGAGAAATAAGATAGGATATGGATAGATAGGATCTGGATAGGGTTGGTGTTCAAAAGAAGATTTTTTTTTTTTTGATGATAGAATTCAATAGGAGACTATCTTGCCATTTAAACTAAAGCATATTTTATCCACTACTTGATTTTTTTAAATAAGGCAGACATGTTTTCAGGGCCACCCTCCCTGGGGTCTGTGTCAGCAGCATGGTGATTATACTCCTGTGGTTTCTTCCCAGCGGTCCTGGACATTCCCCAAGGACCCTGTAGACAGAGGAGGTACATGGACACTGCAGTGTCTGCCTTTGCCTAAAGGGTGATGGCTGCTTTTTCAAGGTTTAGGTAGGTGGCCACGTTGAGGATGGGTGTCTGCCCGGGAAGACAGGTCAAGGGGATATGTTCCTTTATCTGGTAGGCAGAAGCCCTTCCTCTTAGAGGCTTGAGGACATTATCTCAAAACCATAGCATTTTTATTCTGCCTCTCGATTAGTTAGAAAAAGCCTTTACAAACACACTCTTTCAGAAGCCGGTAGGGAATGGGTGGGGGTGGGGTAGATGGGACTGGTGGGATTGGAGGAAGGGCAGATAGATAGCAGCCAAACAAAGCATCTGCTTTTATCAGAAGTGCTGTGTTTGAGCTTAGACAGCCTGAAGCCTGATGATTCACTGATGCCAGATCCTCTCTGCCTGCCAAGAGACATACTGGCCTTGATACGGTTTTTCTTGTTCTTACCCTATTCAATTTGACTGACTGCTGCCAAGTTAAAATTTCAACAGTGGCTTTTAGCTTCATGCTGTCACTAGAATTCTGCTGAGCCCAGGTTAACCCATGACTGGGTCAAGTTTTTATCAACCAGTACCACTGTGTATTAGTCTTGGATTCCTATATAGACTCACCATAGTGTAATATGCAGGATATTTAAATGATGCTGTTTTAACATGATTAGGGAAACTGCCTGAAAAAGGAGTTGAATTGCCATTCTTTTCATGAACACAGTCATCAGGCATTGCAATGTTTTCAGATAAGATAGACACTGACTCATAGAAAAGTAGGAACTGGGCCAGGCGCGGTGGCTCACGCCTGTAATCCCAGCACTTTGGGAGGCCGAGGTGGGCGGATCACCTGAGGTCAGGAGTTCGAGACAAGCCTGACCAACATGGAGAAACCTTGTCTCTACTAAAAATACAAAATTAGCTGGGCGTGGTGGTGCATGTCTGTAAGTCCAGCTATTTGAGAGGCTGAGGCAGGAGAATCGCCTGAACCCAGGAGGCAGAGGTTGCAGTGAGCCGAGATCCTGCCATTGCACTCCAGCCTGGGGCAACAAGAGCAAAACTCCGTCTCAAAGTAAAAAGAAAAGTAGGAACTCGCTGTTGAAATGAAAGAACCAGGCATTTTAGAAGTAATCAGGCCTTAGAATCTCTGACAGCCAGGGAGGGAAATGTGTTCTTGTCTATAGTCTACCCTAGACTGTAAGAAAAAGGATTCCCAAGGTCGAGGTACATGATAAACACAATCCCATGGCCTCAAGTTTAAAAAGAGAAACACAGTTCAGGACAATTAAAAACAATGCTGTGACCCCAGTTCCAAAGGAGGAAGAGGTATGTGGCCATCCAGATAGCTCTTCTGTTTAAGGATGTGAATGAAAGACTGACTCCAGTCTGAACCTGCTCCTTTAAAGGATTCCCCCAGTGTGGTAATGAGGAGCCAGGGCCACTTTGATGTATTCATTCACAAGTATGTTGAACTTTGGTGTGCCAGGCTTTATGCTAGGTGCTGGAGATTCAAAGACAGAAAGGCCAGGTCTTTGTGCATGTAAGGAGCCCTCAGAGGAAGGATGCCCATTTGAACTACCTCTCCTTAGCAGCACCTGTTCTCCATCTTCTTTGCAACTGACCTAATTTCTCATCCACGGTATAGCCCTTTGTATTGCTCCACTGGATTGATAAGCAATCCTGCCTTTCCTGACCTCTGACCTTAACATCTTTCCAGGTATCATGTTACTTTTTCTCCTTGACTTGCTGACTGCAGGTGGCACTTTCTAGATAACCCTTTCCTTTGGACCTGCCTTCTCTGTGCTGCCACTTCCTCTGTGCTTTCCTGACCTTGGACCCTGAGCCAGACCCAGGGAAGGTCGGGTCATGCAACCAAGGTCCATATCAGAGGGTGGCTCTGGGCTGTAAAGAAACAGAGTGCAGAGTGAAAAGAGGATTGTGAAAAATGTGAAGGGTAACAAAAGGGCTTTCAGAAGTTATGTTTGGAACAATAAGACCAAAGAGAGGGGCTTGTGAGAGAAACCAAACTGCTAAGCTTCTGTTCAGCTTGCATTTTTTTCCATCAAGAAATGACTTCTCTGACTGGAAAGGGTAGGATAAATGTGAAGCAAGAATCGCTGGCCTGGAGTAGATGAGGCCATGACAAGAGACTCTAATGCCACCCGATAAGGTGAAGCCCCAAAGTCCAAGAAGACTGAGGGAGTGTGAGACTGAGATCATCAAATCATGTGATGTTGGAGGAATAATGGAGTAACAAGAACTACAGGAAGGATGCAGGTGGATACATAGTTTAATTTTTAAAAAAGGATTTAGAGAGAGAAAAGCTACAAAATGATAAGCTTGACATCGATCTCAGGAAATATTCTATTATAAAGTGGATTATCAAGACAACGATTTTTGAATACTTGATAAAGGAAGCAGTCATCGTTAGTAGCTATCAGGGCTTTGCTAAAAGCCAGTCATACCAGATTAACTTTAGTTCCTGGGGTTACTTGGTTGGAAGCTTAGAAGAATGTTGAGAAGGCATGCATGCAAATCAGTCACTGGTGCTATCCGTGGGGTGAGGAAAATTCAGGCTAGATGATAATACAGGAAGCACGCTGGAGGCTGTGTCCCCTGTTTTCATCAGTTAAAAAAATCTTCTAGACAATAATATTGGCATACAGATCACATACATGAATGACAAATCTAGGGGAATTGTTAATAGGTCAGAGCAACAGAAATGAGATTTTTTTTTAAAAAAAAAGAGATCTTGGTATTTTGAAACAGCAAACCAAACCTAGTTGAATACAACTTGAGAGGGAGAAAGAAAGACTAGCACCAGAGTCCAAAACCATTCATTACAAATGAAAGTATGGGGTTTGGCTAAACAGCCACACACGAAAAATATTTCAAGATCTGGAGAACTGCAGCCTCAGAATGAGTCAGCAGCATGCTATGGCTGTTAAAGAAGCTCCCGTGATTTTCAGGAGCATTAACTAAAGTTAATATTCTGACCATCGGAGTTGGTCACACATGGCTGCCCAAATCATACCTGGTGAATTGTTTTTAACTCTAGACATCAGAAATGGAAGGTGAATCTGCCCCTGACTGCAGAGCAGTGAGCTTCTGTTTAGACCTCTCCTGCTTTGAAGCACTTCTATTGCTTTAATCATGAAGTATCCCTAACATTCTTCTGTATTCGTGAAAAGGAATTTCTCGCATCACGTGTTAACCCTGGGTGCAGAATATAAAATGAGTGTCAGCCTTAATCCTGCTAACTGCTAGTAAAACATACTTTAACAAATAAGATCAATGGGTATGTTTTAAGATGTGGAAGACTGAATCTCTTCTCATTTATTTTGCAAGGGGATGAAACAAAAATATTTAAGCGCACATCTAGAAGTTTTATAGTTCTCTGTTTAAAGCTACATTGGGGCTGGGCGCAGTGGCTAACACCTGTAATCCCAACACTTTGGGAGGCCAAGGTGGGTGGATCACCTGAGGTCAGGAGTTCGAGACCAGCCTGACCAACAGGGTGAAACCCCGTCTCTATTAAATACAAAAAAATTTAGCCGGGTGTGGTGATACATGCCTGTAATCCCAGCTACTTGGGAGGCAGAGGCAGGAGAATCTCTGGAGCTCGGGAGGCAGAGGTTGCAGTGAGCGGAGATTGCACCATTGTAATCCAGCCTGGGGCAACAGAGCGAAACTTCGTCTCAAAAAAAAAAAAAAGCTACACTGGGCCAGGTATGGTGGCTCACCCCTGTAATGCCAGCATTTTGAGAGGCCAAGGCTGGCAGATCACTTGAGGTCAGGAGTTCGAGACCAGCCTGGTCAACATGGTGAAACCCATACCGTCTCTACTAAAAATACAAAAATTTGTAGGCCGGGTGCAGTGGCTTACACCTGTAATCCCAGCACTTTGGGAGGCTGAGGTGGGTGGATCACCTGAGGTTGGGAGTTCAAGACCAACCTGACCAACATGAAGAAACCCCGTCTCTACTAAAACTATAAAATTAGCAGGGCGTGGTGGCGCATCCCTGTAATCCCACCTACTCGGGAGGCTGAGGCAGGAGAATCACTTGAACCCGGGAGGCGGAGGTTGTGGTGAGCGGAGATCATGCCATTGCACTCCAGCCTGGGCAACAAGAGCAAAACTCCATCTCAAAAAAAAAGAAATTAGCCAGGCATGGTGGCGGGTGCCTGTAATCCCAGCTATTTGGGAGGCTGAGGCAGGAGAATCACTTGAACCCGGGAGGTGGAGGTTGTAGTGAGCCAAGATCGTGCAATTGCACTCCAGCCTGGGCAACAAGAGTGAAACTCCGTCTAAAAAAAAAGAAATTATCCAGGCATGGTGGCGGGCGCCTGTAATCCCAGCTACTTGGGAGGCTGAGGCAGGAGAATCGCTTGAACCTGGGTGGCAGAGGTTGCAGTAAGTCAAGATCGTGCCATTGCACTCTGGGCTGGGCAACATTGCGAGACTCTGTATCAAACAAACAAACAAATAAATAAGCAAGCTAGCTACATTGCTTTTAAATTTAGCAAAGGCTATATGCACAATATTCCCCTGCCTGCAGTAAGAAAGTAACTCTTTATTGGGACCTTAATATGATTCCCAACATCAGTAAATAACCTGCTAATCTAAGCACACACTAGCTGATATTTTTCCAAAAATGTCATTTCTGCACTCACCAGGCGTGTCCCATTTTAAGCCTGTTTGTTTTCTCTTTTTCCTGGTAAACAGATAGAAATGGCCCTATGGTAAACTCTGTCTGTTCTCTTGGTTATCTCCCTGATTAAGTTTCTCCCTGGTATTTTAAACATGTTCAGAGAGATTCATTTTCAACAAGATCAGCCAGCCTCTCACAGTATCACTTTGAAAACATCTGGTCTCATTGGGGCTGGGGAGCCAGGCGCTGCTCTGGCAGCAGTGCTGTTCTGTTGCTGAGGGAGTTCTGTCTGAGGCCATCACAGTTCGGTCGCTGGCCTGTGGCTAAATTATCTCCTTAATGAGGGGGCCTGTCAATCCAAGAACAACATTTCTCTCTTGTTCCCTCTCTCCTTCCAATGTTTTATTCCCTTAGTGAACTCATAGAGTGTAGTGGGAGGAAGGTCTAGGTCTTCCGCGTATTAGAGAAAACACACACACACACACACACACACACACACGTTCATTTATTCAAACCAACATACATGGAGCAACTGCACGGGAGGTACAAAGGTGAATACAGTGTGGTCCCTGTTCTTAGTGAGCTCATAGTCCAGTAAGGGACATAGACGGGAATACACATGGTATATCGAATTGTAATTGTTTGTCATCACAAAGTTTTATAATTCATAGGAAAGGAGCACTGAGGAGATGTCACTGATTGTATGAGTTGTGTGTGTGGGTGGGGGTGGGAACGTGTGGTCAGAGAAGCCAGGGATGAATGAGAAGAGGATGGGGACCCCAGGCCTATTGATACAGGTAATTCCAAGTAGTTAAATTTGCTGGAGTGTAAGGAGCAAGGTGAGGAGATTAGGCTGGTGAGTTGGGCAAGACCTTAGAACCGTGATTGTCATCTAAAAAATATAAAATGAGAATGCTAGACTGTCCCATGTAATAACCTTATCTAATAGAACATTATTATACTTATATATGTAACCATATATATAATATATATTTCTATTATAGTAGAAGGAATATTGTCCAGTAGATGCAAAATCTTCATAGACTTAAAGCCGGTTGCTGGCCAGGCATGGTGTCTCATGCCTATAATCTCAGCATTTTGGGAGGCTGAGCAGGGAGGATTGCTTGAGCCCAGGGGTTTGAGAACAGCCTGGACAACATAGCAAGACCCCATCTCTACAAAAAAATAAAAAATAAAAAAATTAGCCAGGCATGGTGGCATGCGATTGTAGTCTCAGCTACTCAGGAGGCTGAGTCAGGAGGATTGATTTATTTAACCCCATTAGGTCGAGGCTGCAGTGAACCAATGTTGCACCACTGCACTCCAGCCTGGGCAACAGCAAGGCCCTGTCTCAACAACAACAAAAAACCTGTTGCTATCTCTGTTTCCCCTATCCCTTCATTCCCTCTTATCCCCAGCTAAGATTTTGAGATGTTGCTGAAGCTTCATGCTGGAGAACAAGGGGTGAAGCCTCTGGATTCTAAGGCCATATACACATGCAAATGAGCGGAAGCCCCCAGTTTGCCTGTGGAGGGCACACTGTCTCCCAGTTGTGTAGTTCACCTTTCCTGATTGTGTGACATACCCTGGTGCATGGGTTGGTTAAATGGTAGACTAGTGGACTCCAAGGCTGAGGTGTTTGTTCCTCATGGGCCCCACTGCTTCTGGTAAACAGAGAGGTTCAGCCTACTGGCTACACTCATCTTAAATCTTGTTGTGTTACATTGTAATTAAGTGTTCTAGGAATGAGTTCATTCAGGATGAATAAACACCAGCAAAGCAAGAACTCCATCCAAGACATGTAAGCCTTCTAGTCCCTGCCCTCAGTAAGTTCTAAATCTAAGGTTTTTGCATAGCGCTTTTATATCCAAGAAACTTGCTCAACTTTCTTTTTTGTTTTTGAGACAGGGTCTCACTCTGTCGCCCAGGCTGGAGTGCAGTGGTGCCATCTCGGCTCACTGCAACCTCCACCTCCAGGGTTCAAACAATTCTCTCATCTCAGCCTCCAGAGTAGCTGAGACTATAGGAGTGTGCCACCATGCCCAGCTAATTTTTGTATTTTTTTTTTTGTAGAGACGGGGTCTCACCATGTTGCCCAGACTGGTCTTGAACTCTGCTCAACTCTCTTAGTAGCTCTGCATAGATTCTTTGTGTGTTCTATGCAGACAGTCATCATTTGTGACTCATTACTGTTTTGAATCATTACAACCAGTTTTGTTCTTTCTTTTCCAGTCCTGATACCTTTTATTTCTTTTACTTTATTTAACTGTACTGGCTAAGACCTCCAGGACAATGTTGAAAAGAAGCAGTAACGGACTGGGCGCGGTGGCTCAAGCCTGTAATCCTAGCACTTTGGGAGGCCGAGGCGGGCGGATCACGAGGTCAGGAGATTGAGACCATCCTGGCCAACATGGTGAAACCCCATCTGTACTAAAAATACAAAAATTAGCTGGGCGTGGTGGTGGGCACCTGTAATCCCAGCTACTCGGGAGGCTGAGCCAGGAGAATGGCTCGAACCCAGGAGGCGGAGGTTACAGTGAGCCAGGATCATGCCACTGCACTCCTGGTGACAGAGGAAGACTGTCTAAAAAAAAAAAAAAAAGAAGCAGTAACAAGCGACATGCTGTCTTGTTTCTGACTGATTGATTTTAGTGATGCTTCTAATACTTCACCATCTAGAATGACACTTGCTGAGGTTTTTGGCAGATACCCTTTTCAGGTTGAAGCAATTCTCTTGCATGTCCAGTTCATTAAGCTTTTTTAATTCCAGACATTATGAAAAGGTGAGGATTATTTTTTCTTTTTCTTTTCATTTTTTTTTTTTGTGGGCCATACATCAGACTTAAAGGATTCTTTTAATGCTTTTTTCATCAATTCAATGTTCAAAATTATTTTTCTCTTTTAATCTGTGAATGTGGTAAATTGTATTAACAGGTTTTCTCATGTTAAACTGTATATGCCTGGAATAAACTTTATTTGATTATGATATATATTTTATACATTCTTGGATTTGGTTTGTCAATACTTTTTTAGGATTTGTTCATACCTACTCATGTGATATTAGCCTATGCTTTTCTTTTACTGACTTTGTCTGTTTTTGGTATCAAAGTTATAATGCCCTCTTTTTTGTCTCTGGAAGAGTTCATATAATTTTCAAGTAATAAATAATTCCAAAGTTTGGAAGAATTTGCTATATAGTAAAACTATATAGGCCTGATATTTTCTTTGTGGGAAGATATTGAACTACTTCTTCAGGTTTTTTTAAATGTTTATAGGATTATTTTGATTTTCTGTTTCAGGGAACCAAAAAAGAAACCTATTGTCTCTACACAAATGCTGATGGGAAAAAATAATGGCAATAATTTTTCTCCTAAGAATCCATAACCACGGGTCAAGTCTTTATGTTGGTTGGGAATTCAAATTCCTATTACCTGCTTTCAGATAAATCCAAAATAGAGAAATCAAAGTGTCTGGGTTGGCAGTGCCCACTAGTAACGAAACAATGCAAATCTTTTTTGGATGAAAACTTGCTCAACAGAATGCTACTCAGGTTATCCACAAATTTGGCTGAATGTAAATTCCCTTTCAGAAACAACCATACACACTGGAAAAGAAGCCCCAAAGAGTGAAAGTCAGCAGAAATAACAATAGCCTGAGACCCACAAAGACTTTAGATATTAGAGGCCGGGTGCAGTGGCTCATATCTGTAATCCTACCACTTTGAGAGGCTGAGGCAAGAGGCTCAACATAGCGAGACCCTGTCTCTGCAAAAGATTAAAAAATTAGCTGGGTGTGGTGGTACATGCCTGTAGTCCTAGCTATTCAGGAGGCTGCAGCAGGAAGATCGTTTAAGCCCAGGAGGTCGAGACTGCAGTGAGCTATGACTGTGCACTGTACTTTAGCCTGGGTGACAAGTGAGATAGTCTCAAAAAAAAAAAAAAAGACTTCAGATATTGGAATATCAGATACAGGCTATAAAATAACGATGTATGGTACATTTTTTTTTAAAAAGATAAAATCATAAGTGGTCTCAGAATAAACAGGAAAATATAAAAAGAACCTACTATAATTTCTAGAAATAAAAAACTATAATCAATAAAAATATAAAACCCAATGGCTAGGTTAAATAATAAATTAGATATGACTGGAGAAAATACTTATGAATTAAAGACAGAAAGTAATCACACAGAACATAGCACAGAGAGAAAAGGCAATGGAAAGTATGAAAGAGACACTGAAGGAGAAGGAAAAGCCCCAAGTACATTTAACCAGAGCTCTAGAAGGAGAAAATTGAGAGAAAGGAAAAAGCAATGGTCAAATTTTAAATAATAATGAGAAATGGTAAATCTTCACCTAGACACATTGCAATAAAACTAGACCACCAAAGACAATGAAAAGATCTCAAAAGCAGTCAAAGGGCAAAGAAAGCACAGTAACAATTAGACTGATAGCAGATTTTCATCGGCCAAAAGGGAAGATGAGGCACTTAAAATTTTGTGCCTATCAAAACTATTAAGAACAAGGGTGAATACAGAGACTCCTAGACAAATGAAAACAGAGAATGTCCTGCACGAAGAAGGAAAAGGATGCCAAAAGGAAAGCCTAAGATCTAAAAATGCATTCTTAACTAGTGTCTGCACAGCTCCCTTGTTTTGTTGTTCTCTGCTTTTCCTTCATGGGTTGACTATTTTTGTTGGTCTGAAGGGATCCCTTAAATGTTTGTCATGTTTCATTGTACTTTTTGGGAAAGATTTATGTGTCCATAATTTGAAGGATGTGAAAGACTCTCCTAAAAGAGCTGATTTACCAGTTGAGAGGGAAGGAGAGCTTATTTGCTATTCAGTAGTTGTGTGGCAGCAGTCATATGTGCACTGATAGCCACAGAAGTAAGTAGTAATGAAGAGAATTCTTATTTATTCAGATCCCAGTGGTCTTGAAAGTTAGTATAGTATAGTGCTTGGAGGCAAAGGTATTTGCTAATTCATTGTTAACAAATGGATTGAGTGCCTGCCATGTGCCAGGCATGATCTACTTAGTTTCCTTGGAAAGAATTCTGTGGGTGTCCTTACCTCTCTCTTCCCTTTCACTCACCAAAGCCAGTCATTTATCAAGAGCTATCTATTCTTGGAAAAATTTCTTAAATCTGTACACCATCCCCCCACCTCCCACACTCTAGTTCAAGTCTCATCATCATCTCTCATCCAGATGATGCCAACATCCTCTTCTTTGGGCTTTCTGAGTCTATCTTGCCCTCCAGCTAATCTGATTTCCATGCTGCTGCAGGGGGACTTTTCAAAAACACAAATCTCTGGTTATTTTCCAGCTTAAGATCCTTCAATAAATCCCATTGCTATCATGATAAAGTCTAAGCATGTTTGTGTGGCATCCAAGCCCCTTGTGACCTGGCCCTGCCTCCTCTCCAGCCTCAGCTCCCAGCCCCTTACTGTTCCTGCTGCTGCCCCGAACGCTGCGCTTAGGTTTATTGTTCTCTTACTCAAGAATCCAGCAAATGCTCACTGGGCAACTGCCATGTGCAAAGCACTGAGGGTACCAAGGTGAGTAAACTGGACAAAGCCTCACCCTTGGAGGGTTGTATTCCAGGGGAAAGATAGACCCTGAGCAAACAGACATTTACTATAATATCAGGTATGATGGAAAAAAATAAAGCCAGATTAGCAGATAGAGGGGAGTGGTGGGGCAAATCTAAATAGGCTAGGTAAGGAAGGTCTCTCGGAGGAGGTGGTGTGTGAACAGAGACCTGAATGGTGGGAGGGAGCAAGCCCCTGAGTATCTGGGGATGAATATTCTGGGCAAAAGAGTAGTCAGTACCAAGGCACTGAAGCAGAGGCAGGCTTGGCATGTCTGAGCAACAGGAAGAAAAAGTCAGTATGTGACTGAGATGGAAGAGTGGAATAGACAATGAGCATGTTCATTTTTCTTTGCTGTGTAACAAAAACTTGGCGACTTCATACCCATTCATTACCTCACGGTTTCTGTAGGTCAGAAGTCTGGCTTAGCTCAGCTGAGGTCTCAGTTCAGGGTGTCCCACTTAGGATGTCAGCTCTGGGGAAGAATCTGCTCCCACACTCATTCAGGTTATTGGCAGAATTCAGTTCCTTGCGGTTGTAGGACTGAAGTCTCTGTTTCCTGGCTGTCGGTGGTGAGGGCAGCTCCCATCTCCTGGAGACCACTTGCAGTTCTGTGCCATAGGCCTTCTCATAACACTGCACCAGCGGCAGGGTCCCTCACATCAGATCCCCGTCATACTTCATGTCAGGCCCACCTGGGTGATCACTGTCTCGTAACATCAACTGACTTCAGCCCTTAATTCCATCTACAAAATCCCTGTGCAGCAGCACTAATCTAAACACCAGACTAATTTTTGACTGAGTAGCTAGGGGATAGGAATTTTGGGGGGCTGTCTTAGGAATTCTGCCTGCCACCATGAAGTTGGACTGGTGGCTGGGGTCAGGCCAACCAGGCTCATAGGGCATGGTGAGGACTTGAGGGTTTTGTTCTGATGAGGTGGGAGCAGCCTGAGTAAGGACCATCGTGGCTCTGGGTAGAGAGCAAATTGTGGAGCTGGCGAGATGCAGAAGGTATTGCAGGTGTCCAGCGGGAGATGATGGTGGCCTGCGCTCAGGTGGCATTGACTCCTGAACAGCTTGCAGTCCCCCAAATGTACCATGTTGCCTTGTGTCCCTATATCTTTGCACATGCTTCTCCTGTTGCCTGGAGCATTTCGCATCACCACCTACCCCATGTGGGGCTTCTTCACTGAAACAAGTCCCCACTGAGTGCTCCAAACCTAGCTCAGATGCTGCCTGGAGGCCTCTCCACAGTGTTTCCCACCCACTGGCACCTTCTCGCCAACCTGAGCTTTGTTGGGTCTGTTAAGCTGTCTTCCGCCCTGTGCTGTAACCTCTCTGGAGTCAGGGGCTTTGTGTTTGGTTCCTGTGTTTCCATTGTCTAGCCTAGTGCATGGCATATTATAGATGCTTGATGATGTTTGTGGGCTGAATACAAGAACTATGGGAGATGACTGGGCGTAAAGTAGACATGTTACGACTGTTGGAAAGCTCACCCTGTAGAGGGAAAGAGCATATATAAAAAAATATACAATACAGTGAACTGGAATACAGACACCATGCCAAGTGCACACAGGAGGTGTGCCACCTCTACAGATTGCTAGTGTGCGTGGAGCTTAAAGGGAGCCTTTATCCTACTCAGTCTGCAGTAGTTGGCGCTAGCTTTTCACATTCCTCCATTGCATGAAATATTGATAGTATTGCAAACAATTCCATTTTGTTATATCTAAAAACATTTGTTTGGCAATACTCTTAGCCATTAATTTATTCAATAATTAAAGAAGTAAACAGTCATTCATTTAAAACATTCTATAACTTAAGACTGACAAGTAACCTTCCTTCCCTATCTGTATTTCAACTACTTGGAAAAGAAGGTCTGTACTAGTGAAATTTTGCTGAAGAGTAGGACCTCTTAATTCAAAATAACAAACACTTACAGATCAAGTGTCCTTTTAAGAGGGAGGAAATTGTCAATCTGGTTACTAATGAGAAACAAACTAAAATAGTAAGAATATCATTTCTGCGACTCAACTAAACATTTCTAAAGTTTGAACTTTAAAAAGTGGGATGCTGGAAAGAATGATTTAACCAGAGTAGACACAGTGATGTTATTTAAAACTTCATAAGCTTAAAAGCAAAATAATGAGGGAGTCCAGTTTCACCCTGCTGGCTTCCCTGTTGGCCATTCACAGTGGGGCAGCGTGCCTGCCAGGAGGGGCCGAGGTGCCTGCCAGACCCTCCGTTGCAAGTAGAGATGCACCCACCATGGAATCACAGGGTGAGGACTCATAATTGGCATAAGCCAAAAAAAATTATAAAAAAAAAAAACCTTTTCATTTATATCGCCAAGTTTCTCTGTTTGTTTTCTAGTGATCTGTCTTAGAGAATAGAAATCTGTGGTGCAAGAACTGTTTGCTGTACAGTCTTGTGTAAATAATTGGATATTCTATTTCCAATTAGAGGCTCGGTCTATAGGGCCAACTGTGATGTTTTCTAGCTCCCTGGAAAGGGTGTCTGGGTGTGGAGAATGTCTTCTTTTTGGTTAGCAGCGATTGGGTGGCTGGCTGGGAAAGAAGTAGACACAGCATTTCTGCATTTAAATATAATTTTAATTTGGTTCAGATTTTTTAAAGCTTTTGGATTTGTAATGCATTAACTTGGTTTTATGATACTGTCCTTGTATTCTTTCCCATGCTTCTCTAAAAAGGGTGAGGAGAATAAGCAGATCCAGGACCCCTTGGAGCCCTGTAACTAGAATCTGAGAACACTTGAACTCCTGTTTGCTTTCAGAACAGAATGAACAAGGCTCCCGTAGCAGGCCTTGCTGGGTTCACCTGGGAGCAGCACTAAGAGGGAACTTTAGTCTTATCCTTTTCTCGGCTCTCAAGGCGTTTTAGATGAAGAAAAGCAGAATAATTTCATGGGAAGTGCCAAATACCCCCTCAGAAGTTCTCTGGGTAGTTTGCCTAACTTTTTTTGGCCTCACTGCCAGAGAGCACCGCTGGTTTGTCTGTGTGTGGCCGCATGGGCTAACATGTTGACATGGGGAACCCGGTGTGGATGCTTCCACAGGCCTGATGAGATCAGTGCTGACACGGGCTTGGGAGGCATCCTAAATGTGATGCCGCTTCTCTTGGCTTCCCTTTTATAAAAGGGGGAGGGGAAGGGAGTGTAGGGTAGGGGTAAGGCCAGAGTGGGAGAGTTACCTGGCAACTTCTCTGTGCCTTTTTGTAGCCTCAGTGTTGAATGGTCAACTGTACATCTAATCGACTTCTTTAACCATTACTCCTGAGAGCCTCTAACTTGCTGGCCATTGTACCAGGACATACAGTCTAATGTAGTCCACATCTGGTTCAAACCTCAGACTCCTCTTCCTAGCTGAGTCTCCTCTGTTTTGTGGTCTGTAAGTTGAGGATAGTACCCCTTTCTTCACAGGATTATAAAAATTAAATCTTCTAATTTATGTAAATCACTAGCACAAAGTAAATGCTCAATAAATGTTTTCTTGTTTCCTAAGATAGATACAGTCTCTGCTCTCACATGCTAGCTTTTTCCAACAGTCTGGACAGAGGACCATCCAGCTTCCCATCTGCCAGATGACCATGGACCTTCACACCCATCTTGGAAGGCAGTTCATCCCATTTTCAGATGGTGTAGTTTTTGGAAAGTACTTCCTTAAGTGAGGTGAAAATCTTCCTCCCCGTAGGTCCCTCTGGCTGTGCCTAAACGGAATATTTGCTCCTTCTTCCATACAGAAGTCCTAAGCTGTTACTGACAAGCAGCCTGTGTCTACCTTCTCCCCAAGCCCACTCTCACCCAAGCTAAATGTTCCTCTTCCTTTTGGTTCTTCCCATGTTATGTGGCTTCAGTACCTTCTCTCTCTACCTGGTTGCTGGTTTTCTGGACCTGTCCTGGGGAGCCAGTGTTCTATTTATTCCTGTTTTATTTACTTTTAGGGTATAAGTGAATATTCCAGATGTGCTCTGACAAATGGCTCCTACCTCCTTTCATTCATGGTTTTTAATCTTCTGTCAATGTAGCCTAACATCCCACTGGCATCTATGATAACTGTATCCTGCTATTTCACAATTAAACTTGGTCAATCAGATTTCACATCTTTCCCATCTTCTACTTGCACAAGTGGAATTTTTAAATTAGAAGTTCAAATTTTATTCCTGTTCTGTTTCATCGGGTTAGGTTTTGCCCATCACCGAATTTTTTGGGGAGAGGGGAAGACCTTATTAATGTGATTTAATACACAGGTCACACTTATAACACTTAATATATGCCCACATATTACTTACTAATGCCAGGTGCTGTTTTAAGTATTTTGATAAATTTCACCTTTGCTCTGTCTCCACAACTATCCTATGATACAAGTACTATTATTCCCATTTTATAGATGACACAACTGAGGCATAGAGAGGTTGTGGTCACATGGTGAACTGTGTTGAGATTCACACAGTAGTAAGTGATAGAGGCAGTATTTGAAACCAGGTAGTCTGGCTTTATAGCCTGTGTTCATTATCACTCAGCTGGAGTGACTGTTACATGAACTAGCCCTTCTGGTTTTCTTTTTTGAGACAGAGTCTTGCTCTGTTGCCCAGGTTGGTGTGCAATGGCATAATTTCGGCTCACTGCAACCTCTGCCTCCTGGGCTCAAGTCATTCTCCTGCCTCAGGCTTCCAAATAGCTGGGATTACAGGCGCTTGCCACCACGCCCAGCTAATTTTTGTATTTTTAGTAGAGACTAGGTTTCACCATGTTGGCCAGGCTGGTCTCGAACTCGTGACCTCAAGTGATCTGCCTGCCTCGGCCTCCCAAAGTGTTGAGCCAGGTGTGAGCCATCACACCCTTACTCGCACACATTACAGGTGTGAGCCATCGCACCCTCCTAGGCTTCTTTTTTTTTTTTCTTGATTAATGAATTTGATCACTGTGCCATCAGAGTTCTCGTTTAAGGGATCATAATAGTATGAATGGAATGGAGGCTTGGATGGAACACTTCTGTCCACTTATAAGGACCTTTCTAGATAATCAGTGGTTTGTTGTTGGGCTTTTTTTTGGTTGCGGGTAGAGTGGGTAGAGTGCTGGCTGTTGAGTTCAAACAAATCTACCTTACGGAATACTAGATAACTTGGGGTCTTATAAATTGTTTGGTCATAGCAATGTCATGACTTCCTCAACTTCCTTGTTGAAATCCAGATATGATTTAATTATAGCATTCGTTAGATCTGCTGGTCTATTCGTCATATCACAAAAGGCAATATAGTCAGATTTGTGACTGTAACTCTTTTTTTTAGGTGCTGAACAAGTCATTCTGGTTAAATTTTGCCTAGGACCTGCTGTTTTTACCAGATTTATTTGTAAAACCCTTTTCCTTTTGCCTTTTTTTTTTCCCAGCTACATGATTTTTTTTTTCCTTTCACCTTTTGAAAGCTGAAACAATCTTTTTTTCCCTTTCTCTAGAGAGGCATGTGAACACTCACCACACTTCCTAAGCTAGTTCTCTTTGGCTAAACCTCAAGCTCTTGGGAAAGAGGTGGATAACCAGAGTTGGCCAAGCCAGGTGCTGTGTGTGGGTGGTTTCTGGGGCAGCACTGGCTGCAGTTAGCAGTGTCCCCACACAAAGATGGAACCACCTCAAGACAAGGTGTCCTGTGCTGTCCCCATAGCCTTGCTTGTCTGTGCAGACCCAGCACTCAAGATGTCCCCCAACCCACCCCTGGGTGAACTCCCCTGTGCTCCTGTTTGGCCCTCCACCATAACACACTTCTCTTGGCAGAAGAGAAGGAAACTAGGAGTTGCTGAGCAATCTGTGTCTTCCCTTAGCCCAGGGCCCTTTGCTTCCAGCAGTTGGCTCTCCTTGTTCTCAGTCTTCTTATCCTAGTTACTAGAGCTTTCTTATGCATCTTAATTTTTCTTCTCTGGTTCCTTGAAGCTGGAGCTGGTATTCAAGAAGAGTTCCCTGCCCTCTAAAGCAGGGAACAGTCAGTGAGAGCAGTCAGTCTCACTGTGGAAGTTAGGTCCAAGCAGGGGGAATGACAGCTAATGACACAGGGCAGCCTGCAGGAGTGGTGCAGACCAGGGAAGCTGCAGCCAGGAGCCAGGCTGAGGGAAGGTACCTCAGGGAGGGCTTCCTGGAGGAGGTTGGACCAAGACCCACTGGCTGGGAGAGGCCGTCTTGGCTGGAGTGATGGCGGGCCTCAGACAGAAGAGGAAAATGAGGCTCCTCAGGTAACTTGGGGTTTCCAAATAGCTGGTCCTCAGTTTTGCTGTCAGGACACTGGAGTACTGTTATGAATTAGGAAGGTTTAATCACAAGTAGGAGGAAATATAAGCAAGCACTGACTGATGATAGTTAATGTTAGAGATTTTAGGAGAGAAGCTGGGAAGACAAACCTCAAACCTCTTTAGCCAGTTAACGAAAAATTCTCTATTTTATTCTTTCTTTTTCTTAATTATCCTAATGTCATTCATTTAAGACCTTAATTTTTAACGAGTCTCCTTTTGGGTCTCTATTTCAGTCAAACCTCGTTGAAGACCATCCCTTTTCATTTTTAATGTGTAATTTCCATTTACCAAGAGTAGCTTTTGGTACTTTTACCATTTACCAAGATCAAACCATTTACCTCTACACATAGCACCTCTCTCCTCCATCCCATTATGCCTCTCACTAAAGCAGAACTACAACCCTCACCTCATAAGCCCTGCTTTTATTGCAGACATTTCAAGGGAATGGCTTTGGATGGCTTTAATAAAATTTTCCCTAATTTGAGTCATTCATCCAATGCTATGTCGTGTTTGATTGACCCATGTTACTTTCCTCATGTAGAGATAGTCCACTGGCACCCAGATATTTCAGAATTTTAAGTGAAAAAGAAAAGATGGACCCAGGCGCGGTGGCTCACATCTGTAATCCCAGCACTTTGGGAGGCCGAGGTGGGCGGATCAGTTGAGGTCAGGAGTTCAAGACCAGCCTGGCCAACATGGTGAAATCCCCATCTCTACTAAAAATACAAAAATTAGCCAGGTGTGGTGGTGCATGCCTGCGATCCCAGCTACTCAGGAGGCTAAGTCAGGAGAATCGCTTGAACCCGGGAGGCAGAGGTTGCAGTGAGCCAAGATCACACCATTGCACTCTAGCCTGGGCGACAAGAGCAAGACTCGAAAAAAAAAAACATATTTCAAGAAAACAATACATAGGAACTTTATCGTACAGCTGGTCTCAGATGCCATTGTTTGGGGCTACCTTATACGTGAGAGCGCTTCAAATCTCCTTTGGTACTTTAGTTACTAAGTCATAACCAAGAGCAGCAAAGTGAGGGTCTCTTTGGAAGCAGAGTGTCCTTCTATTTAGAAGAAGTGTTTTCTCTAGAATATCACTGTCCCGTAGAACTTTTTGCAGTGTTGGAAATATTCTATAATTGGGTCATGCTAGCTGCTAGCCACTAGTGTAACTGAGGAGCTGATTTGTAAATTTTATTTGGCTTTAATTTAAATAAAGCTTGTTTAAACATCTTAAATTTTATACTTCTGTTAACCTGTATGTTTTTATGTTCTGGTCTCAGGAACTCTTTTTTACCCCTAGAACATTTTACCTTTTCTGGTGAAAAGGATTTGGGTTCCCAGCAAGGAGGTGCATCTCTAAGACAGCAAATTTGATTAGGCTTCTTAAACAGTCCTATGATTCTGTGGGAGGGGCATTCATGTTTAGAGCAAAAATTCACCACACAAGAATCATTCTTATAAAATTACTTTCCTTTTTACCTTCTTTACCAAAAATACCTCTTTAAATCTTTAACTTTCTTTTCATCTCTTATTTCCTGATTCCTTTACCTTGTTTTAGACATAACTCTATGAGGTTTGAGTTAGACAAAGATATTTTACCTTTAATAAGAACATTAAAAAGAAAATGTTTTCCTGTAATTCTTAAATCAGAAATTACCCAGATACTTAATATCAAATAATAACCTTAGATTCTAAATTATGACAAGTTTGTTTGTAAGCATTTATTCCATTACATTTATCTGATTAATGTAATAGTTTACCTAGACTATTAACAAAAACTGTGATAGCTAATATTTAAAGTTATTTTCCTTTTAACTATTTTTATAGCTGTGAATTTCAGGTATTTACTTAAGTAATAAAACTTATGCTTAATTTTAAGGTTATTTATTCCAATAACTCAGCATTTAGTTATTTTCATTAAGCCAACAATATTTCATAGGTATACACAAGCAAAGATTATTCTGTCTTGGGCTGGGTTTTATAGTTGATAACCCTCATGGCAAATGTTATAGTATTCTGCAGGGATAAACATTGCTAGTATTTTACCAATAATTTTTTTTTTTTTTTTTTTGAGACGGAGTTTTGCTCTTGTTGCCCAGGCTGGAGTGCAGTGGCGCCATCTCAGCTCGCCGCAACCTCTGCCTCCCAGATTCAAGTGATTCTCCTGCCTCACCCTCCCAAGTAGCTGGGATTACAGGCACGTGCCACCATGCCAGGCTAATTTTGTATTTTTAGTAGAGACAGGGTTTCTCCATGTTGGTCAGGCTGGTCTTGAACTCCCGACCTCAGGTGATCCACATGCCCCGGCCTCCCAAAGTGCTGGGATTACAGGCGTGAGTCACCGTGACCAGCCTACCAATAATTTTAAAGCCACCTTATTTATTAAAGATTTTACTTAAGTCATGGGTATCTGGGTAATTTCCAATTTAAGAATTACAGGAAAACATTTTATTTTTAATGTTCTCATTAAAGGTAAAATATCTTTGTCTAATTCAAACTTTATAGGGTTATGTCTAAAAGCATTTGACTAGTCTTTTAAGTATCTGATTAAGTGCTTTTATATATTTTTTAAGCCAATTAATTAGAGCTCTTTATATATTTTTAGTAGTGAAACACTGTTTACACAATGTATAAATACATAGAGGTATTTAGGCATGCTGATAGAAATACATTTTATAGATTCATAAAGACTTCCTTTTTCCTTTTTTCTAGTTAAAAATTCTTAATAACATGTTGCATCACTCTAGGCAGTTCTCAGCTAAATAGTCCTAAATTTTCATATGAAAGGAAAGAACTTAGGTGAAGATCCGATAGCAAAATTTACATTATAAGCTACAGGGAGAAAAAGTTTGGTGTGCTAGAGGGAAATTAAAATAAATTTAGCTGCCAATTAAACATAAATATTATAAAATTATATATTTATATATCATGTATATATAATGTATAATATATGCATATCATAAAATGCATATATAGTCTATAATGGCCTTTTAAATATACATGGATACATATATATACACACACACACACACACAAAGATCCTGTAGCTTTACTTTAGTACTTTAGCCATGAAATAAGTATAAATTCACTGGCTTGCAAGAAAAAAAAAACTGTTAGATCCAAACAGTGGTTTTTATCTCAGTGGAAAAGTAACAGCAGATTTAAAGTAGGCAGAAAGGAAGACAGAAAAAGAGAATTTAGGAACTCTATAGTTTGCAGGTCGACCCTAGGGTTCTTTTTCCTTAATGTAAATGTGCACAAAGACCATATTACTTCTATTTTACATAAACTCTGGGAAGTAGAGGTGCCATAAAACCTACAGAGTACTCAAAAGGGGATCATTCTCCTTATTTTCTCCTTATTTTTAGAGTATTTCTTTCTCACATTTTTTTTTTTCCCCCTTGAAAGGAGGAACTGAGCTCTGGCCTAGGATTTTTGTGTGGTGGATGGATATGTGTCCTGGATGAGCCATTTTAAAAATTAATTTGCACTGAGGATTTCCCTGCAGGGTTGCTGCACATTGTGGGGGGCCAACCCCCTAGACACTCCCACGAGGCCCCCAGTCACCCATGGGCGCTTTTTGGCTGGGAGGAGCAAATGCCCTTTCTCTTCAGAGCTGAAAAAACTCAGTCTCTCATTTACCTATGAAAACAACAGTTCAGTTTCTCACGCAAATATGCACAGTCAAGCCAAATTGAGATTAATTCTGAGAGAAAAAGCAATAGAGGAGACCCTTTAGAATGCACCTTCGAACTGGAATTAGGATTCTTAAACAACAACTTCCTAGGAGAAAAATCAGCTCAAGAATAAATTAAGGACCATCAACCAAAACAGGAGGTCCAGAGCTCAGGAGGACTTACCAGTTCCACCAGAGGAGAAGCTCAAACTGGGTGAGGCTTCAATGGGCCCTGGCTGGTACCTTAGCTCCAGTTTTGGGCAACTCCTTCAGGGTCCTGAGTCTTCTCTGAGGCCCCACATGTTTGGGCATCAAATTATTGTCAATGAAAAGAGTCAAACTCTGTAAAATATTTGAAGAGATTTATTCTGAGCCAAATATGAGTGACCGTGGCCTGTGACACAGCCCTCAGGAGGTCTTGAAAGAATGTGCCCCTGGTGGTTGGGGCGCAGCTTGGTTTTATACATTTTAGGGAGGCATGAGCCATCCGTCAATCAAATACTTTTAAGAAATACATTGATTTGGTCCAGAAAGGTGGGACAACTCAAAGCAGGGGCTTCCAGGCTGTAGGTGAATTTAAACATTTTCTGGTTGACAATTGGTTGAGTTTGTCTAAAGACTGGGGATTGATAGAAAGGAAATGTTCAGGTTAAGATAAAAGATTGTGGAGACCAAGGTTCCTTTGAAGTCTTATAGTGGCTGTCCTTAGAGACAACAGATGACAAATGTTTCCTGTTCCAGTCTTTAAAAGGTGCTAGACTTTTAGTTAATTTCTTTAGGATTGGGAGGGCCTGGAAGAAAAAGATTTAGCTATGTTACTAGAGATTCTTTACAGATGCAAATTTTCCCCCACAAAGGACAGTTTTGCAGGGCCATTCCAAAATATGGCAAAGAAACATGTTTTGGGGTAAAATATTTTGACTTTCTTGTCACATGTTATGCCAGAGTCAGATTGGAAAGTAAGTCACGATATATAGGGTTAAATAAAACCCATCTGATGAGAATTTATGGTTTGTAGGGCATGACTCTCCAGACCCCTTAGATAGGAATTTGGACAAGATTAAAAAATCTGAGCTTAGTCCTCAGTATGTATCCAAGATATACAACATGATGCTATGGAATACATGCAATATTTAAAAGGTTACTAAAGTTGAAGCAAATTAACATATTCATCATCTCACATAGTTATCCACTTTTTTGTTTTTGTGGCAAGATCAGTTGAAATCTACTCAGCATGAATCCCATATACAGTACAATTGTATTACCTATAGTCCTCATGTTGTCCATTAGAGCTCTATGCTTGTTCATCCTACGTATCTGCTGCTTTTTATCCTTTGACCTACATCTCCCCATTTCCTCTGCCTTCTGCCCCCATCCCCATAACTACTGTTTTATTCTCTCTCTGTATTTTTAAAAAAATTTCTTTTTTTTTTTTTTTTTTTTTTTTTTTTTGAGAAAGAGTCTTGTTCTGTCACCCAGACTGGAGTGCGATGGCGTGATCTTGGCTCATTGCAACCTCCGCCTCCTGGGTTCAAGCAATTCTCCTGCCTCAGCCTCCCAAGTAGCTGGGACTACAAGCACTCACCACTACGCCCAGCTATTTTTTGTTTTTGGTTTTTTTTGTGTTTTTAGTATAGTAGAGACGGGGTTTCACCATGTTGGTCATGCTTGTCTCCAACTCCTGACCTCAAATGATCCGCCTGCCTCGGCCCCCCCAAAATGCTGGGATTGCAAGCATGAGCCACCACGCCTGGCCTCTTTTTTTTTTTTGAGATGGAGTTTCACTCTTGTTGCCCAGGCTGGAGTGCAATGGTGTGATCTTGGCTCGCCGCAACCTCTGCCTCCTGGGTTCAAGCGATTCTCCTGCCTCACCGTCCCTAGTAGCTGGGATTACAGACATGCGCCACCACACCCAGCTAATTTTGTATTTTTAGTAGAGACGGGGTTTCTCCATGCTGGTCGGGCTGGTCTCGAACTCCCCACCTGCCTTGATCCTCCCGCCTTGGCCTCCCAAAGTGCTGGGATTACAGGCATGAGCCACCACACCTGGCCCATATGGGGGAATAAAAACACTGGGCACACAGAACAGTAGGATGAATTGCTGAGATTTTCACCAGGAGTGGGTGGGTAACAGCCAGCGATGAGAAGAGAAGGCTCCGTTCCCTCCATCACCCAGGCACTGGGCAACCTGGGGCAGCCCCTCCACCCACCTAAGCCTCTCTCTTCTTACTGTCAATGTGGGCACAACACAGTTACTGGTGGGGACGTTCTGGGGATTAACCCAGACACCACCAGTGACCGAAAGTGCCACACGTTCCCGTACCCAGTCCTGCCTGTCTCCCACCTCTGCCCTCCCCTGAGCTCTATGCTTCAGACTTTCACTTTCTATGCTCAAGTAAATCTAGAATTACCACATGTAAATACTCTAACATTCTGGGGCCTGAATTTGACAGGAAAGCATGTGGGAGCTTCTAGACTGAGGTCATGGTGGTATCTCCCACCCCACCACACACACCCTGTTGTGAATACTGCCTGGGAGATGGGGCCCAGCTTAGTAACTTAGTGAATAGGGTGAAATAATGTTGGACACATTATACTCAATGTAAGAATGCATCGTTCCCAACCATTCTCATATTTATATTTTCTCTTTTCAGGGATCCACATCTTCTGGACCCAACTGTGGAATATGTGAAGGTAGGAAATGAGAATTAAACATGTAGCCGTGACCCTGGGTAGTAGATTTCCCATTTGGAACACAGAGTTGCTAAATAATGCTGCAGCCTGGTTTGTGTAAAAAGCTGATTAGACTCTCCAAAACAACAGGGAGGAAATTTGACTCCCTTAGGCCTTTGGTAAATTTTGTAGGGGTCTCACGTCATCCTATTACAGGTACCCTTATCTGGCCTTAGAGCCAGGTGTGTTTTAAAATTCAGAGTTTGTTTGTTTGTTTTCCAGAAAGGTAATATGGTACGTATAGTAATACTCCCAGAGAGGTTTGGGGTCAGCACTCCATAATCACACTCATTATTTTCACAGTGACAAGTAAGAATATTCACACTAAGAGGGATAAATAGATGACAAATGATTTTGTGTAGTTCAGGTCACATTTTGCCACCAAATGAGTTTGCTGCCAAGTAAGGTTTTTTTAATGTTAGTGTTCAGAGTTTTTTGGATTTTGGAATGTAGATGAGGAATTGTGGACCCATATTTACCTTCAGTGGAGGACCGAAGGCTCCCTGAGATTTTATGAGTCATCTTTTCCATTCCAACAGCCACCCTCTTGTTCAGGGCTAATCTGGGGCCAAGTAGTAATATTAGGTACTTAGTTACTTTCCAGCCGGACTGGCGGTCAATGCTTCTAAGTATTCAACCCTTCTAAATAATGTATTTCTTCGGAGCAGGAAGAAAAGATGCTTTTCACTTCTTCCCTCTGCCTCCGCATTTTCCAGTGTTGCTGTTTGCTTTATTTTCTTTTATTTTTGAAACTGTATTCTGTCACCTCCTACAGAAGAAAGAAGTCTGATTCTCACATTTGGTTTCTTGGATTTATGACAACATACTTATTTTTTGGGAGAAATCGTAGCAAGAGTTAGAGTTTAGAATCAGGAGTCTCATTCCACCTTCGCTATCCCAAAGGCAGCAGCATCCTAGTTTCAGAGTATGTAGGCATGTCGCTTTTGTGTGTACCCATGCCTTCCCCCAGAGTTCTGCCATTTCCTCCCTCTTTAAAAGACCAGAGGATGGACGGAAGAGGAGGAAGCTCCAGTAGAACCACTTGGCCACTTGGGGCGGTCGTAGTGAGGTTTGTTGGAATGGAGGTGGATATTCTTTTTTCCCATCTCTTATACCTGAATGACAACTGAGCTGTGTTTTCATGGGAGAAAATGTATAATCCTAAACCTGCAGGGCTACCACACCAGAATCTGGCCAGAGCTTTATAAATATGTATCTGTGTCCCTCCCGGATGCATCACATGTTTTGTGCAGGTTGTGCATTGCAAAGTATTAGAGGATGCTATTTGCATAGACTGTGATATGACTTAACAAAAAATGCACTCTAGAATTCTGCAGTGTGTAACAACAGCTCTTTAAAAATCACTCCATGCCTTGTTTCAGAAATTGGCTATCTCCTACCACGGGCCAGTCTGGCTGTGCTCAGCAAGTGTACTGCCTTCTTCTTACTCCAATACCAGTTTTTTCTTTTACAAAAGTCTAAACCCTTTTAAGATAATTTGGTAGTGCATTCTCAAGCTAAATATAGAGGATTTTGGAATGGCCTGTTTAGGTATTATGCAAGCTATTGCATCTCATTTATGAATATCAATCATTGTGAGTTGAGTGGTATTGACAAAGAAGAGATATTGGAGTTGTCAGTGGCTTCTGTTTATCTGGGCTCTCTTTGCCTTCTCCTGACAGTGAGATGTGATGGAACTGCTCTTTGAGGTTCAGAGGGTTCTCCTTTTCAAGAACTTGTTGAGGTATTCCGAAGGGTACCCTTTCCTCCTAACTTGATCTGAATCTAGTCAGAGCCTTATAAATCATGTGTCTGTATCCTTCCTGAATGCACCACTTTTTTTTTTCTTTCTCACTTCACCCTTGGTTTAGAGGGATGGTTTGGGAATGTGTTGAGCCAATGTAGGGTATGTATTTTCATTTGCCTCTATGGACACTAAGGCTCTGAAAGCACATTCATAGAGGTCTCTGACGTAAAGGTCCAAGGGGACCCAGGGACCCATCTTCTTGGGTTGGGTCTGTTGTAGCACTTCTCACACTTAGTTGCCCTGTGGAGCCGGGCTGACCAGTGCCAGGAAGGCCTCATAAGTTGATGCCAGCTGGTGCCTCATGGCTGGAGATAAATCAAGGGAGGTGAGAGAGTTGCAGCTAAACTGAGGTGCAGTTTGACCCCCTTAACTTCTTATCTACAATCCGCTTGTGCACTTAATGCCTCTTGAGCTTGGAGAAAAGTAGTTCTATGTGAATTATGTTGTGTCATAAAGGCCCCTTCCAGTAGGTTCAGATTCATTGGCCGAAAAAAACAAGCATCAAGAAGCCAAATTTTAGGATCCATTTTGACTCCAGAATAGGGGGAGTCTTATCCTATCCTGAGTCTCATCCAGGCAGGGGAAGCACCCAGTTGTGGCCAACAGACAGCAGTCCAAATACTGGCAGGAGCTCCAGCCCCAGGTCTCCCTCCCTCCCTGTGTCTTTAAATGCTGCTCCCCTGCTGGGTGCGGTGGCTCACACCTGTAATCCCAGCACTTTGGGAGGCCGAGGTGGGCAGATCACCCGAGGTCAGGAGTTCGAGACCAGCCTGGCCAACATGGTGAAACCCTGTCTCTACTAAAAATACAAAAATTAGCCGGGTGTGGTGGCGGGCATCTGTAATCCTAGCTACTCGGGAGGCTGAGGCAGGAGAATTGCTTGAACCTGGGAGGCGGAGGTTGCAGTGAGCTGAAGTCGCACGATTGCACTGCAGCCTGGGTGACAAGAGTGAGACTCCATCTCAAAAAAAAAAAAAAAAAATGCTGCTCCCCTCCCCATCGGAGACTTTCCAACCATCTTCCCTTGGTTTTTTCAGTGCCCAGATAGAAGAGAGAGGTCTGGGACTGCCTCCTGCCTCCTTGGGTCTGGGAGAGACAAGGTTCTGAGGCTGACCCTCATAGCTCGTGGGGCGAGGGGACTGCAGTGTCATGGCAGGAGAGAGCTGGGTGGAGGAAGAATCCAACATTCAGCTCTGGCAGTTTGTATGTGTGTCCTCCTAGCACCGTGCACCGTTTGTGTTGCAGTACATTCATGCCAGGTGAAAGGGGACCGGTTTCTCGGTTGCTTAGCTACCGGTCGTTCATCCCAAGTGGAATGGAGGAAAATATGCATGGCTGGGAAGCCCCAGGGCTGTTGGGCAGCTCTTTTACCTTGTCCAGCAGGCTGGCCTCCTGCTGGGACTCCTGACAGCACCAAGACCCCAAAGGCTCAATTTGATATTTGGATGTGAGAGGAAAATAAATTGCAGATCCAAAGTAGTCCAGGGATTTGGGGAATCTCATTCCTCACTGTTTCCGTCTCTTTAATTCTGGCACTTACAGGAGAGAATTTTGTTTTTTTTCACATTTTTCCTAACCTTCTCTCCTCACAATTTTTTCCCCCCACAGTAGCTCAGAACATGATCATCTTGATAGTTTGGTTTTAACTTTTGTCTAATCATGAGGTCCTTTTCTGTGGTCAAACGTAATTGATTCTGTTTCCCTGCATTGAAAGGAAAGATTTCTTCCAGGTTGGAAAGCTGAACCCTCCAGAGTGGCTCCACCTTCCTCCTGCTGTTTACCATGTAGCTAGTGACTTCGGTTCCTGGCGTACAGCTCTGGAATTTTCCTCTGCGTACCTAGCATACCTTACCCTAGATAAAACCAAACATTTTTTTTTAATAGGAGGAAATATCTTTTAGAGCCAATAACCCTAGGCAAAATTATGAAGTAGAATTTTATCTCTATACTGCTCAACCTACTCACTGCCCCATTGCACTTGCCCAGATTTTTACTTCGTTAAAACACAATTACACTGTGTCCAGTTTCTTAGATCACTATCAAGTAGTTGCTTAGAAAATTTGATAAAATAGTAGTGCTAAAATGTTAATAAATGATAACAGCTCCATGTGTTCCCCTTCCCAGATAGCTGTCCAACAGAGATTCACATCCCCTGAGACCCCCCACCCCAGGGAGGGAGCTGGGTCCACACTCTGGTTCTTTTTGTTTTGAGACAGAGTCTTGCTCTGTTGCCCAGGCTGGAGTACAGTGGCGCAATCTTGGCTCACTGCAACCTCCGCCTCTCAGGTTCAAGCGATTATCCTGCCTCAGCCTCCCGAGTAGCTGGAACTACAGGCGTCTGCCACCACAGCTGGCTAATTTTTTGTATTTTTAGTAGAGATGGGGTTTCACCGTATTAGCCAGGATGGTCTCGATCTCCTGACCTTGTGATCCACTCACCTCGGCCTCCCAAAGTGCTGGGATTACAGGCGTGAGCCACCGCGCCCCAGCCCACACTTTTGTTCTAATTAGCAATGTGACCCTGGATTTGCCACCTGCTCTCTGTGGGTTCCATTGTCCCCACGATAGAAACCTTGGAGTGGGCTATTGTTCCTTCTAGCTTACGTTTATAGGATTCTCCATGCCTAGAATAGGCTGGAGAGGAAAATCTTGTAGCCAGTGGTAAGGAGTTCTTAATTGTGCGATATCCCTGTTGATCCTAAGATTGCCGTATTGATTGGAACAGGATACCATTTCATGTTGTATCTTGGATATGAAGACCAAGGTCATGATGGATCATAACTGCCACCACCATGTTCCCAGAAGAGTGGAAGTTACCCCAGCACTCCTGCATTGCTCTGTGATCCATTATGGTTCACTTCTGTAACCCCCTTTCAACCTATGAAGCCTAGGCTCACTTCCACTCTTTATCACTCTCTTCCTTTTATTTTCCCCTGGAACTGCATCTTTAAGCTTCAGAAGTTGCCCCCACAACCAGCACTAAATATAAATGTATATTATCTCCTCTGGGTGCGATGGCTCATGTCTGTAATCCCAGCACTTTGGGAGCCCGAGGTGGGTGGATCGCCTGAGGTCAGGAGTTCGAGACCAGCCTGACCAACATGGTGAAGCCCCGACTCTACTAAAAATACAAAAATTAGCTGGGCATGGTGGCAGGCACCTCAGGAGGCTGGAGCAGGAGAATCGCTTGAACCTGGGGGGCGGAGGTTGCAGTGAGCCGAGATTGGGCCATTGCACTCCAGCCTGGGCAACAGAGCAAGACTCGTCTCAAAAAAAAAAAAATTTTACATTTTCTCCTTCCCCTTTATACCTATATTCCTTTTAGCCTCAAGACTAGTGCTGCTTTGTTTGTTTTGTTTTTTGAGACAGGGGCTTACTCTGTTGCCCAGGCTGGAGTGCAGTAGCAGGATCATAGCTCACTGAAGCTTTGAACTCCTCGGCTCAAGCAATCCTCCCACCTCAGCCCCCTCAGGTAACTGGGACCACAGATGACCACCACCATGCCTAATTTTTTTTTATTTTTTGTAGAAACAGGGTCTCACTATGTTGCCCAGGCTTGCCTCGAACTCTTGGCCTCAAGTGATACTCCTGCCTCAGCCTCCCGAAGTGCTGGGATCACAGATATGAGCCACCATGCTGGGCCAAGACTAATTCTTTTTGGCCTCTTCACACACCAGCCCTACAGTTATTTTAGTAAAGAGTTCTTTTCTAGGGGTGGTTTAAGCTGTAGTTTTTTAAGGGAGGAAGTGATTGGCTAGGGCAGGGCTGGGTGATTTTTCTTTTAGAAGAAGTGTTTATTATACATTTTCCATTTTAAAATAAATTGTCCTCAAAAAAGTTACATTAGAAAATATGGTGAAGTAGAAAAAAATATTGGAATGCCTGTTTTTTTTGTTTTTTTTTTTCAAATTAGCCATGAATAGGCAAGTGTTTTTTTGTGGCCAGGCTGTAAACAGCACGCTTGCCCGCCTGTGGACAAAGGCCTGCTCTCCAGGCTACCGCAGTGAGGAAGTGTCAGGACGGAATGCAACCTTTTGTTCCTGGCTAGATTCCTAGTGAACGCATGTCCTCTTTCTTTTGTAGTCAGCCTTGGTGGGTTCTTGTTAGACCCACTGTGAGCTGTAATAGAATGACCTACAGTCTCTGAGCTTGTTGCGCAGGTTAGGAGAAGAAAGGACAAGGCTGCAGCTGTTATCCTGAGTGGGGACAGAGCCCTGCAGCTTCTCCCTTCACAGTGCAGATGACCCCAGAGAAACTCAGGAAGCTGTCCTTTCTGGGGTCAATGCTCTGAAAATTCTCCTTCCCCAAGGGTCTTCTAGGTCTATAGACGTTACAGGCCATCCAAGGCTCAGATCTCAGCAAGGCCATTTCCTGCAGCCGGCTGGGGATATATTAGGTCACCCAGCATATTTAAAAAGGAGTAATTATGCAAATTCCAATGCCAAGAATAAGTGCCCTGGCTGCCGGAGACCTCAGTGGAGAAGGGGTGATGTGACTTCAGCTCCCTTTTTGTGCTCAAGATGGCTGCAGCCATGGTCACAATTAAATAGCTGTCTTTGAGAGAAGCCTTTTCTTCCAGCAGGAAAGCAGGCCAGTCTGCTCTGAATTAGCCAGCTCACAAAGCCATGAAAGGGACTTACAAAAACAATGGCACGCTGTACATTCCATGAGATTTTAACAAGTTATATGAACCAAATAATGGGCCGATTGGCTGGCTCTGCAGGTTTTTGCCTGAGTGTGCACATTGGCAGAGCCAGCGCCATCCCCTGTGGGACCAGAGATCAAACACCGCCAGCAGTGAATGTAAAACAGCCCTGGCCCGCTCTGGGGCCCACATGCAGAGGGACGAAAGGGAGCTCCCATCCAACTTCTTCCACTCCACCCCAAAAACATTCTCTGCAAATATTCTTGGGAGGTTCGGTGTTACTACAGTTATTAAAAATGCTGAGGTAGGATGTTCCCACATCCTAGGTATGGATGACAGTCTCCCTCATTCAGTGGAATCTTATCCTTCAGGTCTATGAAAATGTGGCCATTTATAAAGAGTAAAACCTTATGAAAACACATGTCCGTATAAAAGTCTATATGCATGTTTATAGTGACATTATTCGTAATTGACAAAAACAAAAACTGGAGACAACCCCAAAGTCCTTCAACTGGAAAAAAGTAGTACACCCATATAATGGCATATTATTTAACCTTAAAGAGGAATGGACTTTTATTTACTTATTTTTTTAAGAAACAGGGTCTCATTCTGTTGCCCAGGCTGGAGTTCAGTGGTGCAATCATAGCTCACTGTAACCTCAAACTTCTGGTCTCGGGTGATCCTCCCACCTCACTGAGTAGCTAGGACTCCAGGCACTCACTACCACACCCAGCTAACTTGTTTATTTTTTGTAGAGATGGGGTCTCCCTGTGTGCTTGGGCTGGTCTCGAACTCTGGCCTTCCTCCTGCCTTGGCCTCCCAAAGTGCTGGGATTACATGTGTGAGCCACTGCTTCCAGCCTAGGAGTGGACTGTTGATATACGCAGAAACACACATTGTGTTAGTCTGTTTTCGTGCTGCTGATAAAGACATACCCGAGACTGGGCAATTTACAAAAGAAAAAGGTTTATTGAACTTACAGTTCCATATGGCTGGGGAGGCCTCACAATCATGGTGGAAGGTGAAAGGCACATCTCACATGGCAGCAGACAAGAGAAGAGAGCTTGTGCAGGGAAACTCCGTTTTTTTTTTGTTGTTGTTGTTGTTGTTGTTGTTTTGAGACAGAGTCTCACTGTGTTGCCCTGGCTGGAGTGCAGTGGCATGATCTTGACTCATTGCAACCTCCACTTCCTCGGTTCAAGCAATTCTCCTCCCTCAGCTTCCCAAGTAGCTGGGATTATAGGCCTGGGCCACCATGCCCAGCTAATTTTTTTTGTATTTTTAGTAGAGGTGGGGTTTTGCCACGTTGGCCAGCCTGGTCTCGCACTCCTGACCTCAAATGATCCACCCACCTCGACCTCCCAAAGTGCTGGGATTATAGGCATGAGCCACTGCGCCCAGCCAAAACTCCCCATTTTAAACATCAGATCTCATGAGACTTATTCACTATCATGAGAACAGCATGGGAAAGACCTGCCCCCATGATTCAATTACCTCCCACCAGGTCCCTCCCACAACACATGGGAATTCAAGATGAGATTTGGGTGGGGACACAGCCAAACCATATCATGGGTGAATCTTGAATACATTACGTTGAGTGAAAGTAGACAGTCTCAAAGGCTACGTACTCTAAAATTACATTTGTATGATATTCTGGAAAAGGCAAAACTTATAGTGACAGAAAACAAATAAATGGTTGAAAAGAGGTTGGAGAAGAGATGAAGTACACCAAGGAGCTTCCAGGGATGATAGAAATAGAAATATCGTGATTGTAGTGGTAGTTACCCAACTGGGGTTGGCTGTCAGTGCTCATGGAATTGTACTGAAAAGGGTGACTTTTGCTGAATGCAAATTATACCCAATAAGCCTGACCTTAAAAAGCAAGCTAGGCTGGGTGTGGTGGCTCACGCCCTTTGGGAGGCCGAGGCAGGCGGATCACAAGGTCAGGAGTTCGAGACCAGCTTGGCCAACATGGTGAAGCCCCTGACTACTAACTAAAAAAATACAAAAATTACCCGGGCATGGTGGCATGCGCCTGTAATCCCAGCTACTCGGGAGGCGGAGGCAGGAGAATTGCTTGAACCTGAGAGGTGGAGGTTGCAGTGAGCAAAGATTGCGCCACTGCACTCCAGACTGGGCGATAGAGCCAGAGTGTATCAAAACAGACAAAAAAAGGCAAGTTAAAGCCTTGTATTTCAGTCCTTAAGTGCTGCCACCTCAGTAGGAGAAATTTTCCATTTTGAGATGGGCCACACCAGGGAGGCCAGACCCTTGATGAGATGGAAAAAGTGCCGAGCTTGAAGATTTTTGACTGCAGTGGCTCATTCAACAGATATTTTTTAGTATATACCATGTGTTTGTAATTGTTCAGTCAGGTCAGACCAGGTGGGAAGAAAGTGTTACCAGGAGCCTAACCTGAGATAGTCGCAGTGGGAATGGAAAGTTAGGCCACATGGTGAAGGGCTTTTAGAGATAGAATTAAGACCCAGTTATTAGGGAAGCTGAGAGATTCTAACAGGATGTAAATGGTGCAGGTGAGGGAGAGAAGCTAGGGGCAGTTCCTGGGACCACACCAGTACCTAGCATTGTGCCAGAAGCCAGTAAATAGGGAGGAAAGGAGATGTCCATTTGGAAACCTTGTTACCACAGTGACGTTAATCTTCGAGCATTTGTGGATATCTTTAGACCAAGGGGTCAGCAAACTATAGCCTAAGACCAAATCTAGCCCACCACCTATTTTTATATGACCACTAAGCTAAAAGTGGATTTTATATTTTAATATGGCTTTTTTTTTATGTGGAGTTTCGCTCTTGTTGCCCAGGCTGGAGTGCAACCATGCAATCTCGGCTCACTGCAACCTCTGCCTCCCAGGTTCAAGCAATTCTCCTGCCTCAGCCTCCCAAGTAGCTGGGATTATAGGCACCCGCCACCACGCCTGGCTAATTTTTTATATTTTTATTAGAGACGGGGTTTCATCATGTTGGTCAGGCTGGTCTTGAACTCCTGACCTCAGGTGATCCACTGCCTCGGCCTCCTGAAGTGCTAAAATGGCTTCTTAAAAATCAAAAGAAGAGTGGCAAAATTACATAAAGTTCCAGTTTTTATGTGCATCCATAGTTTTATTGGAACACAGCAATGCCCATTCATTTATGTATTGTCTGTGGCTGCTTTTCCTATAATGGTGGGATTGAGTACAGATTCTACTCCACTTACGATGGGGCTACATCCCAATAAACCCATCATCAATTGAAAATATCATAAGTTGAAAATGCATTTAATACACCTAATCTAGAGAATATTATAGCTTAGCCTACTGAATATTATAGTTTACCCCAGCATCACCTAAGAGTATCATAGTGCATGTTGCTAGGCCAGAAAAGATCACATTTCAAAATTTGAAGTACAGTTTCTACTGAATATATATCACTTCAGCACCGTCGTAAAGTTGAAAATCAGTGGAACCATTGTTAAGTTAGGGCCTCTGTAGTTGTGACACTATGGCCTCAAAAGCCTAACAGAACCTTTTACAGAGTTTTCTGACCCTTGCTCTAGGCTGTTTGCACCTTTGCTGTTTCTGTTTTGCCTTCCCAATAATGCATAACAGGCTTTCAACAAAAGTGAGTCCTTGGGCAAATTTTATGATCTTGCACAATCACAAGGATAGTGCTTTTGTCACACTGTGCAGGATTTGGACGCATCTCTGCATCTTATGAGGTGTACCTGTCAGCTCTGAGCAGCATCTCTCTGCTGCCCTGGTCGGTTCTGGCATCTTTAGCCCAGATGGATGAACAGGTGTGTGGGGGCAGCATGGGTACTTGAACCCTGACTGCTCCTGCCTGGGGCTTGCGTGGATAACTCCTCAGGCCAGACACTGCTTTGTCCATGCAGCCTGAGATGGGTTTTCTTGTGCCACAAGTCAGAGAGAAGGGACTTCTCACTGGGCCTCCTGAACTTGATGGTTTGAGATAAGGTCAAACCCTGGAGCTGCCCTCTGGAGGTGCTGAAAGGAACATGGTCTGGCCAGTGAGAGGAATAAGACCAGATTTACATTCTGTGTGAATTTGTATTCTGTGCTGCAGGCATCAGCCTTGAAGCTGAGGCACCATCCTCCCTAACTCGAGGAAGGATTCTTCTGAGATCCCGAACTGTAGGGATGACTGAGAGACTCAAAAACTAACAGGCAGGCAAGAATTGAAACTGTGGCTTCTGACGGGACTCAGCTCCATATTGGACTTCGAATCTGGTGTGGCCTGTCCACCTCTAACCTCATCTCCTGCCACCCCAATAGTCACTGTCCTCTGCCACCCTGGCTTTCCCTAGTGTCTCTGGGGCTTTGCCTTCCCATTGGCCTGGAAGGTTCTGAGGCAGAATAGCTGAGAGGTTTGGAGTGAGTGCTAGGACACTGCTGTGGGTTGAATTGTGTCCCCCAAAAGCGATATGTTGAAGTCTTAACCCCCAGTAACTGTGAATGGTGACCTTATTGGGAAATAGGGTCATTGCAGATATAATCAAATTAAGATGAGGTCATATTTGACAAGGATGGGCCCTAATCCACTGACTGGTGTCCTTATAAGAAGAAGATTTGGACCAGACACAGGTGTAGAGGGAGAAGGCCATGTGAGGACAGATAGAGACTGGGGGATGAGTCTGCAAGCCGAGGAGTGCTAGCAACCACCAGAGGTGAGGAAGAGGCAAGGCAGGCTCCTCCCTGCAACCTTTGGAGCCATTGTGGCCCTCCGGATACTTTATATAGGATTTTTAGCCTCCAGAGCTGTGAGACAATAGAAACATTTCTATTTTAAAGTAGCCAAGTTTGTGGTAATTGGTCTTGGCAGTCCTGGAAACTAATACAAATCCAGAGCCCGGTTTTAGCCGTTTCTTGGTTGTATGACCTTGGGCAAGTTACTGAAGTTCTCTGGAGCTCAATTTCCTTAACAGTAAATGGGAAGATCGGGGATTAAACAGTGAATACATGTGAAGTTCTTAGTTCTTAGCACAGTGCCCCACATGTACTTAGCACTCAGTAAATACCAGCTATATGGCTGGTTCATTTGACACATTTCACTGCCTCAGAACAGCCTTCCCTGACATCCGTACTAAAAGCAGTCCCCAAGTCACTATCTCATTACTCTGTATATTATCCTCATTTGTCCCAAATTTTATTTATTTTATTTTTTTTGAAACAAGGTCTGGCTTTGTCACCCAGGCTGGAGTGCAGTGGCGCAATCTCAGCTCACTGTAATTTCTGCCTCCCAGGCTCAAGCCATCCTCCCACTTCAGCCTCATGAGTAGCTGGGTCTACAGGCATGCACCATCACACCTGGCTGATTTTTGTATTTTTTTTTTTTTTTAGAGACCTGGTTTCACCATCATGTTGGCCAGGCTGGTCTCAAACTTGTGAGCTCAAGTGATTCGCCTGCCTTGGCCTCCCAAAGTGCTGAGATTACAGGTTTGAGCCACCACACCCGGCCTTATTTGTTTACTTTTAAAAATAAGACTTCTCACTAGCATGTGAGTCCTGAGGACAAAGACCCTTCTTTTGTTTAGTGAGTGAGCACCCACACCAGATGCACAAGGGCGTTTATTTTAATTTTTAATTTTTGTGAGTACAGAGTAGGTGTATATGAGATATTTTGATACAGGCATACAATGTGTAATAATCACATCAGGGTAAATGGGGCATCCATCACCATTTATCCTTTGAGTTACAAACAATCCAATTGTACTCTTCAGTTATTTTAAAATGTACACACACTGGGCACTTAAATTTAGGGAAGGGGGAATGAGGTTGTTCTAAAAATTTTATATTTTGCAAAGCAGGTAATGCTGATGTCTCTAAAATTTTTCCAGAAATCCTTCGGTGTTTTTATTGCAAAACAGCAAAGAGGTTCCCGCACCTAACCTCAGTCTACCTTCTCTTGCCCACCTGGTACAGGATAAAAACTGTGGGGTTGCTGTTGTCACCTTAAATACTCACATATTTGGGCAGAGATATACACTGTTTTTAAAAGTGTAGTTCTGGCAACTTCTATGACTTAGACCTATCTACTCTTTGGGAGATCTTGTTAACTATAGGGAGTCAGTAACTTCAACACCAAAACGAGAGGCCTGGATTGCTAGCTTTAGAATCATTTGCTGTTAAGCTCTGCCCTCTAGTGCTCATCAGTGTCACAACAGTTCAGCATTTGGCTACAATTCGGTTTCTAAATATTCTAAGAGCTTTTAATATTAAATGTAATAGCATGTCAGGACTTGTATTCAACTTCAGAAAGAAGAGCTGTGTTTACAATACATGAAAATGCAGATTTAAATTGTCAAGGAATTTTATTATTAGAATTAATTGTCAATGTTCTTGAATGAAGAGCTCTAAAATGCTATGATACTGTATGTAGATTTTGAGATAGGAGGTTTGCATTTGGCCCAAAGTGTTACCTCCGGTAACCAAGAAGTTTCCTGGGAACAACTTGTATTTGAATTGTGATTTGGTATCTGAAAAAACATCTCGGCTTGGCAGGAAGGATGCTGGTATTGGGTAAGGCAGAAGACTCCATGCCTGGGAGACAGCGTGTGCCCAGGCTGACTGGAGCAGGAGAGAACAGTGGGAGGAGCCTTGGGAGAAGCAGTAGGTGCTCCATGTTGCTTGAATGGGAAAAGAGATTCCGAGAAGAAGATCACGTTAAGAAATGAGTTTGGGAGGAATTTTATTTATTGCCAAACTGTCTAACTACATATAACTTTGCAACTTGCTTTTTTCATTGGACATCATTCCATATTAAACGTATGGGCCTCCCTCCTTCTTTCGAATGGGTACCCAGTATTCCATTGTATGAAATACAGTTATAGTTAACTAGTTGCCTACTGACATTTGGGTTTTGCTAATGTTCTGTTAGAAACAATTTTGTGGTTAGTACATAGTCATTTAGTAAGTATTTGTTGAGTCTCTTCCCTGTGCTGGTCACTGTTCCAGGGGCTGAGGATACAGCAGTGAACAAAACAATATCCCTGCCCCTGTGGAGCTTTTACTCTGGGGGTGGAGGACTGGAAAGACAATAAGAAAGACAGTCAAGTCAATCCTGTTAGCTGACGATGAGTGCTTAGCAGAAAAGATGCATCAGGGAAAGCAGCTATGAAAGTTGGAGTAAGGGGACATTAAATTTTAGATAGGGTGACCAGGGAAGGGCCTCACCAAGAAGGTGACTTTTGAGTGGAAATACAAGTCAACTGTAATGTCTAAGGGGAAGAAGAAGGGCAAGGCTTTGAAGCCAGGGTCCGCCTCTTCCATGGAGGAACGAGGAGGCCAGAGGCTGGAGCTGGTGAAAGCAGCTGGTGTTAGAGTGGCAGAAGGTGATGTGCGAGGGATTGTGTGTCAGAGTAAAGACTTCAATTTTTTCTGGAATGAGATGGGAGGCATCTCAGGTTCACTTTGGCTTCTGTGTTGCTGCTAGACTGCAGGGGACAGGGGCAGAAGCAGGGAGACCAGTGAGGAGGCTACTGTGATTGTCCAGATGAGAGATGATGGTAGTTTGGACCTGTGAGAGCAGGGGAGGTGGTAAATAAGGGGGTTCTAGGAATGTAACGTGAAGGCAGAGCCATCAGCACTTCCTGATGGATTGGACATGAGGTGGGAGAAGAGAGGAGCCATGCTTGACACTGGTAGGATGGTGCTGTTGTCAGTGGAGGTGGCTTGGTGTGCGTTAGTGTAAGAATTTTCAGAAGATAAAAATCTAGGAGTAGAATGATTCAGTGTCACATAATGGGTCAAAATAAAACTTCTTGGCAACCGAAAGTTTTTTTTATTTGTCGTTTCTTACATTTTTCTCAGTTTCTAATTTTTTTCTAATAGTGTTTTTATGATAGTTACTTATAAAAATAAAAACACCCCTGTAATTATATCCCTTAGTCTACTCCATAGGTAAGATACTGAAAACTTATGGCTCAATCAAAATTATGTAAAGCAAGTAACTTAAATATTAGAGCAGAAGTTCTTAAATTCATTTGTCTCAAGACTTTTTAAATTATTGAGGACCCTAAAAAGTTTTTGTTATGTGACTTCTAGCTATTGATACTCATCATGTTAGAAATTAAAATGGAATATTTTAAAATGTTTATTTAACTTATTTTTACTTGATGAGCATTTCATGTAATTCATTTAAAAATAAGAATAAACCCATTATATACCAGTGAATGTACATTTGTGGTAAGAATGACATTGTTTTACATATTTGCACATCTCTTTAGTGTCTGATAGAACACAACTTGATTCTTATATTTGCTTCGGTGTTCACTCTGTTGTTTTGTGTTACTTTGGTTGAAGTCTCAAATAATGTGGCCCTGCACAGGTATGCAGTTCAGAAAGGGAGGAGTATTTTAATAGCCTCTTCAGATCATTATAGTTGTTGGTCTTTGATACTAGAGTTCAACAAGTTGTAGTTCCTTAAAAGTTAACTGCAATGTGGACTCTGAAATCCTGTCAATGAACTTGTTTTATTTCCTTAAAATTCAATTTGAATGGATCTCTCTTGCAATTTGAATGGATCTTTTACCCATGCATGAGTTTATATCATCATGCATTGGCCATTTGAAAAATATTGGTTTACGAGTTATGCAGATCTTATAAATGTTACATATTTCACTATGTAATATCAGAACTCACATTCATTAATATGACCACCGATCTCATCAGAAAAATCATTAAAGTATTGGAAAGCTGTCAAACTCATGTGGTGAATACAAGTTTTCCAAAATTCTAATTTTCACTTGAAACCTGGAATTTTATCATTGGCAACAAACACTGTCTGTTGTTTTCCTTGAAGTAACAGGCTCACTTTGTTCGTTTTTCAGAAAATGGCTGCCAAATAAATACCCGAGTCTGAATAACCAAGTTTGTCAGACATTCTTTGAAGTAAAAATTGTGCTCTATGAAAAAGCAGCTAGTTGAGCCCACAATTCAATTGCACAGTTGCTTTTCCTTCACACAAACTCTGTGCTTGGAAACACAGCAGAATTGTTTTCTGTGCATGTCCTGTTGCATTGTATAGAATACTAAAGAGACATGTACTCGAGGGCCCATATTTAATAAAGTGAGTAATTCTCACTGCTTCATCAAAGACTTCTAGGTGGAACTGGCTATTTTTCTTCAATTCTTTGAGCCAATGGGAGTCAAGAGTGCAATGGCCCCTGGTAGAGTTTGGTGCCTCTGCCTTGCTTTGTGCTGAGGCACCAGGAATTAACCCATCATAGCTTTTGCACCACCAGTATAAATGTCAACCCAGTGAAACAGGCAAAAAATGTCTCTGTATTATTATGAAAATAAGTTTTGACCTCTCAGACCCCCAGAAGACCCCCCAGCCTGCAGATCAGCCTGTGGAACACACTTTGAGCACCACTGTACCAGAGGGTCTTTTGCTACTTAAGAGACTAAAAGCTGCAAAAACACTTAAAACACAAATAATCCCCTCTTGTTTATCTAAATCCATATTTATTTCTCTAGCAAAGTTTACTTTTAAGCTCAGCTTGCCCAACAGTTGCATTTACATTTAAAGAGACTTGTTTTTAATGTAGGAAAGACATTAAATTTTCATTTAAAAGTAAGGAAAAAATTGAGAGTCAATCCTTGAAGTAAGGGTTCTCAATTGTGGGCCTGTTCCTTGCAGTGGAGTGGATTGTGACACCTCTGGAAATGCTAACTCTATGTAACATAACCAAGTCATGATATACTGTAAAGATCTGGTTGCTCATCATATACTATAAAGTGCTAGGCCAGAAGCAATTGTAACTCTCCTCTCATTGCTTTATATTAAAACTCTGAAAACCCCAAGCTTGGTGAGGCCAAGGCTGGGTTATGGCAAGGTGCTCTGCCTGAGTATGCAAGTGTAGTCGAGGGAGAAATTTGTTGCAGGGATCCATTTACTTGGGACAGGCTGGAAGTGCGCATTCTCCTGATCCTTAAGCTTTTATTAATTGCTGCAGCCTTGGCTCCTTCTATGCTCCCAGTGTGGATTTGCTGGCTGAGCTCCATCCATCCTTTATGTGAATGAAGATAAGGATGTGTCAGACCCTGGGAATGAGAACATGCTGTTTGGCCCTTCAAGGCAATTTCCTTTCGAGTCCCAGCCCTCTCCAGATGGCATCTAATTGTTTCTTGAATGACCTCAGTGTCCAGGCTGCAGGAACCTGGTCTGAGAAGCCATTTCACATATTTATTAGCCTGTGGATGAGAACTTACTATATAAAGCCCCCATTCACATTCTCAAAAGAGCTTTTTGTACAGAAGAAATAAGGAAACTGATGGACTGTTTCCTGTGACCACCAGTCTTCAGCCGGATTCTTATTTTTACCAGGCCCAGGTGGGTGTATTTTGAAGGGGTCTGTGTGGTCCAGCTGAATCCATCCTGGTTCAGTGCCCTCCTGTCTGTCTCCTCATGGTCTCTACATGAAAGCCTTGACAGAATAGAGTCAAGTCCCCTTACCTCCTGGTTTCAGGATTACTTGAACAGAGTACAGGTAGTGTGAGTTGGGAATTACTGCATTCTGGAAGCCTCTCCCAGTTTGGAATCCCAGCTAGTTCAAAGTTTGAGAGAGTAAAATGACTCTTTTATTTTTGAGATGGAGTCTTGCTCTGTCACCCAGGCTGGAGTGCAGTGGTGCAATCTTGGCTCATTGCAAGCTCTGCCTCCTGGGTTCACGCCATTCTCCTGCCTCAGCCTCCCGAGTAGCTGGGACTACAGGCCCCCGCCACCATGCCTGGCTAATTTTTTTGTATTTTTAGTAGAGGTGGGGTTTCACCATGTTAGTGAGGATGGTCTTGATCTCCTGACCTCGTGATCCGCCCTCCTCGGCCTCCCAAAGTGCTGGGATTACAGGCATGAGCCACCGCGCCTGGCCGTAAAATGACTCTTAGGGCCAAAGTGGGAAGCAGCCGTAATTCAGCCAGAGGCTGGCAAGGCTGGCTTACCCGGTGAGGAGCATGACTTCTGTGTGGCCTGTCATCCCTCACGCCTCTGCAGTTCTGAACTATTTTTGGAGAGACAGGGAAGGGCCCCTACCTTCTTGCAAATACCATGAACAAGAGCCACGTCTCTAGAAATATGCATGCACACTTACTGCACATCTTAGTTCCAGGTGTTTGTGGACCCCAGGTTGAGAATCCCTGAGCTATCTCCAAATGTTCAGTGGGCCCCTATCATGTTCAGGCATTCCAATGATGACAATAAGACATGGGTCATGAGGCCAACAGACAAGGGCACCAGTCATTTTAATGAGTGCTTCAGTAGCTGAACCCTGGAGGACAGGGTTGGAGCTAGGGCTTCTTAAGGGGAGAAGGAAACCCCTACGGGCCCACACAGACTGAGAGCAGGGGCTCCCAAACTTCCAGGCCATGTCCACCTAAGGACTGTCTAAGGAGCACATTTGGGAAGATTTGAATGTGATTTGGAGATGATGTAAACGTCCTGTCCTTTGACCTGGAAAGAAGTCATGAGGGTTGCCCTCGCAGGTGACTGTACCGGGAAAAGCTCACCTGGCCTCAATAAGGGGATGTCTCAGCCAGTACCTCTAAATTGGGTCCTGTGGCCTTCCACATAGCAGAAAAGCCTTTTGGAAACATCCTCCAGGAGCTGAGGATGGTGCTGATGCCACATAAGCAGGGCTGAGAATGCAGTTTGTTTGTGCTTTCCCCTGGCTGGGAGGTGCTGGGTGTGGGAGCAGAACTCACCCCTACACCAGTGGCACAGTACATTCCAACAACATGAATCCCTCTCCCTCTTCCTAGAGGCAAATTCGTGTATTGTTATCCTTGAAAACTCAAGGCAACTCAATTATTTCCATGGAAGTCCCTGGAATAGACTGCAAAACACCATTAATTTCCATTCATTGCTGACACATGAGTGTACAACCCTATTATTAATGGGTGTATAATATGCATGTTTTCATGTAACATCAGTTCATGTTGGCTCCTTGTAGCATTTCTCAGATACAGAGATCACATTTTATACACATAATCTCCAACAGAGCCAGACACAGTATGTTACATCTCCATCTCAAGTTTTAATCTTACACTGATAAGGTGAGCCTGTAAACCCAAATTGATGGTGTGAGCTAGGAAACTTACCTCTGGGAAGGGCAGGGGTGGAGTGGCCTGGGTTGATGACTACTTCTGGGAAGGAAAACATTTTTAGGACCTTAGTCTCTTGCATCTGCCTCTCTCAGCACTTTGACCACATTCTCTTCCATCAGCTTCTTTATGCAGTGAGGGCCTGGCTGTGGGCTGCTCTAGGCTTATATTCTTAAGGCTTGTGGTCCAAGGGGAAAAGGGGATGTCTCTCTCAGCCCTAGTTTGAAAAGTCTCAGGGAAGGACTCTGTTTGGTCTCATGTCATTCACCTGCTTACTCTTGGACCATTCAGTGTTCAGTATTCTGATTGGCTCACACATCCATTAAAAGGATGAATACACATGCTACTCAGTAAAGCTTTTAAATATAATAGCCACCACCTGCTATCTATACCATTCCCCCCCTTACATTTTTAGGATCAGAAGTATATTCTGCTATATTTCTATTATCTCTATTCAGGATACATATATAAAATGTTGAGACATGAATGCTAAGTTTTGCGAAAAAAAAGAAAATCTTTTCAAGTCCTATTCCCATCTTTCCCTAGTTTATCTCCCTCCTGGTTTATGTACTGGATACCCATTGCCTCCAAGTTTGCCAGATTTGCTACTGTTACAGAGAAGTTATGGGCAGGGGGTGGGGATGTCCAGAGGGGCTGTGGATCCCCAGCCCATCTATAGCTTGTCCTTGGATGGATTCCCACATCTTATCACAAGTGACCCAACCGGGAGTCCTGGTGTTCCTGGATAGTTACCCAGATGGGTTTCTGCTGCTCTCCCTAGTAATTCTCCCTTCCTCCACCCAGCCCTTCCACCCATTTGGATATACACTGCAAGGCGTACCCAAATCTTTGAGCCACTGGCAAAGGAATTTATTGTCCCCACCTTGGCACCAGGAAGGGCAAATATTGACCTTCTGGATGTCACTCCTGCAGACAGCATTATGCTTGGCAGTTGACTACGTTAGGAAGTGAAGAAACTGGCCGGCAGTCAATGAGGTCCTTCCATGCACAGAACCCTCTGAATTGGCCTCTTCCTATAGAGGAAGGGGTACTGTTTGTGTTTCCATGTGACAAAAGCGGTCCCTTAGCCCTTCTTGTGCAGCAAGCCTTTGTTGCCTCCTGGTTCTTCTCAGATTCTGATGTCAGCATCCATCTCTCCCAGCCCTGCACTTTCCTTTCAGCTGTGAGCGGAATAGGACCTCTGATGGACTATTGCAGATGAGATCTGCTGCCTGTGTTGCCAAGAGTATCTGTCCCTCTGTTGGAGGGAGGTCTGCCTTTCAGATTTGCATAAGATAAAGCACTTCTGGTGACCAGGTGTTCTCCGTGCTTCCCTCATCACACCAGATAGAGCCAGCCATTCTGATTCGTTGTTGTTTTAATCATTAACTTTAAGAGCTGTTTGATCCCACATGTGAAATGGAGATAATAATACTCCTCTCCTAGTGTGACTATGAAATAGGACACCATGGTAAAAGTTCTCTGTAGAAGTGCTGGCTCCTGGCCTGGCATGGTGGCTCACGCCTGTAATCCCAGCACTTTGGGAGGCCTAGGAGGGTGAGTCACAAGGTCAGGAATTCAAGGCCAGCCTGGCCAATATGATGAAACTGTGTCTCTACTAAAAATACAAAAATTAGCCCATCTCTACTAAAAATACAAAAATTAGCCAGGCATGGTGGCGGGTGCCTGTAGTCCCAGCTACTCGGGAGGCTGAGGCAGGAGAATCACTTGAACCCGGGAGGCGGAGGTTGCAGTGAGCTGAGATTGCGCCACTGCCCTCCAGCCTGGGCGACAGAGTGAGACTCCATCTCAAAACAAAAACAAAAACAAAAACAAAACCAATGTGGCTTCTGGGGACCTTTCACATGGGGTGAGTGAGGTGAAACGATATCTGTGACGGCTGCAGGCTTCTTCAAGGCATCTCTGAAGTCTGTGGTGAGGAGGGGTTGTTGAGAGTCAAACTTGTAGCTCTTCCAATTTTCTGTCCTAAGTATTACATGCAAACAAGGTCCATCCACCCACTGAGTGAAGGGGTTCCCGTGCTGGTTAAAGCTGCTCCAGCGGCCATAAGAAACTGCAATACTACTTGCCTCAAGGCTATCTATCCCCTCCTCTTACCAGCCACATCCCTGCTACAACCCGGGTGTGTGCAAGGTGGCCAGCCAGGGTGCTTTATCAGTCCGTACTCACTTCTGTGACCACCAAGGTATTCTCACCTCCCTTCCTACATGCCACTGAAAGTCTTTCTGGATCAGAAGGAATTTTTTGGTCACGTGACTCTTTGAAATTGGGTAAAAGTCATAACCCCTCTCCTCAATGAACACAACAATTTGTATACAGTTTCTAGTGGCCCATGGAAGCCCCAGTCCACCCCTAGGTTCAGAACTCCTCATCTGGACTGATTCTCACAGCTACTTTGGCAGGATACAGAATTATCCAGTACGTCACTTAGATGGTAATGCCCATGATCAGCTTATGACCATGAAAAAGAGATATTTTCCCACTGAAATATTTTGTTTGCATGGCTAGAATTTGCTTGACAACAGAAAAGCGATTGATAAGACCATTTTCTCTCCAGGCTGGAATGGGTGGGGTTACTCCTGACTCCACCTCTCACCTGGTACTGACCCCGCCCTCCGCCCCTGGGTTCCTGCCTTCCTAGGCGGGTGATCCCTTGCAGGCAGGTTCATCCACTCAGCCACTTGGCAGCCTTTCTAGGTGGAGATAGGGATGTGTGGCTTTAGAAGAATGCACTGTAACTCTGGCAGATTCCTGCCATTAGGGACTTGAGAGAAGGAGATCTAGGCAGAAGGCAGTATCTGGGAGGACACAGAGAGAAAGTCTAGAGAGGGCAGAGGGGTCACAACATCTGAGGAGCTATACCAGACACGGTTGTAGTTCTAGAATTGGTTGGTATCAGACAACCCAGTAATACAGGGCGGGGAAATATGAAGGAGTCGGCATGTGAGAGGTGGTTCTCTGGGGATGCTAAACACATGTGGAAGATCTGTTCCCAGGGCTGAATTGCAGGGCCAGGGCAGGAGGAGGTGGGGCTGGAGGAGTGAGGATCCTGTAGGGCATCCAATCAGGACTGAGGCTGAAGTCCAATTCTGCAACTAGCTTGGTCCCAAGGCAATGGGAAAGGAGGGGTACCACCCAGGCCCCATAGGCAGAGGGGGCCCACAGGATCCCCAGTCAGATTGGCTCAGACAAGGGTGGTACATGGAGAGCTGGTAGTTGTGGATGAACCCAGGAGTCCCCTGGGTTAGGATCATGTGAGCAGATGCTGTGGATACACCTGCTGCCTGTTAAACAACTCCTAACATGACAGAGACTCTGGAGTAGACAATCCTGAGACATCTGGGCAAGTGTGATTAAAACCATATGTGGTATTTGAATAAGCAGTTTTAGAATTTAATGAGTAACATATATTTTAAGGCTAAAAGCTTTTAGAAGTCTCCTTATTATACCAGCTCCTAAGTATACCAGCTGGGAGCCAGCCAGTGGTCAGTGGCTCATGGCATGGGTGGGTGTCCACTCTCTTCTCGTGGCTACAGGCGTGGTTCCTGTAGCCCAGCGTGTGGGTGGGCGTGTGCCCTGCGAGTACAGTGGGGAAGATGGGGTTTGTTGTCCCTTCTTTCGAAGGGGGAAGGAAGCTCATGTTTGTAGAGTGCCTACTATGTGTTGGGTGCCAGGCCCTCCATGTGATATCTCACTTGATGCTTACAATAACTTGGTAAGTCTGGGGAGGAAACTAAGGCTCAGAGAAGTTAATTAATTCCCCAAAGTCACCCAGCTAGCTAGTGGTGAAGACCAGAACCCATCCTGGCTCGCTCTCTAGCCTCCTACCTCCAGGGTGTGTTACAGAGCCATTTTGAAGACAAGCAGGTGTCTGTCTCACAGCTCAGTTTTGGAAGATGCCATTTTGCAGAGGTGCTTGTGAGACAGAGAACTGGCGCAGTGGAGGTGGGAGAGAGGCAGCTGTTCCTGGCTGGTAAGGCCTCCAGAGGGCCTCGCAGATGCCCGTCTGCCCATTTCTGCAGCACTCTGCATGGGAGGGACCTCTGAAGGGCTTTGTGGTCGTTGCCTATTAGTTGCTTACATAGCTCATGCCTACCAAAAGTGGATGGAAAGGGAAAGAGAAAAGTGTACAGCAAAGAAAACCCAGGAGCTGAGATGGCAGGAGAAGTAAGTGATTGCTCCAGGTGTAATTGCTTGCATAGTAAGTGTAGAAGAAAAGGAATCTTGGGAAGTAGGTGGTGAATCATCTTGGATGGATAAGACTCCAAGGGGTATATGGATGGGCTTCTAGTGGATACAAGAATCCCCTGAAGCAGAGGTGTCCAAGAGGGAGAATGGGTTCTTAGTTTCTGTTTCTGGTTGGGCCAGTAAAGCCCCTTCCTCATCCCTCTTTTCCACTTATCACTAGAGACAGAAACTAAAAACCATGGCTTTGGCTGGGCACAGTGGCTCACGCCTGTAATCCCAGCACTTTGGGAGGCCGAGGTGGGCGGATCACGAGGTCAGGAGATCGAGCCCATCCTGGCCAACATGGTGAAACCAAGTGTCTACTAAAATACAAAAAAAAAAAAAAAAAAAATTGGCGTGGTGGCATGTGCCTGTAGTCCCAGCTACTCGGGAGGCTGAGGCAGGAGAATTGCTCGAACCTGGGAGGCAGAGGTTGCAGTGAGCCAAGATCGCGCCACTGCACTCCAGCCTGGCGACAGAGCGAGATTCCGTCTCAGATTAAAAAAAAAAAAACAAAAAAAAAAAAAACCCACGGCTTCAGGCTGGTAAATGCCTAAAACAGAGCAAAACGGAACAACATAGTAAAGCGGATTGGACAAGTTCTAATTGTAAAGCATTGCAAGTATGTGTCTTTTGCTCTAGAAGGAGGGCCCATGACTTTCATAGAATCTCAGAGAAGGCCAAGATCATCAGATAGTGAGTCTGCCATTTGAGAGCTTGGGATTATGTCCTGTATGTATTCTTTCTTTTTCTTTTCTTTCTTTTTGCCTGAACGCTAAAAACAGAAAATTGAGCTTGTGTAATATAAGATTTCTGGGGTGACACCAGGAACTAGGTGGTAGTGGTAGAGAGGTGAATGGGGCAGAATTGTGTGTGATAGCGTAAGAAAGCAAAACAGGGCACAGTGCCTAATTTTGCTTCGCATTACTCAGTTATACAATTTTAATAGCTAGTTAGAGAAACAGAAATTGGTAAGGGAAGACAGAAGGCCCAGCAGAGAGAAATCTGCTGTGAAGACTGTACTTTAGTCTCTTTGTTTATGTGCTAGGCAGATCAATATTGCTTCCGGATAGAGACCATTTAACAGCCATACTCTTTCATCCCCTTGAGGAATCTGGGGAAACTGTTAGACCAGGATATGTACAGCACGCACTCCTAAATGTACTGTCTGTGTTCACCAGGGCAGGCGAACGTCTTGTCCACAGCAATACACAAAGGGGGCCAGAGGGCGCAGGCATTGTTGCCTGCCCTCCTCCCACTAAGTCTTGTTTGCATTCCCTTTCGGAGCAAGAAATCAATCAGATTTGCATATAGGGAAATGTGTAGAACTGTCTTTGGCAGCTTCTGTAGCTACTGAGCCTGGCTGGAAGAGGAGCTGACCTTTTGCACAAAGTCCTTTCCTCCTGTCCTCCCTGGTTTCCCAGCTCTCCTCCCTCAGGCCCTCTGGCTCTTTGTGGGAAGGTGTGTGAGCTGCTGGCTTATTTGTTCAGAATCAGGCAGAGATAGGGTGGGTGCTGGGGAAGTCTTGAGAAGCAAGGCTGCGGATCAACTTGCCCCTTTATCTGCCTAGGGCTTCCCAGGCACCTGCCACACTGCTCTCCACAGAGCCGAGTCTGCAGAGGCTGTCCTCACCGTGACGCCAGGCTGGTGCTGAGTGGGGCAAGGTCCAGGCTAATCATTGCCTACTTCCCAGGGCACCAGGAAAGATGGAGCTGGTTGCATCAGCCTCATGCCCTGGCTCATTAAAGCTGTCTTTGTTCAGCAAGAGCCAGATCACCTGGGTTTAGGGGAAGCAAAAAGCCAGAAAGCATTGATCTTTAGGGGAGAGGGAGTAGGATAAAGGGTCTTAGTAGTTGCCACAAGATGTTTTGAGCTGTTCTGATCACGATTACTGGTGTTCACCCCTGACCGATGTCCCTTTGGGCAGGAACAAGCCAGGCCTTGAAGCCTGGGGTGAGTCACTGTCCTCTAGCCATGGGCAGAGTCACTGTCCATGGGGCCGCTTGACAAAGCCCAAGAGTGCCTCAGTGTAAGGCTTGATGCCCTGATTCTGGGCTGCTTTGGGGAGGGTTTGGGGCTATGGGCAGTATTACGTTCCAGATGTGCTGAAACAGTGAAAAGCAGGTACCTAGCAGGCATATCTTTCTCCTGCCATCTCCCTCCATGCCCTGTTGGAGAGAGGGCCTACCTCACTGGGAGCCTGATCTTCTAGCAGGGACCGTGGTGCTTTGGGAAAAGGACTCTGCACTCACTCTCTTGGCCCTTCTCAGCTGAGGGGCTGCTGCCAACAGGAAGCATGTGTCTGCTGAATATGGCTGGCAGGCAGCTCCTGTTTCCATGGTTACTAAATAGGGCAGGTTAGTATTAGGGCTGCCCAAGGAAAAACTGGCATTGAGGGCAGTGCTTATGCAGGGGTCTTCCTCCGGCCTGCCTTAACCCCCTTTTTGAATTAGAGGGTGGGCAACATTTGGCCTGAGGTAATAGAGGTTTCCTTCAAGGACCCACCTGGCTTCCCAGCCATGGCTTTAATCACAAGTGTTTCCCTCGGTGCAAAGGAGTGAGCCTTCCAGGCAGCCAGAGAAGGGCGGTGGATGGGAGTTCACCCTGTAGGACCTTTTCCAGAGCTCAGAGCTGCCTGACTGGGCCCCTCCCTTCCTCAGTCCCTGGGAGTTCCTTAGAAATGCCCTCCCCTATCCCGAAAGGGGCATGGTGTTTAGAAAGCCCTGTATCCAAATTTGATGAGTCCCAAATCCCACACACCAGATCATCAGAAAGTGGCCCACTGCCCCAGGTCACAGCCCTTTCACGGGGCTGTGTGAGTAACAGGTTTAATTATAAGACATTAAAAAATCTATTTGTGTTTCTATGTGATCAGATACCAGATTCTGCAGTCTGAGGTTGGAGTCCCTAGCCCTTTGTTCTCTGCTGAGTGGTACACAGGTCTGGTCCTCTATTTCTTTGTAACTAGAATAATCATTGTGGGGAGAATGGGAGGAATTGATCAGCGTAAATAGGCAGCGTTTAAAAGCTTAACAAGTCAGTGAAGGGCACTTTGAGAATGTATGCAATTATCATCTTTAGTTACAAAAACAACACGTTATTTTAGTCTCTCTCCTTGACCGTTTCAGGAGAAAATTGATTAAAACCTTTGAGTGCTGCTTCAGAAATTATTTTTGGTGTGAAATAAAAATAAAAGATGCTTAGGAAACAGTTACCTAATAAGATTAGTCATTATTTAATCCCGGTGGAACAAATTCTTTGGGTATTTTGGAGATATTCTTAGAATAAACAGAGAAAACCTCAGGTAACAAGAGCTGTGATACCACAGTGACCTAAGTGTCTTTGGTTTTGTTTTTACCCTGGCTGTGGAGCACTTTATTCGTAATTCTATGTGATTTACATGTCTGAGTTATTTGCATATTACTTTCAGGAATGCATTTCATTCACGATTTCTGGGGGAAGGGTGTCTGGGCTTCGGAGTCTCTTGGCTGACTAATCTCACGAATTTCTGTGCAGGATTTCAGTCACTGCCCCCCTCCCTTTTCTCAGGCCTGGGATGGTGCCTGTCTAGCCTCTTGGGGAGGTTTTTAGCTTGAAGGAATCGTTATTTGCTCTCCAAGGAGAATACCAGGTGAAAATGGCCCATTCTGTGGTGGCTAATGGCCTGATTGATGAGTCATGCTCACAGAACTGCTGGGGCCTGGGCCTGGCTGCTCACACGGACTTACCCTTTGAACTCCATCTAACGGAAATGAGGGCAAGCCAGAAAACGCTTCCTCACAGGTGCGGTACTGGACCTTCGAGGACAGTGGGGACCCACTGACCAGACAGTCTTCAAGGGCTCTTCCAGCTCAGAAAACCCTTCTGAGTTCTGCCACCTTGGTGCTTCCTTCTAGGTTCTCTGGTGGACTTTCTGTGGCCTGGGAGCCGTCAAGACTGCAGACCAGACCTCCAGAGTCAGAGAGGAGAATGAGTGAGGGAGGAAAGCAGAAAGGAAGTCATCGCCCACACTCGCTGTGGCAATAGCGCCTCACTTAGCAGCTCCATCCCCATGTTGACACGTTGATGAGGCCGGGCCCTTGCCCTTGCGTGGGTGTGAGACTGTGGCTCTCCATACCTGCTCACTGGGCCCAGAGCAATTTCCTATTTTTGTGGGCAGACTTGACCTAGTCCAAAGGCCAAGGTCTCCCGAGGATTTGACGCTAATCCCGTTGGATATTTCTCATACCTCCCTCATGCCTCATCTGGTATTGTTCCTTTCTGGACTGAATAGATCTTGTTTCTTCCTCATTACAAGTTTCTGCCTGTGTGAAGTTTTAGAAAGCTTCAGGACACATTCCATATTTGAGGCCGAAGCCACAAAAAGTTAATATTTGGAGCGGTAGGATAGGAGAGGAAGAGCTACAGGCAGAAATCTGGATTTGATTAAAAAAAAAAAAAAAAAAAAAGAACTCGTTGAGCATCCGCTATAACTGGAATGAAGGGAAAAGCAGTTAGTTTTCCCTAAAGGTGTTATGTGGCTCTTGGTAGGGGTAGAGGCCTCAGGTCGCAGGGAATCCAGGAGGGCCTTGCTTGGCTGCGTTGGATGCGAGGTTTGTGTGCAGGATCTAGGTTACGCAAAGTGGGTAATCAGAGTGGCGATGAGTAATTAAAGTGAAGGATTTAAAGGAAGGTATAGGACAAACAGTTGAGTCAGAAGTGGGTACACAGTCCCCATCCTCCCAACAGGTTGCACAGCCAGGTGGGAGGGCATAGGGCGCTCAGGGTGTTTGCTGACAGACTTGCTAATTAAACACCAAAAGGCAATATTGCTTTGCCAGTAGTGATGGCTGTGCCAACGTTATCAGCTGCAAACTGGCTGCCAGGAGCATCTTAATTAAAAATAAACAGCTCTGGAGGTGGGCTTGGGAGAGTGAGGACAGGGATCCTGCCTGGGTTACTTAGTACATCTAGTATTTCTCCTAGGGAAAGTCACTTTTAGGCCACCTCCTTTCCTCAAAGGAGCCTCTGTTCATAACAAGGTGGTGTGAATGTACAACTTACCCTGCTTCCTTAAACCTCTGGGTGCTGGAGTGACAAGCAGACAGAACCACTAGGAGCAGGTCGCATGGTACAGTTCAGCCCCAGAAGGAAATTCTGGGTCGGGGGAGAGGGGCTGCTAATGATTTCTGCCTGGTCTCTAAATTGAGGGGACAGCTAAAGCCCAAGGCCTCTTCTAAGAGGGGTTAGAATTTCATCAGAAAGCAAGTCTGGTCACATGAGAATTTCTGGCACTGTGTGCATGGCAGGCTGGACACCAGCCTGCGAGAATTGAGCGAGTGGATCGTATTGGCTTCAGCAGAGGGGAAAAGTCCCAGACTAGCCTGGGAGAAGGAGCCGACTCACTCCCCCGGCTGCCGACTTCCCTGACTTCTGGGCAGAAACAGCACAGCTGCTGTGGTGGGCTAGGGCTTTAACGTCCGAAGCCCCCTTTCTTTTAACCCTAAAGAAAGTGTGTGGTCCCCGGGACTGAAGACCGAAAGATGCCTAAGGAATGCAGTGCTTTCCACGCCCTCTCAGCAGCTCTGTGCTGCTTCTATCACCGCAAGTCTTTCATTGGAGTCAAGGTAGGTTTGGTTTGGAAATAAAGTACATCTGTCAATCTTTTGGGGGACCCTGAAAGCATGAGTTTCCTAAAGGGCAATAGATAAAAGTTTGCAGCTTGCTGATTGTGAAAACAGAGGTGCTTTCTTTGACTGATGGGTCTTCAAGAGCCCCTAGTGGTGTACCTCCCCTGGAAGCAGAACCCAGTGGCACAGAACAGGGCTCCTTGTCTGTTTTGGGCTGAAGCTGTTTTTCAGGACACTTTCAGTTCTCTGTAGGCTGAAATTTTATACTAAAGTAGCTCAATAGGACAGAGCTATTTTTCTTCTTTCTCTCTTTGTCTCTCTTCCTTCATTTCTAACGAACACAAGGTAGCTGAGCCCTTTTCTCTGTTTATCCTGCTGGTCCATTACTTATCAATAATGTACATAATGTACAGAAGCCACACAATATTTCCTTTCAAATTGCAGCCAGGTTTCAAAACATCTCAGGGTTCAGAACTGTTGTTGTCTTTACTGCTCACATTTTAACATTTGTTATAAGACACCGGTGCCAAGAGCTTTGTATAATATGTCAATACACTATTTTGATGAAAATATTCAGAGAACCTCCTTTGGCTAATTCAAGATGAGGCCTGTGTTCTATTTGCCTGCCTGTGACGCACTAGGAATTAAGATTAATATAGGCTTTCGTGGATCTTGGGGTTTGTCTGCCTTGGAAAAAGCCTGTCGGCCCCAGCCTGACTGCGGACCTCGTTTATTCCTGGGAAATTGGACTCTGAAAGCTCTCAAGGAATCCTTCCCACCCTGAAGCAGAGCTCCCTCTCCTGTGGGACTGGCTCATTCATTACCTTTGAAAAGGCTGCAGCAGGGTTATGATGTTCTGCTTCTTTCTTCTCAATACGCTTTTAAAAAAATCAGGAAAACTACCTGTTAGTGGGAGAAAACCTTTTTGTTTAAAAATATACAGAGTGGGAAAAGGGTGAGTTTCCATTGATTTTGCTCCCTGGTAGGAGTGTTCATTTTTGTCCCTTTGTCAAGAAATTTGACAGAGGATGAGTAATTAATCATTGGTTAGAAGCATTCCCTTCCTGACTTGAGCCCCTTTCTGTCCTGGAGCCCAGTGAAGTGATGCGAGATCCATGTGGTTTCTGGCCTAAATATGGATCGTTCAAGTGTGGGGCAGATGAAGTCATGCCATTAACAGTATTTTAAAGCTTCCAAGATAGACTAGGAGGTCCCAAAGGGTATGGTGCACTTCGGGGATTGGCAGTGGGTTTCACTCTAATAGAAGTCCTTCCACAAGCCAACTTCTGCTAATTCAGTGAAGTGCAACTCAGCATTGGGTGTATGAGGGAGTCAGCCTATAAATATCTGGGTCTGAGGGATGAGTTTCTGTTTGGGTACCTGTTGGTCTGCAGTTACGGCCCCAAGGCTACATAATATATAGAAAAGGCCACTTAATATATGGGGTAGTCGGGTCCAGCTGTCCTTCAGCTTGTGCACTCTCTATCTCTCCACCGTGGCCACTCTTGGTGGTTGACTGTGGTAGAAACACCCTTCTTTCCGCCTGGACTTCTACTCTATTCCCAGTTTGTCGAAGTCTTCATAGCACAGAGAGAAGGCCTGAGCTGCTCACTCACTGGAAACTGTAGCCCTCGGTCCCAACTTAGGGTTTACCAACTGCACCCTCAAGATGAGTCTCCCTGTTTTGTTTTGCTTAGCTAGTTACTTGGGAAAGAAATCTGCTTGTACTTAATCCCCCATCCTGCCAGTGGTGCCCCAGTTGATAATGCCGAGTCGCTTTATTGACTCCCACTTTAATTAGGGGTTCCAGATCTTGCTGCTCATAATTAGTTTCCGTTGCAATTAGAGTTTCAAAATTAAATTGGGATTGATTGCCTGATAGCAAAGAGGAAATAAAGCTCCAATTCTTGACCATGTATACTGCTTCTCTTGGCATGAATTTCTCATACCAAAAATAACACTGCGGTAGCCATGGTAACTTTCCATTTGGTCTAATCCATATCATCTCTGGAGAAAGTACGATGGTATTAATAGTGTTTGCTGTATGGGAACAAAACTAAAAATATAGAGGGTCCCTCCTTACATAGGAGAATGATTATACAGGTGTTTTTAGAGAGTAAGATCTTATTTGCAGCGGTCTTACAGAATTTAGGATGTATTTAGAGGCCTCATACGGACTTGTGTATAAAGACCTTGGAAAGGAATTAAATGGGAGGCCGAAAATGGAGAGAAGGATCAGGGATGTGCTGGCCCTCATAGAGTTGGGGCCAAATACAAGATGTTCCAGCCATGTTGAGGGTCATGACTTTAATATCCCGAAGGGGTTCACAGTAGACAGCCGTTACATAAAAGACTACTGGATCTTTTTTCTGGGGGAAAAAAGACGAAAGTGTTTTATTTAAGCCCAGTGGAAAGAAACTTGTAATGGAGATATTCCAGATCATAACATTAACAGACATATTCAAGTTCTAAAGTCCATGCGTGTTGAATGTAGAATGGGTGTTGAATGTAAAGTCCATGCATAAGCCCTCTGTTAGGTGGGGAGGGATTTGTGGGAGGTGTGGGGCAATAAATGAGATTTGAGGCATGGTTCCTGCCTTCAAAGACTTACCACAAGGATATTATTAGGTCATAATATCACTTCATTACATTTGCAAAAGACTTTCAAATGTATGAGTTCTTTCACATCTTGTCTCATTGGAGTCTCAAAACAAGCTCTCTATGCTATGAAGACTTCAACAACTTTGTCTCACTGGAGTCTGAAAATAAGCTCTGTGAGGTGAGCAGGGCAATAATTTACCCTTTCCGCAGAGGACACACCAAGGCTCAGAGAAACAGCCCGCCCAGAATCATTTCGTGGGGAACTAGGAATAGAAAGCAGATTTTCTGGGCTGAAGCCTAGTGCTCTTTCTTTTTTTTTTTTGAGACGTAGTTGCCCAGGCTGGAGTGCAATGGCGTGATCTCGGCTCACTACAACCTCCGCCTTCTCCTGTCTCAGCCTCCTGAGTAGCTGGGATTACAGGCACCCACCACCACACCTGGCTAATTTTTGGTATTTTTAGTAGAGACAGGGTTTCACCATGTTGGCCGTGCTGATCTTGAACTCATGACCTCAGGTGATCTGCCCACCTCGGCCTCCCAAAGTGCTGGGATTACAGGTGTGAGCCACCATGCCTGGCTGCTAGCGTTCTTTCTACTGTACTATATTAAGACAATTGACGCCTAAAATAAGATGATATTGTGTATGTTAATACTTTATTTTGCAGTTCAGTTGGGAGAGAACAGTGTGAGCCTTAGTTTTTAGGAAAGCTTCAGGGAGGATGTGGGACTGTTTTTGTTTTTGATGTTGTTGTTTGTTTGTTTTTAAGAACAGGTAACCCCTTTTAAATTTTTCTCCTTTTTTTAATAACTGGGGATTTGGATGGACAAAGAAAAGAATGGCATAGGGACGGCATTTCAGCCTGGGGGAGCAGCAGACCCAGTAGCTCAGAGATAGAAAAGCCACTGGCATTTGCAGGAGTGCAGAAGGCCAGGCCTGCTCAGAGCAGAAGGTTCACTGGGAAGGTTAGTGTGTGACATGGTCAGAGAAGTCACAGAGGATCTAGGAATAATCCCAGCAGCCAGGCCTCCTGTACCAGGGGTTAATAAGTATTTGAGGCACATTTCCCCATTGGCTTTCATCCCATTGCATCCTTAGTTCAGCTCAGCAGTCACCGGTTGTGGTACCTCGGATGTGTCGGTGCTGGGGACCCAGTGGGAGTTGTTGGTCCAGTGGGGATCTCTGCTGTAATACCATGCCTGGTGGGCATTCTGCAGACATTTAACTCTGGTTGAAGGAAACGATCGGTTATCACTGATTTGGTGTTGCTCTCTTTAGAGGGTGCTGTGGCTCCCTGGAGGCACATGCCTGGCATAGATGGGGCAGGAGTGGCGAGGATCAGGGATGGCCTCCTGCAGGGAGGCAGAGCCTTTGCTGAGTCTGGTGAATTAGTCGAAGTTATCCAGAGAAGGAGGAGAATTGGCCTTCTTCGTGGAGAGAGGAGCACGCACAAAGTGTAGAGACGTGGAGTACCCCGGTGTGGGCAGGCAGGGAGGCATCAGCCTGGAAGGGGAGCACAGGGAGTGGCCGCTGGCAGGCCCGCCCCCAGGTCCCTGGTGAGCTAGAGGAGGAACTTGGTAAAAAGCACAATGGGTCACATTTCTGGGGCTGGCACTGGAAACAAACCCCTACCTCTTCTGGCCCCTTGTGTCTCTGACTGTTAGTAACTTATTTATTTAGGTATTTTTGTGGACAGGGGACAAAGGAGCTGAAACTTGTCACTTTGTCAATGTTTGCGCCTGAGGAAGGTCAGGGGTGCCTGTGTCAGAGGAACCTAAGAGACGGGAATTACCTTGCAAGGGCGGAAAAGCCACCTTTCTGAAAGAGCGCAGATAGAGAGGTTGGGGTGTGGTGCCTGTGGATAGATGGAATCAGTAAGTCTCAGCTAACCAGGCCTTAAGTCTAGTGGCCATGGTCTTGTCAATGAGCAGCCACAGAAGGCAGGGATGTTAGACATGTGCTTTCCTAGACTTATATTCGACTGTCTTTGCAGCCAGGAAGTGCTATGTAGTATTGTTTCTTTTTTGTTTTCCTTTAAAGTCATTTCCCCTACCCTGAAAAAAATATCTGGAGCCTCTTGGAATCCATATTACAGCCTGAGGAGTCACATCTGCCCATCCTAGAGTGCCAGGCCCCTGGAACTTGGTTTCATGTGAAACTGTCTTTCTGTGGCGGTGCGTGTGTGTGGTGCAGCAGAGGCCCTGCTCATCTTCCCTGTGGCTGGTCATTTGGTCTGTCTGTTACGGTGACAGCTTGGGGACTGGTGACACATCCCAGCATTGACGATGGCCTGAGTTGCCTTTGTCAGTGGGGCAGATGCACCATCAGCACGAGCTGCGCAAGGTGGAAGAAGCCTTGCAGGAAATGTCTTTCCAAGTAACTCAGCCCCTCCTCGTGGCAGCTGCTAGTTGCTCACTTATCTCTCCAGCCCTCCAAAAAGAAAGGACAGTGTAGCTTTTTGAAAGAGGCTTAAATGCATTCCATTGGCATCTGGTTGGGTGGGATCTGGTTTCAATATCAGGGGAAAGACATGCTTGACAGAGCCTGTGTCCCAGGACCCGGTTCCCTAGCAGACCCTGGAGCTGGGATCCTGGCCAAGAACTTGTTTTTGTTGGAGAGACCTAAGTGGGAAGCAGAGACGGGATTGGGATCTTGGGAAAATTCTGTTAGTGGATTCAGCACCTCCAGGACTGCAGAGGGATGGGCCATGCTAAACACTGGGGAGGACGCTGGAGGCTTGGTGTGCTCCGACCACAAAGGTCTCCCCGCACAGCCTGCGCGAGAGGTCAGCAGTGCACGGGGGACCCAGGCCTGTTGCTGGGTTTAAAGATGTTGTCAGTGATAGCTTGGGGGCCTTTTAGCTGATGGGTATCTTGGGTATCCCCAGGAACAGCAGAGGAGACTCAGCCTGTCCTGGTTGGGAAGGAAAGGAGAGCCTCAGGAGGTTGGACACCATCTCTGGCCTCAGCTGTATTTCCAGTGTGTGTCCACAGTGCCAGGAGCTACTGTTGAAATCTGGCTCTGGCCATGAGAATCTTATGGCCTATTTTTCTGTCTAGCTCATGAAAGTGCTATGTTTCATGTCTTTTAGTTCTTGTGGAGAAGAACTCTCCCCAGTGTCTACTCTAGATATGTGTGTGCTTTTACAAAAATAGTTATGTAGAAAGGACTGATGAGTAAAATCTGGATTCTCAGTAAGATGAGATTTGAGGAACTATCCATCCAGCCTCTGACTCAGAAGCCATTGATTCATCGCCCTTCCCCAGCCTACCCCTAGCATGTGCACTGAGGGCCTACTAGGAGGGGGAAGACAGAGGTGAACATTCCGCCCGAAGGAGCTCTGCTGTGTCTGGTGGGCGGATGGAGATACAAGCAGCTTACGCTGTGCTTTGTGGTGGGTGCAAAGGCAGGAAGGATGCACAGCCTATTGTGAGATCCAGGGAGAGGTCTTTAACCCAGCCCTGGATCAGGGGACTTCCTGAAGGAGATAACACTGTAGGAGCCATAGGGACAAAAGGCACAGGAGAGGGAAAGAGCTTCCTATACGGGAGCTTGAGGCTGAAGCTGAGGAGTGGAAGGAGATGAGCCCATAGAGGTGGTTGGGGAACAGAGCATGCTGGGCCTTTTTTTTTTTAAGGGCAGTGGGGACCCAGCAAGTGGCTTGGATGCGGAGTGAGTGAGAGCTTGGGCGTTGGACTCTATGTGTGGGATGAGTTTGAGGAGCAGCAGCAGCATCCCCCTAACTCATGCCTGTGTCCTCCCTGGGCCCCTGAAGCCTCCCATCTGTCCTGCTTGTCCTAGTTCAGCTCACCCTAATTTTCCTCCCTCCACCTTCTCTTCAGGCCTTGTCCTTCTAACTCTCATAACGAGATCGTGTTTCCTCTTAGCTTAGAAACATGCTGTGGTCTTTCCCATGTTAAAAACCCTCCTCGTTTCCATGCTCATTCCTGGTCCCCATCTTCCTCCACCCCGAAGCTGGTTAACAGTCTTTTTAAAATTATTGATCTGGGGGTGCATGCACAGGTTTGTACATGGATATATTGCATAGCGGTGGGATTTGAGCTTCCAATGTACTCACCACCCAAATAATGAACATTGTACCAATGGGTAATTTGTCAGCCCCTCACTCCCTATCCCTCCGCCCCTCTTTTGGAGTCCCCAGTGTCTATTATGTCCCTCTGTATATCATACATGCATAAACTCTCACTTGTAAGTTAACACAGTCTTTACTCCCTCCCTTTCCATTGGCCACTCAGCCCCTTTTATGCCACCAGTGACCTGCACATTGCCAAGTGCAGCGGATGCTGTCCAATTCTGATATGATTGGAACTCTCTGCAGCACTTGACAATGTTGACCATTTCTTCCTGAAATCAGCTTTCTCAACCTCCAGGACACTGCATTCTGTTTGTTCTCCTGTGTCCTTCCTGTCCAGTCCTACTGTCTTCTTGGGTTTCTCTTTCTAGTCTGCCTCTGAAAAGCCTCCCCCAGCCCTCTTCTCATGCTGTATCCCATCTGTTTGGTGAAAGTTGGGATAGAATACCCCTCTATACTGAGGACTCCCAAGCCGTAGTTCTCCAGATAGGCTCTCCAGTCAACCTATGTCCATAGCACCTGGACCCCATGGCCCAGTAAGTGACTCCATCCAGAAGGCCCAGCAGACCTTAGTTCTACATCTTCTTCCACAAACCCACTATGCCCTCGTGCATTTTTATTGGATGTTGGTGGCTCAGTCATCTTTCTGGAATGCCCATGCCCCTTCCTCCTATTCATTTTCCACATGTAATTAATGAGTAGGTCTTCATGATATTACCTTCTAAACACCACTCTCACCTGTCTCTTTCTTTCTGTCCCTACCACCACCCTATTTTCTTGTGAGATGTAAACATTCTTGCTCACTGTTTAGCCCACAGGAATGCTGTATGAACTCATGAGATCTGAGTTGTATTGGGTTGAGTATCTTGTGTCTTTAAGTCCAGTTTCTGGTTCTCTGTTTCTCTGCATGACATGTAGGATGTTTGCTGTTTGCATTTTTTAAAATGCTTGTTAAATGAGATATGTGGGTATCTAGTGCTTTGAGCTCCTCTAGAAGGAATATACCTTTAAAGTGACCTGTGAGTTGTATATTGAAAGTGGTGCAGTTGATGTCTGGCCAAAACCCATCTTGTGATGAATCATTTTGTTTTACTGCAAGCCTGCTGCGTACTTAGCACTGACATGTGATGCGCTTTGTCCCAGAGCAGAGTTCTAAGATGGTAGTTAGTCATGGTACTATTTTGGAGAGAGAGAATTTGAAAGTCATTTGTTCTACACCCCACGCTGGAAGGCTGTCTGAATCTTTGGCTTTTCCTCCATGTGTTTGGCATATCTTGTTTTTCCTTCCAATTACATCTTTGGGTGTCTTTCAACTACGGTGCATTTTGTTCATTCAGTACTCTCCTTTTCCTAATTCATCTCATTCATTCAAGGTGAATTAGGAAATGAGAGTATTTGAATTAAGTTGATTTTGATTTGCTGACATTCTTATTGAAGAGCAAATAGGACATCTGGTTTGATGAATAGCTGTGTTCCAGATCATTCATAATTTGCATTAAGATGTTGAATTAACAAGATTGAATTACCAGTGGTGAGGATTTCTGGCTTGGATCTTCTAGCATTTTGAACTCTGATCAGCCGGTTTTCAAACTCTTTTATTAGGGTCTGCCTTAGCCAGGGCAGTCTTTGTTCTTTTCATTCTTTAAAGATGTTAAGAAAGCACTACTATTACTGAGTGTAATCTTGCTGCTGAACTCAGCGATTAATATTTCACTTGCATTGTTTCTTTTAACCCAAGTGCCAGCCCTGTGAAAGCAAGAGAGATATTATTCAAAGTCGCTCGAGGACATGGTTAAAGGGAGCAAAGTAGTTTAGACAGGGTTTTCACAGTAGGTTGGACTGGTGTTTAGCTTTTATCAAAGCCCTTCATTTCTCTAGTCCAATAATGATTAAGTGCACCCATTGACCTTCGGCCTTCCTCTGAAGTGTGGCACATCCGACTTCTCTCTAGGAGGAATGAGAATACAGGCCTGCCTCTTGGGGTGATTTGGATGTCTGGTCCTCTGTGGGCTGCTCCAGGAAGTCATCATCTAAATTTGATCTAGACGGAAGGTACCCGCCAGGGCTTTCAGCGTGGCAAGATGTTAACAAATGGCCTGTTGGAAATCTCATCGTGTTTCGGTTTATCTATTAACGAAAAGGTGAGACCCCCTTGGAGCTGAGCTTTGAGTGAGGCTGTAGGTAAATGATGTTTATCAAGGGGTAAGAAACATGATGGGCAAACTCACTGGGGTCAAGAAGGGATGGAGAGAGACGTTACAGTGCAATGAGTACATTGAGCAGTTTCACCAGTGAGTGGGTGATCTTAGTGAAGAAAAGAAGCCACATTTGTTGGCGTTGTATGTGCTACATTCTGTCAAGCTTAGAATTCTACCCGAAGTTTTCAGAACAAAATCAGTGAGAAATAATTTTCAGTCCCTTGGTGTTCTATCAAAATAAAACTGAGCTTCAAAAGCAACAGCTTCATGATCTGGCAGGATGGGAATGTGTGCAAGAGACCTTGCCCAGAGAATGACTGTGGATCAAAGGTAACAGGGGTTTAACATCAAAGAAGGCATGGGCACCTATCACAATGATTCTAATGTAATTAGTTTGTCATGTAGGATTAAGTTACTGCTGCCTGCTTACAGAGTGCTCTGCTCTAAGACTTCAGTCTGCACAAATTAAAATTAAATTAGTCTTTTTAGTTTGCACACATGGATAACAGAAATTTAATGGGAATTTCTCAGAACTTTGATAAGCAAGGGGTTCTACAGATATCCTCTTCATATTTACTATACATGATTTCTGAGCCTCTTTTGATAAGAGATTGATTAGGTTTGATAATGAATAAAAGGAAATCTCTTAGATTTGGGATCTCTAGGGGTTTTGATGGTATTTTCTTGTCTGCACTAGGGTCTGATTGCCCCTTGTATCCTCACTCATCTGTGAAAAGGAAAATCATATACAGTAGGAAAATGAAACATCTTAATTTAACAGCAAATTGCAAATCAGTTTTTAATGGCACTAAAACGACCATTTGGTCTACAGTGTGATAAATGATAGAGATCTAACTACAAAATGGAAAAATGGCATCAAAACCCATCTGCAGAATCTTTGCCGAAAGGGAGATTCTTTCTAGGATTTGGAAGAGATAAATTTATTTCATCAAGGTGCTTAAACGTTAACATCAAACTAATTGAAGTGTTTCAGAATGCTAAAACTTATTGAAATTTTTATGGAATCTCTGCTGCCAATTTCTTTGTCAGAAGGGACCAGAAACCCTCACTGACCCCAGATAAGATAGATGTTTATTGCTGCACATTCTCTTCAAATGCTTTGTCTCCTCAAAAAGGCTGTGACTGCTGCAGGGCATGGAGTCCTCCTTCCATCACAGCTGCGGCTGCCTCAGATCTAGCCAGAGAGGCAGAGTAGCACGGCAGGCATGCAGTAAGTCCTTGGGTTTCATTTAAGGCACGGTGTTCCAGTGACTATCAAACTCTTGATTGAAAATGGAGCCCCTGACTATTTCTGCAGAACTTTAGCCAAAAGGGTGAAGTGTGCATGGATTAGGAAGCTCTCTGCAAAGGCTGCTTCACTGAGCTTTAATGAGAGAATTTGAAGGAGCTGGCTCATAGCAAGGGGCCCAGTGAGGCCAGAGGTCCTCATCTGCCAAGGGTCCAACACCTAAAAGGCAGAGAAGTCTCAGGGACACACTCAGGGACCCTCCCTGCTGGCCTGTAGAGTGCCTCTTGAGTGAATAAGAGTAAGACACCCTTTCCTCAGGACACTTTATTGTCATATGTTGGGCAGCTGTTGTAATCAATATATAGATCCATGACAGCTGTGTACAAGTGGCACCTCCTTAGCTATGGTTCTGGCAACGTCCTGGACCGCTGGCCAGGCCACCATGTGCCCACTGGGCTGGGTCAGGCAAAGATGCCCAATTGCCCACGTTCACATTTGGTTTTGTTTACCCAACAGGGATATAAAATATGAATTTTTTTCTCTTTGAACTTTTTTATTTGTAAAGTTAATTATTTAAGTAAATGCTTTGGCTTTAATCACAGTTATTAGCATAAGAAACTATTTTTCTAGCCTAGCATCCCAGTGGGAAAAGTAGGATTGGTGAATTCAAACCTTTCTTCATTTATCTTTGGATTATAATAAAATAAACTATTTTTAAGTAAGCCACAAAACCAGCAAGTGTCAGTAAAAGGTGAAACAGAACCAATCTACTAATTATTTCATTGCAAGGCTTTAGGATCGCCACAAGTGCCATTCCTGTTCTTTCTGTTCTACTTTAGATGAAAACACCCAAGGGCTCGTACTAGAAGTAACTGGTCTTCAAACTTGTGGAGAACTGGATTTTTATTTTCAGCTTCGGGCAGGGTTTAGAGTGATGAAAGTAATTGGGGTTTATTCATTCTTTGGGTTCATGATCAATTTATGCAGGTTTTCAATTGTAAAAATACCAATTGGGTCTTTAAAAGTCCTTTATATACTTCAGAATTTGGTTGTAAACTTGGCTTGAAATTCAACGCAAGGCAGGGGTTCAAAAGGGCTGAGTTTCTGAATTCTCCAAAGAACTTCATTTCGGGTTGGATTTACTTGTAAGACGATGCCAGATGTAGCAGCCTTCTTCAGAGGAAGGGTTCAGACTGCTTTGTGTAGTGCTTTTGAAAGTGTGCTTTTTGGGGATTCAGTTTCTTTACATGTTTACAACATTATTGGGGGCAGTGATGATGCAGGTCTCAGGTCATCACAGGGATTCCCAGAGTTCAGTGGATTTGAGATGTGGATCTGTCTTTTTGGACCCCCAGCTTGGGCCACCTGGTACAGTTCACAGCCCAACCCCCGTGGGGTTTCCCACCCTGAGCTCATTGGAAGACACTGGCCTTGCTTAGAAATTAGACCAATGGCCGGGTGTGGTGGTGCAGACCTGTAGTCCTGGCTACCTGGGAGGCTGAGGCGGGAGGATCACTTGAGCTATGAATGCGCCACTGCACTCCAGCCTGGGAGACAGAGCAAGACCCTGTCTCAAAAAAAAAAATGAAAAAGAAATTAGACCAATGTTAACATCGAAGATCCAGAACTCCAGTCAGACTTATAATTTTATTTGTAATCAAAATTTCTGGATAGGATTTCTAGAAAATCCCAACCTGTGGAGTTGTTTGATACAATTTGATAAGAGGCCTGGACTGTTGTGGACTTCTCCCTCAAGCTAATAAACTGTTCCAAAACTGAAGAAAGGAGGCTTTTGTTTGAGAACCCTGATAGCATTCCGGGTGTTGGAGCCTGACACTCCCAACTAGGATAGAATAGCCCAGCAGCTTGCTAGCTTGCTCCTTCTCCAGCCTCCTCTCCCTTCTCCTCCCCACCTCCTCTTTTTATGCACACATTCCCTCCTTCTTCTTTTTCTTTATTCAACCAAGTTAATTGCCAGGCTTGATCATGGAATAAATGAATGACTAGAAAATCATCTCAGTTTTTAAAATTCAACAAAAAATTTCTCAACAACTAAGTGTCCAAGAAGACAGAATCTACATACAAGGACCTCTTAGTCTTGTGCAAACACAAAACTGTCTTGCACTCGCATGCTGGGCTGTGTCACCTGTGTATTTGTGGATATGTGAGCCACCTGGCGCTAATACATATACTTGTTAATAGTGAGATATATGCATACAAAGTGCTTGCCACCAAGCGACAGTATGCCTGCTTACTCACCCTGCATCTATAGAACCATTGAGTGCTACTCAAAATCCCAGGAACTGTTGACTTTGCACTGAAATAAACGAATAAACAAACCTGTGCCTAAGTAGAGATCAGTTTTCCAACTTCTAGCTTTTTTATTCCATTAGAACTAAATTATCGAGGGCCAGATATCTCTAAAACCTCTGATGGATTTTGTAATTTTTTTTCTTTACTTCTTTAGTGAAGTAGTTCCATTTTGTTGCTAAAAGCCGTCTTTGAAAGAGGGTTCAAATTCCACATTGTGTCAAGCGAGCATCCATGTGCCAGGTATAGTGCCAGATGCTTTACCTGCATCAGGTCCTATAGTCCTGTAAGGTGGGAGTTATTATCCCCACTCCTTATGCATAGAGAAACAAGCTCAGAAGTGTAGAGATGGCCCAAGGTCACTTGTTCTTGACCAGCCTCCAAGCTCTCTCCTCTCCTCCACACCCAATGTGACAAGGAACCTGCTAGACAGAGGGCAAGCAAGTGAGCATGGTTCCAGCCAGTCACTGTCTACTGGGCACTCGCTGTGTGCCAGGCACTGGGCCAGGCTCTGGGAGCCAAAGGTAAATAAGGCATGGTCTCTGCTTGGCCTTCAAGGTCCCCACCTACCTTGTCTGACTTTCCCCTGGCTGTTCCCCAGTTCCCATCCTGGACTCCTGCCAGGCCGTGTACCTCTACAGATGTGTCACTGTCTGCTGGACCACAAGACAAAGGCATGGAGGCAGGACATGAGGGATGTTTTGTTCAGGGAGCCATGGAAGGTTCCTGCAATTGGACCCTGCGTCAGAACATGTTAGCAAGTTAGCTTGTGGCCAGGTGGAAAAAGGCATTACTTGACTTATGAAGGAGGCTTTGGGCTTTATCTGGAGGTCACTGTGAGCCCTTGGAAGCATAACCAATATTTCCTCAGGCCTTGGCAGCCAACAGCCCCAAATAATGTCCTGAAAACTTTAATGCCTCAACTCTGCTGACTCTTGGAACCCACTTCATAATGGCAGGACCCTTGCCCATCTCCCCTGCCAGTCATGCCTCTGACAGTTATTTCTGGGGGCCCACAGGGACGCTTCCTGTTTGCATCCACAGCCCTCTCATGATCTGGGCCTCCTAGCAAATTCAGAGCCAAATCCCAGTGTGTCTGCAAGTTCAGTATATGTCAGGGGCCATGGGTCAGCTCCCTGGGGCAACAGGAAATGGTGCTTAAAGCTCAGGATTCTGGAGGAACAGGGCAGGACTGGGGTCTGCGCCCCCAGGGACCAGGCCCGAACCCTGGCATGAATGAAAACTAAATATTAGAAGCTCGTTGATTCTGTGTATATGTGTGTGTGGTGGGAGAGGAGTTGAAAGAGACTGTGGCTGTCATGTCGGCCTTAGCTGGAGCACCCTTGGACTAAAATCTCTGAACCTAGGGGCAATATGACAAGGTTGGTGGTATTGTAGGTGGCAGGTTGTGGGACTAGAAATGGGAGGTAGGGAAACTGTTAGGAGGCTATTGCAGAAGTTCTAGGAGAAAAGAACAGTAATCTAAACAGTGGGGATTCGAATGGGGATAGGTAAAAGAATCAGGAATGTCTTAACCAATGGAAGCCGATTCTGAGGGTTCTAGTTCAGGTAATGAGGACAGAAGAGATGCCAGTGACTGGGGAAAAGGGCGAAGATCAGGCTTTGCAGAGGGGATGAGTTCAATTTATCCATATTGACATCTGAGCTTTAATGCGGATTCCAGTAAATATCCCTACCAGGCACCGACCCTAAGGGCTGGAGATGGAGATCTGGGCGTTGTCAGCACATTTCAAAAGACTCTGACCTGTGCCTCCAGCCCTGGCCCCATCCAGCCCATTGCTCTCACTGCAGCCAGATCTCTCTAAAAGTATCTTTTTATATACCTGTTGCCTTCCTGGGCAAAGATTTTCCGTGACTCTGACTTTCTGGAGTGTGATGGTCTAAACCCTCAGCCACCAATGTTGGGCTGCCCTCAGCCAGTCCCTGCGTTTCTGGGTCAGGACTGCTTTGGTCACAAGTGACAGGGATTCCACTCATACTAGCCTAGGTCACAAGAGGAGTTTGCCGGCTGATATAATCAGCTGGGGCTTAGGGATGTGCATGCTAGAGGTCACTTTCCATCTCTTGCTCCTCTTCTCTTTGCTTGCTGGTTTGATTCTCTCAGCACTTTGTTCCACCTGGCAGGAAACACGGGGGTGAGGCAACTTCCATGCTTCAAGCCTCATGATGTTTTCACTGAAGTGGGATAGAGTATCTTCTTCGCTCAGTTCCATCTAGAAAAATCCCAGGAAGAACTCTGATTGGACCAACTTGGTACAGGCACCCTTCCTGGGCCAGCTGGCCACGGTCAGGAAGGTGGGGTCAGAACGCATGCTTGGGGTGAAGATGTGGCTTTCCTGGGGAGTGGCGGGGTTGCTGGATGTATATAAAATACATAACATACCATTGTTGTGCCTTCGCATGCTTTAGCCCTCTCCTCCTAGCCAGAACCTTCCAGCCAAGGCCAGCTCTTTTTGGCTTCAAAAGACAAAAGGAAATGTCCCTTAGCTCAAATGTCCCAAATACTCTTCCTATCCCTGTCCTTAAGTTTTATCCTCACGGTCCAACCCTGATTCTCCAGACATCTGTCCTCCTCCCATCTCCATGAAGCTGTTTCCAGGACACTCCTGGCCACAGTGACTTTTCTCATTTTTCCACAGGGAAAACCAAAGGACAAAGAGGTGGGGTAACTTGCCCCGGCTGCCAAGCTGGGAGGGACAGGGAGCAGATGGCAGGACAAGCAGTATGTTTCTAGAGCTTGGAATGTGTTAAACTGTTCTTTGTGTGTCATCTTCCAAGGAGACTGTGCCTTCCTTGAGGGCAGGGACCAGTGCATCCATCCCCCACTGGCAGCCAGATGCTGGCAACTGTTTGGTCATGACAATGGATGGCCATGGCCTCTGCAGCCTCTTTCCACCCTCAGTTCCTAGGCCTGGGGATAGAGTCTTTCCTGCCGATTTGCACAATTTAAAATCCTGTGGGAACTAGGAAGCCTTTCTTACAGGCAGGGATAGAGTAAAATAATTATTAATTATAATGCAGATGCCACCTTTTTCAAATTCTGCTGTCTCCTACATGCGAATGAGTGTCCCCAGCCTCCTCTGGGGGTTTCTGACAGATCGCCCAAGTGCACCCCTCCCCGTCCCGTCTTCAGAACTCGAATCTCCTGTGCCTCCAGGGTCCATTGTTGTGCCTGATTTGAAATGCAGGCTCTGATGCTCACGCAGGAGACCCCTAGCTCCATTCCTCCCATGCCAGAATGGCTTTTCTTCCTTGGAGAGCTGCTGAAATGTGGGTTTCTGCATTAATCGAGGTTCCCAGCACGTCTGCAGACCTGGCTCTGTGCCTCCAGAATGTGTTTTCCAATCATCTCCTGGGCCCTGGCTATTCCAGCCTGTCAAGACTGGACTTGCTGGGGCCACGTGGGGCTGCAGAGATGTGCTTTCCAGATTCAGAGTGATATTTATGATTTCTTGGAGCCAGTCCCAGCAAGCTAGGACCAGTCCCCTCCGTGTAACCGAGCAGAGGTGCTGGGCCAGGCGGGCAGTGAGTGAGGATTGAAGAAACTTGTGGCAGGCAGCCTCCAGGCACTTGGCAGGCTCCAGGCTGCTTTCCTTAACTGCTTGCCTCCCAAACACCTGCCTCCCTCAGCCTCCTGCATCAGACCTTGAACATGAAGTCTGCTTATTTTATAGAAACAGATTAGTAGCATCCTGATATGAGTCTATTATGACAATTAACAGTGCTGACTACATGCCAGGGATGTTCTTAGTGCTTTCCAGATGTTGACCCATTTAATCCTTATTAACACCTCATGACATATTATCATGCCCATTTTGTAGATGAGGAGCCTGAGGCTCTACAGAGTTAATGTCACCTGCCCGAGGCCACACAGCAGGTGCGTGGCACAGTGGCCTGTGGATTGAGGTGGCTCTTAAACACCTTGCTGTAACACTTTTTGATATCAGGGCTATTAAAATGCTGGGGATAGGAAAGATGTAGCTAGACTCAGATTTTCATGAAAAGCATCAATTATAGTAACTTATTAATTTTCTAACTATCCTGCAATTTGGTTGGACAAGAGGGGGCCTCATCCACCCCCTACATTTGCCCTGTTTGTCACTTTACCTACATCTCATCTCAGACCCCAATGCTAATGACTGGGACAAACATGAACATTTCGAAGTGGGGCCATGTGAGTGGGTAACCATGTACAGTAGTTACTAACTCTCCTTCCCTTCTTTTCTTTCTTTCCTGCTGAAGTTATACTTATTATTTATGTACATAGTACCTTTTCTTACTCTCCCTGTGCCTCTAAAAGGACTACTCAAATTTCCTGAAGCACAAGATATGAGCCCTGCCTGCATGTTTGTCTCATTGTGGTCTCATCATGGTTGTAGGTAGATTTGGTCCCTAGAATGAAGCTGGCAAGACCTGTGGGCACAATGTTCTTGATCCAAAGCCCAGCAGCATCCCTTCCTCTGGAGGCTGAGCCCACAGCTGCTGTGTGGGGTGAGCTCAGGATGGCTGGAGCCTCTGCTGAGGCAGCGAAAACCAACTTTGTCTCTCTGACTCCTCCTCTGCTGCCACCTCCTTCCCCTCAAGACAAAACACTAGAAAAACAAGGAATCAGATGCCTTCTAGGAATGAGGTTCAAACTCAAGGGCAAATGTTAGAGAATTTGATCTTGGAGAGAAAGTTGTATTACTAGATAATGTGATCATTATTAACGTTTATTGCATTTATGTGAGCGAATGATTATTCACAAGTTGTCTTGCTCTCTCTGCCTGGCAGTTGAAGAAAACATATAGTCCAGAGGGCCAGAGTCCTCCATTCACACTCAATGTCAACTTTCTAAGAGAGCACAGCCGTGTTACTCATTCTGGGTGCCACAATGCCTGCTGTCCCTTGCTGACAGAGGGATTGAGGATGATTTGAGTCCAGCCTGTCTTTAAAGCACATTGAGTTCAGAAGATGTCTACAAATGTGAGAGAGTTGGAAATGAGCTAGGAGAAAAGGCTATGGGAACTGGGGTGGATTTGAACAATGTCCTTGTGTCTTCTTTATTTTCCCAAGATTGGAAGCAGTTAGAATGCCTAGGACCTGACACCTTATTCTCTGTCTTCTCATGCATCATTCTGGGCTATGCAAATAATAACAATGCATGCGAATATTATGTGAGCGAATACAGTACTAATCTCTTCTGCCCTTGCCTTAGAAAGGTAGTCTAAGGAAGGGCAGGAGGATTCTTAGGGCATTCGTAGAATAAATTAGAACTTAGATCAATTAGAGGACACAGATAGCCACACAGAGGGGATGAAACCTTTGCTGAAGGCAGAGGCTCTGTTGTGTTACCTTAAATTGCTAGAATTTGCTTCATAGCCAAGTTGCAAAAACTAGCCTATGCCATGAATAGAATGCTTGCATTCCAGGGAAAAAATCCAAATTCTTCCCACGTGGCAGCAGAAAAGCGAAAGGATACACTGTCACCAGTAATTCAGGTTGTATGTGGGAAGCCTACAGAATTCCGCCAAATGTTGCAGACATGCATGACCAGTGCTATGAAGCAGGAATCTCATTTCTGGTCCCCAAGAAGCACAGATATCAATCACAATGTTCTCAGAAATACAGATGGATACATTTTGCCACAATTTGTTATATGGTCACCTCTCACTAACCTGTGGGGTTTACAGTCCATCAAAGTACTTATCTAAAGTGGCAAAATCACAGTTGGGGAGATCAAGATCTCATAAAATACAGGCAGCTGGGAAAAATAATTGCATTAATTTATGTGACGAAGGCAGTAGTGAAAGTTCTAGAAGGTTTCCACTCCCAAAATAACCACTGTGTCATCATGAGGTGGCCATATGGGGTGATCCTTTTGAATTGCTTTCTTCAGTTGTCTGGGAGACATTGTCCACATCATCTGCTAAGGCAGAGGCTCCCAGCAGCAAACCTGGCTCTCTGCAGTGTATTCGAGCCAGCCCTCACTGGCTGGAAATGGAAAACCTTTTGCAATTGCTTGTTCACTCTGGGTCTCCCTCTCTCCCTCCTTTCCTCTCATTTTCCTCCCTCTCTCTTTCCCTCCTTCCCTTTTAAAATACAAGTCTAGGCAGTTGTGTAACCTTCAAACTTTTCATAAAATATGCAAGAGCTTAAAGGCATAGTTTTTGAAGTCTGGTCTTTCATCCCAAATTATTTGAGAGCGTCAATCTTAATATCTTCATTTCTCTCTCTCTAGGTACTTTCCTGTAATACCCTACCTCCTATAGTACCCTGTAGGATTCACTCTCTGGAGTCTACAGGGAGAAAGAGCAATAATTTAGGATTTTCCTGTTCTTCTCTTAGGAATTAGGACAGAAGTAACAAGATAGCTGATTTTATATTTTTTGTAACCAGTTTAAAAGCATTATCTCAAAACCTGGAATAAAAGATTGATGCATATAAAGTGCTAAAAAGAATAATAACCCTTGCTGTTATGAGCAGGGCTGAGAAAGGAGCCGGGGAGAGGGAGAGGTGGCTGAGTGTTAGGACATCAGGGAGGAAGGAAAATGCAAAGATAACTGTGGAAATAGCTTCTTGGATATAAGCAAATAAATTTTCAACAAAGAACTGTGCAAGACCTGCTGTATATTTTCAGATCTCCACATTTTCAGAGGTCAGACCAAGAAGTGGGCCCAGGGTGCAGCACAAGGGATTTAGGCTAAGCCTGCAGACTGCCTGTCAGGGTGACTCAATGGGGGTCAGGTCACAATATGGGTTAGGATTTAGTTCAGCTGCCAGTGACGGGAACACCCACAAATCACAGGCTTCCATAAGGTAGATCACCTAGAAGACCTGGAGGCTGGCGGTCCAGGGCTGGTGTGTTGGCCCCACAGTCATCAGGGACCCAGCCTCAATCAGACCTTCCACCCAGCCAATTCCTTGGTGTGGCTCCCCACTCACCGTCCAGAATGGTGTTGAGTCTCCAGCCATCACATCTCAGCTCCTTGGTCAGAACTGAGTCCTGTGGCCACATCTCCCTGGAAGAGACAGAGATTGAGGAATGTGGTCTTTTGGCTGAATGGCAGCATGCCCAGCGAAAACAGGGCTTCAGATGACTTGAGGGCGAAAGGGAGAATCTCCATAACTAAGCAAAGTCAGCATCTTTTCTCATCCTAGGGTATTTGTTTACTGAATACCCAGTGCCTGATGTTTTCAGGCATTGCTCAAGGGCAGTGGGGAAAAAGTAGATGGATTTCTGTTTTCATGAAACTTACAGTCTAGTGGGAGGCAAGTCAGACAATAAACGAACAATAAAGCGTGGCCGAGTTGACAAACTGCATTCCACACTCAAGCTGTCTTCAGATGAAGCCGTACAATATTAATGATGGGAGCGGACGGTGTCAAACATCACCGTCTAAAGCCTGCAGGCACCCTGGACAGCCAGCGTCCGCATCTCTTTGATGCAAATTCCATCCTTCAGACACTCCCAAGTGAGTGTCTGCCCAGTGAGAAGGAGGGAGAAGTAAACAAATAGTAAGCCAGAGCCCCATCTAAAAATCAGCCCCTGAGTTACTCTTCAGCTAGCGCTCCTTATGGGCCAATGTGCAAAGAAGCACTAGAGGATGAGAATCTAGCCCTAAAATTCCAGGGCTTTGTTGTTGTTGTTGTTGTTGTTGTTGTTTGGTGGAAAAGGATTTGGAGCTATTTCTTTGCTGACGTGCAAAGTAGTGTAATAGGCCGGGCATGGTGGCTCACGCCTGTAATCCCAGCACTTTGAGAGGCCAAGGTGGGTGGATCGCTTGAGCCCAGGAGTTTGAGACCAGCCTGGGCAACATGGCAAAACCCTATCTCTAAAAAAAAAATTACAAAAATTAGCCAGGCATGGTGGCACGTGCCTGTTGTAGTCCTAGCTACCAGGGAGGCTGAGATGGGAGGATCGCTTGAGCCCAGGAGGTTGCTTGAGCCCAGGAGGCCAAGGCTACAGTGAGCTGAGATTGCACCACTGTGCTCTAGCACAGTGAGACCCTGTCTCAAAAAAAATAAAATAAATAAACATTTTTAAAAAGTAGTGTGATAAGTAATAATTTTGTGGCTCCCATGGGGGTTTGAAGGACAAGCTGGGAAACTTGGGAGAACCACAGGGACACAGCCTTTTTCTGTTCATGGGACTTTCAGCAAGCGGTTCCTGGTCAGCATGCCTGGTCTTGCTGGGAACTGGGCAGGTTTCCAGGTTCAGTTCACATGTTGTAAGCAGGCATGGTTCTAAATTAAACCTGGAGCCACCGCTGTCCACCCAGCACTCACTGCCATGGCCACTGTGCAACGCCGCAGACCACTGATTCTCAAACATCTGAGGTGAAGGACCAGGGTTGTCTTTTTAAATTTGTTTCACTTTCCTATCTGTCATAAAAATGAAATATTAGAAATGTGAAATAAAGACAGACTTCTGTTATTAGATTCAAGAGACATAAAATTGCTCTGTCCATTTGCCCTAAAAGTTTCTAAAGACTGACTCAATTCCTGAACATGAGTTTACCAACAGCAAAGAAGTTAGGGCCATCGCTACCAGCCCAAGGACTGTGCTTTGGGCCTCACTGCCCAGAGGCCCAGGATCTAAGGCCAGAAGGGAACAGCTGCCCTCCCCACGCTATGTCAGGACAGTCCTGAAGGAGAATGAGGAAGCTCTCCGCTGGGAAGAGAGCAGGCTGGGCTGCTGTGTCTTGCTGTCTGTACATCTCTCTGGCCCTTCCTGCCCAGCTGCTTGAGTAGACTGGTAAAAGGAACCTCTTGGTGGACTCTCCTACCATAGTCCCCATGTGCAGGTGAAAATTTTATTACATGGTTGCGGCCGGAGAAACGAAAGGTCACAGCTCTTTGTAATCATTATCCAGGCTCCCCTACCTGAATGCAGGCTGTAGCATAACTGGTTGGATTAGTGAAGCAGGCGGTCACCTCCAGCTGGCATGGCCTGGTGTGGCCTGGGCAGGGTGAGCTCATGGTTGACTCTGTGTTGCAGTTCTCCAAGGAGAGGCACATCATGGACAGGACCCCCGAGAAACTGAAGAAGGAGCTGGAGGAGGAGCTGCTCCTGAGCAGCGAGGACCTGCGCAGCCATGCCTGGTACCACGGCCGCATCCCCCGACAGGTACCTGGTCTTGTCCCTTCCAGAGCATACACGGCTGCTCTCAGGCAATGTACAGATTGATGACCCGCAGGGTCCCACTCCGAGGCCACATGGGCGGAAGCACCTGTGTAACCAAAAACAAATACTCTAAAAATGACTTCATTTAGACCCTTCTCTAAGAAGACCTTGGGAAGAGCTGAGGTCAAGAACCCAAAGCACACATCCACATGTTCAGGAAGTGAAGGGACAGCCAGCGCTCCTGGGGTCTGCAAGCACAGCGTTGTGGGAGGCAGCAGCCACAGAGTCAGTAACCGGAAGAACTAGGAGGGCGGGCTGTGGCCCAGGTAATTGAACTCTTGGCCAGCTGCCAGCAGCCTCAGACCATTTGCAGCCCCTCCTTCTCAAGGCAGTGGCTTAGCTTCGGGAGGAGAGAGGGCAGGTGGCCCAGATCAACAAGGCTGCCTCTGCCCCATTGAGCTGGCAGTTATTCACACTCTCCATCACTTCCCTACTGGATCCTGTGACCCAGAGGTGGGAAAAAAGGGGAATTAAACCCATGACCACAGACTCATGGCCCAGAATATACTTTGTGATCGTCATTTGGGTGATTGCCATAAATAATGTTTTTTCATTTAATACTGTAAAAATTGAAAAATAGAGTAAGTCTGCAGAATTGAGGCATAGAATTTCCCTTGGGTTTTTATTGTAAACCTGATCTGGCCAATCATTAACCAAGGACAACATGACAGGAAGTGTGTGGACAGGGGCTGGGGGGAAGGGCATCATGTCGTAAGTTTTTTTTCTTTTTTTTGAGACAGAGTCTTACTCTATCACCCAGGCTGGAGTGCAATAGCACAATCTCAGCTCACTGCAACCTCTACCTCCTGGGTTCAAGCGATTCTCCTGCCTCAGCCTCTCTGGTAGCTGGGATTACAGGTGTCCACCACCATGCCCTGCTAACTTTTATATTTTTAGTAGAGACGGGGTTTCACCATGTTGGCCAGGCTGGTCTCGAACTCCTGCCCTCAAGTGATCCACCCACCTCAGCCTCCCAAAGTGCTGGGATTACAGGCATGAGTCACTGTGCCCAGGCTTTTTTTTTTTTTTTTTTTTTTTTAATGTAGTAGATTTCTTGGCACAATCAAATAAATAATTATTATTCTGACTTTGTTTTTTTAAGTTTAAAATTGATTGTAGAAAACATAGATAGCAAAAAGAAGGAAATTAAACTCTTATCCATAATTCTCCTCATAATTCTCCTGGGGATAACCACGATGAATACTTTTGTGTACATACATCCTCCCGGGCTTTTTGAAATCAAGTATGAGATTGTACTACATATACTTTTTTGGTAGCCCATTCTACTCACTTACTATGTCCTGGGAATTTTCACCCACTGTAGAATATTCTTCTGCACCAGCCTACATTGTATGTCTGTCCACGGTATGCATGCACTACAATTTACTGGACACATAGGGTGTTTCTAATACTCTGACCAATATCCTTTAAGATTGCTGTGTTCATACCTACAATTATTTTCACAGGCTCAATTCTAAGAAGTGGCATTTCTATGTGAAAACATTTTTAAGGCAAAGATGCAATTTTAAAGTAACCATGGTAGCCTACTATTTTGACCTAACAGAAGTATACTGTTGATCAAATGTTGGAATGTTCCAGAAAAATTGTCAGAATTATAAAACCGATACTATCACCACCGTCCGTCTCCTTATCATGGTCATTACATTCGTTTACTACTTGCATGAGTATTAATTTTCAGTGATAAATCGTTCCAAACTGGATAACTGAACACTATAACCATAACCGTAATAACGAGTTATTGCTAACATTTTAGCCCCTTAAATCTTTGTAGCCATTCTATAGGTAATATTATCATTTGTGTTTTTCAGATGATATAAGTGAGCCACAAGGAGATTATGTAATTTGTCCAGAGTCATACAGCTGAGCCAGGATGCAAACCCAGGTGGTCAGGCTACAGGAACAGCCAGGCTGCACCACATTATAAATTCTCCAGTTGCTGTAAGCAGCAGCATCATGCTTGTTAACTATTTTTGAGCATCCACTGTGTTCCAGTGCTTACATATGTTATGTATACAAATACATAACCCTGATAGTAACTGTAAGATGAGGGACCCCAGCCTGACTTTGTTCTAGGCCTTCTAGCCAGTAATTGGTGTGTCCAGAATCTATACCCCAGTCCTGCATGTGGACTCCTCCTCCCCACTGGCCAGGCCTGGAGAGGGGCATCTTAGGAGAGGGCCCCTAGGATGACTTCTAGACACCAACAAATACCCTTCTTTCTCTTCACTCCACTTGTTGGGGAGGGAAAATCAGGCCTGCCAGGCACACATTTTCTCATTTCTTATTTCCTGTTTCATTACATCATTCAGGTCTGTATAAACGTCATGTTCTTGTGACACCTCCCCAACCACCCTATTTTACTGGACAGCCCTCATCCCCTCCCCGGCACTTCCTGCCTCCTTTCCTGGTTTACTTCTTCCCTGACCTTACAGCTGACATACCATAGCCACTGGTTATTTATCCTCACTAAAACAGAAGCTCCCCACCAAAAACAGGAGCTCCATAAGGTGGGCTCTTGTGTGCCACTGTCACCACTGCATCCCCTGAGCCTGCAGTGGTGCTTGGCACGAGTAGGTGGTCAGTGAATAGTTCTTGAATGAATGATTGGCTCTTCTATGAATTTGATCTTTGAAAAACTAAAGAGCTGACCCAAGAAGAGACATAGTAGCATTGTCTTCTGTTGGCCCAGAGAAGTGGGTAGCCATAAGCTTTTAGAAGGAATGTGAATTTGCCTTTCCTACTCCTCACTCACCTTTTTGTCCCAAAGGTGTCTGAAAACCTTGTGCAGCGAGATGGTGACTTCCTAGTTCGTGACTCTCTGTCCAGCCCTGGGAACTTTGTCCTGACCTGTCAGTGGAAGAACCTCGCTCAGCACTTCAAAATCAACCGGACAGTTCTGCGACTCAGCGAGGCCTACAGCCGCGTGCAGTACCAGTTCGAGATGGAGAGCTTCGACTCCATCCCCGGCCTGGTGCGCTGCTACGTGGGCAACCGCCGGCCCATCTCCCAGCAGAGTGGCGCCATCATCTTCCAGCCCATCAACAGGACGGTGCCTCTGCGGTGCCTGGAGGAGCATTATGGCACCTCCCCAGGCCAGGCCCGGGAGGGCAGCCTCACCAAGGGAAGGCCGGATGTGGCCAAGAGGCTGAGCCTCACCATGGGTGGCGTCCAGGCCCGAGAGCAGAATTTGCCCAGGGGAAACCTCCTCAGGTAGGTCAGGGCCTCCTCTGCAGGACTATGAGGGGCGCCGGGGTGCCCAAGGTTAGTTAGGCAGGTGAAGAATTCATCATGGAACAAAGAAATAAAAGATGTTAATAGGAATGCCGACTGTTCGCAGAATAGCTGTCACGAGGCAGTGAACAATTAGCTCCCAGCTGAGCAGTGTCAGCAATGAATGGTACAGGAGCTGAGGAAGAATTTCGGGGGGTGCTGATGGGGATACCTTGTGAAGGGGGTAGACTTAGGCTGGTCTGATGGCTGGGGGAAATTTGGATAGATGCTGCAAAGGGCTGGGGGTGTTCCAGGTGGGAGGCATAGCATGGGCATAAGTGTGGGGACAGAAAATGGTATGAAGAGCTTGAAGTGAATGTGCTGGTAGGGCTGGAACAAAGGGTCTGTGCAAGGGACCCGTAGCAGTGGGCTTAGGGAGATAGCCCCAGCCAGATCATGGGGGCCTTAATGCCAGGTGCAGGGCTTTAAGGGAGCTGTACAGACTCAGCATAGCGAACACGGTGTCCTAAGAATAGAAATGGACAGTGATGTACCGGGGGTGAGGAGAGAGACAGGAACAGGAAACCCAGTTAGTGAGTCATGGAGGGCCCCGGCTGCAGGAGTGGAGTGGAGGGAGAGTCAAGAGATGTAGGAGCCTGGCCTCCCAGGACTCTTCTTCACGTGGTAGAGTCAGAGGAGGGCACATTGGAGACCACAGGAGTGACCAGGAGGGAGGGGACTTTGGAGGATAAAACACACTTTTTCATCTGAGCTGGAAGACTATGGGCTTGTTGAGTGCCACAGTCCAGCAGCAGTTTTGGGGTCCAGGAGGGGAGTTAGAGCTGAAAACTTAAATTAGGGCTTGGTCCACCTGGAAAGGGTGGTTCACTTGGTGAGAACAGATGAGATTTCTAAGATAGGAGATGCAGAGAACATGGGGTCTGTAGTCTGAATCTCAGGGAATGGGGGAAGAGAAAGATTCAGGGCACTTGGTGGAAAATCAAGGCTTCAAAACCTCACTGATCCTAAGCACCCAGCTGTCAAATGTCAGCGACGTTGGCCTGCATTTGTATAGGGCCCGTCTTTCACAGAGCTCAGAGTCTTTGTGCATATTATCTAAAAGCACTGGGAAAGGAAAGGAGGGAAAAGGCAGGCATCGGGGACATAGATCCAGTCCAGCCCCTCAGTCACACAGCAGCCCTGACCCGGCTCCCAGCTTCTAATCTTATGCACGTAAACCAACATATTTTATTCTACTCACTGGTTTTTTTTTTTGGCGGGGGGGTCCATGAGGAAATGTCATAAACTGTCATTTCTATACTGCAAAACTTAGGGAGGAAAATACAGGACTCTGTGTGGAATGTAAATGACAGCTGTGTGCTGCCTGGAGGCTCCGGCACATGCTAGTCAGCATCTGGCTGGGGACCCAGTAGCCAGGCACAAATGCCGGCTCCACATTGGGCAACTTTTCAACCATGGGCAAGCGACTTGACCTTCCTGGGCCTCACCTTCTTCATCTAGAAAGATGGAGCTTGTGAGGTGTACATGATTTAATATATGCAAAGTGCTCAGAACAGTGCAGGCACAGAGGAGGTGCTAGGGAAGTGCTCATGATAATTATTATCTGGAGGAGAGTAGAATGTCAGACTCAGACCCAGCACAGTGGCTCACAGCTGTAATCCCAGCACTTTGGGAGGCTAAGGTGGGCAGATTGCCTGAGCTTCAGAGTTCAAGACCAGCTTGGGCAACATGGCACAACCCTGTCTCTACAAAAAATATGAAAATTAATATAAGGAGCTCAAACAACTCTATAGGAAAAACTCTAATAATCTGATTTTTAAAATGGGCAAAAGATTTGCTCTTTTGAGAAATGAGTATTTCTCAAAAGAAGACATACAAATGGGCTGGGCATGGTGGCTCACGCCTGTAATCCCAACAATTTGGGAGGCCGAGGCAGGTGGATTACCTGAGTTCAGGAGTTCAAGACCAACCTGGCCAACATGGCAAAACCCCATCTCTACTAAAAATGCAAAAATTAACCAGGTGTGGTGGTGCACGCCTGTAGTCCCAGCTACTAGGGAGGCTAAGGCAGGAGAATTGCTTGAACCCAGGAGGCAGTGAGCCGAGATCATGCCACTGCAGTGGCAAACAGGCATATGAAAAGGTGTTCAACATGATTGGTCATCAGAGAAATGCAAATCAAAACTATAATGGATATCACCTTACCCCAGTTAAAAAGGCCTATATCCAAAAGACAGGTAATAACAAATGCTGGTGAGGATTGTGGGGAAAAGGGAACCCTCCTACACTGTTGAGGGGAATGTAAATTAGTACAACCACTATGGAGAACAGTTTCGAGGTTCCTCAGAAAACTAAAAATTGAGCTACTATATGATCCAGCAATCCCACTGCTGGGTATATACCCAGAAGAGTGGAAATCAGTATATCAAAGAGATACCTGCACCAATGTTTGTTGCAGCACTGTTTACAATAGCTAAGATTTGGAAGCAGCCTAAGTGTCCATCAACAGCTGAATAGATAAGGGAAATGTGTATATACACAGTGGAGTACTATTCAGCCATAAAAACAATGAGATCCTGTTATTTGCAACCACGTGGATGGAATTGGAGATCATTATGTTAAGTGAAATAAGCCAGACACAGAAAGACAAATGTTCTCACTTATTTGTGGGATCAAAAAGTCAAAACAACTGAATTCTTGGACACAGAGAGTAGAAGGATGGTTAGCAGAGCCTGGGAAGGGTAGTAGTGGGTGGGGAGTAGGGGATGGGAGGGAGGTGGGGATGGTTAATGGGTACAAAAAATTTAGAAAGAATGAATAAGACTTATTTGATAACACAATAGGGTGACTGTAGTCAAAACAATTATATATTTTAAAATAAAGAGTGTAATTGGACTGTTTGTAACTCAAAGGATAAATGCTAGAGGGCATGGATACCCCATTCTCCATGATACACTTATTTCACATTGCATGCCTGTATCAAAACATCTCATGTACCCCATAAATATATACACCTACTATGTATGCACAAAATTTTTTAAATATAAAAATTAGCTGGGCATGGTGGTGTGTGCCTGTGGTCCCAGCTACTCGAGAGGCTGAGGTGGGAGGATTGCTTGAGCCTGGGAGGTTGAAGCTGCAGTGAGCCATGACCATGCCACTTCACTCCAGCCTGGGCAACAGAGCGAGAGCCTGTCTCAAAACAAACAAAAAAACTCAGGGCAATTGCAAGGAGGGAGGCAAGACCTGATATTTAGAAATCCTCCTTTTCATAGTAATAGGATTGGACTTGAGATGCCTTACAGTGTTAGAAGGGGTACCTTTTCTTCTGTTTCCTTTGGGAAGGATAGGCTGCTGAATGGTCGAAGCAGGGAATTAATGTCATGCACAGAGTGGGAGTGTATTCGGCAGGATAACAGAACCACTGCTGCAGGGAAGGCCTCCTAGTTGGCCCTGAATGATCCTGGTTTAAAAACTTTTTAAGATAAGAAATGAAAAAAAGACTAAGTCTCTTAAGTCAACAAGTCAGGCCTAATAGAGCCACTTTTCTGTTTGCCCTTTGGAATGCAGATCCTCCTAGAACTTGTCACCACTTTGTACACGCAGCACGCCCAGAAATGTTTAAGTGGGAGGAGGGGAAAAGATGGCTCATGGCCTGCTGCCCTGCCCCAGTGTCCTTCAGTGGCTCCCTTATGCAGCTCTGGCCAGGTGCCACCTGCCCTGACGTCGGGCCTGCTAGTTGGCTGGCTGGTGGCCTGCCCTGGGCGAAGGTGTGTGCTCACAGGCAGGTTGCATTCCACACCCTGCCGTTCTGGCCCCTGGAGTCCAGCCGCAGTGGTCACTGCTTAAATATCACTTCTCGGGAGATATTTCCTTTTGTAATTTGCCCTCGGTCTTGTCTTATCTTCGAAAGGTTGCTGGAATTTCTCTGTTCCTTGGAGTTTGGGGGTTTTTTGATTTGTTTTTTCTTTGGTGCTTGTAAAGGTAGGAAAGAACTTCGTGATTTCTGTAACATAACAATGTTTTATGCTTATGGGAAGGCCAATTAAAGTTCATAACAACTTGGCTGGTGCAGTGCCTCTGTCTCTAGCTAGGGAGATTCTGGTGCTTGGTGCTGGAGAAATTCCCAGTCTGAATTGGAAAGGGACAGAAGGAATAACAGCGAGTGTGTTGAAAGTTACCTTCCACCTTTTCCTTGTGTGGTTACACAGTGTGCCTCCCAACTGCTGCTTGGTGACCGTGCCGGTGCCTTTTCCCAGCTCAGCAGGAGGAGGCTGTGTGGGGGTCCCCCGAGAGCAGCCAGGAGGTTGGGGATGGCAGCCTCCCCAGGCAGTCCTGCAGGTTATTTGGGGGATGCTGAGATTTGCACCAAAATGGAAGTTTCCCCACAGCTTCCTTCCTAACTGCAACACTATGGAGCATGTGGAAAATGCATGTTAGTTAGGCAAGCCATTCCCTCTGGGCCTGTAAGTAATTTTAGGCTCTGTTAAAAGTACACATTCCAGTTCATCAGATTTTCCCGGGAGTATCGTAAAACTTTTACCCTACTCTGTTCAACAGGATGGAACAGCCCAGAGGAGGCATCCTAGGACTCAGCTGCTGCATTGGTCATGGGGACAGGGGGATGGAGTACACAACACAGTCATATATTAATCGTCCCATCAGTAATTTGTTTCTCCAGCGGTCATTCCTTTACTTTTAGGGTATGCTGTAGCACTCTCGTTCTGAGCAGTTTTCTTTTTTTTTGTTTTTGTTTAAGTTCCCATGGCATTGCCTAAAAGTTTTATTTTACACGTTAGTAACACATTTCCATCCTATGTGTCTTTTACTTCAGAAACAAAGAAAAGAGTGGTAGCCAGCCCGCCTGCCTGGATCACATGCAGGACAGAAGAGCCTTGTCCCTCAAAGCCCACCAGTCAGAGAGCTACCTGCCGATTGGTATGTTTCGGGGAATTTTCAGGGAGAACGTCAGTGTTACCCTGGTTTCCTTCAGGCTGTTACCCTGCCCCATCTAGTTGTCTCATTCGAAAACGACACAAGGCCTCAGGCCTGCAGCCTGGAGGGGAATGGGTTTGCAGAATTATATCCGGCGGCGAAGCACTGAGCTAGACACCGTATGCCAGCTTTTAGGCCTCGTAGCAAGCCTTCAGGGTAGGCATGATTATTGCCATTTCACAGCTGAGGAAACTGAGGCACAGATAGGTTAAGTAACTTGTCCAGAATCACCCAGCATTTGAACCCAGGTTTTCTGATTCAAGCCCATTTAAAAACTGGTAGTCTTCATGACAAATGAGCCTACTCCCTTTTCCCGGGTGGGCGGGTGGATCCTGGGGCTTTTGGCAGAACAGCTGTCCAGGCCAACTCCCCTTCCTCTCCATTCTGCTTCCAAGGCTGGAAGAGTGATAAGGTATGGGGTATGGGGAGACCTACTAAGCAGTTACATTAGTAAGACAGGGGGTTGTTTTCATTATTTTCATAACTGACTTTCCCTGGGACCACAAAGGGATTTTCCTAATGCCCCTGCGTAAACTACCTCCATGTAGGTTACCCCAGTGTCTCTTTTCCCTTCCCTGTCTCCAGCTCTCCTTTGGAAGCTGGCTGGGATCCACCCTTTGAGAGTGGCATTTTAGGTGGCTAACGACTTCTGTTTCTTAGGGCAAGATTACATTATTCATGCCCTCCTCGCTCATATATTTTATCATTCTGACTGTCCCAGCCTTCTATGACCATACAACATTTGTAGCCCAGGTGTCAGCAGTCCCCGGGATTTCTATTTGCACCCAGGAGTGTGGGATGGGGCAAGCCCAGCCCAGCCCTCACGATGCTGTAGACTCCCTGAGATTGGGCGTGGGACAGTCACACTGAATTTTCTTTTGGAAATGAAAATGAAAATTGAAGCCCAAGGGCATGAATGGAGGGCTGGGGAGCTGCCACTCTGGTTTTGTTTGTTTTATATTCTCCACACAGATGAGCTTTCTCTGACCTTTTCTTATCCCCCACAGGCTGCAAGCTGCCACCTCAGTCCTCGGGTGTGGACACAAGCCCCTGCCCAAACTCACCTGTGTTCAGGACGGGAAGCGAGCCTGCCCTGAGCCCAGCAGTGGTTCGGAGGGTCTCCTCAGACGCCAGGGCTGGGGAGGCGCTGAGGGGATCAGACAGTCAACTGTGCCCTAAGCCCCCGCCTAAGCCCTGCAAGGTGCCGTTCCTCAAGGTTCCCTCGTCTCCCTCTGCCTGGCTCAACTCAGAGGCCAACTACTGTGAACTGAACCCAGCGTTTGCCACAGGCTGCGGCAGGGGAGCAAAGCTACCCTCATGTGCCCAGGGAAGCCACACAGAACTGCTCACAGCCAAGCAGAATGAGGCGCCAGGTCCCCGGAACTCTGGCGTCAACTACTTGATCCTTGATGATGATGACAGGGAAAGACCTTGGGAACCTGCGGCAGCTCAGATGGAGAAGGGGCAGTGGGACAAGGGCGAGTTTGTGACGCCCCTCCTGGAGACTGTCTCCTCCTTCAGGCCCAACGAGTTTGAGTCAAAGTTCCTTCCCCCTGAGAATAAGCCCCTGGAAACAGCAATGTTGAAACGTGCAAAAGAACTGTTCACCAACAACGACCCCAAGGTCATCGCCCAGCACGTACTGAGCATGGACTGCAGGGTAAGCGCTGGGGGTCCTGGTGCTCCTCTGGCTTTTCAAGGTTTGGTAAGAGCTAGGGGTCCCGGTGCTCCTCTGGCTTTTGTAGGTTTGGAAGGAGGGGATCCATCTGGCCTCACTCTGCCTCACCCATTAAATGCTTTGCCCATAGGAAAGTCTGAAGATAACACCAGCATGGGAATTTATTTAAGGGGTGGGAACCACAAGCTGGGACAACCTTTGCCCAAGCAGGAAGCTTATAAAATTCATCTCAGACAGAGGGATGGCAGGCTGCTGCCGGGGGTGGGGGCCGCCCTCTTCTCCCACCCACCCCTGCTGGCATCAGCAGCTGCAACAGAATCCTCCTCACACCTGGTGCTTATTTATAAACTACCCCCTTGCCTCAGCTCCATCAGAATTGGTAAAGCCAAAGCTACAGGAGAGTAGATTGTAGATGAAAATGTAGTTTCTGGAGTAGCAGACCTTGGTTATTTTTATTACATTATACTTATGCATTACATATTTATTTTATTACTAAAATGATCTTTAGTATAAACATCTTTAAAGCTACCTTGATTTTTAAAATAATCCTTCCTCAATTTAGAAAAATTCTAAAATGGCGGAGCATGTTGGCTCAAGCCTGTAATCCCAGCACTTGGGGAGGCCTAGGCGGTGGATCACCTGAGGTCAGGAGTTCAAGACCAGCCTGAGGCATGGAGAAACCCCGTCTCTACTAAAAATACAAAATTAGCTGGGCTTGATGGTACACGCCTGTAATCCCAGCTACTCTGGAAGCTGAGGCAGGAGAATTGCTTGAACCTGGGAGGCGGAGGTTGTGGTGAGCTGAGATTGCACCATCACACTCCAGCGTGGACAACAAGAGCACAACTCTGTCTCAAAAAAAAAAAAAAAATTCTAAAATACAGATTAAAAGATAAAACCACACAAATCCAGTTTCCTGGAGATCACCATTGTCAGCATTTGGTTTACGCAAAAACATTATTATTTTCTCTGTAAATGGATACATGTAAATAATTGCATGTGTAATATCTGTTTGCCACAGGTCTGTACACACTATTCCAAACCCTGAACCTTTCATTGACAAACATGACTGTCTTTCCATGTGATTAAATATTTACATTGTCACCTTTTTTTTTTTTTCTGAGACAGGGTCTCACTCTGTCACCCAGGCTGGAATGCAGAGGTGCGTTCACAGCTCATGGCAGCCTTTGCCTCCCAGGCTCAAGTGATCCTCCCACCTCAGCCTCCTGAGTAGCTGGGACCACAGGCGCATGCCACCACACCTGGCTAACTCTTTGTATTTTTTGTAGAGATAGGGTTTTGCCATGTTGCTCAGGCTGGTCTTGAACTCCTGAGCTCAAGTGATCTGCCTGCCTTGGCCTCTCAAAGTGCTGGGATCACAGGTGTGAGTCACCGCACCCGGCCCATCACCATTTTTTTGTAGGAAACGTTTATTTTAGATGTAAGTGACTTTTGTTCATAGGTGGTCCCAAAGCAACCTCATCCTTAAGAGAGATTAAGTCACTTTTTCAGATCCGTCGGGATTCGTTTTAGGACCTTCAGTGGCTAGCAAAATCCACAGAAGCTTGCATTCCTTATATAAAATGGAATAGTATTTGCATATAACCTATGCAATCCTCCTGTAGATTTTAAATCATCTCTAGATTACTTACAACACCTAATACAACGTATATGCTTTGTAAATAGCTATTATACTGCATTATTTAGGGAATAATGGCAAGGAAAAAAGTCTACATGTTTCATACCAATGCAGCTTTTTTTTTTTTTTTCCTGAATATTTTTGATCCTTGGTTGGTTGAATCTACTGTTGCAGAAGCCACGGATAAGGAGGGCTGACTGTATTCTAGACACCAGATGTTGTCTCAGGCGATGGTGGGCTCGGTCCATCTTTTCAATATAAAGAGGCTGGTTCCTGGGCATTTGAAGCCCTTTTTTATTTGTAGCTCAGTGAAGTCAATTAGCTTCAGACGTCAGGGCTTATTTAGGAACTGGGTTTTCCTTCCTATGTGTTGAATCATGGCAAGAAGTCCAGTCTCAGAACACTCCTGCAGGGAGTGCCAAAGTTGATGGAGGGCTCCCCAAAACAGGCTTGAGGAACTTTAGGCAGCTGCTGACCATCCTGGAGTAAACAAGACCCTTGCTGACAACAGAACTTGAGGGATGACTCAGAAACCAGAGTAACTCATTGCCCAGGCCTGGGAGGTGGGGCTGAGGGTGGACTTCTGCTGAGCAGGCCTTGAGAAGAGAGCCAGGGCTGCACTGGAAGAACAAGGGCCTGCTGTACTTTTGGCCAGATGGCCTCGGGCAGTGCTCACAGGTAGTCACGCAATTTGCGAAGTTATCCGGACCTCACTTTAAAGCGAGCTTAACCTGTTTGGGAGGTAGGAGGATTGAGGATTTCTGTTCTAGTCAGTCAGGCACATTGGGCCCTGAATCTGAGAGCAGAACCATGTCAGTGGGCCAGGAGGGAGACTCTGGCCTGGTATGAACCTGCGTGGGTTCTCCATAGAGGAAGCTCCTCGTAGAAACAGGCCTGGGTTTACAGAGCAGCCCGATTCCCAGGGGAATGAATCCTTCCTGTGGCCCTGGGCAGGGCTTAATGATCCTCTAGGTGGAGGAGAGATGCCTGCCTGCCCGCCCTTGGCAGGAGGCCTGGGACCTGCCCACTACCTTTGGTAGCCATGAAACTAGACCCCAAGGATGTTCCCAACTGAAGAATGCAGTCTCCCTGGCTTGCTGTGGTGCATTTTGTCCTCCTAGTGGGGCCTCACTCTCATGTCTGCCTGCAGGCACCCCTGGACAAGGGGCTGGATGGGGTCCCCAGGCAGCGAGCAGGAGCTAGCCTGGACTCTGCCCACCCAGCCCCAGGGCAGGGCTATGTTGAAACTTCCTTCTTCCCTGTCTCTGGAGTCTACCACCATTTCCATGTTATCTTCCTGGAACCACTGACTTCCAAGCGGGCACAATCAGCATCTCTAAGAGGGAAATACAACAAGACCTGTTGTTTCCTATCCCAAGTGCAGTGGCAGCCCAGACAGGGCCACCCAGAAGCTGAGAGCAGGCTCTGGCTAGCATCTGGGCCCCGCGTGCTTGTTCCCAGCCATGTGGGCAGATGCCCAGATAGGCCATCAGGACAGTGGGTGGTCCTAAGAGCCCTCCAGGCTCCCTGTCCTGCTGTGTCCATGCCCCCACCCCCCAAGGGCCTAGTTAGGAGCCACTGAGCCCCTCCCACCGTGCGCAAGGTCTTTGCCTATAGCTAGAAGTGAGGACCAGTAGTGAAGCACTTGGCCCGACTGAGCCTGAATCCTGCCTCTGCCACATCAGCTGAACAGCCTCCCCTTCTGTGCCTGTCTGTAAGGAATACAGCTACCCAGGTGGTCAGCGAGGACTAAATGAGATAATAATATATTAAAAGCCCAGGGCACCTTGCCTAGCCCACAGTGAGCACTAAGTGTTTATCCGTGTTATATATTCAGCTTTGACTGAGCGCCTACTGTGCCAGGGCAGCTTGTGGTCTCTGCTCTTGGAGCACCTGCTATCAGGTGGGGGTGGGCTGGGGAGGGACAGTGATGCAGGAACTTGGGCCACAACCCAGGTGGGAAACGCCCTGCAGGGGAAGGCACAGGAGCTGTGGGGCCTCTGGGCAGGGCCTTGAACAGGGAGTTGGGTGTGGAGATGGGGCAGAGATGTCCAAGATGAGTTTGGAAGGCTGCATCTTTGGCCCGATGAACACCAAAAGCATCTTGCAGACGGCAGGCAACGCACATGCACAGACACTTAGTTGTCAAAACCCATGGAGAGAGGGGTTGGTTTACAGCAGATTCATTCTGTGTGGGTGGAAGAAGATGGGGTTAGGGGTGGGGTGTGGGAGGGCTTCATACGTCTTTTCTAAGTCTCTACTTCTGGGCTCATACCAGTTTCTTGCCTTCAAGGCACTTTACAGTTGAGTTGGGTGCAGATCTGATCCTCTGTGCCAAGGGGAACAGAACCAGTGAGTGGAGCCAGGCAATCTCATGGCATTTTAGAAAGGCCCTTGCGGCTGGGAGGAGGGCTGGGCCGGGACCCCATCAGGGCTCTCCTGGGTCCGTGCAGCAGCCTCCAAGGCAGTGGAAGAAGGAGCAGAGGGTGGAGTCCAGAGATGCAGCAGAGCAGACCAGCTAAGATTTGGAGGGCAGAAGGAAGCCTCATCGGGGGTGCTTCTGCCACCCTGCCCTGTGGAGTCGGCTCACAGTAAATGCTCTAGACATGTTTGTCCTTCCTTTGTGTCAGTGAGCTGCATAACCTTGGGCATTTGTCAGGGAACCTAATGCAGGCCCTGCGGTGTGAGCTTGGGATCCCCTCAGCCCTCAGGCAAGCAGGCGTGGCTCCAGGGAAGTGACCCAGGCATGGCATATATGTGCCGACGAAATGCAGACTGGAGAGCAGGGGCCGCCGCCCATCTGCCAGGTTTTCCAGAGCAAACCTGAATCAATCACAGGCCTTTTAATCTCGCCACCCAGAGCGTGGGGGACACCCCTCAGAAGTACAGGGTTTGGGACCTCTGACAGAGGGCAGCTGTCTAAATATGCGAGGAAGCGTGCATGGCGTGCGTCTGGGCTGCCTTGCCAAGGTCAAGTTGTAAATCTCTTTCCCAAGATCTGGCCAGAATTCTTCCCCTTTCCACATGGCTGATGATTCAAAACTTGTATTTTCAGGTAGCTTTTAGGGGTTCTAAAGTTATCTGAATCCTTTGCAAAGTCCTTGAGAAAGGTGAACTTAGCAGTTATGTTAGAAAAGGGGAAACTGAGGCCCAGAGAGCACAGGTAGGAGCACAGTAGGAATTCTGCATCCTGTCGTGGCGTCTACCACTAGAGAGCTCATCCACAGGGTCATCCCCTCAGGGTTGACAGTAGTTCAGCCACAGAAGTTACAGGGTAGGGTTAGTAATACCACCTAAACATCCAGATGTGTTTTGATAGCCTGGGGTAATTAAGGTTGAGGACAAGTGTACCAGATCAAGGAGAGGAACCGTCCCATGCCTGCCGTGTGTTCAGGTGGCTAGACTTGTTGTTGCATCTGTTAGTTCCACTCTTAGTACATCATTGTGCTGTGAGGTGTCATTAGCCGCCGTTTAATTTTTCTTTTGTTTTTAGAGACAGTGTCTTGCTCTCACCCCGGCTTAAGTACAGTGACATGATCATAGCTGACTGCAACCTCAAACTCCTGTACTCAAGTGATCCTCCTGTCTTAGTGTCCCAAGAAGCTAGGACTGCAGGCACACACCACCATGCCTGGCTAATTTTTAATTTTTTTGTAAAGATGGGGTCTCGCTATGTTGCTCAGCTGGTCTCAAACTCCTGTCCTCAAGCAGTCCCCCCACCTTGGCCTCCCAAAGCACTGGGATTAGAGGCATAAGCCACCTTGCCTGGCCTATTGGCCCCATTTTAGAGACACACTGGCTCAGTTGTAACACTTCTCCATGACATTGTAATAACTAATACCTGATTCTAATAAACTGAGATTACATACTAGAATTGAGATGGGTTGAGAGCTGTCTGGGACAAAGATTTTAAGAAAAGCCTCTCAGGAGAAAGAAGAGTGTTTGAGAGCTCAGGTTTCCAATCACTGTACACATTTTTAATAGTTTCCAGACGTATAGAGCATTTACTGAGCCCAGGAGAAGCGTAATTAAGGGTAATAGCAGCCAGCTGTGGCTGTTAAGTGAGAACATGAATGGCAAAGCCCACAGCGGAGAGGCTCTTGGATGAGATTCTGCTCTTCCACTGCAGGGGATCGGTCAGCTCCGAACACATGCAGCCTTGCTGTTGGCAGCAAAACGTCGCAGCAGGATCCGGCCGGTGTCAGACAAAAGCTCAGAGAACTAAACTGTTCTCTGGCTGGGCAGAAACACTTAACAAATCTGTAGATCTGCAGAGCAGTGTCAGCATCTCCCACCAGTCTTTCTTTTCCCCCTAAGTTTTATACTGTACTATGTGTATTTAAACACCCTAAACATCATATAAGAACAGCATTGTCAGCAGCTGCTTATAAAGAAATGTAACTCATAAAGTGTCCACGCCATCGTAGTTCAGTGTGTTTCTTCTCATATGCTGAATTCATGATCAGGCAAGCCCACTTCCTGATCCAGTGTATTTCAACTTTGGCTCTTGACAGGTTGCTAGGATACTTGGAGTCTCTGAAGAGATGAGGAGGAACATGGGGGTGAGCTCAGGCCTGGAACTCATTACCTTGCCTCACGGACACCAGCTGCGCCTGGACATAATTGAAAGGTGAGCAGTGCCGTCCTCTGCACTTCCGACCCTCCCAGCTCCTTCCAGGCATCAGAGCAGCAGGTTTTAGAACAAAGAGAGGCGCAGCACCAGCCTAGCCCTGGGGTAACAGTACTTCAGGGCGCATGGCCTACAGCGACTCTTCCCAGAAGCCTGAGCCTGAGAATTCCTGGAGTTGCACACAAAGACAGCACAACTCAGGAACAAAGAATGTGTTCCCGTCCCTGCTCCTGGAGGAGTGGATGGAGAGAATAGATGGCCTGAAGCCAGTGACTCAATTGGCCTGTGTGAGCAGGAGTCACAGATCCTGCAGCCTGGGGCAGAGCTGGGGCCCCAGCACCTGGAGTCTCCTGGGTCTCCTGCCCAGCAAGCTGCCCCTTTGTCTCTTTGGGGGTTAAGATTGCTTGAGGAATTAGGAGGAGTTTGTGGGAAAGGCTGGGAAGAGCAGAGTCTAGACAGTGTTTTCTTTGAGGGGTGGACAAATAGGGTCAGAGGTTAGGGGATGACGGCACTGGTCCGGGGCCTCCGAGGCATCCCTCCCCTCTTCTCATGAAAAGCCAGGGCCCTGGGCATCCATTGAAATGGAATGTTTAGGAATTAGAAAGACACCAACAATGAGGTATGTTTTTAAGAAAAGAAGCTCTAGACTAGATATCCATATTACCACAAAGCCAGCCTTTTTGACACATTTTTTAAAAGTTGATTTGGGCAAGACTATCTTGTTAAGTTTTCTGTCTGTCCAGCCCATGTCCTAGTTGCCATTACTGACTGCCCATGGCTTTCCATGAAGTTCCAGGTCACAGTGCTGTCCAGGAAAGCTTTCTGTGGTAACAGACGCATTCTGCACTGGCTATTACAGTAGCCACCAGCCACATGTCACTCTCGGGCACCTGAAATGTGACTGATGTGATTGAAGGATGACTTTTTATAATTAGAATTTGCTGTTTTCACGGTAAAAAGCCACTTCTCGGGGGATGGATGTCGCTGCTTTAGAGTTTCCTCGGCTGTACAGCAGATAAAATGACTCCTATGCTGCTGCTGTTTTGGCCTCGCAGCCGTGGATACATCCCATAGAAAATACCCAGAATGCTGAATTGCAGCCATGTGGGAGGATGGAGGTGAAGAAGTGGGCCATGCGGATTTTGTTCGGGAATACCCATTGCTTAAGCCTCTGGGGAATTCTAGGTCCCGCTTCTGAATTTCCCTGCTCTTCCTGATGAGACTTTTCTAGGTTCCAGCCTCTCTCCGGGTGTCCCCTTTTTCCCTCCTGCCCTAGGGGCCTGACCTCCCGGCTCCACTAGCTTCGTTCTATCAGCAGAGGTGAGCTGTGCCACCACACTTTGCCATTTCTCCCATGAGACATTTCAGCCTGAAAGGCCGCAGGTTCCAGGCCTCATGAATCTGAGCCCTATTTTCTTAGTATCATTCAGTGTGCTGGGACAGGCTGAGGGTGACAGGTTTGGGGCTTCTCTCTTGGCTGTTTTCTGACTTTCCACTTCATTTGTCTTTTCTCCTGACTGCCTCTTGGCTGGGGTCTTGCTCCTTAGCTTGTTTCTTGTGACCTGTGGGATCTTCTTTTTAGAGCCTGGGGAGTAGTTTTATTAATTACAATGTGTTTATTAAATAAAGGCCAAGGTTATAGAGGTCCTGATGTGTCACATGATATCACCTTCTTGCATTTGAGAATCAAATACAAAACCACCCTTTATTTTTAATTTACCACCTCACCCATTCCAGGCATACTGCTCTGGAAGTGTCCTTCATGTGACATCTGAGTGCCTCCTCTTGCCAACCACAGGAGCTTTTGCTGCAGATTTGCCAGCCTGAGTTGTTTTTCCCATAGTCGGTGTATCCAGGAGGTTTCAGGCAAATATTGGTTGAGTGAATGGATATAACCATTCAGTTAACCATTTATACAACACTAGAGGGCCATTAAAACACAGGGAGAGAAAACACTGAATAAAGAATCAATTGAATGCAGCATGGGAAGTGAGTTTATAGTTAAAAGCAACATCTAAAATGTTCTGTCAATGTTAACATTTTGCAAATGGATAAGAAAACTCTTCCAAAAATGTATCAGATAACAGCTGGGCGTGGTGGCTCATGCCTGTAATCCCAGCACTTTGGGAGGCCAAGGCAGGTGGATCACTTGAGCCCAGGAATTCGAGACCAGCTGGGCAACATGGCAAAACCCTGTTTCTACAAAAAAACACGAAAATTAGCTGGGCATGGTGGCATATGCCTGTGGTCCCAGCTACGTGGGAGGCTGAGGCAGGAGGATCCTTTGAGCCAGGGAGGTCAAGGCTGCAGTGAGCCATGATCACACCACTGCACTCCAGCCTGGGCAACAGAGCAAAACCCTGTCTCAAAAAAAAAAAAATAATAATAATAATAATAATAATAAAAATATATTTTAGGTCTATGTTTGGATTCATTAATTGAGAAAGACAAATCAGGAGAAGGAGATAAATGGAGAAAAGAGGAAAGAGATGGAGACAAAGAGGGAAAATGGACCAAGATACACAGGGAGAGACATGTACAGAGACAACTCTAGTAACAACTGCTATTTATTAGGTGCCCGCCAGTGCCAGGCACTTTAATTATTATTATTATTTTTGTTTTGAGATAGTCTCTCTAGTTACCCAGGCTGGAGTGCAGTGGCGCAATCTGCTCACTACAACCTCTGCCTCCTGGGTTCAAGCGATTCTCATTCCTCAGCCACTCGAGTAGCTGGGACTACAGGCATGTGCCACCATGCCTGGCTCATTTTTGTATTTTTAGTAGAGATGGGGTTTAGCCCATGTTGCCCAGGCTGGTCTCAAACTCCTGGGCTCAAGCATTGTGCCTGCCTCAGCCTCCCAAAGTGCTGGGATTACAGGCCTGAGACCTGGCTCACTTTAATTATTTTCACACCTATACACAGTCTCTCCTTCTCACAACCCTTGCTCCCATTTTACAGATGAAGAACCTGAGGAGTGGAGCAGTTAGGTACCAGCCCAAGCTTACACTGCAAGTGAGCCCCATACATGCATATATACGCAAACACACTTGGAGGCAGAGCCCATTACCTATTTAACAAACATTAGAGAAATGAGTGATGCTAAGCACTCAATGAATCCCTGCTGCCCTTTGCTCAGGGAGAGCAAGAGACCGACCAACACACCTGGGCACGGAGAGAGCACAGCGTGGAGTAACATCGTAAGCTCCGAACGTTCAGGACAGAGTGGCCCTGGAGTTCAAATGCATGCTGTATTTTAGTAACTACAGCTATAAACTGGGGCTTCGCCTCCAGCACTTGTACCACAGCCTGGAAGAAACTGAGGCAATTCTGGTCTAAAGCAGTTAACTCCTGGGTCCTGATTTACAGTGGGAAGGAAAGGGGGTCACAGTCTATGCTTTCTGCCGCAGACTGACCCCATTCATATTGATCCTGTTGTCATGCGGAGAAAAGATCACCCTGCTTCCTGTTTTGGGTCTCTGAGGTTGACCCATGTAGTTTAGGATGAGAAAAGGGAGGTTTGTTGGGGAAAATGAGATTTCGATTTTATTAGGGTCTGGCCTTACAGGCACATTCCAGCCCATCAACTATTCAATCTTTATCCTCCTCCCCATTCATTTCCTGGCCTCTGGAGTGGGGCTGGAGAACACCATTCTTACCTCCTCTTTCCTGCCTTTGTTCTGATGGCCATGTTATTGTCTTGGATCAAGCATGTCCTCACATTTTTCTGTCCCTTCCATCCCCAAATCCAGGGGGCTCAGTGGAGGTGGCCCTGGGATTCCCCGAGGAGAGATTCTCAGGCGTTTTGGGGGACCTGCTGTCTCCATGGACCTCTCATGGTACAGGGTACTAGGAGCCACATGCACTTCTGAGCACCTTTGCCCCAGGAGCTCCCTCTTTGTGCCCCCAGGTCCAGGGTTGAATGTGGCCCTGTCCGGGGACATCTTGCTTTCTGACTGAAAGTGCACCCTCTGTGGCCTACTTTGGCCCTCCACAGTCAGCCTGCTAAGGGGCGTTCTCTCTGTTGAGATTGGCCGTCTAAACTGTGCTGCCGGCACATTTTAGAGCAAAAGGAGCAAATGGCACAAAAACAGCCCTGCTCTTGGCTGATTTGGTTTAGTTTTCTCCTAGTCCCATTGGCCCTGAACCTGACCGCTGATCTCCTGGCTTTCAGACACAACACAATGGCCATCGGCATTGCAGTGGACATTCTGGGATGCACGGGCACTTTGGAGGACCGAGCGGCCACTCTGAGTAAGATCATCCAGGTGGCGGTGGAACTGAAGGATTCCATGGGGGACCTCTATTCCTTCTCAGCTCTCATGAAAGCCCTGGAAATGCCACAGGTAAATTTCCAATTACTTTATGTGTACTTAATGTTCTGTAAAGAGATCTGCATGCCATGTTTGGCAAATCAGACTATTTTAGTCAATCTCAAAAGTAAATTGAATCTTAGTGAAAGCTGCTTCATTTAGGGGACAGTGTCCTAAGTATTTGGGGTCTACTTTTTTTTTTCTTTTTTGAGACAGAATCTCACTCTGCCACCTAGGCTAGCAGTGGCACAATCTCAGCTCACTGCAACCTCCACCTCCCAGGCTTAAGTGATTCTCATGCCTCAGCCTCAAGTAGCTGGGACTATAGGCAGGCACCACCACACCCAGCTAATTTTTGTATTTTTAGTAGGGACAGGGTTTCACCAGGTTGGCCTGGAACTCCTGACTTCACATGATCTGCCCGCCTCAGCCTCCCGAAGTGCTGGAATTACAGGCATGAGCCACTGTACCTGGACTGGGGTCTATTTTTTTTTTTTTTTAAACGAAGTCTCGCTCTGTTGTCCAGGCTGCAGTACAATGGTGTGATCTTGGCTCATTGCAACCTCTGTCTCCTGGGTTCAAGCGATTCTCCTGCCTCAGCCTCCTGAGTAGCTGGGATAACAGGCGTGGGCCACCACACCTGGCTAATTTTTGTATTTTTAGTAGAGACGGGGTTTTGCCATGTTGGCCAGGCTGATCTCGAACTCCTGACCTCAGGTGATCTGCCCACCTCGGCCTCCCAAAGTGCTGGGATTACAGGCATGAAGCACCACGCCCAGCCTCTGGGGTCTATTTTTTAAGGCAGTAAATATTTGCTGACAGTCCATGCTTTCTCTTTGATGTACAGTAGCAAGTGTCATCCTCATGAACAGTAGTGATTCAAGGAGAACCAATTAGGATGAGACATCTGGCTAAAGTGTGTTGTATAAGAAGGAGACTGCCTCCATCTGGGTCACCAGGTGTGGGCAGTCTAGGATAATCACTGGGAAATGAGACATTTGCAGAGCTTCTATCAGAATCCTTAGAATAGTTTATCTCAGGTCACCTAAAACAGACTGTCCTATTAAAAAGTTCGGATTCCTGGTCCATCTGCCATAGAACTCCCTAATTACCGTTTCTGAAACTGGGCATTTGAATTTATCTGCTGTGCCAGGGATTTTTTAGGATGAGTGTCAAACCTGAATATCTGTATCTGAAGTCAAGCAGGCCTCATAGAGGAAAGTCAGGCTGCCATCTTTATTGCTGAGGATCAGCACTCCCACTTCTGTTCTCCCAAGCCCTGGATGCTTGGAGGACTTGAGTATGAGTTTACAGTCCAGCCAGCAAAACTTTCTAGTAACACCAAAACCGCTGGTCACTCGGCTTGGCTGTTTCATAGCCACAGGTTAGCTCTGAAATCCTGCCAGGTACTCACTGAAATTCCATCATTGCCACTGAAAAACAGCCACAATCACATGTCCCGCAAGTCAGATCATGGCAGGAATAGAATTTACTTGCATTAAAGCAAGGTCACCTTAAAAATAAAAAGTTGAAAACTTAGTGCCTTCATCGGGAATTTGTGGGGGGTCAATTCTAATTATATTTCAGAAGCTTTCAGAATTCTTCAGGTAGACTGGTATTTTGTAGGATTGGTATTTGAAATAAGCAGCCCATAAGTTCTGCCAGATTTTCATGATATACTGATTTCTACTATAACGGGTTATCATTTTTTCATTCAGGTATTTTAATGTGCATTATGTTTATTTCCTGTCACCTAAAACTGCCTAGAATTTTGACAGCAGAGCCAACAGGCCAGGCTGTGGGTAAAGCCTTCCAGCCCAGAGCTTCCCCTGAGACTGGTAAAGGAGATGTTTTGTGGGATCACATGGTTGCCATCCATGACATCAAACTCAGCAGTTAGGGACTTGTCCCCAACCACATTACCATGCTTTGTAGGCGGCTCCCTGCCTTCTAACAGTGTCAGCCTTTCCCTTCTGGAGCACATCAGCAGTGACAGGACACAGTCCTCCAGAGCATACAGTGGCCTAGGAGGAAGTGGCATACCCAGAGAAAGCCCAAAAGGAGGGTCACATTACTTTGCGTGTCACCATCCAACCCAGCCCTTACACTATAGCCACATCTGCCACCTTCTCTTCTCAGCTTCTAGTATCAAGAGAATATGTCCAGGAGATGGGCCTAGCCCAGACCCAGAGGCTTCTTTCAGAAAGGCAATGCCTCAGGGAGTGGGTGTAGGGAGCAGGGGTCTACAGAAGGAAGGGCAGCATGGTGGGCAGCAGGAGGAAGGCGGCCACAGCCTTTTCTTCACAGCACGTCTGCTGGTGCTGAGCCTACTCACCTTCCTTTTGGATACAGGAGCTCTTCAAGGCCAAGTAAATGAATCTCAGCTCTACCACATACCAGCTGGGAAGCCTTGGGCAGTTACCTAATCTCTTCTGTTTTCTCATCTGTAAAAGCCAAAATACCTGTCTTAAAGGGCATTGTGAAGATTAAATGAAATTCTTCAAATATTTGACACAAACTTGGCTCTTATTCCCCAAATACTAATGCCCTTCCTTGTTTCATGTAGAAAACTTAACATAGCCTTGCCGGTTTTAGGGTATGAGTTGGGGACCATTTATCTTAGGACAGTCAGAGTCAGTGGTGTATGCTGCTGCTGACTAAATTGTTCCAAAAGAAAATTGAGGCCCTGAGTTACCTGCAGAAGAAAAGAAATGAGTAGCAGGCATGGTGTCTCATGTTTGTTGTCCCAGCTACTCAGAAGGCTGAGGTGGGAAGATCACTGAGCCTGGGAGGTTGAGGCTACAGTGAGCTGTGATCGCACCACTGCACCCCAGCCTGGGCAACAGAGTGAGACCCCATCTCAAAGAAGAAAAGTCATAAAACTCTTTAAGAGACGAGTTAAACTATAGCTATCCATACAGTGGACTATTATGCAGAAATTTAACAAAATAAGGCTGTTCTATATGTACTTATACTGAATGCTTTTGAGGCAAGGAATGGGTGTGGTTTATGTAGTATATAATATGCATGTATTTATTTTTAAAAGGGGTGTGCGTATAGACAGGAATTTTGGGGAGGTCAATTCCAGTTTTATTTCAAGAGCTTTCAAAATTCTTCAGGTACACTGGAATTTTCTAGGATCAGTATTTAAAATAAGCAACATCAGTTCTGCCGTATTTTCATGATAATGCTGATTTCTATTATAACAAGAGTGTAATTTTTCATTCAGGTGTTTTACTTTGCATCATGTTTATTTCCTCTCATCCAATACTGCCTTGAATTTTGACAGTGGACTGGCCAGCAGGCCAGGCTGTATGTGAAACACACACGCACAAGCAGTTGAAGAGAGTTGCCATCTCTGGGATGCGCTAACAGCAATGCAGATGGGGCGGATGGGGGATTATTTTTTCTTTCTACCCTGCTTTCAGACACTTTGACATTTTTACCATGTGTATCTATCACCTGTTCCAAAATTTAAGCAAAAGGGTAATTTTATTTTATTTATTTTTTTTTTTTTGAGACAGGGTCTCACTCTGTCAACCAGGCTGGAGTGCAGTGGCATGATCTTGGCTCATTGCAACCTCCGCCTCCCAGGTTCAAGCAATTCTCCCGCCTCAACCTCCCGAGTAGCTGGGATTACAGGCACACGCCACCACGCCTGGCTAATTTTTGTATTTGAGTAGAGACAGGGTTTCACCATACTGGCCAGACTGGTCTTGAACTCCTGACCTCAAGTGATCCACCCGCCTCAGCCTCCCAAAGTGCTGGCATTACAGGCGTGAGCTACCACGCCCAGCCACTAAAAGGTAATTTTAAAAAGAACCTTTTCCAAAACACCACCTTTCTTCCAGATCACAAGGTTAGAAAAGACGTGGACTGCTCTGCGGCACCAGTACACCCAAACTGCCATTCTCTATGAGAAACAGCTGAAGCCCTTCAGCAAACTCCTGCATGAAGGCAGAGGTGAGCACGTGGGCAGAGCAAGCATGGGGCTACCCCGCTGGGGAGTGGAGTACAAGTACACAGGGCATGTTATGAGGCCCTGAGTTATCTGCAGCACTGTGGATGGCTCATCAGGGCTTTTATCAGATGACAGCGTTGCTTGTAGAAGGCTGCAGTTGCTGTAACAAGACAAGGGCTATGAGTCACCTCATTCTGTGCTTAACTTTGGAAAACATGTGATATGGAAAACTCTACTCCTTATTCTTCAGAGTCCACATGTGTTCCCCCAAACAATGTATCAGTCCCACTGCTGATGCCGCTTGTGACGTTAATGGAGCGCCAGGCTGTGACTTTTGAAGGAACCGACATGTGGGAAAAAAACGACCAGAGCTGTGAAATCATGCTGAACCATTTGGCAACAGCGCGATTCATGGCCGAGGCTGCAGACAGCTACCGGATGAATGCTGAGAGGATCCTGGCAGGTAAGAGATGGGTTTTGTAAGCTGTTCTCTAACACTGTATCGTAATTGAAATGAAGGAATGGAAGAGCATGGCTGACTTCACTTAGAAAAAGACCAAAAAGGAAGGATTAAAGAATGGAATTCCATTTCCTATATGGCTAGTTATTACTTCCTCTTAATTCCAGAATGACTCAAGTGCCCTGTTTCTCCTTGTGTGTTCTGTTGTTCAATGGTATAGAATAAACAGAGAGAAGGGGTCAAGAAAGAACTGGGGCCGGGCGTGGTGGTTCAAGCCTGTAATCCCAGCACTCTGGGAGGCTGAGGCAGGTAGATCACTTGAAGTCAGGAGTTCAAGACCAGCTTGGCCAACATGATGAAACCCTGTCTCTAATAGAAATACAAAAATTAGCTGGGCGTGATGGTGTGTGCCTGTGATCCCAGCTACTCAGGAGGCTGAGGCAGGAGAATCACTTGAACCCGGGAGGCGGAGGTTGCAGTGAGCCGAGATCGCACCACTGCACTCCAGCCTGGGCGCTGGGCAACAGAACAAGAATTGGCCAACTTGCCTACCACTTATTAATAGTACCTCTAATAGGTGAGATTAGAAAAGGTGATGTGCCAAGATGAGGAGGTGGAGTTTTATCCAGACCTCATTTATCTGCATTCCTGTTCCTTCCCAGTCACACTGGGAAGTGAGCTCCCCTGCTCTTAGCATCAGACACATCCTGGAAAGTGTGGGGCAGTGTTGCGTAAACGGATTTTTCTTACAAGTGCTATGGTGACAGAAAGCAGCCTCCTCAGTCAGCACGGCCGGCATTTATCACACATGTGGCATGCGCGCGGCACCGTGCTAACTGGATGTCCTGAGGAATTTAAGCAGGTACGATAAATGCAGTGTATACTGTGGGAGCACTTAGGGGAAGGGACTGATTTGGTCAGAGATGTTAGGAAAGAGGAAGCACCTGGTGACAGCTTCCCAGAAAACACTGCATTGATTGTTAAAGGACAAAAGCAGTTACCAGCAAGCAGGGCTGGGAATTCCACTCAGATGGCACAACCCAAGCAAAGGCGCTGAGAGACCTTGGGGAAAACTGGGATCCACAAGTACTTGGGTTTAGATTTGTGCAAAGTATGACCTAAGGAATGGCCAACTAGGCTACAGAGGGAGGTGCAGCTGGGAAGCCCTTCCACATAAGACCGTGGCTGAAGAAGAGCCAGTGAAGGGTTTAATCATGGGAGGGTGTCACATGGTCAGATTTCTGTTTTAAAGTAAATTACTCTGGTGTCTGTGTGGAGGAAGGCTGGAAGGCTGAAGGTTTGCTGGCAGAAAGACCATTCAGGAAGGAGGGCTTTGCCAAGGCAGTCATCAAGGATGACTATTTTCCATTACTATATAATTTTTTAAATTCTTCAAGGGCTCACAGTTTGATTCACAAAGTTAAGAACTATGTGGGGGCAGGAGACTCCATTTATTTAATTCTAAAAGGGAGCTGCCTCAGAACCAGATGTGGGACTTAGTCGTTTGCACCATCTGCTGTGGGTATAAGCACCGCATACCTGTTTCATTTTCTTCCTCAAAAAGTTCTCCAGGATTGGCTGTATGTTACTCAAACAATAAAAGCACACAAGTCAACAAGTATCAGAGTGCCTACTTAGACAAAGCCAATGAATACATTACCATGGATGTTGCATAAGCCAATACATCAGGGTGGGTTTTGAGAAAAGTGTGCCATAAGCTGCTCTACAGCTTTAAATCACTTTAAAGGTCACTGATGGAATTTTTCAGTCGATCCTAATATAGATTTCACAGCAAGTACCCATTGCTGTAAGTGACAGTGAACCCAGGAAAGGCAGAGATCTGCTCACCAGCATAGACCAGACCACGTGAATGGGAAGGGGCTCAAAGCATGTATGAATAGGAGTCACCATCTGGGGGCCGGGCGCAGTGGCTCATGCCTGTATTCCCAGCACTTTCGGAGGCTGAGGTAGGCAGATCACCTGAGGTCAGGACTTAGAGGCCAGCCTGGACAACATGGCAAAACCCCGTCTCTGTTAAAAATACAAAAATTAGCCGGGGAATTTTGAGAGGGAATACTTGAGAGGCTGAGGCAGGAGTATCAAGCGATTCTCCTTGATTCTTAATTTCATTGAGCCGAGATTGTGCCACTGCACTCCAGCCTGGTCTCAAAAAAAAAAAAAGTCACCATCTGGCCTTTGGTTGGTTATCCACCAAGGATATTCTGGCATCATCAGGAAGAAAATATTCCTGTTGTCCTTTCTACAACCAAGATCCTGTGATCTAGATGGCAGGTATATTTAATGGCAGAACAAACTATCCCAGCAATAATAAAGGATGAGAACCACATGACTCTTTGGCTAGAGGCTTCTCTCTCTTTAAAAGAGTTGCCTGAACATCTTTGGCCTTAAGCAGACCACATCCTCTCTTAGATGGAATAGAGTTAAGAAATAGGCCCACACATATGGCTGACAGTTGATTTTCAACAAAGGTGCCAAAATAATTCACTGGATAAAGTATAATCCTGCAAATGGTATCTGCTATTGGATATCCATATGCAAAAAAGTGAATCTCGATCCTTACCTCATACCATACACAATAATCCAAAATGGATCATAGACCCAAAATGTAAGAGCTAAAGTATAACCTTCTGTAAGAAAACATAGGAGAAATTCTTTGTGCCCTTAAGCTAAGTAAAGACTTCTTGGCCAGGCACGGTGGCTCACGCCTGTAATCCCAGCATTTTGGGAGGCTGAGGCAGGCGGATCACCTGAGGTCGGGAGTTCAAGACCAGCCTGACCAACGTGGAGAAACCCCGTCTCTACTAAAAATACAAAATTAGCCGGGCGTGGTGGCGCATGCCTGTAATCTCAGCTACTCGGGAGGCTGAGGCAGGAGAATTGCTTGAACCCAGGAGGCAGAGGTTGCACCATTGCACTTCAGCCTGGGCAACAAAAGCAAAACTCCATCTCAAAAAAAAAAAAAAAAAAAAAGAAAGAAAGAAATTCTTAGGACACAAAAAGCATGAACCACAGCAGAAAACATTGAGTACACATATATCTGATAAAGGACTTACATCTAGGCTATACAAAGAACTCTTACAACTCAGTGAGAAGATAAAATTTAAATAGACAAAAATTTGAATAGACACTACATCAGAGAAGGCATACAAATGACAACTACATGAAAAGATGTTCAAAGCATTCATCATTAGGGAAATGTAAATTTAAACCAACCACAATGAGATACCACCACACTATCTAGAATGGCTACAACTAAAAAGAATGATAGGCCAGGCACGGTGGCTAATGTCTGTAATCCCAGCACTTTGGGAGGTCGAGGCGGGTGGATCACCTGAGGTCAAAAGTTCGAGACCAGCCTGGCCAACATGGCAAAACCCCGTCTCTACTGAAAATACAAAAAATTAGCCAGGCGTGGTAGCACACACCTGTAGTCCCAGCTACTTGGGAGGCTGAGGCAGGAGAATTGCTTGAACCCGAGAGGTAGAGGTTGTGGTGAGCCAGGATCGTGCCACTGCACTCCAGCCTGGGCAACACAGCGAGACTCCTTCTCAAAAAAATAAAAATAAAAAATGATAAAACTAAGGGTTGGCAGCATGTGGAAAAACTGGAGTCTTCATATGTTACTGCTGTGAATATAAAATGATACAGCCATTTTGGAATAGAGTTTAATAGTTTCTTTAAAAGTAAACATATACTGATTGTATGACCCAATAATTCCTTTCCTAGAGAAATGAAAACACATGTCCACACAAGATTTGTACACAAGTGTTCACAACCACTTACTCATAGCAGCCAGAAGCAATCCAAATGTCATCAATTGGTGAATGGATAAACAAAAACAATGGCATGTCCATAAAACTGAATATTGATCAGTAAGAATGATTAGCATGCAACATATGGAATAATCTCAAAAACATCATGCTAAGTGAAAGAAGTCACACATTAAAAAGTTCATAGTGGATGATTCCATTTATCCCATATTTCTAGAAAAGGCAAAACAGTAGCAACAGAAAGCAGATCAGTGGTTGACTGAGGTCTGCAGTAGGAACAGGAATTGACTGCAAAGAGGTACTAAGGTGATGGAAGTGTTCTAAGACTGGTGGTAATGGTTTATGTAAAAACTTACCATCATAAATCAAACTCCACAGCCAAAAACAGGTGAATCATATGACATGTAAACTATACATCAGTAAAGTTGGTAAAAACAAGTAACGAACTCCTAGGTACAATGAACCCTCCTTCCCACAGCACTACTTCCCACAGTGGTTTGTACAAACCAATTTCACTCTATTGTTTTTTAATGAGTTTACCTGTTATTTCTTCTCTGAAGGTGCTTAGGTTCTGCAGGGTGGGGCTCTGCTCTCCCTTATATAGAACAGATCCTATATTTTTCTTTGGGGACATTTTTTAAAGTTCTGAGAGAGAGAAGATGTTCATTTTGATGCTACTTTAAGCAAGCTTTCAGTCTATTTTTTTTTTTTTTTTTTTTTTTGAGATGGAGTCTCGCTTGTCACCCAGGCTGCAGTGCAGTGGCGCAGTCTCGCTCACTGCAAGCTCCACCTCCCGGGTTCACGCCATTCTCCTGCCTCAGCCTCCCGAGTAGCTGGGACTACAGGCGCTCGCCACCACGCCTGGCTAATTTTTTGTATTTTTTTAGTAGAGACGGGATTTCACTGTGTTAGCCAGGATGGTCTCGATCTCCTGATCTTGTGATCCACCCACCTCGGCCTCCCAAAGTGCTGGGATTACAGGCGTGAGCCACCGCGCCTGGTGCTTTCAGTCTATTTTTAACACATCTTAGGCAGAACTGAAGTAACTTTTTGTTTATTTTGTTTCATTAGGTTTTCAACCAGATGAAGAAATGAATGAAATCTGCAAGACTGAATTTCAAATGCGATTGCTATGGGGCAGCAAAGGTGCACAAGTCAATCAGACAGAGAGATATGAGAAATTCAACCAGATTTTAACTGCCCTCTCGCGTAAATTGGAACCTCCTCCTGTAAAGCAGGCAGAGCTTTGATAACTCTCCAGAGAACCTTTAGAATATCTTTTCAAGTTTCCCCAGCTTCATCTTTGGGAAAGCTTACTGTTTTTGATAAAGTAATAATGTGCAAATCTGACAATATACAAGCTTTTAGTATCCACAGGATATTAAACGTGTAAATTGCACAGAGCACACTTATTTATGAATTGTCTAAAGTTACTACTGATTTTAAAATGAATAATTTATTATTAAGGTAACTACTGCTAATGTTGATCAGCAAATTTAAGAGAAGACCTAGCTATGTTGGCTGGTTGCTTTCTATTATCATGGTATTTGACCATTTTAGTTTTAATTCCATGTCAGATAAGTGTAAATAGAAGAGTTTAAAAGCATGAAACATTTCAGAAGGTATCAGTTATATGATATTCTTTAAACAAATATGAAAAATGTAAATACTCATGAATGAAAATACATCTTTTTGTGAAACAGTTGTATCCAGTCTCTTTCATATTAAACAACTCATCTTGGTACAATAACTCTACCTCTTAGCTACCTCAAGCATGCTCTTCCCTAGGTACCGTATCCTGATAGTAAACCAAAATGAATGAAAGTGGTATGAAAAATTTAATGTTCCTGGATTAAAAGGCAGAGTGATTGATAGTGACACAAGGTAGAAACAGCTCGAGAGGACCTGGGTTCAAACTCAAGCTATGGTACTTGCTACCAGCTGGAGTTAGGCCAAGTTTACCTCATTGAATTCCATGTGCAGCATGGACACCCAGTATGATGAACATAACATCATCTCTTCACATATTTCAGAGTAATCAACTGTTTTACCTTTTCCTCTAGCTGATAAGTACAACAATGAGTTTCCTAGGTTGGCTTTCTAGGTTTCTCATTTTGCAAAGGGGATACTTTCTAGTTTCTTTCTAGTTTAGCAATATCCCTCTCAACTTTCCCTATTGTACAAAATTTGGAATATAAGACTTTAACGTATTCTGTTACTCTGCCATCAACTGTCAAACTTCTTTTAATAATCTGTTTTTCCTTCTTCTATTTTAAATAATATTAGGACCATACCAACTTTTATATTCATCTTAAACCGGCTGTGAAAATTTCTTCATGATGTTAAATAGCCTTTAAAAAATATGATTTATTGGTTACAGAAGTTACACTGTAACTTAACTATCACCCTATGATGGTTTTTAAAAATGTGCCACATTTTTTAAAAGGTGCCACGTTGTTATTTTTTGTTGAAAAAAACCAAAGCACATTTCTACTTCTGGCAATATGGTGGTTCAGATGTTCTTAGCCCTCTCACCATAACTAACTAAATCCTGAATACATTTTAATAAACATACCTTTTAGTGTATGATCAACCTTGATAGAAATCCCCAAGGAACAAACTTCTCTCCCCGCCGCACCTGAAAAAGGTACAGCACATTTGAATCAACTCCTCATGAGAACTTAAGAGCCGGGGCAGACCTAGAGGCAAAGAGTAACGTCAGCTCAGTGAATGAGAGTCTGTCTTGGGGGAACTTAAAATGCCTCCATTAAGCAGGAATCCTTAAAGGGTCCCTGTTAATGGAATAGAAAACATTCATCTGCCAGCAAAGGAAGGTTGCCAGGAAACATGACTGTCTTCACATACAGCTCCAGGAAGAAAACAATTATAATGACTATAGTGTTCAGTGAGGATTGGCAACCACACACCTGTCCTCATACAGGTCTGGAGTAAAAATTACAAAATCCAAAACCAAGAAATTGATTTACAGTGGTCCCAGGTTGGTGGTGTCTACCAGATATAAAAGCTTATTATTAAGCTATAGTAATTAAGGTTTCATCAGAAATTTAACATGACAGAGTGAAACTGTTGATAAATGGGGGAAATAATGACTTTAATTCTTGAACAATTGGTTAAGCAAATGAAAGGGGGAAAATGGCCTCTTACCTCTTATCATATACAGAAATAAAATCTGGATGAGTTAAGAACCTACATGTGAAAGGCAAAATCATAATACTTTTAGAAGAAAGTATCTTTTACTTTGAATCAAATAAGAATTTCTTAGAAAAAGCATTAATTATAAAATAATGATTAATCTGCATTAAAATGAATAAATTCCATTCAAAAGACATCATAGAGAACCTGAAAAATCAGAGATATTGACAACACATAAAATGGACAACAGAATACTATGGTTGGTAGGCAGCCTCCAAGATGGTCCCCAATGTTCTCTGCCTCCTGGTGCTCACACTCTGTGTTGTCCCTTCCTGCATTATACCAGGCTTTGTCTGTGCCACCAAGCACACAGGGCAGAAATGTTGCATCTGAGATAGGTTATGAGAAGACTGTAGCTTCTGTCTTGAGTCTTGGATCACTCAATCTGGGGAAAGCAAGATGCCACCTTGTGAGTATCCCTATGGAGAGGTCCATATAGCAAGGAACTGTAGCCTCTGGCCAACAGCCAGCAAGGAAAGGAACAGAGGCTTACCAGCAACCACATGGATAATCTTGGAAGTGGACTCTCCAGCCCCAGTCAAAGCCTTGAGGTGACTACAACCTCAGCCAGCAGTTGGACTGCTACCTCATGAGAAACCCTTAGCCAAAATCAGCCAGCTATGTTACACAGTAAGAGATAACTAACACAATTAGCATCCTTAATACACAAAGAGCTTCCATGAATAAATATAAAAAGACAATTGACCAAAAAAAAAAAGGATGAAGATAAAACAGGGTTTTTACAAGAAGGGGAAACATAGAAACACGAAGATGCACAACACCAATCATCAGGGCAACACGATTTAGGCCTACAATGAAATGCTCTTTTATATCCTTTAACTGACAAAAATTGAAGTCTGAATCCTAAGTGCTGGCCAGGATATGGAACATGAATAACCCTTATACGATGCTTGTAGGAGTGTAAAAATATTACAATAACTTTGGGAGGAAAATGTGGCATTATATTTTAAAAATGAAAATTAAGGAAGTCCTAGCCAGAGCAGTCAGGCAAGAGAAACAAATAAAAGGCACCCAACTGGGAAAAAGGGAAGTCATATTTTCTCTGTGCTGATGATACGATTCTATACCTAGAAAACCCTAAAGATTCCACCAAAAGACTCCCAGACCTCATAAATGACTTAAGCAAAGTCTCAGGATGCAAAATCAATGTACAACAATCAGAAACATTTCTACATACCAATAACATTCAAGCTGAGAACCAAATCCAGAATATAATCTCATTTACAATAGTCACCAAAAAAAAAAACCAAAACAAAACTAGGACTGCTGAAACACTGCTGAAAGAAATCATAGATGACATAAACAAATGGAAAATCAATCAGTGTTCATGGGTTGGAAGAATCAATATCATTAAAATGTCTATATTGCCCAAAGCAATATATAGATTCAACACTATTCCTATGAAATTACCAATGTCACTTTTCACAAAATTAGAAAAAACTATTCTAAAATTCATATGGAACGAAAAAAGAGTTGGAATAGCTAAGGCAATCCTAAGCAAAAAGAATAAAGTGGAAGGTATCACATTACCTGACTTCAAACTATACTACAAGGCTACAGTAACCAAACCAGCATGGTACTGGTACAAAAATAGACACAATAGACCAATGGAACAGAGTAGGGACCCCTGAAATAAAGCTGCTGCACACCTACAACTTATCTTCAACAAAGTCAACAAAATAAATAATAGGGAAAGGATACCCTATTCAATAAATGGTGCTGGGAAAACTAACCATATGCAGAAGAATGAAGCTGGACCCCTACTTATCACAATATACAAAAATTAAGATGAACTAAAGACTTAACTGAAAGACCTCAAACTATAAAAAGCCTAGAAGAAAACCTAGAAAATACTCTTCTAGATATTGGCCTAAGCAAAGAATTTATGACTAAGTCCTCTAAAGCAAATGCAACAAGAACAAAAGTTGACAACTAAGACCCAACTAAACCAAAGAGTTTCTGCATAGCAAAAGAAACTATCAACAGATTAAACGGACAATCTACAGAATGGGAGCAAATATTTGCACACTACACATCTGACCAAGGACTAATATCCAGAATCTATAAGGAACTTAAATCAGCAAGAAAATAACTACATTAAAAAGTGGGCAACGGACAAGAACAGACACTTCTCAGAAGACATACTAGCAGCCAACAAACATGAAAAAATTATATCATTAGTCATCAGAGAGATGCAAATCAAAACCACAATATCAGCTCACACCAGTCAGAATGGCTACTGAAAAGTAAAAAAAAAAAAAAACAAAAAACTAAAATTACACCATTTGACCCAGCAATTGCATTACTGGGTATATACCCAAAGGAAAAGAAATCATTCTACCAAAAACACATCTGCACTCGTGTATTTATCACAGCACTATTCACAACAGCAAAGACACAGAATCAACCCAGGTGCCCATTAATGGTTGACTGGATAAAGAAAATGTGGTGGCTAGGCATGGTGGCTCACGCCTGTAATCCCAGCACTTTGGGAGGCCAAGGCGGGTGGCCTGAGGTCAGGAGTTCGAAACCGGCCTGGCCAACATGGTGAAACCCTGTCTCTACTAAAAATACAAAAATTAGCCGGGTGTGGTGGCGGGCACCTGTAATCCCAGCTACTCAGGAGGTGGAGGCAGGAGAATCACTTGAACCCAGGAGGCGGAGGTTGCAGTGAGCAGAGATCATGCCATTGCACTCCAGCCTGGGCGACAAGAGCAAAACTCCATCTCAAAAAAAAAAAAAGAAAATGTGGTACATACACACCATGGAACACTACACAACCATGGAAAAGAATGAAATCATATTCTTTGCAGTAACATGGATGCAGCTGGAGGCCATTGCCATAAGCAAATTAATACAGAAACAGAAAACCAACTACTACTGCATGTCCTCACTTATAAGTGGGAGCAAAACATTGGGTAAACATGTACATAAAGATGGAAACAATAGACACTGGGGATCCCAAAAGCGGGGAGTGAGAGAGGGGAGAAAGGCTTGAAAAAATACCTATTGGTTACTATGTTCACTACTTGGGCAAAAGGATCATTAGAAGTCCAAAGCTCAGCAGCACACAATATATCCATGTAATAAGCCTGAACACGTGCCCCTTGAATCTAAAATTGTAATGAAAACTATAACCATAACCTAGCAATTCTACTCCTCGGTACAATTTTAGAGAAACTCTGAAATCAGTAAACATGTACATAGATACACATAAGCAGTATATTTTTACTAGCAAAACTAGTAGCCCAAATGTCCATCGACAAGAGGATGGATAATTTGTGTATACTTTTATAATGGAATACTATACACAATAAAATTATGCATAAACAAGGATAAATCTTAAAAATGATGAGTGAAAAAGTCTCAAGATACAATGGAATATTTAAAATATTTGATAACTGGGATATTACTAAATTCATAAATATATAAATCAGTGTACAAATCAACAAGATAATTCATTTTATTTAAACTACATAAAACTTTATCAAGTGATATAAGTAGCACAAACCATTTATAAATCACTAATAATTTTCAAGTTGTTTGTTTAAACAAATGGGTTGGTATAATCTTTTGCTTGATATGGCTGTCACCAGGGAAATGATGCCCCTGTGATTTGACACAAGGAACTGCAAACTCTTCCAGTGACTTCCCCCATTCAACTGACCACTGTCATTAGTTTACTAACCACTGCCTGGCACCTGAAGAGAGGGAACAGGTAATGGATCGCCATCTCACCTCCTACCCTCATCAGACAGCACAGCACCATCTGGGTGCTGGCTATATGCCAAGAGCCAGTGGCAGGAGCTCTCAGCCATAGAAGAGAATGGAGAAAAGGGAGAAAGACGGAGTAAGATGGTTGGGGATTGCTCATCTTGGTTTGCCAGAATTGGAAGCTTGTAGTTTGTCTGTCTCACTCCACACTCAAGACAGTGCTTCCACTGTGCCCACCTGGTAATATTCTACTTGTTAAACTGGGTGATATATTTATCTTATAATGGTTCATAACATACATATACATATTATCCACAAGAAACTCCTCAGGATGGAGATTCTGGGTTTACCAAATCAGTTCGTCAAATGCTCCCATATCCCTAATAGTGCTGTCACAACTCACAGAAAACAAGTGAGAAATCTTGTCAAACTGAAATTGTGTTGAAAGCAAGACACTAATTATGTCTTAGAATTACCCCCATTTGTATCAAAAGAAATGAGGCTATTTTGACATGGCTTATTCTTAGGAACCTCAGTCAGTTGCCCAATACACTGTCCCCTAAAAGCTAACATCATCTAATACTTTCAAGGGTTGTTGTCCAACTTCTCAGAATTTACTCTTCAAAATGTGTGTTTGCCAATTCCCCAATCTTTTGGTGCATCTTATGTTTTCTGTAGTTTCCCTAATTCCTGACAGTGACTATACTCAGGAATACATTGATCCTAGGTATATAAGCTCATTGAAATAGGTTGTTTCTTAAGCTTTTTTTTTTTTTTTTTTTTACTTAAGCTAATACAAGTTGAGTATCCCAAATTCAAAACTCCAAAATCTGAAACTTTTTGAGCAATGACATGATGCTCAAAGGAAATGCTGACTGGAGAATTTTGGATTTGGGGATTAAGGATGCTCAACTGTTAAGTATGTAATGCAAATATCTAAAAAAAAAAAAATCGGAAATATTTCTGGTCCCCAGCATTTCAGATAAGGAATACTTAACCTGTACATTCTTCAAAATAAAACCCTTTTCAATGAGACTAGAGAGACTTTTCATTTGTTGTTATCAAGGACGTTATCTTCCCCTCGCAAATAGGAAGTGATTTCACTGATCTTAGTTTTGATAATAAAAGCTTTCTTCATTGTTTTGAGCTCTCCACCCCAAACCTCTGTCCATCTGAAGCTTTAACAATTGACACTATTTTCCTGCTATTTTCATTGTTTTGTGTGTTCCTACTTCCAAACTTGGCATTGATCCCTAAATTTTCATCTCAACAATCGTAACCTCTCATTGTTCAGCATCTACCCTGAATTTTATTCCCTTTTCTGAGTTTCTAAAAGTTTGCAGTCATAGTTTCACATTTGCATTTTTTAAAAGGTGAATCTTCTGAAATTAGACTTCCTGAAGTTACAGATAATGTGTCACTAATTATGGCAAATGTTCTTTCCATGCTTTGAAATGCCAGGAAGACTTGGGTGTTGTAACTGATTAGGAATCAAGCCGGAGCACAGGAAATGCTGTCCAGCGTGTAGTGGCTAGATTGGGCTATGAGGTACAGGGACAGTTCGTATGGTTGCAGTGGACAGATGGTGTAAAAGGAAAGTCTATGCAACACAGCTACTGGAGAAGAAAGATAAATCCAAATTATTGCATGCAATTTAAATTCACTCTAAAGAGACAGCAAACTTTTTTTTTCCTTTAGGAAAGCTTAGAGAAACCAAAATTAGAATACAATTTCCAAAACTGCTTTGCAAAAAACAAAAAAAACTTGTCCCACTTATGGAATTTGTCATCTACTCTGTATTATCTGAGACTTGGCACATTCAAGAACAAAATCATCACATCTCTGATTCACATAGCAATGAAAGATCACACACTAAACACCTTAACAGGCCATGAAAAGATTGTTTTATTCCATGTAAATATTCTCAACAGAGAACACTATCTTTAAATGAAGGATTTACCATTAAGAAATCAACATGTGCACAAAAAGAGTAAAAATTACCAAAAAATTAAAGATTTTTTGGGACAATTCACATGTTCAAAATTTAAGAATGATTTAAACTGTGCAAGTACAAATGTCTTTCCTATTATAATAACCCATATACAGGTTGCACTATTCCACATCAAGGAACTTGCCTCCTACGGAAGCAAATCCTGCTTTTAGAAAAACAAACAGTAGCTTGAAAAGAACAGTTAGTCCTTACAAGAAAGTCTTAAACTTTGCCCTCTGTGGCTGTTAGCCAAAAAACCATAAGCACTTCAGGCTTTGTACAGAAGACAAACACAGCCAGATCACATTTCCTCCTCATTGCTAACCTTTAAAATAAAAATAGCACTAGATTTTAAAACTACTTCATGTAGTCTGTCAGTACTGAATAATGTCACATTATATAAATAACCCTGTAACGAGATTCAATATCTAAACTTTATAGTTTACTAGCTGCAAAGGTAATACACTATATGTCAGCTGTGTAACAGTGGTGACTTGATCTTATGAAGGCAGTAACTTTCACACAATTGTCATTCAGCTTTAGTATAACGGGTAGTATGATTCAAATAACACTGGGAAAAAGTTATTAAAGCAGTCACACAGCTTCTAAAATATTGCTTAAAATTCAATAATACACAAACCATTTCACGTTCTTTCTCCCCTCAAAACAGTAAAGAACCAAATTAATGAAGATTCAGTGGTACAAATAACCCCCCACCTGCCCCATCTCCCTATTACAACACCACTAAGAAATTAGTTAAGATACATGTCATTAACAGAATCACAAATGCGAGGCAGGACACCATGAGCAACAGGAGCACTAACAACAATCATATTTACAAGTATAAACATACAGAAATTCCATTTTACAAGTAAAAGTGCACATAGATCATTACAAAGTTTCACTAAATTTTATCAGGTTCAAACAAAAGCATCACGTGGAAAGAGACTATCATTGTAATTATCAAACATGATCGTCATAACCCAAAATAAAAAGACAATTGGGGGAGGCCCATAAAACTTCTCATAAAACCACTGAGGAAATTAAAATGGACTTGGACATGTCTTTAGTTTGATGCATAAATTTGAAGATGCACCACTGTATATGGTAGAGCTCTAATAGCCACCTACCGAGGCTACATCGGCAGCTGCAGCGGTGCTGCAGAGTTAAAGCAGGTCGCACTGAGCTGACACATAAAGCCCTTTGTGGGATACTGTAGTGGTAGTGTTGGCAATCAACAGATTTAGGCACTCAAGTTTAAGGCAGCATTTGAATGGAAGCAGCTGACTTTTGACAATAGTCCTTTGTCTTGAGGTGGTGAATATCTTCTGTGTTTATTATGCCAGGATTTCAGTGCTGACTAGATTCTTCCCAGACTGAGGTGCTGAAGATGTATCACGTTTCAAAGAGTTCTTTCAACTGGGCTGTAGGCTACAGCAGAGATGTTTTCTTTTTCTTATCATAAATACTTCAGGTTCACAGCTACTTCTTCGTAATGCCAAAACTGGAATGTTTGCAGTGGGGAAGTTATAGCAGTGTGCACAAATACTAAGATGGAAACATTAGTGCTGGAGATGTTTGACAAAGTGATTTGCACTACAAATGTAAAACAAAACAAGGCTTTGACAAGAACAAGGGAATCTAAAGACATGCCTGAAAAATCTAGCTCAATCACGCTAGACATGCAACAGGATGTTAAGCAAGCACGGAGGTGGCGCAGGCAGACACTGACAGATGGCAAGGATCTGACAGATAGTGGGTCTAAAAGCCAATTAAAACAGAGCTGGGAGGGAAGACAATCCTGTTGGGACAGCTAATGTAAGACACATTTTTTGACAGCTCTGCATTCTTTATTGATTAGACAGCAATAAAATAAATAGAAAAATGGTACACTATTGTTGGCTTTTTCTTTTGTGGGAATAACTGTGAACTAGGAACTTAAGGGTTGGTATTATGATTTTTAAAAACAATGTATGGAAATGCTAATGAAGTTAGTAAAAAAAAAATCATGTCTGCATGCACTCATGCAACTTGCTTCTCTCACTCTCTTTGAGCCTGACAACTCTAATACCCTCCCCCAAAAGCAGCTGCATGTAACCTCCTTCAACATCTTGCCCATTTCCTCAGAAACCCTCTTCAGGAACCTGCAGTCCAGGAGGAAAAAGAAAAGAACAATTACTGAAGACCTTTGGTAAAACCAAAAGGGGTGTTCAGTTTAAAGTGCCTGTCCCAAATGTCTCTATCATTTTATAGTCAGCTACCGAAAACACCAGGAAAATTTAAAACATGGGCAAAATTAAAAACCAATCTTACTGCTTCTTCACACTTTACTTCCCCACACCACTGACTCAGGGTGTGGTCACACAACCAGCACTGCACAATCCTTGACTGCACAGTGTTTCCAACAACGCTTGCTGAAACTAATTGGAAAAATTTATCTATCCTAATAACTAATGATTCAGCGGAAATAACAAAATGCCCTAAAGGCGGTACACATATCTTCCTCTAACCCAGATAGTCAAAAAGTTTCTCCTTTAAAAATTAAAATTTGTCAACACTTCCCCTCCATTCAAGGTTTCCTCTATCTTCAAATGTGTATTTTTCTATGTAACTGTGTATTTTCCTATGTGTAACTGCTAAATGCTAAATAATCACTAAAGTGGTATTTCCCAAAAGATATTTTCAAGATGAAACATACAAAAGTATGAGATTAGTTTGGAAGGAAGCTTGTAAATTATTGAAAATTACCAGCTAACCTCAAAATATTTTGAGGTCTCAAACAAAATCTATTTTATTCACCTAAGAGCTAGACCAGGAGATTTATTTTGAAACTCTCTTTAAATCTACTTAAATAGATTATGTGCTACCTGCTCATTTTCTTCCTTTAGGAAACCAAAGTTAAGAATAGGTAAGAAAATGAAAATGATGTTATTATTTTACTAAATTATCCAACTACTATTTTTCTTCTTGGAAACTGTAGCTACAAATTCAAACTTCTAGAAGAAACCACTCTTTGGGGAGTCGGCTTTCCATAGCATTTCAGAGCAGTTTCACTATTCAAATTCACTAAAGTCACTGTGTTTTCTGAAGTAAAGGGGGCAGAGAGCATTACTATCCATGAATTCCTGCCCAATAAATCAAATTCTATTTGTAAGGCAGAAAAACACAAATCCTTCACACAGACTTAAGCGGGACATAAAGCAAAAGGCATCAATTAAGCTTCACACCAACGTTACTCAAACAGTAAAGTGCCACAAAATGTTTCTTGTGGTAATATTCACAAGATCAAGCCTACACTCAGCTCACATAGTGAACAATTAATCTTGGATGCCCTTTAAGTTTCCTTATTTTTTTCAACCTGTTGAATGTGTTTTCATTTTATGTTACTCTTCCTATGTCACACATGGCACAAAGGTGCCTGGTTAGTTTAGATATAAGTTACTGCACCTTTACTGTTTTTCTCTAGAGTTACATCTATGTATGACGTGGGAACGTAGCCTTCTTCACCGTTCTGTCTCCGAGCTCTTGTCCATCCGTCACCTTTGTCCTCCTCTATAATGTAGAGAACTTCACCTTCTTTCATTGCTAGAGTACCTTCATTATGTCCTAGATGAGAGTTTTCACAAGCATAATTTAAGCATTGTGATAATTTTTTTTAAAGTTACTAATACAATGCACAAAATACAATGAAACCCTACTAGATTTCAATGTACCTGGAACTACTGACTCTCACTAGCAACATCTCTATTGTGCTTTGTGGCTTACCCAGCACTTTCATATACATTCTCTCATTTGAGCTGCATAATAAGCCCGCAGGGCTGGATAACATCACCCCCATGTAACGGATGAAGTTAACTGAGTCACAGTGACATTACATGATTTGACAGGGTATTCTAATTCCTATGTCACTATTCCAACTCTTTTCCCAAATTTTAGTAGTCTATCTAAAAAAATTCAGCAGGTATGGATTAGGAAAACAGTAACCAGATAGCAAAAGAGCAGGAAGAAAGAAGGAAAAAAGAGAGTCTGAAGGGAGAACAGAGAAAAATACGGGTTTGACTCTAGAGATGGTAGAAACAGAATGGCCATACACAACTCTTTCACTCTCTATCCCCAACCACGCCCAACCTGCTTAGCAGTAACAATTTTCACAACTGAATCTTCATTTAACACGTGCCAAATTGCTTCCCTACTCTCTAGATTACATTATAGCAAGTTTGTTTTCTTTTGTTTTGTTTTAGAGATAGGGTCTTACTGCCCAGGTTGGATTCGAACTCCTGGGCTCAAGCAATCCTCTCACCGCAGCCTCCCAAGTGTCTGGGACTATAGGCACACATCACTGCACTTGGCTGCAAGGTCTTAAATTTAATATATTTTCTAATAAGAAGTAACTAGAGACTTTGCTCAATTTTAAACCAACACGAAGTGGGGAGAAAGACCTTAAATCAAGCACCATTTTACAACCGTTTATTTATGAAAGTGTCGCTCAGTTCTCCTGTTAGTTGAGGGAAAGTATTTTTCACAGTCCAGGATAAAGAGGAACTAAAAATCTGCAGGAGAAGGCCTCAGTGCCTTACTTCCCTTCCAGAGTTTGTTCTTCAACTTTCATAGAGTAAGAGATAACATAGTCAGTAGCTACTACATTCTCTCCCACTTTCATCTAAACAGGTGGCCTACGGACTCAGTATATGATGATGGCATTCAGCTAGCTATGCCTTGTACCTGTCTCTTAATGTTAGTAAGCTACAAGGAAGAGCATGAAGTGGCATCCGCCAGCATCCCGCTTCCTGGGTTGAGCTACATGTTCAAGCTGCCTCGACTTTGTTTAGGACATGTGCACAGTAAGGACTCTGGTGAAAATTCTGCACTGACCAAAATTGATAATTAATTAATAATCTGTATTAGGATGCTAGTAACGTGGGCAATTTCCTTTTAATTCCATGTACGGAAGAAAAATATCTACATTTGTAATACAGTTATAACAAAAGTATGCATACTAAAGAAATGGGATAATAATTTTCTGACAACATATATTACTTAAATAAGGATACTACAGTGAGTGACTTGATGTAAATACTTTTAAAGAACCAATTTTTTTACATACAATATTATTAAGAAAATCATACCATCAAAAGGGTAGATAGCTTTGCAGTGTCCAATAGCAGGCAAGGGATCATCATCCTCAAATTCATCATCAAACTCATTGTGGTGACCATGCTGCTGGGGTGGCCCACGGACTTCCTGGTTTGCATCATCAGTGTAACTTCCCTCAGGACTATAAAACAAAAAATTATCTCTGATCAAGTATCATAAACATGAGAATTCTATATATTATTTATAAATTGATCACCTCAGGATCAATTCCAAAAATTAAATATTAATGACACAGTTTCCACTTAAGCCCTATTTTTTTCAAATGTCAAGTATACAAATTACTTCTAATACAAAATGCTGCTTTGCTGAATTTCCTGAATTAAAAAAAAATTACAAGATTACAATATTCTAGGCACAAAGTATTATTCAGTAAATACACCTCACTATCACTCGGTCTAGACATAAAACAGAAAAACGTTCTAGACCCTTGTCTTCCATCATCCCAAATTTATCATCCTAAAATTCCTTAAGGGATCCATGCATATCCATGTTTAGTTCACACGCTTCAGGTGGATTGTTTCTATTCTGAATCTGGAGTGGCCCATCAGAGCAATCATCTATATAACCAGTTCACAAGAAGTCCTGTAACCTAATCAGATTTAAGAAATGCACAGAAACTTTTGCTTGGGACTCTTCGAAGAGAATTCACTCTGTCCCTTTTCTACTGGACTCGAAACCTGCAGGAATACTCGCCTAGAGCTTTGGAGCCTTAAAAGGAAGCCAACACAGTAGAAAGCACAGCTGTGAGGTGGAGAGAAATTGAGTCCTAGGGATAACATCTGAGCTCCTAGATCAAGCTCTCCCTGAAGTCAGCCAATGAAGTCCATTTTTAGTTTAAGCCAGCATGGGTAAAGTATTCATTCTGTCACTGAAAATTAAAAGATTCTCAACTAAAATAAAAAGTAAAGTAAATTTCCAACTAATCATGGTAACAGGGAAGTTGGTAACTTAAAAAAATCCAAAAAAGCAGGTAATACAAACACAATTTATTTTTCTTAAAATTTTTTAAATCAGAGAAAAATGTTAATAATTTTGCTGAAGAATCAAATGACTGAATTAGATTTAATAATGGAAAATTTTACAGAATTAGATTTTAACAGTACTTTCAGTAAGCCTGGAAGCCAGAGAAATAACACATGCCAAAGAAATTAGATCCTTTTAATCTGAGTTTTACCTAATAACAAAAACCAGTAATTTGTGGGTATCTCTTAACAGATTAAAGATATGTACTCTTTCAAGAAGTGATACTACTATTACCACTATTTACTACTAGGTGCTTTATGTGTATTATTTACTTTTTTACTAACAAACCTAAAGGGTGGATATTTTAACCTCCATTTTATATTTCAGGAAATTGAGACTTAGGGAGCATTAAAAATGAACTTGCTCAGATTACACTGTAATTAAGTAGAAAACTAAGAGTTGTTACTAGGCCTCTCACATTTTTCTCTAAGGTGAATCCTAATTTGTGGACTTTTAGTCTGGAAAAAAAGATATAATACATCAAGAAAGAAATGTCACAAGTGGTACAGAAACTTAGCAAAGTGTCTTTTGGAAGCTCTGGTCCAAACTAACAATACATTTTTTTTTCTTCACAAAACTCTGAGCTATTTGATAGTAAAATTTTTCTTTGGCATAAGCGACCCTAATTCCACTTGAACCTTAGGAAACCTTCCCATGCCCGAGGAGCCTAGGCCCTCAGACTGTAGCTCCAAGAATTTTCTATGTTCCTAGCTCTGTGTTTGGATGCATGACAAACTAGGATTGAATAGCAAGATGAACTTTCCTACTTCACCTGTAATTATCACTAAAGAAAATTACTTAGGTTCAAAAGACTGAGGTTACTAAAAGCTTAACTTGTTAAATTTGGAAGAAAAAAACGAATTGTATAAAGTTTAGGACAAAAGGGTGAGAAAACTCTGGGGAGAAGAAATACAAATAAAATACAAAAAATCACCTTTCTCGTCCCTGTGTTACAAGATGATTTATGTCACTGCTATGTCTTCTGTCTCCTCTCCCACCTGTTTTGCCTTCGACTTCAGAGAGCCAAGCCTTAGGAAAAAAAATAAGCAAACAACTGAGCTCAATAAATATGTTTAAAAGCTCATAAGATATCTACATTTAAAATGTGTTTAAGTTTTTATAATTATGTAATTCTTAGAGATGTGAAACCTTTATTCCAAACTGGTCAAAGGATCAACTTTATAGCTGATTCAAAAAAATAGTATAAATGTTTAATCTTATATAAAGGTCTAAATAAAAAACTTTAATGAGATTAAATAACACACATCACAATAATACTTTTAGATCATAAACCCTAACATTAAATATAAACATTTGAAGATAATTCTAACAAAAACCAATCTATCATAATGAAGTTTATAAAAATAATTTATCTTGACAAGTGCTGAATAACAAATCTACCTCATTCTTATGGATTTCCATTCGTAGGCGGTCAATGTTATTCATGGTCTCTGCTAATTTAGGCTGCAAACTCCCTGGATCCCCCATTTGTGGATTCTTCTCATATACATCTTTCATTTTGTTGAGTGCATCTCTAAAAAAGAGAAGGAACCCCAGAATTAAATATTAACTTCATATGCTTCCAGATAAAAGAGTTTTATTGGACTCTGGGGACTCGTACGCAGCTTAATCTTAAGTAGAGTCACATCTTTTTAAGTTTGTCTAACATGACCTGATTAAAGACAATTTGCATAAAGGTGATAACATATAGAGTTACTAATTTATGAAGACAATCAGAATACCAAAAGAGAACAGAGTTCATTTCTTACTTCCTGCTTTCTAAACAAGGAATTTTATTTATATGTACATATACACACACACACAAAATCAAGGGCTGGAAGAATATTCTTCAGCTCATCATGTCCCAAATCAAACTCATTATATTCCAACTCAGCCACACTATTCCACAGTGTTCCTTAGCTCATACATCATCATTGTCCTCCCACTCACCTCTGCTAGAAATAGGAATGGCAGCTTTAACTTGCCCCCACCCAAAGTCAGTCATTTGCCAATTCCTCTCAACCTACCTCCTATTCTCTAATCATATTACAATCGGTTGTGCCTCAATTAGCTGTCCTTGACTCTAACATCTGACACTATTGACTAACACTCCTTAATACTCTTTTCCTTCATGACTTCCTATAGGTTACATTTTCTTTTCCCTCCTCCTCACCTCTGCTTTCTCACAATCTCCCTCACTGCCTTCTTTCTCCTTCTTTGTTCAACCTTTAAATGTGTATTACATAAAATGACAAAGGTTTCTTCTCGTCTCTTCCTACAGTCTTGTTGGAGGATGATCTCTTAATTGTTTTAATATCATCCATCTTCAGATGATTTTCAAATGCATATCTCCAGACCTCTCTCTCCTGAATTCTAGATTCATATCTTTAAACCCAACTGGACACTTCTAATATGGATTTTTCACATTTCAAAAATCAACATAAACAAAATCTTTATCTTTGCCCTAAACTTTTTTCTTATTGTTGCAATTAAATCTATAGCTACAAATCTTTTTTTTTTTTTTAAGCTTCCTCCATGTTTTCTCTTCTCCAGCATCCAATCAGGTGAAAGTACAACCTACTTTGGCTTTGAAATGATTCTTTTATCTATTCCTCCTTTCTATTCCCATGGTCATGCCTTAATTTAGGCCCTCAGTATCTCTCACCTGGATTGTTAAAGGCTTCTACCTCCAATCTCTTTCCTATACTATTTACTCTTCATACAGTTTTCAATTATCTTTTATCACACAGAGCTAATAATGTTACCCCTTCTCTCAATAACTGGGGACTGTAGTACCTACAGAACTTCACAGAAAAGCATTCAGAATTTTTCACAAGTCCTATACTTCTTCATCCTCAACTTCTATTATTATGTTCCACATAATTTTTAACCAAGTCTCTCTGGATTAGCACTAATTCCAGTCCATGGCAAGAACATTCACATTTCTGTGCCTTTACTCTTGTTTTGGACATGGAGATATCTGGGAAAATTTGAGTCACCAGAGGTACATTCAAGTTCTAAACTGTGGTCAAACCAGTGACACTCTGGCCTTCTTGCTCGTATTCTCATATTCTGGACATGTATCCTTTTTGCAATCTACTCATTTAGTGCAATGTTTCTCATATTTTTATGCTTTTTGTTGATATTGGTGTTTAAAATAGCCCCTAAGCATGGCAATCAAGTGCTGTCTAGTGTTCTGAAGCACAAGAAGGCTGTACCTTACAGAGAAAATTCTAATCTTAGATAAGCTTTGTTCAAGCATGAGTTACAGTGCTATTAGAAAAAAATCAAAGTTAATAAATCAACATCATATATGAAATAAGGTGTTTTTACACAGAAACACAAATAAAAAAAGGTTATGTGCCAATCAGCTGACTGAAACATTGTGACCAGTGGCTACCTAGAACCTAACCCTGTATCTCCCTAAGAGCAATGTTTCAGTATTCCATAATTTAGTGTTCACAGTGACTTTACAGAACACAGCTACTGTGAATGAGAATCAAAGGTAGTGCAAATATTTCATTATGATTAAGCGCCACATCACACCTGATACACTAATTCTTAGCATCAAAACTTCAATCTCTCATGCTACAATTTAAGCCCCAATTTTATCGTAAGTGAAGACATAGCAAGTCACCAATTCATTGTAATAACACTTTAATGATCGTGAATAATTCTTCTATGTCTATTTTTAAAAAATTAAACTAGAGGAAACGTCTTATAAAAATGAAATAAAAAAGTAAACTTATGTGTGAACAAATATGAAGCCGTCAGTAATCAAGCACCGTTTGCCAAATGTTTTGCTACAAAATAGCCTCAGGTTGCTAATGAAATCAATTTATATATAAAAGCAAAATGAAAATATATCAAAGTATAAGAGGTAGTGCTGATGAAACTACTCTTGATAATAAAATATCAAGAAATTTTTTGCAAATTAATGAAGGCATATTAGCATTCAATAAAAATCTGCAACCAAGGAAATTCTCTAACCTATGACAGGGTAACCATAAAAATTTCCAGGGTAGGAGTATAATTCTCTCTCAAAAGATATTTCAATTAGGATATATGATTTTTAAACCTTCTGTATATCACATTTAAGGGCGTCACTCAAAGTAGATCCTAAAATAATAATGATAGAGAAAACTTAAAGGAATAATACTTTTGGTCTGATTCTTTCTGTAGTTCTCTGTTAAGTTCATCAATGCGCTGCTGTAGTTTTTTACGTCTCTGTTCTGGTGGCAGATGACTGAAATCTTCTAGTGCTGGGCCCTGAAAAGAGAATCTAAATCATTATAATAGACATTTTCGGGAAATTTTATTTTTAAAATATACCTGCTATAAAATAAGAATACATACCAATCTTAAGTTTAATTTCAAATTTGCCTCAAGCAACCCCTTAAAAAAAAAAGAAATCTACACAGATGTGTGTGTTTATGCGTATATGTTAATGAAAACAATGTACTGAAGAAAAGAGCTCAAATTTCAGTCATTTTATAAAACCATGAAACAGAATAAGTAAAATCATACCCAGATACAGATAACTGGTAGGTAGTATCACATTACTTTCAAATCTTGGCAGAGTTATAATGAATACATGTAAACCTTCTTACAGCAACAACAACAAAATGGAAACACGTAACATTCTTGTCTATACAGGGTATTGTTTTATATATAACATATCACAACATTTCCAAATAAAACCCATTGCCATGACATTCAGAATGTTACAAATGTTCAAACTGAAAATATGAATATAATTAAGAAACTTACCTCACAAAGACAATCTAATGAAATATACTTTAACACTACATATAGTCTTTGAACAACTGATTAAACCATTCAAAACATACCTGGTCATTAAAAACCAAAGATAGAACTATCCACTGAGCAGAAATTATATTCAAACAAGTGTATATTTTCAATTAACCTTTTGTAAACCAAATAACATACCTCAGTTGTTACTGAAAGAAGGATAAAATCCTTCTTTAGGAAAGATCCTTGATGTCTGAAAATTTTTTAAAGTTTTGATATTCAAAAAACTATGCAATTTAAGAAAAAGTACTAGTATTTAAACGTAAACATCTGATCCAAATGACACCTTTTCCCTTAAATGTTATTTTAATCACTGTTACTTATATTACAGATTACAACAGAACCAATATTAGCCGCTATTGAATCTATTTAATATAAACCTATATTACTTAAATCTTTATATATACTCCAGAAATTGATGATGCCTGTCACTATTCATTTTCTTTTCAAAATGGTTATTCTAAGAATAAGGCCAGGCGCAGTGGCTCACGCCTGTAATCCCAACACTTTGGGAGGCTGAGGCGGGTGGATCACCTAAGGTCAGGAGTTTGAGGCCAGACTGGAGCCTGGCCGACATGATGAAACCCTGTCTCTACTAAAAATACAATAAATTAGCCAGGCGTGGTGGCAGGCGCCTGTAATCCCAGCTACTCGTGAGAGGCTGAGGCAGGAGAATCACTTGAACCCGGAAGGCAGAGGTTGCAGTGAGCCAAGATCGCGCCATTGCACTCCAGGCTGGGCGACAAGAGCGAGACTCCGTCTTTTAAAAAAAAAAAAAAAAAAAAAAGGTAAAGAAAAGAAAAAAGAATATAAATATTCAAATTTGTTAAAGTGATGCTAAAAGGAGCTCTCAAAACAAATACGATCTTGCTCTTTGGGCCACTTATGCCTGTAACATATGCTAAATAGCTTTATTTCACCATGTGTAAGAATGAGTCACTTACTTTCAGAAAAGAGAAAACTCACTCCTAGGATGAGCTATAATTAAATGTAACATTTAATTAATAACAGAATCCCTAGCCTCTTTCCCCAGTGGCCTGTAGATTATGGATATTCAACAAGCTTGCTAGAAAAAAGTAGGGCATCCTAAGTGTTGCTTTTTTTTTTTTTTTTTTTTTTTCATTTACCAATCACCAGAAACAAGGATATCAATCAACCCAATCTGGCCTAAATAAATCAATGGTGAAATTTCCTTTGTTGAGTTCCTTTAGATTTACTGGTTAATTTGCAACATAAATTTGTCATATTTAATCTACTTTGGAGTTGAAGGTTTTTTGTAGAGATAGGGTCTCATTCTGTTGCCCACAATGGAATGCAGTTGAGTGATCATAGCTCTCATGGCTCACTATAGCCTCGAACTCCTGGGCTCAACCAATCCTCCCGCCTTAGCCTCCCAAATAGCTGGGATTACAGAAAAGGAGTACAAGTTTTGAAAACTAGTATATATATATGCCAAAAATAAACTTCTTAATTTAGATTTTTAAAAATATTTCTAAAAATCTTGAAAAATTATTGAATAAAATGAAGAAATGCATTTCAACATACTGTGGAGTTTTTTTTTGTTGTCAAAATTATGATAAACTCACAATAACCTACAAGTAAATCTGCCAGAATTCCACTTATCCCTTATCAAACCCTGTTCTCAAATTTATGAACAGTAAACACTGAGGCACTTACATTTCTAATATCCCATTTGACATTGGAACTCTATTCTTACATAGAATATGAGAATTAAACTTAACTTTATTTCCTATGGATGTTCAGAAGACCTCTGGGGCATTTAACAACCTCTCTTACTACAAAGGAATTTATAAAAGGCTGATTCCAACAATGTAAAAAAGAGTGGTCTATTTTCCAGTAGCTTCCTATACAATAATTTTGGGGTTAGTTCCTAATGTAGATCCATTAATTTGTTTGAAATAAACATACCAAGGAACATCCCAAACACACACACACCTTCCCCGCCCCGCCCCACCCCCCACACAAACACACACAGGATATTTAGATCATTTGTGTTTCTATTCTCCTTCAATAGCACAGAAGAACCAAGGACTAACTCCATAATGATACTAGTTTGAAATTTTTCTTTCTTTTTTTGGAAAAATCTAATGACTCTGGGGATAAAACTACAAATCAAATTTATACGATTTTTTAAAGGCTATTAAGCAAAATAATATTTGCTAAATTTTCCTTCTGCATAACAAACTGTGGCTCTACCATGTAATCTTTAAAAAATGTTTAACCACAATTTTACGCTCCTCTGTAACATGACAAGGACTCCATTCAATGACATTTAAGAACTTAATGGGTTGATGACAATTAACCACATTTTCTAATCTTATGACATCAAGAGTACTGGCATATGCTGGACTATGAAACTATAAAAAGAAAAAACACACAAGGTGAAAACGTGGGATGTAATTTACCACTTGTTTTGAATTAAACAAAACAATGTTTTGAGATTACTTAATGTTGGCACAGTATATAGATCAGCACATAAGGCTTACCATCTTCACCGACCACTGAATAGTTCAATGGAAAACAGAAAGAAATGGTAAATTATTCACAGGAAACCATAATACAGAAGATGCAATAGCCTATTCTTTTTCACAATACTAAAATAAATCACGTACATTTCACAATCCAAACAATTATGCCAGAAAAACCATTTTAAGCACATTTTGGGAAAGTAAATTACTTGCAAAAAAAAAAAAAAAAAGCATACATTGATGATAATGGGCAGATATTTTCTATGTTTAACTAAAACTTAAAAATAAACATTCTACCTGTAATCATGCATTTTCTTTTAAAGTGAATTTTATGTAAGTGGATTTCACTTCTATAGCTCTTTATTCTCAAATTACTAATATTTGAAAAGTTGAATATGAACTCTAAGATTAAACATTTAAAAAGAAATCTTATGTGAAATATTAAAAAATAGAATGTTCTTTCCAGTGTGTTAAAGAAAACACTATTACCTACATTTTTATACTTCAAAGTACTGTTTGAATTTAAATATACCATGGTTAGATGAGGGTAACATTTTTACTTTCATTTTAAAATCTTTTAAAATGTACATTTAAAACACATTATTTTCAAAATAGTGAGTTATCCAGATTCAAGTTTCCCGTACACATTTCCTAATATATACAAGTATATAGGTTGAATTTTGCTTTAAAAATATAGCTTCCATTTTTCAGGTTTTATTTTAAAATCCATATGCTTGAACAACACTAAAAACATAACTTCAATTTTTAGAAAATTGATTAAAATGTATTCTTTCTGAAAATATGAAATGACACAGATTCTGAAGAGACCAACCATAGTGCTCTTGTACAACAATACTTTATATATGTATATATATGTGTGTGTGTACAGATATAGATATGTATATGGATTTGGATATATCTCCCACATTCTGTGGGTCAATAGGATTCTGCAACTGGCATGGCATCTATCTAGCATCCCAACTACACACCCACACACATACACACACACGGTGACCCAGAAAATGCAACGGAGCTTTATAAAGTTAATCTTCACATTCATCTCAATTAGTGAGCTGCCTGTAAAATTTTTACTTTTCCCTATTTTCTAAATCACATGTTTTAAGAGAAGGTGTTGGGGAGATGTCAGATAAAAAATTCACATTAAAAATATGAATGAATTTTAATAAATAATCTGACAAAAATATCTACCCCTTATCTCTGATGAGTTGGTCACTGCTTATGCATTATCGTTCCAAATTAAGCTTAACATTCTTTAGACTGTCAGTATTTTTGAGAAACAAAAAAATTTATTTTGCTATTAAAAAACTCCTGGTAAGGAAATAGAAAGGTTTGAAGAAAGATATTCACAGTCTTTCAAAAATGTTATTAAATGAAATTATACATAGGACAAGCAACAAAATATTTGAAGTATATGAATTTGACTTATCTTTCAATAATTTTCACCAGTGAAATTTCTAAGTGATGCAAATTATCTAATTTCTATATTAATATTTTAGAGAAAACATTAAGATAATTATAGCTGAAATATCAAATGTTTCAGCTATTTGTTAATCTAGTCTTACTAAATTATCAATTGGAAATTTGATAATTAGATTTGGGGATATACAAAGCTCAAGTTCTTTGTAAAAATATTAGACATATGTTCTGTGTAAGGTTTTAAAGTAATACATGTTCCATACAAAAATATCTTATTCTCATATACAATTATATACTCATAAACTAGAAAACTTCATATACTCAACTACATTTAATAAACACAAGAGAGCTAAAAAGGAAATCATTTAGACAATTAAAATTATTAGGTGTATTTCATTTTAAATAGGACAAAATTTCATGAGAACTACTCTGGAGAGATAAAAGCTTAGAAAAATGTCTCTGAAAGTCTATAAAGTCATAAATATTCAGAGAGAAAACCTGGACTCATTGCTAAATAAATAACTTAAAAAACAGTATCCAATAAAACTCAAAGTAGCAATAGAGTAAAAATTATTAGTTTGTTTTTAAGTAGTTAAGTTCGAGTATATCCTCAAATATCCATTAACGGTTAGAACTTAATGTCACAGAAGGAAATTATAGAACTTCCTCCCTCAGAAAAGATCTGCTGATACCACTGTCAAACTCAAAAACATTTTTCATATCCTTAATTTATACTGGGATCTGTACACACGAGTTTTTCTTTAAAAAAGGAAAAGAAAAAGAAAAAATCATAATTTTTAAGAAGTTATTTAGGAAAAGCAATGTGCAGCAAATATCGCACAAAACAGGAGTTTCTGAACTGAATGGTACAACTCATCAGTTTTAAGAAACCTCTAGACTTATTTTGTAATCTTAATAGACTGAAAATTCCATGTAAAAACATATAAGCAGGCTTACTAAAGCTTACCTTCTTCTTTTTGAATTTTTCTATATTGAGAAAATTCTTATGTGGAAAAAAAATCTCTATAGGTTAATTTTTGAGATAAATATCTAGTAAATACCAAACGGTAATCAAAAGAAAAAAATTTCTCAACCTCCAAGTTGTAATCCACTTTCTTCCCTGCTCTGTCCTCTAAACCCCTAGTTGGTTTGTCATATTTTCTCTTTCACACTGCTTTCTTCTCTGGAGTGGTATAGCTAATAATAAATCTGGGAGGGGATTTCAGCCTTCTAAAACTAGATCCCTACAAAAATAACTTATGCTATCTTACGTAAATAACTTATGAATATCTATAATTTGTGAGAAACAATAAGCAAATAGTTTTAAGTTTTACAGTTATAAAATTCTACCTACAAACTTATTCAAAAAAAAAAAAAATAAGATGACACATATTTAAGCTTCTCTCCAGGGTTCATAGCTCTAATTGCCTGAGTTTTTTTTTTCCTTAGAATTACACTTACCTCGCATCTCTATGACTACATGTGGAAAATATGACTATGACTATATAGTGTAAAATATGACTATTTTAACTGGGCCTGGTAGACTCATTATATAGGATATACAAATGATTACAAAAACGTGACTACTACATAGTAATTTCTCATGATTTATGTAACAATATAATATTTAGTGTAGTCTAAATTGCCAGAGGAGTAGTGGTTCATGCCTGTAATCCCAGAACTTTGGGAGGCTGAAGTGGGAGGACTGCTTGAGCCCAGGAGTTTGAGATCAGCCTGGGCAACAGAGCAAGACCACATCTCTTTAAAACAATTTTAAATTAAAAATAAGTAATAAATAAACTGCCATAGGGAAGCAACATGGGAATGAGTTCTAGCCTTGTAACTCAGGCAATAGAAATCCCAAATATGATTTCTCAAAGTCTTTCAAACAAGTGTTCAGAGCTTTTAGAAGTGATTATAGGCATGCCTACAGTTATCATACAGACTCATCCATGGGGACTTTTCAAAATGTCATCAATTACCTACCATCCACATATAGAATTAGGTAAGACAGATGCAAAGAAGTTCATGTCACTGGAGGAAAAAAGAAGTCCAGAAAATGACATAATACACTGGGACATTTCTGCTGCATTAGTAACATCAGTTAAGTTTGTCATAATGTTTTAAAGCAATATAGATGTAATCTTGTCCCTAAACTAATATATCTTGTTCTATAGGAGGCCAAAATGCAATGTGAAGACAGAAAGGAAGAAAAATAGAAGGGAAGGAGGGGTAAGAAGAGAGAAAAGAGGAGAAAGGAAGGGAGGGAAGGGTCTAAGAAGGAAGAACGAAACAACCTAATTTTAGATTATTATTGTTAGGCTTCTTACGACATTGAAAGACTGATTTCTCATCTATGGGTTAATGAACCTATGTTTTTCAAATGTCCCAACAAATGCTCAAATCTTATAAATGAGTCTAAATTACAGGTTATGAATATTAAAAGCACACCCTTAAAATCAAACATAAACAAGAAAAATTAGCCTCACTAACATTAAATAGAGTAACACTAATGTATTTATTAGTAGTATAACAGTTGTTGCTAAACAACAGTTTAGTAAACATTACTCAGTGATATCTAGTATTTTTGTAGGCTTTACAATTTACAATCTATTTTCTAATATATTATCTCAATTTGATCTACAACAATCTTGATATTTAAAATGCCTATCTTTAATTTTTTTTAACTATTGGAAACTGTTTTATACATCTGAAAATAAGCAGGGCAATTAAAATTGAGCTTGACATTTTATTGTCAATAAAATAATATTTTATAAAATTGGCAGGTGAAGTCAGCATTGGTGACAAATTATTACAAGAGTAACTCCAGTGACAAATTACTGAAAGTCTTAAAAATGTAAATACATTACAAGACAATGGTGAACATATGATTTCACATAAACAAAAAAATAGCTAAAATATGATTGTACCCAGCACCCTCTTTATAATACCATTCTTTTATGGTTGAGCATTTCAAATGTTATAAAGAGGAGTTGTTTTTAACTTGAGGGCAGCTATTCTTAATTCTGTGGTGTTTTTAAACTGTGTATTTATAGGAGAGAGCCTTATAATGAGGGTGGAGAGTATTAAAAGCCACACTACACACACAATAGGCCATCATGCATTTTAACCCATTATTAAACTTACCCCTCTTTTGAGGCTTCTGAAAGAAGGAATTCTGGGCTTCCCTGTTTTTATTTCATTCATACAATAATGCACGGGCTCAATGGAGAATGTGAGAAACTGGGACCCATTAGGAGTACTGGATGTGAATAAACTAGTAGGGGTTAAGGGTGGGGACTGTGGCTAATATGGAAATAAAGAAAGGAATCAATAAGCCAAATGTGCATAGTTTTCTCCTAAATGAAAATTCTATTTTTGGCAACATACTTTTCACAAAATATATCTCAAATAAAGTTTTCTGTAAAAATATTATGAGAAAGTAAACATAGTTTTGCCCAAAACTATTATTTAAAAAAATCAAATTTACTTTTTAAAATGTACCATTTCACTTGATTACTTTTAACATCGGACAAATTAAAAACACAGAGTTCACAAATTATATTGTCAAAGAAAGCAATATGGCCTAGATTTTAAAATTCTCTTCTAATTTCTAGAATATTAGCATTACCATGGTACTTGTCAAGAAATAAAGCTGGCAGCTACACCTAAAGTTATCTAAACAGGTAATGTCGCACATAAAATATTAAAACTGTAACTGATTATTACCAAAAATAGGCAAAAAAATTTTCATTACATTCATGGCTTTCCTCTCAGGCTGTTTCTATTTCATCCTTATTTCACCTTTTTTTTTTTAATTCCAGTATTCCTTGTACATCTAAGCTCTTCTAGCTACCTCGATCTGACTTAAAACAGGTCTCACCTCTCAACTTCTTGACTGGACAATATGATTAAAAGCATAAATAAAGCATGAGTTAATTATAATTGTGCTTTTAAAGATACAGGTATATTATAATGAGTTAAATTTTAATTTTATCTACACTCATATGCCATGATCAAAAAATGAATTAAAATAATCAAGTATACTTTAATAAATACAGCACATCAGATTAAAAGTATTTCTCTATTCTCCTTACTAATAAGACACGAGTACAACCACTTAATTGATAAGAAAGACAAAGCACCCATCTATTTCATTTGCTCACATGCTGACCTAGATCTATCTAAAATAAAGAGCACATCAGAAGGTGGGTTCTAACAAGAAGTTAAGAGTGAGATTCTCTTACCAAACTAGAAATTGTTTTAAACTTCAATTAACCAAGACTGAACCTTTCCCATTAAAAACTCATATGGATGATAAAAATAATTTTAGTAGTAGGATCTATAAAACCTAACTTGACATGTATTATGGCTGTGGTCATTCATTCCATTTGAGAATTCCAATTTTAGTGCTATTTTAGTTAGATCATGTTTCCTTAAAAATTCTGATGGAAACTACATACAAATGAAACTTCAAAAGCATATAACTTAACTAGATATTAACAACTTTGTTAATACTCTTACCCATTATTAAGCGGTAGTCAAATGTTAAATCCATAAATAACTGTTACTGTTAAGGTATTCCTAATATAAGTGAAAGGTTAACTGAATCATTCAAATTGAAAATATTTATTCTCCATTAATGGTAAATCATTTTGCATTCAATACCCACATTGTTTTAGTTGGTACACTTAAACTGATTAGCATATAGGAATTTTATGACTTTTACCTTTGGCTTCTTTCCAAAGAGCCACAATTTGCCCTTGGCCTTTCCTACTGTGGTTTTGGCATCCATCTTCCCACTCTCCTGTTTGGATGCACTGATAGTCCCATCAGAAATGGTTCTATATATATGTTGACTGTAATCTTCAAATGGAAAGTCTCCTGGAGGTTCAAAACCAGATTTGAAGGAGTCTACCACCATTTGAGAGTCCTATACAAAAGAAACTAGGTTTTAAAACTGTTTCACTTGCTCATAATTCTACATCAGCTTTCATAACTTTTTCAGTACAAAAAAACAACAAATATAAGTTTAAATAAATAATTCCACAATAATCATTAAGGTAAATAATTTATTCCCATGAATGTGTAACAAACTCAAAGTATTTTAATCCCAAAAGAAAAATATACTTGCAAATTACAACTTAATTAATTTATAATATTCATAAAATGTTTTTACTTGGTAGCTTTAACCACCTGAAATTCATCTGAAGACTACTTAGCTGAAAAAGACCTAACTGACAAAAAGAATACAGAAAGAGGTTATTAACAAGTAGAAATTCTGAGAAGTTTCAAAGGAAAAAGGCTTTTTGCTTTAAAAGATAGATGTCAACAAAGAAGCTAATCTTTGGAATGAGGAAAGAACATCTAATTGTAAAAGAGAGTAAAAGATGAGTAGGAAAGGCTTTCTAACTCATCCAACATGGGAAAAGATAAATAAATTAAATATATACTGTGGAATGTTAACAGAGCAACAGGGAAAAGATCTCATAAACACTACTGAGTGCAAACAACATTTGAAAGTTTAATACCATGTATTTAAAATTTTTAAACTCACATAAATATTGTTTTTAGACATACATACCTCTACCTGAATGCTTTAGTGATACCTTAAACTCATTATTTTCAGAGTATCTCTACAAATTCCTCCCCACCCCTAACAACAACCTCTCTTTTGTTGCCTATTTCTGTTAACAGTACATTTTGCCCTTCATTTAGTCAAAAGTCATCCTTAAGTCATAGCTTACTTTTGTCAGTAATGCTACCCTCAGCAATAATTTGCTAAAGGGTAATTAGAGAGAAGAGGGCTGTAATGATATTGTATAAACTTGTATCCAGCCATGCTGAAAGCCAAAAATCCTCTTTTCTAAATTTAAGTGAGAATTCTATTAGCTGTAACAGAAAGGATCCTCACTAATATAATATCTACTTGATAGGTTCATGAAGACTAAAATATGTGACACATATCTGATATCCTGCAAACACCAGTTCTCTTCTCTTGCCACTGCCTTTCCTCAGTTTCTGCCAACCATGCTTTTTGATCACTCAATCAACATTTACTGAGATAAAAGACCCTAGTCCTTAATCAAGATACAATGTGATTACCTATCCTCAAGGGGAGGAGGGCTATGCTGTTTCATCTGCACATAATGCCCTCCTTCCTCCTCCTCATTGGTCATCACTCCATATGCTACCCACATTTCTTGATCCAGCTCAAGTGCTAAAGGCAACTCTAACCACATACTTCTCTAAATTTTCACTAAACTAATATAATAGTATAACACAATTTGTAACACACAGTTCCTAGGTTAGACTCTTTGATAAGAACTGAAAACTTAGTGGGAGAAGAGAGTTAGAAATCTTTTTTTTTTTTTTAAGAAAGAATTAGAACTTTTGCATGTAGAATGAATCTCAGAACTCAAAGGAATCTATTGCAAGACATTCTTCTACAGAATATAATTTAGAACCACACATCAGATTACTTTATCCCTTTCTCAACTCATTTCACTAACTTAAACTGCACACCTAAACCAAACAGATGCATTCAAAGATAATTATTTAGCACTTACTCTTCTTTCATCAACTGATTTTGCTGCAAGAATCATTCCTTCCAAACATTTTGAAATGATGGGAATAACTTTGCGTTCTGAGTCAGCAAATCCTCTGTAACACTCACTGAGTTTAATAGTCCTTCGTTCGTCCATTTCTTGTAGTTGCTAATAATCAAGAATTTTTTTAAAAAGAGAAAACTGAATTTTTCAATCATTCTAAAGGAGTTCAATTAGTGATCCCCCATCAAAAATTAAATATTTCTACCCTCATAGTTACACTGTTGTTAATACCTTTTAACAAGTGCTATTGACTTATAATACTTAAAACCTGGGACATGCTAAACAACAAAAGAAAGAAAAAAAATAGTAAGGCACTTAGTATTGTTTTCCTAAAACCAGATGACACTGGGATTCTAGCCTTCTAAAAGGACCCCTTACTGGCTATCAGCTCCCTGCCCCATAGCACTCCCACCTTTTACTATTCAATCAGAGTAGTTCTTGTTTATGCTTCCAGAAAACATTTCATTTGATGACAAAATTCTGGTGCTTTTTTTTTTTTTTAAAGCAACTGGCCCATAACATATACAAGACTGAGACTTTTTTTTTTTTTTTTTTTTGAGGCGGAGTCTCGCTCTGTCGCCAGGCTGGATGGAGTGCAGTTGCGCGATCTCGGCTCACTGCAACCTCCACCTCCCAGGTTCAAGCAATTCTCCTGCCTCGGTCTCTCAAGTAGCTGGGACTACAGGCACGTGCCACCATGCCCAGCTAATTTTTGTATTTTTAGTAGCGATGGGGTTTCACCATGTTGGCCAGGATGGTCTCAATCTCTTGACCTCGTGATCCACCTGCCTCGGCCTCCCAAAGTGCTGGGATTACAGGCGTGAGCCACTGCCCCCGGCCAAGTCTGAGACTTCTAACCTCAAGTTAATTCAGGATACTTTGGTAAGACTTGGCTGGACCAACAGTCCATACTAGTTGTTTATCAACAGGTACCCAGACCTACTGCAGTGTACACCTCAGAGCTGGGGATACGTGAGGAAAAACAGGAAGTCACAAGCTCAAAGTGGCACATATAGAATCCTCACAACTGAAAATTCACTGGCACATGCCACTAGGAAATATGTTGGAACACATAAAGTCCAATAACTTAAAGGCATTTTTTTTTTGACATATCCTATTTGCCAGCACTGACCTTGCTGTTTCATTGACAGCAGTTACACTCCTTGTCTCCCCAAACTCCCACAGCCTGGGACTTTGAGACCTGCATTTTCACAGAATTGCTCCATAGAAAGGTCCAAATCCAAGTATCAGGCCCAAAACACAAAAGGTAGTTTATCTCCACAAGTTATAGTTTCCCCAGAATATGAAGACTTAACTACTAAGCCTAGAAAAGCATCACAGTGAAGACTGGCAGGCTTGGCCCTCTGGATTCAATGACCAGAATTCTGGTCCCCACTCCAGTTCATTATCTCTCACTGTGCTTTCTTTGTATTTCCAACTTGCCTTATAAAGAAGAAAAAGTGTACCCGGGCTGACACTCTTCCCACAGAAGCTCTGCTCGTTGAGATAATAACTCATCAACACTGCTTTACTAAATCCCTTTTCTGTAATTTCTCTTCTTTCTAGAACAGGCAATTAAATAATTTAACCCTCATGAAAATTCTGAGGTCTTTTTTACCTGAGGCTGTTTGGCAACTGTTATCATCAAGTGATGACAGACAGGATTTATAAGCAAGCTCAAAGTCTGAATTACATTTATCATCTAACAGAGCCAGCATGATAAGCAGGCAAAAACCATGCTAGCAAATATATTTTGTAAGATTTATTTCTGCCATCTGGACTGATGCCAATGACTCTGGTTTGGTATAAAAATGCTACATCTCAATTCTAGGTGAGCAGATTACAATATACAAATTCAATTAATTCTCCTTTGTCATGTCAAAATACTTAAAGTATTTAAATGTATCTTACAAATGTCATTGTTTTAGTAAACTGTTTATAACACTAATAGTAGATACGTAGGAAAATGTGTGACTTAAAAGTTAGAAAACACTTGTTTTCAAATCTATAATCATAAAGGAATCTCTCACCCCAACCCTGATGTCTAGTGAATCTAGAAAGATTCTGATGTCTAAGACTTACAAGTTTTATATTTAAACACCAGTTAATCTAAAACTAGATTAACTTCATATCTAAGATTTACCTTGTAAATCTGAGGAATCACTACATAAAAATGTTTATGTTGTTCTCCATTAAAGTTTTGTAATTGTGCAGCATATTCATTTTTATTTTCATCGGCCATATGCGTACGCAGATTCAACTGCTGTTTGGCCTAGGGGCAAAATGGTCGAAATTATTATCAACAACAAAATCACAGCAATTCACTTTTTTGAAAATTATACTAAAACTAGATTTTATCAATGAAGAAGCCAACACCTGACATCAAAAGAATAATGACGTGGCATAACTTTTTTGAACTATTAATATCATTTAAAATATATTTTATATTTAAAGACACCTGCAGATCTTACTGTCAGAGTGGTCTCCTTATTACAATATTCTTCCCTCTCTCATTACAATAGTATTCCCTGATAGCAATAAGACATTCTAATATAGACTCTCCTTACCAAATCCAGATAAAAAAACAAACAAATGAAAACATTATAGCTTGAAACAGTGTGCTTTTAATCAGAAGAGAAAAACAGGTAGCTTTAGGAATATTTTCAGATTGTTAAAAAAGTTAACAGTAAAACATTTATGATCCAACTATATCCAACTAAAATATGGAACTTAAATCACAGTGAAACTAAATAATAATATGATTGTTGAATAATGCAACATTCAACAGTGTTTCCACCAATGTGTAGAACCACAGATACTTTAAGGAATGCTTATTTAGAATACAGTTCTGTTCCTCTTGATCTCTTGTACAAAGTCAAATTAAGGAATGCTTATTTAGAATACAGTTCTGTTCCTCTTGATCTCTTGTACAAAGTCAAATTACAACAGTTATTCTCTAACTAATTATTACCCCATCAACACATCTTAGCTTTCTAACCTATTTTGGAATAGGCTAAAAACTCAATCCCAGTAGCAACTACGTCTTTCCTCTAAATTTGAATGCAGCTAAGATATTGTAATAAATTAACATATATTACTTTCTCAGACCAATACGTATAATTTAAAGTTGGCAAATATTTGTATATTTTAGACTTAGATACAGTGTATCTCAAGTAAATCCTAATACTGTAGTCATACAAATGTCGTGACTACTTTCCTTATGCAAATAATAATATTTTGACATTAAAGTTGGTTTGGAGTATTTCTTACCTTTTCAACATCTGCCTTGGTTGCATTAGTATCATTATCCAATCTTTCATAACTCTGTTGTGCCTTTTCTGCCTCTCTACATTCTCTTTCAAACTTCTTTTTACTCTGTTAAAAAAATTAAAATATCACACTGAGAAAATAAAATCAGGCTAACTTCATTTAAGAAATAACTTTAGAGAGCATTAGGAGAAATAACTAACATAGATGACGGGTTGATGGGTGCAGCAAACCACCATGGAACATGTATACCTATGTAACAAACCTGCACGTCCTGCACATGTATCCCAGAACTTAAAGTATAATAATTTTAAAAAGAGAGAAAAAAGAAATAACTTTAAAATGTGCCACTGTGTATTGTGTGGAAATGAACTGCGCACTAAGTAAAATTTGTCCTTTCTAAATTAGAAAATAAATTTTACTATTACAACCAATCCACGTTCCTTAAATATCAGACATTAATTACAGACTATGAGGAAAAATAACATAGGCATGACTGAGTTAATATTTATTATATATCTCACTCAAAAAATGTGTGTTTTATAATTTTTTTATAAAAAATATAAGTCCTCATCTTCAGGAGGACTTTTTTGGTTTGGTGTTTTTTGTTCAGTTGGTTTGTTTTGGCATTTATTTTTATACTTTTTTGGTGAGATCCAATGTAGCTTGGGTATATGGAGCGTCCCTCCAAAGTGGTTTTATATTGTTTCTTCCAGGTGTCCCACGAAGAACATCAGCCCAGACCCCAAATCTTTTTAAATTTTATTTCATTCAAACTATTATGACTTTGTAAAAACTATTCACAACTGAGCCATGTAAAATATATGTCATATTACATTTTCTTTCCTACATAATTTTTTGATATTCTGGAGTTAATACATGTCTTCATTTTTTCAATTTGCTTAGTTTCCAATGCATAATTCAACCAGTTTTTTCCAGTTCTTTAAAACTGACTGCAGTTAATTCTAACACATTAGGAATTCTATTGATTTTATTTTCTTGATAAATCTTTCCCAAAGGCTTCTAAACTTGCTGGAATTTGAACTCATTACCAACTAGGCCTAATGCATAGTTGTTACCTTAGCATTTCCCTCCCCCATCAACCTGTGGATTCATTTCACCTCCATCTTTGTTTGGATGTCCTATTTCCTAGTTGTATGCTTTCTCCGTTCTTGATTCACTTCCTCATTTTGCTAGAACACATTCAGCAGCAGCCTCCTAAAAGGTCTGCAGGAGATAACTGAATCTCCATGGCTAAAAATGCATTTACCATCATTTTTAATTGACAAAATTTGGCTGGATATAGAACTCTAAGTTGGAAATCATTTTCCTTCAAAAACTTAAAAGTATTGCTCCACTATTCTTCTGGCTTCCTGTGTAACTATCCTGTCTATTCCATTCTGATTCCTGACCCATTGTATAAACCATGTTTGTTTGTTTGGGGTTTTTTCTCCCTGGAGGGTGGTAGAATCTTCTCTCTCTCCAAAGTGTTCGAAATTTCAAGAGATGTGGACCCACTGTGCTGAGCACATGGGATATCCTTTCCATCTGGAAATTCATGTCTTTCAGTTCTGGGAAAACTTTCTTGAGTTATTTTTGTCCTTTTCTATGTTTTGTTCCTTTTCTATGTTTTCTCTTTTCTAGTATGTTTACTATTTTGGAAATGAACCTACTGGATGAGTCTCCTAATTTTCCATATTTTCAATGTCTGTCATTTTGCTCTACTGGGGTATTTATTGAACTTTATCTTTCATTTTTTTTCTAGTGGGCTTTTTTTTCTACTATCATAGAGTTATTTTTTGTTCTTTATATGTTTCTTTTAAAATAATACCTTATTTCATGGATGTAAAATTTTCTCTATTCCCTTTGAGAATATTAGCTAACAGCTGTAAGTATTTTCCTTGTTTGTTTTTGCATTTTAATTTTCATTTCCTTTCATAGTCACATTGCCTTCTTTCCTGCATATTAGTTCTGGTCCCTCATGTGCACATTAGATGTCTTCTTTAAATATCCTGGGATCCTTGGATATCTGCTCTTATTTAAAAAGCCATTGAAAGCTCCACCGATCGGGCTTTACGGATTATGATATTTTCCTCTAGGGTGACATGGCCAGGGAGTTCGTTTCCTTGGAAAAACCTGGCAGCAGTTTTTATAAGCTTTTTCTCCCTAAATGATTAGATTACCCCGAAAGACTTCCAATTTCTTGCCTGGAAAATACGCACCTTGCAACCTGTGCTCTGAGAATTCCTCAGAAGAAGCAAACAGGGGATCTCAATATTTTGTATTTACCTAACCTCCTTTATCGAACCAGTTACAATGTTAATTTCTTACCCTGGAAATCCAAGCCCTTAGCAAGTACCAGGTCCAGGAAACCATTATACCTCAAACACCCTGTCCCCATTTTTCCAAATGCCACTTATCAGCTCAGACACCTACTGCTCTGGATTTGTTTACCCATAGTTCCCTAGCAGTTAGCAATTTCCCTTTCTTTCAAGTAACTAAGAGTTTAAAATACAATTTAAAACTACAATAGCTGTTATATCAAGCCATTTGTAGCCAAGAGGTTTCGTAGTTCAGTTTGTAATACAGTTACAACCAGATAGGCCTATAACTTACATCAAATAAATGCGCTCCAGGATTTTTTCAAATTTATTTAAATGTAGGCTTTATTTTGTACAGGTATTTTGATTAGTATGAGACACCAAATGAGGCACTTGTAATTTACTCAAAGCCCCTAAAATATTTAAATACTCATACATAAAATCACTTTGCTATGAAAATTAAGCTTCCACATTTCATTCTCTGAAACTGAGTTCAGAGCTGTGTTTTCCAATCAAGTAACTATAGGCTACTAATTCTGGTACAAACTGAGGCTACTTATGTACAAAAGTATTTTTATATTTGGTATCTTATTTGTGGGAAAACACCTACCTAATAATTCCTTGCAAAAGCAAAAGAACTAGTAGTACAATAATATTAAAAATGCTCCTTCCCTGAAAGATAATATAACATTATACAAGACAGAAATATACTCCAGAAAAGATTGTTTTTCCCTTCATCCTTGGTGTGGCAGACGAAGTACAGCCACTTCTACTCCCCTACTCTTGCTTAGCAGAGCCTGCCCCGCCCAGTACAGAGGCAGAAAACAGCTAATACTTGCTCTCCTAGACTCCCCACAGCCAGGGCAGAGGTAAGTAATCTAATTCTGTCAAAGGCATCCAGAGGAAATTTGTTGGGGACTTTCTGGGAAAGTTTTCCTTCCCTGATAAAATGGGATAGTTGGAAGTGAAATGCTGCCTTTTTCCCACCTCTGGATGAAACTGAATGAGGATATCGTGTTTAGCTCTTTAAGCCTACTGCTGACCTTAAGGAGACATGGCTGAGGAAAAGAGCACCTGGTCAAGATGGCAAAGTAGACAGATGAAAAGGAGATGGAGCCTGGTGACAACCGTGGGCTACTGACTAACTATGGAACTGCTCCATTTCTGAGCTCTGCTCTTATAAAACTGTATGCTCTGTTACTTGGAGCCTTGTAACTGATGGACCTCGCATCTCTGATGCTTCTATCTTCTTAATCTCTGACCATTCCTTTAATACCTCCTTTACAGGCTCTTCTGTCCTGATCTTAAATGCCAGTACTGCCTACTTTATTCATCCCAAGGTTAATAACTGTCTTTTAATTTTTTTCCTCAATTTTTAATACCCTGTCACTAATTCAACCTGTCCACCAGTTCTTTACATCACCTCGCAATTATTTCAAACGTGTTAGGAATTCTACAATTTCATTTTCTTGACTAAAGAGGAAGACATGGAACTAGGAAATAGAATCCTACACTTGTTTCTACATATTAAACAGAAATTATATTGGTTAGTTTCCCTCACTAGACTGCAAGTGCTACAAAAACAAGAACCATGTCATACTTACTTTTGTACCTCCAGAGTACATGTCAAGGATACTTTTCAATAAACACAAGTAGAGCTGAACTCACCTTTTTTTATAGCATTGTTAATGCCTTAAAGAAATCTCTCCTACATTTTTGATGCTTCTTTCTTTCTTATGACCTCTAAAACTTTTGCTTAACAACGGTCAATTGTTCTAAAGGCAAGTTGGCACCTATTAAGAATAATTTGTGCCAACACCAATTTTTAAAGGAACCAATGACTCATGAATGTAGGAGTATGTTATTTTGTGCAAATGAAAACACACACACACTCATTAGGTGGCAGATACTAAGGATGATAGTTAAGGCAATTTAAAACTTAATCAACATAAATACTTGGTGAAGTCTTGCTGAAACCAATTAGAAAATCAAAATGAAAATGAAAACATTATTAATATACCTAAGAACTCTCAATCAGCACTGGTGATTAGAATATCACATCAATGGTAGTTACATAGTAGAAATGTAATCAAAGTTTTGAAAATGCATTTTTAAAAGGGAAAGAAAACAGGCTGAAAGCAATGGAAGTATATACATGAGATTTTTAATCTCAAAGTACTTTTTCTAACAAGCACAGGCTAAACTGATTAATTTAACATGGAAAAACTCCCTTCGGCATAATTTTCAAGGAATACGCAGTGTCCACCAGAGAAATATGCTAGTAAAGAGTAAACTGTTCGATAACTTGAGGGTCCAAAAAGAGTATCTTATACTACAGAATATCATTTAATAGAGCTTTTTTTTTTTTTTGACTCTAATCCCATGACACAGATTATAGAGCATTTTATGTAAAGGCAACTGCAGTGTTCTACGTGAACATCTTGTTTTACAAATTATATACGAGAGCATTTAAGAAAAACCACATGAGCAAGTGCCTTGGGGAAATTTTTAAGTAAATAATTATTATGCCTTTATAATTTTGCCCTACAAAGTACTTTATTTCCTACAATGGGAAGGTTTCTATTAGCAGGCCAATATCAGGAGCATTTACAAAATTATACAATGACTGAACTGGAAGAAACATTTCATATCATCTCGTTCACTCTCTTCATTTTTCACATGCTAAAAATGAAGTCAAGAGACATCAAGTGTTAAGTTAAAGGTAGAAAAAGAACCTTGATTATTCTCAGTCCTCAGGAAATAGTCTTCTAAGATATATCTCCTTTTCCCTCTTACTTCTATCCTCTATTAATACTTTATAGTAACTACTTTAAAGTAAAAAAAAAAAAAAAAAAAAGAATCTCCTTAAATGTTCACAATGATTGAAGATTACAGAGTTCTTAAGTATAGAGTTATAAAGGACAACAAGAAAAATGACAAAATGACCTCACATCCTCCATTTACACTTTATTGACTATTATACAATAATACCAATGTCAAATTATTAATAATACACTGAGAAACATTAAACTCAAATAGATATGAAGCATAAAAGTATTTAGGGCTAATCTAGTCTACAAGATTTTATGTTAACCATGAAAATGTCATAACTCACATTATCCATCTGTTTCCAGCACATGTCAAGATATTGTTGAGCTTTTCGTCCTTCTTGCAGATGCTGAAGATTATAACCACGGCCAAAAAAAATAAAAATAAAAAATAAAACAAAAACAAATAAAAATAATTACATTTAAACACTAAAGTCTAAAGTCCCCAAAAGGCTTTTCACTTTATTTTTTTCAAGGTACTAATTATATAACTTTACCAAGACTTAGGAAGAAAGTAATGCAAAACTTCCTAAAAATGCATTTTATAGGATATTGTCTTAACACTTTACATATAACCTTGAAAACAGATACAATTTCCAGAAAAATAATGATTGTCTTGAATAGTAGATGACAAACATTTTTTATACAAGGTCAGATAAATATTGCAGGCTTTTTAAGCCACACAGTCTCTGTGACACTCAACTCTGCTAGTGTGATGCAAAAGCAGCCACAGGCAATATAAAAGTCAATGAATGTGGGTCTGTTCCAATAAAATTTTATGTATGGACATTAAAAATAAAATTTCATATAATTGTCAATGTCATGAAATATTATTCTTTTTTCAACCATCTAAAAATATAAAAATCATTCTTAGCCTGTGGCAACTAGCAAACAAAACCAAGCAGTTGGTTGGGTCTGGCCCATAGGCTGTAGTTTGCCAAACTTAAATCCAAAAGGATCATAAATTAGCAAGAGTATTTTGTGATAATTTTTAGCTAGAAGAAATGTAGTGAAATAGAAAAACCAGTTTATGCTGAACACACATTTTAAAGAAAACAAAGTGTTTCTGTGTGACTATTTCATATACTATTGCAATTGGATGAAAATTGTAAGAATTACCATTTTTCTTTCAGTTTTCAGATCATGAGCATATCTCATTAATTCACCATACACTCTGTGCGCCATTTCTTCTGCTACAACTTCTCGCTGTCCTGCATAGTCATTTAACTCATTAAGGATATTAAAAAAGGCTACACACGAGGTAAACCTGGCAAAAACATTTCAAAATGGTGAGACTTACTTTTATTTTCATTACAAATGTTGGTGAGGTATGGACTGAATCTAACATTTCGCAAATTTTAGCATATTCAACCTAAATCTCAGCTACTAGTTCTAAATTAACTTCATATGGAAAAAAATCCTGCATTAAGCTCAAGTCATACATGTTTGTATATCTTCAAGTAGTCTTTCATTTATTAGTAAAGGGATATTTGGGGTCAAAAAATAATAAGAATACTACCTGCAGGCTCTTTTGGCATACTGGAATCTCTTAAGTTGCCAACTGACTGGCCTGAGCTTGGGAATGAACTTGGTTGGATTCCTAGGCTTGGTAGCTGAACCTGTTGCAGAGATGATGTGCTTGCCAAATGCATCTCGATGGCTGATCTACAGAACAATTTTGCTATCAGCTCTGGACACAGCTGCCTGTATGCCTGCCCATATCCTGAATGGAAGTGAAGTGCCATTATAGTTGACACCAAAGCGGGTAAAGGGTCAAAAATAAGGGTAAAAACGTGTGTGAGGGAAGGAGAGAAACAAAGAGAATCACTGTATTAATGTATATATCTACTTTGAACATACTGCGGAACACTCTCTTACAGATGAAGATTAACAGCTCAGATAGGACTCCATTAACACTAAACCTGAGAATCCTAACAACTGACAATTATATACAGAGTTGTTTGTTTAAGTCGAGTCTCCTCTTGTTTCTCCATCTAAACAGTCATCCACATATTCCTCTTTAAGACCACAAAAAAACTCATAAGTGATTTCTAACCTTTTAATTTATTTCTAATGCAAAAACTCTCAGTGCTTTTCAACATCCCTTTATACCAATCAGTCAAATTGTTTTACTATCTATAAGAGTAAAAGCAAGAATCTACGAAGCCAACAACTACACAACCAAGTATGAAAAATATCCTTTTCTTCTGCAGACTAAATCATTCAAGTGGAGTCCTAGTCTACATTTTAATTGAAAATCTGTATCTGACTATTCTAGAAAACTGTTGATCAAGCCCACTACAGTATTTATCCTCATAAAAGATAAACAGTAGTTCCTTCTTTCATAAACATTAATTTTTAAATTAAACTTTATAAAATCTTTATAAAAAGCTAAGAATATATCTTACTAAATAATAAAAATATAAGTATTTTTAAATTTTTTAATATGCATTAATGAACAGGTATGTAATTTACCGTGGCTCTTCATCTTTGGATGAACGTTTGGGGCAGTACTTCTTAACCAGATTTCTATAGGAAGAAGATTTTTTAAAGTTTATTAAAAATTTCAACTATTGTTACAATTGAAATAGTCTAAGTTTTCAATTTCATTCAATCATGAATTTTATGATATAAAACAATTAAGACAGCAATATGATCTCTACTCCATTAGCATCATAATATGTAATCATTACTTACAATTTGTTCTTAAAATACTGATACCTGGAGAAAGAAAGGTTATTTCTGTATTTTCATATGAATGGAATCACAACAATTTGGTTGATGTTACTATCAAATAAGAAAATAGTTAAGAGGAAGAATAGAAGAAACAAAGTACAATTGGCCCTCTGTATTCCAGGGTTCCACAACCACAGATTCAACGACGGGTCAAAAATATTCAAGTAAGTAAATAACAATGGAGCTATAAAAAGTAATACAAATTAAAAAACCAATAGAGCCTAACAAGTATTTACATAGCATTTACACTGTATTAGGCATTCTAAATAATCTAGAGATGATTTAAAGTATGGGGAGGATGTGGGTAGGTTATAGGCAAATGTTATGCTATTTTATATGAGGGACTGAGAGCATCTTTGGATTTTGGTATTCATGGGTCTGGGAACCAATCCCCCTCAGGAACAATTACACTCAGTATGTGAAACTGAGTCAGGGCAAAAAGAAACATTTCAAAGAAATACCATCGCTTTTTTTTCACAAATTGAGGACTTTAATACTAAGGTAAAATGTAAGCAGATGCTGACTCAAGGAATAAAAGAACAGTTTGTCACCATCTCCATAACTCCACTTTTACATGCAAATCATTATGTGACTCCTTACCCTTCTCTTTTCTAGACAAATGAATTATATTCTGACTTGTAACTGTTTTTTGCCTTCATCCATGTCTGTTCTTAACATTCTTATAGTAGAATGCTACCTTATTTCATCTTTTCAAAATCAGAAAGAGACTAGCATATGGACTTTGGAGCCAGAATGGACTACCTTTGTTTGAATCCTGGTTGGCTGGTTTGTTGGTTGGTTGGTTGGTTGGTTGGTTGGTTGGTTGGTTTATTGAGATGGAGTCTCACTGTGTCGCCCAGGCTGGAGTGCAGTGGGGCGATCTCAGCCCACTGAAACCTCTGCCTCCGGGGTTCAGGCGATTCTCCAGCCTCAGCCTCCTAAATAGCTGGGATTACAGGTGCATGCCACCACACCCAGCTGATTTTTGTATTTTTAGTAGAGATAGGGTTTCACCACATTGGCCAGGCTGGTCTCGACCCCTGACCTCAGGTGATCCACCTGCCTCAGCCTCCCAAAGTGCTGGGATGAGCCACCATGCCCAACCTGAATCCTGGCTTTTATGTAGTACCTATGTGACCTTGGACAATTTGCCTAACTTCTCTGTCCCCTCATTTCCTATAAATGGTGCAAACAGTACCTACCCCATACAGTTACGAGAAATAAATGATATAAAGTGCTTTATACCCTGAGTCTCAAAGTATGGTCAACCTGGGTCCAGCAAGGGTCCATAGACTCTTTGGTAATAATCTACAATGAGATAAGTACAGAAGTTGGGAATAATTGTATTTCTTTTGAATCTAATAATTAAAAATTAGGGCCTATATTTTCTATGTCTCTTTTATGTCATGTTTCTAGTATTTAATTTTTATTGTTTACAAAAGCATCAGTACACAATGGATTGGAAACTAAAACTGGTCCATCATCGCAAACAATTTGAGATGCACTGCTTAAAACTATAAGCAGTTTTAAAGTAAGTGGCCATACTATCTTTCAATACTATAAAAGAATCACTGTCTTAATTATTCTCAGATTAGTATCAATTAATGCCACTTGAATCAATTTATTCATTCTACAAATTGTCTATTATGTGCTAAGCACCATGCAAACTACTAGGAGCATCATAAATAAAAGAGGACCCATGAGCAGGAGACTTATACTCTATTGAAAGGAGACAAGTATATACCAATAATTGTAATATACTGCATGGTAAGTGCTATGATAAAGATACACAAAGAAAAGGAAGACCTAACACCCAGTGAGGGGTGGAAAAAGAACAGGCAAGACACTGAGAAAAGAGTTCAGATCAACATGTATTGAGTTCCTACCATCAAGAAACCCATAGTTGCCACTGATTATAAAGTTAGGGACAAGATGAAAGCATTAGCACTTCACTCACTCTAGGGTGCAACCATAGCTCACTGTAGCCTCAAACTCCTGGGCAAGATCCTCCTGCCTCAGCCTACCAAGTAGTTGGGACTACAGGCACACACCATCATGCCTGACTAATAATATTTACATATACTTTTTAAAGAGACAGGGTTTCACTATGTTGCCCAAGCTGGTCTCAAACTCCTGGCCTCAAGTGATCCGCCTGCCTTGGCCTCCCAAAGTACTGGGATTACAGGTGTGAGTCATCCTCCTTGGCCTTCAAAGTTTTGCTGATATTTAATATGTCACTACACTAATACATGTACATAATTTACAAACTGTGCAGTCATATGCTCAAACATTTTTTACAGGTGAGCAATAAAAAGTTCAGAGATCTCTGGTCTAGAGAAATCAAATATATAGACACTCTTACATAACATAATATGGTAAGAACAATAGAGGGCTCTGTAAAGAGGGTTCCCCAGGGGTAAAAAGCTAAAATTTCTGATTTGCTGACTAAGCCTAAAGAGATAAACAGGAATTGGGCAACTGGAAACCCCTGGGGGAGGATTCTGCTCATTAGAGAAGATCTAATGAGCAAAGACAAAGAAGTGGGGAAAAACAGAGCATTTAAGAACTGTAAGTGGGTTCAATGTTGCTGGAACATCAAATATGAGCTAGAGAATTGCAAGTAGTAACGTGAAAAGTAAGAGGGGAACGAAGCAGAGACCCTTCTAAAGTCATATGAAGGAACTCTGAATAAATACTCTTGACCAGTGGTTATTAATCCTGGTTACCCAAACACTAACAAAACTCACTGTTATGAATGATTTACTAATTCACCCAAATATCAGCAAAGCTACTATCTGCTATAAATTAATTATTTCAGATACTAGACTGACAGAAAGAATGGGACGAGTCATGGTTAGCAAACTAGTAATTGGGCATGACCTACAGTCCTTTCTACAAAAGAACTCAAAAAGGAAGAAGGGGAAAACATGATCAACAGAATAATTCACTAGAATAGGCAAATTCAGATACAGAAAATAGATAACAGTTGCTAGCACATGGAGGAGGAGGAAATGACTGCTAATGGGTACAGGGTTTTCTTTTTGGGATGATGAAAATATTCTAAAATTCAATTGTGGTTATGGTTGCACAACTCTGTAAATACACTAAAAGAACACTCAAGTGTAGACTTTAGCAAATGAATCTTATGGCATATGAATTATACCTCAATAAAGCTTCTATAGGAGGAGGAGTGGCAGTTGCATAGGCAGTCCATCTGCCCCAGGTACCTCTATTCAACAAGTCTAAAATGAAATTTATCTACTTTTTAATCTTCTTTTACATACCTCTTTTCTTACATTAGTGGCACTACCATCCATCTAGAATTTAGACATTTAAGCCAAAAATTTGACAATCATCCTACACTTTCTCCCACCTTAACATGTTCAATCCCTACAGATTCTATTTCCTAATTAACTTTGTTAAAAACAATAATTTTTATAATAAAAAGGAAAAAATACACAAAGAGAAGCCCTGTCTTGTGACTACTTTATAAAATTGTTTTGTATACAGATGTGGGAGGACAGGCTGCTGGAAGCTACCGTAATATCTTGAAACCATAAGGGGAAAGACCAAGAGATGTACGAAAATGCCCTAACTTCATCACTGAGCTCTAGAATGCCGTTTCCAAATTTGTTGTATAAAATGACTCTATTACGTGAAGCTGAATGCTTCTTAACTGACACTATAGAAGAGTTAAATAAAAATGCCCAGTAGAGATATATAGTAAAAACTAGAACTCTAAAGAAACTTCTGGGATCACGATGCAGATATGAGGGTAAACATTTGTAAAGACAATAACAGAAACAAGGAGTTACCATTTGTCATACATGTATTACTTGACATTACCATTTGTCATCCATGTATTACTTGCCAATCTTAATGCTAAACTCTTTATATATAATCTTATGCTTACAACAACTGCAAGCAGATATTATTAGCCTGACTTTACAGGACTCAGACACATTAAGTGACTTGCCCACAGTCAAACAGCCAGTAAGTGACAAAGCCAAAACCTTCCTCAAATCTGATGCCAACACCAGAGATGGTTAAAATAATGAATGTGAATGAGGCTACTGAAGAAGTATGAAATGAAAGGTAGCTAAAGACCATCTACAAACACAAATTTAACAGGGAAGGAAGAAGAGTTGCTTCAGAAGAACAGTAAGGATGAACTAAGCTAGGAAGATTACAGGTAAACAAACTATGTCCCACTACCTATTTTTAAAACAAAATTTTATTGGAATGCACTACACTCATTCATGCATGTATTGTCTATGGCTGCTTTTGCATTACAACAACAAAGCTGAGACAACCAAATTGAGTAGACATATGGGTAACAGAAAACCCAAGAGAAGGGATTTTTTTAAAAGATGTTCTCAGACAAGCCAGGTGAGGTGTCTCACGCCTGCAATCTCAGTGCTTTGGGAGGCCAAAGTGGGAGGATCCCTTGGGGCCAGGAGTTCGAGGATGCAGTGAGCTATGATCGTTGCCACTGCACTCCAGCCTGGGAAAGAGAGTGAGACCCTGTCTCTTAAAAAAAAGAAAAAAAAGAAGACACTTAAGACATTTTGGGAGGCCAAGGCAGACAGATCATTTGAGGTCAGAGTTTGAGACCAGCCTGACCAACATGCTGAAAACCTGTCTCTACCAAAAATACAAAAAAATTAGCCAGGCATGGTGGCGCACTCCTGTAGTCTCAGCTACTCGGGAGGGTGAGGTATGAGAACTGCTTGAATCCGGAAAGCGGAGGTTGCATGCAGTGAGCTGAGATTGTGCCACTGCACTCCAACCTGGGCGACAGAGCAAGGCTCTGTCTCAAAAAAAAAAAAAAGGAAGAGGAAAAGAAGAAAAGAGGAGGAGGAAGAGGAAGAACAGGGTGAAGAAGAAGTTGTTCTAAGACAGAAACAGTCTATTATCATCAAAGATAATAAAACAGGTACCTAAAATATCCATGGAATTTAGCAATTACCAGGTGATTTAACGGTGTGGTTATGACAGGCACAGTCTCCCACCTACAAATGGGGTTGTTTTCTAGAAATTACTTTTAAGTTCAATGGTTTTGAAGCACAAACTCATGAACTGCATTAAACAAGTCAAATTTAAGCAAAAAGCATTTCATAGAGTGAGTAGTTTCAAAGATTGACTACTTTTTTTTTTTCTCCTGCCTCAGCCTCCCTAGTAGCTGGGATTACAGGTGCCCACCACCACGCCCAGCTAATTTTTTTTGTATTTTTAGCGGAGACGGGGTTTCACCATGTCAGTCAGGCCGATCTCAAACTCCTGACCTCACCTTAGCCTCCCAAAGCGCTGGGATCACAAGCGTGAGCCATCGTGCCCAGCCCAGGATGTCATTTTTCAAGTGTTCCCTTTCAGTTTATTAGTGGTCAAGGGACAAGCCAAAGCAGATGATGGACAATTAAGAAGGTGGGGCTTTAGAACACAAAGCTTGCCAGAACTCCTGTGGGTGGAACTTGAATGTATTGAGTCACCGTAAGTGGACAAGGAGGGAGCTTTTAACAGGTAAAGGGGGTATAGCTCAGGTGGTAGAGCATTTGACTGCAGATCAAGAGGTCCCCGGTTCAAATCCGGGTGCCCCCTTCCAGGATGTTTTCTCACTTCCATTTTAAAGTAGATACTGCCAGCCACAGTGTCAACAGAAAAGATGAGAAAACTTTTTTTTTTCCCCCTTGACACAGTACTCCTTTAATCCCACAATGCTCTGTGGTAATTTTAAATCAGATACACTGAAAGGCTATTAACTTTTACAATAATATTGTACAATTAAAACTATATATGTAAATCCAAGAGACTGGAGGAGTCTACATATACTGAGTTTCTGATTTAACAATAACTGATGATTTTTATATAATTGAGAATAAATCTTTATCAGATGATGAGACTCATAGAGGATAATAGGTCAATTATTATGGTAATTTTTAAAATCTCTTTTTATTATTATTATTATACCTTAAGTTTTAGGGTACATGTGCACAATGTGCAAGTTAGCTACATATGTATACATGTGCCATGCTGGTGGGCTGCACTCACTAACTCGTCATCTAGCATTACGTATATCTCCCAATGCTATACCTCCCCCTCCCCCCACCCCACAACAGTCCCCAGAGTGTGATGTTCCCCTTCCTGTGTCCATGTGTTCTCATTGTTCAATTCCCACCTATGAGGGAGAATATGCGGTGTTTGGTTTTTTGTGCTTGCGATAGTTTACTGAGAATGATGATTTCCAATTTCATCCATGTCCCTACAAAGGACATGAACTCATCATTTTTTATGGCTACATAGTATTCCATGGTGTATATGTGCCACATTTTCTTAATCCAGTCTATCATTATTGGACATTTGGGTTGGTTCCAAGTCTTTGCTATTGCGAATAATGCCGCAATAAATATACGTGTGCATGTGTCTTTATAGCAGCATGATTTATAGTCCTTTGGGTATATACCCAGTAATGGGATGGCTGGGTCAAATGGTATTTCTAGTTCTAGATCCCTGAGGAATCGCCACACTGACTTCCACAATGGTTGAACTAGTTTACAGTCCCACCAACAGTGTAAAAGTGTTCCTATTTCTCCACATCCTCTCCAGCACCTGTTGTTTCCTGACTTTTTAATGATTGCCATTCTAACTGGTGTGAGATGGTATGTCATTGTGGTTTTGATTTGCATTTCTCTGATGGCCAGTGATGGCGAGCATTTTTTCATGTGTTTTTTGGCTGCATAAATGTCTTCTTTTGAGCAGTGTCTGTTAATGTCCTTCACCCACTTTTTGATGGGGTTGTTTTTTTCTTGTAAATTTGTTTGAGTTCGTTGTAGATTCTGCATATTAGCCCTCTGTCAGATGAGTAGGTTGCGAAAATTTTCTCCCATTTTGTAGGTTGCCTGTTCACTCTGATGGTAGTTTCTTTTGCTGTGCAGAAGCTCTTTATTTTAATTCGATCCCATTTGTCAATTCTGGCTTTTGTTGCCATTGCTTTTGGTGTTTTAGACATGAAGTCCTTGCCCATGCCTATGTCCTGAATGGTAATGCCTAGGTTTTCTTCTAGGGTTTTTATGGTTTTAGGTCTAACGTTTAAGTCTTTAATCCATCTTGAATTGATTTTTGTATAAGGTGTAAGGAAGGGATCCAGTTTCAGCTTTCTACATATGGCTAGCCAGTTTTCCCAGCACCATTTATTAAATAGGGAATCCTTTCCCCAATGCTTGTTTTTCTCAGGTTTGTCAAAGATCAGATAGCTGTAGACATGCGGCGTTATTTCTGAGGGCTCTGTTCTGTTCCATTGATCTACATCTCTGTGTTGGTACCAGTACCATGCTGTTTTGGTTACTGTAGCCTTGTAGTATAGTTTGAAGTCAGGTAGTGTGATGCCTCCAGCTTTGTTCTTTTGGCTTAGGATTGACTTGGCAATGTGGGCTCTTTTTTGGTTCCATATGAACTTTAAAGTAGTTTTTTCCAATTCTGTGAAGAAAGTCATTGGTAGCTTGATGGGGATGGCATTGAATCTGTAAATTACCTTGGGCAGTATGGCCATTTTCACGATATTGATTCTTCCTACCCACGAGCATGGAATGTTCTTCCATTTGTTTGTATCCTCTTTTATTTCCTTGAGCAGTGGTTTGTAGTTCTCCTTGAAGAGGTCCTTCACATCCCTTGTTAAGTTGGATTCCTAGGTATTTTATTCCCTTTGAAGCAATTGTGAATGGGAGTTCACTCATGATTTGGCTCTCTGTCTGTTGTTGGTGTATAAGAATGCTTGTGATTTTTGTACATTGATTTTGTATCCTGAGACTTTGCTGAAGTTGCTTATCAGCTTAAGGAGATTTTGGGCTGAGACAGTGGGGTTTTCTAGATATACAATCATGTCGTCTGCAAACAGGGACAATTTGACTTCCTCTTTTCCTAATTGAATACCCTTTATTTCTTTCTCCTGCCTAATTGCCCTGGCCAGAACTTCCAACACTATGTTGAAAAGGAGTGGTGAGAGAGGGCATCCCTGTCTTGTGCCAGTTTTCAAAGGGAATGCTTCCAGTTTTTGCCCATTCAGTATGATATTGGCTGTGGGTTTGTTGTAGATAGCTCTTATTATTTTGAAATACGTCCCATCAATATCTAATTTATTGAGAGTTTTTAGCATGAAGGGTTCTTGAATTTTGTCAAAGGCCTTTTCTGCATCTATTGAGATAATCATGTGGTTTTTGTCATTGGTTCTGTTTATATGCTGGATTACATTTATTGATTTGCGTATATTGAACCAGCCTTGCATCCCAGGGATGAAGCCCACTTGATCATGGTGGATAAGCTTTTTGATGTGCTGCTGGATTCGGTTTGCCAGTATTTTATTGAGGATTTTTGCATCAATGTTCATCAAGGATATTGGTCTAAAATTCTCTTTTCTGGTTGTGTCTCTGCCCGGCTTTGGTATCAGGATGATGCTGGCCTCATAAAATGAGTTAGGGAGGATTCCCTCTTTTTCTATTGATTGGAATAGTTTCAGAAGGAATGGGACCAGTTCCTCCTTGTACCTCTGGTAGAATTCGGCTGTGAATCCATCTGGTCCTGGACTCTTTTTGGTTGGTAAGCTATTGATTATTGCCACAATTTCAGATCCTGTTATTGGTCTATTCAGAGATTCAACTTCTTCCTGGTTTAGTCTTGGGAGAGTGTATGTGTCGAGGAATTTATCCATTTCTTCTAGATTTTCTAGTTTATTTGTGTAGAGGTATTTGTAGTGTTCTCTGATGGTCGTTTGTATTTCTGTGGGATCAGTGGTGATATCCCCTTTATCATTTTTTATTGCGTCTATTTGATTCTTCTCTCTTTTTTTATTAGTCTTGCTAGTGGTTTGTCAATTTTGTTGATCCTTTCAAAAAACCAGCTCCTGGATTCATTAATTTTTTGAAGGGTTTTTTGTGTCTCTATTTCCTTCAGTTCTGCTCTGATTTCAGTTATTTCTTGCCTTCTGCTAGCTTTTGAATGTGTTTGCTCTTGCTTTTCTAGTTCTTTTAATTGTGATGTTAGAGTGTCAATTTTGGATCTTTCCTGCTTTCTCTTGTGGGCATTTAGTGCTATAAATTTCCCTCTACACACTGCTTTGAATGCGTCCCAGAGACTCTGGTATGTTGTGTCTTTGTTCTCGTTGGTTTCAAAGAACATCTTTATTTCTGCCTTCATTTCGTTATGTACCCAGTAGTCATTCAGGAGCAGGTTGTTCAGTTTCCATGTAGTTGAGCGGTTTTGAGTGAGATTCTTAATCCTGAGTTCTAGTTTGATTGCACTGTGGTCTGAGAGATAGTTTGCTATAATTTCTGTTCTTTTACATTTGCTGAGGAGAGCTTTACTTCCAAGTATGTGGTCAATTTTGGAATAGGTGTGGTGTGGTGCTGAAAAAATTGTATATTCTGTTGATTTGGGGTGGAGAGTTCTGTAGATGTCTATTAGGTCCGCTTGGTGCAGAGCTGAGTTCAATTCCTGGGTATCCTTGTTGACTTTCTGTCTCGTTGATTTGTCTAATGTTGACAGTGGGGTGTTAAAGTCTCCCATTATTAATGTGTGGGAGTCTAAGTCTCTTTGTAGGTCACTCAGGACTTGCTTTATGAATCTGGGTGCTCCTGTATTTGGTGCATATATATTTAGGATAGTTAGCTCTTCTTGTTGAATTGATCCCATTACCATTATGTAATGGCCTTCTTTGTCTCTTTTGATCTTTGTTGGTTTAAAGTCTGTCTTATCAGAGACTAGGATTGCAACCCCTGCCTTTTGTTGTTTTCCATTTGCTTGGTAGATCTTCCTCCATCCTTTTATTTTGAGCCTATGTGTGTCTCTGCACATGAGATGGGTTTCCTGAATACAGCACACTGATGGGTCTTGACTCTTTTTTTTTTTTTTTTTTTTTTTGAGACGGAGTCTCGCTCTGTCGCCCAGGCTGGAGTGCAGTGGCGGGATCTCGGCTCACTGCAAGCTCCGCCTCCCGGGTTCACGCCATTCTCCTGCCTCAGCCTCCCAAGTAGCTGGGACTACAGGCGCCCGCCACTACGCCCGGCTAATTTTTTGTATTTTCAGTAGAGACGGGGTTTCACCGTTTTAGCCGGGATGGTCTCGATCTCCTGACCTCGTGATCCGCCCGCCTCGGCCTCCCAAAGTGCTGGGATTACAGGCGTGAGCCACCGCACCCGGCCGGGTCTTGACTCTTTATCCAATTTGCCAGTCTGTGTCTTTTAATTGGAGCATTTAGTCCATTTACATTTAAAGTTAATATTGTTATGTGTGAATTTGATCCTGTCATTATGATGTTAGCTGGTTATTTTGCTCATTAGTTGATGCAGTTTCTTCCTAGTCTTGATGTTCTTTACATTTTGGCATGATTTTGCAGCAGCTGGTACTGGTTGTTCCTTTCCATGTTTATTGCTTCCTTCAGGAGCTCTTTTAGGGCAGGCCTGGTGGTGACAAAATCTCTCAGCATTTGCTTGTCTGTAAAGGATTTTATTTCTCCTTCACTTATGAAGCTTAGTTTGGCTGGATATGAAATTCTGGGTTGAAAATTCTTTTCTTTAAGAATGTTGAATATTGTCCCCCACTCTCTTCTGGCTTGTAGAGTTTCTGCTGAGAGATCAGCTGTTAGTCTGATGGGCTTACCTTTGAGGGTAACCCGACCTTTCTCTCTGGCTGCCCTTAACATTTTTTCCTTCATTTCAACTTTGGTGAATCTGACAATTATATGTCTTGGAGTTGCTCTTCTCGAGAAGTATCTTTGTGGCATTCTCTTTATTTCCTGAATCTGAATGTTGGCCTGCCTTGCTAGATTGGGGAAGTTCTCCTGGATAATATCCTGCAGAGTGTTTTCCAACTTGGTTCCATTCTCCCCGTCACTTTCAGGTACACCAATCAGACATAGATTTGGTCTTTTCACATAGTCCCATATTTCTTCGAGGCTTTGTTCGTTTCTTTTTATTCTATTTTCTCTAAACTTCCCTTCTCGCTTCGTTTCATTCATTTCATCTTCCATCGCTGATACCCTTTCTTCCAGTTGATCCCATCGGCTCCTGAGGCTTCTGCATTCTTCACGTAGTTCTTGAGCCTTGGTTTTCAGCTCCATCAGCTCCTTTAAGCACTTCTCTGTACCGGTTATTCTAGTTATACATTCTTCTAAATTTTTTTCAAAGTTTTCAACTTCTTTGCCTTTGGTTTGAATGTCCTCCTGTAGCTTGGAGTAATTTCATCATCTGAAGCCTTCTCTCAGCTCATCAAAGTCATTCTCCGTCCAGCTTTGTTCCGTTGCTGGTGAGGAACTGTGTTCCTTTGGAGGAGGAGAGGCGCTCTGCTTTTTAGAGTTTCCAGTTTTTCTGCTCTGTTTTTTCCCCATCTTTGTGGTTTTATCTACTTTTGGTCTTTGATGATGGTGATGTACAGATGGGTTTTTGGTGTGGATGTCCTTTCTGTTTGTTAGTTTTCCTTCTAACAGACAGGACCCTCAGCTGCAGGTCTGTTGGAGTACCCAGCCGTGTGAGGTGTCAGTCTGCCCCTGCTGGGGGGTGCCTCCCAGTTAGGCTGCTTGGGGGTCAGGGGTCAGGGACCCACTTGAGGAGGCAGTCTGCCCGTTCTCAGATCTCCAGCTGTGTGCTGGGAGAACCACTGTTCTCTTCAAAGCTGTCAGACAGGGACTTTTAAGTCTGCAGAGGTTACTGCTTTTTGTTTGTCTGTGCCCTGCCCCCAGAGGTGGAGCCTACAGAGGCAGGCAGGCCTCCTTGAGCTGTGGTGGGCTCCACCCAGTTTGAGCTTCCTGGCTGCTTTGTTTACCTAAGCAAGCCTGGGCAATGGCGGGCGCCCCTCCCCCAGCCTGGCTGCCACCTTGCAGTTTGATCTCAGACTGCTGTGCTAGCAATCAGCAAGACTCCGTGGGCGTAGGACCCTCCGAGCCATGTGCGGGATATAATCTCCTGGTGCGCCATTTTTTAAGCCTGTCGGAAAAGCGCAGTATTCGGGTAGGAGTGACCCAATTTTCCAGATGCCGTCTGTCTCCCCTTTCTTTGACTAGGAAAGGGAACTCCCTGACCCCTTGCGCTTCCCGAGTGAGGCAATGCCTCGCCCAAGCAGGGCTCGTGCACGGTGCGTGCACCCACTGACCTGCGCCCACTGTCTGGCACTCCCTAGTGAGATGAACCCGGTACCTCAGATGGAAATGCAGAAATCACCTGTCTTCTGCGTCGCTCACGCTGGGAGCTGTAGACCGGAGCTGTTCCTATTCGGCCATCTTGGCTCCTCCGATTGACTACATTTTATATATCAACATTTTAAACATTGTTTAGGGTCCCAGTCTGTAGGGGACACGTTTTACCTACCTGTATCACTACCCTTCTTTTGTAACAGCTTGTGGAAATGCATTTCTGTTCATCAAAAAGCCATGTTATTTCACACACTTTCCAGCCCCCTAACAGTTTGGTAGAACGACGTGGCCAATTCTGCATGGGGCTATGAGCTCTGTGTAAGTACAGGCTGAAGCATTTAGAGCTTGTGTACAACCCTCTGGGCTCCCTCATTCTCTGCTGAAGCAACTGTGGAGGTTGAATGATGAGATGAAGATAAGAACAGTATGGATCCTCGAGTTACCACATGGACTGTCTGAACTTGTAGCTGACTTTGCATGATTAAGAGTGTTAATAAATGTTTAGTTATGTTTAGTCCCTGGGATTTGGAATTTATCATTCTAGTATAGCCTAACATATCCTAAAATACAGCTCCTCCACTGTCATGCCTATGAACCTGTGGTCACGGTGACCACATATTAAGGTCCAGGAGTATTTATTTGATCCAGGTCCATTAATCTAGGCCAATGAAAGTCAATCCTAAAATTTCTGTTGTAATTCTTAGGAAGGCATGCTCTCTTTCTGCTGAAGCTGTTAAATTGATAGGACATAATCTTAAAGCCACGGAAAAAGAGCCTACTGGGAAATTAAACCAACACAGAGAAAAGCAAAGCCAAGAAGAAAGATCCTAAACACTTCTCTAAGTACCTGGATCCCTAAATTTTTCCCTCAAATAAGCCAGTAAATTCCTTTCTTTGTTTAAACCAATCTGAGTTAGGCTTCTGATACTTGGAAGAATTATGAGTACTACAGAGGGTAACCATAGAAGTCTTTAATAGCTTAAACATCACATAAATAACACTAATTTGAACTCTAGCTTCTGGGAGGAAGAGCACATGTAACACAAGAGGTAAGGGGAAGAGGAAGAAAATAACTGTATTTTGAACATGCAGGGTAGTCCTAAGCAATTTTAAAAATAAATTCCTCTTGCCTCCCTGTATGTAAAACTCACACATCTATAGGTGACTCATCCCAAACCCCAATATCCTGAGCCCTCAGATGCCATACACAGGTCACTAAAGACTCCATTCAAGCCAACCCTGCAACCTGAAAAACTACAGCACTGTCCACAAAGTTCTTCTCATTTTCCACCAAATCCAAATTTCTAGGAAAACATATGCTCTGAAAGAAGACACATCAATTTATTATTTTGAGACAGGGTCTCACTCTGTCACCCAGGCTGGAGTACAGTGGCACAATCTTGGCTCACTAAAACCTCCACCTCCTGGGTCAAGCAATCCTCCCACCTCAGCCTCCCAGGTAGCTGGGACTGCAGGCACATGTCACCGTGCCTGGCTAATTTTTTTGTCTTTTTAATAGATATGGGGTTTCACCATGTTGGCCAGGCTGGTCTTAAACTCCTGGACTCAAGCGATCCACCTGCCTCCACCTCCCAAAATGCTGGGATTATGGGGGTTAGCCACCGCCCCGGCTAACACACCAAATTATTAATAGTACTCACTTCTCAGGAGAGGAACTGGGAAGGGACTTGAATTTAAATGTTATAATGATCATATAATGCTTTCATAATTTAAAAAAAAAAAAAAAACTAGGCCAGGGGTGGTGGCTCACACCTGTAATCCTAGCACTTTGGGAGGCCGAGGCAGGTGGATCACCTGAGGTCAGGAGTTCAAGACCAGCCAGGCCAACATGGCAAAACTCCGTCTCTACTAAAAATACAAAAATTAGCCAGATGCGGTGGTGTACACCTATAATCCCCGCTACTAGGGAGGCTGAGGCAGGAGAATCGCTTGAACCTGGGCAGCGGAGGTTGCACTGAGCCAAGATCGCACCACTTCACTCCAGCCTGGGAGAAAGCGTGAAACTCCGTCTCATAAATAAATAAATAAAACTAATAATAAAAATATACAATAAGAATTTATTCTTCCGAAGCAGCTGATCTCATTTGGGCCTTCTGAAAAAACAGTCTAAAGTCAACAAAAAGTCATACAAAGGCATGAATGGTTAAGTAAGTCCCGCAAATCCCTGCTTTGCAGTTTTAACACAATATGCTTATTAGCTCAAATAAATTTTAATAGGTAAGTGCAAAGCATTCAGGTTGTTCCTAAACTAAAAATATTTTAGACAATTCATCTAGTTTAAGAAATCTGCCCTTAATGTTACTTCCCCTAGGCTCTTTTTCTGTTCACCCCTCTCTAAATCCAGGTTTTCCACCAATTATGATAGCAGTTTATGTGTAAGACATGTTTTTAGTATGTTGTCATAAATCAGGAGCTAACTGAAACACAAAGTTTTATACACACAGTACATATTACAGAAATTATAATAGATTCCATAGATATGCTGATACATTGTTTGGGGGGGTGGGGGAGGGAGGGACGGAGAGAAAGAGAGAGAGAGAGAGAGAGAGAGAGAGAGAGAGAGAGAGAGAGTGTGTGTGTGTGTGTGTGTGTGTGTGTGTGTGTGTGTGTGTGTGTGTGTGTTCCATGTTTTTCTATGTACTTTGGCTTCATGCACTCTGGATACAAAAGAAATTAATGTTGTTCCTTCAGTTGTCAGAGAAGGCTTCTAAATTTAGTGGGCATCTCTAAAGATTATAGTAGTCTATACATATTAGTTATATATGTGATATTAAATATATCACCCTTTTTAATATATATTTAAGTTGTTGATTCTAATCTTTTTATCCATTCTAGTTTTGTCATGTTTATATTTACTTTTGAGTTTCAGTAAAAATTACAAAATATTCCAAATACTTTCTCAAAATATTAATTCACTTCTATTAAAACATTTTGCAGCTAAGTGCCAGAATGTGAACTATCTCAAAAATCTTAAAAGACTGAGAATCACCTCTATACATTTTCAACCTTTCAATATTTGAGAGGCTGAGTTCTAATCACTGTTTAAGAGGTGATCAATATCCTATTTATAAAATGGAATATAAATCATACCATTTCTTCCAGCAAAGGGTAATATTAGAGACCTGAGACTCACTGACTAGTACCCCTTTTCTTAACTTACTTAAGAGCTGCCAGATTAACACATATGGCCCAAATTTGTGGGCTCAGTTAAGTGACCCAACGATAGAAAACAAAATAGCTGGGCCAACGAGATCCCTTTCTGAAAGTTGTAAGACTTTGGATCTGACACAGCTTTGAGGCCAGTATGGGAGCTGAATCTCTAAGACATAAAACTGGCACTGTTGATGACTGTATTTCCTGCCACATGGAGAAAGCCAGTCTGCACTAAAAGAATAAAGCCACCAACCCACCAAAAGAAGAAGAAGAAGAAAAGACAAAGGGCTTTGGCGGTGTTTCAGATACTGTCCTTATTTTTTTCTGTGACCTAGCTGTAGACCAAGCCTTCTAGCAGTATGACTATTCCACTTCTTGAACTCAATAAAAAATTAAAATCAATAAATCAATAAATTTATATTGTAAATAAATTTCTCATTATACTTAAATTAGCTCAAGCTGGAGTTCCATCACTTTCGGCCACGAATCTTCTCTCTTATAGTAAAAAAATTAAACATAAAAGGTATCCATTGCAAAAGAATGAAGCTGGGCCAGGCATGGTGGCTCACGCCTGTAATCCCAGCACTTTGGGAGGCCAAGACGGGTGGATCACAAGGTCAGGAGTCCGAGACCAGCCTGGTCAATATGGTAAAACCCCGTCTCTACTAAAAATACAAAAATTAGCTGGGCGTGGTGGCAGGTGCCTGTAGTGCCAGCTACTCAGGAGGCTGAGGCAGGAGAATCATTTTGTAAAAAGTAAAGTAGAGGTTCCTCTTCAAAGACTTTCCTCCCCATCTAATTAGGAATAAATAGTAGCTTCTCTTAGAAGCAAAATTTATTTAAAGACCTGTGCTAACATTCTTAAATATCTGCTAGCCGTAATAAGGAAATCAACATTACTTTATGCTCTTAGCTCCCACAATTTAGCCTAAATATTTACCCTAGCGTGCTTATACTGGTCCAAGCAAGCATTAGGTCATAGCCTGTTCCTCTTCCTTATTTAAAAGTGTTTTTACCTTTCTCAACATTCCACAAGTTACTTCCTCCTTCCTTTGTTCCCCTCTACCTTGGCCTCTTTTTACAAAGTTCTAAGTTGCTAGCCAATCGGGGTGAGGTCCCGTTCCAGCCAATGGAAACTGGACACAGCAGTAGGGTGGATGCCTCAGGTTATAAATGACCCTGTCTCCTTTGTTCGGTGTACTCTTGTGGCACGAGTGTACCCTTTCTGCAGGAAGTAAAAATGGCCTTACTAAATAAATTTATGTTCAAGTGCTATTTCTTTACGGCTCCGAGGAACAAACATTTCAAACAGCTTGAACCCAGGAGACGGAAGTTGCAGTGAGCCAAGATCGCGCCACTGCACTCCAGGCTGGGCGACAAGAGTGAGACTCTGTCTCAAAAAAAAAAAAAAAAAAGAATGAAGCTGGACCCTTTTAACACATACAAATATTAACTCAAGATGCATCAAAGACCTAAAACTATGAAACTGAGAAGAAAACATAGGAGAAAATCTTTGTGATACTGGATTTTGCAATGATTTCTTGGATATGACACAAAAAGGCAAAAAAAATAAAAATAGATAAACTACATCAAAATTTAAAACTTCAATGCATAGAAGGACACAATCAAGAGAATGAAAAGGCAACCTATAGAATGGGAGAAAGAATGTGCAAATCATATATCTGGCAAGGGGTTAATATCCAGAATATACAAAGAACTCCTAAAACTCTACAACAAAAAAACAAGTAACTCAATTTTAAAAACTGACTTGAATAGACATTTCTCCAAAGATACACAAATGGTCAGGGAAATGCAAGTCAGAACCACAGGGAGATAACAACTCACACCGATTAGGGTGGCTACTTGCAAAACAACAAGGATGTGGACTAACTGGAAGCTTTGTGTATTGCTGGTGAGAATGCAAAATCTTTCAGCCGGACAAAAGAGTGACACAGAAACCAAATTCTGATAAAGAGGTATGAGAAAAGTAAAATGAGATAGAGACTATGTATTAGTTCGTTTTCACGCTGCTGATAAAGACATACCCGAGACAGGGAGGAAAAAGAGGTTTAATTGGAATTATAGTTCCACATGGCTGGGGAGGCTTCAGACTCATGGCGGGAGGTGAAAGGCACTTCTTACAGACTAGCTATATTTGGATTGCTCTGTATCTAAGCCTACCCGAAATATTTAGGACTGTTCTTAGCAGACACAATGATGTACACAACACCAACTTAATGACCACATCACAATGATGTACACGACACCAAACTCCAGTATTAATAGAAAGCTGCTATGTAGTCAAAGGTTCAGCATGTGGTCAGAAATCCTAATTTCTAAACTAAACTGAAACACAGATTATTTAATTATTTATTCATTCAACTTAAATTTAATCACCCAGTTCCAGAGGTACCAGGTAGGCTTGGTATGGGGTAGAGAAATGCACATAATATAATCTCTGATCAAAGGAATTCAGAGATGTCTGCTTGCCAAAATAAGAGTAGTTTGTGCACTTCCTGTCTTCCAGCCTAATTCTCTTCCACTATACCATACTGCCACATCTGAACCAAAAATTTATGTATGCTCTGGGGTGGAGGCTGGGGAATATAATTTCATACAGCACTATCTCTATGATAGAACTTAATACAATTACTTTTACTAGAAAAAACTAAAATGATACAAACTTATCACATATATATGGCTCCTTTTTTTACTTAGAAATCTTAATCTGTTATACAAATACAATGTTTATTAAAAGAATGACTGATTTCAGTTGCATATCTTTGCAAACAAAAAACACTCTACCAAGTGATCTGAAGTAACCATTTTCCATCAATCAAAATGGACATGATTCAATTGCATATAACTATGTCTCCAAATGTAATTAGATGCTTTATTTTCTATTTATTCCCATCCTCAAACCAAAACCAAAAATCAATATCAAACACCAGAATAAAGTTAAACCAACACCATCAAAACACAACAACAGAAGAGTAAAGGGAGAAAAGATTAAAACAATCTGGAATTACCAAAGATTAAGAAATTTTAATCTTGTAATATATTTAAAATGTAATTGCTTAACATCAGGAATATAGTTGATATGATTTGGCTGTGTCCTTACCCAAATCTCATCTTGAATTACAGTTCCCATAATCCCCATGTGTCATGGGAGGGACCAGGTGGAGATAACTGAATCATGGGGGCGGTTTCCCCCATCTTGTTCTCACAACAGTGAGTTAGTTCTCACGAGATCTGATGGTTTTACAGTGGGATTCCCCCTTCGCTTGGCACTTATTCTTCTCCTTCCACCATGATTATAAGTTTACTGAGGCCTCCCCAGCCATGCTGAACTGTGAGTCAATTAAACCTCTTTCCCTTATAAATTACCCAGTCTCAGGTATGTCTTTATTAGCAGCGTGAGAATGGACTAATATAATATTATTTAGGAGAAAAAAAAAAGTGCTGCCTCACTATGAAAGAAATTATCCTCTGCACTAGCAAAAATAAGGGGAGTTAACCAAAAGAATTTTTCCCATTAAAGAGGAGGAAACAAACAAGGCAAACCTCTTCCCTTTGGATAAAAGACATACTATAAACAGCAGCTGATAATCCAATCATTTACTAAGTAGTCATCCAAAGCAGCAAATCTCAATGTAGATCATTTCAAATTAAACATGCCTTCTCTCAACTCTTCATTACTCCTCATACTTCAACACTCCAATAATTCTGCCCTTGTTGAGAATCGCTGCTATTGAGAATCATCCTTAGAATGGAAATGTGCCAAATTCCTTAAGTGTGCTTCATTCCTTCAAATCACCTTTGTAAAGCATCAGTACATAATAAAACCCACTTTCTCAATACAAAATTCTACTTTTCATATCATGAAGTTGTGGGTTCTAGCCACCCTTGTTTCAATGAACTGGAGCTCAAATCCCTTTTTTGCAAGTAAGTGAAAATTCTAATGGTTATTATCAGTCTCAGAACAGAGAGAAGGCAAACAAGTCTGCCATTTGATTAGATGAGTCCTGTTACACTAGCAAAACCCTGGCCATCTCAAAAGCTTTGAGGTCTAAGTTGTCCTGGACAGTTAAATATTCCACATTACTGAAGTTTTTTTTAATCTTATAAATTATCAATTTTTATTTTATAATTTGTGATAGGAATCTCTTTTGAAGCATATCCTCTTCTTAACAAGTGTTTTAAATTACAAAAGTAATACACAATCATTGAAAAGACTACAATTCAAAAGTGTATGAAATAAAAAGTTCCTTCCCTTATCATTCCCTACTCTGGTTCCACAACGGTAATCATTGTAACATAATCTGGGTGTACTCTTCTAGACCTCTTCAGAATACATACAAATTTTATATGTAACTGTATATACAAACACAAGTAAGCAATAAAATCATGTTACTGTACATTCAGTTCTTACTGCACATTCATCATTCAACCTGATGAATAAGGCTTTTAAATTTTAAAATGCTGGTACACCTGATTTTTTTAAAACTTTATCTACCACAGTCTTTTTCATCATTCTTCTACTGACAGGCACTTTTACAACCAGAAACTTTTTTTTTTTCCTGCAATGAAGAGTTTTGTGCAAACACCTTTGCTCACTTGTATTTTTCTGCAGGAAAGTTTAGAAATGAAAATGCTAGATTAAAGGACAGATTAGACTTTTTAAACATTTTGAGAAACACTGTTATATTCTCTGCCTTCTTTAAAATAATCTGATTATTTTCTTGAAGGTGCAGGATCATTCTTACCAGTATTTACTTTTTCACTCTGTATAATACAGTGATTCTCTTGGGGCCCTAGAAGTAGATTCACTTCTCACTATGGTTTGGATATGGTTTGTTTGACCCCAACCAAAACTCATGTTGAAATTTGATTCCCAAAGTGGTGGTGTTGGGAGATAGGGCCTAATGGGAGGTGTCTGGGTCATGAGGGATCCGCCCTCATGGATAGTGGTTTGGTGTCATTTTTGGTAGTGAGTTGCGTTCTCACTCTAATAAGACTGGATCACTTTTTGAGAGTGGGTTTTTAAAAAGTCAGTTTCCCTTCAGGTTTTCTTTCTCTCTTCATACATCCACGCTTCCCCTTTGACACATCAAAACCCTGTGCCAGAAGCCGGGGGCATGCCTTTGAACTTACCAGCCTGTACAACCATTAGTTAAATAAACCTTTTTTCTTTATAAATTACCCAGACTTAGGCATTCTGTTATGGCAACATAAAATGAGCTAGGGCACTCCTGCAGTAAATTTCATCTATTTTTGTAATTTTTAAACCTTTTCCTTTATTGTTTGTCCCTTCACACTGCCATCACTGTATTACCTATAGCACTTTTTCTCATTTCTATTGGAAAAACTGAGAATTTTCCAATAGAAATCTGAGAATTTAATGTGCTAAAATTGAGATCAAATTAAAATTTAAATAGAATTTTTATTTGCCACACAAGAATACATCTGGTAGCTGCTATTTTAATCTCTCAGAGGCCATTTCATGCTCTCCTAGATTCTAGAGAGGTAAGTTTCCCAGATCATTAACTTTTGGACAGATGAAACATCATCACTGTGATTATTAATATACTAATAGGCTCCCTGTTTATACTCTCATGTGGAAAATACCTTGTTTAAACAAACAGGAGGGAAACGGATTAGGAAATTAGCATAATGCCATTATTCAGTAAATATAATAGTGTTTATCATTATAAAAATATTATAAGCAAGCTTTTTATTACTCTAGTCTATTCCATCCCTACATCCAGTCAGTTGGTTACATGCACTATTATGTGGATATATGAGGCACTCAAGTAACTCCCCCTTCCTTCTGGGACCACTAGTTTAAATTAATTTTAAGTAACTATCCTTCCCCCATCATTAGCTATAAGTCAGTATTAGTAAATTGTTTAGGATAAACACATAACCTAACCAAAGTCAGTATGACTAAAGGAGACCCTCTGCTAGTATTTCTGGAGAAAAGAAGCTTGGTGCAGGCTTGCATTTTCCCTTACTTCCATCCCTCTTCCTCTTCTTCCATTCCCCCACTTCCTCTTTCCCTCCCTTCCTTTCTCCCCAAAGGTACAATAGAGAAGACCATCATTCTTCTCCAGGATATGGGGGTATGAAGATGTAAAACCTAGAGCTAAACGAACACGGAGGATGGTATGAATGGAACCTGAGAATAAAAAGAACAAGAGGGAGCACAGCCAAGAAATGGGGCCTGAAGATTATTTGACCCCTGAATCAAAATATGCCTGGACTTTGTAGTCATGTATGCCTGTTTAGGTTGGATTTTTTGTCACTTCAGGACACTTTTTTATCCTAAACCCTACAGCTAAAACTTTATACTGGTGTCTAGTCTTCAGACTTCAAGCACCATTTTTACTGAATAAGTTCCAGCAACTACTTGTCAACAAAGTCCATTAGTTTTAAGACTAAAATTTTCTCTTTAAAACTTTTATCTTCCAAAACATATTCTAAAATCACATTCATTCATAATATGTAACTGAATACTGACAGAAAGAAACTCAGCTCAGCACACACTCTATTTCCAAGTCTTACAAACTCTGAAGAAAAAAACTCTGAAGAAATATTCAATACTTTGAAAAGATGACTAAAGCAAAAAGTTAGAGAGGAATAAAAGTATAAAACACAGAATAACACGCAGATATTTCTTTTTCCCGGCATTTTGCTCCCCAGTTTTCAGATTTTTAAGTGTCTTTCTGGAATGAAAGCTATTTGTGATCCAGCTAGTCAATATTCCTTGTGGTACTGTACTAGCCAATGACTTAATTAATCATTAAAACAAACCGGTTACCTAATTCAATCTAATTCTGATGAAAAACATAGAATTTAACCTCTGGACTATCACATTCCTCTAATATTCAACTGTTTAAACATGTAATTTCATTCTAAAAACTGAAAAAAAAATTAACTTACCTCAATTGTTTCGCATAGTTCTGTTCAATTTCTATCCTCTCTTTAACAAATTTGGCATATCTTTCCAAGAAGTCAATTCCCCATTGTGTATGCTTGTCTAAGCTGTCGAACTGATCCTGGAAAAGGAAGATAAAAATGCATTTTCAAAAGTCTAAAATTTTATCCACAGATATTTTTAACAGCTTCTGGTATTTGTACAGAGAAGCAATGAGGTATAAAAGGAAAAACCCAGGCTCTTCTACTAGCTCCCCCACTTCACCCTTTAAGACCTAGAAATAGGTCGTCCCTAAGCATAAATCATGCTACTTTATGTCTGAACGTCTTTACAAACATGGCTCTCCCAGTTGCAACACCCTCCCCTGATCAGCTTTTTGCAGTCAACTCTTCCCCAAATCCCCCCTATCCTGGCCTTTGAGATTCTGTTCAGGCATTATGTCTGCCAGAAAATGGTCCTAAACTCTCAGACTTTCTCCAGGTCCCCAAGCCTCCCTAAAATTACTATCTTATTCATTTGCTATACTATATTGAGGGCCAGAATCATGTGTCATTCAACTCTGAACCCCCACAGCCTAAGCACCATGCTTGGCACCATAGCAGGTACTCAGTGAAGAATTATTTAACTGGACAAAATCAAACATACCTGAGTTCAAATTCTGGGATCTGCCATTTCCGAGATGTTTGAAACTGGGCAAGCTAACAAGGCTCCTTGAATGTTTTCCCATCTTAAAATGGAAGTCCCATCACCCACCTAAATAGGACTGTGGTGATGTTATTAAACATGTTCTGCAATGCAGGAAACATGATAATGACATATAATAGAGTACCACTGTCCTACAAGGCTCTTTCAGTTCTCAAAGATGCCACCTCCTGCCACAGAAACCATCATTTCCCTTGCTTTAAGAACAAGCTCCAAATTGACTAATAACTTGGTGCTGTCTCCCCCTCTTATATCAAGTCTGCAATGCTGAAAAAAATTCAAGTATCATCCCTTTCCATAATTACAGGTTGTTTTAAAATCACTTGTGGTTTAGTCACGTTATTTACAAACAAATTATCTCCTTTTGCCTTTTATCTCTTTCTCTACCTTAAACCATCAAAAAAAATTCTACTCCTAAAAGCAAGTTACCACTCTATTCTTCCACGAAACTTTCTGATTATCATCTGGTTTTCAAAATATATCTGAATACAGCAAGAAAATGCACTGCTCAGTAAACTCAATCTGCATAATATAAACTACTGTAAATTAGAATTTTCATCAAACTGAAACTAAAACACAATCAATGAAAAACAATTCCAAAAACAAACAAACAAAAAAAACAACAACACTTCAAAGCTGAAACAATCTTCCTTTATTTTTCTAAATTGCTTCAAAGGCTTCTCTTCCCACAATCTTCTTCACCAAATTTTATATTACACTTCTTTATCCTCTAGATTAAGTCTCCAAATTTTAAATTCCAAACCCCATCAGTAAAAAACCTGAACAAAAACAATTATATGTAGTTATTTATATATTAAATGATATACTATTGAATTACGTAGTTATGAAATCACAATAGAAATTTTAAAAAGAGATGAAAATGAAATGAACATTATTTTTAAACAGTTTTTTTTTTTAACATATTTGACAAACAAAAGCCTTTGAGCAATGACTTTTAAAATATTATGGCCGGGCGCAGTGGCTCACACTTGTAATCCCAGCACTTTGAGAGGCCGAGGTGGGTGGATCACTTGAAGTCAGGAGTTCGAGACCAGCCTGGTCAACATGGTGAAACCCTGTCTCCACTAAAAATACAAAAATTGGCCAGGCGTGGTGGCACGCACCTGTGGTCCCAGCTACTCAGGAGGCTGAGGCAGGAGAATTGCTTGAACCCAGGAGGCGGAGGTTGCAGTGAGCCAAGATCATGCCACTGCACTCCAGTCTGGGCAATAGAGTGAGACTCTGTCTCAAAAAATATGTATATATTATTAAGAATATTTTTAGTGAGGGCAATAATCAAATATGCTTTATTATTTATAAACTCCTAGTTGAACACTTAATGGTAAAGTAATCTGAAGGTATTGGTTCTAAACTATGATATCTAGTTTCTAGTTGTTGCCATAGCTAGGGAAACAAAAGACACCACATAAAGATATAAAGACACCATCAATGCAAAAAATTTACTGTTGCTATATTTTCTAATTCATTTTTCAACCCACCTGCCAATATGCAAAGGTTTATGTTAAAATTTGGCCAATAAATTTATTTGATGCCAATTTGTTATTTTTGTAAACTAAACTAAATCAGAAAATATTACAACTTTTTATTTTTAAAAAATAAGTTCAGGCCAGGTGCACTGGCTCACGCCTGTAATCCCAGCACTTTGGGAGGCCGAGGTGGGCGGATCACGAGTTCAGGAGATCGAGACCATCCTGGCTAACACGGTGAAACCCCGTCTGTACTAAAAATACAAAAAAAAATTAGCCAGGCGTGGTGGCGGATGCCTGTAGTCCCAGCTATTTGGGAGGCTGAGGCAGGGAATGGCATGAACCCAGTAGGTAGAGCTTGCAGTGAGCCGAGATCGTGCCACTGCAATCCAGCCTGGGTGACAGAGCGAGACTCTGTCTCAAAAAAAAGTTCAAACCCCACTGAAACTAATTGTGATGATTAATTTTATGTGTCATCTGGGCTGTGCCACTGTGCCCAAATGTTTACTTGGTCGAACATTATTCTGGATGTTTCTGTGAAGGTGTTTTTTAGATGAAATTAACATTTAGGCCAGGTACAGTGGCTCATGCCTATAATCCCAGCACTTGGGAAGGCCCAGATGGGAGACTCATTCGAGGCCAGGAGTTCGAGATCAGCCTGGGCAACACAGCAAGACCCTGTCTCTACAAAACATAAAAAAGGCTAGATGGCTCACATCTGTAAGCCTAGCACTTTGGGAGGCCGAGGCAAGAGAATCTCTTGAGCTCAGGAGTTCAAGACCAGCCTTAGCAACATGTTAAGACCCAATCTCTAACAAAAAAAATTTAAAAATTAGCCAGGCATGTTAGCACATGCTTGTAGTTCCAGCTACCTGGGAGACTGAAGTGGAAGAATTGTTTGAGCCCAGAAGGTCATGACTGCAGTGAGCCGTGATCACTGCACTTCAGCCAGGGTAAGAGAGCAAGACCCTATCTCAAAAATAAATATTAATAATAAATAAATAAATAAAATTAGCCAGGTGAAAGGCGGAGGTGGGAGGATCCCTTGAGTCCAGGAATTCAAGTTACAGTGAGCTGTGACTGTGTCACTGCACTCCAGCCTGGGTGACAGTGAGATCCTGTCCACAGGAAAGGAAGGAAAAAGAGGAGAAGGAAGGGGGAGGTGGGGAGGGGGAGAGGGTAAGAGGGAAGGAAAAAATTAATATTTAAATAGGTGTGTTTTAAGTAAAGCAGATTATGCTCCAAAAGGGGTGGGTGGGCCTCATCTAATCAGTTGAAGGCTTTCATTGAACAGACTGGCCTTCCCCCAGCAAGAAAGAATTCTGCCAGAATACTGACTTTGGTCTGAAACTACAACTGTTCCCTGGGCCTATCCTGCAGATCCCAAGCTTCCACAATCACGAGTCAATTTCTTAAAAGAAATTTTTCTCTATACATGTATATATCCTGTTGATTACCTGTCTCTAAAACACTGACTTTACAACAAGTAAAAGATTTCTGTTTCTAAGAATTTTAAGTGTACAGACAAAATAATATTTGCACATGACACAGATCATTTTCAGCAACAAAATTATATAATGAATACATTTCCAAACATTCATCATCAAAATGCTTTCTATATAGCTCAAATTTCTTTGGAAAAGCAGATATTCAGTCACCATTAAAATTTCTCTTTTATCTTGAAGGGACAGATTAAATTTTCTCAAAAATACCTGGTAGGTAAGCATACTAGTTAAAGAAAAATGTCAACAAATTTGAAACAGCCAGAAGATAAATAGCCAACCTGTATTAAACAAAGATTTTTCAATTGTCTCTCCCTGTTTCATTTGGAAACACTGTAAATAGCCTTAAAGGTATTGTTTTTATAAAACTAACCATAATAAAAATATAACTTAATATTCTGTGGACTTCCTGCTTTAGTTTTCTTTGCATACCTACAAATGAAGTGAATAAATTCCAACCTTATTCCAATTTCCTTTTTAAAATTCCAGCCAACACACTACTTTATCAGTGGTTAATACATTTACTGTTAAGAATAAATCTTTCTCAACACATCTTTCCTTTAGTGGGTCACAAAAAGGCAGTTTTAAATATAACTACTTTATTGAAACATTATTCATTATTGAAACAATCTAGACATAAGCTGAGAAATGTTGGAAACTTCTGTACTTTAATGAAACTGTACAACAAACTTTCCATGTGAAATCTCTCCTAAAAAATATTTCTATTTTTCCATGTGGCCTAAGAGTATTTGCTGAGATAATTTATTTTATTGCCATATTTTACACATATCACTATTTTCACCATAAAAGGAAGAGTTAGTGCTAATGATTGATACCGTTTGGCTGTGTCCCCACCCAAATCTCACCTCAAATTGTAATAATCCCCACATGTCATGGGATGGACTTCACGGGAGGTAACTGAATCATGGGGGCAGGTTTTTCCCTTGCTGTTTTCATGAGAGTGAATAAGTCTCATGAGATCTGATGGTTTTATAAAGGGGAGTTCCCCTGCAAATGCCAATGCTCTCTTGCCTGCTCCCATGTAAGACGTGACTTTGCTCCTCATTTGTCTTCCGCCATGATTGTGAGGCCTCCTCAGCCATGTGGAACTAACTGTGAGTCAATTAAACCTCTTTCCTTTATAAATTATCCAGTCTTGGATGTCTTTATTAGCAGTATGCGAACAGACTAATACAGCTACATAATAAGAAATATATACATTTGGTCTCCACCCCTGATTCTAAAACCCTTATTCCCTGAGTCACAGGGGTAAGAGGAGCATCTTTTGTTATTCATAATAACCCCCTTTCAATCATACCTAAATTTATGCTAATGCAGTGACTTTGAAGGACAAGGGCTGGCTGGAGAGGAACCAACCATGTGATCTGAGGGTTGAAACTTTCAGTTCTCCCCACCCCCAAACCTCCTGGGAAGAGAGAAGGGATGGAGACTGAATTTAATCAACAATAATTAATGATTTAATCAATCATACCTATGTAATGGAGCCCCCATAAAAACCCTAAACCATGGATTTGGAAACCTTCTGGGTAGGTGAACACATCCACTTGCAGTGCATCTCAACTCCACAGGAACAGAAGATCATGCACCCTGGGTCTTTCCAAATCTTACCCTAGGTACCTCTTCATCTAGCTGTTCATCTGTGTCCTTTATAATATCCTTTGTAATAAACCAGTAATAGTAAATGAAGTGTTTCCCTGAGTTCTGTAAGTCATTACAGCAAATTATCAAACTGGAGGAGGGGGTCACAGGAACCCCTGATTTGTAGCCAAGTCAGTCAAGTACCAGAAGTCCAGGACCTGCAATTGATGCTTGAAGTCCAGGCGGTATTATGGAACTGAACCCTTGAACGGTAGGATCTGTACCAACTCCAGACAGATAGTGACAAAATTGAACTGTAAGACATCTAGTTAGTGTCCAGGGAGTTGAAAAACTGGTTGTTCAAGTGGAAAAAACTCATGTGTTTGGTGTCAGAAGGAACACTTTTTCCTTTTAGCAAGAATATTTCTAATAGTGTACGTCTTTCACCACTAAGTTCAAAATTTCAAGAGACTTTCCAGTAACCCATATTCATATCATAGCAGCATTATGGAAGCAACCCACTTGTCCATCAACAAATAAGTGAATAAATAAAATGTGGTATATAAATACAATTAATATTATTCAGCCTTAAAAAGGAAGGAAATTCTGGCACATGCTACAAAACATGGATAAATATCTAAGACATCATGCTAAGTAAAATAAGACAGAAAAGGACAAATACTGTATGATTCCACCTACACGAGGTACTTACAATAGTCAAAACCAGAGAGAAGGAAGTAGAATGGTAGTTGACAGGGAACAGGGGTAGGAAGGAATGGGGAGTTATTTAATGAGTGTAGAGTTGCAAGATGAAGATCATTCTGGAGATTTATGGTGGTGATGGTTGTACAACAGTATCAACGCACTTAATGCCACTAAACTGTACATTTAAAAATGGTTAAGATGGTATATTTTACATTATGTATTTTACACAGTAAAAAAATCTTCACCCCTCCACCAAAAATAAATTTCCTGTGGTTCACCTATGCATTCACCATCATAGCTCACTGCAGCATCGAAATCCTGGGCTTAAGCCGTCCTCCAGCCTCAGTCTCCCAAGTAACTAGGACTACAGAGATGCCCCATGGCTCACTGCAGACTCGACCTCCTGAGCTTAAATGATCCTTCCAGCTCAGCTTCTCAAGTAGCTGGGACTATAGGCGCATATCACCAAGCCCAGCTAATTTTTGTATTTTTAGTAGAGACACGGTTTTGCCATGTTGCCCAGGCTAGTCTCAAACCCCTGAGTTCAAGCGATCCTCCTGCCTTGGCCTCCCAAAGTGCCATTTCAAATAACCTTCTCAATAATTTCTTAGAGGGGGAAGGTCACCTCTAATCCATATGATTATATAGACATTATATCTTTCTTTGTTAATAAACATTGTTTACGTTTTATTCTCAAACACATTAAGAAGCATCAACCTGGCCATTTCTTATCGTTTGCCTATATTCACATTAAAATATTATATTTAATCCACAGTTTCTTTTTTATATTTTATTTTTTAGGTTTTTAAGAGATGGGATCTGGCTCTTTCACCCAGGAATGTAGTGGCACCATCATAGCTCACTGCAGCGTCGAACTCCTGGGCTTAAGCTAATTTTTAAAAATATTTTGTAAAGACGGGGTCTTGCTTTGTTGCTCCGTCTGGTCTCAAACTCCCAGTCTCAAGCAATTCTCCCACTTGGGCCTCCCAAAGCACCAGGACTATAGGCGTGAGCCACCACACCCAGCCCAATCCATGGTTTCTTTATAGGAAACTTTCTAAGTCCAAGACAAGACACCAGTATCAACTCACATTTTAAATACTAGTAAAGTATCCCATTTCTTATTTTTTAGATAACATATAAACAGAAGTTCTAAGCTCTTTTCTCCTTATGTCAGTGGATCATCTTGTGTGCTCTTCTTTGAAGACCCATGCATTTAAATAATGCATTATCCTTTATCTAATTTTTATCAAGTCCTTCCTACCTACCCTACTAATATGGTTTTACTGGCTTTTCTCTTCTTGTTGTTATCTCCTCCACCACTGGTTCCCATAAAGAATTCATTTTCTATTTATCACTTTTCAAGCTCTTTCAGGATTCTCAAAGAAAAATTACTTCATCTAAAAAATAGATATCTAAGACCTGTATCAGATTGTTTTTAAAAACTAAATGTCATTCTTATTTTCTCCAGTACTCAAAATCATGCGTGCTGTGATTCCACTGGATAGAACCTTAGACTATATCTATGTATTAGCTCTCTCCAAAAGGTATTTTGAGAGTTGGTCACCATAACAAATGTCTAAAAGCTCAGCTAATCAGAATATTGAGAAAGTTAATCAAATTTCATTTTTCAGTTACTGATAAGTTACAAATTATAAAAATTATTTAGATACCATTTTTTAAAGTTTTAAATTTATTTTATAACTGACAAAAACTGGATATATGGATACAATGTTTAATTGTTAATGTTGATTTAAAACTCAAAATAGAACTGTACAAGTAGAAAACATAACAGAAGCCTATAATTGTGTTAAGTATATTTAAGGTTGTACTATACTTTTAAAATAAATAAAAGCCAACTTCAAAAAATAGCAATCAGCTTTAAAAGGCACCATAAAGGTAAAATATAATACAAGTTTAGCTACAAGTGAAACAAATTCTCTTCTTTTTAACAACTGTGACCTGGCAGTAGCTCATGCCTATCATTCCAGCACTTTAGGAGGCCCAGGTGGGAGGATAACAAACGAAAATTTTTTTATACTAGGTTATGGTGGCACATGCCTGTAGTCCTAGCTACCGGGGAGGCTGAGATGGGAGGACAGCTTGAGCCTAGAAGTTCAAAGTTACAGAGAGCTGTGATCATGCCACAGTGCTCCAGCCTGGGTGACAGAGCAAGACCCTGTCTCTTTGGGGTGGGAAAAAAAAAAAGTCATTCAGCCTTTCTTTAGTGGTCACACTATTAGTGATCAAACAATTCCAGAAACATGAGAGAAGAAGGCTGGAAAGCAAGGAATGGTTTTAATCACCACAATATAAAGTAGAAAGTTTTTAAATTAAAATATAAGAATCAGCCAGGCATGGTGGCTCACGCCTGTAATCCTAACACTTGGGAGGCCAAGGTGGGAGGATTGCTTGAGTCCAGGAGTTCATGACCAGCCTGGGTAACACAGCAAGACCATCTCTAAAAAAAATAATTTTTTAAAAAAAGTAGCCAGGCATCATGGCCCATGCCTGTAATCCCAGCTACTCTGGAGGCTGAGGTGGGAGGATTGCTTGAGCCTGGGAGGTTGAGGCTGCAGTGAGCCATGATCGCACACTGCACTCCAGCCTGGGTGACAGTACAAAACCCAATCTCTTAAAAATAATTAAGTAAATAATAAAATGTAAGAATCAAAGTCATGAAGTCTTAGATTATCAAAAGTAACATCTTCCAACCTCTTTAGTTTCAAAGCCTGAGATCATACATCCTCCTGGCTCCACATCAGCAAATACTTTGGGACTATGGAAAAGGTCAAGGGAAAAGATCATGACAAACTAAAGGAGTGAAGGTGAGCAGTATTCTGAAATCATCTGTAAGTTAGAAATAAAGAAGAATATTAAGTCATCAAAGAGGCATCACTTCCCTATTCTCTCTACCTTTAGCACTGTTCTTATTCCTATGGATTTATTCCAGATAGAACCTGGAATAAATTACTAGTTAGTAATTTCAGCTAGTTGGACTTACTCAGAGTTCAACTTCCTCATTTCCTTGTCTTAAATATCCTCTCACTTCCTTTTCCAACACATTCATTCTTACCATAGCTTGTGTGAAATGAATCTCTGTATCAGTGGTGAGCTCTAATTTAAATCTTATCATCTTATATGTAAACTCAAGAAAGCTCATTTTCTGTTTCCTTTGGGCATTCTTTTTTAATTTTGTAAAATATTTAAAGTTATTTTACTGTATTTACTTGGAAACACAAGGAAAATATTCTAAATTAAAGCTGGCATCAGCACCAACATAAATGTCCACATTATGTAGTATAACTCGAATTATATGTTGCTACAAGGTTCTACCGTATAGTAATGTGAGGCAATAAATATTATGTTTACTCAGTCTTCTTGCTTTTATCTGTATGTCTTTAATGTAATTTAATTTAAAAAAAACTATTTTATGTATCACTTTAGAAGTCACTATTTAATATTCAATCCTTGTTTTCCCAATTACTTTGATACAGCCTTGCATCCAAATGAAGTACCAATAAAGTACTTTTTGGTAAAAAACCAAGTGTCATCATCATTTTAAAAATACTTTCTTCACTAAAAAGCAGAATAATGACTTTGCTGTCCTAGTTTGGACTTGCTCTATGGCTCTGACTTTCTGCCAAAGTTCCTCCAGCACTTCTGAATACCAAACTACCACCAAAAATGTTTTTAAAGATCTAACACAACTGACTTTTCTCCCTCTTTAACTCTTATGGACTGCAGAAACTTTTTGTTTCAGTCTCATAGAGCTAAAACACCAACTTCCATTCAGGATCAACCATGTCTATCCTCAAAGAAAATTGAGAAATATTGTAGAATTTTTAAAAAATCAATTTAGTTATTTTTGGTTTCTCATGGTGTTGTTTTTTTAAAGATAGGGGAAAACTCGCATATTTGGGAAACTCCTCCAAGTCTTTTCATTTAATTTTTTCTTAAATTTAAATTAAGGTTGTAGTGACTTCAAAATCTACCCAAACGATCTTTCCAATACCCTACTGCAATTTTTTTTTTAACTTCTCTGTGATTTTCACTTCCACTCCACCTTAGTAAGTCATTCCCATGGTCATCTCCATTGTCAATAGCAATAACTGCCTTATGAAGTAGGAAGAATGTCAATCTTGTTTCTCCCACTCCACTTCCCTGCAATAAATTTCAAGAATATCTTTCTCAGACAGCTACCCTGTCAAGTCACTCCCTGAAATACCCCAAGTCCAACAATTTTTTGGCCCCACAGAGACCACAACCCATTGTTCCCAACACATCATTATTATTATCCTTCACCCACTCCTGTCGTCATATCCACCTTTATACAGCTTGGATTCCCTAAGCCGTCATTATAATCACTCCTTCCAAATATACTCACTGTCCTTGCCCCTCTCTAGCTTTGCCAAATTTCAACCCTGATTTATGGTTAGATTTTTACTAACCCTTCCTCATGCTGCTGAAGAAAGTTGGAAAAAAGAAAAGAAAGAACCAGGTTGGCTAGTTGTGCTTTGAAATTCATGTCTATTACCTAAGGGACTTTAATACTACTTAGCTCAAAACCATTCACTACTTCATTATCCTAGCCAACTATCTCATACCTTATTCTTTTCCTTTAAATTTACACCATCTCCTAACCATCTCACTCTTAGCTAATAACCTTGCCTCCTACTTCACTAAAAGAGAAACAGTCAGAAGGTAACTCCTTGTTCACCAACTCTATTTTTTACCACAATACCTGCATGTTTTTATTAGGCATTCCTGGTTATTACTTCGGATAAACTGTCCATAACCCTAATACTTCTGCTTACCTGGAGAACTAGTGCAGTTACAAGTTCAGTTGTTAAAATGGTTAAAACCCTGGGCCTACATATGTTTGATGTATTCCAGGAAGAGCAAAAAGCTGAATAAGCAAGCCACAGCTGAGCGAGCAAGAGGGGAGAGTAGTAGATATTGGAGTGTGTGAGCGCCAGAATGCCAGTTTATATGCCCCATCTTCCACCATAAGGACCTTGGCTTTAACCCTGAGTTGGAAATACATTGGAGGGTATAACCTCCAATAAACCTGGCATGACCCAATGCAAGTTTTTAAATAGATCACTGGAGTTTCCATGTTGATTAAAAACTAGCTCAAGGTCCACAGACCCACCAACCCTGAACACATCTGATCTTGACTGATCTTGGAAGCTAAGCAGGGTCAGGCCTGGTTAGTATTTGGATGGGAGACTGCTTGGGTATACTGGGTGCTACAGGCTTTTTCTTTTTAAAAAAGACAAACAAAACAAAAATTACACGCACACACAATACACACATACACACACACACCCCGAACTCAGAGCAAGAGAGACCTTTTAAGGAGGCTACTGCAATAATCCAGACCAGAGATGAGCTAGTTTGGTCCAGAGTAAAAGCAGCAGGGTAGTGAAAAGTGGTTAAGATTTTGGATATATTCCGAAGGTAATGTTAACAAAATTTTCTAATATTTTGAGCATGGGTTGTAAAAGAAAAACAAACATCAATTTTGAGCCCCATGAACTAGAAGGATGAAACTGCTTTTAACTAAAATAAGAGATCAAGTTTGGGCAATGGGAAGAAAAAAGTTTTGGCTTTAGACAGTTAAATTTGAGATGTCCTTAAGACATCCAGGTTGACATGTTGAGTAGGCAACTAAATACATATGTCTGGAATTAATAGTAGTGGTCCTGCTGAAGATACACGATAAAAAAATTACCCTGGACATGATTGCAATTATGCCTTGTTGCACACCAATATTCAGAGGTCAAGGAATTGATGAAGAACCAGCAAAGGACACTGAGGAGTGACCAGTGAGGTACAAGTAAAACTAGAAAAGTGTGGCATAATTTATAAGAAGACAAATGAAGATCACTACAGTGATGAAAATCTTAGTCCTGAATTCAGGGCGTTTATGGCTAGTTAGGTTGACCTGTTAACAAGATCTTCCAAGGTCTTCTAAGGAGCCTCATTCCCTTATATGATTTTCTCTTTTTCTGAATTTCCACCAGGCCTGGAGTCAAAAATCTCTGTCATGTGGTTGGTTAGTGAAAACTTATTTGTTCTGCTTTCCTCTATCGAATGCAGTGACAAATTAAGTATGATGAAAAATGAGATGCCAAACATGTACTACAGCCTAACTTTGTAACATTTCAGACTGTAAGAGTTGAAATTTACTTGACAAACTATACACTCAGTTTGAACACTTTGACTTACACTGATTATCCAAATCAGGCTTTCTTGGATGAAAAGAAAGTGATAGGGGAGTAAAGAATGGGCAAAATCAAATCCCAGGTACCCACTGTTACAGACATGAAACAAAACAAGCAAAATTAAAAGCCAACATTTGGGGGGAAGAAAAAAGAAGCCAAATGAATAATGTATTATTTCAAGGAGGAGAAAGTGTTCCACTTTGTCAGGTGCTATTAAAAGTAGTAAAAAGACTGAAAACTGACCACTTTAGCAACATGCAGATCATTGACTGTCTTAAGAGCAGTTCTGTTGAAATAATGAGGGTAAGAGCCTGACTGAAATGGGTTCCAAAAGATTAGATAGAAGTTGAAGACAGTAAGCATGGACATCACTTTTAAGGAATTTTGCTTGAAAGGAGAGAAAGGATATGAAAAATAGCTAAAGAGAAGAGTGGGGTCAAGTGAGGGTGGTTTTTAAGATAAAAGAAATAATATGATTTTCTTGCTAATGGAAATGATCTGAAAGAAAAGAAAACACTTAAGTGTAGAAGCAGTGTTCATTGCTGGAGCAATGAGCACTGAGCCTTTGCTAAGAGCATGAGCAGTTCAATTACAGTAACAGGAGAGAAGGCAAAGTAAGTGGGCATAGGTCTAAACAGCTTGGTAGATGTGGTAGTAGGAGCACGTGGAAATTCTCCTACGATTGCTTCTGTTTATTTTCAGTAAAACAGAAGGCAAGGTCAATAGTTGAGATTTACTTATTCAGAAAGTCTTTGAATTAAGAATTATTATTATCAGTTACCTGCTCTGAGATTCACATTCCTCAACTGTCAAATGAGAACACCTATGCTGCCTACCTTACAGGGTTGTTGTGAGGGTCAAATGAGAATGTATGTGAAAGACTGGTAAATGGTAAAGCACTTTAAAAAAAAAAAAAGTATTCTGCTACAGAGCCATATTTTACCCATTATTTTCTTCATCTTCTTGAAAATTATGGAATTATAGAAGAGTGACATTTTTACATCTGAAACTCTAATAACTAGCTGGGCACATCTCAACATGCAAGTGATTCTGATTTTTTTTAATTCCAAAATAACTGTATTACACCAAAATAGTGGTACATCCGTGCAATAAAGGTATATGAGACCAAACATCAATGCTGTAATAACTACACATGAACAGTAGGCTAACATTTTCCATGTTCACTTAGAGCTTTTAGTATACTAAAAACTCTAAGTACAGAATCCATTTGTAATTCTTTGCATCTGCCATCTAACACAGTGTCATTTACTAGCACTTGATCTCTGAGCTTCCTGTTCCACATCTGTAAAACTGGAGTAATTACACAATTCTAAAGTGAAAAGATTAAATGAAATATAAATAATGTGGCCAGACACGTTGGCTCACGCCTGTAATCCCAGCACTTCAGGAGGCTGAGGCAGGCAGATCACAAGGTCAGGAGTTCGAGACCAGCCTGGCCAACATGGTGAAACCCCATCTCTACTAAAAATACAAAAATAATCAGCCAGGCGTGGTGGCAGGCACCTGTAATCCCAGCTACTCGGGAGGCTAAGGCAGGAGAATCGTTTGAACCCGGGAGGCGGAGGTTGCAGTGAGCTGAGACCACACCACTGCACTCCAGCCTGGGCAACAGAGAGAGACTCCACTTCAAAAAAAGAAACGAAATATAAATAATGCATTTAACATAGTACTTGGCACTGGTAGCTATTACTATTCATTTAATGCAACAAAAAAATGAGTGCTGAGCTTGGCACTAGGGATGTGAGTAAAAATATACTTAGTGGAAAGGAGAGTTATCAAATAATCACTTGTCTTTAATTTCACTAGCTAGGACCTCCAGAATGTTATATACAGTAATGACTGTTAACAATTTTTAGTGGTCAGCTTTGTATGACTGAACTTCATACAATACATAGGTTTTATGTCTTCTAGCAAACTCAATATATAAATGTATTTATTAAAAAATTAAATTACAGGATAATTGTTCTCTATAGGGGTCTTTAAAATAGTATATGTTCTTAGGACAATTAAAATGATTTGATTAATCCAAAATAAATTTACAAACTATCAGAGCATATCTGTTGTGTGAAGTAAGCTCTATCTGTGTAGTATATGAGCCATCTTCCCATCTTCCCACACAGCTATCTTATTTCACAGTTCTTTGTAATGTGGGAGATCCTACTACCTTTCTTTCCTTTTTTTTTTTTTTTTTAGAGATAGGGTCTCATTCTGTTGCTCAGGTTGGAGTGCAATGGCACAATCACAGCTCACTGCAGCCTTGACCTCCTGGGCTCAAGCAATCCTCCTGCCTCAGCCTTCCAAATAGCTGGGACTACAGGTATGTGCCACTATGCCCAGCTAATTAATTTTATTTGTAGAGACAGTGTCTTGCTATGTTGGCTAGGCTGGTCTCGAACACCTGGCTTCAAGGGATCCTCCCACCTTGGCCTCCCAAAGTGCTTGATTACAGGTGTGAGCCATTCCTCCCAGGAGCTGTCTTTCACTTCTGTTTGACATTAGCCTCTCTATTGTTCAGCACTGCTCTGCCTCCCAACATCTCAAACTTGAGCCCAGGGTCATTCAGTAGTTAGGGTTAACACCATAACTAGAGTTTAAGATTAACTATTTTAAATCTAGTTTTCTTTATGTTATACTGTTTAGCCTTTGCTCAGATTCTCAAGTCATTTGCTTCCATAGTTATCCCTGCTACCTACCAACCTAGACTACTTCCTGCCAGGAGTTCCTCTACCCTCACACCAATTAGCAACACAGTTTGGTCCCCCTGTGCTGACATTTTATCCTGACATCAGAGAACATAATTAGCGAACAGGGGATTCAAGAACAGAACTAGTCTTTGTGTATAGGCACTCATATTTTTAACATGAAAATTCTCTAGAACAGGGCTAAGCATCCCTTTGCACCATCTCTCTCTGATTTCTTGGCTTCTCATTGGGCTCACTTTCCATTTTACTCTAGTCTGTTTTCCCCTTTTCCCTTTCTGAGACTCAATCTACTTGGTGACTGCAATGTTTAAGTATGAAATCTAATCATAGGCCTTTACAGCTAGAAGAGACTTCAAAGATCAGTCTCTATTTACAGATGAGGAAACTGAAGCCTCAAGATGAAACTATTTGCCCAGCCAGGCGTGGTGGCTCACGCCTGTAATCCCAGCACTTTGGGAGGCCAAGGCGGGAGGATCACAAGGTCAGGAGTTTGAGACCAGCCTGCCCAACATAGTGAAACCCCATCTCTACTAAAAATACAAAAATTAGCCGGGCATGGTGGCGCACGCCTGTAGTCCCAGCTACTCAGGAGGCTGAGGCAGGAGAATTGCTTGAACCCAGGAGGCAGAAGTTGTGGTGAGCCAAGATCACATCACTGCACTCTGGCCTGGGCAACAGAGAGAGACTCCATCTCAATAAACTATTTGCACAAAGTAACAGAGTTAAGAAACAGCTAAATCAATGATGCAGATGTCTTGACTTAATTAGCTTTGTTCCCTTGTGTTGATGCTTTAAATCAGTTCACTTAAGTAAATTCTCTAAGACTATTTATTATTTGGAAAGCAAATAGGCTTTCTGGCTCTAATCTAATCTGAAGGAATACTTAGTTCTTGGTATATTCATGGGAATAACTCCAAAGAGTGACCTCATACTATTCTTAGCATATAATTATGGTTAAATATTGAGATAATTTAGTTTTATCTATATATGGTCTATTATATTTTGGAAGAAGCAACACTGATCTAGACAGAACTCTTATGGTTCATTTTTATCCATAATATTGAAAAATCTTAATATTTAGGATTAAGAAATTATGATTAATGTAGTCAATTTCATATAATAGATAGATGCATAATAATTTAATCAGAAGTCTCCATGATCCAAAACAGCAATACTCTGAACATATATATGAATAATTTAGGCTGTGGTTTATTCTTTCATGACTTACTGTGACTGTAATACTGGTGGGAGGCACTGAGTAAAACGGAAATGATTAAGTAAATGAATTCTCCTGCACATCAACATAAACTAGGCACCATTAGTGGCACATTAAATTTTGTCCTTTTCATATTGACTCTATATAATTCTTTATTCAACATCGAAAACTTGCCTGTGACCCGGTAGGGTGGTTGCTACTAGCTTTCCTTTCTTTTTTTTTTTTTTTTTTTTTCGAGACAGGGTCTCACTCTGTTGCCTAGGCCAGAGTGCAGTGGCACCATCACAGCTCACCACAGCATCACCACCTTTCTGGGCTGAAGTGGTCCTCTCACCTGAGTAGCTGGGACTACAGGAGTGTGATACCATGCTTGGCTACTTTTTGTTTTTTGTTTTTTTTGTTTTTTTTAGACGGAGTCTTGCTCTGTCGTCCAGGCTGGACTGCAGTGGCACGATCTCGGCTCACTGCAAGCTCCGCCTCCTGGGTTCAAGCCATTCTCCTGCCTCAGCCTCCTGAGTAGCTGGGACTACAGGCGCCCGCGACCACGCCTGGCTAATTTTTGTATTTTTAGTAGAGACGGGGTTTCACCGTGTTAGTCAGGATGGTCTCGATCTCCTGACCTCATGATCCACCCACCTCGGCCTCCCAAAGTGCTGGGATTACAGGCGTGAGCCACTAAGTTTTTGTATTTTTTGTAGAGAGAGGGGTTTCACCATGTTGCCCAGGCTAGTCTTGAACTCCTGGGCTCAAGCAATCTGCCTGCCTCAGCCTCTCAAAGTGGTAGGATTACAGGTGTGAGCCACTGTGTCTGGCCTGCTACTAGCTTTCATTTCAATAAATCATTACCATGCACAGTATTGTAAATGAATACATAATTTCAGACTTTTAAAAATAACTTCATTTCAAGAACGATTCTTATTTTTACTCCTAAAAGAGCACTAGAGCGAACCTTATACTGCACATGAAGTACTTACAAGCATATTTATAAAAAAATTTAAAGAAAAACTATTAAAATTCTTAACTTGACCTTTAACATTTACATAAAATGGCTCTAAATGGAAAAAGAATGATTTCTTTTTGCTAATGTGAAATAAATCATATGTTTACAGTAATAATTAACAGATATACTAGGAGAAAAGTACACACATAGACGAAGTTTAGCAGCTAAGAAGAAATGAAAATAAGGCAAACAAAAAAATTTTTTGGGTTGTGCTTGTGTTTATTTGGTAGATTTATTTATTTTTTACTTATTTATTTATTTTTGAGACAGGGTCTCACTGTGTTGCCCAGGCTGGAGTGCAGTGATGTGATCACGGCTCACTGCAGCCTCCACCTCCTGGCCTCAGTGATCCTCCTCCCACCTCAGCCCCCCGAGTAGCTGGGACTACAGGTACACGCTACTACAACTGGCTATTTTTTGCATTTTTAGTGGAGATGGGGTTTCGCCATGTTGCCCAGTCTGGTCTCAAACTCCTGGGCTCAAGTGATCCTCTGGCCTCAGCCTCCCAAAGTGCTGGGATTACAGGTGTGAGCCACTGTGCCCAGCCTTTGGCAGATTTTTATTCAAATGCAACAGACTGAAATTTTACCTAAATACAGACCAACACTTTCCTTTTTTTCCCAATTTTTAAAAAATTTCTCATCTACTTTCAAAAAGGATTGATAAGAATGACCAACAATTACGTAGAAATGGACAGTTTATTCAGAGGTGGCAAGGAACTATAACAATGTGTCAAAAAGGTATTATAATTAGGACAGCAGTCTGTTACTCTCTTGTATTCCAAGCTCAGAAGTAAAATTTATTTTGAACCTCAGTTTCTCTTGAATTTTACCGTATGTTCATTTCAGTACAGGAGTAAATTAGTAAGAGGCTTGTAAGTGTGACTTGATAAACTAGTTAAGATGTTTGATTATTATTATTTTATCCCATAATTAATGGGCCAGTCTCCTTAATTTTCCCTGTTAAGCATCCTTAAACATGTCAGACATCAATATTGTTTTCCTTTCTTATGGTGTTAATACTAAGTAGTTACAACTCTTCATTTAGTAGCTATATATTTGATTACTGACAGGCTGATAGTGATAATAAAGATTGGGTATGAAGTGTGCTTTCACTAAAATATTGAAGGAATAGTATGCAACAAATGGCTGCCTCACACTTTTAGCCTTAGGGAAAAAAAAGGAGCACACATGGACCTCTGGGGCCTATCTAACTGCTTATATAGAAATTAAGAAGTTTGTTCTACACATAGAAACACTGAGATTATGTGTTGTAAAGGGACCTCTACATCAAAAGGGGGGAAGTTTCAACTGCTGATTGGTTATGTGCTTCTTCCGCTGGAGCATTTGTCAGGAAAATGTCTATGGTAACACAAGTAAGATTAATCACATCATACATTGGAGGAAGCGATTGGGATTATGATTTTTTTTTTCATAATTCTACCCGAACCATTATTTGCTCTTGCACAAATTGGAAGATGTGAGATACAATCTGGCAACTTTATAATACAGAAACCTGTGGAAGAGATTTTAATAAATTGATTCCTTAAGAATTAAGAGACTCAGCCAGGCACAGTGGCTCACGCCTGTAATCCCAGCACTTTGGGAGGCCGAGGCAGGCGGATCACGAGGTCAGGAGATTGAAACCATCCTGGCTAACACGGTGAAACCCCGTCTCTACTAAAAATACAAAAAATTAGCCGGGCGTGGTGGCAGGCACCTCTAGGCAGGAGAATGGCATGAACCCAGGAGGTGGAGCTTGCAGTGAGCCAAGATTGTGCCACTGCACTCCAGCCTGGGCGACAGAGTCCCTCTCAAAAAAAATTAAAAAAAAAAAAATTAAGAGACTCTAAGAGACCCAACTTACAGGACCCCTAGAGTCATCAGCAAGAAAGTAGGAAGACACTTGAAGGGAAGCACACTCCAATGCATCAATGTCTAGAGAAAATTTCCATGCATTTCTCATTTAATCTTCACCCACAACAACCCTATGAAGTTGGTGGTTTTATAGATAGAGGAATGGGTTCTCAAAAGATTAAGTCATTTGTGAAAGTTAAAATTTTTGGAGAGTCTTTCCACTCGCTATGGCAAGAAAAAGACAACAGCATTGTTGATGTGTCCAAGGTATTCAGACTTAGGTTGGTATGCGGATGGAACAAGTGGCCACTAGAGGTTTACTCATTTCTCTTTGTTAAATTGTTCTCTTCACTAAATTGTTCTGAGGTTCAGTAAAATCATAAAATGAAGAACTGCATGCTTTGTGGGGAAAGGGATTGTTGTGGGAAGTCAGGGACCCCTAACAGAGGGACCAGCTGAAGCCGCGGCAGAGGAACATAAATTGTGAAGATTTCATGAACATTTATCACTTCCCTAATAATACTCTCATAATTTCTTATGCCTGTCTTTACTTCAATCTCTGAACATAAATTGTGAAGATTTCCTGGACAGTTATCAGTTCCCAAATAATACTCTTATAATTTCTTATGCCTGTCTTACTTTAATCTCTTAAACCTGTTATCTTCGTAAGCTGAGGATGTACGTCACCTCAGGACCACTATTGTACAAACTGATTGTAAAACGTGTGTTTGAACAATATGAAATCAGTGCACCTTGAAAAAGAACAGAATAACAGCGATTTTCAGGGAACAAGGGAAGACAACCATAAGGTCTGACTGCCTGCGGGGTTGGGCAGAATAGAGCCATATTTTTCTTCTTGCAGAGAACCTATAAATCAATGTGCAAGTAGGAGAGATATCGCTAAATTCTTTTCCTAGCAAGGAATATAACACTAAGACCCTAGGAAGGAAAAGAATTGCATTCCTGGGGGGAGGTCTATAAACGGCTGCTCTGGGAGTGCCTGTCTTAGAGCCTTTCTTAGTGGTTGAGATAAGGACTGAAATACGCCCTGGTCTCCTGCAGTACCCTCAGGCTCACTAGAGTGGGGAAAAACCCCACCCTGGTGAATTTGAGGTCAGACCAGTTCTCTGCTCTGGAACGCTGTTTTCTGTTGTTTAAGATATTTATCAAGATAATACGTGCACAGCTGAACACACACCCTCATCAGTAATTCTAATTTTGCCCTTTGCCTTGTTATCTTTGCTTTTGTCCTTGCCCTGTTTCCTCAGAAGCATGTGATCTTTGTTCTCTTTTTGCCCTTTGAAGCATGTGATCTTTGTGACTTACTCCCTGTTCGTACACCCCCTCCCCTTTTGAAGTCCTTAATAAAAACCTGCTGGTTTTGGGGATCAGGTAGGCATCATGGACCTACCGATATGTGATGTCACCCCCAGCGGCCCAGCTGTAAAATTCCTCTCTTTGTACTCTTTCTATTTCTCAGACCGGCCGACAGGGAAAATAGAAAGAACCTACGTTGAAATATTGGGGTGGGTTCCCCCAATAAGGGATAAGATTTAGAAGAGTTACAAATTTTGATGTACAAATTTTGCTTTAAGTTTAAATGGCTGCCTTTTAGAAAGCAAACCTCAGGATGTGTCAAATCATTAAGTATCTTCCTTGTCAATGTGACTGTGTGAATTAAAGAAGACCTGAGTCCGAATTAAACTTACCAAACATTTACCTCTTTATTTCTACATCTATCCATCTATCTATACCATGAGTTTACACCAATATCTCCAATTCCAATCTAACACCAACACCTTTCAATATTTGTAATTTCCTTCTCCAACAGTCAAAAAACCTGGCTCCCTTTATCCTTAATATATTAACTCACTTAAAACAATCTCCAGCAGGTAGTAATCAGTCTCTCATTGCCACCATGGCTACATACAGGTACCCTCTTTACTGTACTCAAGGCTTCATACCTTATTAGACTGCCACTGCTGCCCCCTACTCTAACACTCTCCATCAAGCTGATGCCACTGTGCTGCTGTCTGCATGGACTGCCCCCCTCTCCACCTGGGTTCTACTATCCTGAGGCTGGCTGCCCTCCTGCACAGGATGCCCTCATCATTCCACTTAGGCTCCAACACACTGCAATGGGTTATAGCTGCCACTCTTTCTACTCTCCCAAATGGTCATCCTCCTTATCCCATTCATGCTCTGATACCCTACACTGAGTCTGCCATCCTCTCACATGGAGGCTGTCCTCTCTCTCTCTCTGCTTAGGCTCTGACTTACCATTCCAGGCCACCTCCTACACTCCTCAAGACCCAGGTTCTGATACCCTGCTCTAGACCATCGCAGCTTCCAACACCAAAGACATCAACCATGCTGAGCCTCACTTCAATTGCTCAGAGGGTAAAAGAGAGAAGGGAAAGTTCCTCCTATTCACTTTAAATTCTGATTTACATTCTTGAACTATCAGTTCCCCATTTATCCCTAACTGGAAAGATTCTTAATTCACACAGTTTTCACAGTGTGAATTATTCACAGTTTGCTTATTCTACAACCAAAGTGAATCTGTGTGTGTTCCAGACATTTTAAAAAATAAAGTTTATTTCTAACACAGAATTAGTCTGTGTCTATCGATGGTACTCACAATTATAGAAAGTAAGAGGACTGTTAAAGAAACAGAAAAGGCAGAATTAAAAACAATTATTGTATCTTATTACATCTTTTAGCTTTCTGGAATAAAAATGTTTTAACCACAAAATGCACTAATGCAGGGTATGGTTATAGTAGGACATCTGAAATAGAAATATGGATTTTTCAAATTAGACTCAAGTATTTATTCTGCTTATCTGCCTTTACTGTTCAGGAAGGTTATGATTTTCAATTTTAGAGTGAATAATCTCTTCCTTTTAATTCATTTATATTTATCTTTAGAGCATTCTTCATTTTCTGAGAAGCAGTAATAGCTTTGTACTACAATTCATTTTTGTGCTGAAGAGTATTTAAAGGTCTAATGAGAAATAGAAGAGCTTTACAGCATCAAGTGCACCCGAAAGTTTGCAGAATGAACATATACAAGCTACTATTTTATAGATTAACACATTTTTCTACCATCTATTTAAGACAAAAACCTTAGTTGGTGGTAACACAAATCTAAATAGGTTTACATTCACCTCGTTTTTATTCCAACAGATAATTCAGCAGTTGTTGCTTATAAACACTGTACAGTAAGACAGCACACTGCCATATTATACATGTGTCTCAGCTCATTCATTCGTTTTTCATTTATTCACACAGGATACACTCACTTTGTAATAATTAGCCATCTACTACCCTGTATCTCTATTGCCATCATTCTACTCCAAGCTACAATTACCATTTGTTTAATACTGCAATAGCCTCTTGACTGATCTCTCAGTGTGCTTTCTAATTATCCTCTAATCTATTTTTCACATTGTAGTTAAAGTGATCTTTTCAAAATGCAAGTGAGCATGTCAGGCAATATGGTACAAATATTACGGGCACTGATTCTGTATCTAGGCTGCCTGTGTTCAAATATAGACTCTGCCATTTATTAGCTGTGTCACCTTGGGCAAGCCATTTAACTTCTCTGCCTTGTTTCATCATTAGTAAAATGGAGAGATGTCAATTTATGTATCTTAAATGACTGGAAGGATTAAACGAACTAATATGGTAAGTGTCCTGTGAATGGTGGTCACCTTATCAACTTCAGTAACACATCTTTCTCTGTGTCTGTTTTGCTCTGGCTACAATGGATTTTTTTTGTTTGTTTCATTTTTCATTGAGAAAGACACCCTCCTGTTTAAGAGTATTTGCACATGCTACATCTTTTTTCTGAACTCCCCCCCTCTGCCCACTCACACACACCTATTATCTCCTAACCATTTTTCAGATCTCTGTTACAATCTTTTCCACAGGACACCCTTGCTGAACTTAGTGGTGGGTTATGTTTTTATGCTGATATCATCTTACAGAATTTTACTTACTTACCCCTCTATGCAACTATCTGATTAATAGCTCTCTTTCCACCATACCAAAAACATAAGGATATTTTTGTTCACATAATATCCCTATCCTTAGGTTAACATTCAATTATTTGTTGAATTAAATGAATAATAATAACTGCCACCAGTGCCAAGCACTGTGTTGAGTGCTTTTATATATTATCTCATTTAATCTCTCCTTGAGAGTAGGCGTAATTACTCCTATTATTATACAAACATGGAAAGTAAGGCTCAGGGTTTACCAGCTAGTAAATGACACTGGACTAGATGGAAGATACAAAGAATTAAAAGCAGATTCTACACTTAAGAGTTTACAGTCTACTAAGAGCTGAATAAATACTTTAATTGAACATAGAATCAGTTACATATCATTTGTACATTACTATCGCAATGTTGGTGTTCAGTCCAATATTTCACATGATGTTTTAATGCACTAACATACCAATGAAATTAAACAAGAGAAAGAAATTGGAGGTATAAACATTGCAAAAGGAAAATATAAACATATTGCTACTTGCAGACCTTGTACCTGCAAAATCTCAAAAACTCAAGAAAACTGGCCAAAAAACTATTAAAAAAACAAAATTGAGTCGGGTAACAAAACACAGAATATGTAGAAATCAGCCATTTTCATATATAAAACTACCAGTAAGAATTTCTGATTTCACAATTATATTTCACAACTCTGTAAAGTTAGTAACAGGCAACCTTACTTTATGTTTCCTTTTAGTAAACAGAATAATTCAAATACTTAAAGCTGTTAATAATGATTATTTTGTTATTATTTTACAACTACTCTCATGCATAATTTCTTATGAATAGCAGTTTTTATCCTTTACAAGTTATGTTAATTGATTTTTATGTTTACAGCTTATTTATCTAACATTTACACTTATGCAAAATATTTCATGAAATGTGATGATTGGCTCAGAGTATCTCTTTATTACATGCATGTGATGTGTACTGAGTGGTGGAGATAAGGAGTTTGGTTTTTGTTTTGGGAGTTTTTTTGAGACAGGGTCTCACTCAGTCACCTAGGCTGGAGTGCAGTGGCACAACCACAGCTCACTGCAGCCTCGACCTCCCAGGCTCAAGTGATCCTCCCACCTCAGCCTCCCAAATAGCTGGGACCACAGGCACGCACCACCCTGCCTAATTTTTTTGTATTTTTTTAGACGAAGGTGTCTCTCTACGTTGCTTCTGGCCTCAAGTGATCCTCCCACCTTGGCCTCCCAAAGTGCTGAAATTATAGGCATGAGCCACTGCACCTGGCCTAAATGTATTTTAAATAATAAAATTTTTTATTATATATTTTCAGAATATGTAAAGCTTGAATCTTTAGTTTCTAAAAGTTAGGAGTATATTTTACTTCTTTCATTGCAAACTGCAGCTCTATATATTTTGCATGTCTCATAGTTTTTTAGTTGTATGTGTATCATCATTCTAGACATCAAGAAAAACTCAAAAAAGAAGAAGTCACTTCAGATTCTGTTCACTTAAAAAAAAAATACAAAATGACCTTGGCTCTAGTTCTCTACTGGAAATGAACAAGCTTTAGAATTCAGTTATCATGACACAGTGCTACTGTTATCACTTTTATTTCTCCAGTTTCCTTGATATATATATCTCCTACTAAGGAATTGGAGGTTCATAACAAGACATCAAAGAAAAGAAGCTAGGTGTGAGAATGAGAACTACAGTGAAAAGAGGCAGAAGAAGTTAGGATGTAGTTATTTAGTAAGGTAACTTAAAAACAAAAAAACAAGAATGGCTTATAGGCTCTGGCCATCATCTCTCTAGCTTCATCTCACATCATTCTTTCCCTGAACCTCTAAGCCCCAGCATTATGGCCTCTCTCTAACTCTAAGAAATGATTGACAAAATAACCTGGGTAGGATTTTTAAAATATATACTCTCCAGACCTAGTAAATCAGAATCTCTGTAGAAGGGGCCTGTTTTGTTTCAAAAGAACCAGGATGTGTGAAGAACATTCCACAGAGAAGCCTTCTCAGGCTAGGCACGTCTATTCTAAGTTTCCACAGCTCTCATCACACTTGTAGTAATTTGCTCAATACTTATCTTCCCTGCTTATCTTATCTCAATACTTATCTTCGGAGTAAGGGCCCTGTCTGTGCTCTCTTTCCTCCTCCAGAATCACTCTCTTTCTTTCATCAACACTTCTCTGGGCCCCAACAGACTATTATCAATGGTTTCCCTTGCCCTCTAACTTATCCTTTGGTTCAGTCGATTGGAGGCATCCTGAAGTAGGATGGAAGTGAAGTCAAAGTTTTTGTTTTTGTTTTTTTTGAGACGGAGTCTCACTTTGTCACCCAGGCTGGAGTGCAGTGGCGTGATCTCAGCTCACTGCAACCTCCGCCTTCCGGTTCAAGCAATTCTCCTGTCTCCACCTCCTGAGTAGCTAGAATTACAGGCATGCACCACCACACCCGCTAATTTTTGTATTTTTAGTAGAGATGGCGTTTCACGATGTTGGCCAGGTTGGTCTTGAACTCCTGACCTCAGGTGATCCACCAGCCTCGGCCTCCCAAAGTACTAGGATTAGAAATCCAAGTTTTTATTCCTCCACCACTCTGCTGTAAATTTCCTATATTCCCCTACTAAAGGCCATAGATCCCGTCACGCAGCCCTTTCTGCCTACAGCTACTGCTTAGGGGGCTAGTAACCAATGCCTCTCCTTGCCCTTAAGGCCTAACTACTAGCAGCTCCCAACTGTTACTAGCTCTAGGGTAATGCACCATCCACCACTGCTGGCTCCACAGACCAGGCCCACACCTTTATAAAAAGTTTATTTAAAACTCCTCAGTTAAGCCTTTTGAGTACTGTTTCCTACCAGGACCACAGACTAATACAAATGTCTGTTCAAATACACGTTAAGCTCAAGTTAAGACATCCTATCCAGTGTAGCAATTTCTACAAGGCAGTTGGGGATGTATACCCAGAACTAGGCACAGTGCTTTCTATAAAGTATTTTATAAATGCTTGTTGAAGATGGAAACGACCCCCACTAGAGGATTAATAAATCTCTAGGTAAATTACATCCATTAGAGGCATATAAAAAAAGTTTTGGAGTCACACAAATCTAGATCAGAGTTTAGCTTTACATGACAAAAGTTAACCTTAAGTTTCACCTTCTGTAAAATGGGAATACCACTACTTATCTCGCAGAGCCGGCATGAAAGTAAAATAAAAAATAAAAGAACATCTAGCAAAGTGCTTGGCACACAGATAATGTTCCAAATTATAAGATCCTTTCTTGCCCAAATTCAAAAATCTTTCAGAAAGATTTTTGACCAGAATAAAATAAAATGGTTCAAAATCACTTGTTAATTACTTTACACTTCCATCTAAAGCAACATAAAGATAACAGAGCAAGATACAATAATTATAAAAGAGATGAAAAAAAGAAATAGACAAATCTAAGATGATACTAAGAATAAAATTTGTAAACAAAATGCAGACAAAAAATCCTATACATTTGCTAACAGTGAACCAGAAATCTGACTTTAAGTTTTCTAGCAGCAAGTGCAAAATGAGAAACATAAACAGTCATACAAAACGCAGTTTCTATACTATAAAAAAGCTAAAGAGTAATTTCTTCCATGAGTCCCACAGAGAATAGCACGATAATGCAATCAGCAATATTCTTAACAGCTTTATGGTAAACTAACAAACTGTTAGGATTTTTTTTTTTTTTTTTTTTTTTTTTTTTTTTTTTTTGAGATGGAGTCTTGCTCTGTCGCCCAGGCTGGAGTGCAGTGGCGCAATCTCGGCTCACTGCAAGCTCCGCCTCCCGGGTTCACACTATTCTCCTGCCTCAGCCTCCCGAGTAGCTGGAACTACAGGCGCCCGCCAACACGCCTGGCTAATTTTTTGTATTTTTAGTACAGACGGGGTTTCACTGTGTTAGCCAGGATGGTCTCAATCTCCTGACCTCGTGATCCACCCACCTCAGCCTCCCAAAGTTCTGGGATTACAGGCATAAGCCACCACGCCCGGCCGAGGATTTTTTTTTTAATAATCTCTCTGCACATACACTGATGGCTGCCTTCTCAACAAAATTCAATAAAAGGTAGTATAATATTCATGGTAAAGAATAAGGGCTCTGGATACAGAAATATCTGAATTTATATCACTCTGCCACTTACTATGAAGTAGTTTTAGACAAGATACTTAATCTCTCTGAACCCAAAAATGTGAAATGCACTGCTTAAGTATTCAAAAATCATTAGATTAGTAGTAGTATTCGTGAAATCAATTTAATAGGAGTAAAAAGGGAATATGACTCAGTCCAAGAACAAGGAGATTTCTAATTCCCTGACTTAAGTAAAGATTTTAGAGTACATAAACCAATGGTTCTCAAACCTTGGTACTGTCAGAATCATTTGGAGTGTTTTCAAAAAACACAAATTTCTGGGCCTCATTCCAGAGATCTGATTCAAGAGATTAGAGTAGGGTTAGGGAGTATGGTTGTTACTGCCTTTAAATTCTCTACATGATTCTAATGATTGTCCAGATTTCTGTACTGCTAATTAACAGCACCATTTCTCAGACAGGCAAGAATCACAATAATCAATGAAGTCTTAAAAAACTATAAACTGCTGCCCACCCAACACCCCCATAAATTAATGTTATTATTAGACTCTCCAAGCCAAAGGCCAACTGAAATAAAAAGTTGTTGCTGATGTTTAAAAGGTATAAAATACACAAAACAAATGACTAACTTATCGACTACCAGCCAGAAGTTGAACAAAGAAATGAACCAACATTTTCACCCAAGCAAGAAACAATGAGGATAAATAAAAAAGAATTAGGTTTTTGGTTTTGCTTTTGTTTTTTGAGGCAGGGTCTCACTCTGGTCACCCAGGCTGGAGTGCAGTGGTGCAATCACAGCTCACTGCAGGCTCCACCTCCCCGGCTCAAGCAATCCTCTCACCTTAGGCTCCCGAGTAGCGGGGACTACAGGCACACACCACCACGCCCAGCTAATTTTTGTATTTTTTGTGGAAACAGGGTCTTGCAATGTTGCCTAGGCTAGTCTTGAACTCCTGGGCTCAAGCCATCTGCCCACCTTGGCCTCCCAAAGTGCTGGAATTTCAGGCATGCGCTACAGTGCCTGGATAAGAATTAGGTTCTTAACATAGATGATTAAGTCAAAACACTAAGCAAAATAAAAACAAAAATGTAGCTTTAACATAAACTAACGTTCCACAGATTGAGCATCCCTAATCTGAAATGCTCCAAAATCTGAAACATTCCAAAATCCAAAAGTTTTTGAGTGACAGCATGATGCTCAAAGGAAATGCTCCAATGAACATTTCTGATTAGGAATGCTCAACCAGTAAATAAAATGAAAGTATTCCAAAAAATCCAAAAATAATCCAAAATATTAAAATCTTCTGGTCCTAAGCATTTTGGATAAGGAACACTCAACTTGTAGCTACAATATAAATGAGTAAATAAGTACCACTGCAGTATTTGTAATTTTGCATCACTAAAAAAGAATAATATTGCAATTATTCTTCTTAGATATTACCAAAGAACAGCCAAAATATCTTAGTTATAGAAACTAATCGAATTCTAAAGTCCTGTTTGAATTATGCAGAAGATTTTCATTACCTAAGACCCCACATTTCCTGGACTTTTTTTTTTTTTTTTTGAGATGGAGTCTCGCTCTGTCACCCAGGCTGCAGTGCAGTGGCACGATCTCTGCTCACTGCAAGCTCTGCCTCCCGGGTTCACGCCATTCTCCTGCCTCAGCCTCCCGAATAGCTGGGATTACAGGCATGCACCATGACGCCTGGCCAATTTTTATATGTTTAGTAGAGATGGGGTTTCACCATGTTGGCCAGGCTAATCTTGAACTCCTGACCTCAGGTGATTCGCCCGCCTCGGCCTCCCAAAGTGCTAGGATTACAGGTCTGAGCCACCGTGCCTGGCCCATTTCCTGGACTTTCATATCTGAAACTATTGACATCTAACAACATAAGAAAGCTTTCTACTTATACAACAACAAAGACTCCCATCCATAGTCAGAGACAAGAGAAGCAAGCCAACTGGAGAGCCAATTAGTGGAAAAGTTTCTTTTAAAAAGTAACAGACAAGGCTGAGTGTGATGGCTCATGCCTGTAATCCCAGCACTTTAGGAGGCCAAGGCAGAATGACTGCTTGAGCCCAGGAGTTTAAGACCAGCTTGGGCAACATAAAGAGACCCTGTATCCACACACAAAAAAATTAGCTGGGCTTGGTGGCACACACCTGTAGTCCCAGCTACTCTGGAGGCTAAGATAGGATGCTCACTTGAGCCCAGGAGTTTGAGGTTACTGTGCTATGACAGCATCACTATACTCCAGCCTGGGCAACAGAGCTAGACCCATCTCAAAAAAAAATAAAGAAAGAAAAGAGAGCATAGCTAACATTCACACTTAGATTTTAAGTTTCTTAAATTAATGCCAAAACCAAACATCTCAGTATAAAAGAGTGGCTGGCAAGTTCAGGGAGGAATATCAAGGACAAATATGGTACTTTAACACCACAATTACATTTTTCCTTTTCTTTTTTTCTTTTAAGAGTCAGAGTCTCACTCTGTTGCCCAGACTGCAGTGGTGCAGTGACATGATCATAGCTCACTGTAACCTTGAATTCCCAGGCTCAAGTGATCCCAAGTAGCTGGAACGACAAGTGTGCACCACCATGTCAGGCTAATTTTTTTATTTTTATTTTCTTAGAGACAAGATCTTGCTATATTGCCCAGGCTGATCTCAAACTCCTGGCCTCAAGTGATCCTCCCGCCTCAGCCTCCTGAGTTCCTGCCTGGCAATTTTTCCTTTTCTTAAACAGTACCACTGCCATCAATATTAGTTTTTATTTATAGTTTACTAGTACATACTACCACAGAAATTTATGGTGAACATTCATACTTAAAAGTTAACTAAGGTAACAAAGGATTATAAATCATGCTACTATAAAGACACATGCACACGTATGTTTATTGCGGCACTATTCACAATAACAAAGACTTCAAACCAACCCAAATGTCCATCAATAATAGACTGGATAAAGATAATGTGGCACATATACACCATGGAATATACTATGCAGCCATGAAAAAGGATGAGTTCATGTCCTTTGCAGAGACATGGATGAAGCTGGAAACCATCATTCTCAGCAAACTATCGCAAGGACAGAAAACCAAACACTGCATGCTCTCACTCATAAGTAGGAGTTGAACAATGAGAACACATGGACACAGGGAGGGGAACATCACACACTGGGGCCTGTTGGGGGGTGGGGGGTTAGGGGAGGAATAATGTTAGGAGAAATATCTAATGTAAATGACAAGTTGATGGGTGCAGCAAACCAACATGGCACATGTATACCTATGTAACAAACCTGCATGTTGTGCACATGTACCCTAGAACTTAAAGTATAAATATAAAAAAAAAAGTTAACTGAGGTAAGCAGGTATTTCTTTAGGAAAGATATACAAATGAACAATAAGCACAAGAAAAGATGCTCAATATTATTTGTCATCAAGTAAATGTAAATCAAAACCACAATAAGATACTACTTTATATCTAATTATGATGGCTATAACCAAAAATTCAGATGATATCAACCGTTGGCAAGGATATACAGAAATCAGGACTCTCACACATTCCTGGTGGTAATATAAAATGCAAAATAGTCTGGGAGTTCCTAAAATGGTTAAAAATAGAGTTACCATATGACTCAACAATTCTACTGTTAAGTATATACCCAAGAGAAAGAAAAATATATACACACAAAAACTTGTCCATCGGGCCAGGTGTAGTGGCTTACACCTGTAATCCTAGCACTTTGAGAGGCCGAGGCAGGCAGACTGCTTGAGCCCAGGAGTTTAAGACCAGCCTGGGCAACATGGCAAAACCCCATCTCTACCAAAAATATAAAAATTAGCCAGGCGTCATGGCACGTGCCTGTGGTCCCAGCTACATGGGGTGCTGAGGTGGGAGGATCGCTTGAACCCAGGAAGTCGAGGCTGCAGTGAGCCAAGACTGTGCCACTGCACTCCAGCCTGGATGACAGAGCGAGACCCTGTCTCCAAGAAACACAGAAAGAAAAATTTGTCCGTTAATGTTCACAGCACACAGCAGCATTATTCATGCCAAAAATAGAAAACACCTAAAAGTCAATCAACAGATGAATGGATGAATAAAATGTGGTATATGCATACAAGGGAATATTATTCAGTTAAAAAAAAAAGAACAAAGTAATGCATGTTACAGTATGCATGAGCCTTGAAAACATTTAAACTAACTGAAACATGCCAGTCACCAATGACCACATATGCTATAATTCCATTTATATGAAATGTCCAGAATAGGTAAATCTGTTGAGACAGGAAGATTAGTGGTTTCCTAGGGCTGGGGTTGGAGGAGAGGGAGAAGAAGGGAGTGACTCTTAATGGGCAACAGCTTTCCTTCTGAGGTAATGAAAAGTCACAGTAAAAAGATCAGTGGTTACACGGGAAGAGGGGATGACTAGGGCAAGCACAAAGGAATTGTGGGGAGGAGAGAAGCAATTTTTTATTGTGGTAAAATACACATAATGTAAAATTTACAATCTTAACTTTTGTTTAGAAAGAGACAAGGTCTCACTCTGTTGCCCAGGCTGAACTCAAATTCCTGAACTCAAGTGATCCTCTCACCTCACCCTCAAGAGTAGCTGGGACTATTGCGCACACCGCCAAGCCTACCTTTTTTAAGAGCTGGGGTCTTGTTATGTTGCCCAGGCTGAAGTACGGTGGCTATTAACAGGCACAATTATGGCACACTACAGCCTCAAACTCCGGGCCTCAAATGGTCCTCCCACCTCAGCCTCCTAAGTAGCTGGGACAACATGCATATGCCACCATGCTTGGCTCTACCATTTTTAAGTGTACAGTTCAGTGGTCCTGGGATACATTCATACTGTTGTACAACCATCACCACCAACCATCTCCAGAATTCTTTTTATCTTGCAAAACTGAAACTCTATACCCATTAAATGATAACCCCATTCCTGCCAACCCCTATTCCCTGGCAACCATCATTCTACTTCCTTCTTTCCAATTTTGACTACTATAGGTACCTCATGTAAACGGAGTTGTACAATATTCGTCCTTCTCTGACCTGTTTGTTTCACTTAACATGATGTCCTCAAGAGTCATCCATGTTTTATAGAATGTGTCAGAATTTCGTTCAAGGCTGAATAATATTCACTGTATGTGTATAACAAATTTTGTTTATTCATTTATCTGCTGATGAACAAGTGGGTTGCTTCCATTTTTTAGCTATTGTCAATAATGCTGCTATACACACGGGTGGACAAATATCTCTTTAAGACCCTACTTTTGGCTAGGCGCGGTAGCTCATGCTTGTAATTCCAGCACTTTGGGAGGCCAAGGCGGGTGGATAACTTGAGGTCAGGAGTTCAAGACTAGCCTGGCCAATATGGTGAAACCCCATCTCTACTAAAGATACAAAAATTAGCCAGGTATGGTGGCGCACACCTGTACTTCCAGCTACTCTGGAGGCTGAGGCAGGAGAATAGCTTGAATCTGGGAGGCGGAGGTTACAGTGAGCAAGATTGCACCACTGCATTGCAGTCTGGGCGACAGAGCTAGACTCCATCTCAAGGAGATGGAGGACACAAACAAATGGAAGAATATTCCATGCTCATGGATAGGAAGAATCAGTATCAGGAAAATGGCCATACTGCCCAAAGTAATTTATAGATTCAATGCCATCCCCATCAAGCTACCAATGACTTTCTTCACAGAATTGGAAAAACTACTTCAAAGTTCATATGGAACCAAAAAAAGAGCCCACACAGCCAAGACAATCCTAAGCAAAAAGAACAAAGCTGGAGGCATGACGCTACCTGACCTCAAATTATACTACAAGGCTACAGTAACCAAAACAGCATGGTACTGGTACCAAAACAGAAATATAGACCAATGGAACAGAACAGAGGCCTCAGAAATAACACCACACATCTGCAACCATCTGATCTTTGACAAACCTGACAAAAACAAGAAATGGGGAAAGGATTCCCTATTCAATAAACGGTGCTGGGAAAACTGGCTAGCCACATGTAGAAAGCTGAAACTGGATCCCTTCCTTACACCTTATACAAAAATTAATCCGAGATGGATTAAAGACTTAAATGTTAGATCTAAAACCATAAAAACTCTTGAAGAAAACCTAGGCAATACCTTTCAGGACATAGGCACGGGCAAAGACTTCATGACTAAAACACCAAAAGCAATGGCAACAAAAGCCAAAATAGACAAAGGGGATCTAATTAAACTAAAGAGCTTCTGCATGGCAAAAGAAACTACAATCAGAGTGAACAGGCAACCTACAGAACGGGAGAAAATTTTTGCAATCTACTCATCTGACTAAGGGCTAATATCCAGAAGCTACAAAGAAACAAATTTACAAGAAAAAAAAACAAACAACTCCATCAAAAAGTGGGCAAAGGATATGAACACATACTTCTCAAAAGAAGACATTTATGCAGCCAACAGACACATGAAAAAATGCTCATCATCACTGGTCATCAGAGAAATGCAAATCAAAACCACAATGAGATACTATCTCACGCCATTTGGAACGGCAATCATTAAAAAGTCAGGAAACAACAGGTGCTGGAGAGGATGTGGAGAAATAGGAACACTTTTACACTGTTGGTGGGACTGTAAATTAGTTCAACTATTGTGGAAGACAGTGTGGCGATTCCTCAAGGATCTAGAACTAGAATTACCATTTGACCCAGCCATCCCATTACTGGGTATATACCCAAAGGATTACAAATCATGCTACTATAAAGACATATGTACACATATGTTTACTGTGGCACTATTCACAATAGCAAAGACTTGGAACCAACCCAAATGTCCATCCATGATAGACTGGATAAAGAAAATGTGGCACATATATACCATGGAATACTATGCAGCCATCAAAAAGGATGAGTTCATGTCCTTTGCAGGGACATGGATGAAGCTGGAAACCATCACTCTGAGCAAACTATCACAAGGACAGAAAACCAAACACCACATGTTCTCACTCATAGGTGGGAATTGAACAATGAGATCACTTGGACACAAGGCGGTGAACATCACACACCGCGGCCTGTTGGGGGGTGGGAGGCTGGGGGAGGGATAGCATTAGGAGAAATACATAATGTATATGATGGGTTGATAGGTGCAGCAAACCAACATGGCACATGCATACCTATGTATCAAACCTGCATGTTGTGCACATGTACCCTAGAACTTAAAGTATAATAATAAAAAAGAACCCCCCCCCCCAAAAAAGAGACAACCCTCATGACACTGAAACAGGGCCTCCCAAAGGGTAACATTCTCTCAGAGCAAAACAGAAAAACCTGACCCCACAAAATGAAACCATGATATGCATAATTCTCTCAGCCTTAGTTTGAGAGGAACAGAAAAAGTTTCCCCTGATGATTTTTAGCCTCAAACTTCTACTTATGTAGCTATGTAGCCTAAATCTTATGACTATTGTGGCCCTGAGAAACCCCCAAGTCAAAATTATTGCTTATATGGATTCTGGGTTGGTATCATCCCCAAGGTACCTGACAGAAGTAATAGAAATCATTTCTGGAGGAACACATGTTATACTCAAGCCTCAATGGTTCCTGCAGATAAATTTAAAGTAACATGAACTTCTGATTAAGAATCACTAAACCCACAAGTAAATAGCTCACATCTTGAATGACAGCAATAACATCAAACTAGGTATTTAAGTTATTAGGTAATAATTTAATAATTATGTTTAATATGTTTAAAGACTGCTATTGAAAGTATGATTAAAGAACAAGAAATTGACTGTTTGGAAAAGAACAAAATAGTACTTGTAGAAAAGAAAACAACATATTATGATTGAAATTGGAAACATGTCAAACAACCAATTAACATAATTTATCATAAAATTTATTGAAAAAATCTGTAAAAAGAAAACAGAACACAGTAGAGAAATATAAATAATGAATGTTTTATTCATGTGGAGGATAGAGCAAGAAGATCCAACAAACATGTAACTGGGATTCCAGAGACATATGATAGAAACATAGAGGCAATTTTCAGAATACAAATATTGTGTTTAGTAAATAGTATACCAGATTTAAGGTTCCTATATTGAATAAGCATAAATTAGAGAAAATTGTACATATCTTTACAATTACAAGGAGAAGATCCGTATGTACTGTAGCTACTCAGTAAATCTTTGTTCAAAACCCTACTTTCAATTCTTTGGGTATATGCTCAGAAGTGAAATTGCTGAATCATATGTTTAAGTTTTGGAGAAACCACCACACTGCTTTCCACAGCACAGTAGCATTTTACATTCCTACCAAAAGTGCACAAGGGTTTCAATTTCTTCACATCCTTGCCAACACCATTTATTTTCTGTTGTTCTCATGGTAGCCACCCTTATGGGTATGAAGTAGGCCACAGGGGATTTTTAGGGTAGTGAAACTATTCTACATGATCTTGGAATCTTGGATTCATGGCATTATGCACTTGTCAAAACCTACAGAACTTCACAGCACGAAGAATGAAAGTTAATGTATGCAAGTTTAAAAAATCATTTAGGTCACAGAATCTCAGGAAAGAATGTAAAATGTGATAGGAGAATCTGTTTTACAAATGTATGAAACAAACTCACTGAAGGGCATGAGAAAAGGTGATGTAAGTAACTCTGGAAACGAAGAGCCTAAAACCAAATGCAAAGGAACTGCACATAATCACTGTACTCCAGTTGACAGAGTTGTTTCCCACAGGGATATGGGTTAACAACTCTGGTACTGCAATACATATATACTGGAAATAAACGATTAAGCAAATGGATGGCAGGCAGAGAAAATCACTGGAGTAGGAATTTACAGATAAGCAAGGAAGGAGGCTAGAAAGATAGATGTGGTAATGGATTAGATTTGGAGGCATCAGTGAGAACTCAGATTTAATACAGATGGTTACATAAGGAAATATTTATAAATATGTACACAGACGGTCCCCAACTTATGGTTTTTCAACTTTACAACTGGTTAATTGGAACACAACCCCATCCTAAGGAGCATCTTATACACAGGTTAATATACAAACATGTATTTTTTGTTAAGCTAAGAGGTCCTAAAAGAAATGATACAGCAGTAGCAATGAGCATACCCAGCACCCAGATCTGTTTCTAACACTATTCTACAACAAAATGAACCAGGGCTCTTTGAAGAAATGGCTTATTCTAGGTTTGGGGCAGGAAATGCACAAAATGAGCCTGGATCACATATCTTACAGTCCCAGAAAGTAAGGAAGCGCTTTAAAAGAAAATCCTTATTGATGGCAGTGTGTTAAAAGGACACAAAAGCCAACCGAAAGAGCTCAAACAGTCAAAAGCTGAAATAATCTGAGCAAAAAAACTAATGAAGTAGTCTTGGATTATAACTCAAAGTACAAAGCAAATATCCATCAGTTCATACTGATATAAATAAATGATTGATGAATAAATAGATGGAGGAGAAAAGACAAATCTCCTATGCAAAAGAACTCTAAATAAATTATGTAGATACTTTATCATAAAGGAGGGGAGCATAACTCCCCTCTCCTTCAGTTTTCGCTATACATAGTGACTTCCTTCCAGAGTACAGTATAGAAAAAGGAGGAAAAAAAAATACAGTGGAAAAATCTGATAAACACTACTTTAGCCAGGTGACCAAGATCAATGCCAAAAGTGATAAAATCCTGTGGATAACAGACACCCTTGAAATAATGTAATGCAAATGGCATATGGTCTTCCTCCCCAAAACCCATTAACTCCAGTCTAATCATGAAAAAACATCGGACATTTTCCAATAGAGGGGTATCCTACAATATGCTTGACCAGTACTCCTCAAAATTTTCAAGGTTATCAAAAACAAGGGAAGTCTGAGAAAATGTTACTGCCAAGTGTCTAAGGAGACATACAACTAAATGTAATATGGAACAAAAAAAGGGGTATTAGGTAAAAACTAAGGAAACCTTAATAAACTGTGGCCTTTAGTTAATAATAATGTATCAATATTGGTTCATTAGTTATAACAAATGTACCATACTAATGTAGGATGTTAATAATAGGAGAAACTGGGGCAGAAGGAATAATAAATATCTGCTTAATTTCTAAGTAAATCTAAAAGTGTTCTAAAAAATAAAGTCTATCAATTTAAAAAAAAAGTAACTCCAGGCTGATGGCCTCTTATTCTCTGTAGACAAATTTATAGCTTGGTATTATATTTAGGTGACTAAGAGATTTGGGTTAAATATAGATCTTTGTTTCCAACATCCAGGGAAATCTTCTACTCACAAAATAAATTTCTGGCCTTTTGTTTCATGACTCTTTCCTCAGTCCCTAAAGTATCTTCTCATCTGTCTTGAGTCAGGTCAACTCCACCATGCACTGCCCATCAATTCTGGATACTTGCTCAAAACACCCTTCCATTCTGGCAGGTGATGTCAGCATGGCATGATGTGTGACAAGTAAGAAGTGGTCCATAGAGTCCAGCTAAGACACACGAGTCCTTCACTAACAGGCCTCTTAAAATGATGGTGGGCTTTGTGAGATCCCTTAAGATGTCATCTCTTCTTAAAATGTCAGATCAGTTACTTGTATTATTATCCTTTTCTTAACTCCCATGTAATAATTCAAATATCCACATATTTGTTTTCCCTCTACAAAGCCATCATTAATTCCTTGGAGACAGAGATCTTATATTCTTTGCTTTGGCATACCTTATACCTATTCCTCTTCTTCCTAACAGAATCCTAATTTTGTTCAGGTACAATGCACCCAGCTCTGGAGAGTGAGAATAAGGGAGATGTTTTTTGTAGGGTTTCTAGAAAAGCTTTTGCATTTGTGATAAAGAGGCAAACATTGTTGATGTTGTTCCCTGCTTTTTTTTTTGCGCCTTAAATACAAACACGATGGTTAGAACTGCAACTATCACCTTATAACTACAAAGGAAAGTCCAAAACAATTGCACATATGCTGACTCTGAGAGTGTTGATCTCGTGAACCCACGCCAGTGACGGCCTACCTCCAAATTTCTTGTTACATAAGACAAGCTATTTGTTTAAGCACCTGATTAAGAAAAAATTCAAACTGTGCTCCCAACACCATAAACAGCAATGGTATATGTGACATCAACACTTCAACTTGCTTCTACCCTGGGAAGACCCTGCATACCTCCTGGGCCTTCACAAAAGGATTGGAAAAGAAAAAAGGGATCTGAACACTCCAGCGTAAACAAGCAAAATTCCTTTAAAAGGATCAAAAACTTCAAACAATCCAAACTCTAAATTTACAGGCAGAGCATATCAGAGCTCAGTATGCCCTAATTTTAACAGACATCTTTCCAGAGTCCTGGAATCATAAAATACTTGAGGAAAGCCTCTAACATGAAAGACAGAAACCAAAACCGACAAAGAAAAAAATGCAAACTTGGAGGTTACAGATATTATGCAAAGATAAGAAAACTAAACATAAAAAACCTATTTTTATTTTTAATTGACAAGTAAAAATTATATATATTTATGATATAAAACTATTCTTACAGCAACTTTCAAGTATACATTATTAACTGTAGTCAGCATGATGTACAATAGATCTCTTTAACTTATTCTTCCTGCATAACTGAAAGTTTAAGTCTTTTGACAAACATCTCCCCACTTCTCCCCACACCCAGCCTCTGGTTACGACCATTTTGCTCTGTTCCTATGAGTTCAACTTTTCTACACTCCACATGTAAGTGAGATTATGTGATATTTGTCTTTCTGTACCTGGCTTATTTCACTTAACATGAAATCCTCCAGGTTCATCCATGTTATCGTAAATGACCGGATTTCCTTTTTTTTCTGTGACACATCCCACAGGAGATCCTGAAAACATGTGCCTGGGATTTCCTTCTTTTTAAGAACTGAGTAGTATTCCACTGTGAAAACAGATATTTTCTTTATCCATTCATTCACTGATGGACATTTACGTTGCCTCCTGTTTCAGTCCCATTTGTGCTGCTAAAAGAAAGTATCTGAGACTGGGTAATTTATAAAGAACAGAAATTTATTTGTCATTGTTCTGGAGGTTGGGAAGTCCAAAATCAAGGTGCCAGGAAAACTGGTATCTGGTGAAGGCTGCTCTCTGCTTCCAAGACAGCGCCTTGGTGCTATGTCGTCACACACCAAAAGGGCAAATAGGAATGGAAAGTGTGAACTCTCTCCTTCAAGTCCTTTTATAAGGGCTGTAATCCCATCCATGAAGGCAGAGCCCTTACAGACTAATCACTTCTTAAAGGCCCCACTGCTTAAAACAGATTGAGCATCCCAAATCTGAAAATCCAAAATCGGAAATGTTCCAAAACCTTTTGAGTGCCAACATGATGCTCAAAGGAAATGCTCATTGGAGCAGTTCAGGTTTTGGATTTTCAGATTTGGGATGCTCAATTGATAAGTATAATGCCAATATTTCAATATCCCAAAAACACACACACACACACACACACACACACACACACACATCTGAAATCCAAAACACTTCTGGTCTTCTCCAACCATTTCAGAGAAGGGGCACTTAATGTGTACTCTTGTATTAGAGATTAAGCTTCAACTTGTATTTTGGAGGGGACACAAACATTCAAATCATAGCAATCCCGTATCTTGACTAGTGTGAATAATGTTGCAAAGAAAGTGGATGCAGGTATCTCTTCACCATACTAATTTCCTATCCTTTGGATAAATACACAGAAGTGGGATGCTAGGCCATATGGCAATTCTATTTTTAATTTTTTGAGGAACTGTCATATTGTTTTCCATAATGGCTGCACTAATTTACATTCCCATCAACAATGTACAAGGGTTCCGTTTTCTTCACATCCTCACCAACATTTATCTTTCCTTTTTTTAGTAACAGTCCTATAACAGGTGTAAAGTGGTATCTCATCGGGGCTTTAATTTGCATTTCCCTGATGATCAGAGATGTTGAGCATTTTTTCATATACATGTTGGCCAATTACATGTCTTCTTTCCAGAAATTTATGCTCAGGTCCTCAGCCCATTTTTTTAATCAAGTTGTTTTCTTGCTAGAGTTGTCTGAGTTCCTTACATATTTTGAGTATTAACCACTTTTCAGACCCATAGTTTACAAATATAGTAGTCCCCCCTTAACCACAGAGGATACATTCTGTTCTTTCTTTTGTGAGACAGAGTCTCTCTCACTGTGTCGCCCAGGCTGAGTGCAGTGGCGTGATTTCAGCTCACTGTAACCTCCACCTCCTGGGTTCAAACAATTCTTGGAGTAGCTGGGATTACAGGTGCATGCCACCACACCTGGCTAATTTCTGTATTTTTAGTGGAGACGGTGTTTTGTCATGTTGCCTAGGCTGGTCTCATATCTCTGGCCTCAAGGGATCCACCCACCTTGGCCTCCCAAAGTGCTGGGATTACAGGCGTGAGCCACCATGCTCAGCCCACAGAGGATATACTGTAAAACTCCCAGTGGATGCCTAAAACCTCGTGTAGTACCAAAGTCTATATGGGTCTATACTGTTTTTCCTATACTTCTATACTTGCCATAAAGTTCAATTTATAAATTAAGCACAGTAAGAGATTAACAACAATACTAATAATAAAAGAGAACAATTAGAACAATAAATAGTAATAAAAGTTATGTGAATGTTTATTTCTGAAAATTTCCATTTAATATTTTCAGACCACAGTTGACCACAAAAAGCAAAACTGAAGGGTGGATTACTGTAATATTCTTCCATTCCATGGGCTGTCTTTTCACTCTGTTGACTGCTTCCTTTGTTGTGTAGAAGCTTTTTAGCTTGATGTAATCCCTCTTGTCCATTTTGCTTTTGTTGCCTGTGTTTTTGGAGTCATAACTAAAAAATCTCTGCCCAGATCAATGTCATGGAACTATATTTTCTTCTAGTATTTTTACAGTTTCAGGTCCTATGTTTAAGTCTTTAAGCCATTTTAAGTTGATTTTTGTATATGGTGTGACATGAAGGTCTAGTTTCATTCTTCTGGGCTGGGCACGGTAGCTCATGCCTGTAATCCCAACACTTTGAGAGGCTGGGGCAGGAGGATCACTTGGGCCTAGAAGTTCAAGACCAGCATGGGCAACACAGTAAGACCCCATCTCTATCTAAAAACAAAAAATTCATTCTTCTGCATGTGGATATCCAGTTTTCCTCCTCAAAAACCTGTCTTTGATCTATAAAAAGAACTAAGAGAAGATATTGCTCCAAGATACTAGTAGAAGATGCTATTTTAAAATTACATTCAGAAAACAAAACCAAAAAAACACAGCTCTTAGAAATCAAAATAGCAAAAATTAAAAACTTAATATAAGAAATTCCTGTTTCCGGCCGGGCGTCGTGGCTCACGCCTGTAATCCCAGCACTCTGGGAGGCTGAGGCGGCAGATCATGAGGTCAGGAGGTCGAGACCATCCTGGTTAGCACGGTGAAACCCTGTCTCTACTAAAAACTCAAAAAATTAGCCAGGCGTGGTGGCGGGCGCCTGTAGTCCCAGCTACTCGGGAGGCTGAGGCAGGAGAATGGTGTGAACCCAGGAGGCAGAGCTTGCAGTGAGCCAAGATCGTGCCACTGCACTCCAGCCTGAGCAACAGAGTGTGACTCCATCTCAAAAAAAATTAATAATAATAATAATAATAAATGAAATAAAAAATAAATAAAATAAAATAAAAAATAAATTCCTGTTTCCAGTAATGGTGGGCTAAGTTATCTGGGTCAACTATCACTATTTAACTTAATAAAAAATCTGGATAAAATATATATCAAAATTTTTAAATCATCAAAGATAAGCCAAGAAACGTGAAGTAAAAAGGAGAATCCAGAAAGGTAAAAGAGCACATAAGCTACTCTTGCCCTGAGGATGTTTGCCAATCTTGAAAAATTAGAATCACTGTTTTGCTAGTCTAGCAAGAGATACAGGGGAAAAAAATCAAAATCCAACAACCACACAAGGGAACTGCACATTTTAAAACTAGTTTAAGGTAGTCCCAGACCAGTAATGACCCCAAGCAAATGGCAGAAGAAAACACAAATTCTATACATAAAATAGAACATTGCAACTAACCACGGAAGGATGAGTCTCACAGATACCAAGGAAGAAGATGCAAAATGGAAGAAAACAGATGTTAAAAAGGAAGAAGGTGCAAAAGAGTACTTACCATACGGTATCATTTATATGAAATTTTAAAACCTACAAAAGTAATCAATGGTGATACAATTCAGAATAGTGGTTGGAGGTCAGACGCAGTGGCTCACACTTGTAATCCCCAGTGCTTTGGGAGGCTGAGGCAGATGGATCACTTGAGCCCAGAAGATCCCAGCCTGGGCAATATGGCTAAACGCTATCTCTACAAAAAATACAAATATTAGCTGGGTGTGGTGGCAAGCACCTGTAGTCCTGCTACTCAGGAGGCTGAGGATGGAGGATCACCTGAGCCAGGTAGGTCGAGGCTGCAGTAAGCTGTGATGGCACCACTGCACTCCAGCCTGGGCTATGGAAGTGAGACCCTGTCTCAAAAAAGATAAGAAAGAAAAGCAATTGGCATATATTAAGCACTCAAATTTGTTGAATCAATAGAGGGATTCAGTGGCTTGTCATCCCCTGTAAATACTCCCCCAAAAGCAACGATTTTTTTTTTTTTTGAGACAGGGTCTTGCTCTATCACCCAAGCTAAAGTGCAGAGGCAGATACCAGCTCACTGCAGCCTCGACTCCTGGGCTCAGGTGATCCTCCCGCCTCAGCCTCCTGAGTAGCTGGGACTACAGGTGCCCACCACCACGCCCAGCTTATTTTTGCTTTTTTTTTTTTTTTTTTTTTGGTAGAGAAGGGGTTTCACCATCTTGCCCAGGCTGGTTTCTCTGGGTTCAAGAGCTCCACCCACCCTGGTCTCCCAAAGTGCTGGAATTACAAGCATGAGCAGCTGCACCTGGCTCCTTTTCTATAAATTGGGTGTGCAGCAAGGACACAGCAAAAACAAAACAGATATCCTTTACTCCCTAAAAACAACAAAATTATGATGTACCAAAAATAGAAAAATCTCACTCTATACACTGATTCTTTTCAAACTATAACAAGTATACAAATACTAGTATTTCCCGTCTTTCATGAGATATTTGTAAAGTCTGCTGATTAGTTATTTATCAAGAACTTAAGGAAAAAATGCCCCAATTGCCAAACATGAATAACTAATTTGGATTCAACATGGACACTTTACATAAACTTTTATCCTTGTTATTAGAGATTTTTTTTCTTGGGCTCCATACAGATTCTAAATGCTGACTCCCACATTACAAAAAGCAGTCAGACATTATTTTTCCTTGGAGATAGTGTCTCATTATATTGCCCAGGCTGGACTCATTCCTGGGCTCAAGCGATCTTCCTGCCTCAACCTCCCAAATAGTTGAGACTAGAGGGGTGTACCCCCATGCCCAGGTAGATAACATCTCACAATGCCCGACGGCATCCCCCTATAGTATAAAAGAGGTTTCAAAGAACTAGTCAATGAAAATTCTGTAAAACCAATCATAGAAGTTAATACAACTTATTTTGGGAAAAAAAGGAAAATGCCGAAAGGCACAGATGACAATATTAAAATTATCTGTAACACTAACAGATTACTTTTATTATTTTTAAAGCACAATTTGCAGTTTTAAAGCATTTATCATTGTCATCAATTAGAAGGTGATATTTCAAATATTCTAAAATATTTTCTTATTAGAATACTCTTAGTACATAAATCAGCTCATGAAACTAGGAATTAAAGCAGAAGAGTGGGGATCTAAACTAACTGCATTTTTCCCAGTGAACACCCTCTCACCTCCAGAAAAAGCACTGATATTTAAACTGATATAGAAGTAAAAATATAGTTGTCCACCAGCATTGGTATTCGCCATGGATGCTCAAGTCCCTTATAAAATGGCATGTGGCATAGAGCCAGGCACAGTGGCTCATGCCTGTAATCCCAGTACTTTGGGAGGCTGAGGGAGGAAAGTCACTTGAGGCCAGGAGTTCACGACCAGACTGAGCAATACAGCGAGACCTTGTCTCTACAAAAGATACATTAGCTAGGTATGGTGGCACATGCCTGGAGTCCTAGCTACTTGAGAGGTTGACGCAGGAGGATCGCTTGAGCCCAGGAGTTTGAGGCTGCGGTGAGCTATGACTGTGCCACTGCACTCCAGCAAAATAAACAGGCCAGGTGGGGTGGCTCACGCCGCTAATCCCAGCACTCTGGGAGGCCGAGGCGGGTGGACCACGAGGTCAGGAGATCGAGACCATCCTGGATAACATGGGGAAATCCCGTCTCTACTAAAAATACAAAAAATTAGCCAGGCGTGGTGGTGGGCGCCTATAGTCTCTGCTACTCGGAAGGCTGAGGCAGGAGAATGGCATGAACCCATGAGGCAGAGCTTGCAGTGAGCCAAGATCACACCACTGCACTCCAGCCTGGGCGACAGAGCGAGACTCCGTCTCAAAAATAAATAAATAAATAAATAAATAAATAAATAAAAATAAAACAGCACAGTATATGCACATAACCCACATAACCTACACACATCGTCCCATATATTTTAAGTCATCTCTAGACTGCTTATACCTAATACAATGTAAATGATATGTGTAAATAGTTGTTATGCTGTATTGTTTTTAGATCTGTATTATTTTTATTGTTGTATGATTGTTTTAATTAGTATTTCCAGTCCATGGTTGGTTGAATCCACAGACGTGGAAATCAAATGATATGGAGGGCCTACAGTATACAGTCACAGATAAAGGGAAAATAAAAAACAATATAAACGAGCTGTAGTAATAATATATATTTAAAAATAAAACTAATTTCAAATTAGTAACATATTATTAAAGGAAATAACATCCTTCAAATATTCTTGCAGCGGCGCTAAAATAAATACACTTTCATCTTCTAAAACCCAGAGGTATTCCCCTCCTGCCACCAAAGTATTCAGAAGCAAGAGGTAATCCCTTCTACCAATAAACTAAGATTTTCTTCTGTGAATTTTTAAATGGTCTGAAAAGTGGTTTGATTATATACAAATGTGTAACTACACACACACACACACACACAGACACACCCATACACACACACAAGAGGTTCATGAATCAAGCAATCAGCCAGACCAACCTCTTTGCCTGCCTGGTTCCAGTCTACCCTTCATCACTACTTTCAGACATTGTGCACTCAAATTCAAGTCAAACGCAACACTAGACTCAGGTCAGTCCAACAAACATTTATTAAAGACCCTACTAATGTCAGGCTAATCCAGGCAGGATACAGCAATGAATCAGACAATGAATAAGCAATGAGTAAGACACAATATCTGCCCTCTAGGAACCTGTCAGGAACCCCCACCTGCATAACCCTTCTTATTCCAAAACCTAGGTCAAATGACAGTCTTCCTAAAGATTTTCCTGTGATACCTAGAATGAAAAGTCACTTTTCATAGCCCTAAAGTCCATCTATTACTTTCTAGTTGTTTTAGGGTTGCTTTGAGGCTCATGCTGATATCTAATTGATTCTTTTAGTATGCCCCACAAAGCCTAGCTTAGTGCTGAAGCCATAATAGGCATGAAATAAACATCTGTTGAATGAACAAGCATCAGTCCTGTTTACGTGTTTCAGGTGTATTAGATAGACATGGCCTGAACTGAAATATGGAACGGCTTTCACATTCTATAGAACAAAACCTTTACATAACCTTTCCTACCAGTTTTTAATATTCTATAGATATATTCCCCAAGACAGATTTTTTTTTGCTATTGAAGTGAAAATGTTTAAAGATTGAAGATTATTAAATAAGACAGCACTTGTTGATATACACAGAAGGTATTTGACATTTATAAGCCATTACTATTTCTCTTACTATTTCCTCTCTACAAACTAGCTGACAGAGGAAAAAGTTGGTAGAATAGGTTTTTTTAAAGTTTCCAGCCAAAATCATATTTTATAGGTTTATAGGGTGGGGGAAGGAGAGAGAGCAAATATTTTAAGAAAAAGGCAAAGAAAGCAAGCAAATGGAAGTAAATGGAGTATGAGTGGCTATGCAAAGGAGATACTGGTTAGAGGCAGCTCTCTAGCTTCCAACTTATTATAGTCATTATGGAATGGTGACATAAACAGATATCTTGATACCTCTCACTCATCCTCCTTAACTAATAGCAATAACGTCTGTAATACAATGTTGAACACAACAATTTCTACCAACAAAAGGGAATGTAAGATATTTAAGTATTTATACCATGACAATTTCCCTAAGATTTGAATACACAAGAAATAACTATAATAACCGTAATATAAGGTGGTAGTCCCATAAGACAATATCCAGAATGGGTAGTCTGGAGGCATGGGGTTGATAGGAATTGGTCAACAGAGGGCATTCTGGGCAGTGGTATCAATGTAGGGAAGTATTTTGGAGTTTACAGTAAAGTTATATCATCTCAAAGCAACTCTACCTTTTGTCAGGGCAGGGCCAATATCATAAGCCTTCATAAATCTCACCAAACATAACAGTGCTTCCCAAATAATAGACACAAAATTATTGTATTTTTAAAACAAAACTGAATTCCTACAGCAGTTTCACGGCCTTTCATTTACTTTTGGAGAAGCAATTCAGTTTACATTAATAATGAATTTTCTTTGTCAACCTCCTCTAGACAAGCACCCTCCAAAAAATGTGAAGTAAAATTAAAGTCAATATTATAGACAGTCCCAGCTTCTTGAGAGCTTAAGGAAGGACGATTGTGGAGCACAGAGTTCAAGACTGGCCTGAGAATATAGCAAGACCCCATCTCTAAAAATATACATATATATTACAGATATGGTCTAACCAGTAGACTATGAGACCCAATTCCTTTGTTACAGATAAATCTATTAATGTGGCCTAAGATTTCACCAATTATTTAGGCAGTCACATTACCAAGCTATCAATCAAGTAAATTCACCAGAAATTACCTGTAGGTCTTTTCTTCCCCATCCTTTTACCATTTTACTTGACAAAAATGTTTAACCCAAGTAGTAAAACTTAACTTTATAATTTTGGTTTCAGCTTTAGACTTTCTTGAGCTGTTATCCAGATCACCTAACCTATCACCATCTACAAAGGCCTTCAGAACCCTAAAGATACACTTGCTAATTAGTAATCAATACTCTGGGTAATGCAATCAACTATTAATGCAATTGGGCAAAACATGCATGATCACCTACAAGCATTGTCTTGGTCAGTGAAAACAAAGATGAATCCAGCCTTTCTACACTCAAGGACAATCTAGTCACTTACAATGTAAATTTAAGTGCTATATAAAGTGTTATGAAGCCAAGATAATAAAGTATTAAAAGGTTAACACTGAGGATAATACATAAATTATCCACCTAATCTATCACTCAACCCACATTTTTCAGTTTCTTCCAAAAAGATATAAGCTTTGTCAAATGCATTTAGTTAATAATATGATGAAGACCGGGCACGGTGGCTCACGCCTGTAAACCCAGCACTTTGAGAGGCCGAGGCGGGCGGATCACAATGTCAGGAGTTCAAGACCAGCCTGGCCAACGTGGTGAAAACCTGTTTCTACTAAAAATACAAAAATTAGTCGGGCATGGTGGTGTGCACCTGAAATCCCAGCTACTCGGGGGGCTGAGGTGGGAGAATGGCTTGAACCAGGGAGGCTGAGGTTGCAGTGACCCGAGATCGCACCACTGCACTCCAGGCTAGGCAACAGAAGAGACTCCATCTCAAAAATAATAATAATATAAATAATATGATGAAAATAACAATGGCTTTTAAATTACACATTCTTAAACTAAGGGCCAAAGATTATATCGACCAAGAAATTAAGGCATAAAAAAGATTTATATGCACTTATAAATTAAATCAGATATTTGAATCCATCTTCTAACTACCAGACTTGTCCAGCATTTTCCTTGGGTAGCAAATTTTTCAGTAAATCATATGAATGTGAGGTGCTCAGCCATATATTTTTTTCATATTTATACACACATTCACAACCCATACACAGATTTTTTCTGTCGAACTTTAACTAGGTCCTCAAAAACTAAAAACCTATTTCTTAATAAGTAAAACTTATTTACTAAACATAGGTCTTTTCCAATCTCTAATGTCCCTATCTGTTAAAAAAAAGCTAGTAATTTCAAAATCTGTGCTTTGTGAAATTATTAATTCATATTTGGCTATCTGATCCATCCATTCTTGCTATGTAATAAAGAAATGAACACAATAAGCAATGCCTAAGATGTTACCACGCATCCTGAAGAAGTGAAGACAGTATCATCTCTTTCCTTGGTATTACCCAGAATACAATGCAAAACTGTGACTGTAGTATATATTCACTAACTTATTTACTCATTTGGAACACTAGAAATCCCTGTAAGCACAGCTCAAATTTATTACAAGTTAATTCATATCCCCTAACAACTACGCAACCAAAGTCTGACACGATCCACTCAGCACATCACTACAAAAGTCCCCCAAAGTCAGTATTAGAGCCGTTCTATTGAATTCCTTTTTTTCTCAAATTTAACATAAGACTTAAGAAGCATTAAAATAGCAATAAAAATTCCAATGATTGTTACAAGAAACAGACTCAGGTTTAAGTGCATGGCTACATATCATTTTTCTGTAACAACATATTCTCAATAATTAACTCTTTGGGACAGTAATGTGATTCTAAATATGAAATAATAGGAGAACTGGTTTCTAAATCCAAAATTTCGAGAGAATTTCCCAACCTCAAATTCCTCAATGGCAAGAGCACAGTACAGGTTGTTTGTATTACATTACAATCCATTAGAAGTATAATCCTTTTTCAAAACTGAGAACAGTAAAAAGAGGAAGCATACTCAAATTTTTCTAAGGTTTCTTCTAGTCCCAACAATAGTCCTCTACACCAAGTTCTGCTTATCTAAGTTTCAGACACCAAGTTGATATTAGTTCACTCTACATTACTTAGTTTCTAATAAATGTTTCCCTCAAATCCTCAAACTAAAAATCTTAAAATATGGAGATGTATTAAATGTTGAGAAAAATTAAAAATCTTTTTCAGAATTTCCAAAGGACACAAAGCAAATTTTAGTTAGAACAAAAATTCCCATCTCTTCTACAGTTTATCTTTTCAGATTGCTGAGAAACTCTTTAAATGCTGAAAGTAACCAAATTATAGGAGACAGTAGAGGAATGGAATCGTTTCCTTAGGTAGTACCATAAGTTTAAAAAAAAAACTTTTAAAATCACATTTTATTATTCACTAAAATGTTTTTCCTTAAAACTGTTATTCTTTAGTGTGATACAAAGTGAATTTTTTAAAAATCTTAAGAGTTAAATCTAAATAACATGCCTCCACTGTTTTCCTATGTTTACTTTTTAGAAGTATTCTACTTACATTTTAGTTTCCTTTGAAGCACAAGTCATTTAAGTAGGCAAAAGTTAAAATATTTTGTAATTATAAAAACGAATGAATGCACTCTGGTAGGCATGAAAAAAATAAAAAATTTAAAAATTTAAAATAAAACTATACCCATTTCCTTTCATTGATAATTCACTATAATCAATTATAGAATGCACAAAGTGTAAGGGAAAAAGGCCAATAATGCCTGAGAAACTAACCAATGTAAAAGAATTAAACTTTATGTAATTCATTTACCATGCAATCCTCCCCAATATAAGAACAATTAATGCTATCTAAGAAACGGAATGAAGGGGCTCCTAAGGTATTTTCTCTTGGGTGGTGTGTTTTCAGACTGGGTAAGCACTTGTACAGAATGTTGCACAAGAGATTCCTGGCTGGCTAAGTAAAGCATTCACTAGATGGACTCTAAAGTCTCACAGTTCTAAGATTCCCAATCTATGAGTAGACGTGAAAAATAAGAAAACATTTTGCCTTTCAATTAACCCATTGGCTTTCACTCCCACCCTAGCTGGGCACACACATACTCAAAAGTTATTTCTCCCCTTTCTCTGCAGTGATTTCACGAGATCCTCGCGAACAAAAGGCACGGAAAACAGGCACAGGTGGAATAAAAAGGGGAGTGGCTGAGGCCAGGCGGCTCTCGGGACAGCGCCCCCACGCCCCCAGTTCTCCCGGCCGCACCTGAGAAATCACTGCCCTCCGCACCTGAGAAATCACTGCCCTCCACACCTCGACCCTTCCGCGCCGGCGCCAGGAGCAAATTCTCCGACCTATTACCCTCCGCCCGTACCTTGGCCAGACACTGGGCATTGTCTGGAGCCTCCTGTGCCAAAGAAAGGCAAGGAGGAAAGGAAAGGAGAGAACGAAGGAGAAAGAACAAGTGAGAATAAAGAACGGAAAGGGAAGTAAAGCAACAGGGAGACCGTACGCTCCTTTTGGTAAAATTAGCTTCCTCATCGATCACTCGATTTAATTCAGCCCCCAAAACCAACCCACCAGCCCAAAGGCTGCAGCCGGGGGTGGCCAAACCGGAGTCCCTCGAAGCTGTGCCCGCCCGAAGCACTGAGGCAGGGAGAGAGAAATGTGCGTGTGGGCTGGGCCTGGCTGGCCCGAGGCCGGGCTCCGAACAAAGCCGCCTGGGTCCCCATACCTGGGGCGAGGGCTCTGGGCGGCGCCGCCCCAGACGGGCGACGCCCTAGCCCCGCGGACCTGGCCCGGGCGAGGAATCGCGGCCGGTCCCCTCCCCGCCCTCGAACAGCGCCCCTTGGGGACAATGGGCCCCCTCCCCCGCCTCCGGGAGGAGAGATACAAAGGAAGAGAGGAGCCGCCGGGCGCGAAGCCAGGCGTCGGGAAAAGTGAAGGTGGAGGAGGGAGAAGGAACAAGAGGGGATCACGGCGCACGCAGGAGCCCGCGGGCTGCTCCCCCGGCCGTCCCGGGCGCCGCCCGAGCTGCACCACGGCGGCAAAGGCGGGAGCACGGACTAGCGGCCCCCTAGACCCCCGGCCGAGAAGGGAAGAGGAGTCTGCACACAAAGACGAGCGGGACCCTCACCCTCCGCCAGCGCCGGACCGAGGACGGCGGAGCGCGCTTTCACCGCCGAGGGTCCGCGGCGCCCGCCCAACCCGCGCTTCTCAGGGGCCGGGGTCCGTGCGGGGCGCCCCTCTCCCCGACTCACCCACAGCTCCGTGCCCCAGCTCATGGCGGAACTTTCTGGCCGTCTGGCGGTGCCGCTGTCCTTCAGTCTGTCGGCTCCACAGTCTGTCCGACCTCTCACTCGCTGGCCGGCGGGCTAGCAGCTCAGCGGGTCTACCTCGAAAGGTGCCGCCACCGCCGGGCTCCCCAGTGAGTGAGAAAGACGCGACTGGAGAAGCCTCCGCCGCCGACGCGTCCCCGCCTCCCCGCGCTGGGCGGGAGGGGGCCGGGGCCGAGGGGAGGCGGAACGCGGCGCGGGGAGGGGGCGGGGCGCAGTGCATCCTGGGATCGGGGAGGACCTGGGCTAGCCTGGCCACCGCCGGCGGGGTCCCCAAGCGGGCACCTGGTCACCCTCGCTGGCCCCTCTCGCTGGTCGAGTCTCCTCCTGCAGGTACCCCGGAGCTTGGACTGCCCCCACTCCGCTGCCAGTCGGACCCCTGTTTCCAAGATAGAAAGGGAGAGAAGGGAAAAGACCCCCACCGCCGCTATTATCTCATTCCTCCTCTGCGCTGAGCCCCTTTACATGAGGCAATTTTAGTTACCTGCCTTTCCTGCCTCTTGTCTCCTCCACTCGGGAGAAACCTTGACAGGGAAGCGTCATCCAAATCCTAGAGTTTAGACTGAGGAGAGTTGTGTTTTATTTTTTTAAATCTTGATGCTTAAGGTGATCTCTCCTTTCAAGCCTGATGCTTTGGCATGACGATTCTTGGGAACCACCAAAATGTGCACAGGTTGAACAGCAAATGTGAAGGCAACATGTCCCCGATTCTGTCTTTAATTAAATATTTTAATTTTATAAATTCTGTCAGGAAATTATAAAAAGAGGCAGCTCTTCCAGTAATCATTTAGGTATGTTGCCAGCGCACGAGATGGAAGACGTGGACAAATGTGAGCCGAGCTGTCACCTGCGGAAGATGAGAAGGCAGCTTGCCCCATGTCTGGAATGGGCACCTCGTGGGTGAGGGTTGGATGGGAGCCAGATTTTTCTCTGGTAGTGTAAACAGCTTATTCGGAACTTCAGATCTCTTTCACCTCCCAGTATCGGAACCTTGGAGGCAGGTCCACTACTTCCTTTTTTCTCTATGGAGCTACTTCCTGGCCTATCTCCATGGAAAGGCTGTTAGCTAGTTTGGCTGGTGCTACTAGATATCAAGTACGCTGAGCAACTCCCTAACATATGCTTTAGTATTAATAGCTTGTCTCCTAAAGCAAGCAAGCGCACACACACACACTTCAAAACAGTCAACTAGTAGAGTACTCCTCAGTGCGTCATGACAGCTGGGTGTTTTAGGAAGCTCTCCCAACGGGTTCTTTGTCAGCATTGAAACTCCTCCCCTACCTGGCCTGGACAGGTGTTCCAACCTCTTCCGCTTAATCCGTATTCTTTTGCCTAGCTGCGCTCCCTCTTGGAGTTGAGGCCAACAGCCTGAGTTCGCCTGACAGTCCAGTTGCTAATCTTCCTAAATTCTCTGCTGTCCTTTTCTGAGGCCACTTTAAGCATACAAATGCCCTCTTCCAAGTGGGTTATAGCCAATTTTTAAATGCTTAACTTTGTACCATGCAGTGAAAAGCCTGTGAAGGATTGAACAACACTTTCTAACATTTTTCTACATTGCCTCTATTCCAAAATAATTTCTTCGTTTATTTATGTCACCTAACACTGTTAACCGCCTCTCCCATCACTTCCTATCACTCCCTAGAATCATGAATGTATTTTGCAATTGCAAGTAACATTAATTAGTAAGGGGAAATGGATTTTTTTTTTTTTGAGACGGCGTTTCACTCTTGTCACCCAGCCTGGAGTGCAGTGGCGCGATCTCGGCTCACTGCAACCTCCACCCCCCAGGTTCAAGCAATTCTCCTGCCTCAACCTCCCGAGTAGCTAGGATTACAGGCGCCTGCCACCACGCCCAGCTAAATTTTGTGTTTTTAGTGGAGATAGGTTTTCACCATGTTGGCCGGTCTGGTCTCGAACTCCTGATCTCAAGTGATCTGCCCCCCTCAGCCTCTCAAAGTGCTGGGATTATAGGCGTGAGCCACTGCGCCCAGCTGGGAAATGGATTTATTAAATGGGTGTCATTATTTAGCACCACAGCAATACCAAGATTTATTATATCTAAGTATTGTCATAAAAGCTAAGACCTATAGAATATAATTTAAACCCAAGTTAAAGGATTTATCTTTTTTTTTTTTTTTTTTTTTTTTTTTTCTGAAACAGAGTCTTGCTTTGTTGCCCAGCAGTGCAGTATTGCCATCTGGGCTCACTGCAACCTTCACCTTTCCAGCTCAAGCAATTCACCTGCCTTAGCCTCCCAAGTAGCTGGGAGTACAGGTGCTCACCACCACACCTGGCTAATTTTTTGGATTTTTTTGTAAAGATGGGGTTTTGCCATTGGTGCCCAGGCTGGTCTTGAACCCCTGGGCTCAAGAGATCCAACCCCCTCAGCCTCCCAAAGTTTTGGGATTACAGGCCGTGAGCCACCACGCCCAGTGAGGATTTCCCTTTAAAGTAAAATAATCTACTGTTCACATTAAAATTTTCAACCGTGCTGTTTATGTAATTTCCCAAATGAACATAAAGCTCACCTCCTACATGAAGACTTTTTCTTCTTCCAAGGTTCTGAAGCAGGATTCCACAATTAAAACAATTCATTTCTCTTCAAAAAGCTAGATTTGGGGGCATCAAGGGTTTTCTTATTTGTTTTTGTTTTGAGACAAGGTCTCCTAATGTCCTGGAGACGTTAGGAGTGGCTGGAGTGCAGTGGCACCATCATAGCTCACTGCAGCCTTGACCTCCCAGACTCAAGTGATCCTCCCACCTCAGCCTCCTGAGTAGCTAGGACCACAGGCACACAACCACACCTGGCTAATTTTATTTATGTATTTATTTTTATTTATTTATTTATTTTTGTAGAGACAGAGGTCTCACAATGTTGCCCAGGTTGGTCTCAAATTCCTGGACTCAAGTGATCCTCCTACCTCAGCCTCCCAAAGTGATGGGATTACAGGAGTGAGCCACTGCACCCAGCCCTGCATCAAGTTGTAATATTCAAATTTAAATAAAATTTCTGTTACCCTCCATTACTATAAAATTTTTAATATAATTCATATTACCACCTTAAATAATCTCTTCTAAAGAATTATTTGTAATTTATAAAATTCTTTCATGACATTAAAAGTCACTGGTTCAACGATGTTTAAGCAAAAACAATTAAAAAGTGAAAACTTTCACAATAAAGAAATAAATGTTTAGTGTTATACTTTGTTAAAAAAATAATAAAGATTAATCAGATTTCAAAGTATTTCCTATTAGAACAAATCCTCTCTAAAATAGCATATAGGCATTTTAGCCAACAAACATGCAGATATTTTACATACACATAGTCACATACACAAATGTATATTATCAGTATGGCAGTTTATAAGACATTTATGATTTTTCACATAATCAAAATCATTTTGGCATTAAATTATTTTTACAGATAACTTATTCTTTATAGACTCATGACAAGGCATTTTGTAAGCAGTTCAAGCACAGAATTTTTATCTCTAAAAATGTTAAAACTGGCCAGGTACAGTGGCTCATGCCCGTAATCCTAGCACTTTGGAAGCCTGAAGTGGGAGGATTGCTTGAGGTCAATAGTTTAAGACCAACCCAGCCAACAAAGCAAGACCCCATCTCTTATTTTAAAAAATTAAAGTAAATTAAATTTAAAATGTTAAAACATAACTTTCAGAATCGTGAAAGAAATATCTCTTTATTATAGTAGAAATCTAATATTAATTTATTCCAGATGCTACCTCTATATCATAATTTTAATAATTAAATGTAAAAATCTTCAAACCAATTATACTTTTTTGCTACTTGACCTATCTTGGCAATCAATCACCACATAGTTTCGATTTCATATTACATAATTTATAAGGTAATAATACTAAGAAACAAAAGAATGATATTGTTCTATTTTCTCCATATACAATGAAGCTACTCTACAAGTAAACTTGAAAGGGCTTAAATTACAAAGGTGCTTTAGCAATTTAAACAATTATTACAATGTATCTTTTTATTATGAAAAATAACTTATTGAATGCATTTTCTTTTCAGGCATATCATAGAACTCTGGTCTATAATAATCCATTAAAGTGTTTTCTTTTGCATATATTATCATGTAGCAATTCAAATGCAAATTCCTTTTATAATTTCTTTATGTTATAAACATTTAGCTAATGCCCTTTCTGGTTTCAAATATTCCCTTCATGAATCCTTTATTAAGGCAAAATATGAAACAAGGTTTTTTCACTGCTGCTTTCTGGGATATATAATAATTTACTAGTCCAAGAACATCAACTTTCAACCATAAATCAATCCCTTGTCATTTGAAAATCTTAAGACATTGTCTTAAAATTAAAGCTACAGAGACAATGTCCAGAAATAAAATTATCCTCCAAGTAGCTAGGCCAGAACAACCAAGCTAAAACTACCTTAAGGAAGAAAATCAAAGAGCAGTACCATTTTAATGTTTCAAAAATGGGATCACACTAGCATGCTGAGTCCATGCCAGCCAAATGAAGAATGGCACTGGCTAGTTAATAGTCATCACTACTTTCTGTACTGCCAGTTTTCCTACCCAAGAATTGGAAGAAATCCAAAACTTCAAGGGCATTGCTCAAGGTGGCTCCCTGAAGAAAGAAAGAAAGAGAGAGGGGAAAAAAGTGAGAGGGAGACAGAGAGGCCATTTTATATTTTTTGGAATTCTACTCACCATTATTGAATCTAGTTAAAGCATTTCATGTAATTGCTCTAGTGAAATGTGGAAAAACAAAAAAAAATTCTATATAAATCAAACAGAATAGACGTGTTTAAAGAGGTAACTTATGTCTACTTTTCTACATTGGTTGGATTTTTCCCACTGCATTATGATAGAACTGTGTAACTTTAAAAACGTTTAGGTATTTGTTTATATTAAATTTTCTTCAGGGCAGGAGACCTGGTAGAACAAAAGTTATAGTTTTCTCTAGGTGTTGGTTGTACTTTCCCAAACCCGTTCAAAATTTATATTAATTTCTTAAAGTATTCCTATTTTTTTTCTTGTTGTTGAGTTTTGTTTGTTTGGAAATTTTTTGGCATGTGATAAAAATTTTCAAGATATGCACACCAGTTAACAAAGAACAAACATTCTCTGTTTTCTTTTTATGAAAACCAGACAGGTACATCATATAAACTCATAGAAATAAAATCAGCTTGTACAGATTCACAAGAACAAATTTTCAGGAATTTTGCCAACAGGTTGTTAAAAAGTGTTAGCTTGATAGCAGTCATGGTAAGAGTTTTTACACCACAGGAATTAGGAAATGCTTCCAATCAGGGCTTTTTTGCTGGAGCACTGATTGTTAAACATAAGCATACCACCGTCTAAATCCTATGTAGATTAGCAAGGAAGGAAATGAAAAGGTACTGTAGCTACAATTCTGAAATGAAATGATAAATTTTAATTTTATTGAGTCCATTCAGATATTGTCTGGGATACTCAGGGTCTAACACAATTATAAGTTCTTTTCATCTCTTATATAACAAAATCATATCCATTGTGGTAATCTTTGCCTCTACTATCTTCATAGTAGGATTCTAACATTTGTAATTCTTTGTCATTTGATATTTATTATAATATTGTTGCAGGCCGAAAGAGTGAGGTTTGTGACCAACTCAGTATACCACTGGAGGCTATATGAGTAAACAGCAAACTGTTCCCTTGAAAGCAGGGTGTTGGCAAACTGATAAACTGCGTCTGCCGCCCAGAAGGAATGCTGAGGGCAGTCACGCCCCAGGCACGTGTTTCTTGTGATTAGGCGCATCTGAAGCCTGTTAGCAATAATGTGAACCTGTGATCAGTTAAGTAGCTGACCAATCATTACCTCCTGCTCCCTGCTCTATCTACACAATAAATATGAACGGCTGTAGAAGCTCAAGGCGGCTGCCTTTGCTTAGTAGAAGCAGGAAGCCCTCTTCTTCTTCCCCAGATCCCTTCTTTAAGACAGTTTCTTTTGTTTTAAGTTTTCATTTCTCGTTCATCCTCCTTCGTTCAGCCCTGTGGTAACCGTGGCAAACTGCAGCATAATATGTTATTATTGATTTACTTAAAAGATAATAAACCACAATTCTGCATCCTTCATGTCAGAATTTTTCACCATTTAAGTAAATGCTTAATAACTTTTTTATTGATAATAAAAATGATTTAAATAATCAATCATGAACACTTACCTCTAGGCTGGTTCTCTTTATCCTTATCCAAATCCAGTCTGCTAAGATTTTAATGTTGATTCTAAAGACTAACATGGCTCAGACTTTAGATATTTTAAATTCTTTAAAAGTAATACACATAATCTACTATGTGTAAATTCAAGATTTGGTGTTTTGTTTGTTTGTTTTTAAAGAGATGGGGTCTTGCTCTGTTGCCCAGGCTGGAGGGCAGTGACATGAAGCATAACATCATATTTCACAGCAGCCTTAAACTCCTGGACCTCAATTCCTCCTCAAACTCAAGTGATCCTCCCACCTTAGCCTCCTGAGTAGCAGTGACTAATTGTATTCCACCAAATCTTGCTAATTTCTTGTGTTTTTAGAAAGAGGGTCTCACTATATTGCTCAGGCTGGTCTCAAACTTTTGGCCTCAAGTTTATTTTTTAATTTCAGTGGCCACTTCACTGTAACAATACAGGTTTATCCCATGAGATAAAACAGCAAATTAAATCCATTTATGTTGAAGTAAGCCAACAGATACCTAATTTATCATTAAACTCAGAGAATTTGGCTTTAACCTAAAGGGCTTGGTTTTAAAATTATAACCTAGGTCGTCTCAAAAAGAGGGCATTCTACAGACTATCAGTTGGAATAACTTCCGATGACTCAAAATTTTCTATAGGGCTGCCAGATTAAATATTCAGACTCCCACTTAAATTTGAATTTCAGATATTATAAATATTGCATGGAATATACTTACACTAAAAACTATTTTATATCTGAAATTCAAATTTAGGCATCCTGTATTTTAATCTGGTAACACCAAGTATTCTTAAATTGAACACCCTAGATCACAGAGTCTTAACCCGATGAATTTAGACCACAGATTTGAGGGCATTGCTGAATACATGAAATTAGATATAAAAGATTTTTAATAGATGCATCCATAGCTTTTAGCAGGGAACAGAAGCATAGCTTTTATCGGTAGCTCTTAATGAAGCATTTGCTTCAAAATCTCTTGGAGAGCCTTTTAAAAATTAGTGACTTACAATATTCAGAACAGTAGTAAATGATGCTATCACTTCTGTTTAAAAGAGAAAATCTCACTCTCTGTGTGCATGCACAGAATACCTCTGGAAGGAAACCCAAGAAACTGGAAGTAGTACTTCCCTCTGGACAGGGGAACTAGGAGACTGGGATGATTTAAGAGTCCTACTTCTCACTACTTCTCTTTTGTACATTTAATTTTATTACATTGTCCGTATTTTATCTATCTAAAGAAAGTTTAAAATTACAAAAACCAACAACGCCCAGGCCTCACTGTAGGCCTATTAAGTCGGAATTTCTAAATTTCCAGTGATGGAGCCATAATGTTTGCATGTATTTTTGTTAACTCCATAGTGTATTTTGATTATTAATGAATATCACACACATTGCTCTGTGGAATTTGCCAAAAAAAACAGCAAACACAAACACACCACAAACTCACACGAACACCATTCCCTGCATCTCCCAGGAAAGACCCAGAAAATAAATGACTCACTTCGAGCAAGGCTGGAGAGGTTCTGTTTAAGGACTCATGTGCGGTGAGTTCAAACAAATCTCCGCTTAGGTGTGGTGAGACAGGAAGCTGCTCAGTGTTTAAGCTGAAGGTTCAGGAGAGGGGACTCTTAATTAATGTTTTTGGCCACCAGATTACACAGAAGGGTAACTGAACATTTGCTTATCCACCTATGAAGTAACCTGCCTTTTCTGCACTTCTAGTGGGTGGGTCCAGGAGTAACAAGGATCTGCTACCCCTGGAAACTCTTCCTAGTGTTGTGCTCTCATAGCAATTTACCCAGACTGCTTCAAGGAGACACCCTGCCTGTTCACAATTTATCTCATCTTCACTATTATACTCAAATGTCATTTAAGGCCAGGTGCAGTGGCTCATGGCTATAATCCCAGCACTTGCAATGCCAAAGGTAGGAGGATAGCGTAAGTCCAGGAGTTTGAGACCAGCCTGGGCATCATAGTGAGACCCTCCTGCCTCTACAAAAAATAAAAATATTGGCCAGCCATGATTGCATGTGCCTATAATCCCCGCTGCTCAGGAGGCTGAGGTGGGAGGACAACTTGAGCCCAGAAAGTTGAGGTTGCAGTAAGCTGTGATCATGCCACTACACTCCAGCCTGGGCAACAGAGCGAGACTGTGTCTCCAAAAAAAAAAAAAAAAAAAAAAAAGGTGTCATTAAATGTTAAAGGAATGACTGACTACAATACTTCAGGATTCAATCTGCAAAAAGAAAACACGCCCAGCTGAGTATCCTAGAACACTTTCTAGATCATTCTCCTGGAGTTAACCTGAAGAAGTGGTGTCTCTTGCGTACCCTTTCTTCTCTCCATTTCAGCAAAATTGGCAAGAAAGAATTTCTTCACAGGCAAACATACAATTTGAGAAAAAACAAATTTTTATTCTCTGCTCTTAGTATCCTATTTCTGGTTCCTGTGCCCAGAAGAAAGGAATGCCACAAGTTACATGACTGCAAGCAATAGTAAACAAGTGTATTTCACAGTTTGATCTAAAATCTACCTGGAGTTGAATTTTGTGAAAATACAGAGTTTCACAGTTAATACAGTGAAGTTTCTAGAACATGTCATATGAGACTATCTTCACAACTCTGGTATAGGCAGAGGTTTTTAAAACAAAGTACAAAAAGCACGAACTAACCATAAAGGAAAAAATTGATAAAATGAGTAAATTAAAATTTACCAAAAAGTGCTTTTAAGAGAATGAAAAGACAAACCCAGAATGGGAAAATGTATTAGTAATAGATATACCAAACAAAGGGCTCATATCTGGGGAATATATAAAGAGTTCCTACAAAACAGTAAGATAGACCACATGGTGGGAAATTGGCAAAATACATGAATCAACACTTAACGTAAGAAAATATATTCAAAAAGTGTTTAACCTTATTAGGTATGAGGAAAATGCACATTAAAACCCTACTGAAATATCGCTACCTGTCTACCAGAATGGCTGAGATTTAAAAGATCGACAACACCAAGTGTTAGTAAAGATGTGGAATGATAGAAATTCTCACACACTGCTGGTGGAAGTGTAAATTGATACAAATTTGAAAAACTATTTGGCAATATTGCATACCATGCAATCCAAAAATTCTACTCCTGGGTATATACTCAAACGCCATACATTCTTATGTGCACCAAAGGCACATGCAAGGATGTTCATCACAGAAAATTATTTATAATAGCTAAATACTGGAAACAACCCAAATTTCCAATAGTAGAATGGATAAATAGTGGTATATTCATATAATAAAATTTGTTAACCACAAGGGAAAAGAATGAAATATACCTACAAGCAAAAATAACAAAAATATTGAGTGAAAGAAGCCAGACATAAAGAATATATAATAACACTTATAAACTTTCTTAAAATAGGAAAACCTAAATTATAATGTCAGAAGTCAGGATAATGGTTACCTCTGGGGAGAAGGGAGAAGGTAATGATTGGGAGACAGCACAAGGGAGTCTTCCGAGATGCTGGTAACGTTCTTTCATTTTATCTAGGTGATGCTTATATAGGTGTTTTCACTTTGTGGTGATGCCTCGAACTGACGTTGCTTTCTGCATTTTACTGTACATATGTTATACTCCAAATTTTCAGAAAGCATATTTTAAAAAAAGACCTGATCTCTTTGGGATACCTATTTACCTTGGAAAATGCCTGGTTACCAAGAGGAATGTTAGATCATTGACAATGTCTTTCAATTTTCACAGAACTTTTTATAAATATGTCCACTGAATAACATGTTGTACCTATGCAAATCATTATTAAACTTGAAGAGGAGTTTAATCATTGCATTAGTTTTGACTGCCATCTAATGGCAAGAATGTTGAACTATATAGAAGTAAAAAGAACCAGTCTCCCTGCAGTAAGCAAAAGAACATTGATTTTGGCTACAATTTGCAGGACTGCTTTATAGTAGAATTTATTGTTTGCACTCAGTGTAAATATTAGGACATCATGCAAATATTATGCATTCAATTAGGATTGTTAAATCTGAAATAAAACAGAATTTTTCATTTCTTCATGTAAGAAGTTCATGACCTTACTGCAATTTTCATTCTTTCTTTGACCATACATTATAGTCCTTTCAGATTACAGCCCACTTAGTACAGAAAATATTAGGCAGTAGCACAATATGTACAACCAAAAGAGAAAGTTGGCTGGGCATGGTGGCCTACGCTTGTAATACCAGCACTTTGGGAGGCCGAGACCAACAGATTACTTGAGCTCAGAAGTTTGAGACCAGACTGGGCAACATGGTGAGACCCCATCTCTAAAAACAAAATACAAAAATTAGCCAGGTATGGTGGTGCTCACCTGTAGTCCCAGCTACTTGGGAGGCTGAGGTGGGAGAATCGCCGGAGCCTCAGAGGCAGAGCTTGCAGTGAACCGTGACCGCGCCACTGAACTCTAGCCTGGGGAACAGAGAGAGACCTTGTCTCAAACAAAAACAAAAAGGGAGAGGGAGAGAAAGTTAAAAAATTATTAAGTTGAAAATAATCACTTCTGAGCCTCAACTGTTAATTAGATATTTTTTAAGCAAATATTTTTAAAGCAGAGTCCCCTAAAAGGACCTTTAAGACAGCTAGCAACTTCTTGGTGTGTTTCAGCAACATCTATGGAAAGCCAAAAAAAAATGAAGAAAAAACAGAAAAGAGGAAGCTTTGCTTATATTTGTTTAAGCATCCTGCCCCCACCAAATCCAGTTTGCTTATGAAGTAACCAAGATGAATATAGTTTCATCCTCCAGCAAAATGCTCCAACCCCTTTTATTATCTTTAATCCAAATGGAATCAATTGTTTTTGTTTGTATTAACACATTTACGGAGGTACAACTGACATACAATAAACTGCACATTTATAAAGGGATATATGTATGTACTCATGAAACCATCACAAAAATCAAGATAATGAACATATCCATCACTCCCAAAAATGCCCTTATGACCCTTTGTAATCCAAACCCACCTCTCCCATCCCACTCTGTCCCTAGGCAGCTGCTGATTTGCTTTTGATTACAGATAAGATTAGATTTTCTAGAATTTTTCTATAAATAGAATCATACCGTATGTACACCATCATCTGGCTCCTTTTATCTGCTGTGATTACTTTGAATTCATCTATGTTGTTGCTGTATAATTTCTTTTAATTCTGAGTGGTATTCTATTTGGTGGATATATCACAATTTGTTTATCCATTCACTTGCTAAAGGAGAATAGTTTACTTTTTGTTTTACAAATAAAACACTTGTAAATATTACAAATAAAATACTTGTAAATATTACAAATAAAATACCTGTAAATATTACAAATAAAATACTTGTAAATATTACAAATAAAGCTGCTATGAACATTTGTGTAAAAGATTTTGTAGGGGCCAGGCATGGTGGCTTATGCCTGTAATCCCAGCACTTTGGGAGGCTAAGGTGGGAGGATTGCTTGAGGCCAACAGTTTCAGACCACCCTGGGCAGCGTGGCAAATCGTCATCTTTACAAAAAAAAAAAAATTAGCCAGACATGGTGGTGCATGCCTGTGGTCCCAGCTACCCAGGAGGTTCAGGTGGGAAGATTGCTTTAGCCCAGGAGGTTGAGGCTGCAGTGAGCCATAATCTCACCACTGCATTCCAGCCTGAGCAACAGAGTGAGACCCTGTCTCAAGGAAAAATAAAAAGATTTTTTATGAACACATGCTTTCCTTTATTTTTGGAATGAATACCTACAAGTTTTTGCCAGACTGTATAATGATCTGCCAAAGACGTCCATGTCCTAATTCCCTTCTGCCATTTACCTTATATGACAAAAGGTACTTGGCAGATGTGATTAAGTGAAGGGTGGGAAATTGAGGTGGGAAATTCACTTGATTACCAAGGGGGCCCAATGTCATCACAAGGGCCCTTGTAAGAAGGAGGCAACAGAGTCAGAGTCAGACACCAAGTGAAGTGACAACGGAGCTGAGAGAGGGATTGAAAGATGCTATGTTGCTGGCTTTAAAGATGGAGGATGGGAGCAGGAGCCAAAGAAATTCAGCCAGTCTCTAGAAGCTAGAAGGCAAGGAAACTGAATCTCCCCTGGACCCTCCAGAATGAACCAGCCTTTCCAACTCTTGACTGTAGCCCAATGAGATTGATTTTAGACTTCTCACCTCCAGACTGTAAGATAATAAATTTGTGCTGTTTTAAACCACTGAATTGGTGGTAATTTTTTATAGCAGCAATAGAATAATATAATAGAATGTAATGACTGAGTTATATAATAGTGATGGCAACTGCAGCCTGTCTGGAGTGGCCTCAGGCATGACACTGGCTGCAGTGGGGAGGCACCGCTGGGGCTGCGTGCTCCACAGAGCCAGAGGGATCCAGGAACAGATGGAAGCCCCGCCCCTTTCAGAGTTGGAGGGGTAGAAGCCCTGCCCTCCAGGTGCACCTGCAGTCACCCAGCCGGGGTTGTGAACCCAGGCATTCCAAAGCTCTGGGGGCCAGGAAGGCCCCCTACCCCTGCAGGCTTGGAATTGTCTGCTCCTCTCCCTACTCCTGGTGCCTGGTCTGATTTTGGAGCAGAGTTGAGACCCCAGCCTGGGCACTGTCATGACCTGGCCAAGTGTGTATGCTTGGGGCAGCACTGACACACCAGCCCTTGCCACCTCAGTCCGCACTGGACTTTGGGCACTGAGGAGCATGGGAGGGAGGCTGAGAGGGGGCAGAGGGTAGCTCAGTGTGAGCTTGCAGGTGCCCCTCAGCATGAACAGCCTGGGTGCTGGTGAGCACCATGGACAGCAAGTTGACGGCAGCAGGAGGCAGCCAGGCTCCTGGGTGGAAAGAGGTGGTTCCTGGTGAAGTCCTACCTTCAAGCCAGGGATGGCCTGAAGGCTGTGGCCCGGGCTGCCAGTTCCACTGTCTGAAGTGAGAACTTATGGTGCTTTTTTCAGGTTCTCCCATGGCCGCCCACGGACCAATCAACATGCACTTTCTCCATTCTGAAGCCCATAAAAATCCCTGGACTCAGCCAAACTCGGTAGATGACCTGTCTGCAGATTGGAGCTCCCCACTCCAGCTCTAGTCTCCACTGAGGGATGCAGACTTGTCAGGATGAACTGCCTGTGGACAGGAGCTACCCACTCCAGGTCTCATCTCCACTGAGAGCTGTAGAGACATCCAGACAACCTGCCTCTGGATAGGAGCTACCCACTCCAGGGCTTCTCTCTGCTGAGGGCTGCAGACATTGGGATGACCTGCCTGTGGATAGGAGCTATCCTGCCTGTGGATAGGAGCTATCCTGCCTGTGGGTAGAATCCACGCTGAGGGCTGCACAGACAACGGGACAACCTGCCTGCATATAGGAACTATCCACTCCAGATCTCCTCTCTGCCGAAGGCTTCAGAGACATCAGGGTGATCTGCCTGTGGATAGGAGCTACCTACTCTGGGTCTCCTCTCCACTGAGGGCTGCACAGATGATGGGACAGCCTGCCTGTGGAGAGGAGTTACCAACTCCAGGTCTTCTCTCTGCTGAGGGCTGCAGAGACATCGGGGCAACCTGCCTGTGGATAGGAGCTACCCATTCTGGGTCTCCTCTCTGCTAAGGGCTGCACAGATGTTGAGATGACCTGCATGTGGATAGGAGCTACCCACTCCAGTCTCCTCTCTGCTGAGATGATGGGATGACCTGTCTGTGGATAGGAGCTACCCACTCCAGGTCTCCTTTCCGCTGAGGAAGCAGAGATGTCAGGGTGACCTGCTTGCAGAAAGGAGCTACCCACTTTGGGTCTCCTGAGAGCTGTACTGTTGCTCAATAAAACACCTCTTCACCTTGCTCACCGTCCAGTTGTCCACATACCTCATTCTTCCTGGATGTGGGACAGGAACTTGGGACCCCCAAATGGCAAGTCTGAAAGAGCTGTAACACTAACAGAGCTTAAACATGCCCCCCTGCTCACCATGTTGCAGGTGATGAGAAGGAGAGAAGAAAGGAGAGCTGCGACCATTTGGGCAACCCAGACCTTGAAGCTCCCCAAGCCAGGGCTGTGACACCTTCTTTGGGGCTGTGTGGTTCCTGGTGTCTCCTAGCTTCCAGGTGCCACCGTGTTCCCCAGTGCCCCTAGTGGAAGCTGCTTGCAGTATGCCTGGTCCAGCCACAGCCTCACAGGGGGCCGGCACCTGTGTCAGCACCTGGAGCTGCCTGCCCCACTGCAGCCGGCATGCCTGGCTGTGTGCAGTGGCCAGACCCCATGCTCACTCACACATTCCTCACCGCTCTGTCCCTGGCTCACCCTTGGTAGGTGTGGGATCCAGACCAACAGTGCAAGCCAAGTGCAGCCTGACAGGCCAAGTGGGCAAAACAAGCCCCGCAGGCCTGAGCAAAACTTGGGTAAAGGTGCCAATGGCCACAGAGGTTTCCAGCAGGTGAAGCAACACCCCAAAGATCTCATGATAATAGGTTTATGTTTAACTTTTTAGGAAACTTCCAAACTGTTTCCTAAAGAGATTACATCATTTTCAAGTACCACAAGCAGTGTGTGAGTGTTCTGGTTGCTTCACATGTTCACCAAAGACTAGTATTGCTAGTCTTTTTAACATTCTAGTGGATATATGATGGTATCTCATTGTGTTTTAATTTGCATTTTCATAACAAATAATGATGTTGAGCATCTTGTCATGTACTTATTTGCCATCCACATATATTTTTTATGAAGTATCTATTTAAATCTTTTGCCCAGTTTTTTATTTTGAGATGGGGTTTCAGTTTGTTGCCCAGGCTGGGGTGCAGTGGCTATTCACAGTGCACTACATGATCATGGTGCACTACAGCCTCAAACTCCTGGGTGCAAACAATCATACTGCCTCAGCCTCCCAAGTAGCTTGTATGATGGGAATGGGCCACTGTGCCCAGCTTTTTGGCATTTTGAAAATGGAATTGTTTGTCTTTTTATTATTGAACTGTGTGAATTCTTTATATATTTTAGATAACAGTTCTTTTATTGGATAATGTTTTTTCCCAGTCTATGACAATGTCTTCAGAAGAGCAAAAGATTTTAATTTTTGTAAAGTTCAATGGTTTATGGTTGGAAATTTCTGAAACGGTTTTCAACAATCCCTACCTTCTGGCATTTGTGACCTTGTGTAATCCTCTTCCCTTGAATGTGAGTTAGACATAGTGGTTTATTTCTAATGAATAACTTGTGGCAAAGGTGATAGAATATCACCTCAGAATTACACTAGAAAACACTGTGACTTGCTTCTTGCTTGTACCCTCTCCCTGACTCTTCTTTTATCCTCCCTTTGATGAAGCAAGAGGCTCTATTGTGAGCTGCCCTACTGAGAAGCCCACAGGGCAAAACAGAGTTACCCCTGGCCAATAACTAGCAAAGAATTAAGAGCCTCTCAACAACCCTTGAGAACTAAATCTTGAAAACAACAATCAAAAGTGGATCCTTAACCAGCTGAGACTTCAAATGAGAGCACAGCCCCAGTTAAAAGTTGACTGTAGCCTTGTGAGAGACCCTTGAAGCAGAGGTCTCAGCTAAATCATGCTGGGATTCATGACTCACAAAGGTAATAATAAGTACTATTTAAGTCACTATTTAAGGATTAGAGGTAATTTGTTGTCCCACAGTAGATAATTCATACAGTGACTTTTTTCTTTTATGCTTTTTGTATCCTGTTTAAGAAATCTTTGCCAAATCCAAGGTCATGAATATTTTCTCCTTGTTTCTTCTAGAAATTTTATAGTATTAACCCTTACAATTAAGTCTAAGAGCCATTTTGAGTTAATTTTTTGTGGACAGTATGCATATAGTGTGAGGTAAGTGTATATAATCTGTGTATAGCATGAGATTCATTTTGTCACATATAGCAATTCAATTGCTTCAGTGTCATTTGTTTAAAAAAATTATCCTTTCACTATTGAATTGCATTGACCCTTTGTGAAAAATCAATTATATTTCTAATTCCAAACTCTCTATTCTATTCTATTGTCTGTCTTTACACTACCATATCACATTGATTACTGTAGCCTTACCTCTAATTCCAGAGTATCTGCTCTGTTCTATTTTCTATCTACACCAATACCATACCGTCTTGATTACTGTAGCTTTATAGGTCTTAAAATCAAATAGTGTAAATAAATAGCTTTATTATTTTTTAAAGTTGTTTTGGCTGTTTTAGATTCTTTTCATTTTCAAACACATTGTAGAATCAGCTTGTCAATTTCTATTAAAAAATTGCGCTGGCCTTTTATTGGGATTGCTTTGAATCTCCAGGGGGAGAACTAATATCTGACCAATATTGAGTCTTCTGATTCATGAACCTGCCATATCTCTCTGCTGTATTTATTTAGGTCATCTTTAGCTTCTCTCAGCAATGTTTTGTCATTTTCAGTGTGCATGTTTTCAACATCTTTCATTAAATTTATTCCTAAATATTTTAAATTTTCTAGTCTGGGTGCAGTGGCTCATGACTGTAATTCCAGCAATTTGGGAGGCCAAGGTGGGTGGATCACTTGAGGCCATGAGTTATGGACCAGCCTGGCCAACATGGTGAAACCCTGTCTTTACTAAAAATATAAAAATTAGCCAGATGTGGTGGCGCATGACTGTAGTCCCAGCTACTTGGGAGGCTGAGGCACGAAAATCACTTGAACCCAAGAGGTGAAGTTGGCAGAGCCAAGATCATGCCAATGCACTCCAGCCTGGGTGACAGAGCAAGACACTGTCTCAAAAAATTTTTTTCAATGTTATTATAAATGGTATAGGTTGTAGAATTTTGATTCCTGACTGTGGTTAATATTTTTATGTATTTTGTACATTATATATACTTCAATGATGACTCACTTCTTAGTTATATAGTTATATTATCTTTCTTGAGGGGTTCCTTAAGATTTTCTACCTAGATGATTTTGTTGTTCCAAATAAAATTTTCCTTCTTCTTCTATAATTTATATACTGTTACTTCTTTTTATTTTCTTAATAAAATGTTGAATAGAAGAGGTGAGCATGGAGGACCCATCCAGTGGCTCATGCCTATAAACCCCAACACTCTGGGAGACCAAGGCAAGAGGATTACTTGAGCCCAGGAGTTTGAGACAAGCCTGGGTAACGTGGTGAAACCCTGTCTCTACCAAAAATACAAAAAAAAAAAAATTAGCTAGGCATGCTGGTGCACAGCTGTATTCCCAGCTACTTGGGAGGATGAGATAGGAGAATTAATTGAGCCCAGGAGGTCAAGGCTGCAGTGAGCCATAATAGCGCCACTGCATTCCAGTGTGGGTGATAAAGCGAGAACCTGTCAAAGAAAAAGAGGTGAGCATGGACATTTCTTTCTTTCTTTGGAATCTTAGACAGAAAGCATTCAGTTGTTCATGATAAACCATGACGGTAGCTGTAAATTTTTTATATATGGACTTTGTCAGGTAAAAGAAATTCCCTTCTATTCCTACACTGATGAAAGTTTTCGTTAGGAATGAATGTAAGACCTTGTCAAATGTTTTTCTTTCAGCTATTGAGAAGAATTTGTGTGTGTGTGTGTGTGTGTGTGTGTGTGTGTGTGTGTGTGTGTGTGTAGATTAAATTACATTGGTTAATTTTCTAATTTTTTTCACCAGTCTTGCATTTGTGGGATAAACTAGTTTGGTCAGAATATATTAACCATTGTATTCATTACGGGATTTATTTTGCTAACATTTTGTTGAGGAATTTTATTTCAATGTTCATGAAGAACAGTGGCATACAGTTTCATTATCTTCTGTGTTTTTGTTTGGTTTTGGTACCGGGTGAATGCTAGTCTCATATAATGAATTAGGGGAAGTTTCTTCTTCTTCAATTTTCTGAAAGAATTTTTGTAGAACTGTTATTATTTTGCTTTTACATTTTGGTAGACTTCAACAGTGAAGCCATCTGGGCCTGGAGTTTTCTTAATGGGAAAATTTTTAATTAAAAATTTGATTTCTTTAATAAAAATAAAACTTTGCATATTACTATTTCTTCTTGAGTAAGCTTTGGTAGCTTGCCTATTTCATTTAAGTTGTTGAATATATTAGTAAAAAGTTATAATAGTCCCTTATTATCCTCTTAATGTTTATAGAACCTATAATTATGTCACCCTTTCCTTCTCAATATTAGTGATGTGTATCTTCTTTTGTCTCCTATCAGTCAGGCTACAGGTTTATCAATTTTATTGATCTTCTCAATCTGTTTTTGGCTTTATTGATTTTCTCTATTCTTCTTGCTTATTTGTTTTCCATTTCTCTGATTTCTGCTCTTATATTTATTACTTTCTTTGGCTGATTTGGATTTGAATTGTTCTTCTTTTTACAGTTTCCTAAGGTCACTAATTTGAAACAATTTTTAAAATATATATGCCCTTAATGCTATATATTTCCTCCTAAGCACTGCTTTAGCATCATCTCACAAATTTTTCTTTTTACTCAATTCAAATAATTTCTAACATTCTTTTGCTTGCCTTTTTGATACTTGAGTTATTTAGAAGTGTGTTATTTATGTTTAATATCCACCTATTTGGGGATTTTTCAGATATCTTTCTGTTGTTGAGTTCCATTTAATTTTCTTGTTGTCATATTTTGTATATTTGAATTATTTTCAACTTACTGAGACTCGGTTTTTGATCAGAATATGACTTATCTTGGTAAATGTTTTGTGGATATTAGAAAAGAACATGTATTTTGTTGCTGTTGGGTGAAGTATTTGATAAATTTCAATTAGGTCAAGTTGGTTTATGGTGTTTGAATCTTCAATATCTTTACAGATTTTCTGTTTATCTCTTCTATTAAATTCTAATGAGAAAGATGCCAAAGTATCTTACTATAATTGTGAACTTATATATTTTTCCTTGCAGTTCCATCAGTTTTATTTTGTGTATGTGAAGCTTAATTATCAGGTGCATAAACATTGAGAATTGCTAAGTTCTCTTGACCAATTGACTCCTTTGTTTTATCTCATTTTCTTTTCTTTTTTTTTTTTTTTTTGAGATAGGGTCTCACTCTGTCATCTAGGCTAAAGTATAGTGGCATAATCATGGCTCAAGGTAGCCTCAATTTTTCCCGGGCTCAAGTGATCTCCCACCTTAGCCTCCTGAGTAGCTGGGACTACAGGCACTCGCCACCACACCAAGCTAATTTTTTAACTTTTTTTTCACTATGTTGCCCAGGCTGGTCTCAAACTCCTGGGCTCAAGTGATCCTCTTGCTTCAGCATCTGGAGTAGCTAGGGTTACAGGCACACATCACTGTACCTGGATTTAGGATGATTCTTTTTAACACTGGCAATATTCTTTGCTCAGAAATCTACTCTGTCTGAAATTAATATTGTCATCCTAGTATTCTTTTGATTAGTGTTAGCATGAGATTTTTTTCCATCTTTTAATTTTTAGGTTATTTGTTACTTTGTTTTTCAAATGGGTTTCTTATAGGCAGCATATAGTTGGGTCTTGCTTTTCTACCCAACTTGACAATCTCTGCCTTTAAATTGGGGTGTTTAAGATGTTTACACTTAACATAATTAAGGATATGGTAGGGTTTAAGTCTACCATCTTACTTTTTGTTTTCTGTTTGTCCTATTTGTTTTCTGTTCCCCCTTTTTCTTGTTAACTTCTCTTGGATTGAGTATTTTTTATTATTCCATTTTATCTCCAGTTGGCCTATTAGCTACAACTCTTTGTTTTGTATTTTAGTGGTTACTTTAGGGTTTCTAATATACATTTTTTAAACTTTATTTTTAAAATGACTGTTTTCCTTTTTGAGACAGGGTCTTGCTCTGTCACCCAGGCTGCAGTGCAGTGGTGTGATCTCGGCTCACTGCAACCTTCGTTTCCCAGGCTCAAGTGATCCTCCTACCTCAGCCTCTCAAATAGCTAAGACTGCAGGTATGTACTACCACACTTGACTAATTTTTAAATTTTTTGCAGAGATGGGGTCTCACTGTTGCAGGATCCTTGGGTTGTTGCTTTTCTGGCTGGAAACCTCTGTGGCTGAGTTTTGCTTGGGGCTGCTGGGCTTATTCCACCCACTTGGCCTGGCAGGCTCCTCTCAGCTCATGCTACTGGCCTGGATCCTACGGCTGCCAAGGGCAAGCCAGGCATGGAGTGGTGAGAGATGTGTGAGTGAGCAAGCATGGGGTCCAGCCACTGTGCACAGTCAGGCATGCCAGCTGCTGCAGTGGGGCAGGAAGCTCCAAGTACCGGCATGGGTGCCGGCTTTCTGCAAGGCTGTGGCTGGACCAGGCATACCAAAAGCAGCTTCCAAGGCTGCCACTGGGAAATGCAGTGGCACCCAGAAGCTTAGAGACTCTAGGAACTGCAGGACCCCAAAGAGGGAGTCACAACTCTAGCTCAGGGAGTTCCCAGGTCTGGGCTTCCCGAAGGGCCACAGCTCTTCTCTCCTTCTCTTCACCTGCAATGTGGCAAGCAAGGGGCATGTTTCAGCCCTGTTTGTGTTACAGCTCTTTTAGCCCCACCATTTGACAGGCCCTGAGTTCTGTCCTGCTACCAGGAAGAATGAAGTATGCAGACAAGTGGAGGGTGAGCAAGATGAGAGGGAGCTTTATTGAGGGATAGAACAGCTTAGAGGAGGCCCACAGTAGGTAGCTCCTTTACACAGCTAGGGTATCCTGATGAGTGTTTCGCTCCTAGCAGAGAGGAGGCCTTGGAGGGGGAGCCTCCTCTGCAGGTAGATTGTCTTATCATATCTGCTGCTTTCAGCAGAGAGGAGGCCCTGGAGTAGGTTGTTCCTTTCTGCAGCTGGTTATCCCAATGTATCTGTAGCTTTCAGCAGAGAGGAGGCCATGGAGTGGGTAGCTCCTCTCTGCAGCTGGTCGTCCCAACATCTGCTGCTCTCAGCAGAGAAGAGGCCCTGGAGTGGGTAGCTCCTCTCTGCAGCTGGTCATCCTGAAGTCTACTCAGCTCTGGCTGAGCCCAGAGCTTTTATGGGCCTCAGAGGGGAGGAATTAAGCACTGATTGGTCCATGGGTGGCCATGGGTCCGGAAAAGGCCCCAGAAGTTCGCACTCTGGTCTGTGGAACTGGTAGCCCGGTCACCAGCCTTCAGGCCTTCCCTGGCCTGAAGGTGAGGCCTCACCAGGAACTCACCCCCTTCCACCCAGGAACCTATCTGCTTCCTGTGGCCATTTGTGGTGCCCAGGCTGTAAGTGCCTAGGGGTGCCTGCAGGCCAGCACCAAGATGCCCTCAGTCCCCATTGGCTTCCCTCCTATGCTCATCAATGCCCAAAGTCTGGAGGGGGCCCAGGCAGCAGGGAGCTTGTGTGTCAGCACTGTTCCGAGTGTGTGCACACCTGGCCATGCTGTGACAGCACCTGGGCTCAGCCCTGACTTTGCAGCAAGGTCAGAGTGAGCACCAATAGCAGGGAGAAGCCAGTCAGTGGGAGCAGGCATTTCTGAGTCTGCAACGGTGGTGTGGGGCCTTCTGAGGCCCTGAAGAGTGTAAGGATGTCTGAGTCCACAGCCATGGTTTGGGCAGCTGCAGCTATGGTGTTGTGGGGTAGGGCTCCTGCCTGTTCCATGGAGTAGGAGACCCAGGTCCACAACCACAACTTGGGCAGCTGCAGTTGTACCCAGGGAGCTCCTGCCCCACCAACTCAGAAGGGGAGGGGCTCCCACCTGTTCCTGGCTCCTGCTGGCTCCATGGAATGTGCAGCCTAGCTGTGCCTCCCTGCTGCAGCTGGCGTGATGGGAGCAGCTGCTCCAGAGAGGCTGCCACTGTTATCATCACTATATTGCCCAGGCTGGTAAAACAACTTTTTTTGAGATATAATTCACATATCATACACTTCATCCACTTAAAATATATAATTTAATGGCTTTAGTATGACAGAATTTGGCAAGTATCATCATGATCAATTTTAGAACATTCTCATTATTCCCAAAAAGAGATCCCCTATACCTAAGCAACCTTCCCCTCCATTTATCCATTCTCCTCAGCCATAGGCAACCATTAGATTTGCCTATTCTGGATATTGTGTATAAATGAAATCATGCAATATCTGGTCATTTGTGACTTTTTTTTTTCAATTAGTATTGTGTTTTCAAGGTTCATCCATGTTGTAAAATATATCAGTACTTTATTCCTTTTTATTCACAAATAATATTCCATTATATGGATATAACATATTTTATTTATCTATTCATTATCATCTGTTGATGGATAGTTGGGTTGTGTTCACTTTTGGACCATTATCAATAATGATGCTATCAATATTAGATATATGTTTCTGTGTAGACTTATGTTTGTATTTCTCTGTACATACCTGGACATGGAATTACTGGGTCATATGGTAAGTCTATGTTAACCATTTAAGAACTTCCAGACTGTTTTTCAAAGCAGCTGCATCATTTTACATTCCCACAGCAGTGCATTAGAGTTCTAATTTCTCCATATCTTCACTAACACTTGTTCTTATTTTTGTTTTGGATTATAGCCATCCTAGTGGGTGTGAAGCAATACCTCATTGTAGTTTTAACTTGCATTTCCTTGATGTGTAGTATAAATCTTTAATTTATCATAATCTGCCTTCAAGAATTATGATACTTCATGTATGGTATAATAACCTTACAACAATATACATCTGTTTTCCCTCCCCTGCCTTTGTGCTATTTTCATGCATTTTACTCCTTCAGATGTTATAAGCATCACAATGCATTGTTATTAAGTTTTTTTGATATGGGGTCTCTCTCTGTTGCCAGGCCGGAGTGCAGTGGTGCAATCACAGCTCACTTGTAGCCTCAACCTCCTGAGGGGCTCAAGCAATCCTCCCACATCAGCCTCCCAGGTAGCTGGGACCTCAAGAACTTACCACCACACTCAGCTAATTTTTAAATTATTTTGTAAAGTTGGGGTCTTGTTATGGTGCCCAGGCTAGTCATGAACTTCTGAGCTCTAGTGATCTTCCCACGTTAGCCTCCCAAAGTGCTGGGATTATAAGTGTGAGCCACCATGACTGGCTCATTGTTATTAATCTTGCCTTAAATACCTAGTTATCTTTTTAAAGAATTTTATTGAGATATAATTAACAATACCAGGCATGGTGGCGCATGCCTGTAGTCCCAGCACTTTGGGAGCCCAAGGTGGGTGGATTGCTTGAGCTCAGGAGATCAAGACCAGCCTGGGCAACATGGCGAAAGCCCATCTCTACAGAAAATACAAAAAATTAGCTAGGCATGGTGATGCATGCCTGTAGTCCCAGCTACTTAGGAGACTGAGGTGGGAGAATCACCTGAGCCAAGGAAGTTGAGGCTGCAAGGCTTCAATGAGCCATTATCACACTACCGCACTCCAGCCTGAGTGATAAGGTGAGACCTTATCTCAAAAAAAAAAAAAGAGAGAGAGAGATAATTAACAAGCTATACAATTCACTCACCTAAGGTGCACAATTCAACAGTTTTTAGCATATTCACAGACTTGTGCAACCATCATTTTAGAGAATTTCATCATCCCAAAAAGAAACCCCTAACCCATTAGCAGTCACTCTCCATTTTCCCCCAATCCTCCAACCCCTAGGCAATCACTAATCTGTGTCTATAGATTTGCCTATTCTGGCCATTTAAGGTAAATGAATCCCTATCATATGTGGTCTTTTGTGACTGGCCAGCCAATTTTTTTTTTTCTTAAGAGATAAAGGTCTCGCTTTGGCGCTCAGGCTGGTCTTGAACACCTGAACTCAAATGATCCTCCTGCTTCAGCCTCTGAAGTAGCTGGTACTACTAGAACATGTCACCACACATGGCTTCAATTATCTTTTAAAGAAATTTTTTAAATTAGCAAGAAGAGTATTTTATCTTTGCCCACATTTTCACCATTTCCAGTGCTCTCTTCATTCCTTTGTGTAGTTCCAGGTTTTCATGTGGTATCACTTCCCTTCTGCTTGGCAGATTTCTTTCTTTTCTTTAATTTTCTTTTCTTTTCTTTTTCTTTTCTTTTTTTTTTTTTTTTTTTGACGGGGTCTCGCTCTGTTACCCAGGCTGTAGTGCAGTGGTGCGGTCTTGGCTCACTGCAAGCTCCGCCTCCCGGGTTCACGCCATTCTCCTGCCTCAGCCTCCTGAGTAGCTGGGACTACAGGTGCCCGCCACCACGCCTGGCTAATTTGTTTGTATTTTTAGTAGAGACGGGGTTTCACCAGGATGGTCTTGATCTCCTGACCTCGTGATCCACCTGCCTCGGCCTCCCAAAGTGCTGGGATTACAGGCGTGAGCCACCGCGCCCAGCCTCTTCTTTCATTTTTTTTTAAGACAGAGTCTCACGCTGTAACCCATGCTGGAGTGCAATGGCACAATCTTGGCTCACTGCGGCCTCTGCGTCCTGGGTTCAAGTAATTCTCGTGCTTAAGCCTCTTGAGTAGCTGGAATTACAGGTACCTGCCAATACACCCAGCTAATTTTTTGTATTTTTTAGTAGAGATTGGGTTTCACCATGTTGGCCAAGCTGGTCTTGAACACCTGGCCTCAAGTGATCCACCCACCTCGGCCTCCCAAAGTGCTGGGATTACAGGTGTGAGCGATGGCACCCAACCCTTTTAGCATTGTAGTGCAATTCTGCTGGCATTAAATTTTCTCTCTCTCTCTCTCTCTCTCCATATATATATATAATTTATAAACAACAGAAATTTATTCTCACAGTCCTGGAGGCTGAGAAGTTCAACAACAAGGAGCTGGCAGGTTTGGTGTCTGATGAGAGCCCAGATCTCTGCTTCCAAAATAGTGTCTTGAATGTTGCATCCTTACATGGCGAAAAGGATGGAGAGCAAAGTAAAAGGGGGAGTTTTTATATATTCAATAAAGCCTTTATTTTGCCTTTTTTTGAAAGATATTTTTACCCAGTATAGAACGTTAGTTTGATTTTTTTCAGTGTTTTGCCAACAATGTTCCACCATCTTTTGGTTTGCATTATTTTCAACAAGAAATATGCTGGATTTTTAAATCTTTGTTCTTCTCAATTTTTTTTGTTGTCCTAGCCCTCCTTTTCAGGGATTTCAGTTATACACACATTAGGCCACTTGAATTTGTCCCAAAGTTCAACTTTTTTTCTTTCTGTGTGTCATTTTGGGTAATTCCTATTGCTACATATTATATTTTCTTCCACTGTCTAATCTACTATTAATCCCACCCAGTGTACTTTAAAAAATCTCGGCCAGGTGCAGTGGCTCAGGCCTGTAATCCCCGCACTTTGGGAGGCTGAGGCGGGAGGGTCACGAGGTCAGGAGATCAAGACCATCCTGGGAAACACGGTGAAACACCGTCTCTACTAAAAATACAAAAAAAAATTAGCCGGGCGTGGTGTTGGGCGCCTGTAGTCCCAGCTACTAGGGAGGCTGACACAGGAGAATGGCATGAATCCGGGAGGCAGAGCTTACAGTGAGCTGAGATCGCACCACTGCACTCCAGACTGGGCGACAGGGCGAGACTCTGTCTCGAAAAAAAAAAAAATCTCAGAGCCTGTATTTCTCATCTATATTAGTTTGATTTAAATTTCTCTATATCTTCTATGTTTTTCTTTAACATGCTTATGCTTTCCTCTGCCTTCTTGAACACATAAGTTATATAACAGTTATAGTTATAATAATTTATACTGTCTACTAATTTGATGATAGAAACATTGATAATAACAGATGATAATCTATGCCATTCTAGTGTCTATTTCTTTCAAGTAATTTTTCTCCTGTTATAAGTCATATTTTTCTGTTTCCTTGTATCCCTAATAATTTTTCACTGGATGCTTGACATTGGAGTTTTATGCCATTTGATGCTACATAATTTATATTCCTTTTGATATTCTTGAGCTTTGTTCAGTTAAGTTACTTGAAAATAGTTTGTTCCTTCTGAGGCTTTCCCTCAAGCTTTGTTCGTGGGACAAGAGTAGCTTTTAGTTTACAGCTCATTTTGCCTCATTACTGAAGCAATACCCTGTGTGTATTCCACCTCATGTCCCATGTATTACCAATTTTTTTTCACTCTGGCGGGTGGACTCCTGTGTGATCTCCAGGGATTGTTCCAGGGATTGTTCTTCCTGCTCATCTCTGGTGATTCTCTCAGCAGCCCTAAATAATTTCTTTCTACATACACTTTGGTGAGTTTGGGAGGCAGGCGGATCACGAGGTCAGGAGATAGAGACCATCCTGGCTAACACAGTGAAACTCCGTCTCTACAAAAATACAAAAAAATTAGCTGGGCATGGTGGCGGGTGCCTATAGTCCCAGCTACTCAGGAGGCTGAGGCACGAGAATAGCGTGAACCCGGGAGGCGGAGCCCGCAATGAGCCAAATCACGCCACTGCACTCTGGCCTGGGTGACAGAGCAAGACTCCGTCTCAAAAAAAAAAAAACCAAGAAAAAAAAAAGACTCAAGAAGGGCTGGGCACGGTGGCTTATGCTTGTGATCTCAGCATTTTGGGAGACCGAGGTGGGAGGATTGCTTGAGACCAGGAGTCCCAGACCAGCCTGGGCAATATAGGGAGAACCCCGTCTCTACCAAAAAAAAAAAAAAAAAAGAAAAGACTCAAGGACAACTTGGCAAATATCCGAAGCTCTCTTTCTCTATTTAGTTCTCTCTTTTCCATGAAGCTCTCTCCTCACCAGTACTCTGCCAAGTGAAATCTAGCTACCTTGCCCTGTGTGAATTCTCAACTCTGTTTCCTCTATTCAAGGAGACCATCAAGATCTGTTTCCTCTATTCAAGGAGACCATCAAGATCTGTTTGAGTCCTCCCTTCCTGTGGTATGGCCTGGAAACTCTCCTCTGTCAGTAACTGAAGCTACTGAGCTAAATGAGGCTCACCTCATTTGTTCCCCTTCATCCCGCCTGTTGTCCAATGTCTGAAATCCTTATGTGGTAGATAGAATAATGACATCCTCCCAACCACAAAATGTTTATGTCCCAATTCGCAGAACCTGTGAATATATTAAGTGGCAAAAGGGACTTTGCCTGTGTAATCAAATTAAGGATCTTGAGATTGGGAGGTTATCCTGGATTATTCAAGTAGGCTTACTGTATTGATAAGGGGTCCTTATAGGCGAAAAGGGGAAGCAGGGGAATTAGAGTGAGAGAAGGAGATGTGATGACGGAGCACAGGTCAGAATGATGTGTTGCTGGCTTTGAAGATTGATGAAAGCCAAAAAATAATGAATACATAAGCCAATTTCCCAGCCTCTAGAATGTAGAAAAAACAAGGAAACAAATTCTCCCCTAGGTCTTCCAGGAGGAATGCAGCCCTGCTGACACCTTGATCTTAGCCCAGTGAGATCCATTTTGGACTCTTCAGAACTGTAATATAATACATTTGTGTTTTATGTAATATATTTTTATATAATATATATATTTTATATTATATAATTATATATAATATAAAACGTATTAAAAATATATTAAAACATATATTAAAAATATGTTTTTAAAATATATTTTTAAAACATATATATTTAAAAATATAATAAAAACATATTTAAAAACATATAATAAAACATATATTATATATATGTTGCTGTTGTTATACCGCAAACTTGTTTTAAGGCACTAAGTTTGTGGTAAATTGTTACAACTGCAATAGAAAAATAATATACCTCCTTTCTATATATTTTATTCAGTTTTTGATTTGTTTAAAATGTGAGTGTGCTCCATTGCTCATCAAGGCAACTCAAAAACACAGACTCTGCAGTTTCTTTTTCTTTTCTTTTTTTTTTTTTTTTTTTTTGAGATGGAGTCTCACTCTGTTGCCCAGGCTGGAGTGCAATGGCACAATCTCAGCTTACTGCAACCTCCACCTCCCAGGTTCACCTCCACCTCCCAGGTTCACCTCCACCTCCCTGCCTCAGCCTCCTGAGTAGCTGGGATTACGGGTGCCCACCACTACGCCTAGTTAATTTTTTGTATTTTTAGTAGAGACAGGGTTTCACCATGTTGGCTAGGCTGGTCTTGAACCCCTGACCTCATGATTCACCCACCTCGGCCTCCCAAAGTGCTGGGATTACAGGCGTGAGCCATTTTGCCTGGCCTCTTTTTCTTTTCTTTCTTTCTTTTTTTTTTTTTTTTGAGACAAAAGTCTTGCTCTGCTGTCCAGGCTAGAGTGCAGTGGCACAATCTCAGCTCACTGCAACCTCTGCCTCTGGGGTTCAAGTGATTCTCCTGCCTCAGCATCCCGAGTAGCTGGGACTACAGGTGCATGTCACCATGCCTGGCTAATTTTTTGAATTTTTAGTAGAGACAGGATTTCACCATGTTGGTCAGGCTGGTCTCAAGCTCCTGACCTCAAGTGATCTGCCTGCATCGCCCTCCCAAAGTGCTGAGATTACAGGCAGGAGCCACTGTGCCCAGCACAGACTCTGCAGTTTCTACACACAACCACATTCGTGATATTTGTACTTAGCACAATAGGCTCCATTCTTGTGGGCACATAGACTCCATTTATCAGCTTCCTTTGCAGTTGGTTTTGGCCATGTGACTTGTGTTCTAGCCAATGAAAGAGGAGCAGAAGTGAACAGTGTCATGGTCTATCCATACAATGAAATACTCTTCAACAATAAAAAGGAGCAAACTACTGACACATGGTATGTCACAATGAATCTCAAAAACATTGTGCTGCATGAAAGAAACCAGAAACAAGAGACCACATATTGTGTATGATTCCATTTAAATAAAATGTCCAAAATAGGCAAATCCATAGAGAGAGAAGATACAGTAGTGTCGCCCAGTGGGATAGAAACAGATTAACAGGAAATGGGCACAAGAGATCTTACTGGGAGCATAAAAGTGTGCTAAAACTGACAGGGTAATGGTTACACCGCTTGGAAAAGCTACCAAAAATCACTGAATTATACACCTGAAAAGGAGAAACTTCATGATCAGTAAAAAAAAAACCTCAATAAAGTTGTTTTCTTAAAAATAAAGAATAAAGATGAAAATGCGAATCCAGTCTGTTACCTCATCATGGCCTGAAGCAAAAGTCCCTGCCAATTCTTTCTTTTTCTCTTTTGTCTTAATCCAAGCCCACAATTCCAGTCAGGTAGAGACAGAATAAATGTAAAAACTCTCCCTCTAAGGCTGGCTAACTTGGAGTAAAAACCTGAGGGACCTGATATAAGGAAAGATTCTAAGGTAACAAAGAAAAGGTAAATGCATAAAATCAGAATGGAAACCTGAGCATGAAAATGCCAGAAGATTACTCATCTTTATTATCTACCTATTAAAATACACATCTAATGGAAAGGGGGAACTGGAATATATAAAGCAAACATGTAGTCAAAACATTTCTGTTTCTGAAGCTTTTGAAGCAGATCTTTTTGTTATATCTATGGAATAACTTTAAAGACAAAGAAGAAGAAGACTTTTTTTTTTTTTTCGAGACGGAGTCTCGCTCTGTCGCCCAGGCTGGAGTGCAGTCTCTGCTCACTGCAAGCTCCGCCTCCCGGGTTCACGCCATTCTCCTGCCTCAGCCTCCCAAGTAGCTGGGACTACAGGCGCCTGCCACCACGCCCGGCTAATTTTTTGTATTTTAAGTAGAGACAGGGTTTCACCGTGTTAGCCAGGATGGTCTCGCTCTCCTGACCTCGTGATCCGCCCACCTCAGCCTCCCAAAGTGCTGGGATTACAGGCATGAGCCACCGCACAGGGCCAGAAGAAGTCTTTTAAAACTTATATTAATTCCTGAGTTGGTGGTTGTTTTCCTGGACCCACACTTTAGAACTGCCCAAGATATCCAATCCTTTTATCATTCTGGAGGAAAAAAAGGTAACTCCTCCCATCCTATACAGAGTAGGTCAGAGTCAGTTTGTGAAAGTATTCTCTTGGCTTAGAGTGCCCTGGTGGAAGATTTTAAATTATGGAATTGTAGCTTTAGAATTTTCATCAGTTTTTGTTTGTTATTTCAATAGTTTTGGGGGTACAGGTGGTTTTTGGTTACAGGGATAATTTGACTAGAGGTGGTTTCTGAGGTTTTAGTGCACCCATCGCCTGAACAGTGTACACTGTACCCAAGATGTAGTCTTTTACTGCTCATCCCCCTCTCAGTCTTCCCCCGTAAGTCCCCAAAGTCCAGCATGTCATTCTTATGCCTTTGCATCCTCATAGCTTACCTCCCACTTATAAGTGAGAACGTACGATAGTTGATTTTCCATTCCTGAGTTACTTCACTTAGGATAATGGTCTCTGGCTCCATCCAAGTTGCTGCAAAAGACATTTTGTTCCTTTTTATGCCTGAATAGTATTCCATCATGTATATATACCACATTTTCTGTATATCACTTGTTGGTTGGTGGGCACTAAGTTTGGTTCCATGTCTTTTCAATTGCGAATTATGCTGCTACAAACATGCACGTGTATGTGTCTTTTTCATATAATGATTTAATTCCCTTTGGGAAGATACCCAGTAGTGGTATTGCTGGATCAAATGGTAGTTCTACTTTTTGTTCTTTAAGGAACCTCCAAATTGTTTCCCATAGCAGTTGTACTAATTTACATTCCCACCAGCAGTGTAAAAGTGTTTCTTTTCACCTCATTAACGCTAACATCTATTATTTTTTGACTTTTTGGTTATGGCTATTCTTGCAGGAGTAAGGTGATATCTCATTCTGGTTTTAATTTGCATTTCTCTGATAACTAATGATATTGAACACTTTTTCATGTTTGTTGGCTGTTTGTATATTTTCTTTTGGGAAATGTTCTTCGCCCACTTTTGGCCACTTTTATTCATGTACTTTGCCAACTTTTTGATGGGATTATTTATTTTTTAATTACTAATTTGTTTGAGTTCCTTATAGATTCTGGATACTGGTCTTTTGTCAGATGTATAGTTTGCAAAAATTTTCTCCCACTCTATGGGGTGACTGTTTACTCTGCTGATTATTTCTTTTGCTGTGCAGGAGCTTTTTTGTTTAATTAGGTCTCATTTATTTACTTTTTGGTGGTTATTGCATTTGCTTTGGGGGGACTTAGTCATTAATTCTTTGCTCAGACAATGTTATCTTATAGAATTTTTATGGTTTCAGGTCTTAGACTTAAGTGTTTAATCCATCTTGAATTGATTTTTGTATAAGGTGTGAGATGGGGTTCCAGTTTCATTCTTCTACATGTGGCTTGCCAGTTTTTCCAGCATCATTTATTGAATAGAGTGTTCTTTCCTTAATTTGTATTTTTGTATGTTTTGTCCAAATTCAGTTGGCTGTAAGTATTTGGCTTCATTTCTGGCTTCTCTATTCTTTTCCATTGGTCTACTTTATATTTTAATATCAGTACCATGCTGTTTTGGTAACTACAGCCTTGTAGTATAGTTTGAAGTTGATGTGTTTGTGTGTTTTCATGCTGCTATAAAGAGCTACCTGAGACTGGGTAATTTATGAAGAAAAGAGGTTTAATTGACTCATAGTTCTGCATGGCTGGGGAGGCCTCAGGAAACATACAATCATGGTGGAAGGCAAAGTAGAAGCAGGTACCTTCTTCAAAAGGCAGTAGGAGACAGAGTGTGCACTAAGAAAGCTACACACTTTTAAACCGTCAAATCTCATGAGAATGCACTCACTATCATGAGAACAGCAAGGCAGAAGTCCGTCCCCATGATTAAATCACCTCTCACCAGGCCCCTCCCCTGACACATGGGGATTACAATTGAAGCAAGGTCCCAAGAGACCATCATAGTAACCTAGAAGTAAACCATAGAATTGAACTTCTAAAGATACCCTTTATTGACTTTTCTTTCTTCTCCTTTCAGACAGTTTCAGTAGAGTCAGGTCAACTTACTAAAAGGAGGGACTGAGCTGATTTGAACCAAGGAGTCAGTTTTTATAATGGCTTGTATATTTTCATCCCTAAGTTGTAGACTTCTGGGGAATCACAACTGGAAAACTGGAGTATTTATTAGGATCTCTCCTTTTTGTTAGGCCCTGAAGTGCAGTTTTTCTTCACCTAGTCCTATACAACTGCAAGCAGTCTCAATCTCTTAGCCAATACTTAATAACTGGTGCCAGGAAAGAAAGATGAAAGTAAAAAAATAAAAATGTATAAATAAGTAAAAATAAAAGAGAAAAAAGAATTGCCAAACATCTTACCTCTTTCTGTGCATTCTTTCCTTCTAGGATCTTGACTTCTAATCTCTTTGTTGCCTAGGTAGCTCTTCAATACCTTCAATCATGTATTTCTAAAAACATTTTACAGTGTTTTTAGTTGTTCTCAGCAGGAGAGTTAGTCCGTAACAAGCTAAATTGCTGTTAATAGAAATGCCCATTAACTCTCATCTTCTCAGCAATCCTATGAGGGAGATAATACTATCTTTTTTACTGCTGAGTAAATTGAGACACAAAGAGGCCACGTATCTTCTTAAAGCTGCTGAAGTAGAAAATTTCAAACCTGGGCAATTGGACTCCAGAAGCCATGTTCTTAACTTCTAATAGTCTGCCTAAATAAGCTGAGTCAGTGGCAGGACCAGGACTGAATTCCTACCCAAATCCAATACTCATTCCATGTGGTTTGCTCGCTAATCATTACTTCCCTCTCTTTATTACTTCCCTTTCTTTATTGTATGCTTCTTTTCACTGCACCTTGTGCCAGCCTCGCAATGTGTTCCATCATGCTGTCTTTCTCTAATTTTTTCTAGTTTGCTTCTTCTCCATCTCTAGGCTTATCTCCCTCTTTTGTAAAGTGTTTTGGACAGTGCCTAGTGTATAATAGGTGCTCAGTAAGGGTGAGTGATTGTTTACCTTTTCAGTGCCTCAGTTTCCTCATCTATAAATAGAAGATAATGACACACTCAGTTAGAAAAAGCCGGCTCTAAAATAAAAACACAATCACTGGGAAAGCTATTTCCTGTGTTTTTTTTCTTATTTATTTATTTATTTTTGTACTTCAGGCCAAAGGGAGAGCTATTTTCAATGGTACTTAGAAGCTTCTAAAAAAGGCTCTGATAAAGTCATTTCTTTGCAAGAGAAAAACAAAAAATTGTCTAAAATAATTTCTGAACGGAAAAAGACTGCCAAAATTTCTCCTCGCCCTTCAGTTCCTCTTTCTCTTTTGTCAGAACCTCCTTGTCTGGACTTAGCTCCCCTTTCTCCTCCTCCTCCTTCTTCTGCTGTTTTGGCTCCGTTTTTGGAAACACCCTGTGTTCAGCAGAGGAGAACCTGCCTAGGTTTATCAACCATAGTCAAAAGTTAAACTTAAAAGCATAATTAAAGGATTCCTTGATTCTCTTCAGGATCCTATTGAATTTGCTAGAAAATTAAAACCAAACATTTGAATTTATGATCCTGATTTTCTGATTCATATCAACTGGCTCAAATGTTAGTGTCAGAAAGTTAAACCAAATATTAGATAGCAAATGTAAATTGGAGAAATCCTTTAGAACCTAAAGGATTTAGACTTCCACAAATTTTTGGAAGCAGATTGTGAATTGACCTACAATACTGCCAAAGCTTTGCTACATACTATTCCCTTAGTTCTCTAAATAATAGTTGGGTGGAACAAAATACAGCAATACCAACAAAATCTTAATGAACCTGTAATATCATACTATGAGACCGTTGAAAGAGTGTTTAAACAATATTCAGGCCTAAAAGAAGAAAGTTATATTAACCACCAAAATGATACTCCCTAACTCAAACTTTATAAACAATCAGATGAGAGTTGATAATTATATTAAACAGACAATGCCCCAGTTGGACTACCTGTCAAACTCATGTTCTAATTAATGTTGTGTGTCAAATGTCCCATACTCTAACCAGGGAAGAAAAGGAAGGAAAATTAAACAGAGAAGAAAAGCAAAGGAGGTCATGAGTTTACAACCAAAACATTTTTTCAACCAATTTCTAACCTCTAAATGGCCTAATAAGTTCCAAAACTTACTCAATCCCCTGCTTCGCAATTTCTACAAAAAGCTTGGACATTCCAAAAAGGATTGTAGGTTACACACCACCCATACCTCCTTGTCTCAAAAGGGAGGAAATGTGTTTCAAATTAGAAGATAATATAGAATTATTAGGGTCAGCTGGGCCTGGTGGCTCACGCCTGTAATCTTAGCACTTTGGGAGGACCAGGTGGGTGGATCCCTTGAGCCCATGAGTTTGAGATCAGCCTGGGCAACATAGCAAAACCCAGTTTCTAAAAAAATACAAAAAATTAGCAAGACATGGTGGCATACACCTGTGAACAAAGCTCTTATTTTTTCTTATCTTGCCCAAATATCTAAAGGGTCTGGGGAGTCATACCCTACAAACCGTAAATTCTCATCAAATGGGTTTTATTTAACTCTATATATGGTGAGTTACTTTCCAATTTGACTCTGGCATAAAATTACATGACAAAGAAGAAAATCAAAATATTTTATCCCAAAGCATGTTTCTTTGCCATATTTTGAAATGGCTCTGCAAAACTGTCTTCTGTGGGGGGAAATTTGCATCTGTAAAGAATCTCTATTAACATAGCTAGATCTTTTTCTTCCAGGCCCTCCCAATCTTGAAGTGATTAACTGAGAGTCTAGCAACTTTTAAAGGTCTGAACAGGAAACATTTGTCATCTATTGTCTCTGAGGGCAGCCACTATGAAACTTGAAAAGAACCTTGGTCTCCACAATCTTTTATTTTAACCTGAACATTTTCTTTCTATTGATCCCAGGTCATTAGACAAACTCAACCAATAGTCAACCAGAAAATGTTTAAATTTCTGGACTAGAAGGCCCCTCTTCCCAACCCCCTCCCCCAAATTCAAATTGTCCCATCTTTCTGGACCAAACCAATGTATTTCTCAAATGTATTTGATTGATGTCTCATGCCTCGCTAATATGTATAAAACCAAGCTGCATTCGACCACCTTGGGCATATGTTCTCAGGACCTCCTGATGGCTGTGTCATGGGCCATGGTCAATTATATTTGGCTCAGAATAAATCTCTTCAAGTATTTTATAGAGTTTGATTCTTTTCATTGATACACCTGTGGTCCCAGTTACACAGGAGGCTAAAGTGAGAGGATCACCTAAGTCCAGGGAGGTCAAGGCTGCAGTGAGCTGCGATCATACCACTGCACTCCAGCCTGGGTGACAGAGTGAGACCCTGTCTCAAAAAAAAATAAAAAACTGAAAAAAGAATTATTAGATTCAAAATTTTTTCCAAAATCAGATTCTGTTAATTCACAAATTGCTATTCATATTGGCATGGGGGAAACTAAATTGTTAAATGATAAAGAATTATAAGCTGTTAAAAATATTGCCTGGTCTCTTTGGCTTTTGGGCTACCAGAGATTACTTTGTAATGTGAGAGAACTTGACTTTTGTGTGTGCTGGTAAGTCACTGGCAAAAACTACAGTTTTGGAAGTGGCTGACAGCAGTTGCAGTGAATGGTTATTCCTGCAAAGGTCTTAGATAAAAAGGCAGGCTTGAACTCTTACCATCAAGAGATAAGACTCCTGATGGAGATGAGCAGATCACAGAGCGGGCTGATTGCTGTTGGGTTGCCTACTGTAAGGAACATGGCTGTGCTTTGGTCAAGGATGGGCTGAGGTAAGATGCTTACATGCTGCGTGACTTTGTAGCACAGGCATATAACTCCACTTGTTATTGCAGCCATGTAGCCATAACATGGGAAGGCCATCCCTTGGCCCTATGCCACTATTGTCTGTAAAAAGTATAACTGTGGCCAGGCATGGTGGCTCATGCCTGTAATCCCAGCACTTTGGGAGGCTGAGGTGGACAGATCACAAGATCAAGAGATTGAAATCATCCTGGCCAACATGGTGAAACCCCATCTCTATTAAAAATACAAAAATTAGCAGGGCGTGGTGGTGCGCACCTGTAGTCCCAGCTACTCAGGAGGCTAAGGCAGGAGAACTGCTTGAATCCAGGAGGTGGAGGTTACAATGAGCCAAGATTGCGCCACTGCACTCCAGCTTGGTGACGGAGCAAGATTCTGTCTCAAAAAAAAATAAGGGGGTATAATTGCCTTGCTGACACTATATAAGCACACTTGCACCCAGAGAAAAAGAGAGACAGTCACAGCTGTCTGGAGGGACAGGGGGGAGCCAGGACACAGCTTGGACAACTCATGCACAGAGAGAGAAAGAGTTAAGCTGCTGACCCTGACAGGAGAGCTGGCCACGCAGCTGTGTGCGGGAGCCACTGGACTAAGCAGCCAAGATGAGGCGAACAGTGTGAGAGAGCTAGTGTAAGTAAGCTGCTGAATAAAACTACATTGTACCTGCCTACGGCCCCCTGAATAGTCTTTCAACTATCTCCTCATCCACCCACTCCCCTCGGACCTCAGTATGGGCTGAAACCTGGCCCTGGGCATGACAATTGGCATAGTCATGGACCTGACACCTACCACCCTTGAGAAATGTCTTTGTAGTGTGGTGCACTGTGGAAGTATCATGCAGCCTGGTCTTAGAATGTTTCCCTCTTTCTTGAACCTTGAATCCAAGGTTCAATGTAAAAATGGGGTCCTTGATTTTTAAAGATCTAGATGCACTGCCTTCCAGTTGTGCCTGCTTTCACATACTTAAGTATTAATACTTAAATATGTGAAGAATAAACTGCAAGTGCTTTCTTTGCTCTATTCATTAAAAGTCTGCACCCTAAAGTCAGTAATCTAATTAAGAAACAAGGTAAAGTGAAAATACCTATGTAACTGTCTCCAAAATAAGACTTTCTGGCATTTAGCTGGCTATTTTCAAACACTTTGTAAAAGAAATTTACATCTATACAAGAAATCTCCATTTGTAAGGGCATCTCCCTCACTGCTCTTAAACCACTAGAAATTTTTACAATGGGGAAGGCTTGGCTTAGAGTTTACCTAACAAACCTTATCTTGTTTAAGACACTTTTCCTGGCAACCTTGTCTTGACTGGGCCTTTACCTATGCCCTTCTTTGTCTCATGAAATAATGGTGTTTAGACCTAAATACTGTGCCTTTGGGATGTAAATTTTCACCTAAGAGTCATGTCCTTTGTAAGTGCAAATTTAAAGTTACCCAGTTAACAATTGTTGACGATTCGATAGTCTAAAGTGGGGAAGGGAAATTATTTGAATTGGCAAATGAAAAACCTAATAAAGTTATAAAATCTGCTTCTGTCTGTGTATGGTCTGTGTATATTCTGTCTGTATATTTTTATGCTTATACATGTCATGAGTACATGAAATTTTACTATCAAAATATATGAAAGGGCTCTAATTGGCTTAAAGTAAAAGTAAGAACTTACATATTTTATCAGAAAAATAGACACAAACTCAAATGCCTTTGAGTTCACACAACTTAGGAAATCTTTAGTAAATAAGACTAGTTTAATATTGCTATTTTAATAAAAACAGAAGTGTCTTCTAAACAGCAGAATACCCATGTGTTTAACTTTAGGGTTCTTGCTTAGGTAGTGGCTAACATACTAGGTAGCCTAACATTCACAGGATGTAAAAACAATTAACAAACAAATAACTTGAGTTCATGGCTAGCTTTGTTTAAGAAACTGTTCAAGCATAATTGATAAGAATGAATAAATATCTCATCTGAAGGAAAAAATAAATGAAAATAAAATAAAAAAGAATGAATAAATAAAATAAAAATGCAATAAAAGTTTATAAATGAAATTTTCATAGTTTTAAAATCTTTTTCAGAAGCTTAAAGTCATGTCATGTTACATTAAGTATTAGATAATCATAAAATGTGTGAGTCATTTATAATAGCATAGAAAGGCTAAATATACTTCAATCTGTTAATAAACAAAAAAATGATGAGTATCTTTCTAAAAACTATGAAATGGGCTTCACCTACAAATACTGGTATGTAAGCTTAAAATTACTAACTTCCTAGGCTTTCTTTAGATATTAGGGTTGCTAAGAGTTGAAATTGTAGTTTATATATATATATAACTAAAACTATAAGATATAAAAAAAAATTCTATATACAGAGTACACAAAGAAAGTAAGATGTGGGCCAGGCATTGCGGCTCACATCTGTAATCTTAGCACTGTGGGAGGCTGAGACAGAATTGCTTGAGCCCAGGAGTTTGAGACAACATAGGTAACATAGTGAGACCCCCATCTCTATAATATGTTTTTAGTAGCCAGGCATGGTGATGCACATCTGTAGTCCCAGCTACTCAGGAGGCTGATGCAGCAGTATTGCTTGAGCCCATGAGGTCGAGGCTATAATGAGCCATGATTGTGCCACTGCATTACAGAATGGGTGACGAAGCAAGAGACCCTGTCTAAAAAAAAAAAAAAAAAAGTAAGAAAGATGTATTTTTGGTAAAGAAAGTTGAAAAGAGTAATTTTTTCTTTTGCATGAGGGAGAACTTGGTGTAGTCAAAATAGTAAGAAGGAAGCAAAAGTAAATTTTTGTCCTAAGGTAGAATACCAGTATAAAAAGGCAATATAGGACAAAACTGAAGGTTTAAGTAAGCCGTAGAAGGTTTGTGGAAGATTAATCTTGGGAAAGGAATTTTATGTGTGATCAAGTTGGCTAAAATTAGAAGGGAATTATTTATAAGTTTTTCTAAAGTTTGAAGATTAATATCAAAAGCATGCTGATGTATCTGGGCATGGTGGCTCATGCCTGTAATCCCAGCACTTTGGGAAGCTGAGGTGGGTAGATCACTTGAGGCCAGGATCTTGAGAAGAGAGGCCTTCTACCAAATGTACAGTTATTACAGGCACAGTCTAATGGTGAATCCTTGAGTTGGCTTCTTAGCATTGAGATGCCTTTAAAAATCTAATCCAAGAGTCCTTACAAGACCAGCCTGGCCACTGTGGTGAAACCCTGTCTCTACAAAAAAATATCAAAAAATAAAATAAAATAAAATTAGTCAGGTGTGGTGGCATGCACCTGTAGTTCCAGCTACTGGGAAGGTAAAATCACAAGCAAGTTAGTTACTTCCAAGATACAATGTGGATACGGGCATTGGGTAAATGTTCCCATTCCAAATAAGAGAAATTGGCCAAAACAAAGGGGCTACACGCTCCATGCAAGTTCAAAACCCAACAGGGCAGCAATTAAATCTTAAAGCTCCAAAATAATCTCCTATGACTCCATGTCTCACATCCAGGGCACATTGACACAGGAGGTGTTCTCCCAAGGCCTTGGGCAGCTCTGCCTCTGTGGCTCTGCAGGGTACAGCCCCTGTGACTGCTTTCACATGTTGGTGTTGAGTGCCTGGGGCTTTTCCAGGCACACAGTGCAAGTTGTAGGTGGATCTGCCATTCTGGGGTTCTGGAGGATGATGGCCCTTTTCTCACAGCTTCACTAGGAAGTGCCCCAGTGGGGACTATGTGGGAGCTCCAACCCCACATTTCCCCTCTGCACTGCCTTAGTAAAGGTTCTCCATGCAGGCTCTGGCCCTGGAGCAGACTTCTGCCTGGACATGCAGGCTGAAACCTAGGCAGAGACTCTCAAAGCTTACCTCTTGTCCTCTGCACCCCCGCATGCCCAACACCACGTGGAAGCTGCCAAGGCTTGGGGCTTGCACCCTCTGAAGCAACAAACTGAGCTGTTCCTTGGCCCCTTTTACCCATAATTGGAGTTGGAGCAGCTGGCACACAGAGTGCCATGTCCTGAGACTGCACAGAACAGCAGGGCCCTAGGTCCAGCCCACAAAACCATTTCTCCCTCATAGGCCTCCGGGTCTGTGATGGGAGGGGCTGCCGGGAAGATCTCTGAAATGCCCTGGAGACATTTTCCCCATTGTCTTGGCTATTACTATTCAGCCTCTTTTTACTTATGCAAATTTCTGCAGCCAGTGGCTTGAATTTCTCCCCAGAAAATGGGTTTTTGTTTCTACTACATGGTCAGGCTGCAAATTATTAAAACTTTTGTACTCTGCTTCCCTTTTAAACATAAGTTCCAATTTCAGACCATCTCTTTGTGAACAGATGTGACTGTATGCTTTAGAAAAAGTAGGTCAGGGAGAGGGTTGGAGCCAAGATGGCCGAATAGGAACAACTCCAGTCTACAGCTCCCAGCGTGAGCGATGCAGAAGATGGGTGATTTCTGCATTTCCAACTGAGGTACCAGGTTCATCGCACTGCGGAGTGTCGGAAAGTGGGTGCAGGACAGTGGGTGCAGCACACCAAATGTGAGCCGGAGCAGGGCGAGGCATCGCCTCACCTGGGAAGCGAAAGGGGTCAGGGAATTCCCTTTCCTAGTCAAAGAAAGGGGTGACAGAAGGCACCTGGAAAATCAGGTCACTCCCACCCTAATACTGTGCTTTCCCAATGGTCTTAGCAAACAGCACACCAGGAGATTATATCCCGTGCATGGCTTGGAGGGTTCTATGCCCACGGAGCCTCGCTCATTGCTAGCACAGCAGTCTGAGATCAAACTGCAAGGCGGCAGTGAGGCTGGGGGAGGGGCGCCAGCCATTGCCGAGACTTGAGTAGGTAAACAAAGTGGCCAGGAAGCTCGAACTGGGTGGAGCCCACGGCAGCTCAAGGAGGCCTTCCTGCCTCTGTAGACTCCACCTCTGGGGGCAGGGCATTGCCAAACAAAAGGCAGCAAAATCCTCTGCAGACCTAAATGTCCCTGTCTGACAGCTTTGAAGAGAGTAGTGGTTCTCCCAGCACGCAGCTGGAGATCTGAGAACGGACAGACTGCCTCCTCAAGTGGGTCCCTGACCCCTGAGTAGCCTAACTGGGAGGCACCCCCCAGTAGGGGCAGACTGACACCTCACATGGCCAGGTACTCCTCTGAGACAAAACTTTCAGAGGAACGATCAGGGAGCAGCATTTGCTGTTCACCAATATCCGCTGTTCTGCAGCCTCCACTGCTGATACCCACGCAAACAGGGTCTGGAGTGGACCTCCAGCAAACTCCAACGGACCTGCAGCTGAGGGTCCTGACTGTTAGAAGGAAAACTAACAAACAGAAAGGACATCCACACCAAAACCCCATCTGTACGTCACCATCATCAAAGACCAAAGGTAGATAAAACCACAAAGATGGGAAAAAAACAGAGCAGAAAAACTGGAAACCCTAAAAATCAGAGTGCCTCTCCTCCTCCAAAGGAAAGCAGCTCCTCACCAGCAACGGAACAAAGCTAGACAGAGAATGACTTTGACGAGTTGAGAGAAGAAGGCTTCAGACGATCAAACTACTCTGAGCTAAAGGAGGAAGTTTGAATCCATGGCAAAGAAGTTAAAAATCTTGAAAAAAAATTAGGCGAATGGCTAACTAGAATAACCAATGCAAAGAAGTCCTTAAAGGACCTGATGGAGCTGAAAACCAAGGCACGAGAACTACGTGATGAATGCACAAGCCTCAGTAGCCGATTTGATAAACTGGAAGAAAGGGTATCAGTGATGGAAGATCAAATGAATGAAATGAAGTGAGAAAAGAAGTTTAGAGAAAAAAGGATAAAAAGAAACGAACAAAGCCTCCAAGTAATATGGGACTATGTGAAAAGACCAAATCTTCGTCTAATTGGTGTACCTGAAAGTGACGGGGAGAATGGAACCAAGCTGGAAAACACTCTGCAGGATATAATCCAGGAGAACTTCCCCAATCTAGCAAGTCAGGCCAACATTCAAATTCAGGAAATACAGAGAACACCACAAAGATCCTCCTTGAGAAGAGCAACTCCAAGACACATAATTGTCAGATTCACCAAAGTTGAAATGAAGGAAAAAATGTTAAGAGCAGCCAGAGAGAAAGGTCAGGTTACCCACAAAGGGAAGCCCATCAGACTAACAGCTGATCTCTCAGCAGAAACTCTACAAGCCAGAAGAGAGTGGGGGCCAATATTCAACATTCTTAAAGGAAAGAATTTTCAACCCAGAATTTCATATCCAGCCAAACTAAGCTTCATAAGTAAAGGAGAAATAAAATCCTTTACAGACAAGCAAATGCTGAGAGATTTTGCCACCACCAGGCCTGCCCTAAAAGAGCTCCTGAAGGAAACACTAAACATGGAAAGGAACAACCAGTACCAGCCACTGCAAAAACATGCCAAATTGTAAAGACCATCGAGGCTAGGAAGAAACTGCATCAACTAACGAGCAAAATAACCAGCTAACATCATAATGACAGGATCAAATTCACACATAACAATATTAACCTTAAATGTAAATGGGCTAAATGCTCCAATTAAAAGACACAGACTGGCAAATTGGATAAAGAGTCAAGACCCATCAGTGTGCTGTATTCAGGAAACCTATCTCACGTGCAGAGACACACATAGGCTCAAAATAAAGGGATGGAGGGAGATCTACCAACCAAATGGAAAACAACAAAAGGCAGGGGTTGCAATCCTAGTCTCTGATAAAACAGACGTTAAACCAACACAGATCAAAAGAGGCAAAGAAGGACATTACATAATGGTAAAGGGATCAATTCAACAAGAAGAGCTAACTATCCTAAATATATATGCACCCAATACAGGAGTACCCAGATTCATAAAGCAAGTCTTTAGAGACCTACAAAGAGACTTAGACTCCCACACAATAGTACTGGGAGACTTTAACACCCCAGTGTCAACATTAGACAGATCAACAAGACAGAAAGTTAACAAGGATATTCAGGAATTGAACTCAGCTCTGCACCAAGCTGACCTAATAGACATCTACAGAACTCTCCACCCCAAATCAACAGAATACACATTCTTCGCAGCACCACACCACACTTATTCCAAAATTGACCACATAGTTGGAAGTAAAGCACTCCTCAGCAAATATAAAATAACAGAAATTATAACAAACTGTCTCTCAGACCACAGTGCAATCAAACTAGAACTGAGGATTAAGAAACTCACTCAAAACCACTCAACTACATGGAAACTGAACAACCTGCTCCTGAATGACTACTGGGTACATAACGAAATGAAGGCAGAAATAAAGATGTTCTTTGAAACCAACAAGAACAAAGATACAACATACCAGAATCTCTGGGACACATTCAAAGCAGTGTGGAGAGGGAAATTTATAGCACTAAATGCCCACAAGAGAAAGCAGGAAAGATCTAAAACTGACACCCTGACATCACAATTAAAAGAGCTAGAGAAGCAAGAGCAAACACATTCAAAAGCTAGCAGAAGGCAAGAAATAACTAAGATCACAGCAGAACTGAAGGAAATAGAGACACAAAAAACCCTTCAAAAAATCAATGAATCCAGGAGCTGGTTTTTTGAAAAGATCAACAAAATGGATAGAGCGCTAGCAACACTAATAAAGAAGAAAAGAGAGAAGAATCAAACAGATGCAATAAAAAATGATAAAGGGGATATCACCACCGATCCCACAGAAATACAAACTACCATTGGAGAACACTGTAAACACCTCTACGCAAATAAACTAGAAAATCTAGAAGATTTGGATAAATTCCTCGACACATACACCCTCCCAAGACTAAACCAGGAAGAAGTAGAATCTCTGAATAGACCAATAACAGTCTCTGAAATTAAGGCAATAATTAATAGCTTATGAACCAAAAAAAGTCCAGGACCAGATGGATTCACAGCCAAATTCTATCAGAGGTACAAGGAGGAGCTGGTACCATTCCTTCTGAAACTATTCCAATCAATAGAAAAAGGGGGAATCCTCCCTAACTCATTTTATGAGTCCAGCATCATCCTGATACCAAAGCCTGGCAGAGACACAACAAAAAAAGAGAATTTTAGACCAATATCCTTGATGAACATTGATGCAAAAATCCTCAATAAAATACTGGCAAACTGAATCCAGCAGGACATCAAAAAGCTTATCCACCATGAACAAGTGGGCTTCATCCCTGGGATGCAAGGCTGATTCAACATATGCAAATCAATAAACATAATCCAGCATATAAACAGAACCAATGACAAAAACCATATGATTATCTCAATAGATGCAGAAAAGGCCTTTGACAAAATTCAACAACGCTTCATGCTAAAAACTCTCAATAAATTAGGTATTGATGGGACTTATTTCAAAATAATAAGAGCTATCTATGACAAACCCACAGCCAATATCATACTGAATGGGCAAAAACTGGAAGCATTCCCTTTGAAAACTGGCACAAGAAAGGGATGCCCTCTCTCACCACTCCTATTCAACATAATGCTGGAAGTTCTGGCCGGGGCAATCAGGCAGGAGAAAGAAATAAAGGGTATTCAATTAGGAAAAGAGGAAGTCAAATTGTCCCTGTTTACAGATGACATGATTGTATATCTAGAAAACCCCATTGTCTCAGCCCAAAATCTCCTTAAGCTGATAGGCAACTTCAGTAAAGTCTCAGGATACAAAATCAATGTGCAAAAATCACAAGCATTCTTATACACCAATAACAGACAAACAGAGAGCCAAATCATGAGTGAACTCCCATTCACAATTGCTACAAAGAGAATAAAATACCTAGGAACCCAACTTACAAGGGATGTGGAGGACCTCTTCAAGAAGAACTACAAACCACTGCTCAAGGAAATAAAAGAGGATACAAACAAATGGAAGAACATTCCATGCTCATCAGTAGGAAGAATCAACATTGTGAAAATGGCCACACTGCCCCAGGTAATTTATAGGTTCAATGCCATCCCCATCAAGCTACCAATGACTTTCTTCACAGAATTGGAAAAAACTACTTTAAAGTTCATATGGAACCAAAAAAGAGCCTGCATTGCCAAGTCAATCCTAAGCCAAAAGAACAAAGTTGGAGGCATCACGCTACCTGACTTCAAACTATACTACAAGGCTACAGTAACCAAAATGCATGGTACTGGTACCAAAACAGAGATATAGACCAATGGAGCAGAACAGAGCCCTCAGAAATAATGCCGCATATCTACAACCATCTGATCTTTGACAAACCTGACAAAAACAAGCAATGGGGAAAGGATTCCCTATTTAATAAATGGTGCTGGGAAAACTGGCTAGCCATATGTAGAAAGCTGAAACTGGATCCCTTCCTTACACCTTATACAAAAATTAATTCAAGATGGATTAAAGACTTAAATATTAGACCTAAAACCATAAAAACCTAGAAGAAAGCCTAGGCAATACCATTCAGGACATAGGCATGGGCAAGGACTTCATGTCTAAAACACCAAAAGCAATGGCAACAAAAGCCAAAATAGACAAATGGGATCTAATTAAACTAAAGAGCTTCTGCACAGCAAAAGAAACTACCATCAGAGTGAACAGGCAACCTACAGAATAGGAGAAGATTTTTGCAATCTACTCATCTGACAAAGGGCTAATATCCAGAATCTACAATGAACTCCAACAAGTTTACAAGAAAAAAACAACCCCATCAAAAAGTGGGCAAAGGATATGAACAGACACTTGTCAAAAGAAGACATTTATGCAGCCAAAAGACACATGAAAAAATGCTCATCATCACTGGCCATCAGAGAAATGCAAATCAAAACCACAATGAGATATCATCTCACACCAAATAGAATGGCGATCATTAAAAAGTCAGGAAACAACAGGTGCTGGAGAGGATGTGGAGAAATAGGAACACTTTTACACTGTTGGTGGGACTGTAAACTAGTTCAACCATTCTGGAAGTCAGTGTGGCGATTCCTCAGGGATCTGGAACTAGAAATACCATTTGACCCAGCCATCCCATTACTGGGTATATACCCAAAGGATTATAAATCATGCTGCTATAAAGACACATGCACACATATGTTTATTGCGGCACTATTCACAATAGCAAAGACTTGGAACCAACCCAAATGTCCATCAGTGATAGACTGGATTAAGAAAATGTGGCATATATACACCATGGAATACTATGCAGCCATAAAAATGATGAGTTCATATCTTTTGTAGGGACATGGATGAAGCTGGAAACCATCATTCTCAGCAAACTATCACAAGCACAAAAAACCAAACACCGCATATTCTCACTCATAGGTGGGAATTGAACAATGAGAACACATGGACACAGGAAGGGGAACATCGCACACTGGGTCCTGTTGTGGGGGGGGGGAAGGGAGGAGGGATAAGATTTGGAGATATACCTAATGTTAAATGATGAGTTACTAGGTGCAGCACACCAGCATGGCACATGTATACATATGTAACTAACCTGCACGTTGTGCACATGTACCCTAAAACTTAAAGTATAATAAAAAAAAGAAAAAAAAAGAAAAAGTAGGTCACATCTTGAATGCTTTGCTGCTTAGAAATTCCTTCTTCCAGATACCCTAAATCATCTCTCTCAAGTTCAAAGTTCCACAGATCTCTAGGGCAGGGGTAAAATGCTGCCAGTCCCTGTGCTAAAGCATAGCAAGAGTCACCTTTATTCCAGTTCCCAACAAGTTCCTCGTCTCCATCTGAGACCACCTCAGCCTGAACTTCATTGTCCATATCACTATCAGCATGTTGGTCAAAGCCATTCAACAAGTTTCTAGGAAGTTCCAAACTTTCACACATTTTCCTGTCTTCTTCTGAGCCCTGCAAACTATTCCAACCTCTGTTCATTACCCAGTTCCAAAGTCACTTCCACAGTTTTGGATATCCTTATAGCAGTGTCCCACTACCTCAGTATCAATTTACTGTGTTAGTCTGTTCTCACACTGCTATGAAGAAATACCTGAGACTGGGTAATTTATAAAGAAGAGAGGTTTAATTGACTCACAGTTTTGCATGCCTGGGGAGTCCTCAGGAAATTTTCAATCATGGTGGAAGGCGAAGGAGAAGCAGGGACTTTCTTCAAAGGGCAGCAGGATGGAGTGAGTGCAAGTAGGGGAAATGCCAGATGCTTATAAAACCATCAGATCTCGTGAGACTCACTCACTATCATGAGAACAGCATGTAGGAAACTGCCCCCATGATCTAATTACCTCTGCCTGGTCCTGCCCTTGACACATAGGGAGTATGGGGATTACAATTCAAGATGAGATTTTGGGTAGGGACAAAGCCAAACCATACGGCACAAGACATTAATCAATACATGTAAGATTTACTTTGGCTTGATCTGGAAGGATGGGACAACTCAAAGCAGGGGCTTCCAGGTCATAGGTAGATTTAAGCATATTCTGATTGGCAATTGGCAATTGGTAGCAGGCTTCAGAGAAAATAGATTGTAAATGTTTCTTATCAGACTTAAGGTCTGTGTTGATGTTAATGCTGGAGAGGTATAATAAGGTATGTCCAACCCCTCCCACCCTTCCTGTCAGTCATGGCCCCAACCAGTCTTTCAGGTTAAATTTTAGAGTGTCCTGGCCAAGGAGGCAGTCCATTCAGATGGTTGAAGGGAGGCCTTTGAATTTTATTTTTGGTTTACGTTCTGAAAGGACTGGGAACCCCAAGACACATAAGCTATCAAGCAGCACACTCTTTGTTCAGAATGTGCCAAGCTCTCAGGGGAGTTTGTCTCTTTTTTTTTTTTTTAAGAGACAGGGTCTCACTCTCTCACCCAGGCTGGAGTGCAGTGGTGCAAAATAGCTCGCTGCATCCTCAAACTCCTGGGCTCAAGGGATCCTCTTGCCTCAGCCCAGTGGCTGGGACTACAGGTGTGTACCACCATGCCTGGCTAATTTCTCTCTCTTTTTTTTGTTTAGGGGAGTGGGAGATGTTGCCCAAGCTGATCACGAACTCCTGGCCTCAAGGGATCCTCTTGCCTTGCTTCCCAAAGTGTTGGGATTATAGGTGTGAGCCACCACACTCGGCCAGGGAAGTTTGTCTTCATAAGAAGTCTTAACCATAAGGGACTTTTGTTGCCTCGTTAGTTCTGGGAAAGTCTAATCCAAAGAGAACCTACCTGTTGTCACCAATTAAAGGATCTGTGACTGGTAGTCCCCTATAAATTTGTGGGTTATTGAAGTGTAGAGGCTAAAGCAATTCCATTTTGAATGCTTATCCACAATGTTGACTTCTGATTCCCTGTTCTGAGAATACCTCTAAGATTTCTACTTTACTGTTACTGTAAATTCTGCCCTTAGGTCAAATAACCTTGACTTTAAATCCTGCCCTTTGGCAGATTCACATAGCATTCTTGCCTTTCCCTGGGTGTTGACTTCACTTGTCCTACACATTCCTCCCCTGTGGTATGTAAACCCTGGGCCTGGGAGGGTAAATGGTGCAGGGATCCACTATCTTGTCTTGCCATCAAACAAGACACAGAGATGGCTTCTCTTTGTTAATTCCCTATTAAATCTTTCTTCCTGAAAAACTGGATTGTCAGCCTGTTTCTTCAGCCTCTCAGCTTCCTTAAACTTTGGGGGTAGATTTGCATAGACTTGCTCCCTGCAGAACATGAAGGAACAGTGCACACAAACACCATTCTTTACCATCTGTGACAAGAGGTTTTTGCTATTTTGGCCTATTTCTGGGAGTGAATTTGGGGAAATCATGGGAATTAGCTGTTCTATGCCCTCTCCAGGGATACGCTTGCTTATGTGGTAAAAACTTATTCCAAACCTGGAAAATTACCTGCTGGTCTATCCATGAAGAGGTTTATTGAATTGAGTTGCTATTGAAATAAATACATAGTTGGAAATTCTAATCGTTAGTGGCCAGAAGATGGATCCTTTGGACTAGAAAGACTCCTATATCTGAAAAATATTTTACTCCATTCTAAGTAATTGCCTTATTTGTTTTTGTGGGAGGATCAAATTGAAAGAAAGACACATATTAGTGTCATGACTAGCCTTAGAAATTCTCCTTAAAAAAAAAAGCAGAAATCAGATTTAAAACAAAGTTAAAATCCTTTGTACACTAAAACTGCCTGCTTTGGATTCCCCACAGGATTTAAAAAGGAGACATTTCAACTTGTAGTCTAGTCTTATATTCCTAGATGTAGGCCAAGCTAACTTTGGGAAGAACTTAGTTTATAGTTTAATCTTAAAGCAAAGATGATAATAACCCCTTCCCCAAGCTAACCCACCTTTGCAGAACTAATGAAAGGCCATAAGGTTAGGATTATGAGTGGGGTCTGAATGCTGATAAGATGTAGATATAGTTTCTATAATCCCTTACTTCTCAGGAGTCAAGTGGCCAGAGGTCACAAGATTTGTGACCTCTCCAATTGCTCCTATAGATCACATCACTATTGTAGAACCTGACATTGGTGTTTTGAGATTTTTTTCAGACTGTCTTGCAACTAACTGACCCCATCTGGACCCATGACTCATAACTCAACTGGTCCTGTGGCCCCTATCCAAGGTGGAGTTGGCACATGTGGACCATTTTCCATACCCCTATGATTTCATCCCCACCCAATCTGCAGCACCCATTCCCTATCCCCCTGTCCACCAAATTGTCCAAAACGTTGGCTTCCCGGAGACTTGTTATCCCATTTACTTTTATTCTTCCTTCCTTTTTTGCCACCTTTGATACCACACGAAGAGATCTAGAGGGGACTCTTAGCAACTATGACACTCCTTAAGGAAGACCAAAAAGGTGCCTCTGACCACATTTTGGGGTCTCCTGTCTTCTTCATGAAGCACCAAAAGTCATGAGAAGGTTCTTCTCAGGTGTAAAACCCTAACTCCTGAGCCTTCGTGGAGACTGATTTGAGTGATAACTCCAGTTCTTCCACATGGCTGACCTTACATCAATTAAACTCTTTCTCTATTGCAATGCCATGCTCTAAATGAATTGATTCTGTCTGTAGAGCAGGCAGGAAGAACTCATTGGGTGATTACAGGTTTGATATTTGTGTGTAACTCTTGACTTTTGGAGTACCCATTTATTACTGTTCTTGTTCCCTTCCATGGACAGCTTTTAGTTTCCTGTCTTACTAATTGTTTGTCTATTTTAATCTTCCCTCTATGGGGCATGCAATTGCTGAGACTTTATGTGAAGATGGTTAGTTGATAAGCCAAGACCCTAAAGAACATGGTTGGTCAGAAATGTATATTGTACCCCATTTGCAACTAGTAAATTTTTTTTCCTTGAGCTGTCTTTGGGGTAGTTCTGGTTCTTGTGAGAACTGCTTTGCACCTTTTTGGAGATGCCTTATGCATCCTTGGTTAAGTCATAAAAGGCTTATAGGTTTTGGTTGGAGTCACTTGGAAGATAACTTTGATTTAAAGAAGTTCAAAACCAAGAATATTGGCTGTTTGTCATGGCTAAACTCTGACAGATTTTAAAAGATTGTTTTTAAAAAGCTTTATGTGGTCAGAAGCCAGCTTAATTAAAAACTGATATTCAAACTAAAAGTTTTTTTAAGGCCTTTCTGCTTTTTCTCTTTTGGATCTTGTTTCTCCCATGAGAATTTTTTTCAGTTTACTGAAACTCTTTATAAAAAGTTATATGTTTGGGCTGGACATGGTGGCTTATGCCTGTAATCCCAACATTTTGGGAGGCTGAGACAGATCATTTAAGCCCAGGAGTTCAAGGCCAGCTTGGGCAACATATGGAGAACTCATGTCTACAAAAAAAAAAAAAAAATTACCTGAGTATGGTGGCATGCACCTGTGGTCCCACCTACTTGGGAGCCTGAGATGAGAGGGTCACTCGAGCCTGGGAGGTCGAGGCTGCAGTGAGCCATGATGGTGCCAATGCACTCCAGCCTGGGTGACAGAGTGAGACCCTGTCTCAAAATTGTATGTGTGCGTGTGTGTTTATGTACATATACATACACATGTGTGTGCGTATATATATATGTGAGTGTGTAAAATATGTTTCATCCCTCTGTTTGCTTCCTTTCCTGTTGGTATAATTTTTTGCTTAGAAAAAGGTAAAACTTCACTGACTTTTTTTGAGAAGTTTTAAATCTCCCCAAATTGGCTTCCCTGAGACTTATTATCCCATTTACTTTTATTCTTCCTTCCTTTACCACCTTTGATACCACACGAAGAGATCTAGAGGGGAACCCTAGCAACTATGACACTCCTTAAGGAAGACCAAAAAGGTGCCTCTGACCACATTTTGGGGTCTTCTGTCTTCTTCATGAAGCACCAAAAGTCATGAGCAGGTTCTTCTCAGGTCTAAAGCTCTGCTCTCATTTGCACTGAGCTCCCTGACAGCTTTGGCTTTGAGGGTACCAGAAGTTACTTTGTACTGTGAGAGAATACCTGATCCTTGAGTATGCAATGGCTGGCTCTACATTCAGTGGCTGCAGTCACTGGTGAGGGCTGCAGTTTTGGAGGTGGCTGACAGTGGTTGCAATGAATAGGTATTACACAGAGGCTACTTTTTTTTATTTTTATTTTTTGCATGGCTAGATTTTTTTTTTTTTTTTTTTTTTTAATGAGACAGAATCTCGCTCTTTCGCCCAGGCCGGACTGCAGTGGCGCTATCTCGGCTCACTGCAAGTTCCGCCTCCTGGGTTCACTCCATTCTCCTGCCTCAGCCTCCCGAGCAGCTGGGACTACAGGTGCCCGCCACCACGCCCAGCTAATTTTTTGTATTTTTAGTAGAGATGGGGTTTCACCGTGTTAGCCAGGATGGTCTCCATCTCCTGATCTCGTGATCCGCCCTCCTCGGGCTCCCAAAGTGCTTGCATGGCTAGATTTTTTAAAAAGTACATTTTGGAAACTTGGAGGCTGTAGGAACACTCACCACCAAAGGATAAGACTCCTATGGGGGATAGGCTGATCACAGAGTGGGCTGGAGTCCTACCAGCCTTGGGGGACTTTTATTGAGTCACCCACCAGCCTTGGGGAACTTTCCTTCTAGTGAGATACACTGTAGAAGATTGCACGACCTGTTTCCATGACCTTTCTCTCTTGGACTTTTGCCTCCACTCTGAGAAACTGGAATTCAGTGTGAAAATGGGGTCATAAATTTCTAGGATCTAGGTGCTCTGCCTTCCAGCTGTGTCTGCTTTTCACAAATACCAGTATTAGGCCCAGGAAACTGTAAGCATTTTGTTGGCATTATTCATTAATGGGCTTCACCCTGAGCTGAGTGGTCCAATTGGAAAATGGAGACTAAATTGAAAACTACCTAACTAAAATTGATCTCCTTATAAAATCCTGTGGTGAATTCCTATAATTTTGTGTTACCTAGGCATCTATTTTTAATCTTTCTCTAACACACCCTGACTTCTTCTTCAGAAAGCTTAAATTCTCTTTGTGCTGTGAGATATAAATGTGCTACACTGTTTTCTCTAAAAAAAAACAAAACAAAACAAAAAACAAAACAAAAAAAACCCTTATAAGGGCTTTGAATATGTGGGACAGATAAACTTTAACTCGTTCCATTTACAATGACAGAGTTTGAATTCAACTGCCCTTTATGTGAGTTTTACCTGTCTTATTGCTAAAATTTTTAAATCAATGCTATAAAATCTTTACTTATGTTTGTCTGTATTTTATGCATACATGTGTACATGGCTGCCTTTTTATATTATCTACATGGTACCAAATTGACTTTTAAATAAATGAGTGTTCATAAATTAAATAATCAGCCAAAATGCTTTTCAAGTTCATGTCAATTTAGTAATATCTGGCAAAGAAAAACTAGTTTTTAAATTGTCGGCAAGGCCAAGTGCAGTGGTTCACGCCTGTAATCCCAGCACTTTGGAAGGCCAAGGCAGCAGGACTGCTTGAGCTCAGGAGTTCGAGACAAGCCTGGGCAACACAGGGAGGCCTTGTCTTTACAAAAAGTAAGAAACAAAAATTAGCTGGGTATGGAAGCACATGCCTGTAGTCCCAGCTACTTGGGGAGCTGAGGTGGGAGGATTGCTTGAGTCTAGGAGGTGAGGTTTCAGTGAGCCATGATTGGGCAACAGAGCAAGACCTCATCTCTGCAAAAAAAAAAGTATAAATTAGCCAAGCACAGTGGAATGTGCCTGTAGTCCTAGCTATTCAGGAGGTTGTAAGGTGGAAAGATTGCTTGAGCTCAAGAGATCAAGGTTACAGTGAGCTATAATCATACCACTGTACTCCAGCCTGAGTGATAGAGTGAGACTCTTGTCTCTAAAAAAATTAAAATAAATAAAATTTGCTTTTCTCTTTTGAAAAAGATTTTTGCGTAGTATTAATGAGTAAAAAAAAAAATTGTTGCTCATTTTTCGTAAATTGCAAAAAAGTGGGCACACAGTAAGAGAAGGACAGATAGACTCTGTTTGCCTCCAGCTGTCTTTATTAGGCCTTTTGATAGTTTAGAAAACTGAGTCCCCTCTCTAACATAAAGAAAAGATTTTTGCTTTTTGAATTATTTTAATTATCAGTTTTGCTAAATGAATGACCTATGATCCTATTTCTGTTCCAGTGTTTTAAATCTTTGACATATTTGACAGGCTTTCTAAAATCAAATTTCAAATTCTAAATTAAGTCTTTTTGACTTCAAGCTAACTTTTGGACACTCCAGAAGGGTCCCTGGAAGTACAAGAGAGACATATTAGGCTTATTTGGTATGTTAAAATCATGCAGGAAGGATTGTGAAATAAGAAATAATGTTTAGCCTTTTGCGAGTCATATTTGTATAAATGTGTTAGTATGTGTTCCAAAATGGAATGAGATTCTTAAAAATCTGGTATGTCCTGGTATGTGTTATTAGTCACAATTATGGATATTGTGTAAAGTTGTAGGCCACAAAAAAAATGACCAAATTTCCTTGTCAATTGCATCTTTAATCATGGTTACTTTAAGTCTTATTGTCCGCAATTAAGCATCTGTGGCTTTATGCTTATGCTCTTGTTTTCTGAAAGTTCTTTTTTCTGTTCCCCAGGCGGGAGTGCAACAGCGTGATCTCGGCTCACTGCAACCTCCGCCTCCCAGGTGCAAGTGATTCTAGTGCCTCAGCCTCCTGAGTAGCTGGGACTATAGGTGTGTGCCACCACACCCAACTAATTTTCTGTATTTTTAGTACAGACGGGGGTTTCGCCATGTTGGCCGGGCTGGTCTCAAACTCCTGACCTCAGGTGATCCGCCTGCCTCAGCCTCTCTCTTTATAAGTTTTAAAGTTTTGTCTTTAAGGAAATTCATGGAAAAGACTACAACAAATAATCTTGAATACATGTTTCTGATGACTTTAAGACTGAATCATGTCTGTAGTCCCAGCACTTTGGGAGGCCAAGATGGGAGGATCGCTTGAGGCCCAGAGTTCAAGACCAGCCTGAGCAACATAGCGAGACTTCATCTCTATTTTAAAAATTTGTTTTTTCTTTTTTTTTTTTAACAGCAAGCTCATCCTTTAAAAAATTTTTTAAAGAAATCAAGATTGAATCATTAGATGGGGTAAAACAATTTTGGAACACTAATAGAACAAAAGTGGACTCATAAAATTGCTAATGTATAATCACACGGAACAATACTTAAGTACATGAGACTGAACTGATGAAAAACTGAAATTGTTTTTTAACCATAACTTTTTATTTGAAACATTGCTGATTCTTTTTTCCCCAGAGTAAACATTTTTCTTTTAAGCTATTTATAGCTTACACCAATTAAGTAAAGTATACTTTTGTGAGCCAAATTCAAATATTTACCTCTTTATTTGATCCCTCCAAAATTTAGAAACTATTTGCAAGTAGTGTTATTTTATGACAATATAATTATTTGCATAGATTCGTAAGAATTTGTTTTCTTTTGTAATAGTACACAATTTGAAATGCTGATTACTGAGGATTAGACTGGAATGTCGTATTTTTAGAAATGACTAGACTGTTTTGAGGAATTGAGGTTCACTTTAGAAAGCCAATAGACTTGGAAAAAGACTGACCTGGTACCTTGTCTACACAGTTCCCTTACAAGGTCCCTGACCTTGAAGTAAGTAAAGAATCTCACTTTTGGACAGACCCAGGAACCTCAATGTATTTTGAGGACCTTGAGAAGAAAGGTATTCACCGAAGTTTTCGTACAGGTATTATAGTGTTTGGCTTGGCTCCTAAGCTTTTTTACTTTTTTTAAATTTTTTTATTTTTATTATTATTATTTTTTTGGTGGAGATGGTGTTTCGCCATGTTGCCCAGGCTGATCTCTAGCTTCTGAGCTCCAGCAATCCACCCACCTCGGTCTCCCAAAGTGCTGGGATTACAGGCATGAACCATCACACTCAGCTCTGGCTCCTAAGCTTTTAGAAAGTCTAATCTGAGATTTTTTATGAAAATGTTCCAACAAACCAACTTAAAAGAGCCTGTGTGATAAATCACTATTCTTACTTACTTTATGCAAATAATCAGGCCAGGTATAAGACTAAAACATAATTTTACAAATAGATTGGTCTTTCTATGATTTATCTTTGTTAGAAGTAGGGAACTAAAGAGAGAAAAACTATGTTTCAGAAGAAAACTTTCATGTACCTGTTATAAATTCCTAACCCTGTCCATTGTTTTGGGGATTTTATTATTTTCCTTGCAGGAAATCCCGAATCCTGAATTCTTTCCTGGCTATAAGTCTCCAAACTAATGTTTCTAAATTTTTCTTCCATTTTTCTGACTTGGACTCACTAAAATTGAAACTCTCTTTATCCTGAAGTTCTATGAGCTGAAGCTCATGTATAAACAACCTTGCGACACACCAACTATAAACCAGAAAAGTCTGTCAGATTGCTACTGCCTGCTTGCTATAACTAAAGATGTTTCAAACCCAAATCTCAATGGACTGCCCTCACAAAAAATACATTTTTTTTTTTGCAGTTTAGATACTAACTTTAAAAGTAGACCTGTGACTTTGCTCTTTTTATTTTACAAAAAATGAATCTAAGTATTTTAGAAATTTTATATCCATCATAGAATTACAGATCAACTAGCTGTTTACCAAACCCACTTACTCTTCTTCATGGATGAAAAGCATCCCTTGAAATTAGGTGTGGCTGTGTAGAATGAATTCAGAGCAACAGAATGTGAGTGAAAGTAACTTATGCTACTCCTGATCAGGCCCATAAAAACTACCCATGCACGATCTGCATGCTGCTCTCTCTCTCTCTCTTTCCCCTTCTACCAGCTAGATGTTGATTGACTACATTAGCAAAGATAGTTTGCTCCAACCACTGCCTTCCAATCTCCCATTAACATCTGTCTCCCTGATAACCATTAAATTTTTACGTGAGTAAGAAATTTCTACTTTTCTTCTTTATTAGTCTTGCTAGCGGTCTATCAATTTTGTTGATCTTTTCTAAACACCAGCTCCTGGATTCATTGATTTTTTTAAGGGTTTTCTGTGTCTCTATCTCCTTCAGTTCTGTCGTGATCTTAGTTATTTCTTGCCTTCTGCTAGCTTTTGAATGTGTTTGCTCTTGCTTCTCTAGCTCTTTTAATTATGATGGTAGGGTGTCAATTTTAGATCTTTCCTGCTTTCTCTTAGGGCATTTAGTGCTATAAATTTCCCTCTACACACTGCTTTGAATGTGTCCCAGAGATTCTGGTATGTTGTGTCTTTGTTCTCGTTGGTTTCAAAGAACATCTTTATTTCTGCCTTCATTTCGTTATGTACCCAGTAGTCATTCAGGAGCAGGTTGTTCAGTTTCCATGTAGTCGAGTGGTTTTGAGTGAGTTTCTTAATCCTCAGTTCTAGTTTGATTGCACTGTGGTCTGAGAGACAGTTTGTTATAATTTCTGTTCTTTTACATTTGCTGAGGAGTGCTTTACTTCCAACTACGTGGTCAATTTTGGAATAAGTGTGATGTGGTGCTGAGAAGAATGTATATTCTGTTGATTTGGGGTGGAGAGTTCTGTAGAAGTCTATTAGGTCAGCTTGGTGCAGAGCTAAGTTCAATTCCTGGATATCCTTGTTAACTTTCTGTCTCGTTGATCTGTCTAATGTTGACAGTGGGGTGTTAAAGTCTCCCGGTACTATTGTGTGGGAGTCTAAGTCTCTTTGTAGGCCTCTAAGGACTTGCTGTATGAATCTGGGTGCTCCTGTATTGGGTGCATATATACTTAGGACAGTTAGTTCTTCTTGTTGAATTGATCCCTTTACCATTATGTAATGGCCTTTTTGTCTCTTTGGATCTTTGTTTTATCAGAGACTAGGATTGCAACCCCTGCTTTTTTTTGTTTTCCATTTGGTTGGTAGATCTTCCTCCATCCCTTTATTTTGAGCCTTTATTTTGAGCCTTTTTGTCTCTTTGGATCTTTGTTTTATCAGAGACTAGGATCGCAACCCCTGCTTTTTTTTGTTTTCCATTTGGCTGGTAGATCTTCCTCCATCCCTTTATTTTGAGCCTATGTGTGTCTCTGCATTTGAGATGGGTCTCTTGAATACAGCACAATGATGGGTCTTGACTCTTTATCCAATTTGCCAGTCTGTGTCTTTTAATTGGAGCATTTAGCCCATTTACATTTAAGGTTAATATTGTTATGTGTGAATCAAATAGACATAATAAAAAATGATGAAGGGGATATCAGCACTGATTCCACAGAGATACAAACTACCATCAGAGAATACTATAAAGACCTCTACACAAATAAACTAGAAAACCTAGAAGAAATGGATAAATTCCTGGACACATACATCCTCCCAAGACTAAACCAGGAAGAAGTTGAATCCCTGAATAGACCAAAAACAGGCTCTGATATTGATGCAATAATTAATAGCCTACCAACCAAAAAAAGTCCAGGACCAGAGAGATTCACAGCCGAATTCTACCAGAGGTACAAAGAGGAGCTGGTACCATTCCTTCTGAAACTATTCCAATCAATAGAAAAAGAGGGAATCCTCCCTAACTCATTTTATGAGGCCAGCATCATCCTGATACCAAAGCCTGGCAGAGACACAACAAAAAAAGAGAATTTTAGACCAATATCCCTGATGAACATCGATGCAAAAATCCTCAATAAAATACTGGCAAACTGAATCCAGCAGCACATCAAAAAGCTTATCCACCATGATCAAGTTGGCTTCATCCCTGGGATGTAAGGCTGGTTCAACATATGCAAATCAATAAACGTAATACATCATATAAATAGAGCCAAAGACAAAAACCACATGATTATCTCAATAGATGCAGAAGAGGCTTTCAACAAAATTCAACAGCCCTTCATGCTAAAAACTCTCAAACTAGGTATTGATGTGACATATCTCAAAATAATAAGAGCTATTTATGACAAACCCACAGCCAATATCATACTGAATGGGCAAAAACTGGAAGCATTCCCTTTGAAAACTGGCACAAGAAAGGGATGCCCTCTCTCACCACTCCTATTCAACATAATGCTGGAAGTTCTGGCCGGGGCAATCAGGCAGGAGAAAGAAATAAAGGGTATTCAATTAGGAAAAGAGGAAGTCAAATTGTCCCTGTTTACAGATGACATGATTGTATATCTAGAAAACCCCATCGTCTCAGCCCAAAATCCCTGTAAGCTGATAAGCAACTTCAGCAAAGTCTCAGGATACAAATTCAATGTGCAAAAATCACAAGCATTCCTCTACACCAATAACAGACAAACAGAGAGCCAAATGATGAGTGAACTCCCATTCACAATTGCTTCAAAGAGAATGAAATACATAGAAATCCAATTTACAAGGGATGTGAAGGACCTCTTCAAGCAGAATTACAAACCACTGCTCAATGAAATACAAGAGGACACAAACAAATGGAAGAACATTCCATGCTCATCAGTAGGAAGAATCAACATCGTGAAAATGGCCATACTGCCCAAGGTAATTTATAGATTCAATGCCATCCCCATCAAGCTACCAATGACTTTCTTTACAGAATTGGAAAAAACTACTTTAAAGTTCATATGGAACCAAAAAAGAGCCCGCATTGCCAAGTCAATCCTAAGCTAAAAGAACAAAGCTGGGGGCATCACACTACCTGACCTCAAACTATACTACAAGGCTACAGTAACCAAAACACATGGTACTGGTACCAAAACAGAGATATAGACCAATGGAACAGAACAGAGCCCTCAGAAATAATACCACACATCTGCAACCATCTGATCTTTGACAAACCTGACAAAAACAAGAAATGGGGAAAGGATTCCCTATTTAATAAATGGTGCTGGGAAAACTGGCTAGCCATATGTAGAAAGTTGAAACTGGATCCCTTCCTTACACCTTATACAAAAATTAATTCAAGATGGATTAAAGACTTAAATGTTAGACCTAAAACCATAAAAACCTGGAAGAAAGCCTAGGCAATACCATTCAGGACATAGGCATGGGCAAGGACTTCATGTCTAAAACACCAAAAGCAATAGCAACAAACACCAAAATAGACAAATGGGATCTAATTAAACTAAAGAGCTTCTGCACTGCAAAAGAAGCTGCCATCAGAGTGAATGGGCAACCTACAGAATAGGAGAAAATGTTTGCAATCTACTCATCTGACAAAGGGCTAATATCCAGAATCTACAAAGAACTTAAACAAATTTACAAGAAAAAAAACAAACAACCCCATCAAAAAGTGGGCAAAGGATATGAACAGACACTTGTCAAAAGAAGACATTTATGCAGCCAAAAGACACATGAAAAAATGCTCATCATCCCTGGCCATCAGAGAAATGCAAATCAAAACCACAGTGAGATACCATCTCACACCAAATAGAATGGTGATCATTAAAAAGTCAGGAAACAACAGGTGCTGGAGAGGATGTGGAGCAATAGGAACACTTTTACACTGTTGGTGGGACTGTAAACTAGTTCAACCATTGTGGAAGACAGTGTGGCAATTCCTCAAGGATCTAGAACTAGAAATACCATTTGACCCGGCCATCCCATTACTGGGTATATACCCAAAGGATTATAAATCATGCTACTATAAAGACACATGCACATGCATGTTTATTGTGGCACTATTCACAATAGCAAAGACTTGGAACCAACCCAAATGTCCATCAGTGATAGACTGGATTAAGAAAACGTGGCACATACACACCATGGAATACTATGCAGCCATCAAAAATGATGAGTTTATGTCCTTTATAGGGACATGGATGAAGCTGGAAACCATCATTCTAAGCAAACTGTTGCAAGGAAAGAAAACCAAACATCGCATGTTCTCACTCACTTATAGGTGGGAATTGAACAACGAGAACACTTTGACAGAGTTTTGACAATGTGTGATGGGGAACATCACACACTGGGTGCTGTTGTGGGGTGGGGGGAGGGGGAAGAGATAGCATTAGGAGATATACCTAATGTAAATGACAAGTTATTGGGTGCAGCACACCAACATGGCACATGTATACATATATAACAAATCTGCACATTGTGCACATGTACCCTAGAACTTAAAGTATAATAATAATAAAAAAAAGAAAAATAAAAAAAAGAAGAAATTTCTACTTAAGCCATTGAGATTTGATGGTTTATCTGCTTCCGTAGCTTATAGACCCTTAACCATCATCCATTTAAAAAATACAAAAACAAGCTCTTCTGAAACAAAGTAATTTTAGATATTCCTTTTTCTCCTTGAAGTCATATTCCCATCCCACTTCTCCCATAGTACATTATCCAAATATATTTTATGCTTGAATCTTTAATTAGCTTCTCTGCAACAAAGTATTGTACTTCTCTGCAACAAAAATAAGTCTATAACTTGACATTATGAAAGCTATTTGTTTCCTCTGTTCATAAAGCTCTAAATGTTGGAAAAAATATTTTATATAGATTTATTATTACAATTATTAGTAAAGGGTACAAAACTGGAGCCTCAGGCCAGTTCACATAAGAGAGGATTCAGGCCAAGCATGGTGGCTCATGCCTGTAATCCCAGCACTTTGGGAGGCTGAGGCAGGCGGATCTCCTGAGGTCAGGAGTTTGAGACCAGCCTGGCCAACATGGCAAAACACTGTCTCTACTAAAATCACAAAAATTAGCCAGGCATGGTGGGTGCCTGTAATCCCAGCTACTTGGGAGGCTGAGGCAGGAGAATCGCTTGAACCCAGGATGCAGAGGTTGCAGTGACCCGAGATCACACCACTGTACTCCAGCCTGGGTGACAGAGCAACACTCTGGCTCAAAGAAAAAAAAAAAGAGAGAGAAGGATTCATTATGCCACCCTGAACACCATGTCAAAGACAGTCATCTCAGACACAACCCAGAGAAACACTGAGTCCACCCAGGACACCTACCCAGACAGCCAGGACCACACAAGGACAAGGTAAGAAGCTAGTTGGACTTCAGCAACTTAGTTGGGACAGCAGTACCTGACTACCCAGCATGACATGGGACAAATTCATCCCAGCCCCTAAGCCATTCCCAAAACATGCAGTTTTTTCAAGGTGATAACGGGAACCATGATTTATAGCCAGTTGGTCAGAAGTATTGGTAACACTCCACTACTTGCGATTTGTGCCTGAAGTGGGAGCAGTCTTGTGGGACTGAGCCTGTGGAATCTGACACTATCTAGGTAGATAGTATCAGAATTGGATTGTATTAAAGGACATCCAGCCGGTGTTAGCTGCAGAATTGATTGGATGTGGGGAAATACCACCATACATCTGGTCACAGATGTGTTCTGTGTTAAGTGTGTCAGTAGAGAGAAAAAGCAGTTTCGTTTTTCCTCTTACAATGTATGCCCTGAGAAAGTCTCAGGTATCTCACAGTCCACCTGTGAGGTGTTGGGAGAAAGCCCCCCCAAAATCTGGCTGTAAACTGGCCCCAAGACTGGCCATAAACAAAACCTCTGCAGCACTGTAACATGTTCATAACGGCCCTAACGCCCAAGCTGGAAGGTTGTGGGTTTACGGGAATGAGGGCAAAGAACACCTGGCCTGCCCAGGGCAGAAAACCACTTAAAAGTATCCTTAAGCCACAAACAATAGCATGAGCGATCTGTGTCTTAAGGGTGTGTTCCTGCTGCAGTTAACTAGCCCAATCTATTCCTTTAATTCGGCCCATCCCTTCGTTTCCCATAAGGGATACTTTCAGTTAATTTAATATCTATAGAAACAATGCTAATGACTGGTTTGCTGTTAATAAATATGTGGGTAAATCTCTGTTCGGGGCTGTCAGCTCTGAAGGCTGTGAGACCCCTGATTTCCCACTTCACACCTCTATATTTCTGTGTGTGTGTCTTTAATTCCTCTATCGCCACTGGTTAGGGTCTCCCTGACTGAGCTGGTGTCGGCAGTGAGGTAGGCTATATGTCTATTTGGGGTAGTTGAGGGGCTCTGCTCCACATTGTGAAGACAAGTTGCATAAGCATCTTAGTCTATTTGGGCTACTATAACAAAATACCTGAGACTGGGTAATTTAGAAATAATAGGAAGGTATTTCTCACAGGTCTGGAGGCTGGAAAGTTCAAGATCAAGGCAACAAAATCTGCTGAATGCTTGCTCTCTACTTCATAGATGGTGTCTCTTAATGCATTGTCACATGGCAGAAGGGGTGAACAGCTCGCTGCACCTGTTTTATAAGGTCACTAATCCTATTCATGAGGGCTCCACCCTCATGGCTTAATCACTCCTAAAAGCCTCCACATCTTTTTTTTTTCAAGGCTAGTCAACTGCAGTAGTGAGAAGGGGGAAAGAGTAGAACAAGGGTTCTATCTGTAACTGACTGTGAACAATCAAGATAACTGACTACCTTCAGACCAGCCAGTCTCCACTTCTTATATATTATCACATTGACAATTAAGTTTCAACAATAAATTTTGGGGGACACATTCAGACCATAGCAATAAGCAACAAATAAATCTTTATTGTTTTGAACTACTGAGAATTTAGGGCTGTTACTACAGCAAAATCCAGGTCATCCTCACTTAAGGTAGACATGGTTATCTAAAGTGGGGTGCTGCAATAACAAGAATATAAAACATTTAAGAGCGACAGCAGGTAGCAATAAAATTGTTTTCAGAGATTCAGATAGCAATCCATGCTATGCAGTAGTGAAACATTTAATAAAATTGTTATCTACAGTAACTTGGAAGACAGGTCATGTACTTAATACATTTGTAGCTCGGGGGAAGGCTAGAAAACAGAATGTTGTGTGTTATTTGCTATTGGCTGCATTTGGCAAGCTATTACAAGAAAGAGATGAGCTGAGAAAAAGAATTGACCGTTTTGTAAGCAATGAAGGGAATCAAGAGTCCACCAATTTGAGGACCTACTTGTAGAGTTGAAAGAGGCAACTACTTCTTCTCAACCTCAAATAGTGAAAGACAAATTTGAGAAATGTTTGGAATGACAAAGGATAACTAAAATTTAGCCTGGAGGCAATGTATCAATTTAAGACAGCGGCTGTTCTACCAATTTTTTTAAAACTCTGAGTGGATTAATAGGTCCCAGATTAAAGGCCCAACCAACTAAGGCTATTTGGAACATCTTAGTTCACAAATTTGTCACTATCAGTATGGGTGTATTAACTCTTACCCAAAGCCCATGTTGCAGCAGGACTTTACCACTTACCAGATCAAGGCTTAGATCACATAGCAGAAAAAGTTATTTCGATGCCAGGTCTCTGTGTGCAGCAGAGCTGGTATGTAAAGAATGGCAGCAAGTGACCTCAGAATGAATGCTTTGGAAGAAGCTGATTGAACGAATGGTACACGCTTATCCTCTATGGAAGGGACTTTCAGAAAAAGGGTGGGACAGCACCTGTTTAAAAACAGACCCACAGATGGCCCTCCCAATTCATTTCATAGGTCATTATACCCAAAGATTATCCAGGTTATAGAGACTATAGAATCTAACTGGCAGTGTGGATGACACACCTTACAAAGGATTCAGTGCCACTCTGAAAAGAGTAAAGGTGTCTATTGTTTACAGTATGATGATGAAAAATTATCCGTGGCCTACAAGATAATTCTATTAAGGTGAATGACTGAATTTTGTATGTATTATTTTTAGAATCATGGTTATGTGTTAGAGACTAGATGTGACAATCTTTCCATTTATTCCAGATGTTTTTTATCTCTTCTACTCAATCTTGGTAGCTCTTGGCATAGTTCTAAAGAACTGGAGCTAGAGTATTTCCCTGTAACTAATACAAGACCCTGATTGTCTCACTTCTTATCCTTCTCTAAGCACATTCACATTCTGTATTCTGTATTAGATGCAAATAGAAAATATCCCAGAATCACAGGACTCTTCATTACTTTGCTAGCTGGTAAGAGTACTGCTAGTTTATAAATCAAAGCCACTACCTTTTATGGTTTCTGAGAAGGACTCAAATAATAATACAGTAGAATGATAGAGTAACTTATATTGTTTTCAATAGTAGATCAACTGGATTACTTCTCCATGTTTAATCTGTCTGATGGCTGATCTGACCTGATTTTGTTTTACATTGTTTGTATTAGTAGCTTATTTCTTCATACTTAAGAAAACATTCCTTTTTTTTTAACTTTGTTAAAAAAGTTATAATTTACAAACAGGGACGTTTGCTCTTTTGGTGTACAATTCTGAGTTTTAATAAACACACAGAGATATATAACTGTAACAACACTCAAGATACAGAACAGTTCTCTCATTCCCCCCAATTCCTTTGTCCAGCCCCTTTCTTTTCCTGGGCTTTTCTGCCTCTTTCCTGTGCCTACCCATTTACCTATTGAAGGACATTTGTGTTGTTTCCAGTTTCTCACAATTATGAATAAAGCGACTATAAATATATAAAATAGACTTCACGACTATCACAATGTCTAAGAAAGAATGTTAAATACACTCTTAAGTTGGAAAGGAGATGACAATAAGGTGTTAACAAGTAAAACAAACTGTAAGGAAAAGAAAACAAAGTGTAACTAATTAAACTGTTGTAACTCATAAGCCAGCCTAGTAGTGAAAATGTTATAATCCTACTAAATTTCTTTGTTTTCTGCATTTATAAGCAAGATCTTAACTTTTAACTTCAGAGCACTGACCCCATTTCTTTGGAGTCTGTTTCCCAGATGGCCATTCCCAGCTTTTTCCTTGAATAAACTCTTGGCGTTTTTGTTGTTGTTCTGAGACAGGGTCTTGCTCTGTTACCCAGGCTAGAGTGCAGTGGTGCAATCATGATTCATTGCAGCCTTGACCTCTCAGGCTCAAGTGATCTTCCCACCTGAGCCTCCCGAGTAGTTGGGACTACAGGTGCATGCCACCATGCCTGGCTATTTTTTTATTTTTTAAGAGATGGGGTCTTGCTATGTTGTCCAGGTTGGTGAATAAACTCTTTAAAACTGGATTTTAAATTTTTTATTATTTTTTTTTAGAGACAGGGTCTCATTCTGTTGCTCAGGTGAGAGTGCAGTGGTACGATCACAGCTCACTGTAGCCTCACCTTCCTGGGCTCAAGTGATCCTCCCACCCCAACCTCACAAGTAGGTAGGAGTACAGGCATGTGCTGCCATACCTGGCTAATTTTTTAAATTTTTTGTAGAGTTGGAGTCTTCCTATGTTGCCTAAAACAGGATTTTTGATCCTTTTGATTATTTCAGGCTGACACAGGACAGCTCCTCCAGTTCCATGCTTCATATCCCTTACAAAACAGTAAACACAGCAGGGAGAAAAGGGGAGAAAGTGACTCTCTATCAGGGAAGAAGACCTCTCCCTGAAGCCTCAGCATCTTTCCTCTGTGACTCATCATGCCCAACCCATATGGATCACTGGAAAAGAAGAAGGGGATGTCATGACTGACTTAGGTCTATCAAGAATCATGCCATAGGATACATTGCTACAACAAAAGCTGGGTTTTAATAACAAAAGAGAAAGGAAGAATGGCTGTTGGGTAGGCAACTAACATTTGCTATAATTCTTAAATGTGTTTCCTGAAGATTATTAATGAAAAAAAGTATCAGCCCCTTTATCTACCATTTTACACTGATTCTTTCAACTAGTATTTATAACATCTACTATATGTTGGGTACTGTGATAGAAGCAGGAGCCTCAAAGATCATCAAGACATAGTTCCTGTCCTCAAGGTCAAATTAAATGAGAGAACAATTCGTCAATAATTCAGAACAGTATAGCAAATGCTGTTAGGTAGCATATGCATGGTATAGTGGGGCAACAGAATAGTCTGCAGCATCTTGAAAAGCAATCCTTGAATTGAGTTTTAGAGGAGAAGCAATTAAACAGAGAAAATGTAGGGATGAGTAATGATGTTCTAGATAGAGAAAAGAGCATGTAAAAAGATACTGATGATTGGAGAATACTACTATGCATTTGTACAACTACAAACATTTTAATGTGGCTAGAGAACTGTGGGGAGCAGGAGGTCAGGTCAGATTGGTGAGGTGGGTGGCAGCTAGATGGAGAAGGGCTGTCTGTGCTAAAATAAGAAATTGATACTTGATACCAAAATCCATGAGGAGCTATTAAAGTATTTCAATCCAACGGATTAACAAATTAGATTGTTTTACAGATTATTCTGGCAGTAGGTGGATGGTTCTGATTGTGTGACTGGGTAGATGGTGAAGGGCAAATAATAGTAAAGAAATGAGAATTGGGAAAAGCTATTGCATTCAGGTGTGTATTTTGAAGTTTAAAACACCTGGCCCAAATGGGTCTCTCTCTCTCTTTTTTTCCCTGAATAACTTCTAACATACATGTAACATGCAACCTGTCACTTTTTTGTGGACTTTTAGGCCTCTGTTTTTTTACATTATTTCCATTTTTAAAAAGAGATGCCGTTGGATTAAGAAAGGGGTATATCAAAATGTTACGGGGAACTGTGTGGTGAGATTACAGATGAGTTTTTTTAAAAAAAAATCTTTCTGTATTTCCCAAAGTGACCATTCTATACACACTTAAGAACCCCAAATCCCTCAACTGTAACTGCCCAAGATGTTTTTCATTCCAGAGCAAACGTTTTTTTCTCCTGGATATGACATCTTCTTGGGTAATTTTAAGTAACCTCCAAGTTTCTTGTCACTTAAATTTTAAAATTTTACCGTTCAATATTTTTCTTGTGGTCATACTTTCAATTTATCGATATACTTATCACAATCTTATAATCATTTGCTTATCAGTCTTTCTCACTGGATTATGAGGACCTCGCAGAAAGAAATCTGGCCTTAATTCATCTTGGTAGACCCAGTACCTAGTGCAGAGATAATTAATAAACATTTACTGAATTGAGGTGTATAATTTGCATCTGTGTGTCCCTAGTTTCCAGCACAGTGCCAATGCCTAATACACATTAATGAAGCTGTATTTCAACTTTCAGAATTCTACCAGTGTTCTATCAAAATCATAGAGTGATTGGTTGGCAAAAACAAACAAATTCCATTTTCACAAACCACAGTATTCTTTTTGTCATACAATATACTATATATAATGTGTGTGTATCATTCACTTACACACACACATATGTGTATGTGCACATACACACTTTCCTCCTCTGTCAAATAGGCTCAAAGATCTACTTTTGTACCTTTGAAAGACTGCCTTGTCAGGTACCTTTTCTAATATTTTTAAAGAATTTTTTAAAAGTCTCATTGCTTTAGCTAGTACTTCCATAACAATGTTGAAAAGGTGTAGTGAGAGGGAACATCCTTGCCTTCTTCCTGATCTCAGTGGAAAGGATCAGGTTTCTTACCACTAGGCGTAATGTTAGCTTTTTTTGAACATGTTCTTTACCAAGTTGAGGAAGTTCCCTCTAGCTTTTCTAATTTATTAGTAAAAATATTAAGGCTGAAAGTTACCTAAGATCTTATTTATTGTGTGAAATATTTAAAAGCATTAGAGACAAATTTCTTTGTCTCTATATTTCTTTCATAAACTATATTTATAATGCTGTGTTCCAGATATTGTGATGTGTTCAGCATCATCTCCGCCTACCCTTTTACTGTATTGCAGGGGCTAGGCAACACAGAAATTTCCTTAGACTCTGTTGCCGGCAGGGTTCCTGTTTTTGTTTTTGTTTGTTTTTGTTTGCAGGTATATAGCAGGTGCATATATTTATGGGGTACATGAGATATTTTAATACAGGCATACAATATGTAATAATCACATCAGAGTAAATGGGTATCCATCATCTCAAGCATTTATCTTTTGTGTCACAAACAATACAATTACACTCTTTTGTTTTTAAATGTATAATTATTGTTGACTGCAGTCACCCTGTTGTGCTATCAAATACCAGATTTTATTCATTCTATCTAGTTATATTTTTGTATCCATTAACCATCCCCACTTCCCCACCCCCTCTCCCACTACCCTCCCCAGTCTTTGTAGCCATTATTCTACTCTCAATCTCTGTGAGTTCAATTGTTTTAATTTTTAGCTCCCACAAATAAGTGAAAACATGTAAACTTTGTCTTTCTCCAACTGGCTTATTTCACTTAACATAATGACCACCAGTTCCAACCACGTTGCTGCAAATGACAGGATCTCATTCCTTTTTGTGGCTGAATACTACTCTATTTTGTATATGTACCATATTCTTTTTCCATTCATCTGCTGATGGGCACTTAGGTTGCTTCCAAATCTCAGCTACTGTGAACAGTCCTGCAATAAACATGAGAGTGCAGAAATGTCTTTGATATACTGATTTCCTTTCTTTTGGATATATACATAGCAATGGCATTTCCGGATCCTATAGAAGTTCCATTTTTAGTTTTTTGAAGAATCTCCAGACTGTTCTTCAAACTGGTTGTACTAATTTACATTCCCACCAACAGTGTACAAGGGGTCCCTTTTCTCCACATCCTCACCAGCATTTGTTATTGCCTGACTTTTGGAAAAAGGCCATTTTCACTGGTGTGAGATGACATCTCATTGTATTTTTTATTTGCATTTATCTGATGATCGATGATGTTGAGCACCTTTTCATATGCCTGTTAGCTATTTGTATGTCTTTTGAGAAATGTCTACTCAAATTTTTGCCCATTTTTAAATTAGATTATTAGATTTTTTTCCTATATAGTTTTTGTCCAACCCGTTGATATTTCACGTTGATTGATCTGCATATGTTGAACTATCTTTGCATCCCTGGGATAATCCCACTTGCTCATGATGCATGATCTTTTTAATGCTTTGTTGAACTCAGTTTGCTTGTATTTTGTTGAGGATTTTTGCATCAATGTTCATCAGAGATATTCACCTGTGGTTTTCTTTTTTTGAAGTGTCTTTGTCTGGTTTTGGTGTCAGGGTAATATTGGCCTTGTATAATGAATTTGGATGTATTCCCTCCTCTATTTTTCAGAATAGTTTGGGTAGGATTGGTATTAGTTCTTCAAATATTTGGTAGAATTCGGCAGTGAAGCCATCGGATCCCATATTTTTCTTTGCTGGGATACTTTTTATTATGGCTTTGGTTTCATTACTTGTTATTGGTCTGTCCAGGTTTTGACTTTCTTTATGGTTCAATCTTGGTAGGTTATATATGTCTAGGAGTTTATCCATTTCTTCTAGGTTTTCCAATTTATTGGCATATAGTTGGTCATAGTGGCCACTATTGTTTAATTTCCATGTGTTTGTATAACCATTTCCAAAATTTCTCTTGTTATTGATTTCTAGTTTTATTCCATTGTGATCAGAGAAGATGCTTGATATTATTTCAATTTTTTTGAATTTCTTAGGACTTGTTTTGTGACCTAACATATGATGTATCCTTAAGAATGATCCATCTTCTGAGGAAAAGAATGTATTTTGCAGGCACTGGATGAAATGTTCTGTAAATATCTATTAGGTCCATAGGTCTATAGTGCAGATTAAGTCCAATAATTCTTTGTTGATTTTCTGTCGGATGATCCGTCCAGTGCTGAAAGCGGGGGTGTTGACATGTCCAGATATCATTTTATTGCGGTCTCTCTTTAAGCTCTAATAATATTTGCTTTATATACCTAGGTGCTCCAGTGTTGGGTGCATATATATTTATAATTGTTATATCCTCTTGCTGAATTGACCCTTTTTCATTATATAATGACCTCTTTGTCTCCTTTTATAGTTTTTGTCTGGAAATCTATTGTGTCTCATAGAAGTATAGCTACTCCTGTGCTTTTTGGCTTCCATTTGCATAAAATATCTTTTCCCATCCCTTTATTTTCACTGTATGTGTGCCTTTATATTTTCAGCCTATGGTGCCTTTATTTTCAGTCTATGTGCATCGTTATTTTCATTCTATGTCCTTCTTGTAGGCAAAAGATTATTGGGTCTTTTTTGCTAGTGTGTGTGTTGGGGGAGGGGGCTGGCAGGAGTTGGTTCTTGAGACAGGGTCTTGCTCTGTTCCCCAGACTGGAGTGCAGTGATGTGATCACAGCTCACTGCAGCCTTGACTTCCCATGCTCCAGTGATCCTCCTGCTTCAGTCTCCCAAGCAGCTGAGACCACAGGCATGTGCCACCATGCCCAGCTAATTTTAACATTTTTTGTAGAGAGGAGGTATCATTAGGTTGTCCAGGCTAGTCTCAAACTCCTGCACTCCAGTGATCCTCCAGCCTTGGCCTCCCAAAGTGCTGGGATTATAGGTGTGAGCCACAGTAACCAGCCTGGTCTTGTTTTGTTTTTTTTGTTTTGTTTTTTTTTTTTAATCCATTAAGTTACTCTGTCTTTTGATTGGAGGGTTTCATCCATTTAAATTCAATATTATTATTGATAAGTAAGGCCATAGTCCTACCATTTTGTTATTTGTTTTCTGGTCTTCCTTCTTTTCTTCCTTCCTGTCTTCCTTTTAGTGAAGGTGATTTTCTTTGGTGGTTGTTTCAATTTCATTTTTTGTGTATCTTTTCCATATTTTAAAATCTGAGTTTACCATGAGGCTTGCAAATAATGTCTGACAACCCATTATTTTAAACTGATGACAAATTAACATTGATTCCATAAACAAAGAGAAAACTAATAACTTTAACTCTGTCCCCAACTTCTTAACTTTTTATTGTTTCTATTTATCTTATTGTACTATGTCTTGAAAAGTTATTACTTTTTTTTACTGGTTCATCTTTTTGTCTTTCTACTTAACATATGGGTAGTTTACACACCACAGTTTACAGTGTTATTATATCCTTTGTTTTTCTGTGTAGTACTATTACCAGTGAGTTTTGTACCTTCAGATGGCATGATCTCGGCTCACTGCAGCCTCCACCTCCAGGGTTCAAGCAATTCTCCTGCCTCAGCCTCCTGAGTAGCTGGGACTACAGGCATGCACCACCATGCCCAGCTAATTTTTGTATTTTTAGTGGAGACGGGGTTTTGCCATCTTGGCCAGGCTGGTCTTGAACTCCTGACCTCAGGTAATCTGCCTGCTTCGGCCTCCCAAAATCCTGTGATTACAGGCATGAGCCACCACGCCGGCCAGGAATGTCTTTTCTTCCCTTCGCATTTGAAGGATATTTTCACTGGATATACTATTCTAGGCTAAAAGTTTTTTTTCCTTCAGCACTTTAAATATGTCATGCCACTCTCTCCTGAGCTGTTAGGTTTCCACTAAAAAGTCTGCTGGAGACATACTGGAGCTGTGCTGTGTTATTAATATTTGTTTCTTTTCTCTTGCTGCTTTTATGTTTCTTACTTTATCTCTGATCATTGGGAGTTTCATTTTTAAATGTCTTGAGGTAGTCAAGAGCCAATAATTCTTAAATTTGTCCTTTTGAGGGCAAATCTATATCTTGCAGGTGTGCTTCATTCTTTCTTATTGTTTCCTTTTGTCTCCTCTGTGCATAGCTTGTCTTCAAGCTTACTAATTCTTTTGCTTGATAAATTCCGCAGTTAAGGCTGATACATTCTTCAATATATCAATCACATTTTTCAACTCCAGAATTTCTGCTTGCTTCTTTTTATTTCAACCTCTTTGTTCAGTTTATGTGATAGAATTCTGAATTGTTTCTCTGTGTTATCTTAAATTTTGTTGAGTTTCCTCAAAACAGCTATTTTGAATTATCTGTCTGAAAGATCACATTATCTCTATCTCTCTATGATTGGTCACTTGTACTTTATTTAGTTTGTTTGGTGAGGGCATGTTTTCTTGGAGGGTCTTGATGCTTGTGGTTGTTTGTCAGTGTCTGGCCATTGAAGAGTTTATTGTAGTCTTCACAGTTTTGACTTGTTTGTACCCCTATTTTAGGCCCTAGCTTTGAGACTTTCTTCTTGAGAAGGCTTTCTAGGTATTTGAAGGAACTTGGGTGTTGTGATCTAAGTCTTTGGTCACTGCAGCCATATTTGCATTAAGGGGCACTCCAAGCCCAGTAACGTGGTGGTCTTAGATAAGTTCCAGAAGAATTATCTGGATTACCAGGCAAAGACTCTTGTTCTCTTCCCTTAGTTTCTCCCAAACCAATGTAGTCTCTCTTTATGCTGAGCTGCGTGGAGCTGGGGGAGGGGTGACACAAGCACCCCTGTGACACAAGCACCACTGGGACTGTGCTGGGTCAGACCTGCAGCCAGCACAGCACTGGTCCTCGCCCAAGGCCCATGATAAACACTGCCTAGCTACCACCTATGTTTGCTCAAGGCCCTAGGGCTCCACCATCAGCAGATGGCAAAGTCAAGCTTGCGTCCTTCCCTTTAGGGAAGCAAGTTCTCTCCCCACCCCCCACCCCAAGTCCTGGGCAGGTTCAGAGATGCCACCTGAGAACCAAGCCTGGATTTTGAAACCTTAGGAATCTACCTGGTGTTCTATGCTACTGCAGCTGAACTGGCCTCCAAGCCATAAGACAAAGTCCTTCTCACTCTTCCCTCCTCTTTCTACAAGCAGAGGAGTCTCTTTCCATGGCCACCACTGCCCCAGGCCCACAGTAAGTACCGCCTGTCTACCTCTAATGTTCATTCAAGGCCCAAGGGCTCTTCAATCAACTTGTGGTGAATGTTGCCAGGCCTGGGACTCTCCCTTCAGGGCAGTGGACTCCCCTCTCATCCAGGGCAGGTCCAGAAATGCCTTCCACAAGCCAGAGCCTGGAATCGGGGACCCCAAGAGCCCACTTGGTGCTCTACCCCACTATGGCCAAGCTGGTACCTAAAGCTGCAAGGCAAAGTCCTCTTTACACTCCCACTTCCTTTTCTCAAGCAGGAATTCTTCCCTGTAGCTACCACAGCTGAGAATGTGCTGGCTAACATCTAAGGTCAGTATGTCTCTGAGTCTCATTCGAGGCCTATGGTGAACATTGCCTGGGTACCCGCTGCTTATTTTTCACAGCCCAAGGGCTCCTTAGTCAGCAGGTGATGAATCCTGCCAGAAAGGCCTTTCCCTTCAAGGCAGAGGGTTCCTTTCTGGTCCACGGTGTGTCTAGAAATGTCATCTGGGAGTTAGGGCTTAAAATGGGGACCTCAGGAATCTGCCTTATGTCCTGAGGCATAAGGTGGTATCCAGGTTGCAATGTGGCTGAGGTGGTATCCAGGTTGCAAGGCCAACTCCTCTTTATTCTTTCCTCTCCTCTCAAGCAGAAGAAGCCTCTCCTAGAGCTGCACTGCCTTGGGTTGGGGGAGGGATGGTGCAAGCATTCCCTTTGCTGCCCAGCTGGTGTCTCGCTGGGTTGCATACCCCCAAGTCTACTGGCTCCAAGGCCAGTACAGCATGAGGAGTCGCCTAGGAACTGCAGTCCTTGTGGCCTAAGCTGCCTTTCAAGTTTATTTAGAACCTTTGCAGTGGCAAGGCTTGCCAGAACACAGGTTCCAACCTCTGCGGTGGGCAATTCCCTTCGGACTGGGGTTTGTGTAAATGCTCCCTCTGTGGGCACTGGCTGAATTCTGCCCAGTGTTGCTTTCTGCTGTGACATGACTGTGCAACTCATTCAATGCAAAGTCCCATAATAACTGTGCTCTCCCCTCTCCAGCACACAGATTCTCTCTCCATGCCACATGGTGCTGACAGGCAATAGAGTGGCTGGCAGTTCAGTCTAGGCCACAAGGGCTGCAATTCTTGGGCAAGTGCTCATGCTGTACTGGGCTTGGAGTCAGTGAACTTCAGGGGCATGCAACCCAGTGAGATGCCAGCTGAGCAGCCAAGGGAATACTTGCACCACCCCTCCCCTAACCCAAGGCAGCACAGCTCTGGGAGACTCCTTCCTTCTGCTTGAGAGGAGACGAAAGAATAAAGAGAACTTTGCTTGGTCAGCCACAGTAGGACAGGACACCATGAGGAGTCCTGAGGCCACCATTCCAGGACCTAGCTCCCAGATGACATTTCTAGACACATCATGGGACAGAAGGGAATCCTGTGTCTTTCCTACCCTCTTAAGTGCCTTTCAGTAATAAAAAGGTAAAGCCAGGTGTTGTGATCACTGACCTGATTTTTGGTTCTTATGAAGGTGCTATTTTTGTGTGGATAGTTGTTCAATTTGGTGTTCCTGTGGGGAGGATGATTGGGGAAGGCTTCTATTCAGCCATCTTGCTCCGCCTCACAGCGTCCCTGTTAGGGTTCTGTCAACTGTAGGCATTTGCAAGAGATTAAAAAGCTGAACGACATGGAAACAATCTTCTGGCTCAGGTAGTGGTGGTACCAGCAGACTATGGTACCCAACTGTCATAAGAGTAGGCTCCTGTAGAACCTGGATAGCAGCTGGACATTGGATCTTATGGTGGCAGCACTGGCTGCATGGGGGACAGAGGAGCACAACTCTGTTAAAGTCATCGTGTAGTATGGGTTGACTACTGGCTCCAGAGGAAGAAGTAGCTTACTATACTTCCTCATTTCTGGGCAACACCACCTCTTTTTGCTCCACCAGCCCTTCTAACAATTTCATCATTTAGTTTTGTCTATTAAATCCCTCCTTACTTAAAATATTGCAGGTGACTTCCATTTTTCTTTTTTTTTTTTTTTTTTTTTTTTGAGACAGAGTCTCGCTCTGTCGCCCAGGCTGGAGTGCAGTGGCACGATCTCAGCTCACTGTAAGCTCCGCCTCCGGGGTTCACGCCATTCTCCTGCCTCAGCCTCCCAAGTAGCTGGGACTACAGGCGCCCGCCACTACGCCCGGCTAATTTTTTGTATTTTTAGTAGAGACGGGGTTTCACCGTGTTAGCCAGGATGGTCTTGATCTCCTGACCTCGTGATCCGCCCGCCTCGGCCTCCCAAAGTGCTGGGATTACAGGCGTGAGCCACCGTGCCCGGCCGTGACTTCCATTTTTCTTATCAATTGTATGGCATAACATTTTATCTGGCATTCCTAGAATCAGAAAATGTGCTATGCTGGAAAAATTATTTTTCCAGGTAAGTTTAAACCTTTCAAGACTAAAATACCAATTTTCCTGAAATTTTTAATTAAATGTTTCACATATGGTCCTTTCTTCCTAAACAGAGTATTTGAAATACAATTTTTTTCTCCTTTTCCATTATCCCCACTGAATATTCACTATCTTTTGTGTTTTAAATGGTCTCAGGTTGAAGCTCTACGGACAGATGGTATGGTACTCTAGGTGAAATTAGTACTGACCAGAAGCAGATACTTACAAGTTCAATAGCAAATACCTTCACTGTTGCAGTTACTAGAGACAAAGAGTTGGTGACAACATGCTTACTTTTCCCTGGACACTCTGACAGAAAAATATCTAAGCAAATAAATGATAAGGAATGATGGACATAAAAATAGAAATATATACAACAGGCACAGATTATACAGAGGAAAAGACTACTGACTATAATCTGGAGATGACAGAAAAAGCTCTACATGGGTACTGAATTATAAGCTGCATCTTGCAGTATGAACAAAGGTTTGACAGGAAAAGAGCATTTCAAAGCAGGGAAGAACCTGTGCAGACAGGTGTGGTAGCTAGTCTCCAAAGATGGTTTCCAACATTTATCCCCATTCTATATGCTTATATCTTCTCCCCTTGAATCTGGACTGGCCCTGCAATTGCTCTGACCAATAGAATGTGATGGAGGAGCTGTTTTGGGACTTCTGAGCCCAGCACTTAGGAGGACTAGCAGTTTCTACTTCCTTCCCCCTGGTAACACTCTTGAGATGTTCATTCTTAGAATCCCACTAAGCTAAAGAAAGCTCAAGCCACATGGAGGAGAATCAGGGCGCTGCAACTGGCCACCCCAGCTGAGATCCCACCTGATAGTACCAGCTAATGGTCATACAAGTTAGCCATCTTGGACCTTTTAATTAATCCCTCAGATTAATTAAATAATATAGCATATGAAGAACTGCTCAGCTGAGCTCATTCAATTATCAGAATTGTAAGAGATAATGATTGTTGTTTTAAGCTGCTAAATTTTGAGGGTTTTTTGTTTGTTTTTTGTTTTTTTTTGAGACAGGGTCTTGCTCTGTCACCCAGGATGGAGTGCAGTGGCATGATCTCAGCTCACTGCAGCCTCAAACTCCTGGGCTCAAGCGATTCTCCCATCTCAGCCTCCCAAGTAGCTGGCACTACAGGCACATGCCACAATGCCGACTACTTTTTGTATTTTTTGTAGAGATGGGATTTCGCCATGTTGCCCAGGCTGGTCTCGAACTCCTGGGCTCAAGCAATCCACCTGCCTTGGCCCTCCAAAGTGCTGGGATTATAGGTGTAAGCCACTATGCCTGGCCAAGGTGATTTCTTATGCAGTGAAAAGGCCCTGTCTGGGTGCAGTGGGTCATGCCTATAATCCCAACAATTTGGGAGGCCAAGATGGGAGGATCACTTGAGCCCAGGGGTTTGAGACCAGCCTGGGCAACATAGTGAGAGCCTATCTCTCCTAAAAAAAATTAGCCAGGCATGGTGGCGCACACCTGTAGTCCCAGCTACTGGGGAAGAAGAGACCGGAGTGAGCTATGATCAAGCCACTGCACTTCAGCCTAAGTAACAGAGTGAGACCCTGTCTCAAAAAAAAAAAGGAAAAAAATAAGGCTCTGGCATGACTGAAAGTTACAGATGATCAAAGGAGTTCTCACAGTTTCTCATATCTGGGCAATCGTGCCTGCCTTGCCTTTTTTGCTCCTCCAGTTCTTCTTGTAATTTCATTACCTAATCCCTATATTAAATCACTTTTTGCTTGAAGTATCTTTTTTTTTTTTGAGACGGAGTTTTTGCTCTTGTTGCCCAAGCTGGGGTGCAATGGCATGATCTCGGCTCACCGCAACCTCCGTCTCCTAGGTTCAAGTGATTCTCTTGCCTCAGCCTCCTGAGTAGCTGGGATTACAGCACCCGCCACCAAGCCTGGTCAATTTTTGTATTTTTAGTAGAAACGGGGTTTCACCATGTTAGCCAGGATGGTCTCGAACTCCTGACTTCAGATGATCCGCCTGCCTCAGCCTCCCAAAGTGCTGGGATTACAGGTGTGAGCCACCGCGCCTGGCCTGCTTGAAATATCTTAAGGTGCTTCTGTTTCGCTAGCTAACCATGTGGAAAACATTTTGTTATCTTGTATTTCTAGAACCAGAGAATGCTATGCCAAAAAAATAAATTTCTTCTGATAATTTCAACCTTTTCAATATTGAAATACTGTATTCCTGAGTTTTTCTTAAATGGTTTATTCATGCACCTTTCTTTTCTTTTTTTTAGAGACAGGGTCTCACTCTGTTGTCTAGGTTAGAGTATGATACAATCATAGCTCACTGCAGCCTCAAACTCCTGGGCTGAAGTGATCCCCCTGCCTCAGCCTTCCAAAGCACTAGGATTACATATGTAAGCCACCATGCCTGGTGTAGACCTTTCTTCTTAAACACAGCATATGAAATGCAATTTTTTCTTCTTTTCCATTATTACCATTAAATATTTACCAAGTTCCTATCATGTATTGTATAGTTTTCTAGGAACAAATGGTATAGAGTATCAGGTGAACTGAGGGCTAACTACAAGTAGATTACTTGTAATTTCAAGTGCAAAAACCTTTACTGTGTCAGTTGCTAGGATACTGAGAGGATAATTAAATGGTCCCTGTCCTCTAGAAGCTCCCACTATAACAGAAATAGATTTGTCAACAAATAAATTATAATATGCTAGGAAGAATTCAAAAATAGAAATATCTACCACACATAATCAAAGAAAGGGTGATTACACATAAAAGTATCAGAGAAAACTTCATATAGGAGCTAAAATTTAAGCTGGGTCATGAGGTATGGTTTGAAGTTTGCCAGGTAAAGATGGGAAAAGGTTACTCCAGAGTTGGGAGGAAGCATGCACAAAGGTAGTTAAAGTGATAGCATTATTTAGCCCAGATTTCATTACGATTAAGAGATTATAGAAAACAAAGTTGAGGTGTGCTGTGAAACATACTTTTTATGTAATACTTAAGAGTTTGGACTTTATACTATTATCACCAAGGAGCAGAGAAGCCTCATATTCGCTTTCGTATTTCAGAAAAATAACACTGGTGGCAATGTGAAGGATAGACTGGGACAAGGAAGGACTGGCAGCAAGGCAAGTTAGGAGGCTACTGCAAGCTTCAGAAGAGAATCAATAAAGCTACAAAGTGAGGAATGGTAGTTGCCTAACCTCCAAGGCAGCATGATTAGAATTCTGTGTAAAATAATTCCTAAAATAGTTCTTTCTCCTAAAATAATTCCTAAAATATAAGGGTTATCCTTATATATTGATAGCTGCTGACTCATCAGTACCAATGAGATCATGATCCTTAATTTCAAATTAAGAACATGATCTTCAATTTCATTTATAGTAGTTATGGCTCATTTAAATCCTAAATAATGAGCCATAGCTACTAATTTATTTATTTTGCCACGTCCATTGCTAAAGTAGCTACTAGATGTTATTTCCTATTTGCACAACAGTAGGTTTGTTACTGGGATATGGAAAACAGGGAACTTGCAATTTAGAAAAACGCAATTTGGCCTTGTTTTTATTTTATTTTTACTCACCACTATACTAAAGGTGATGGGCTTGTTTTAAAGAGAAAGTGTACTCCAAAAGATTCCAAAATTCTGCAACATTTGGATAAGGATGAAACTAAAACCTGACACCAGGTCACTTTTTCTATAAGCTTTCTTTAGTATTTTGACCAAAAGAAAAGACATATGTAAAGCCTATACCACAAATCAACTTTATAAAATAACTTCTCATATTCTGCATAACACTGAGTGAATCATTTAGACAACAGTGGACAGAAAAAGGGAGCTGAAAATAGTAACAGACATTACCTCTGCTTCCTTAGAATGAGTTCTACAATTACCTTGCAAAAGCACACAATTTTGCTATCCTCAGGCAGGCTTATAATTTTTTTAAAAGATCTTCAAATAAAGGTCATTTATTTTAGTATTTGTTCCAGTATTTCCAGAGTATTTTTGGGGAAAAAAGTTCTAGTGGAAGAAAAATAGTTTTCATAATTACTTACATTGGGGTTCAAATCCTTCACTTGTTAGATGTTATTATATTACAGTCATCCCTTGGTATCCGCCAGGGATTGGTTCCAGGATACCCCAAGGATACCAAAATCCAAAATCCAAGGATGCTAATCATCTCTAGATTATAATATCTAACATAATGTAAATGATATATAAATATTGTTATATTATTTTTAAAATTTATACTATTTCATTGTTGGGTTATTTTTTGTTTTTTCCCCAAATGTTTTCAATCCATCAGTCCATGGTTGGTCGATCTATAGATGTGGAACCCCCAGACACAGAGGGCCAACAGTACTTAATTTCTTGGAATCTTAGTTTCCTCACTTACAACATGTTTATAATAAAGACAGACGAAATTTTGTAAGGGCTACTAGTATATGTGTAAGGCAACTGCACATGAAAACCTAACACTATTTGGCTTAGAAAACATACTCTATCCTATGTAATATACCAAATAAGTGTTTTGGAAATAAATACCATTGTTCTTCATAGCTTAACCACACTACTACACCCTACTACATGGATTCTAGAAGTTTATTAGTGACATAAATATGAAGTTAATGGCATCTTTTATAGGCACAACAAAAGAAACAAACGTATTAGAAGGTATTTGCATAATCAGACCATTTTGAGCCTGGTATGTTTTCCCCAGTAATTGGAGCATCCTTAGATGCCTTAACAACAAGGACAGTTTCTCCATCCTTTGCTGCATACATACTTTCTAATACTATCTCTCTCCTTCCACTCCCAATTCCTAATAAAAATCTCTGATTCACATTAAAAACTTATTCTGGCAAGTCTCCCTCTTCCACCTCTACTGCTTTCTATGTTAGTGACAAGTGCTATTCATATAAAATATACAAAGGCAAGAAACATAAAGTTAAAAGGAAACAGTATGTACTATTCTTCATACTCAATACATCATACATAAAATACGGAGTTTCATAAGTAAAACAAAATACTGCATACTGTATGTCTATTATTTTTAATGGTGTGCCTGTGTTACCAGTCTATGACTGGACTATCAATACTTACCCTCACAGAGGAAATAAACAAATGAAATAACATATGTAAAAAAACTATTACAAAAAGAGTTGATCCTCATTGTTCATATCACATACAGCAGGTCCTCAACTAATGTAATTTCTTTTTTTGTTTGTTTTTTTGAGACGAAGTCTTGCTCTGTTGTCAGGCTGGAGTGCAGTGTCGCGATCTCAACTCACTGCAACCTCCGCCTTCTGGGTTCAAGAAATCCCCTGCCTCAGCCTCCCAAGTAGCTGGGACTACAGGTGCACACCACCAAGCCTGGCTAATTTTTTGTATTTTAGCACAGATGAGGTTTCACTATGTTGGCCGGGATGGTCTCTATCTCCTGACCTCGTGATCCACCCGCCTCGGCCTCCCAAAGTGCTGGGATTACAGGCGTAAGCCACCACACCCGGCCTGTAATTTCATTATAACATTGATGAAAAACAATTATTTACAACCAGGGCCACTGTCTGTGTGAATTTTGCATGTCCTCCACATATCTGCATGAGTTTTCTCTGGGTATTCTGGTTTCTTCTCAATTCCCAAAGATGCACGTTAGGTGAATTGGTACAGCTAAATGGTCCCAGTATGCGTGTGTGTGCCGTGTGAGTGCGCCCTGTGATGAAAAGGCATCCTGTCCAGGGTTGGCTCCCACTTTGCTCCCTGAGCTGCTGGGATAGGCTCCAGCTACCCAAGACACTGAACTGAAATAAGCAGGTTGAAAAACGAATGAATACAAATTACTGTAAAACGAAAATTTGTAAAGTATATAATAATCATACAAATGCACAATAAATGATGCAGTATGAAAGCACTCAGCAAGCCCACTTTATTTCTTATTTTTTGTTTTTGAACTGCATGGTGGTAGGAGGTGCTCCTTAAAATTTTCACTTCCCAACAGTTATTCCTTGATTTAACCCACTAGCACTACAACTGCTGTCACTCACTGATTCGCCAAATATTGGGTAAATAATTTTTACTTTTTTTTTTTTTTTTTGAGACAGGGTCTCATTCTGTCACCCAGGCTGGAATGCAGTGGTACCATCACGGCTCACCGCAGCACCGACTGTGGGATTGTTTAATGCAGGGTTTATCAATAACAACCCCATAAACATTTGGGGCTGGATAATATATATATTTTTTTTGAGATAGGATTTTGCTCTGTTGCCCAGACTGGAGTGCAGTAGCGTGATCATGGCTCACTGCAGCCTCGACCTCCCAGGCTCAAGGGATCCTCCCACATCAGGCTCCCGAGTAGCTGGGACTACAGGTGCAAGCCACCACCTCTGGCTAATTTTTGAATTTTTCTGTAGAGACGGGTTTCACCATATTACCCAGGCTGGTTCCGAACTCCTGAGGTCAAGCCATCTGCCCACCTCGACTTCCCAGTGTTGAGATTACAGGCGTAAGCCACCATGTCCAGCCAATTCTTACTTGTTTTTATCCTTTTTAAATGTATATAAAGCTCATATTAATCTCAATGTTTAATTTTAGAAGTGTTTTGGGTCTTTATTAGAAATTTGGTAGTGTTTTTGTAACCAGAAATATATGCCATAGGGACTTAACTCTTATTTATATCAGTTCACCTATGGTAAAATTGATTTCATTATATGTTGTTTTTCTTAAACTCGCAGTTTCCCAGAACCTATCAACAACATTGAGGACTTATTGTATTATAAATTATCTTTATATGAATATAAAGACTTTCCCTATTTCAATTGCGAATATACAGATCTGTGCACTCAAAAATAACAAGCCTATTAGGACTCAAACAGTTATTTGTATACCCACGTTCACAGAAGCATTATTCACAATAGCCAAAAAGCAGAAGCAACCCAGTGTCCATTAATGGATGAACTGATAAACAAAATACGGTATTTACATACTACGGCATATTTGGCCTTTAAGAGGAAAGAAATTCTAATACATGCTACAACATGAATGAACTTTGAAGACATTATGGTAAATGAAATAAGAATGAATCCATTTAGATATCCAGAGTAGTCAATTCATAGAGACTGAATGCTGGTTACCAGAGGCTGAGGAGAGAGGAGGTAATGGGTGGTTATTGTTTAATGAATACATAATTTCAGTTTGGGAAGATGAAGAGTTCTGTAGACGGATGGTGGTGGTGGTTGCACAATAGTATGAATATACTTAATGCCACAGAATTGAACACTTAAAACTGGTTAAAGTGGTGAATTTTACGATATGCATATTTAATCACAATAAAAAATGCTTATTAAAAGATGTACTAGTTATGAAATAGCATACCTCATCTGTTTCAAACTGGGTGTGGCTAACAATGAGGTAGAAAAGCAGCAAGCAGGTACAGAGATTTATAATGGCTGCTCTAGGTCCTATCGGGTAAAGGGATCAGCAGATGTGAAGTCAAGAGTCTCCTGTAAGATTTGACTTTCTTGGAAACATATTTTAATCCTGGGCCTCCTCTTTCCAAATCACCTATTTCTTTTAGTCTTTTTGCAGTGATACTGTGTGTTGCTTCTAACAGAGGTTCAGTTTCACAGCCTTTCCCTCAAGTGTCTTATCCTAAAAGTAAAACCTAGATGATCTAAGGTGGTGGTTTTCAACAGGGTGCAATTTTGCCTCCTATACTCGCAACACCCAGGGACAGTTGGCTATGTCTGGAGACATTTTTGGGTTGTCACAACTGGAAGTAGGGTGGGGAGTGGTGCTAATGACATCAAGTGGGCATAAGCCAATTATGCTGCTAGAAATCCTACAATGCACAGGATAGGCTCCCACAAACAAAGACTTAACCAACCCCAAATACTAACAATGCTTGGTTTGAGAAACCCTGTTCTAAGGTTTTTCTAAGTTGCTTGATTTATGGTAGAAACTGATCATAAGTTAAAAGTTTCCTCCTTTTGGATTGCTTGAGCCCAGGAGTTTGAGGCTATGGTGCATTATGATTATGCCTGTGAATAGTCACTGTAATCTAGCCACTGCAATCTATATTAAGAAACATAGGCCGGGCGCAGTGGCTCACGCCTGTAATCCCAGCACTTTGGGAGGCCAAGGCGGGTGGATCACGAGGTCAGGAGATCGAGACCATCCTGGCTAACACGGTGAAACCCTGTCTCTACTAAAAAAAAACAAAAAAAATTAGCTGGGCGTGCTAGCGGGCACCTGTAGTCCCAGCTACTCAGGAGGCTGAGGCAGGAGAATGGCGTGAACCCGGGAGGCGGAGCTTGCAGTGAGCCGAGATCGCGCCACTGCATTCCAGCCTGGGTGACAGAGCAAGACTCTGTCTCAAAAAAAAAAAAAAAAAAAAGAAAGAAAAGAAAAGAAAAAAGAAAAAGGAAACATAGTGAGACCCTGTTTCTTTAAAAAAAAAAAAAAAGTTTCTTCCTCTTATTCCTTACTTTCTCTTCTCATTTATTTTGAGGAAATAGGATAAGAACCAGTGGTAATACTTTAGGTGAAAGGAGGCTACTTATGTTATCATTCTCTTCACCCTGGCCGATCCTAACCATGACACTTTATATCCTGGGGGATGGTGAAAAACAGAGGAGGTGGGGTAGGACTTGTGGTCAAATTGTTGGGGACAGAGGCAAAAAAGAAAACAGCAACAAAAAAATACAAATGAAGAAATTGGAAGGCAGTGCCTATGCCATCTGAATTGGATAATTCTTCCTAATGGCCATTTGGATATAGATGAGTTGGACAGACATAATTTAGAAACCTATATAAGGAAATATCATGCATTTTAATGAGGTTATAACCCAAAATTTAAAATTCAATTAAAAAATTAAATCACAGATTTTCCCACAACATACTAATTCAACATACTACTTACGATTACTTAAAATTTGCATTTTTTCTAAGGAGCAATAACCTAATGAGTATGTAATACTAATGTGTCAGTTAATAAGGGCAATTACTTTTGCTCTTATTTTCCTGTTATATGAAATTAACAACATACCTGCTGCAATATAACTCATTTGGTACAATTTAGGTGTTTCGAGAAATTCAACCCACTAAGATCATTAGCGTAATTCATTTTTATGCTACACATTAAAATGGTGCCTTCTTACAGTCACTTTGGAAAACTGTTTGACAGTAAATACTAAAACTGAAAATATACACACCCTACAACCTGGCAATTCCATTCTTAGGTTTATACTCAATGGAAATGTATACACTCACCAAAAGACATGTATAAGAATGTTCTACACAGTACTATTCATAATAGCTCAGAATTGAAAAATTCTCAAAAGACTATTAATGGGAGAATGAATAACTTTTGGATGTAATGAAAAATGGATAAACAAACGGAAGACTATACAGCAATGAGAATGAATGAACTACAAATACATGCAACAATAAGAATGGATCTCACTTTGGCAGGTTGAATAACGGCCTCCAAAGATAGCCAGCGTATGAATCCCTGGAACCTGTGAATGTCACTTATATGGCAAAAGAGATTCTGCAGATGTGATTAAATTAAGGATCTTGAGATAGGGGGATTATCCCTGCTTTATGCAGGTGAGCCCTAAACTTAGAGGCAGGGAAAGATCTGACTACAGAAGAGAAGATGATATAATGACAAAAGCAAGCTTTGATCATAGAGAGGAAGGGGTCACAAGCCCATAAATACAGGCCGTCACTGGAAGCCAAAAAAGGGAAGAAAACATTCTCCCTCACAACCTCAATAAAGAGCCAACCCTGCTGATACTTTGATTTAGGCCTAATGAAACTGATTTTTGGACTTCTGATCTCCAGGACTATAAAAGAATAAATCTGTGTTGTTTTAAGTCACTAAGTTTGTGGTAGTTTGTTACAGTGGCAACAAGAAACTAAAATATTCACAAAAATGATGAATGAAAAAAAGTGTATTATGTATGATTACATTTACATAAAATAAAAAACAGGCAAAACTAATCTATGATTTTAGAAGTCAGGATAGTAACTTTCAGCAAGAAAGAAGACAGTGTTAAGATGGGGAAAGAGGAGGGCTTCTGGGGTACACATAATGCTCTGTGTTTTGATCTGAAGACTAGTATGTGAGTTTGTTTAATTTGTGAAAACCTTTATTTGTGTACTGTTTTGTGTGTGTGTGGTATATGCAGTTTTAAAAACTGATGCCTTTTAAACACTTACTAATCTGATAATCTGCCGAAAAAGAATATATAACATATATTCAAGGGGATGGAAAAATACTTACTGAACAATAATTTTATTTCTCAAGAACGCTGAAGATTTTGTTTCTCTCTTCAAAAGATTTAAAAAATTTTAACTGGCAAAACATAATAGTGACTCTTAAATGCTAAAAAAAAAAAAAAAAAAAAAAAAAAAAGAAAAAACCTAAAAATAAAATATTGCATAAGTAAGCTTTGTTATGCCTCGATCTTAGGACTGTAAATTATAAAAATACAAGTAAAACCACATTTTTTGAAATAACAGTAAACAAAAACAAAAGGCAGGTACTACATACCAAATGACCAAAATGTCTTTTGGGCCTAAGATTCTTGAAAATAGTAAAAATGGTAATAATAGAAATCTCTCTATAGAACATTAAATATAAAAACCATTTATAAAACACATCACAATTTTATTGCTTGAAGAATACAGCATATGAAATCACAAGAATGTCAAAATGAAAAGTCACTAGGCTTCAAACGTATAATACATTATCAGATGCAGTAAAATATTAACCTGAACTCTGCATCAGAAAAAAAAAAAAAGGTGTGGAAAATATCTAAGTTGTTTACTTAAGAAACAGATATACTTAAAATAGAAAGTATAAGGATGTTACAGTACAAATTAGAAAAGCCAACACGTATTAACTTATCGTTCTAGACTAGACTACCTTTGGTACTTAAACTTTTTAAAAAACAATTTCTTCTATCTCATCCAAATGCACTTCATGGGTATGACATCCATGAAGTAACTTCAACTTAAAACATTCAGCAAAATTAACCTTTTCACTTCATGGGGGAAGTATATTTAATAAATGTATAACAATATTTCCCTTTTACTAAAACTGCAAAATATGATCATTAAGAAACCTAACAGTTATAAAACTTTACTTACTTAGCTCTCCAATTAAAATTGGAATCCTGGGAGCCACAATCTATTTTTGGGCTTGGTGAATACATAAGTTTAAAAGATTTGGCAACTGACATAGGAATTTAATTACTTAATACTATCTTAAGTGACTTTTCCTTTCTGTTTCCAAAATATAGACATTATGCCATTTCTTCAACATCCTGGATTCCTATAAACACTACCATACTGTATTTATTAGAACCAAATTAAAGCTTCTCTAACAAGCAGGTAGAAACTATTTATGTTCCATATACGGCTGATAAGTTATAACACAACTTATGTTTCATATAGGGCTGATCAGTTAATTCATATAGGGCTGATCAGTTGTAACATAACTTCTTAAGCAAAACTAATCTTTTTTTTAAAGCTATCACTCAATTATGGAGACAATAATGTCATCTCAAAAGGTAATGTTGGACTCTAGGCCATCTAGTTGGGAAAATGTAAAAGTAATTCTAAAAACAATAAGTAAACTATAACTACAAGTTAAATTAAAAATCCCTCTCTCATAGCAAGCATGCTCATTAACTTTCATTTCTTTCCCCCAGCAAAGGTTTGAATATTCATAAACCTCAGTTAAACCAAGAGAACCAATGTAATTGTTTCAAAAGTACCACCTATATATTTGAATAATATGAGTATGGATGGACTAGGTAAGTAATACTATCAACAATTACTGAATTGGAGTGAAAGAGTAAAAATCATGACAGACTTCCAAACTGGGCAGTCTTTGAAATGTCATAGTGGAGCTCAAAATGAATTATGCTGTAATAAAACTATAGTTTTTACCTCTACACAAAACAGAAACAAAATAAAAAAACATAACCACCAAATTTATACAAATACTATTAAACATACTCCTTCCTAGTTTTTGAATGTCTTGAAGTTTTTCTAAACAAGTATATTGATCTGAGCATATATATTTATTGCCTATATATGTACTCATTTTAAAAGACAAATTCAGATACTACAGAACTGAACTCTTTCACCAACCCAATCCAATGTCTACTGATTCACACAGCACCCCCCCCTTAATAATTTAAAATTCACAAGTTTTAGTTTAGTTAAAAGGGCAGAGGAAATGCAAATGCAGATTTAGAGCTTTGTAGAAATTTCACTGTATTTTTATAAACTTGAAGTTATCTGTAACACTGTTTATTGATCAAACGAAGGACTCGCTGCTATCTAAAATTTCATAAACACCATTAAAAATTCAAAATTGATATTATACTGAACCTTAAATTTTCAATAGTTCAAAGAGACAGTTTTTACATGTATAGCACACAATAGATGAAACTTAATAGCAGACATCCCTAGAATACCAATGACAAGTCCACCAAGATGCATACAAAATTACAGATAAGCATTTCTTTCACTGTTTTTGTTGTGCAGGGAAAAACATTTATAGAAGAAATAGAAACTCAGCTGGTGAATTTCAGATATCATCATCATCTTCTTCATCCTGAGAAGATCCCGCCTGATTAGATGCACTGGCTGAGGCAGCAGCAAGCTGGGCTTGTTGGGCAGCTTGCTGCATTTGAAGCCATTCCTGTTGGGCCAATTCTGCTTGTTGCTGTCTAGCCTAAACACCCAAAACATAAAAAAAAATAACAATTTTTTACAAACCCACAATATATACACTTTGGTTAAATGTAGATTAGGCCAATTTCAGACAGTTTATTATCATACTTGGATACTGTCCAAGTACTATGTAATTGTCACACATCTGGAGAACATAAACTCTATAGGTAAATATAATTAGAGATTGCTTTTTTCTAACTACACAGGTCTAAGAAATTTCTCAAACTTGGATCTCTTATAAATGGCCCTGTTTTATTTCACGTAATTTATGACCTTTGATTCAACTGAAGAAGTTGAAAAAGTGGAACCAATATTGTGAAAAACCCACAATATTCCCTCTGGCTCTTTCCCTCTTCTTTTCCTTTCATTTCACTTGACTCTTCTGTACCCTCATATTACAACTTTGATACAAACATTTTTCAATCTAAAATTTATTTATATGGTTTAAAAGTTCTCTAGTATAGTACCTCTACCTCATAGGAAAGAAGTACTGTACATGTATGCAGTAGCTACCCCATTATTTCTTTCTGAGTTTCTATTACAATTCCCTAACCTACTATATGCCTATCTCTCTGTGTCCCTCATTCCCTCTCTGTAAGTACACACATTTGCATATACACACATACAAATATACATATCCTTCCCGTATACACACTAGTAAAAAGATACTACTTAAAATCCATTCATCTGATATATCCTCTATTAAAAACAACCACAGGATTTAAGAAACCAGGATGCATACATTATTAATTACCTATGAAACAGCTAAGGCTCCTTCACAATTTAATTTCATCTGTTTGCAGAAAAACCACACCAAGAAGGGAAAAAATGAACCTGTTCTTAAAAAGGTCTTACAATTTCCCATTAGACTCTGCCAAAACAATCCTTTTCTCCTTCTCTGTCTGTTCTTGGAATTGTTCTTTAAGTCCAACTCAGACCCTCCCCTTTATGCATAGCTAATTCCTAGTCATCATCTGAAATGCAAATCAGCTAGTCTTTCTTGACCTTTCCAAGCCATATTTTATGCTCTATTTAATATACCATAATTCCCTATGCATTCCCATATCCATCCACTTTGTTCTAGAATTATCTAAGTTTATATCCTTTTTTTCCACCACACTTGAGAATAGAGATTGTTTCCATATTCTTTGTTGCATTCCTAACATAAAGGCCCTCAGTATTTTCTGAATGAACATGCTACAGGAAAACAGTGATGCCCAGCATAACCAGTAACATTTAAGATTTTACCATGTACAATCCTCACTCTTCTGAATAATCTGTCATGACTTTATTATCCAAACATTTCTAGATATAAATTCTAATCAGGTCACTATTTCATTTTTTTAAAAAAAATCATTTGTTATCAATCAAATCCAAATTTCCTAGCCTAGAGTTCAAGGTCTTCCAAATTAGTGTCTACCCCAACCTCTCTATAGTCTTTTTTTGTAACATGTACTTTGTGCTTCAAAAAAGCCTAGAACACAAAATGTTTCCCAAATATACACCATACTTCCTCATCTTTGCTACCTTTACTCATGCTGACACTCATCCTATGTGAAATTTCCTGCCACTTACTGAAATTCTACCCTTCCTTCAAGTCAAACTGAAATACTATTTTCTCCTCCTGGCATCAGTCAGTGTATAATCAAGAGATAGATGTCACATGAGTTACTGGAATGGAAAAAATTTAATACGAAGAATTGTTAAACAAGTATAAAGTTGTTATTAGGGAGCTGAAAAGGCAGGAAGAGAACATGAAGATGTCATGAAAGTAGCAGCTACAGGAAGCAGCCACCAACCCTAAAACTGAGGGAATAAAGGAAAATGCTGGAATTTTTAAAATTTAGAAGCTTAAGAAACCACTTCATGGAACTGAAACTCAGGCCTCGGAAGAATGGGCATAGATAAGCTAGTACTAATATATCTGCGCTTGGAGGAGGGCCCCAAGGGTTGGGATCCACACTGCCAGAGTGGGGGGATGGGGTGCGGGTTCAGGCTGGTGGTGTATTAGAGAAAATGCAAACCGCGTTCAGTCTCTGCTACAGGAAAACTGATGCAACCAGGGTGAAGAAGTGTTGCTGGGTTGTTCAAAGGAACTGAAAGACAAGAGAAAGTAAGAGAAAACCCTTTCTCTTCCTCCATCCATGCAATCTCCCACGATAGCCCCATATGGCAACAGAGTCTAATGGAGAGTCAGCTAGCAAAGAAACATGTGGCTTGCAGAGTACTAGGTCCAGTCACAAAGCAGAGCATAGAAAGGTGGGTCTGGAGCTAAGATAATTGCTTACTAGTTGGCATACTCCTGTACCCCTAAAATTTGATGTAATGTTTCCATACTTGGGATTTCTTTCTCTTTCCTTCTTCCCTCTTTCTTTCTATTTTTGTAGAGAGAGGGTCTCACTATATTGCCCAGGTTGGTCTCAAACTCCTGGGCTCAAGTGATTCTCCCACCTGGGCCTCCTAAAGTGCTATGATTACAGGTGTGAGCCACTATGCCCAGCCAGAATCTCTTTCTCATAAGTGGTCAGCCTCATATTATAGTTATCTTCCTCATCCAAGTAGTCAGTCTCATAATGATATATTCTTCATTTTTTTTTATATCTATAGTACCACATATGTCTTACATACAGTAGGGACATGTTAATTGAATTCTGACTTGAAATTTGTTGACTGAAGGGCAGGAGTAGGGTGGTGCTGGTGTAGGTGGCAGTAGTGAAGTGGAAGAAGAAAAGCTATTACCTTGGGGGAAAGCTATCCAAGTAACCATAGTATCAGAGACTAATAAAGGAAGAGGTCTACATTAAATGTTATTTTTAAAAAAACAGATGAGTAAGAATTGAAAGGAAAAAAAATTACTGAATTTGGTGATTAAATGCCTCTGTGGTAGGACAGAAGTTAAATTTGAGGAATAAGTGATTGTACATTTTCAAAAAATGGTAGCACTGATCATTATTTATTTATTTATTTATTTATTTTAGAGATGGGGTCTTGCTATGTTGTCCAGACTAAAGTGCAGTGGCTATTTACAGGCATAGTTGTTATGCACTGCAACCTTGAACTCCTAGCCTCAAGGGATTGTCCTGCCTCCATCTCCCGAGTAACTGGGACTACAGGAAGGTGCCACCTTGCTTGGTGGGTAACACAGATCATTATAGCAAAAGATGAAAGGGTTTGGGGGATACAAGGAAATGCAGAAGACCCGTATATGGTTAAAGGCAAAGAGGAAGAAATAAGTAAGGAAAAGACTATAGATATTAGAAAAAACAAGGATAAGACAACTTTTACAGTAAACAAAAACTTCATTTTGCTTAGGAAATTAGAAACCATCCATTCTCCCTAATAATGACTGTCATCCATTTTTGTAAAGAAATAGGAAAAATAGTTGATTCTAACACAATAGCATATTTACTTTTACGGCAGGAATATCCAGAGTTCAAAACCAACTAACAGAGCTTCGCTAAAAACATTTTAAGGCCGGGCGCGGTGGCTCATGCCTGTAATCCCAGCACTGTGGGAGGCCAAGGTGGGCGGATCGCCTGAGGTTGGGAGTTTGAGACTAGCCTGGCCAGCAGGATGCAACCCTGTTTCTACTAAAAATACAAAAATTAGCCAGGCATGGTGGTGCATGCCTGTAATCCCAGCTACTTGGGAAGCTGAGGCAGGAGAATCGCTTGAACCCGGGAGGCGGAGGTTGCAATGAGCCGAGATAGCACCACTGCACTCCAGCCTGGGCAACAGAGCAAGACTCCATCTCAAAAAAAAAAAAAAAATTGTAAGAGTTCATAAGAAAATTGCAGGGCAAATCAAATACATAAATTCAACCAACATAAGCATACCTATATTTTGTGGTCTAATCAACTACAAGTTGGTATAATTTTGTGACATGGAAAAAATTCAAATAATTTCAAGTCTCTACAAAGGTTTTACTGCAAAGGTGCTTGATTTGGTAGTCTATTCAATGGTCTGCAAAGCTGTGTACTAGTTACATTTCAAATTTAATTGACTTTTAGCTACCACGGCCCTGTATCAGCGCTGATACTTTTCTCTGAACATAAAAACATTTCTATGCCTTTAAAACTAACTGTTGAGCTGGGCTCACTAGTGCACATCTATAGTCCCAGCTACTCATGAGGCTGAAGCAGGAGGATCCCTTGAGCCCAGGAGTTCTAGGCTGAAGTGTGCCTGATCGAGCCTGTCAATAGCCACTGTGCTCCAGCCTGGGCAACATGGTGAGATCCTGTCTCTTTAAAAAAAAAAAAAAGTTGATTGATAAAATTTTATTTGTATTCATTTCCACAAATTGAACATTTTTCAGTGATATTTACTGTAATATATTTTTTTCTCTCTTGCCCCCTACTCAATCCATCCCAAGTATTTTTCTTCTAAAATTGGGGTGTGAAAGACAGGTAAGCAGGCATGTATTTCCTAATTCACTTTTCTTTTGGAGGTTTTCATTATGTTTTAAGATTCTCACTCCCACATATTAAAATGACTCATTTATAATTTAAAGTTAACTTTAATCTTGATGTATTAAAGGTTCCCTCCTTCCAAATATTTGCTGCTAGCTTCAAATGAGGCTGTCATTGTGTTAATATTTAAAGTCTAAAAAATGAAACAAAATGAAAGTGATAAAAAAGATATATTTACTTATCCACTCTTTCATATTTAGAACTTCAGTGCTCTAGGGAAGAAGTACTAGGCAACTGCTATAATATTACCTCTCCGCTGGTCATCCTCACAATAGTAAAGAAATACTAGAGATCTTCATACATAAGTCAGGGTAAGAAACAAGGGAGACAAAAAAGAGGAATAAAAAAACAGATAATAGGGATAGAAAGGTGAAGACAGATATAGCAGGCAGTCAATTATTTCTTTATATTTTGCCCTGGCAAGGATAATACATATTCTATTTAAAAGCCCCATAATAAGTTTAAGCATATAAAATGGAGGCTAGAGCATCAGCATGGTATGTTAGAAACAGTACAGGCTTTTGGGTCAAAATACCTAAGTTTAAATATAGACTCCAACACTTCCTAACTTTCTGAACTTACTGTTTTATTTAAGTCAATCTTTCCCACTCAATCTTCCCCAGTAGATTAAGCTCTATAATGACAGGAACCCTGTCTCCTTGTTCACTCTTGTAAGCCTAGCACCTAGCATGATGCTTGGTAAATAGTAATGACTTCAGTAAGTAACTGTAGAACAAATGACAAACAATTTCAAGGAAGTTTTTCCGCCTCTGAGTCTATTTTTTAATATGTAAATGAATACAATAAAATTTATATTTCATAAAAACTCTGCCAAGTTTTTATGTATTTAAAGTATCCAGGAGAAAATCTTCTGTCACTAAATGTTCAATTTAGCATTCTCTAGGTGGTCTGCAATATCAATAAATAGCCATTAATGTTTTTAAAACATCAACACCTCTTCTTTTGTACCTCATATTCATATGAATTATAACATTGCATGTACTAACGCCTGCTTCAAAGGCTTTTCCTCTTTAGTGCCTATGATAGGTTGTTGGGAGGATTAAATGAGATAATGCAGGAAAATTACTTGGCAATGTGATTAACACGTGGTTAGAACTCAATAAATGTAAGTTTTTCTTTTTATCTTGTTTAAATGGTACTTGGTGTCTAGTGACCAACAATACTTAAGACTAAAATGCAGTTTGATGTAAACCAAACTGATTGTTATGGCTGCAGAGAGATCAGCTACAGGACTAACCTGGAAGAGTTTACCTAAAATGATACTTCCCAGTTCTAATGGTTACTACGGCTTCTCTTCTATTCAATCCAAAGCTGCCTTATAATTTCAAATGAGAGGCCAGAACTTAGAAGGGAAAACACAGCATTGCCACCAATTCCCCTCCCTTCTCTTTTTGAAACAGAGAACATTAGTATTTGGTTCTAATCCTTCAGAGTCTAGATATTAGAATTATTACAAGCAAGGAAGAAGACATTTTCTCCCTTTGCTCTACTAGCTTTAAAATATTTTTTAAGATTAAAATGCTTCAAAGGTGTATATTAAAGACCTAATTTAACTACACAGTTGATATTAATCAGATTTTGCTGGTATGTCATGCATCATAAAATTTGATATAGTATTTTCTCATCAGCTCATCATTTTAAATCTTAAGAATATTTAGGTATACTTTTCATGCCTTAAAATGGTCATTCTGTCTGAAAAAATATCAAGTGAAATTTCAATAGGTATTTGGAGTTGTTCTCTTTAGAACAGATTGCTGCAAATATTTACTTTCACATAAACCAGAGTCAAATTGGTCAGCTCTGAACACCAGAATCTATAATCAACTACCTAGAAAAAGGGAATCCTCTGGGTATGTCTGTTAATTTAGGAAGCAATTTCAGTTAGCAAACAGGGTAGGATTCAGAGGAAAATAATTTAAATAAATTACTTACTTTTGCAAATAATTCTTGTTGCTGTCTCAATAACTCTTCTTCAGGAATGCCAAGGTTTTCCAAACGAGAACTGGCCTTTCTTCTTTTTAATGCTACTGTTTTACACTCTTGCAAGACTTCTTTTACTTCACTGATGTAAGAGCCAAATCCCAAACTTTCTAGTGCTAGAGAAATGAAAATATTAAAATATGAAAGGGTGATAAAACACAGCTTTCCCCCAACCCGTAGACCTAAAGTTTTTGTGGGCTTTTCTTTGGGGGAGGGGAATGTTTTGCTGTTTTCTAATAATTTTACCTATTTTATAGTTGTACAACAACTGTCTGGGCAGCCAAGACAAATATTTTATCAATCTGCTAAATATTAGGTGGCAAATCAGTTAAAACTTGAAGAACCAAGGCACATGCCTTCACTTTTCATTCTGACTAATTTTTAAAAGACCAAAGCATTTCCTGTAAGCAGGGAAGAAAAAAAAGCCCATTATAAGAACATATGGTTTTAGTAAGAAAAAACATTTTGTGTCATTTGACTTAGAAAAAGTAGGCTGGTAACACATTCTCTACTAAGTTCTGGTAGGACAGAATAAAAGAACAGAAGTTTTTCTTTTGTCCAATATACCAACAGGAAGCTATTTTTAGCAGATACTCAAACTGCCAAGTTTAAAAAATACTGGTGGAAATAAAAGTCATGAAATTCAGCACTTATAGTCAGCCAACAGGTTTCTCTTGAAAATAAAACTTAACAGGAAAAATAAAAACATATTTAAATGATGTGGCAAAAAAAACGTAGCTGAAAGACTATAAAGATACAAGAAGCACTAATAAAAATGTTTCTCCCCTTTTCGTATTTAGAAAGGAAATTTTATAAGGAAAAAAAAATGGGCTAGGCATGGTAGTTCATGCCTGTAATTCCAGTACTTTGGGAGGCCAAGGTGGGAGGATCCCTTTAGTCCAGGAGTTCAAGACCACCGCGGGCAACATGGCAAGACCTCGTCTCTACAAAAAGTAAAAAAATTAGTCGAGTGTGATGGGTCGTGCCTATGGTTCTAGCTACTCAGGAGGCTGAGGTGAGAGGATTGCTTAAGTCCAGGAGATTGAGGATGTCACGAGCCATGACTGCGTTACTGTACTCCAGCCTGGATGACAGAGCAAGACCCTGTTTCAAAAAAAAAAAAAAAAAAAAATTCACACACCCTAAATACCTTCTGTAATCCAGAAAAGACAAGGCATAAAATTTCCTTTTGGGTCATAGTATTTAAAATTATATTTTATAGTTTTGGTATATTGACTAATGCCCCAAAGGCATATTTTGTATTGTGAACCAATGATGAAACATAGGTGGCAAAAAACAGTAAATCAATTTAAGTCATCAGTTCTTGAAGTCTTTCAATCATTATGTTGAACCAGACTCCTTTTAGTATACATGCTCTCACTTCTAACTTCAGGGATTTGCTCTTCTGGGAGAATGCCAAAAACACCTTTACAAATCTACATGCCCATGCAAACTGTGGTTTTTAGACATTTTGAATGATTTACAACTTTAAGTATTTCAAATGTTAAGCTGTTTTCATCAACCTTCTTTAGAAATAATCTGATGCCAAAAAGCATAGTACTGTCCTATTATTAAGTTAACTCACTTCCCCTGACCTCCCTAAAAACTTCAGAAAGGCATTATTCTAAGTTCTGTATATCAAATTCACCAACATGGCCAGGCACGGTGGCTCACGCCTATAATCCCAGCACTTTGGGAGACCAAGGCAGGCAGATCATGAGGTCAGGAAATCGAGACCATCCTGGCTAACAGGGTGAAACCCTGTCTCTACTAAAAATACAAAAAAAATTGGCCGGCGTGGTGGCAGGCGCCTGTAGTCCCAGCTACACGGGAGGCTGAGGCAGGAAGATCGCTTGTGCCCAGGAGTTTGAGGCCACAGTAAACTATGACTGTGGCACTGCACTCCAACCTGGGTGAGAAAGCAAGACCCTGCCTCTTAAAAATTAAAAATGAAGCAATAAATATCATATTGTTATTAGTTTTAGGGTTGTAGGAATCAACAGGTAATTAATATAAGGCGTTTGACAGTGTCTAGCACCTAAGAATCACTTAACCAACTCAGACTATGTATTTCTCATCTGTATTTTTTATTTTAAATTTAAAAGAGTACCCTCATAAGTGTACAGGACCTAAATAAATGTATAGCTATACAATATCATATTTAAATACAAGCTGGACAAGCATATTTATAAAATATCAAATTTATAAAATTAACAAATCAACACAATGGAGAGACAACCCTTCAAAATACCATAGTTACTATACTAGACATTAAGGATATCCAAGCCAGCCGACCATGGTGGCTCATGCCTGTAATCCCAGCACTCTGGGAGGCCAAGGCACGGGGATTACTTGAAGTCAGGAGTTAGAGACAAGCCTGGCCCACATGGCAACACATTGTCTCTACAAAAAACAGAAAAATTAGCCAGGCGTGGTGGCACACGCCTGTAATCCCAGCTACTCAGGAGGCTAAGGCATGAGAATTGCTTGAACCCGGGAGGCAGAGCTTGTAGAGAGCCGAGGTCACACCACTGCACTCCAGCCTGACAGCGTGACTCTGTCTCAAAAAAAAAAAAAAAAAAAAAAAGAAAGAAAATCCAATCCAAGCTATTTTTAACCATGGAGGGCTTGGATTAAGAATTTTTTTTAAATATATAACTACCTTTAAAAACATTTAAGGCTGAGAACACTGCTTTCAAGTAGGTCCAAGGTTAATATTTAATATTATTCAAAGAGTTGCCATACGTAAAAACTATACTCTCAACAAAATGGTTGAAAAGGAGCAGCCATAAATTTAATTTCAAAAATTTCATTGACTTTAATTTTAAACACATTGGGCTAACAGATATCAATAACTGGACATAATACCTTCTAAATAGAGAGATATTTTACATTATTTGCTATCATGTATTAGTTATCATTCCCATTTTACACAAAGAGAATATTAAAGGATAAAGGAAATGGCTCCCAAGCAGGGCCACCATTTACATACAGTTAGGTAGGTTGTTCAGTACACAACATACTAGAGGGCCATTCTTATTGTAAATACCATAAATTCGTATGTTTACTGTGATACTTTTTCTGGCAGACAGTAGTAATGCTTTTTAAGGAAGGAGTGCCTTTTTCTAATTTGTACAGAGACCTTATGGACTATTCATGGCCCTATTTCTAAGGATCTCATCTTTCCAAAACAGAAAAATATTTTTTTAAAAATTTGTGAGTAAAATTAACACACATCACTATCTGTCACCCTATGCCGTGTATCTCAAAACTACAACCAGAAAAGTCCATGGTGTACATTAGGGGAAAAAATACTTTGCACATTTTTCAGCTTAAAAGACAGATGTTAACAAGACAGCTATTAAAAAAACAAAAAAGAAGTAAAAATTTCTTTGAAGCAACAATAATCTTCATATAGGCTTATCTTATTTTACAAAGTGATGTACTCCTGAAAGGTTCTGTCATAACATGAATTTATGTGACTCACTTTATACTTCATATGCATAAAACATGTTTTTCATTTGTAAAATTACGTGATATACAGTACCTTTTAAATACTATATAAATCAGCATTCTCTAATTTCTCCATTTTCTTTTGTTTGTGGGAAGGAAGCAACTAATGTATTTCACATAAAATACATTAAGAGGATGTAGGCCAAAGTGACTTCTTGGCTCATTAGCCTGGCAAAGGTTTCTGAAACCCCTTAAGAACCATGTCCTCCATGGTATCACTACTGGAAATCTTGGACAACAATGAGAGACTAATGGCAGAGAAGGAATTGAGTATCATTTATCTTAATATCCTTAGTAGTACCTAGCATGATGCCAAATAATTGGTAGTATTCAATAAGTAATTGTGGGGTGGCAGAAGGAAAACAGAAATAAAAGATATATTAATTTAAAGAAAAGTATTAATAAAATCCTAACTTGAAAAGCATTTGATTATGTGATAAATTTTGCAGTGCAAATTAGATGTGTCCCTTCGGAAAAAATATCTGTATAAACGATTATTTACTACTTACGTCCACTTTCCAACAGAGACTGGTTTAGGCTTTAGAGCAAAGGTTCTCAAACTGTGGTCCATGGACTTATGCCAAAACTGCTCCTAATGGTTAACATTAGTTAAGTATGGAAATTCAAAGCATTTAAGTACCTTCATTGCAATTTGACAAAATAATTTTATGTCTATTGAATCAAATAGTAAAAAATTGAGTGTTGGTCTTTCCCTCATCTTTTCCAGTGATCTATTTTCATGTTATCTTACAAAGCTACTAGTGTGAGAAGGACAGGAATTTTTTAAAAATTCCTTCAACGTAAGACAGCTTGGAGCAACTCAACAGCTGAAGACGCAAATTCTCAGATACTCTTTCAAACTTTTACTACTTTCAGTTACAATTCTCATAAATGTGAGGGGAGATATTTCATGTAAGGTTCTCAACCCCTGACTAATTCTCAAAAATTACAAGTAATACCTGAAATCAAGTATTATTTGTACACAAATAAGAAAACCTTAGTTAAAAGATTTCCCTAAGGTTAAAGAATTCTCAGTGCGGAACTTACAGCTGACTCTCAATGTCAATTCTTTCTATAAGGCAACAGAACATGTTAGAACTCATTCAAGAATACGTGTTCACAAAAAACTGCAACAAAATAGGAACACCTTTTATAGCTTAGAACTCCCTCTATTCATGTATCTATGGTCTTCAATACCAAGTCTACTTTCTTAAACTCAAAATAAGCAAAACAGAAAAAAAAATTTTTTTAAATAAGTTATTTCATAGATATACTGGTGATAAAATTAGTTCAACTTTAACTTGCATTTTACAGAACTATCTCAGAATGCTTAATTTGCTCAGACAAGATAAAGCAAGGTGAGAAATGAACAAGTGAAATGTCCTGAAGCAAAGTCTAATTCATTAAACTTATCACTAAAAACCCAAACTTCAACATGTGAGAATCATATCACTTTAAAATGTACATTACTTATTCCATTTGGATATATTCTACATTCCTAATCAATGCTGACAGAAAAGTATAAAAATGTCCTATTATGATTAGTGTATAGGCACACACTTCAAACACCTAAAACATATAAACCTTAAGAATTTCTTTAAAAATGTAATCTCTCAAAACAAAACTTCTTTGGAATAATTAAGCAATATGAGATTATAAATGTATAAAGTCTACAACCCCAACTAGGGAGAATTCTTGGGCGAAAATGTAGATTCTTAACCACTTTTAAGAATAGCATAATACAAGAAAAAAAGGTAAATTTTTAAATTTAAGGTAACACGTCAATACATGATTTTTAAAAACAAATCATCTTCATTACACAATGGAAATGCTTTTTCACTATAGCTTTCTGACTCACACATTAAACTGAATTTAGCATATTCCAAAGTTGAATTATTTAGCATACTGCTTGCTACAGCTGCACTTCTATTCCATCATGTCAATCAGAAATCTAAATATATCCTAGAAAAGAATCAACTCTCCCCAAGAAGACAGACTGTAATGTGTTATTAGGTTTTTGGAACGATCCCCACTTCTGTAGTGTAAACAAATGTTTAGGCAGACCCTGCTGAAATCTTTTGCAATTTTCATTAGAAAGGCAATGTTGATAAAGGTTCTTTTTCCTTTTTAAGAGTTGTAAAAAGAAATTATAGCTATCTGTGCTGGATAATCTTGTGAAAGACTTATGACAGCAATCACACATACAATGTAAAAATAAATACACAAGGGAAAAAATAGACAACTTGGCTTTCATTTTACTTGCTAGAGTATTCAGCACACCAAACAAGTAGAAAAAAAAAAAACTAGTACTAGTTTTAAGAATCAAATATGCTTTTTCCTAGGGATTTTTCTGCTTGTGTACTGAAATGGCAGGATATATTTTAAAACTACTTTCAAGACGTCATAAAGGATTAAAAATGAATCATTTAATCCTTTTGTCAATACTGAGAGTAAAATATTGGATATGGTCAATATAAGCAGATGTGTTCTCTACTTCAGTACAACAGGAAAGTCACATTTTAAAAAGTTAAATTATAAAAATTAAGTGATAGACAACCACCTGCCTATCAAAATGATTAAAATTAATCATTTTTCCCTGATTTCACAAGCAATCAATAACTTTAATTAGATTATTACAAAAGGCAAGTTCTCACCTCAAATTGAGTACAACTCTTTCACAAGAGTACATGTAAAAATATCGCAAAAGGTACGTTCCCGAAACATTATGAATAGTAAATATGTTTCTCCTCTCTGAAACCACCAGAATACAGTCCCCCAAATCCCTATTACGGGACCAAATCCTTTCCAGGATAAAAGAAACTGTTGAAGTTTTCAGAAGTGCTGTTCCATAAAAGCCTAAGTGTATACATTCAAATAGGAATGACAGCAGGAAAGGACGGGGAAATTTTCCGTTAAAAAAAAAACTTGCATAAACTTTCAATCAAAGATTTCAAAACTTATCTCCACAGAATAGAACAAAGCAAACGACATAAAAGCAAACGAAAAGAAAAAAACGAAAATTTAAAGTTCACCCTATTCTTACAGAATGGAACAGGAGTTATTTGGTAACTCATTCATGAACGTACCATCAAACCATTTTTAGAGCAGAAAACATACACCTTTTATTTAACAACGATAAACTTGACAACGTTGAACACATTGTATGTTAAGAATTTTTTAACTCATGTGTTCAGAAAATAAATCTTTTCCTCTACATTGGTGAAAGGTCAGGTGGGGAAGGGGGTGCTCTGTCTCCACCCACGTTGAAGTTCCTCCGTCTGAATTTTAACTTTCCAAAGGAGAATTTCTGCGTTCCTTAATTATTATCTAAGTTCAACTTCAGGCAAGTAATTCTTGTTGCTTCGGCTTACCTGGCTGTAAAGTGAGATCACTCTTATTCTTTACGTTTTGGGGACGCTGACCTAAATGTTTGCACTCCTTACATGTATTCGCTGGATGAAAAGTACTGCAAAAATGCTACAAAGGGATTGTTTTTAAAGCACCGGCTGCCTACATGCCAGTCTGGCTTTTTCATTAAGTTACTTACCAGGGAAGAGGAATGGAGGCTTTGACACGAAAGGGTCACGCGATTAGCAGACTGCTACCCTAGAACCTCATTCAAACCAGCTCTCACACACGACTTACCTTGTATGACATGCTCTGGTGAGATGGTCTTCTTTTCCGATTTGTTACAAATCTCATTGGCTTCAGAAGATATAAGGTGAATGAATTCAGTGCAGCAGTTCACCACCAGCTCTCGAGCATCGTTGGCCACCCGGACATTAGGAAGAGTCTCTTTGATCATTTTATTGATAGCAGCTCTGGGGATAGTGAGATCATCATCGTTGCCAGACGAGGAAGCCATAGTACCTTCCTGTTTCTCGCGCCCCGGCTTTTAAAAACTCCCCAGCTCTGGTCCACTACTCCACCGAGATTTCTCAAAAAGTCGCCCTCGGAGAGTGATCCCGGGGGGTGCTTTGCGAAGAGGGTGCAGAAAATGAACGGAGGAGCAGCTGGCTTGAGGGCTGGGAACACTCGCGTGTGTGAGAGATTTAGGATGAGTTTGGGAAGAAAGTGGGGGCCCGAGGATTCTAGAGAGAGCACAGCCCAGGCTGAGGAGGGGAAAGCGCGGTGGTCCGGAAATTTGAGCGGCTGGGGAACCACCTTCGTGTCTCCTCAGAGGGGCGGGCGCTGTCGCCTAACTGGTCCCCAACGGCGTCGGAGCAGAGGCAAGATCCAGGGGCACTGGCCTCGCCGCGGTACCGGGCGGGTACCCAGCGGGCTCGGCTCTATAGAGCCCGAGGCCCCGCTGCCGCTGCCGCCGCCGCCAGCAGCCGTTGCCGCCGCCTCGGCCAAACCATCCTTCAGACACCCGCGCCGCCGCCTCACAACATGTCCGCCGCTGCCGCTGCCGCTGCCGCTGCTGGAACGGCGACGGCCGCCTGGGAACTAATATGGACAGAGCCAGGCACAGTGGGAGTCGCAGTGGCTGCCGCCGTGGCCGCGTAGCCCGAACGCAGATCGTGGAAGCCGAAGACGCGGCAACGGTGGTCCCTCCAGATGCCAGGGAAGGTTTGCAGGAAGCCGCTCCCGACACCCTTTGCGCCACCGGAAGCCTCGTTCCCTCAGATTTCCCCCTCCCTCCCGGACCGACTTCCGGGTGTGGCTGCCGCCCTTCCCCCACCCACGCCGGCGGGAGCCGCCCGTTCGCGCTGCCAGCAGCTTCCGCCTGCTACGGTCCTGGCAAGCACCTCGGGATCCCATTCCTTCACAGGGACCCTAGCCAGGCAAGCGCGCGCCTCACTGTACCGGAGAGCTCCAAGCACGCGCTTGGTCTGGGGCCCGGACGCTACATCTGGGAAGGGGTGGGTGGCTGGGTAGATAGGCGAGGAAGGATCGTCTCTACCCTCTCTCAAGTAGCTGAGGCCTCCGAAACCTTCCCTAGCTGGATTTGGGGACAGAGGAGCGCTGGTATTGATAAAATAACTCTCTTTGCTATTCCTTTAGGAGCCCAAATGAGGATTGAAAGTGAGAAGAATGGGACCTGGGCTTGGGGGTGGGAGGTGGGGAAAGCAGAACCCCGTGTGCCTGTTTCTGCGTCGTCTGGAGAAAAAGCTTTTCAAGATGTCTGATAGACCTTATTCGGTTCAAAGCTCTCTAAAGTCCTTCACCTTTTTTTTTTTAAACTTCATGAAAAATGAAACATTTCAGAGAAGTTACTTGCCTAGAGGCAACTAAGTCGCCTAATGGCTAAGTAGGAAAGCAGAAGTCAGTTCCAACATAGTGGAAATGGAGTGGAAATGCATGGCATACAATGAGCTATATTAGAAGGTTCCCATTTAGACAGTTTTCATGTTGTATTCCATGTTGGCTTCTACAGGGGAAAAAAGTGTTAGAGCATCTTAAGCAACTGTTTTTACTTCTTTCCATAGTGACTAGTAATATCAACAGGTGTCAAGGTCTAAACAGAAATTGCATTTAAAAAAAAAAAAAGTGTGTCAGCCAGGCGTTGTGGCTCATCATACCTGTAAACCCAACACTTTGGGAGGCTGAGGCAGGGGGATCACATGAGCCCAGGAGTTCAAGACCCGCCTGGGCAACATAGTGAGACCCGTCCCTACAAAAAAAAAAAATATATATATATATATATATAATATATATTTATATATATAAATATATATTCCAACATCCCACTGTTTATAGTATAGCCTCTTCTATATGACAATATGAAACACGGGTTTTTTTTTCACCAGGCTTGGTGGCAGGCACCCGTAGTCCCGGCTACTCTGGAGGGCGAGGTGGGAGGATCGATTGAGCCAGGGGGTCAAGGCTGCAGTGAGTTGCGGTTGTGCCACTGCACTTCCAGCCTGGGTGACAGAACAAGATTCTTTGTCTCAAAAAAGATAAAAAAAAAAAAAAAGTAAAAAAACTGAGTCTGTCATACTGTCATGTGGAAGAAGAGGCTATACTATAAATAGTGGGATGTTGGAATTTCTAAAAACTAAACAAGACACTGTTGAAATCCATTTTGTCACTTTGGTTCATCAGATTCATTACTCTTGATACATATGATGGCAACTGGCTTGTTGACAGTGTTTTCTTAAAACGTTCTGTCTGAGCCCTATATGCTGCTCTCAAGAAGACATTACAGTTTATTATGCTATTTTTTCATTTAGCATTTTCTGCAGGACAACTTACTGGTTCTTTAATTTCTGAAGTGTAGACACTTGTTTTTCAGTGCTACTAAATTTAGTCAAAACAAAATTTCTTTGATTAAAAACAGTATTTTAATTAAATTTTCTTCAGGCTGGGCATGGTGGCTCATGCTTGTAATACCAGCACTTTTGAGAGGCCAAGGGGGGCGGATCACTTAAGCTCAGGAGTTCGAGACCAGCCTGGCCAACATGGTGAAACCTCACCTCTTCTAAAAATACAAAAATTAGCTGGGTGTGGTGGTGGGCACCTGTAATCCCAGTTACTTGGGAGGCTGAGACAGGAGAATCGCTTGAACTCTGGAGGCAAAACTTGTAGTGAGCCAAGATCGTACCACTACACTCCAGCCTGGGAGACAGAGCACGACTCTATCTCAAAAAAAAAAAAATACTTTATGAAGTGGTGGGTTTGTTTTTTTTTGTCAGTTTACTGTTGATTTAAAGATTTATTATGGTGCCTAAATTTATCTTGACCTTAACAAGTTTATCCGTCTGAAAAAGCTGGCTGGCAAAAAATGTCCCAAGTTGTCACAGTGTCACTGACCCTTATCTTGTCTCTCCTGAAAAAACTATAACTTTGCTTTTTCATGTAACATTTATGTTTATAGACTTATGCTAAATAGACGAGTAGAGCACACATTATTTCAGTAATAGTTTATTGCTACAGGCTTCTGTGGTAGCATAAACAGAATTGAATGTGTAGTAAGAGTTGTAGGTTCCAGTCCCAGCTTTTTTTTTTACTTAGACAAGTCACTCTCCAAGCCTCATTTTCTTCAGTTCAGATATAGAAATATTATGTAACACACAGGATTCAAAATCAAATGAGAGTTGTGTGAAAGTACTTTTTATAGTATGAAGTGTTATATAATGTTAGTGTCTTTTATCATCTTTATCAGGCTTGGTCAGTCTTCAACTAGTAATGAACCATGTAACTAGTTTATTACATACGTGGCTGAGAGAAATTTAATTGGATATAAATACCAGTGTGATATGTCATAAAATATGCTAATCTGTAGCCCATATTTAAATAGTTATTTATAGTACACTACATGTATCTGTATTATAAATAGGCTTTTAAGGACAAAGAGAACATCTCCTTATTAAGCTTTAAGAGTTTCAGAGAGAATGCATATATATGAAACTTTTTTTTTTCATGTTGTCTAGGTGTGGTAGTGCACACCTGTGATCCTACCTACTTGGGAGGCTGAGGTGGCAGGATCACTTGAGCCCAGGAGGCTGAGGCTGCAGTGAGCCATGACACTACTACACTCCAGCCTAGGTGACAGAGTGAGACCCTGCCTCAAGAAAAGGAAAAAAAAAGTTTAGCCTCAGAGTAGGGTTAGGGGAGTGTCACTGTCAAAAACAGTGGAGTTGAAAGGGAGCTGTTTAGAGAAGATGTGCTTGCTTTTGCACATGTTTGGGCAGGCATTTGTAGAAGTGGTGTCCTATAGAAAGTGGAAAGAGAAGACAGCATCTGATTTCTACATTCATTCAATAACTGTCTAGTGTCCTGACTATGATGTGGGAGAAATAAAGATGAATATAACTCCCACCTTGTTCTTGAAGACCCTATAATCTGGTGGGAGAAGCAGAATATAAACCAGATTCAAATAAATATTGTGATAAAATATACAGGCTAAGAATGCATGGGAAGAAGTGATTAACACACTAGTTGTGGAGTACAAAGGGTTTTATGGAGGACTGGATATTTTAACTGCACCTTGAAGATTGAGTACAATTTTGATAGGGAAGGAAAGAGCATGTAGCTGAAGAAAAAACACAAAAGTACATTGTATGGCTTGGGGAAATAAAGTAGTCTAGAGTGGCTCTATTAATAAGGTTTGTAAAGAGGTGTAGTGGTATATGATGCAGGAAAAGTAGGTTAGGGCAAAAAGAAAACAGATCAGTGCCTGATATGAATTATACACTGGGCCAAAAGTTTTTCATATTTGCTATTTCATTTAATTTCCATATAGCCATGCAAAATAGGTGTTTTGACATGGGGGGAAAACAGTCTCAGAGAGTTTTACTAATTTGTTCAAAGTCTCACAGATAATAAGTAATGGAGCTGAAATTTCAAACCAGGTTGTTACTTAACTCCAAAGCTGAAGCTATTTGTAATTTGGTAACTATCTCTAAATTAAAAAAAAAAAGGAAAAAAGGTTATATTCATTATAGGACTTTAAAAATATAAAGCACTTTCACATGTATTTGGTCTTTATAACTAGTCATTAATCCCAATTGATGGATGGGAAAATTGAAGCCCAGTGAGATTATTCAAGGTCACAGAGTGAATAAGTGGCAGATTGGAAATGCAACCCAAGCTTTCTGACTACAAAGTCTCAAGTCTTTCCACATCATTTTAAGAAGTCTGGAGATCCTTTTGTAAGCAGTGGAAAGAGTTAGTGAACATTTTTGAGAAGGGGGATGACATAAACAATAATGTTTAAAAAGATTAGTTTGAGTTCGCATGTGAGATGGTCTGGAATGGACAGAGACAAGAACATTAATTATTAAGCTATTGTAAAAATAGTAATGATGTAGACCTGAACAAAGAAAGTTTGGTGATAATAAGATAAAAGAAACAAATTAGAGGCATTTGGAAACAGAATTTACAGGATTTAGCTTCTGCCTGCATCTACCGTGAGATACGAGGACCGTGCCTAAATAATAATGGAGGTGGGGACAATGATGGTAAGAAGAGGTAGATTTGGATGGAGAGAAAGAAATAGCTATCCAAATGGATGTATCCAGTGAGAGTTGGACAGCGGAGATGTGGGATCATATAGTAGGGCTATGTAACAAGTCCCTCTATAGCAGGGTTTGTTTAAGCTAGACTGTAAGTACCCAGAGCCAGTGAGGGTCTGGTTTATTTCTGCATCCCCAGAGCCAGGACAGTCCTTGGCACTCAATAAATATTTGTTAACTTTGAAACTGGATAAAGACCTTTAAGGATGGTAGAATTTTTTGAAAAATGTTCAAAGACAGAAAGCAAAAAGAAGAAAATATTTGAGGAAAGATTTGATAGAAACCAAGAAGCATTATGTAAAGGAAGTCGTGGGGAGAGAGTTACAAGAGTGTGAGATGCCACAGAGAGGCATTGTTGGAAGGGGATCAAAGATAGTGTTACTGAAGTAAAAGTTCAGGAAGAGAGATCGGAAGTCAACATGCAAAGAACTGAAGAGGAATGGGGGGAGAACTAGAGCCAGGCAGCAGAGAGTACTCTTTCAAAAAGTTTGGTGGTGAAGGAAAAGGGAGCAATGAGAAAACACCTTAAGGAAGAAGCAGGGTCAAGGAGGAATTGCAAAGGCACATGTAGCTCAAGGGAAAGGAGCCAGAGAAGAGAAGCAGATTGAAAATACAAGCAAAATGAAGCTCAAAGAAATGGAGGAGGATGAGATTGAAAAGACACAGATGGAGTGATCAGGATTAGGTATACAGATCTGAGCATGTTTCACAGAAAGGACAAGTTGAAGCCAAATTATAGGTGAGTGATTATAGACAGTGATTGCAAAGGGAGAAGAGCAGAAGACTAAGGAAATATTTAGAGAATGACCACAGGCAAGGGCAAAGGAGGGGTCAAAGAAACAGCAAGAGAAGTTGTGTAAATTCATTGTCACAAAAACAGATACACAACCAACCAAGTTTGAGAAAAAGAAGTAGCCCAAAGTGTCAAGCGTTGCAGAGGAGGATGAGAACTGGGAATAAATGGTATATATCCAGTATATTTGTACAAACAGTTCATGAACAAACACCTTAGAATTTTTTTTTTTTTTTGGTCTTTTCAGTTAAAGCTGATACATTCCTGTGGGTCAACTATGCAACTAACTCAGATTTTGAGGTGAATAGCAAATCTCTTTATCTATAGATGATAAGTTTAAATTGTGATGCAAATAAATTTTTCTTTCAAATGGTGTGAATGTTGAATCTAATTCAGTCCTGCTAATTTTGTTTAAAAAGCATTTGAAGCAGATGGAACTGGAAAGCCTACTTCTGTAAATTCCATTTACTCATTCATGCATTGCTTTCATTCAAGAAATGTTTATTAGTGTCTACCATATACTTTGCTAGTTACTGGGGTTATGAGGGGATATGGCAATAAACAAGAAAGACAATGTCTATTGCCTGAAGAAGTAATACCAAAAGAAGAAAAAACTATTTGCTGTATTGTTGGTAATAGAAAAATATTAATTTAACTTTTAAAAACAATTGAAACAATGATTAATTATAGTAAATCTATTTGAATAACTTATGTAGGCATGAAAATACTTATGAATATTATATATGAATATGGTAATTTTCCTCTAATATTAAAACTAAATACAACATTGTTATTAGAACAACGTGAAAATACATATGTACATGGAGAAAGGCTCAATAGAAATGCAAACGTGTGTGCTAGAATAAAGAAGTTATTGGTGGTTTTACTTTTGATTATCCCGTAAATTTTTTTAATTTTAAATTATTCTTTTTAAAAATGTCTTCTACTAATCTTTAAACATTATTAAGTAGTGAGAAATATTATTTCTACTGATTTATAAATATATCCATTCTTCACATTCACAGTGGGATTTGTAAAAGCAATCCTTGGATTTACAACCTTTTTTTTTTTTTTTTAGCAAACAAAGCTCTCAAGTTGGTGATCCTCAGGTAAAATCTAACCTACAGATATTGCACCAGTTATTTATTGCTACAAAAATGCTGCCTAAGAAGCCACCCAAAGGGCAGTGGGTTACAACAATAACTATACCTTTTTTCTTAGGAGTCTCTGCATTAGTTGGACAGCTCTTCTGGAATTATCTTCTAAGTCAACTGTGGGTTGGGTAGGTGGCTCTGCTGATTTTTCGCTGGACTTCCACATTTGGGACGAGTTGGCTGTCATCAGCTCTAGAAAGGGTGTGGCCGTTTTACATTGGCTGTTTTCCTCACATTCCTCAAGCAGGTAAGCTTAATCATGTTCTCATATTGAAGCAGAAACTGTTTACTCATTTATCTATTTACTTACTGGGTCTCCTGGGCACTAGGTACTGTAATAAAGAACTGGAGAAATACAGTCAGATGGGAAGTAGCCCTTGCTGTCAAGGAGCTTGCCATCTAATGGGGGAGACAGGCAAGTAAACCAAAGACTACACAGTGCAGTATGGTAAGTGCCATGATTTTGATGTGACAGGGCACAGTGGACGACCTTCCAAATCAAAGCAAGTAACTAGGGGTTGACAATGGTAAGTATCATAGTTGAAGTATCCTTGAACAAGGTTTCAGGAAGAAGAAGAAGGGAATTTCATGCAGGGAAACAGCCAAAGCTCAGTGAGTCAAAATATCACAGCATTCTTGGTAAGCCCAATTGTTTTTTCTGTTTTGCTATTTTGGTGGAGAGAAAGGAACACATAAAGGAATAACATGAGAGAAGGCTATTTGGGGAAGTGTAGTAGTTAAGGTTCTGGCTCAAACAACAACTGCAGCTCATAAAGTTGACTTTAGTGGAAGGATACTGGGGTATCTCATGGAATCTTGGGAACTGTTGAATAACCAGGGAAACTCTGGGAAACTCACTGGTAGGAATCCATAAACTGTCCTCCTGGTGGGCTGTAAACAACTCACCCTCTATGCATCTCACATCAAAATTCCAGTTTCTTGGGAAAACAAGTCTGTTTGCCCAATTTGGGTCATATTTCCACGTCCATGTTACTCAGGCATGATTCATCTGCAAGTTATGTGTATAGATATTTTGCTACTGTTCCACCCTTACGCTGTGCTGGGGAGGGAGGTGTCACTGTGAGCTGTGTCGGTGCCTTAAGAGATATCTGTTGTGTCTTATTACTTGGTTGCTTTTCCCCACATGTACAATGACAAAAATGCCTTCAACCTATTTGATCCAGCCGTTCCAGTACAACTCCTATACTTGCCATCTTTCCAAGCCCAAAGGTACATCCAGCTGATGGAAGGAGCATCTTGGTGTTAATATTCTTTTAGTCATGGTCTCTGAAAGTAAAATGTCTATTCTTCTAATTCTGGCACAATCTTATCTAGCTATAGTTCCTCATGGTCCTGCACTCCATGGACTAAATTGTAAGTATAATTACTACCAATGTACTCTATAAATAACTTTTGGGGCCAGGGTGGCAATAGTTGCTAGAGAGAAAAAAAAAAAAAAGGAAGGAGAAGAAAACAGTGATAGTTCTTATTTTAAAAGGAAAAAAAGAGGCAGGAGGCTCTCTTGAGGCCAGGAGTTTAAGACCAGCCTAGGCAGCATTTCAAGACCCTGTCTCTACTAAAAAGTAAAAAAAAAATTTAGTCAGGCATGGTGGCATGCACCTGTAGTCGTAGCTACTCAGGAGACTGAGGTGGGAGGATTGATTGAGCTCAGGAGTTTGAGGCTGCAGTGAGCAATCATCATGCCATTGCACTCCAGCCTGGGCATCAGAGCAAGACCTTGTCTTTTAGGAAAAAAAGGCAGGGAAGAGGAATAGGTAATTTTTCAGTGTTCAGACATTCCAGCAATATGTGTGGAGTACTCATTCTCACTACAGTTTATGAGGCCATAGCTAGTATGTATGACTACCCATCCAAGTTTCCCTGCTTACAGTTACTATTCCAACTGATTGGGGGGCTTTTCCTAATAGAGTGATTTAAGCCTTCATTTTTAGACATCTAAGCCCTTGGTGATCATCAGCATAAAATGTGACAAATTAAACAAAAGCAAGACAGCACATCAGAGAACAACTCTGAGGTGGAATGATTGGGAACCAATGAATAGTTGTTCAGTAAATGGTTTATATTTTACAGATGATGAAACTGAAACACAAAAAATTTAGATTAACTCTTAGGTGACAAAGCCAGGATTGAAGCTCATGCGGTCTGGCTCCAGAACAACTCTTCTTCATAGTTACGTTATACTGCCCCTGCATTGTTGGTATTGAAAGTAAGTGTAGGCCCTGGGCCTTCTATACCTGGGATTAAGTCACATATTCCTCTTCCTCTTCAAATTTTACTAGTCTTGTGAGCGAGAAAAAGCTACTGAATTTTTCTAAGCTCAGTCTTTTTCATTTATGAAATAGAGATATCCTTTGTGGGCCGGTTGCCGTGGCTCACGCCTGTAATCCCAGCACTTTGGGAGGCCGAGGTGGGTGGATCACGAGGTCAGGAGATCAAGATCAGTTGAAACCCCCTCTCTACTAAAAATACAAAAAATTAGCCAGATGTGGTGGCGGACGCCTGTAGTCCCAGCTACTCGGGAGGCTGAGGCAGGAGAATGGCGTGAACCCGGGAGGCGGAGCTTGTAGTGAGCCGAGATCACGCCACTGCACTCCAGCCTGGGCGACAGAGCGAGACTCCGTCTCCAAAAAAAAAAGAAAAGAAAAATAGAGATACCCTTTGTGGAGGCATGATGCTTATCATGTGATAAGCGGATTTCTAAAAATGGTGGTGGCTTTAAGCCTAGCACATAAAGTTGGGATTTTACAAGAAAAGTAGAGAGAATTGATCAAGAGATTTTGTGACAGAACAGGAAGTTAGAAGGCGGCGAAATGAGAAATGATCTGTGAGAGACTTGAGGAGATGAAGAGGTAGATATTCTCAATACACTGTAGAAAGCATGATTAAGGGGAAGGAAGTGAGAAACATTTTTTAAAAATCATCCTCCAGCTAATTTGGAGAACAGCCACACTTTGTAATATGAGCCAAGAGATAAAATCAAATTTGTGTCTCGGGAGGGGAAAATAAGCCTCTTTTCAAGTTAAATTCCCCTGCCACCTGGTTTGTTTTCTTCACTGTAAATGAGCACTGGGAAAAGAACAGGCTTTAGAGATTCTGCCCAAGCAATTCGCAGACCATTTTCTTGGTAATCACATTGTAGCTCTTTTTTCAGTCAGGCTCACACAGGATTTAATGCTGTTTTTTGACAGCAAGTATTATTTTTGACGTCTATCAAATGCACCAAAACATGCCTGAAATGTCTTATTGGAATGTATATATGGGAAGAAAAGTGAGTTACATGTATCTTTGAAATGACCTAATATAAAATTCTGCAAATTCACCTTTATAAGCTTGGTTATGTAACTTGACCTAAGTCATTGTTTTGGTTAAAACCTATTTATTCCTAATGTTCCATTATTGGAATGCTAAGCTTGTGGGAGTTATTTATATCCTATGCTCAAGGTCATCGTCTGATTTTTCACACAAAAAAATTTGCAACCTCTGGCATAAATGGGTTAAGGCCAACATTTACTACAATGAGCTAGTACATTGATTAAGTGACCAATTATAGTATTTTCAGGAGCATATGATGGCAAGTGGCATGTGGTTAAATTACAGGCAAAGTGATTGAGAAAGTCACTGTCTAAATACCAGTTCACCATGATGGCATTCACCATCAAACCTATCGTCTTTATTAAAACTAAAATTAGGGTTACTGTTTATATTTAGAACAGAAATATGTATCTTTGTGATTTTCTTGTATTTGGGAGAAAGGAACAACTTAAGCACAACTTAAACCTACGCAGATGCTTTTCTAGTATTGGGAGCTTTAAAGGATAACAAAATCGATTTCTATTTCTTTGGTATAATTATATTGATTATATTGGAAAAACATGAACCAATACATTTGGCTTTAAGATCTACCAGCTGGTCACATACAGGTACCCATGTATGCAAAATGTGTTTGATCTTTTTTTTTTTTTTTTTTTTTTTGAGATGGAGTCTCGCTCTGTCACCCAGGCTGAAGTGCAGTGGTGTAATCTCGGCTCACTGCAACCTCCGCCTCCCGGGTTCAGGCAGTTCTCCTGCCTCAGTCTCCTGAGTAGCTGGGATTACAGGCGCGCACCACCACGCCCGGCTAATTTTTGTATTTTTAGTAGAGACGGGTTTCACCATGTTGGTAAGGCTGATCTCAAACTCGTGACCTTGTGATCTGCTCACCTTGGCCTCCCAAAGTGCTGGGATTACAGGTGTGAGCCACTGTGCCCGGCCTTGATCATTTTAAATTCATAAATAATACTTAGCCCCTGAGTAATTATAATAAATATATAATTAATGCATATATCACCCATAGTTAATTAGGAATATTTTATTGGCTTAATGAGCAAAATATGATCATAAAATATAAGCCATCATAGCCCAGATGTATAGCAATAAAAGAGCTTAGATTATAATATCTCACAATACAAGTCTGCATTAGCAATGACACTGTTATAAAATATTTATAACACTTTCTGATTTAATTTTAAAGAGATTCATTCAGTATCTTTTTGGCATTTGAAATGAAACCTTATTTTCCCTCCACACAATAGCTGATTAAAAACAGCTTTTGAAGAGGTCCCAGGCAACACACACAGAGGGGAAATGGTTAGATACGTGGGGCATCTTTGTATTTTCACATTAAAATTCAATGTTATTCAGACCCAAGTAGATAGATAATAAAAGTGGCATTCAAGTTGGGAATGGTAGCACAAGCCTGTAGTCTCAGCTACTCAGGAGGCTGAAATGGGAAGATCACTTGAGCACAGGAGTTTGAGGTTTTAGTGCACTGTGATTGCACCTGTGAATAGCCACTGCACTTCAGCCTAACATAGCAAGACCCCATCTCTTTTTTTAAAATGTTACATTTATAATCAGTGAGGAAAATATAAACTATACAATAAATGAAAGGGTCATTGGCCAATTGTTTGGAGGGAAAAAATACACCATGTTCTAAAATAAATTTCTAGTGATTTATTGTGACTTTCATGCATTTGGATGATTTTAAAGATTTTATATAAAAATGAAACCATAGCCTTACGAGAAGAAAATATAAAGAAAAACTTGTATAGTCTTGGGAGGGGGGATTATATTATGTGAAACATTAAGTAAAATATTTATTTTTTAAATATTAAAAAACTAAAAACTGTGCTTTAGAAGTCACCAAAAAATTAAAGGGCAGGCTGGGCATGGTGGATCACACCTGTAATCCCAGCTTTGGGAGGCTGAAATGGGAGAATCACTTGAGGCGGGGAAGTTCGAGACCAGCCTGTGCAATATAACAAGACCCCCATCTCTCCAAAAAAAAAAAAAAAAAAAAAAAAAAAAAAAAAAAAAAGCCAGGCATAATGGCGTGTGCCTATAGTCCTAGCTACTCAGGAGGCTGAGATGGGATGATTGCTTGAGCCCAGGAGTTTGAGGCCACAGTAAGCTATGATTGCACTATTGCACTCTAGCCTGGGTAACAGTGTGAGAACGAGACCCTGTCTCAGAAAAAAGAAAAAAAGAAAAAGAAAAAGGGCAAGTGCCAAATGGAAAGAGAAAAAAAAAGGACTAACAATTAGGAAGTCTTACATATCAGTAAGGAAAAGATAAATAGCCAAACAGAAAAATGGGCAAAGGACTTGTACTGGTAAATCAGAAAAGAAGAAATGAAAAGGGTCAGCAAAGATTTTTTTTTCATTTCCATCAATAATAAAAGATGCAAATCAAAGCAACATTAAAATACCATTTTGCCTATCTAATTGGTAAGGATTATTTTTAAAGATAATACTCAGTATTAGAGAAGGTAATTAATAATGTGTGCCACAAGATGTTCATTGCAGTGTCCTTCCTTCCTCCCTCCCTTCTTTCCTCCCTCCCTCTTTCCCTTCTTTGCTCTCTCTTTCTTTTTTCTTTATCTTTTTTTGGTATATGTTTGATATTGGTGAAAAACTGAAAAATGAAAATGACCAACAAAAAGAGGACTGGTTAACTAAAGTATGGTAAATTCCTTCAACCAAACATCAACACTATTCAACCAATAAAAATGACACTATAGTTAATATATTTGAAAAGATGTTCATAATATATGAAGTTTTTGTTTTGTTTTGTTTTCTTAGACGGAGTCTTGCTCTGTCGCCAGGCTGGAGTGCAGTGACACGATCTCAGCTCACTGCAACCTCCACCTCCCAGGTTCAAGCGATTCTCCTGCCTCAGCCTCCCAAGTAGCTGGAACTACAGGCACGCACCACAACACCCAGCTAATTTTTGTATTTTCAGTAGAGACAGGGTTTCACCATGTTGGCCAGGATGGTCTTGATCTCTTGACCTCGTGATCTGCCCGCCTCGGCCTCCCAAAGTTCTGGGATTACAGACGTGAGCCACCATGCCCGGCATATATGAAGTTTTAAAAAATCAGAATACAGAACAAAATTTATTGGGAGATGAGCTTCTTTCTTTCTCTCTTCAACACCATCGCCACATCACCTCCACATATACACACACTGAAAAGATACTGAAAAGACATAATAACCATGGGAAATGGAGATTACTGGATTGTTAAATGTTCTTTTTGCCTGTCTTTATTCTCTAACTTTGCTATAATGAACAGAAATTATTTTTTGATAAGCAAAAAATATTTTAAATTTAAACATGTAAAGTAACTTAGTAGTTGTCTTTTCAAAATATGTAAGAATCATTAGTTCACTAGTTGGTTAAATATGTTTTTAATCCCAACATCTTGATAATTGTCGCAAAATTGAGGGAACATTTTTTGAACTCTAAAATGCTATAGAATTGACAGATCATTTTTCAGTTCATAAGTTATTACTTATAATCAGTTTTTTTATTGTTACTATGGCAATATTTTATACACAAGAATGGCTGAGGTTAGGAATTTGTGCCCTGAAAATTGTATCAACATATCAAATATGAAGTAAATAACAATTTCTTGCTTTAAATATAACAAAGATGTGGGAAGAAGTGGTAGGCAAGAGTCTCTGTGTTACCATGGGAACGATTAAGTTTTCCAAGGTGCAAACCAGCCTCATTCCAGCTTCAGGGTCAATGACTTACTAGCTCAGAGGGAAATGTATAAATATTTAAGTACATACCTACTATCTGTACAGAGTGACTCTCATTACCCAGAGAACTGCTGTAAAATATTATTTATTCACAGATTACACAAAACCAATCTAAATTAGTACTTTTATACATTCTATTTGGGGAGTACTTAAGGTGTATGAGCAAACAAATTGTTATCCAGGTCACTCCAGAACTGTTGTATACAGATTAAGAATTGATGTTGGATACTAATTAAAATCATTAAAGCAAAATCAAAAAACACTTTGGCTAGCATTTCAATTATTTTTTAAACAGGATTTCTTAAAACAATCCCCAAAGTAGTCTTGTAATTTGTTCATTTTAAGGATCTATGTTACTCTGAGGCCAATCAAGGGGGCTAACAGTCTAGTTGGGGAGCCAAGATAGCCATTCATCAATTCATTCATTCATTCAGTAAAATGTATTGAGAACCTACTATGTACCAAGCAATGTGCTGGGCACTAAGCATTGAAGAATACCTGAAACATGGCACCTGACCTCAAAAAGCTTAAAATTAGGAGACATAGACATGTAAGTAAATAACTGCTATAGGCAAATCTCAGCAACTGCCACACCTGCTTGCTCCTTTAGCAGAACTTCTCTGATTGGCCATATTCTGCACATAGTGACCAACTCACCTCTTTTCCCTATCTGCTTTCCTTGCTATAGCTGAGAAAAAAGCTGTGGCCCAAAAGTTTCTCCCCTGAGAGGGACAGGATCAGATTGTCTTTTCAAGAGTTCCCATGTGCAATACAGAGCTGAAGTTGAAGCTGAAAGGATTCATAGAGAAAGGCCAGTATAAATCTTCAGCATACCAAAGTTATGAGAAAGGAGAAAGCTTGCAATGCATGTATAGAGGAGGTGCTGAGGAGTTGGTGGTAGCAGCAGACAAGGGAGGAGAAATGGATAGAATCATGGTTATTGTCAAGGTGGAGGATCCGTGAACTGCAACTGAAGAGGGCTAGTGACATGACCCAGTTCTTAGGGCTGTCTCTATTCCTGAATATTTACTTAATATAAGGCAATTCTTATATAGCATTAGGGTAAAAAAAAAAAAAAAAGGATTCGAAGTTTCCGAGAGACTTCTGTTTCAGCCATAACAGAATAGTGAATTTACCTTCCCCCAGTAAATAGCCATAAAATTAAATAAAGTAAATAAAACCAACTGTTTTCAGACATTGGACAATAGAAAGCACAGAACTCTATGATCCTTGAGAGAAGGGGAACAAAGAAGGTGTTAATCACAAAGCAATTTAATTTACATAAGCAAGGAATATATTAAACATCTATTTAGAAATCATTTGCATGAATGTTCAATATTCACTTTATTTCCAGAGTCATCCATATGTAATCTGGATTACTTAGAGGCTGTCACGTTAGCCAACATTAATGTATAATGAAAGCGCATCAGTTTAATATAAGCATCCACAAGTGACCATATGGGAGAAGCAGTTAACATTGAGCTTGCTGCAATACTAAGGGAGTTACTTTTATAAAAATTAGGCTATAAAAAAAAATTAGGCTGTAGTCTCCATAATGTATTATACAACTAATTTAACTCTGGAAATCTACCTATAATCCTACAAAATATTTGCAGATAATCAACTGCAAGTTCAGACTTGGAAATAAACAAAAGAACTACCCACTGTTTGCTTAAATCCGCTTAGGTCAGCAATATACCTGAAATTCAGTAGCTTGCTGTCAGTTAAGATGCCGTGCATTAACACTGAAGGAACTGTTGTGGAGAGGAAGCAGGGAATGATTAGCACTGAAACCACTGCACTTTTATAAGGAAGGAAAATTTTCTTTATGCGGGTATGAATAATACTAACAAATGAAATACTGGAACATGTAGGTGGAGGATACATCATTTTGGCTGTTACGGATGATGTCAAGTCATACCTAACCTGCTCATTGTATAAAACTTAATTAGTACTCCAAAGTGCCTTACTGTAACTAATAAAAGATGTATTGACCCCCCTGTGCTATTAAGATAAGACTGAGATTCTGTAGCAAAGAGACATCTCATGTCAGAGGTAAGAGGTCAGAGGTCAGTGCTTCGGGCTCCAGCAGGGTTCTGTTCCATGCAGTCATTCAGGGTCCTAAAGTACTTCAGTCTTTGTTTTGCCATTCCCTAAGGTGTTGTCCTCATTTACATGGTCTCAATTGGGTTTGAGTTCCAGTCTGTGGGAAGGGAGAAAGAGAGGCCCTGAAGGGCTGGCAATTTCCTTTTAAAAAGAAACATCACAGCTGGGCATGGTGGCTCATGTCTGTAATACCAGCACTTTGGGAGACTGAGGCTGGAGGATCTCTTGAGGCCAGGAGTTTGACACCAGCCTGGGCAACATAGCAAGTCCCTGTCCCTATGAAAAATGCAAAAATTAGCTGGGGTGTGATGGCATGTGCCTATAGTCCCAGCTACTCAAGAGGCTGGCTGGGTGTGGTGGCTCATGTCTCTAATCCCACCACTTTGGGAGGCCGAGATGGGCGGATCATGTGAGGTCAGGAGTTCAAGACCAGCCTGGCCAAAATGGTGAAACCACATCTCTACAAAAATACAAAAGAAAATAGCCAGGCGTGGTGATGGGCCCTTGTAGTCCCAGCTACTCAGGAGGCTGAGGCAGGAGGATTGCTAGAACCTGGGAGGCGGAGGTTGCAGTGAGCTGAGATTGCGCCACTGCACTCCAGCCTGGGCGACAGAGTGAGACTCGGCTCAAAAAAAAAAAAAAAGTGTGCTTGAAGATTTAGTTACAAGGTTGTTCACTGCAGAATTCTGTTAATAGCAGAAAAATTGAAAACTGTCTAAATATTTATCTCATTGCTTCCTGTGGAAGAGAGCCTTAAATGTGTCCATGGATACCAAGTGACAATATCATTACAGTTACTGCTCCAAGAACCATAATCTCATTTTGACATAAATTATTTCATTTAATCAATCCTGCAAGGCAGATGTGAATATGTAAATAAGCAGAGGCTCAGTGACCTTAAGAAACTAGTTTAAGGTCAAACAGCAAATAAGTAATATGGTTAGCTTTCAACTCAGTTGTGTCCAGTTCTTCCCACTCTGCTTCGTGCATCTTTTCTCATTTGTTTTGCCTAGCAGGACTGATGAGTGGAACACCTTGCTAAGGAGAAAGCAATGTGCACATCACAGGGCAACTCTTGATAAACAACTGCCTCACCAGAGATTGGTGGGGACAATGCCTAGCCTTCAGGATTCATCAGGGTGTTTGTTTATCAAGAGTAGAAACCAACTTTGAACTGTTTTAGGTAGAAAAGGGGAAACATAAGAAAATAGAAGCATCTCACGAAGCTAAGGCAGGAATGCAAGCAACCAGGTGTCAAAAGAGCTGACACTGAAATGGAAATATCAGCAGGAACTCAGAGAGAGAGAGCTTACTTTGTTTCTCAGTTCATTTTTTTTCTGCAGCATCTGGCTTTCTCAGTTATTCAAGCCATATGGCAGCTGGCAGATGGCAGCCACAGCTTTCATATTTACTTTTTACAGTTCCAACCACATGGAAAGACACACTCTCTCTGCTCCCATCCCCACTTCCAGATTCCTTGGGAAGGGACTCTGCTCAGCTTGAGTCAGCAGCCTATTTCCAGTCCAGTCACTGGCCAGAGGGAGGATGGGGGACGTTGTACACAGCTCTGCCATAGCTGAGGGGACCAGTTAATGGGTTCATTGTGAGCCATCAAGATATTCCAAAAAGTGTCTAGAAGACACTTCTCCATGTGACTCTGGACTGACCTAGTTCTCCCCCCGACCACCATTTCTTGGTTGTAGTTCTCAAGAATAATTTTTAAATGTTCTGGGAATGCAGTATCATTAGAGAGGAACTGCCTGAAACAGCCTAGGCCTTGTGCTGGGGCAGTCAGGGATGTGATTTTCTGTAGTTACACAGATATACTTTCTTGATGCATCTCTTGACCTTGAAACTCAGACTAAAAGGGAATTGACAGAAGTATTGTTTTTTGTTTTTGTCTGTGACAATAGTTGCTACAAAAATAAGCAATTGTCTTTCTCTACAAGTGACAACGACCAAGTTTGTCCAAAAGAATTTATTTCACCCCCTTAACATCTTGCTCAACTGATTTGGTGGTAACAAATTTAAATGCTAATAAATGGACTGATTCAAATAATCTATCACTAAAAAATATAGATGTATATTCTGATATTTGTAGTACCACTTATTGACAAGTAGCAAGGGTTTGTTTGTTTGTAGTTTTCCCCAGAAACATCTGGCCTTGTAATGCACATTAGCCATAGATTGCACTGGAAGAAAGGCAGAGAAGGATGGAAAAGACTCAGGCAGGGACAAAGCTGGGATAGCATTTCCAGTATATCAACATAAGGCCAGTTCTTTTTATTAAATCTCAAAAGTACTTTACTTGGAAAATACACAAAAATAATTCATTTGGAAAATTACACCAACAATTAATAGTTTGTGTGGCCTAAATTAGTATGGCATAAAGGAATACAATCTTAAAACCTTGAGCTACTCTAATCTGGATGGATACTTAATAATGTTACACAGGAAGTTATGTGGCAACTGTTTTCTGTCCAATGGGGAGAAGGAGTTTTCAGCTTAGATTCTACAGACAGTCCCCGATTTAAGATGGTTTGATTGAGGAGTTTTTGAATTTACAATGTTGCAAAAGCAAAATGCAATCAGTAGAAGCCGTACTTCTAGTAATCACACAATTGTTTTGTTTTTCACTTTTAGTACAAAATTAAATAAATTACATGAGATATTCAAAACTTTATTATAAAATAGGCTTTGTGTTAGATGATTTTGCCCAAATGTAGGCAATGTAAGTGTTCCGAGCATGTTTAAGGTAGTCTAGGCTAAGCTATGATGTTTGGTAGGTTAGTTGTATTAAGTACACTTTCTACTTAGGGACACTTTCAACTTATGATGGGTTTATTGGGACTTAGCCCTATCATAAGTTGAGGAGCATCTGTAACTTGTAAATTATTCTTTTATATAAAAAGATTTAAAAGATCTTTCTCCTCTTCACATTATGGGAAGAACACTTTGGAGAGAGAGAGAGAGAGAGACAAAGGCCACACCCCAGTAATGAGCAGAAAGCATTTTGCAGAAATAATTAAATTCTAGTTAGAAATGCCATTGATAAGAACTTGGCACATAAGGTAAAATTTAGGTTTCAGTTTAAATGTCCCTTCCTCCAGGAAGCCTTTTATTATCTTCTTGGACTAACTTTGAAGCTCCTGCTCTGAACTTTGATAGAGTTTCCAGATTGTATGGGACATATTTATAGTAATTAATAGATTATACATTATTTATCTGAAATTCAAACTTAACTGAGCATCCTATATTTTATCTAACAATCCTATCTATATTTCATCTTTTCTTTTTTAAGAACCTACCAAATTTTATTGTGATTGCTTATTTAAGAGAGTAAGCTGTGTAAGGTCAGGGACTATGTCTATCTGGCTTACGTTTGTATTTCTTTTTTTTTTTTCTTTTGAGACAGAGTCTCCCTCTGTCACCCAAGCTGGAGTGCAGTGGCGCCATCTCGGCTCACTGCAACCTCCACCTCCCGGGTTCAAGTGATTCTCCTGCCTCAGCCTCCTGAGTAGCTGGGACTACAGGCGTGTGCCACCACGCCTGGCTAATTTTTTTTGTATTTTTATTAGAGACTGGGTTTCATCATGTTAGCCAGGATGGTCTCCATCTCCTGACCTCGTGATCCACCCACGCCCAGCCTGTAAGATTTTTAAAAATATATTTATACATCATGTAATTTCAAGTACTCAAACTTTGTTTATGCTCTTCTCTTTCCCTAAATAGAATTTCCTTTCATCTCTGGTAAAAGTCAGCTCTCTAACTACTGCATCTCACAGCTGAACAGGTAAACATGTTCACTGGACCTGCTTTAAATACATATCCCTTAATGCTGCCCATAGCCAGACTATGTTTCCTTAGTCCATTCACTCTTCCACTACCTCTTGCCTTTTCTTTTCTCAAGCCTTCAATACCTCCTCCCTCATCCTCATTCTCAGCAGATGATCTTGTTTCCTATTTCACTGTAAAAGGAGAAGCCATGGGCTGGGCGCGGTGGCTCATTCCTGAAATCCCAGCACTTTGGGAGGCTGAGGCGGGTGGATCACCTGAGGCCGGGAGTTCAAGACCAGCCTGACCAACATGAAGAAACCCCATCGCTACTAAAAATACAAAATTAGCCGGGTGTGGTGGCACATGCCTGTAATCCCAGCTACTCGGGAGGCTGAGGCAGGAGAATCTCTTGAACCCAGGAGGCAGAGGTTGCGGTGAGCCGAGATCGCACCATTACACTCCAGCCTGGGCAACAAGAGGGAAACTCCATCTCAAAAAGGAAAAAAAAAAAAAAAAAAAGAAGCGATAAGAAGGAAATTGGCACAAAAAGGATAGCCCATCATGTTCTTTTTGGGCCTAATTCTCTTCACCCATTTCCCCTGTTCCCCAACTTTTACTAGACCCCAGGCCATTTTGGTACTAATCTGTTGGGCCAAAGGAAAAAAGTAATGGAGAACTAATGAAAATAATAATGTGTTTGTTGTATTTGTAATGTATTTCAGATAACTGATACCGTGCTTCCAGAAGATTTTTCTAACAGTGTTTGCAAGCTATAAAATAGTGCTTTCACTTAGAAAAGGCTAGACGTGGTGGTTCATGCCTGTAATCCCAGCACTTTGAGAGGCCGAGGTGAGTGAATCACTTGAGATCAGGAGTCTGAGACCAGCCTGGCCAACATGGCAAAACCCTGCCTCTACTAAAAATATAAAAATTAGCCAGGCATGCTGGCACATGCCTGTAATCCCAGCTACTTGGGAGGCTGAGGCAGGAGAATTGCTTGAACCTAGGAGGCGGAGGTTGCAGTGAGCCGAGATCTTGCCACTGCACTCCAGCCTGGGCAACTCCATCTCAAAAAAAAAAGAAAGAAAGAAAGAATTACCATTCTCATTCACCTTAATCCATAATAGCTTCAGAGCCCTGACTAAGAGGGCTCTGAGGTCAACCCAAATCCTCTCCTAGGACTACCAAATAGTCTCCTTTCTAAGATAAGATATTATATTAATGCTCATTTAGGCAGTGGCTTTCAGACTTTTGTTGTTTATTTCCCACAGTAAGAAATATATTTTGCATCTATAGCAAGACAGTTCAAACACATACAGTCACATTTATGACTGAAACGAAAGTTCATGAGACCATAGTTATCTTTATGATACGCAATGATGAGTCAAAGCTTATAATTTAGAAAATACTACATTAAAGAATTGTTAGAGGGAGCATAGGCTGGGCGCGGTGGCTCATGCCTCTAATAGACAAAATCTTTACGATTCCACAAATAGCTAGATGAACATTAGTTTGGAAACTACTCAACTATAACTCTCCACCCTCCACATACACACAAAAAGGAGTGCCCACATGCATGATTAAGCTGCTTGGCTATGAATAAATGACTCATATGACTGTTTGTCTAAGTGGTAAAAAGCAAAGCTGATGTAGGAACAAGTAAGGTAAAATCAATTAGGGAAAGGGAACAGCTCCTCCCTATTGTTCTTTTTTGTTCTCCACCAGCATAAACACTGCTATCCAAGTAGCCTCTGCATTACAGAGGGCTGAAAATTAAGCCCTGAATTGGGGAAAGGGACTAGATGGATTCGATGGTTTCTAAGTTACTTTTAAATCCTAAAACTTTATTCTCTTAATAAACATTTACTGATTGCTTAATACGTACCAGGCACCATGCTGGGAGATAAGGATCCAACATAAGACAAACAGTGCTGATGCTTTTGGAAAGCTCATATTCAAGCTGGGGAGACAAACAACATACAAGTAAGTAAATACAATGAAATTAATGTTGTGAAGGAAGTAACAAAGTCCAATGATAGGGAATAATAGGGGTAACCTACTACTATTCTTATCTATTATTATTATTAATTACTACCATTACGATTATGGTAGGAGTTTGACTCTATGCTGTGTCAAATGGGCAGCCATCAAAAGGATTTAAACAAGGAAGTGACATGACTTAGTTTTAAAAGAGCACTATATTGTGTGGAGAATGTGTTGGGAGGTGGAAAGAATACAAGTAGGAAAATTATTTTAGGAGTCTAGGCAAGACATGATAGGGGCTTGGATTATGGTGGTGACAAACTAAAATCCTGTTTTGTTTGCAATTAATAGACAATGAAAAAGTATTTTTGAATACTGATTTGAAAATCTTACTTATTTTGCCTCCAAAGCATACATTTTTTTTTTCTGTCTTTGCTAAATCATTTAAATCCAAGGGTTCCAAACTTTTTTTTTTTCTGCACACAGTATGCTAGTGGTGGTTGCTTTTAATATTCCAGAGCTCTGTAGTCAAGATCTTGAGTGTAGGAGTTGGTTGGGGTGGAAGGACTGTAATAAGTTGAGACTAGTGGAAAGAAGAAGCTGGTGCCAAGTTGCTGTGCAGAACAGGGCATAGGTGCATACTATAGTTCCTTGGGAATTCTATGAAGCTTGGGACAGTGTTGAAGATTCTGTATGGACAAGGCCCACCTTAGTCAAATAGGGGAAAAGAAAGATATATAAACTACAAGTTCACTTTGGAAAGGCAGAGATATCAGAATAAGAGAGTATTATTTGCATGAGGGTCTCAAAGCTTCTTGGAAGAAATGATACAAGAATTTGGAGTGATGATTATTACCCTAGAATACCATGATTATATTTCCTAAACCAAATAAGAAGAGACTTTTTCCAGCCATTTTGAGGGAAAGTGAATGGGGCTGCCTGGGAGGGCAGGAAATTCATCTAAGGTAGCAGAAAACTAAGATTTGTGGCTAGTGTTAGGACAGCAGCTGTCTGCATGTGATGAATTATTTGTTATGATACAGTTCAACGTTTCTCTGGCCTAGTCTCTGAGAAAACTTAAGTCTTTAATAAAGAACTGAAGAAAAGCTTAAAGAAAAAGACTGCCTCTTGGAGGATTAAATTGAGTTAGCCTAAGGGCCAGCTTTCAGCTCAGAGAGCTGTTACAAGCACCAGAAGGAAGGAGGTAGGAATCCCTCTCCCTACCCCACCCCTATCAACTTTGAGTAGAGCCCCAGCAGGAGCAGGGGGAGAACTAGTGCAGAGTCCTGGCTGGAGCCTTGGCAGAAGGGTGAGAAAGCTCCCAGGGCTGGGAGGCCACTCGGGACCCATGAAAATGGGAGAAACCTCACACGTTGGTTGTCCTTATAAAGAAAGGACAGGGTGGGAACTTGTTATCCATGTACCCAAAATCCCCAAGTGTGGCCTCAGAAAATAAAGGTTACATTGGGTGGGTTGGTGTAACAATTGCTGTATCCCAAAACAAGCTGTAGAATCTTTGGAGATTCACAAGAATTAATTAAACCGATATTAGTCTAGAAATGGTTTACATCCAGATTCTGCTTGGATCCGAGAAAACAGTTTCCCTAAACTTCCAGCCCCCAGTTTGCGAGAGAACAGTCACAGACACACATTCGGACTGATACTGTGTTCTTTCCTCCTACACATGTAGTTGAACAAATGCGGAAAACTCTAAAAATAAGTTCTCTAATCAAGATTCCAGATCGGGAGCAGGCTAAAAGAGGTCTGAGCAATGTTTTCATTTCTTAATGCTCTTGGTGGGTTCTTGGTGAGAGGCTTATTCTTAAAAAGCCCATTTGTAGGCTAGGAGCAAAGACGCTACAGGAATTTACCTGGTTGCTGACCAGTTACCAATGCATGTCCATGTCCATTCTGGTTCTTAAGCCACACTTGTAAACAGCATATAGACTTTTGTAAAAAGGCAAGTCAAAAGCTTTCATGAAGATATTGACATGCTATATCATGTATAAACATATTTGGCTCTTTGAAATGTCTCAGGAATGAATCATACATGTCGCTTTCCACTTTTGGAATAGACTAAAACTGGTTCAGCATGTCCAGCAGGTTAGTCTGGCTTCCAAAAGTTGTTTGGCTATGTATTTGGCTAATGCGAAAGTAATTGCGGTTTTTGCCATTGCTTTCAATGCCATTACTTTTGCACCAACCTAATATATTTGTGCATTTCTTTAAGGAAAATAATTAACCATGCTCTTACCTGCCAGAAGTAGTTCTTAGCTTAATTGCTATTTTCATCACCTTCATAAATTCACATCTAGTTCACAGCAACATTCTAGAGGAATGGTATATGTCAGCCAATAAAAACCACCTCATTAGAAAGTGTTAAAAAAGTCATTTTAAGAAACACCATTCAAAATTTGAGTACGAAAATTAATTTTGCAGCACAGATATACGTTGAGTAGAACTTACTGTTCAAATATAGAAAATGACCAATACATATAAGAAAAATATACTTATTTAATTCCTAAAAAACACATAGATTTTGCTGATAGGAAAAAGAGAAGCAGGGATATAAAGGCATAAATTGCATGCTTTCAAAACACACAGGCTGTATTGATGAGAAACAGAGATGTGTGGACATGGATGCGTGAAAGGACTCACTAAGGCTATAATGAAGGGCCATGAGGAAAGAAAGCATTGACATTTGTTCTTTCCTGGACCTTGACCTTGTGTTATCAGGACCAGATATAGCAGATCTTATAAAGAGGGTGGAAAACAAAACCAGTAGATTCACATAATTCAATTCCAGGCCAAGAATGTAAAAGACATGAGATTGGTGTTTTTGAAAGCCAATGCTACCTAAAGGGGTAAAAATTCAAATTGTTTCTTCCATAAAATTACTTTTTAAGAAATGATAATTAGAATTGAAACAACAAAACTCTCAACTACTGGTTTTTTACAAATACAACTTTTGAAGGAAGAGTCAAGAATAATTCATTACCCTTCTTAAAACCCTGTCCCACTGTTTCTCATTATCAGCCACTTTATGTCCCAAATCACAGAGAAAAGGGGGTCTTCCTTCTTTTTCCCACCCTTTTTTTTTTTTTAGACGATGTCTCGCTCTAACGCCCAGGTTGGAGTGCAGTGGTGCGATCTCAGCTCACTGCAACCTCCGCCTCCCGGGTTCAAGCAATTCTCCTGCCTCAGCCTCCTGAGTAGCTGGGATTACAGGTGTATGCCACCACGCCTGGCTAATTTTTGTATTTTTAGTAGAGATGGAGTTTGACCATGTTGGCCAGGCTGGTTTGGAACTCCTGACCTGAAGTGATCCTTCTGCCTTGGCCTCCCAAAGTGCTGGGATTACAGGCGTGAGCCACCACGCCCTGCCTTTCCCACCTTCCTTTAACCTCCTTCCAGAAGAAAGAAATAGCCAATTTAAATAAACATCTATTGTGTGTTGATTTTGTTGTCTGTGATGTTCAAGGTACTGGAGAATGAGCTGTAAATAAGACAGACAGCAATTGTGCCCCCCAGGAGTTGACGTTCTAATGAGGGATGACAGCCAATAAACATACAGAAAAAAATGAATTAGAACTTCAGGTGCTGATCAACATTATGAAGCTATAATAGGGTATTGTGAGAAAAGTGACTCAGGGAGATGGGATACTACATTAGCTGTGATAGTCAGGAAAGGGCTGAGAAAGTGACATCTGAGTCACTTTGTATCACCTAAATCAGGGGTCCTCAACCCCCAGGCCACAGACCCATACAAGTCTGTGGCCTGTTAGCAACCGGCCTGCACAGCAGGAGGTGAGCAGCATGTGAATGCGAAGTTTTATCTGTATTTATAGCCATTCCCCACCACTCGCATTACTCGCATTACTGCCTGAGCTCTGCATCCTATCAGATCAGCAGAGGCGTTAGATTCTCATAGGAGGGCAAACCCTGTTGTGAAATGTGCATTTAAGGGATCTAGGTTGCATGATCCTTACGAGAATCTAATGCCTGATGATCTGTCACTGTCTACCATCACTCCCAGATGGGACTTTCTAGTTGCAACAGGTTCAGGGTTTCCACTGATTCTACATTATGGTGGGTTGTATAATTATTTCATTATATATTACAATGCAATAATAATATACATAAAGTGCACAATAAATGTAATGTGTTTGAATCATCCCAAAACCATCCCCCATAACCCTAGTCCATGGAAAAAATTGTCTTCCATGAAGCTGTTCCCTCATGCCAAAAAGGTTGGGGACCACTGACCCAAGTGATAAAAACAAGGAATCTTTTTATTACCCAAGTGATAAAAAGAGATCCGGGGGGCTCTCCAAGCAGAATGAGCAAGAGGTGGGATGGCCTGAAGCATGAACAAACTTGGTGTGTTCATGGGACAGAGTATCAGAGTGGTTAGAGCTCAATGAACAAGGAGAAGAGTGGAGAGAGATGAGGTCAGAGACACAGATGGGGCAAGATTTGGAGAGCCTCATAGACTCTGATGAGAAGTTTGTTGATTATTCTGATGCAATGGGAAGTCTTTAGATAATTTTAAGCAAGGAAATTATATTCTCTGGTTTACGCTTTAGAAATATGACTCTGGCTGCTATGTGGATAGAGGAAGGACAATGAGGAATCAAGAGTGCAGCCACAGAGACCAGTGAGAAGTGATGATGGCATTGACCTAGATTGGAAGAGTAGAGATGGAAAGAAGTGGTTAGGTTCAGAATATATTTTGGAAGTTGGAGCTAATGGAACCTATTGATGAATTGGAAGTAGATACTGATGGATTGAATGTGCTGTGTGAGGAAAAGAGAAGAGACAAATAGGGCTCCTAGGTATTTGTCCTGAGCAACTGAGTGTATAATTGTGTAATTTACTAGGACCGGAAAGGCTCAGGGGAAGCAGACTTGGGGTGTGATAGAAATCCGATAGCTTGGTTTTGGCCATGTTAAATTTGAGATGCTTATTAGACATCCAAGTTATATGCTGAGTAGATAGTTGGATATACAAGTTCTGGAGCTCAGGCAAGGAGCTTGGGTCTAGAGATATACACTTGAAAGGTATCAGTATATAAAGTTCTTTGAAGCAATGAGTCTAGACGAGATCACCTAGGGAGACAATATAGAAGGGGTATCCAATCTTTTGGCTTCCCTGGGCCATGTTGGAAGAAGAATTGTCTTGGGCCACACGTAAAATACACTAACACTAACAATAGCTGATGAGCTACACACACACACACACACACACACACACACACACAAAATATCTCATAATGTTTTAAGAACGTTTACGAATTTATAAATGTATAGCATTCCCTACTCTGGGATAGAACACACACACACACACACACACACACACACACACACACACACACACACACACACAATATCTCATAATGTTTTAAGAAAGTTTACGAATTTGTAAATGCATAGCATTCCCTACACTTGGATAGAAAGAGAGGAGCCGAGGACCAGAGTTCTGCATACTCCAACATTTAGCAGTATTCTGTCTTCATGTCCAAGGCAAATCTTTTATTATATTCTCTGATCTTATCCAATTCACCTCTTCTATAGCAGATTAAAAATGACTGTAAATTCTTTGACACTTCTACCAAGAGGTGGGGTGTAATTCCCTTTCCCTTGAATCTGGGCTGAGTCAGTAAGGCCAGTCAGTGACTTGACCAACGGAATTAATCAGAAGTGACATTCTGGGATCCGAGAGATGAGGTAATAAGAAGACTTATACCAATAGTTTCTGCCCAGGATATTTGGAATATCCTCTCTGAAAGCTTGAACCATCATGTAAGAAGGCCAGTCACCCTAAGAGTACCCTGGAAAGACCATCTGTAGGTGCTCTTATTGACATTCTTAGCTGAGCCCAACCTTCCAGTCACTCCTGCCAAGATATCAGACATGTGAATGAAGCAATCTTGGAATTTTGAGACTAACCCATCTACCAGCAAACCTGGCAAGTAACCACATAGGATATCGTGGGGCAGAGAAATTGCCCAGCTGAGCCCTGCCGAAATCTCTGGCCCCTCAAATCATGATATATAATAAAATGGGTAAATTTGGGATAATTTATTATATAGCAATAGAAAACTGAAAACACCTTCCCTCTTTGTCTGGGACCTTATTTTATAATCAATTCTCATCCCTTCTGGTTCATGCTACCTTCTCAACCACACATTATTTTATTACCAACTTTTCCTTCCTTCCTGGTTCTTTTTCCTCCACCTGCAAGCATGCTCAGTCTTTTCTACCTTGTTAAAAACTTTCTTAAACCTACTGCAAAATCTTTTTCCTTTAACGCACCCCTAAATTGATCTCACTGAGTTTACCAATATCTAATTGACAAAACCATCAGATATTTTTCTGTCCTTATATTTAACTGTATTCGGTTTCAGAAGTTCTCATCATGATACTTTAAGGATGAGGACAGCTGATGTGGCTGGCCTGAAAAATAAGGTAAGAACCAGAACTAATCTGCACAGTCAGGGATTTCAGTTTTTTTAGGCCTGAGTTTCTTTAGCTGAGACATGAGAAGCACCTCAAAATCAGAGCTCCTGAAGACAAGGTGGATACAGAGTGAATGAACCAAGTAGAACAGAGCTGGATAGGTGAGAGGAAAATAGCATGAGAAATTCCTTGATCTAGAATTTTGGTCCAGCATTTGAGGAACAGCAGGATCAAACTTCTGAAAATAGAGTAATAGACTGTCAAAAAGAAGGGTAGGCTTAGATTAGTGTGGAGAACAGTCAGGAGAAAGCCCTTAACCAGGTTCTTAAACTTTATTTTCCTTATGAATCAATTGGAAAAGTTTTGTTAAAGATACTGATTATCCTGCCTTGCCCAAGAAATTCTGGGGTTGGATTGACAATTTTTCTTTCAAATAAACACCCCAGGTCATTCTGATACAGGTGGTCTTCAGGCCAGACTTTCAGAAACAGCATCCTAAAGAAAGAGGAAGGGCTTGGGTGGGCATTCTGGAATGGGACCATTTGGTTATTTCTTCTTTACCTAATTGGTTAACTCATTAGTTTGCTCATGATTCCACAATCTAGGCTGGGCTCAGCTGGAACACTGGGAGGCTGAACTGAGTTTCTCTCTTTCTCCATGTAGTTTCAGGGCTTCTTCCTCTTTACATGACCTCCATATGTAGCACTTTCCATGTGGTCTCTGCAGCAGAGTAGCCAAACTTCCTACATGTGGCTCGGAGCTTCAAATAGCACAAAAACGGAAGCTGCCAGGCTTCCTTAAAGTTGAGGCCTGGAATTGGCACTGTGTCACTTTTGCTACATGCCACTTGTTGAAGCAAGTCACAGGCCTAGCCCATATTTAAGGAAAAGCACCATACAAATGTGGGAACACTGTGAGATGTGGTTCACTAAGGGGCCATAATTTAATGGGTTAGCAGAGAAAATACCAGAATAAAATAAGATAAAGCTGGCTTTGTTGGGAGTAGAGATGTATAAGGTTAATATATATAATAAGCACAACCACAAAAGCATGCTCAGTTTTTAAAGATGAACCACAAATTAAGCTCTGAGTTTCCTAATAGCCAGGAAAATCAGTTAGGGTTAAATAAATTAATAAAGAATTAACAATTATTTATTATGGGTAGTTTGCAAATCTTTTTTCCCATTCCGTGGGCGATCACTTCACATTATTATTTGTCTCCTTTGCTGTGCAGAAGCTTTTTAGCTTGATGTAATCTCAGTTGACAACTTTGCTTTGGTTCCCTATGCTTTTGAGGCCACAAAAATCTTCCCAGACCAATATCTTGGAGCATTTCCTCAATGTTTTATTTTCGTAGTTTCACAGTTTCAGGTTTTACATTTAAGTATTTAATCCATTTTGATTTTATTTTTGTATATGGTAAGAGATAGGGGTCTAGTTTCATTCTTCTGCATATGGTTATCAAGTTTTCCCAGCACCATTTATTAGAGACTGTCCTTTCCCCATTGTATGTTCTTGGTGCCTTTGTGGAAGAAGTTTGGCTGTAAATGTGTGGATTTATATTTTGGCTCTTTTTTTTTTTTTTTTTTTTTTTTTTTTGAGATGGAGTCTCGCTCTGTCTCCCAGGCTGGGATGCAGTGGTGCGATCTCGGCTCACTGCAACCTCCACCTGCCGGGTTCCAGCTATTCTCCCACCTCAGCCTCTTGAGTAGCTAGGACTACAGGTGTGGGCAACCATGCCCAGCTAATTTTTTGTATTTTTAGTAGAGACAGGGTTTCACCATGTTGGCCAGGCTGATCTCAAACTCCTGACCTCAAGTGATCCACCAGCCTCAGCCTCCCAAATTGCTGGGATTACAGGTGTGAGCCACTGTGCCCAGCCCTTGGCTCTCTATTCTGTTCCATTGGTCTATGTGTCTGTTTTTATGTTAGTACTATGCTGTTTTGGTCACTATAACTTTGTAGTATATTTTGTAGTCAGGTAGTGTGATGCCTCCAGTTTTGTTCTTTTTGCTCAGGATTGCTTTGGCTATTCAGGCTCTTTTTTGGTTCCATATGAATTTTAGGATTTTTTTTTCTATTTCTGTGAAGAATGTTAATGATATTTTGGTAGAGATTACATTGAATCTGTACATTGCTTTGGGTAGTATTGTCATTTTAACAACATTAACTCTTCCAATCAATGAGCAAGGAATATCTTTCCATTTTTTGTGTCCTCTTTAATTTCTTTCATCAGTGTTTTATAACTTTTCCTTGTGTTGATCTTTCCCTTCTTTGGTTAAACTGTTTCCTAGGTATTTTATGTTCTTTGTAGCTATTGTAAATGGGATTGCTTTCTTGATTTCTTTTTCAGATTTTTTTGCTCCTGGCATATTTTAAATGCTACTGATTTTTGTATGTTGATTTTGTATCCTGCTACTTTACTGATTTTGTTGATCAGTTCTAAGAGTTTTTTTGGTGAAGTCTTTCTTTAGAGTTTTCTAAGTATAAAAGCATGTCATCTATGAACAAGGCTAATTTGACTTCTTTTCCAATTTGAATGTCCTTTCTTCCTCTTATCTAATTGCTCTAGCCAGGACTTCTAGGATGATACTGAATGAAAATGGTAAAAGTGGCCATCCTTGTTTTTCCTCCAATTCTTAGAGGAAAGGCATTCAATTTTTGCTTGTTCAATACAGTGTTAGCTGTGGGTTTGTCACATATGGCCTTAATTATTTTGAGGTAGGTTTTGTTTTTTTTTTCTGAGATAGGGTCTTGCTCTGTTGCCCAGGCTGGAGTGTAGTGGCGTGATCTCGGCTCACTGCAACCTCTGCCTCCCAGTTTCAAGAGATTCTCTTGCCTCAGCCTCCCAAGTAGCTAGGATTACAGATGCACACCACCATGCCTGGCTAATTTTTGTATTTTTAGTAGAGATGCGGTTTCGCCATGTTGGCCGGGCTGGTCTTGAAGTCCTGACCTCAGGTGATTCACCTACCTCAGCTTCCCGACGTACTGGGTTTACAGGCATGAGCCACCGTTCCCGGCCAAGGTATGTTCTTCCTATACTCAAGTTATTGAGGGTTTTTAATCATGAAGCAATGTTGAATTTTATTGAATGCTTTTTTTGGCATCTATTGAAATGATCAGAGGTTGGGTGTGGTTGCTAACGCTTGTAATCCCAGCATTTTGGGAGGCTGAGGCAGGAGGATTGCTTGAGGCCAGGAGTTCGAGATCAGCCTGGGAAACATAGTGAGACTCCATCTCTACAAAAAATGTTTAAAATAGCTAGGGGTGGTGATTTACACCTGTAATCCTAGCTATTCAGGAGGCTAAGGCAGGAGGATCACTTGAGCCCAAGAGTTTGAGGTTATGGTGAGCTATGATCACACCACTGCACTTCAGCCTGGGCAACAGAGTAAGACCCTGTCTCAACCACTCAATCAATCGTATGGTTTTTGTTCTTGGTTCTTTTCATGTGTTTTATCACGTTTATGGATTTGGATATGTTGAACCATCATTGCATCCCTGGAATAAATACGAGTTGATCATGATGAATTATCTTCTTAATGTGTTGTGGAATTCAGTTTACTATAATACTATGATAGTTTGTTGAGGACTTTTGCATCTGTGTTGGTCAGGGATATTGGCCTGTTGTTTCCTTTTTTTGTTATGTCTTTGTCTAGTTTTGGTATCAGTGTAATGCTGGTCTTGTAGAATGAGTTTGAAAGTATTTCCTCCTCTTTGGAGCTTGCAGTGAGCTGAGATTGTGCCACTGCACTCCAGCCTAAGTGACAGAGTGAGATTCCATCTAAAAAAAAAAAAAGAAAAGAAAAGAAAAAAAGAAAGTATTTCCTCAGTGTTTAAAAATACTTTGAGTAGAACTGGTATTTGTTTAACTGTTTGGTGGAATTCAGCAGTGAATCCCTCAGCTGTTGGGCTTTTCTTCGCTGGGAGACTTTATTACTGCTTTAATCTCATTACTTGTTATTGGTCTATTAAAGTCTTCTGTTTCTTCATGGTACAATCCTGGTAGATTGTATCCAAGAATTTATCCCATTTTGTCTAAATTTTCCAATTTGTTAGCATATAGTTGTTCATAATAGTCTCTAATGAGTGTACTTCTGTGGTCTCAGTTCTTATGTCTCCTTTTTCATTTGTGAATTTATTTATTTGAGTCTTTTCTCTTTTTTTGTTAGTCTAGCTAAAGGTTTGTCAATTTTATCCTTTTTTTTTTTTTGAGACAGAGTCTCACACTGTTGCCCAGGCTGGAGTGCAATGGCGCGAGGCTCACTGCAACTTCTGCCTCCCAGGTTCACACAATTCTCCTGCCTCAGCTTCCTGAGGAGCTGGGATTACAGGTGCACACCACCACACCTGGCTAATTTTTTGTATTTTTAGTAGAGACGGGGTTTCACTATGTTGGCCAGACCGTCTTGGACTCCTGGCTTCCTGATCTGCCCGCCTCAGCCTCCCAAAGTGCTGGGATTACAGGCGTGAGCCACCGCCCCAGGCCTTATCTTTAAAAAAAAAAAATTTCATTTCATTGATCTTCTGTATTTTTTAGTCTTAATTTCATTTATTTATTCTCCAATCTTTATTATTTCTTTCCTTCTACTAATTTTGGGCTTGGTTTGTTCTTGCTTTTCTAGTCCTCTGAGGAGCATAGTTAGGTTGTTTATTTGAAGTCTTTCTATTTTTCTCATATATTTGTTTGTTGCTATAAATTTATCTCTTTGTACTGCTTTTGGTGTATCCCATAGATTTTAATATGTTGAATTTCCATTTTCATTGCTTCAAGAAATTTTTAAATTTCTTTCTTAATTTCTTCATTGACTCATTGTTTGTTCAGGAATATGTTGTTTAATTTCCATGTGTTTGTGTATTTCCAAGGTTCCTCTTGTTATTGGTTTCTAGTTTTATTCCATTGTGGTCAGAATAAATACTTGAAGGCTGAGAGCAGTGGCTCATGCCTGTAATCCTGACACTTGGGGAGACCGAGGTGGGTGGATCACTTGAGTTCAAGAGTTTGAGACCAGCTTGGACAACATAGTGAAACCCTGTTTCTACTAAAAATACAAAAAATTAACTGGGCGTGGTAGTGCATGCCTGTAGTTCCAGCTACTCAGGAGGCTAAGGCACAGGAATCGCTTGAACCTGGGAGGCGGAGGCTGCAGTGAGCCATGATCATGCCACTGCACTCCAGCCTGGGCAACAGAGTGAGACAATGTCTCAAAAAAAAAAAAAGAAAAGAAAAGAAAAAAAAAACTTGATATAATTTATACTACTTTGAATTTGTTGAGACTTGTTTTGTGGGCTGTGTTCTAATCTGGAGAATGTTCCATGTGCTGATGAAAAGAATGTGTATTCTGTAGCAATTGAGTGAAATGTTTTATAAATGTTAGTTAAGCCTATTTGGTCTAGTGTGTAATTTAACTCTGATGTTTCTTTGTTGATTTTCTGTCTGCATGATCTGTCCATTACTGAGAATGGGGTGTTGAAGTCCCCTGTTATTATCATATTGCAGTCTATCTCTCCCTTTAGATCTCTCTTTTTTTTTTTTTTTTTTTTTTTTTTTGTAACGGAGTCTCGCTCTGTCGCCCAGGCTGGAGTGCAGTGGCACAATCTCGGCTCACTGCAAGCTCCGCCTCCCGGGTTCACGCCATTCTCCTGCCTCAGCCTCCTGAGTAGCTGGGACTACAGGCGCATGCCACTATGCCCAGCTAATTTTTGTATTTTTTTTAGTAGAGATGGGGTTTCACCGTGTTAGCCAGGATGGTCTCGATCTCCTAACCTCGTGATCCGCCCGCCTCGGCCTCCCAAAGTGCTGGGATTACGGGCATGAGCCACCGCGTCCAGCCCCCTTTAGATCTCTTAATGTTTGCTTTATATACTTGGGAGCTCCAATGGTAGGTGCATAGATATTTATAACTGTTATATCCTCTTGCTGAATTGACCCTTTTGTCATTATATAGTGACTTTCTTTGTCTCTTTTTACAGTCTTTGATTTGTAGTCTATTTTATCTTTTAAGTATAGTTAATCCTGCTCTTTTTTGGTTTTCATTTACATGGAATATCTGTTTTCCACCTCTTCACTTTCAGTCTATGTTTGTCTTTATAGGTGAAGTTGTGTTTCTTTTAGGCAGAATATAGTTGGGGCTTGTTTCTTTATCCATTCAGCCACTCTGTGCCTTTTAATTGGAGAATTGAGTCCATTTACATTCAGTGTTAATATTGATAAAGACCTACTACTGCCAATTTATTACTTGTTTTGTAAACTCTCTCTTCCTTTCTTATGGTTTTCCTTTGTGGGTAAATGATTTTCTCTGGTAACGTGTTTTAATTTGTTGCCTTTTATTTCTCATGAATCTATTATAGGTTTTTGTCTCGTGGCTACCATGAGTCTTCTAAGAAAACATCTTATAGATACAACGAAAGTTATTTTAAAGGGATTATAATTTATCTTGTCACAAAAAATGCTAATAGACAAAAAAAGAAAAACAAAATCTCAATAATTTAATTCCATGCCCCCTACATTTTAACTTTATGTATTCTCTATTTACATATTTTTATATTTTCTATCTCTTAACAGGTGGCTGTAGCTACCTTCTGCATATGGATATCCAGTTTTCCCAGCACCACTTATTAAAGAGACTGTCTTTTCTGCAGTGTATATTCTTGGCACCGTTGTTGAAAATGAATTCATTGTAGGTGTGTGGGTTTGTTTCTGGGTTCTCTATTCTGTTCAACTTGTCTATGTGTCTGTTTTTATGCCAGTACCGTGTCATTTTAGTTACCAGAGCTCTGCAGTATAATTTGAAACCAGGTCATGTGATTCCTCCAGTTTTGTGGTATTAGGATAGGTTTGGCTATTCTGAGTCTTTTGTGGTTCCATATAAATTTTAGAATTTTTTTTTTCTATTTCTGTGAAGAATGTCATTGGTATTTTGATAGGGATTGCGTTGAATCTGTAGATTGCTTTGGGTAGTATGGACATTTTAACAATATTCATTCTTCTAATCCATGAACATGGAATACCTTTCCATTTTTTGGTGTCCATTTCAATTTCTTTCATCAGTCTTATACTTTTCATTATAGAGATCTTTCACTTCTTGGATTAACTCCTATGTATTTAATTTTACTTGTAGCTATTGTAAATGGGATTACTTTTTTTTTTTTTTTTGACGGAGTTTCACCCTTGGCATCCAGGCTAGTGTGCAATGGCGCAACCTCAGCTCACTGCAACCTCCACCTCCCAGGTTCAAGCAATTCTCCTGCCTCAGCCTCCTGAGTAGCTGGAATTACAGGTGCCCGCCACCACACCCGGCTAATTTTTGTATTTTTAGTAGAGACAGGGTTTCACCACGTTGGTCAGGCTGGTCTTGAACTCCTGACCTCAGATGATCTGCCCACCTCGACCTCCCAAAGTGCTGGGATTACAGGCATGAGCCACCACTTCCAGCAAGGGATTACTTTTTTAATCTCTTTTTCAGATTTTTCACTGTTGGCATATAGAAATCCTACTAATTTTTGTATGTTGATTTTGTATCCTGGAACTTTACTGAATCTGTTTATAATTTGTGTATTTGTTTATAGTAGTTTTTTGGTGGACTCTTTCAGTTTTTCCAAATATAAGATCATATCATTGGCAAACAAGGACAGTTTGATTTCTTCTATTCCAATTTGGATGCCTTTATTTCTTTCTGTTGTCTGATTGCTCTAGTTAGGACTTCCAGTACTATGTTGAATAACAGTGATGAAAGTGGGCATCCTTGCCATGTTCCAGATCTTAGAAAAGAGGCTTTCAGTTTTTCACCATTCAGTTTGATACTAGCTGTGGCAGCTTCCATGAGAATCACGCAGTTTGAAGAAGCATTTCACTGAAAAATAGGGATTGCTGTTCTGGAAAGACAAAACAATTGTCTACAATTCTAAAGAAGAAGTGAACACAATAATTAAATCAATGTTATTCTGGGTCTAAAGCTTATATTCTTAATTACTATATTATCCCATCTTAAAATTTTAATTTGGAAATTATATATCTAAATATTATAATCAATAAAGTTGAACACACATGATGAAGTGTGAAAAGAAGTAAAAAACAGATGTGTGAAATGATTCCATAATTATTAATGTGCTTATGTTTCAAAGAGTTTTCACAACCCAACAAAACTTACCCTCTCTGGGGCCTTTGTAAAAACAAACAACAACAACAAAAAACTCATTCTCCATTCTTCCACCTGCTCCACAAAACAAAAATGCATCTTATTCACCTTAGAATCCACAGGTACTTGGTAGAGGCTCAAAAAATGTTTATTTAGTAAAACCAAAATGTCTTCCAAAAAATAACAATAGTTCTTTTCTTTTTCTTTTCTTTTCTTTTTTCTTTTTTCTTTTTTTTTTGATACAGAAACTCACTCTGTCACTCAGGCTGGAGTGCAATGGCACGATCTCGGCTCACTGCAACCTCTGCCTCCCGAGTTCAGGTGATTCTCCTGCCTCAGCCTCCCGAGTTGCTAAATTACAGGTGCTCAGCACCACACCCGGCTAATTTTTCTATTTTTAGTAGAGATGGGGTTCTGCCATGTTGATCTTGCTGGTCTCGAACTCTTGGCCTCAAGTGATCTGCCCACCTCAGCCTCCCAAATGCTGGGATTACAGGTGTGAGCCACCACGCCCGGCCAAGTAACAATATTTCTGGATATAATACCTGAAAACTCAGCGCAGAAAGATATAAAGGGATAAAAAATTTATAATATAGTCATTACAATGGAATAAAATGAAATATAAAGCAATAAAAAGGAACGGACAGCTGATATATGTAACAATATGGATGAATCTCAAAAGCAATATCAAAAGATCAAAAGGGTATATATTACATGATTCCATTCTGGAAAAGGCAAAACTATAGGGACAGAAAACAAGTCAATGATAGGCAGTGGGCCGGGGGGGGAAGTGATTTATTATAAAGAGGCATGAGGAAACTTTAGGATGACATAAATGTTCTATGTCTTTATATGGTGGTGGGTACATGACTGTATACTTTTGACAGAGGTATATCTAAAAGGGGTGAGTTTTACTGTGTATAAATTATACCTCAATGAACCTGACTAAAAAAAAAAAGATGTAAAAATCTTAATATAACACTCTTTGTTAATTTACCTAAAATACACCTATTAATTTTGAAGTAAATATCAGAGAATTTCACAGAAGCTATAAAAGCAATTGTCCTGCCATTAGCACAGTCAAATAATCATTTAACTATAGCATTTCAAAGATACAGTTAATTCTAACTATTTATTTGCTATTGTTTTTGGGAAGAACATTTTGTACATGAAAAGGAGGTGAGAAATGAGATATGGGCTTTAATTTGGGAGAAATACATGGAGCTAGGAAATGGAAAGGAATAAAAAAATGAGCTTTCTTCTATGAAAGGTACTTAAGGGCTGGGCGCAGTGGCTCATGCCTGTAATTCCAACAGTTTGGGAAGCCGAGGTGGGCAGCTCAAATAAGCTCAGGAGTTTGAGACCAACATAGGCAAAATGGCAAAACTCCATCTATACAAAAAATACACCAAGCGTGGTGGTGTGTGCCTGTAGTCCCATTTACTTGGGAGACTGAGATGGGAGGACTACTTGAGCCCAGGAAGCGGAGGTTGTAGTGAGCCAAGATGGTGCCACTGCACTCCAGCCTGGGTGACAGAATGAGACCCTGTCTCAAAAAAACAAAGAAAGAAAAGAAAAGGTACTTAATATCTTCAAATATTCAAGATCTGAATGAGAAAAATGTAATTTTAGGTCAGGTGTATATAAAAAGTATCCAGCAATTTCATAGCTACTTATCTTCATGGACTGTTTCCTTGGTTGGTTATCTCTGTCACTGTTCATATCACACCGAGGGTTGTTACCTGCTGGCTTTCACATCTTCCTGTTCTTTCACTCATTGACTAGACTTTTCACTCATTTAATCACTGTTTTCAAACATCTCTATGTGCCAGACACTGGAGTAGAGATGCAAGGGTGAGTAAAACACATGAGATCCCTGCCCTTTCATTACATTTAATGAGAAGAGAGACAAAAAAAAAAAGTGGATACTTTCAGATTATGTTAAGTGTTATGAAGAAATAAAACAGGGTAATGGGGCTCAGAATGACTTTGCAGGTGAGAGATAGGTGGCTGGAATATTTTAGATAGAATGGTGAAGGGATCTGAGGAGACAATTTGTACTGACAGCTCTGGGAAGTGAACAAAGAGAAGGAGCCAGCCATGGGAAGAGTTCCAGCCATAGGAAACAATAAGAGCAAAAGCCTGAGACAGAAATGCATTTGACATTAAATGAGAGGGCTGTAAAGCAGGCCTATGTGGCCAGGGTGCAGTGAACAAGGGGAGAGTGGTAGGAAAGCTATGCAGGTCTTAGAGGCTTTGGAAAAGAGCTTCAGTTTTTTTCTAAGAGCGATGGAAAATTATCATAGGGTGTTAAGTAGGGCAGAGATGTGGTTTTGTTTTTAGAAGGCTCTCTGGCTTCTCTAATAGTGGGCAAGAAGATAAACCTGGAAAATAATTAGATGGCCACTGCAGTCATCCAAGCAAGACATGATGACTTGGACTAGGGTGGTAGCTGTCACAGTGGTGAGAAGAGGTTTGATTCAAGTTCTTTTTTACATATGGGGCTGAAAAGACTTGCTGATGGATTGGTTTGAAGGTGGTGAGAGGAAGTACTAGGTGAGTGGGGATGCTTTATTCAAGATGTACAAAACTGGAAAAGGAGAAATTCTGGAAGAAATTCTAGAGAAAAGGAAATTCTGGAAAGACCAATAATTTTTCTCAGTCTTGTTACATTTGAGATGCCTTAAGAAATACAAGTGGAGATGTGAGAAGGCAATTAAATATTCAAGGAGATTAGGGGGGTTGAGTAGAGGAAGAAGTAACCAAGAAGAAACACCAGTGAAATAGGAGGAAAATTGAGAGCATATGGTTACAGAAGCCAACTACAGAATGGATTTTAAATAGGAGGAAATGGTCACCTCTGCCAAATTTAGAGTGGTCAGATAGGAGAGGACTGAAAATTGACATAATCTTTGGCAAGGTCAAAGTCACTGGTGACAGATCTGGTAAATATTATTTCAGCAGATGCAATGAACATATAATTGGAGTGGGTTGAACAGAGAAAGAGAAGTTAGAAAGTAGAGAGAGCAAGTATAGGCAACTCTTGATAAGCTTTACTGTGAAGGCATGCTGAGATAGAGGGCAGAAGCCAGCAAGGATGGAGAGTCTAGAGAGAGTTTAGTCAAGCAAGACAATACTAAGGCATGATGCAGAAAAGAGGACACATAATGGCAGGAGTGAAATCCTCAAATAGGCAGGAGGGCATGGGATCCAGAGCCCTGGAAAGGACAACCTCATTGTGAAAGGAGGGAGAACATGTATTCAGATTCAGGTAGGTTGGTAGATTCGATGGTGGGAAGATATAATTACTGCCTGAGGCTTCTGTTCTTTCAGTGAAGTGTAAATTGAGATCACCAGTTGAGAGTGAGGAAAGATGAAGTGTTGGAGGTTTGAGGAGAGAGGAGATGTGAAATAAATAACTTGGAGAGTCAGAGATAATGTCATATTCATATTTGTATCCCAGCATCCTACCACAGTGCCTGGCACATAGGAGGCACTGAAAAACAGTTTTGAAGAATGACTGAAAGTCAGAATCAGAAAAGAAAGAACAATGATACACACTTAAAACTTACATCTTAATACAAGAATAACATATTTGTAGAATATCTTGGTTTATAAATGTTTTAGCATCTACTTGAATTTACTCAATAAATTCCAGAATACTCGAGGAAGGAGGCATACTTGCAAAAGGTAATTTAAGACAAGATGACCTCTTTACACTTTATTTACAAGAGCACCTTTCTCATTAGGCTGATTTTTTCAAGAGTAAGGAGATGCTGTCTTTTCATCTTAATATTCTCAGGACATGCATTAAATAGTGCCTGGCACAAAATTAAGTGCACAATAATGCTTTTTCGGTTTTTTGTTTGTTTTTGAAACAGGGTCTTGCTCTGTCACCCAGGCAGGAGTACAGTGGTGTGATCACAGTTTACTGCAGCTTCAACCTCCTGGGCTTAAGTGATCCACCCCAGCCTCTCAAGTAGCTGGGACTATAGGCATGTGCTACCATACCCAGCTAATTTTATTTTTTGTAGAGACGGGGTCTCACTATGTTGCCCAGGCTGGTATCAAACTCCTGGGCTCAAGCAATCCTCGTGTATCTCCCAATGTATTAGGATTACAGGTGTGAGCCACCACATGGGCCAGTAATGCTTTTTTGAATAAATAAATGACTATAATCACATGGAGCTTCTAATCTCCAAAGGATTTACAGGCTGAAATAGAAAAGTCTCCAAAAGAATTTAAATACTTCAGGGATGAAAAGCCAAAGTGGATTGATTATAAAGACAAACAGATGCTTTAGGGACATTTTAAGGGAGTCACAATATGCAACCAAACATTTCCACAAAACTTTCTTTGTAACATTGTTTCAAGAATAAAAACCTAAATGATTTTGGGTCTCACTAGCATGGCAATTTTTATATTTGTTTGAGTTTATAGGCTCTTTTGACCTTTTCTCTATAGTAGTAATAGATTTTTGTCCTTTTGCCTAACACTGTGCATTATAGTGAACTACATTCCCAGATACCTTAGAATCACCCATGTTTATCCCTTTCCTCCTCTAGGAGGGCTCTGAGAGATTTCATTTCTGTCCTGCTGATGAAGTCTACGTTCATTCAGGGCCTGCTGTGGAAGACCAGCCCCAAAGGTGTGTTATACTAAGTAGGCAGATTCTATCTCCATCTAATTCCTAAGTTAGGCTTTTCTTACTCCTAGAGTTCTGTATAGCATGGCCTTCTTATTTCTTGTAACATTGCTTTTGGGAATAAAATGTTTGAAGAAAGGAATATAAAGAAGAAAAAATGCTGGGGAATATATAAGGGAAAAAGAACAAAGGTTGAAAAACAGAAACAGAGAAAGGGAGGAAAGATAAATCTGACCACTTTAAAGTCAGTCAGTATACCTACAGACATTCAGTTGAGCAATAAAAGAATGGGATAAACTATGCAACTGAGAAAAAAAATGACAGAGGGGCAGGAAAGACTGGTCATTTTGTCCTGTAATGAAGACCACAGAAGTCATTTTTACGTCAGGGTGAAATAATTGTGGCCATAGCTATCTCTGGTCTCATGTTTATACATCACTACAAATCACAAGTGAGAAATAATATAAACATATTTACTAAGGCTTTACCAAGAACAGTTGGCTTTTCAGATTTAGAAATAGCTCAAAGGGGAAGGAGGTATTACTCAGTCATTATGTGACTGGCACCCTCTAGTGGCTGTTTAGATTTCCTGCATGTGGATCCTAATTGCATTTTGAGGAAAAGACCTTTAGAACAAAAATCCCAATACTCAAGTTATATGTCCTGACATACGGCTTTTTTTCAGTGTGCTTTGGCAGCAAAGCTAAGTTAGAAGTGTAGAAATAGGGGAAGATAGATTATTTGGGTGTAACATACTTTAATTATTGAAAATGAGCTACATCGTTGACAAAATGAAATGGCAGCGAGAGAATAGCAAGAAGTCCATTCAAGGGAAGTTTTTTCTACCCATTTGTCATTGTCTTCATTCAACTCTACAGAATTTCCACATGGGAATTTAACTCTGCAAATGAATCTATATGATGCTATTAATTGATATTTACATATTAATGAATGTACTTGGAAAAATATTATTCAACTAGGAGTCCTTTTCTTACAGTTTATACGTAAAGACCATCCTTTTATTTATGCTAAGATAGCTCTTTGCAGAGCTTGATATTATGTTTTGTGAATTTCCTACTTAATCCAGTGTTAAAAATCTTCGCTTTTATTCTTTACCATTGTCGACCTAAAGGTAGATGCTAAGGCACAAAATATGATTTAAAGAGTTTACTTAAGCTGGGCACAGCTACTCAGGAGGCTGAGGCAGAGGATTGCTTGAACCCAGAAGTTCAAGGCCAGCCTGGGCAACATAGCAAGACCCCATCTCAGGACAAAAAAAAAAAGTTTACTTGAGCCAAGATAAGGACAGTTGTTCTAAAGACTCAGACCCAGTTACCTTGGATATGAGCTCCGTCAGCCTCAGTTACAAGCAAGCTTTCAAAGGAAAAAAAGATAATTAAAAATTATCAGGAGTGGGCTGATAGAAAGTTGTTTGACAGGCCAGGTGTGCTGGCTCATGCCTGTAGTCCCAGCACTTTGGGAGGACGAGGTGGAGGACTTTGAGACCAGCCTGGGAAACACAGTGAGACCCTGTCTGTACAAAAAATAAAAAAAT